>NC_000010.11:112870368-114120368 GCF_000001405.40 Homo sapiens | reverse complement strand
AGAACAGCATGGGGGAAACTGTCCCCATGATTCAGTCACCTCCCACCATGTCCCTCCCTCGACACATGGGGATTATGGGGATTGCAATTCAAGATGAGATTTGAGTGGGGACACAGAGCCAGACCATATCAGCCTTTTACAAAAGGTTCTGTGGCCTATAGGTATGTGAAAATTTCTTATTTGATAAGCCAGTGATGTATTCAGATTTTCCATAAAATTATAGAACTCACTTGCCATGTAGTCTAGCTTCAGTAATAAAGAACTAAGTATTTTCAATAAGAAGACACTGAAAGCATTAATTCAATTAAGTGAATATGTGTGGGATGAAATATTTCACATCACAAGGCATTGGTTTCCATTGCTCTAACAGTTCTGGTACACTTAAATTATGCCATATAACTTAATGAGTTCTCTATTGGAAAGAATCTCCTGAAATCAAGATCTGCAGAGTAAGTGTAAAATTAGTAAAGAAAGTTTTCCAACATACTTAACAGTCTGCTTTCAGTAGCCTGTGGATTTGTTCGCAAGAGAAAGGAAGATATAGGGAAAGAGGGTAAATCAAGGAAAGATACTAGCCGTGGTTCTTGATTTAGGTCCACGTAGCAGGAGAGTAGTGACTTGAGGTGATAATTATGAGCAGAGGCTTTTAGTGGCTCCTTTATATTCAATTAACTATGTCAAAGTACCATTCACGTGGTCAGTATGACCTGCAGTCATGAGATGGGAAGGCCATTCTGATGAACTTATATCCAAGTCTGTTTTTTCTTAATAAAATCAGCTTAAGTTAATGAATGCAGAATGAGTACCTGCTCCTTCAGGAGCAGCAACTCAGGAGCGTTCCTCTGTGATTAACTGATACTAATGCTGAGTTTTAATGACTGTCTGAGAATAGTGTGACCAGACTTGATGTTTCTGCCCCGTAGAGATGCTCTGTTATTAATTTCTAACTTACACTTTTTTAAAAAAGTACACTTTTTAAAATTAAAATTTGGCAGTAGTCTGACAATAAAAAAGACTGCTTATGGGATACTGTTATGTTAAACTTCAGTTACAGGATGTTAAATCCTTAGAACTAACTTTTCCCCAGAAAAACGTTAATGGAAACATCAATTGCTTTTTAGACTTGATAGTTATTGCTTCAAAAGGTGAATTTACACAAATACCAAATTAAAAAAAACAAAACTTTAGTACCTAATGAACTGCATTTATTTCTGTATGCATCCACATTTCAGCATGTAGCGGTCCTGAACAGAAAGTGGAAAAACGAAGCAATTTGCCAGAAGGTCAAGCCCACCAATTTCAGGGGTCTGCTGTGCACACCAAGGTCTCAATCCCTGCTGAGGATCTTCAGAAGCAACCGCAATGCCAAAACCAGAATATGCACTGGATTCAAGATTTTGTTCCAATTGTCATATTTTAAACTAGACCCCAATGAATTGGAAGGATGACCAAATGACAGCCCTGTTTAAAACTTCAATTTCTAAAAGCAAAATCAATTACAGAAAAAAATATTACAGAGGGATTATGTGTGCTTATGAGTGTCTTCATGTGGTCTTTCTCCAAGTTTAACCACCAAGGACTTTGAGAGCTGGCAGGTCTGAGTAACCCTGGAGACAATTCACTTTATCAAAACCTGAGCTAAAAACAACGCATCAGCTGATGATGACCGCAGAGAGTGGCAGGACTGAGGACCCAATATTTGTTTTCCAGCCTGGTGGAGAGTGAATAGTGAGGTTCCAAAACTAAACAAGGGAGGTCAGGAAAACTTTCCAACCTTACCTAATGGCTTCTGGCCAAAGCAAGGAAGTGTCATGGAAAGTGTTGGGTGGTGATGGTGCAAAAGGAACTTGAGGAGGAGGGAAGAAAAAGCACCCCTCAAAGCTGGGGAAGAGAAAATATGGAGAAAGCCCTAAATTCCTCATTGAAGGCCAGTCTCGGAAGTGGAGGGGTTATGATCTGTGCTTCAGTCAAAGGTAGGAGTGGAAGAGCATGGGGACAGGATGATGGCTTGGAAGGGGCATCATTTAAGACTTAAACCAGGGGTGCAGGCAAAGCACCCCATGTACCCAGCAGGCTGCCGCCTGAAGCCTTCACATCTACGTATGTTCAATAAGAAGATACTAAAATGGCATTTAATCAAGTTAGCATGCGTGATGGAATATTTCACATCACAAGGCATTGGTTTCCATTGCTCTAACAGTTCTGGTACACTTAAATTATGCCGTGTAACTTAATGAGTTAACTATTGGAAAGAATCCCCTGAAATCAAGATCTGTAGAGTAAGTGTAAAATTAGTAAAGAAACCTTTCCAATGTAATAATCTGCTTTCAGTAGACTGTGGATTTGTTTGCAAGAGAAAGGAAGATTTAGGGCAAGAGGGTAACAAGCACCCCAGAGTAGAGGGC
Organism: Homo sapiens; assembly: GCF_000001405.40. Lineage (NCBI taxonomy): Eukaryota > Metazoa > Chordata > Mammalia > Primates > Hominidae > Homo > Homo sapiens. Next base: position 114,117,963 of record NC_000010.11, on the reverse strand, counting down.
TGTTGCAGGGAGGGTACGAGCTGGGGGGAGGGGCAAGGAGAGAAGGCAGAGAGCCCAGGCCATGTAATCAACAGAAAGGTGATTGTGTGATGTGTCTTTTCACAGTTAGATGTGCCCCACCAGTTATGATGGGAGTCAATTTAAATATACTTTCTTGATCCCAGAATTTCAACTACGTGGACAGTGGTTACACTTGACAGGATAACTTATTATAGCACAATTTACATATTTCAAATGGACAAAAAATTAGTATCATTTAGTATCTTAAGATAAATTTCCTTTGAATGGGAGCTTCTTTTCCAGTACTTTGAGGTCTTCAAGACATATCTAGAAAATTTACTGTGGAAAATGAAGACTCCTTAAATTGAATTGTGGGGAAGGGAAGGGCCTGTGGTTTTTCTTTTTGATTAATTGCTGTAACATTGTCCTTCAGGAGGCTAAGGGAGTTTTCATATTTTCTTTAGATATCGTTGGGCGCCAAAGCTCTTGCAGGACAACTTTGATGCTTTAAGAATTCTGCCATTTTGCTAGCACTGATATGGATCTTGGGCCCACCACTCCATTGGAACTATTAACTCCATATTAATTTTCATTACAAATCTTACAGAGCGGGTGCTTCTGGGTATTTAGGTCCACATTCTACTTTAAGGCTGGATATTTGGTTTTCATAAATTATTCTCGGAGGCCCAGTCATCATTCCTGTCCATCCTGTAAGTGACATGTCTTTGTCATCTTCCAGACCCCAGTTAACTGTGCCATCTCCTCTTTTCTGGCCCCCTTCATGTTCTTCCAGCAATGGGAAACTGCGAGGGACCTTTTTACTCCCAAGCCTGTGGTGGCTGCCAACTTGTGTTGCCATTGCTCCCTAACTTACATTTAAGAGACTTGATTCTTAAAAAAAAAAAAAAACTCAAGGTGAAGGGAAGCATATATTTAAGAAATATTTTATTTCTGAGGAATTTCCAGCCTTTTTCCAACAGCCAGGCTTGTTAACATACTACCTGCCCCTAATTGCACTCCATAAAAACGGATAGGCTATTATATTCAAGAGAAGAATCTCTACCATCTAACCCAGTACAAAAGTTCTGTTGAAAGTTTAAGATCCATTGAAATAACCAAGCTTGTCCATAGTTAACTTCTAGTTACAGTTAACTCAGGAAATACATTAAATACTAGAGTAGCTTTCCACATCATCCATTTCTGTAGTTTTTTTGTTTTTAGCCACTAAAGCCCCAAGGGTGTGAAGGGAGTGTTTTCAGCATCTTCCCACTTTGCTTATCCCAAGAAACATCAGTTAAACTTGCCACACTACCTAAAGGTTCTTAGTCTGGCCCCTTGGTGAGTTCTGACTAGGGAAGACACCCCCTAGATCCCCCAGCTTGCTGCCCTTGCTCTAGGTCTGGAGCTGTGGGGCTGGCCACCTCTGGGAGAAACACTTTGTGTCTTGGTTCTGCTCCCGCTAGAGCTCCTATCGATGCCATCTCTTCCCCAGAAACCAGGTCCCCAGGTGTCCATACCAAAGGAGTGTACTTCTTTGGACTCTGAACTAGCTTGTTTCTAGATTTTGTGTTTTGCTTTGTGTTAATTTGAGGCCAGGGTGGAGGGAATTGTGCAGAGAGCCTGCTGGGACAAGCAGGCTGCAAAGCGTCTGTTTCTGGTGTCTCTAATTGGAATTCCGAACTCTTTCTCATAGAAATCATATTTTAAATAGTGAATACTATCTTAAGAACTTGTCACAGCTTATGAGTAAAAAAGGAGGAATGTGCTTGCCTAAAAATGCTTGTCACTGTTTTTCTTTGATATGATTAAATGCTTTCTAAGCTCTGAGGCACCAACTTCCAAAAAAAAGTTGAAGCAGAAGTATCAGGTGCCTTCCAAGATATTGGATGATCCGATCTCACAAAGGTGCTCTGAAGTTTATGTTGTTAATACTAGTAACTTGTATGTCAAAGCCCAAGATGTTGCTGATGATTTTTAAAGATCATACTGGACCCACAGGTGTAATACAGTTCCCATTTCAGCAACAACTTGGTATAGAGCAGGAAAGAATGTTTTCCATTTGTCTGTGCCCACTCGACCCACAGAACAAACACCCCACCCTAAACGACAACCAGAACACTTCTCACCATCCGGAGCTGGTTTGGCTGTATCTGCGTTTCCTCCATTATCCTGTTGGAGTGGGCTTTTGTTTACCAGGTTAGTCAGGTGAGTGAGAGATGAAAGGGGAAAGGAATCAAGTTCAGCAAGAGTCCTTGTCAAATTTGTCAAATTGCAATTGAGGTGATGCGAGTGCTCCATGTTACAGATAGGCTTACGTACGCATCGGATGGCTGGCGTGCCGCATGAAGTAGGACCAGCAGCCTTTGGGCTAATGTATCGTGTTTATGGAAGATGTTCCATGGTGATTCCTCATGTCACTTTGTACCTTTATAATTATAAATCAACCTAGAGATATACCAGCTTAACATATATGTATGTATTTTTTTAAGGAGGGGGTTCTGGAAAGATACACACTAAAGTCCTAGCTATGGTAACCTTGTGTGTATGTGTGTTGGAGGGATGGGGAAGAGGGTGCAGGGTTTTTGTGGAATTATGTATTACGTAATTTAAAGTTGACTTTTAGGAACTTTTAAAAGAGCCAGTTCATCTTAAGAAACACTTATTCAGAGTATACCAAAGCGTTTTTCCAGGTTAATCTGTTTTCTGATGCTCATTAACAGATAAATATGTGGCATGGAGTATTGCAATCTGTGGAAATGAAAAGCAGGGAGCTTACTAGTTTTTTGCAAGGATGGAGTGGGGTAAGGATCAAGTTCGAATACAGGTGAGATCTGGGGGGCATAGTTCTCACTTCCTGGTGGCAGCTGTCTGCATGATCCATCCCACCATGAAGTTGTAAAGCCCCCGAGTGATTCTGGATACCTGTTCTCAGCGTAAGAAAAGTAGCTCCATCATCATACATGGACAAGTTTTTCCCCTGAGGTGCTGTTATGCATTTTCCAAGTTTACTTAATGCAATAGTTACTTAGAAAGCAGACTAGTATTTAGCAGCTATTCTGGTCAGAAATCAAATGCAGCCTACTCTAGTGCTTTTGTATTTTAAGAATGTTTTCCCTTTGAAATGATAAAGAACACACATTTAAAGGAAACATATTAGTGGAGGTACAGAGAACAAATACTAATTAACTGCTTTGAGTGAGGCTCAGACAACCCTATGAGGTAGGAAACTGAGGCTCAAAGTAATTTACCCCAGAGCTTACTGCTAGGTATTTGTGGAGCTGGAATTTGAACTCACTTTATGGATGCCTTTTGCTATTCTTTGCTGCTTCCCAAAAGTCAAAAGTTCTAATACCTTGGGAAGTGGGGTAAGGTCATATTTAGATTCCTTTTCTATGCTTAATATGCTTTTAACAAAAGTACCAATAATTAGTTTAAAGAAGATGCCCATGCATAAGAGCGTGTGATCTAGTAAACTCTTTGTTGGAGACTTGGTGCCTCTATTTTCACCTTTTGATTGTCTTTTGACTTAGCTTTTCCTCTAACCACAGTCAAAGAAGGGAAATAAAAACAATCATTTTGTTTCCTCTTAAACTGTAAAGGTGTTTGGAGGGGGAATCATAGGTAATAAATCACATCATAATTTTCTTGACAGTCTGGACAGTGAATAGGTGTTCCTTAAGCTTTTTTTTTTTTTTTTTTTTTTTTTTGATACAGGGTCTCACTCTGTTACCCAGGCTGGAGAACAGTGGCATAGTCAGGGCTCACTGCAGGTTCAACTTACCAGGCTCAGGTGATTCTCCTCTCTCAGCCTCCCAGTAGCTGGGATTATAGGCATGTGTCACTACGCCCAGCTAATTTTTTTGTATTTTTCGTAGAGACAGAGTTTCTCTATGTTGCCCAGGCTGGTCTCGAACTCCTGGGCTCAAGCTATCCACCTGCCTCGGCCTCCCAAAGTGCTGGGATTACAGACGTGAGCAATCGTGCCAGCCAGGTGTTCCTTAAGCTTTTAAATTACCTGTACACATAACTTCCCGTGCACTGCCTTGTGGATGACTGTAACAGAGACTCCCTTTCCTGCCCATCTCCTTCAGAGCCAACTAGAGGAGGCAACAGAGGACTGTAAGGGTCCCTGGACTTGGACTTGGAAGACCCTACCTTGCCACTTTTTGTGAAACCTTTTACAAATCACCCACCTCATTGAGCTTCAGTTTTCTCATCTGTAAAAGGGGATGAGAAAGCTCACCTTGCAGAGCCATTCTGTGGAGTGAACAGGATAATGCATGGGAAAGAACTTTGAAAACTGCAAAGCTCTGCGACATGGACATATTATTAAGCTAAATCTTCAAAAATAGAGGTCTAATTTCTGTTTCTAAAAAAATAATTATTAAAAAAAGTTGAAGGATGCATATATATGTGTACTGTAAAAATTGTTGCTTTAATAGCATAAACTTTGCAACAAAGGGAAAAAATACCTTTAAATATGCATTCATGTGTATATGCAAAGAAAAAGTTCTGAATGGATACATACCAGACTCCACAGTGGTTTCTCCTGAAAATCACATTATAGAGTGGTGGACTTTCTATTTGAATTTATATTTTTCTGTTACTGGAAGTTTTTCAGCGAGTATGTACTACTTTTGCTATAGTTAACTTTAAAAATTATTATTCTAAGAATCATATCCTGATTTTTAGAGGGCTATATGCCTGACCCTCTAGCAAGGTAAAAGGGGGAGAGTGTGGAGATAGTATGTGTATGTATATATTTATTGTCTAGAAAGATCCTATTGTTCAATTTTCTGATTTCTTTGGAACAGACTGAGTTTGGGAAGAGGTGGGAGAAGGTGATGTGTGTTGCTGAAAGAGAGCCACGCTCTTTTGAGCAGCATCAACTGAGATCTATAATCCAATTCCAGTTTCAGACCTTGGTTTGACTTTTCAACAGCTACCGAGAAACACTTGGAGCCTAATCCCATTTCTACAAGTGGATTGGTAGGTGTAGCCACTGCATTTGGAGAATAAGTACAATGGAAGAATGGAAGAATGCTGTGTGCGTGTTCTACTCATTCTCAACCCAGCCCCTTCCTCTTGTGCACAACCACACAAAGTCAGCAGGGGAAGTGTTCAGATGGCTGGAGCTTTTAAATTCATAATTGTCTGACATTCTCACACAGCTTCTGTCCTGAGGGCCTGGTTCTATCATATACATTGTGTGTGTGTGTGTGTGTGTGTGTGTGTGTGTGTGTGTGTGTGTGTGTCGGGGGGGGGCAGTTACCTTTTTGTAGGAATGGGGAAGAAAAGAGAAAAAGCCCCGTAAGGATTGGGATGTTTACTAATTCCAACAAAAGGGAGGTGTTCGCATGAATCGCATCTCGAACCTCCCTTGGAGGGAGGTCTAGATGTTTCATTTCCAGCCACCCTTTGTGTGGGACACAGAGATGGTGCTGATGAAGATGAGCAGCCAGACAAGCAGCGGCGTCTCCATACCTGTCACCCCGCCACATGCTTCGCTCTCATTCTCTTAAATGTAATAAAGCTTTCCCCTCAATACTTTGCTGAGGTTCTGTGGTGCTTCCAAAGCAACACATATAACTTAAGCACTGCTCCTAACTCAAATGATGTGTGTTTTGATGGACTCATTGCTGCCACTTGGACTCAGCCATTATGCTAAGCAAGAAACATGTGCTAGGCCAGGAGCGGTGGGTCACGCCTGTAATCTCAGCATTTTGGGAGGCCAAGGCAGGTGGATCACCTGAGGTCAGGAGTTCAAGATTAGCTTGGCCAACATAGTGAAACCCTGTCTCTACTGAAAATATAAAAATTTGCTGGGTATCGTGGCGGGAGCCTGTAATCCCAGCTACTTGGAAGGCTGAAGCACGAGAATCGCTTAAACCTGGGAGACGGAGGTTGCAGTGAGTAGAGATTACACCACTGCACTCCACCCTGGGCAACAGATCGAGACTCCTCAAAAAAATAAAATTGGCCGGGTGTTGTAGCTCACGCCTGTAATCCCAGCACTTTTGGGAGGCCAAGGTGGGCAGATCACTTGAGGTCAGGTATTCGAGCCCAGCCTGGCCAACATGGTGAAACCCCATCTCTATTAAAAATATTAAAAATTAGCTGGGTGTGGTGGTGAGCCACCTGTAATCCCAGCTACTGGGGAGGCTGAAGCAGGCGAATCACTTGTACCTGGGAGGCGGAGGTTGCAGTGAGTCCAGATTGTGCCACTGCACTCCACCCTGGGCGATAGAGTGAGACTCCATCTCAAAAAAAAAAAAAAAAACAAAACAAGACATATCCGAAATAAATGTTCCATCTTTGTCCAGTTTTCTGCTTGCTTTTGTGTTGAGTATTTTATAAAATTTGATTATATTTTCATTATGGCTTTATGAGTTATGCCTCTTTTTAAAACATTTTTGTGGTTGCCCTAGAGTTTAATAAGGTATCTTAAAAATATGAAACTCTTCATATTTTTGACAGTCATCATTGTGCAGAGCCTTGCTGATATTCTGTGACAGACCCGAATTTACTACACGTGCTCTGAAGCGATCACCTTTTCTAGAGTTTCTTCTGCCTGCTTTCAAATTGGATGACAAGAAGCAAAGACCAACAGATCCTCTAGACCAGTGTCAGAAATGAGAGCGACCTTCGAGAGAAAACATCCAGTTCCAGAGTGACCAGACTTTCAGGATAGGAAAACTGAAAACAAAATTCTGAGCTTGCTTTTATTTTGCTAAGTAAGGATGAAAATTTTTTTCCACTTACTATCACTATTTCATAAACGACAGGATGTTTTAACACTGAAAACAAAGGTAGAAAGAATCAACTTTTAAACTGAATGGCTTCAACTCTACAAAATACTGTATTTGTTTTCTTCACCTCACAATAGCCTGGTATTTGACAACCACTGATGTGGTCCAACCCCTTATTATAAGATGAAGAAAAAAGTTCATAGGAGGAAGTGTTTTGCCTGAGGTTACACCAGGCCAGCCTTTTCCTGGCTTTACAGGGACTAATCACCCTTGGGTTCCATAGGTCTTGGAACCAAATGAACTAAGGAAGCTCTAAAGATGAAGGATGTGTTGGTCATCTATTTATTGCCTCACAGCTCCAAATGCACTCTTCAATACCTGTAATATACAAGAGAATTCCTTTAAACATTTCTCCACTAAAGGGAGTGTGATGTTAAGATTTCTCAGTAGAGGGCAATGGAGGCACATTCCAGGAGAAAGAGGCTTCCCCAGGTTTCTGGGCGAGGCTGGTGTCAGCCCTGTGAGTGTGAAGATCTCCATCCAGTGGAGCCTGCCCCAGCCGTGGGACCAGAAAAACCATCCATCTACAACCTTACAGCCTCTTCTCATGGTAACCTTTCCATAGCTCTCTTGACATGGAAACCAAAGCTCCTGCCTGGCTCACACACAGGTACTTTTGCCTAGAGGGTCATACACAGGATAACCATTCCTTCTGCAAGTTTCCATGTGGCCCACAAGCTCTGAAGTCCTCTGCCCTGCTGGTGTCCAGGCTCCTACTGCATGTCCACACCAGTGGCTGCTGACTGACTGCCTGCTCTCCAGCCACACTCTAGAGGTTAGCTGTTGCTTACCTAGCAACTGGTAGACCCGCCCTGGCCTGGCCAAACCATCTAACATTGCTGCTTATCCAGTGGGCTGAGACATACCTTCTCCAACGAGGTCTGAACTCCTCCTTTGAGTACTCTCTCTGAACCCTCGCATACTGTATAGGATTTCCTTTTACCTTTTTTTTTTTTTGAAATGGAGTTTTGCTCTTGTTGCCTAGGCTGGAGTGCAATGGCGTGATCTCGGCTCACTGCAACCTCCACCTCCCAGGTTCAAGCGATTCTCCTGCCTCAGCCTCCTGAGTAGCTGGGATTACAGGCACCTGCCACCACGCCTGGCTAATTTTTTGTATTTTTAGTAGAGATAGGGTTTCACCATGTTGGTCAGGCTGGTCCTGACCTCAGGTGATCCACCCGCCTCGACCTCCCAAAGTGCTGGGATTACAGGCATGAGCCACCCTGCCAGGCCCCTTTTATCTTATAGATACTCCTTTATCATAGTTAATAGTTCTTTGTATTAAACTTCGATTTTATCCACTATGTGATTTCTATTTCCTGATTGGACCCAGCTCACTACTGAAGCTGAGCATGAAGAGCTCTGTACAGCCTTCTGAAAAGGCACAAAGACAAGAGGTTGCTGTTTGATGCTCAAAAGATTCATGCTTAAAAAATGAAAAAAGACCATTTCTTCTCATTCTATTATTTAACAAATTCATACAACATCATTATTTATGTGCAAGGCACTTTGGGAGATAAGTGCATAACTTGGAACAAGATGGGAAGAGATCAGTGCCCTAAGATGGCACTGATAGGGGTGGGATTTTAGCTGGAAGAGACAGCATTTGAGAAGGACTTTCACAGATAGGAAGAAATAGAACATACAGGAGGAAAATCAGAGGGGGAAGTCCAGATGGAAGAAACCTCCATGCCTTTTGCTCAGGGCAAAAGTTGCTGCAGAGGTGGTAACGTGGAATGTGTAGAACGTGTTCACCTGTTTGTTCCATTTGGCTAGAACTTTGGATCATGTTCTTGGCACCAAAAGATGGCATTTGTTTTGCCATTGCCAACCTTTATCATATTTAGCAAGAAATGGTAAGACCTATAGGAAAGGAAGGGACCTTAGGAAGTTATCTAATTAACAGTCAGGCTGTGAACAATCTTGAATGTCACACATAAGAAAATGGCCAGGCGCAGTGACTCATGCCTGTAATCCCAGCACTTGGGGAGGGCGAGGCAGGCGGATCACCTGAGGACAGGAGTTCAAGACCAGCCTGGCCAACATGGTGAAACCCTGTCTCTACTAAAAACTAGCCAGGTATGATGGTGGGCACCTGTAGTCCCAGCTACTCGGGAGGCTGAGGCAAAAGAATCGCTTGAACCCAGAAGGAGGAGGTTGAAATGAGCCGAGATCACACCACTGCACTTCAGCCTGGGCGACAGAGCAAGACTCTGTCTCAAAAAAAAAAATAAGGAACTGAGTACTAGGTTTGCCAGAAAAACTGCATTTAAATAGAACGTCACAGATGAGGATCCCATCCACTCTAGTATATTGACAATCTGTTCATTATATCCATACTTAACTTCAGGTTAAGGGTAACTCCTGAATAGTTTGAGAAATTATTTTGACATATTTCTCCCCAAAGAGGGTAATTTTCTCTTCAAAATTGAGTGGACAAACTAATTGTCATCTGCCAAGTGCAGTACTGCCTCGCATTGCTTTCAGTGACTCACGGGTGTATGAAGAAATCGTGAGCTCCAAATGCCCAGTGCTTTTCCTCAGTGGAGGTGGCACATAGCTGTGGGTGGGGAAGAAGAAAAATGAGGACAGGATGTCAATAAGGTAACAAACAAGATGACAACAAAGTGATCTGGACCTGGGTTGCAGTAAGAGACTCAAGAGGGCCTGGTTAGCACATCCAGACTCTTCTGACAGTCTGCCACAAAGCATCCTCCAGCCTCAGAGTTTTCTCAAAGACCACGGGGGAAAATGAGGAGAGTTCAGACCATTCCACATAGCAAGTTAGTTAAATAGAGACGTGTTGAAAGAAATTATGATGGTTAGCAATTGTTGTGTCTTGAAGAAATGGAACAGAATAGTGTAAATAGAACAAGGGATACCCTGGGCCATTTTGAGAAGACATCTATCAGCCGAGCAAAATACGGCCACGTCAAAGGATGCTCTAGAGGGCTCATGGGCCGCTCTAAGAGATGTGTGTGAGGCCAGAGTTGCCATGGTTATAATCATGGCCTTGAACAGCTAATTTTTTTTTTTTTTGAGACAGAGTCTCACTCTGTTGCCAGGCTGGAGTGCAGTGGCACGATCTCGGCTCACTCCAACCTCCGCCTCCTGGGTTCAGGCAGCCTCAGCCTCCCGAGTAGCTGGTACTACAGGTGCGCACCACCATACCCAGCTAATTCTTGTATTTTTAGTAGAGATGGGGTTTCACCATGTTGAACAGGATGGTCTCGATCTTTTGACCTTGAGATCCGCCTGCCTCAGCCTCCCAAAGTGCTGGGATTACAGGCATGAGCCACTGTGTCTGGCCAACAACTAATTAAAAAAAAAATCAGTGAATATGACAACACTAGCAAACAAATGCCCCCCTGACAAGGGACTAGGAGCAATTTCACGCTTATCTGTCTCTTCTGATGACATACATAAGGGCAGAGACAATGCCTCCTCTCCAGCCATATTAATCCACAGCTGTATTAATGAAAATGGCAGGTTTGGGAAGTTTTTTTCAAAAGAATGATTTTTATTTTTCATTTTATTATTATTTTTTGAGACCGAGTCTTACTTTGTCACCTAGGCTGCAGTGCAGTGACGTGATCTCAGCTCACTCCAACCTCCACCTCTCGGGTTCAAGCGATCTTTGTGCCTCAGCCTCTTGAGTAGCTGGGAGTACAGATGTGAGTCACCAGGCCCAGCTAGTTTTTGTATTTTTAGTAGAGATGGGGTTTCACCATGTTGGCCAGGCTGGTCTCGAACTCCTGACCTCAGGTGATCTGCCGGCCTTGGCCTCCCAAAGTGCTGGGATTACAGGCATGAGCCACCGCACCCGACCAAAAAGAATGATTTTTAGTTATTTAATAAAGTTAGGTCCCTAATTCCTTAGATTGCATACAAGGGGCTCAGCATTTGATTCGAGATCTGGGCTCATAAGCTATAAATCAGGTACTGTTTTAGATAACTTACGTTGATTTATTTTATTCTTGCAAAAAAGAAAAAACCCATTTCAGAGATGAACAAGCTAAATAAGATTAAGCAATGTGTTTGAAGTCATTTGGCTAGAAAGCAGCTAGCTTACTAACCAGAGAGCCAGAATTTGAACTCAGGCTTTCCAACTGTAAGGTTTATGCTCTCAGGCACGACATGAAATTTCTAGTCACCAGGGTCCTCAGCCCTAACACAGTGCCAGGCACAAACAGAATGCACAGTCACCTCTTACTGAATGAGTGAATGAGTTATAAATTATTCAGTTTGCTCCTAACCACTATTTGTCTAAGCAGTTGCAAGATCAATTTACACAGTGCCAAAGGAAAATTAATCCAGGCGTATAACACTATTAAATAGATCTCTGTACTGGTCACATTTTCCCTAGGTAGTTCAGATTAATTTGTGCAGCCCAAGATATAATTTACCCTGCAGATCATTGAAAAAGAATATACTGCGCCCAAATTATTATAATATTAAAAAATGCCATGTATTTTCTTTTAAATTTTTTGGGCACATATTTCTTGCTGGTATGTGAGAGTCTCAAGGAACGCTTTTTGCTCTTTGCCGGTTTTTTAGCAAGCAGGATATGGGAATAGACGTCAACTTTAAGCAAAGACAAAAACTGTCCTGGTAGTGAACTGCCCCTTCATTTTTGGTCATATTTCAGCTGAAAGGAAGCAGAGCTCTGATGTTACATATTAATATGTAGTAGAAAACAACACTATCTTAGGAACCGCTTCAAGTTATATTGTAAATTATATCTTATAAATATAATTTTTATATTTTTAGAAATTTTGTTTTCTGTACTGAAGAGTTCCCTGGTGAGACATTTTGCTAAAAACAATAAGATGTGAAAGATTTTTTGCATTAACTGCTTTGGTTGAGTCATTTGCCAAGAGCCCACTAAAAGCTCTCTGAGCTTCAGTGTTCATTGGCTGGAAAAGGGTTATAGTTTATCATTTTAAAATTCCATTACATATTGTAAAGTAAAGATATTGACTATATAGATCCAAGATTTCAAGGCCAAGTACTAGCCAATTAATTGTCATGGATCAAATATCTGTGAAAGATGCTGTATTAGGGTTCTCTAGAGGGACAGGTCTAATCGAATAGACGTATATAAGAATGGGAGTTTATTAAGGAGAATTGATGCAAGGAAGCCAGTCTGAGTCCCAAAACTTCAAAAGTAGGGAAACTGACAGTGTAGCCTTCAGTCTGTGGCCAAAGGCCTGAAAGCCCCTGGCAAACCACAAGTGTAAGTCCAAGAATCCAAAAGCTAAATAACTTGGAGTCTGATGTGCAAGGGCAGGAAGCATCCAGCATGGAAGAAAGATGAAGGCTGGAAGTCTCAGGAAGTCTGCTCTTTCCATCTACTGCCTGTTTTATTCTAGCTGCACTGGCAGCTGATTAGATGGTGCCCACCCAGATTGAAGGTGGGTCTGCGTCTCCCAGTCCACTGACTCAAAATGTGAATCTCCTTTGTCAACACCCTCACAGACACTCCCAGGAACAATACTATGCATCCTTCAATTCAATCAAGTTGACACTCAATATTAACCATCACAGATGCATAGAAGGAAAAAAGAAATATTCAAGTAGAAATCTATAGACTTAGTTGTTAGAGATGCAAGTAATTACTGCCTTGTATTAGCACATAATCATTAAAATGGAAAATTAAAAAAATCTTATAAACAGCCTCAAATGACATGAGTACAAGTTTTTCTGCAGTATGTTCCCCTTAGTTTTATTAATTTTGACCATTGTCATCACTCTATCCTCAGCTGAGTGTACTTCCTCTAAGTACATAAATTTATATTAGTTTAGCTAATATAAAACTTCCACTACCCAGATGTTTTAACAACTCTTAAAAGAAGAAAAAAGAAAATAAATGTAAAACAAAGAGCACCCTGGGATGATAAGAACATGTAACAGAGTTAGCGACATTAAGCATTAAAACCTTAAGTGGCTTTAAAAAATGGGAGCCATAAAACAATGATTTCCCCCAGGCGCGGTGGCTCACACCTGTAATCCCAGCACTTTGGGAGGCCAAGGCGGGTGGATCACGAGGTCAGGAGTTCGAGACCAGCCTGGCCAACATGGTGAAACCCCGTATCTACTAAAAATACAAAAATTAGCCGGGTGTGGTGACACACACCTGTAATCCCAGCTACTGGGGAGGCTGAGGCAGGAGAATCACTTGGAGGAGAAGGCTGCAATGGCTAAAAGTGTACATTCTGGAATCAGACTGTCTGGTTTGAGTCCTGGCTCCACCATCACTTGATCTAGTTGCTTGACTTTTCTGAGCCTCATTTTCCTCATATGCAAAATGGGGGTGCTAGGAGGCCCCTTCCTCATAATATTGTTGTGAGAGTCAGATGAGATAATGAGGATAAAACCCATTTTGTACCTGATCACATAGTGCCAGAACTGAACACGTTAGCTATTAATATGGTTTGGCTCTGTGTCTCCACCCAAATCTTACCTTGAATTGTAACAGTCCCCACGTATCGTGGGAGGGACCTGGTAGGAGGTAACTGAATAATGGGGGTGGGGCTTTCCTGTGCTGTTCTCATGATACTGAGTAAGTCTCGCAAGATCTGATGGTTTCATAAAGGGCAGTTCCCCTGTACATGCGCTCTCTTGCCTACCACCATGTGAGACATGATGTTGCTCCTCCTTTGCCATGATTGTGAGGTCGCCCCAGCCATGTGGAATTGTGAGTCAATTAAACCTCTTTCCTTTATTTTTATTTATTTATTTTTTTCAAGATGGAGTCTTGCTCCATCACCCAGGCTAGAGCGCCGTGGTGCAATCTCGGCTCACTGCAACCTCCGCCTCCGGGGTTCAAGTAATTCTCCTGCCTCAGCCTCCTGAGTAGCTGGGATTACAGGTACCCACCACCACACCCAACTAATTTTTGTAGTTTTAGTAGAGACAGGGTTTCACCATGTTGGCCAGGCTGGTCTCGAACTCCTGACCTTGTGATCCACCCTCAGCCTCCCAAAGTGCTGGGATTCCAAGTGTGAGCCACCACACCTGGCCAAACTCTTTCCTTTATAAGTTACCCAGCCTTAGGTATGTCTTTATTAGCAGCATGAGAACCGACTAATACAGCTATTGTAATGGGAGAGAGTTCAGAACCCCAGCCCTGAACATGGTTCTTCAAGGGCTGAGGACATTGCAAGATCCTGAGCACTAGGCAAGGACCAACCGTGCAAATGGTGTGATGTGATGAAAGACGTGGTCTTATCCTTATAAAAGCATTCCAAAAGAAGTACAAATAGTAAAGGCACAGTGATGCGCTGATCATGGAACTCCTCATCTCCAGCACTGAAGATGGCAAGGAATTTTCTTACATGTGTACGTGTAGTTTTGGCACTGTAGATGACATTAGTATGAAGAAACAAGCTGTCACCTGCCACAAAAGATCAGGCAAAGCAGTTTCTGGTCATCACCCAATGTACCAAAACAGATTCAAAGTTAGTTCTTATTAATATTCTTCTCCCTGACGAACCTAATGATGGATTTTTAAAAATGTATTTGAGTAAAAAAATAAAAATAATTTATAAAGTCTAAGTCTAGCAGATTAGGCCTCCCTGACGTAGTTGCTCCTAGAAAATGTGTGAGTTAAGTTTATGCTCTAAATGCCACTAGATGGCGGATGAATATTATTAAACCACCCAATCTTCACAGACAAGTTCTGGGAACGACACGCTTTCCTTCTCATCATCCTGCCCTGTCTGCAGGATCCTGGGAGGTCTCTCCTGTAACTCCAGCTTTTTTCAGTCCTTGTCTTTCCAGTGTCAGGTGAAAGGCAGATACTCAACCCCTAGAAGAGTCTACGACCCTGGATGGCAGGCACTAGCTTAATCCAACATATGATGAGTATGATTTTACTGTGGTCCAAACTCCTAATGCAGAAAATATCAAAAGCTTTCCAACCTTTGAAAATTTTATTTCTAAGTCTTTCAGAGCCAGACATTTGGAAGAAAGGGCAACGTCCTTGCAGGCATTTTGCAGAGCACTTGTTAGAGAGGATGTGCCCGGTGTTCTGTGATGCCACCTTCCTGCCGCACATCAGCCAGATGCACGTCTCAACCTCCCCACTCCCAAACGGGCAAACAACTCCACTGCTACCTAAATCTTTAACTTCTTAATTTCAGAAATCGGCCGGGCGTGGTGGCTCACGCCTGTAATCCCAGCACTTTGGGAGGCCGAGGTGGGTGGATCACGAGGTCAGGAGATCGAGACCATCCTGGCTAACATGGTGAAACCCTCTCTCTACTAAAAATACAAAAAATTAGCCGGGCGTGGTGGCGGGTGCCTGTAGTCCCAGCTACTCGGGAGGCTGAGGCAGGAGAATCGCTTGAACCTGGGAGGTGGAGCTTGCCAGTGAGCCCGAGATCGTGCCACTGCCACTCCAGCCCTGGGGGACAGAGCAAGACTCTGTCTAAAAAAAAAAAAAAAAAAAAAAAAAAGAAAGAAAGAAAGAAAAGAAAAAGATATTAATTGGTTCTTTTGGGGGGAGGCAGATGGGGAGATATTGAACATAATTGCTGGCACTCCAAAATTTGGGAGGCTAGTTTGGACTATACTTGAGTGATCTTATCAAAGGATCTAATTTTTTTTTAGTTCTTTAAAAATAAGGTTCTGAATTTGAGCTGCCTCAGCTGTATCCTCTCTGGAGAGAGTTGATAATGGGATTGCTCAAGCAGTCTTGTAAACAGAGAAGTGTCCTCCTGGAAAAAGAGCTGGGCTTTCATGTCATGTCACCACAGGAAGCAGAAACCCAGCACGTTTTGCTTTATGGTTTAAGATTTTGTTACATTCAATGTAATTTGCTAACTACGACAAAACTACCCCCCCCCCCCATTGTTTATAATTATCTAACTAATCATTCTTTTTTTTTTTTTTTTTTTTGAGACGGAGTCTCGCTCTGTCGCCCAGGCTGGAGTGCAGTGGCGGGATCTCGGCTCACTGCAAGCTCCGCCTCCCGGGTTCACGCCATTCTCCTGCCTCAGCCTCCCAAGTAGCTGGGACTACAGGCGCCCGCCACTACGCCCGGCTAATTTTTTGTATTTTTAGTAGAGACGGGGTTTCACCGTTTTAGCCGGGATGGTCTCGATCTCCTGACCTCGTGATCCGCCCGCCTCGGCCTCCCAAAGTGCTGGGATTACAGGCGTGAGCCACCGCGCCCGGCCAATCATTCTTATTTCTGGAGAAAAACCAAAGGTAGCTAATGCCAAGGCCCCTGGTTTAAGAACCAAGTCCCCTCTCCCATTTCCACACGGTAGATGCTGATTCCAGATTGCAGCTGGACCTGCTGACCTGAGAGAGTGCCCGTGGTCTGGAAAGGATCCATGTGAGGGAGACAGGACAAGGACCTTACAGTCTGAGAGAACACAGTATGGCGATGACAGGGAGCAGGGATCCCGGGTGGTACGCGAGGAAGGGACTGTCCTGTGGTGGATGCTGTTCCTCTTACGTGTACCCTAAGCCACCGTCAATTCCTAGCCCTGTGTGGGTGTCGGGAGCTGCTCAGGGTCTCCCCTCTGACAGAGGTATGATGTTCTCACTGATGAGCCACTGGCCTTTGCTGTCAGCTGAGACGTTGGCAAAGCACCTCCTCCTCACCCAGCCCCTCTGCAAGTGGTGGCCATGTGGCCACATGGCTTTCTGGTAAAGGATCTATTTCTTGGCTTGGCGAAGAAGGAGGGAGAGAAGCATTTTCCTGCTTCCAGATGAAGTCAACACAATCATTTCCTTCTTCCCTCCCCACTCTGCAGGCCGGGAGCTGGGCGCTTTCTCTCTCTGGCTTCCTGGAAAGGGTTATTGGAAACGGGGCCGTACGTGAATCAAAGGATGCAGAGCGAGGAGGGAACCGAGCCTGCCACGGTCAGGGGCGGCGCGAGGCGGGGAGCCCAGGCTCTGCGGAGGGAAAAGCCGGGCGCGGAGGAGCTTCACCCTCTTTTCGGAGCCCTGTCATTTATTTGTCCCAGTGTCTGAGCAGAGCTTTGAACGGTGCCGTCGAAGTGGAAAGCGAGCTGGGAAGAGCTCCCGTTTGGAGCTTCCAGCCGCTTCGTTCCGACTGCAGCTGCCAGCCCCTGTGGCTTCCCAGCTTATCACTGGCTGCGGTTTCCCACGGCGTGAACCACGGCCCTGACCTTCTGTTTCCGTCCAGAGCCCACGCTTCACTGGCTTTTAGGATTTTCCGAGGGATCGCCTGTCTCCGTCGGCGCCCCTGTCCTCCCCGCCTCCTCCTTCTGCTCCGGGTCCCTGGCAGCTCTGGGATGCGGAGCCAGGCTTCCCTCCTCCCTGAGAACTCCGGTCCCCTCTCATGTCGTTCTCTCCCTCTGTAGGTGCGTTTCTGGCTTGATAGGGAATTTTTCTCACGGAGCCACTTCCACGTGGAGTAGGAGAATTTTTACTTTTGTGGCTGAGTACGTTTCTGGAGCTTGGATAATAATACTGGGACATATCTAGCAATGTGCAGACTTGCTTTTCACGGTGAGTGAAAAGTACGACTTTTACTATTAAGAACTCTGTTGTGCTGCGTTAAGAGCTGGAACTGAGTCCTCATTTGAGGACTGTTAGGAAGATGGACAATCACCCACCATTCCCCGGGAACCACATCCGATGCGTGCACGTTACCGTGCCTGTCTGGAGACCAGCGGACTTCAATTCGCCTTACTTCAAAGGTCACTGGGAGGGAAGGTTGGGTGCCTCACTCATGGTCTGACATATCTGAGTCACACATCTCCCAAGCCACCATGTCACAGCCCGGGTGGGGCACCAGCCTCTCCACTCAGCATGAGGATTACAGGTTTGAAGTTGGCTTTTGTTGACACAATTGGAACCATTGCCAATTGTTTATATTTTGATAAGGATCTAACAATCATCTTGAAAACCACAAAGATGGTGATCATGAAGACACAAAGGCATATTTCTAATGAATTCAAGTTCATGTATGTTATCTAAATCAATGAGTAGGAAATTGAATTCTCAAAACACTGAGGTTTTGGTCTTGGAGCTGGGCAGGGTGCGAAATCATCATCTAGGGCGGTCGTTCGGCGGAACCTGGCTCAGAACACAGAATGTGGCCATCTGGCGGTTGCACATATGGATTACGTCTCTGTCACTTTCAGCAGTTACTATTACTTTTTTCTTTAGACAGTCTTGCTCTGTCGCCCAGGCAAGATCAGGGGCGTGATCTTAACTCAACAATCTCTGCCTCCTGGGTTCAAGCAATTCTCCTGCCTCAGCCTCCCAAGTAGCTGGGATTACACACCTATGCCACCATGTCTGGCTAATTTTTGTATTTTTAGTAGAGGCAGGGTTTCGTCATGTTGGCTGGGCTGGTCTTGAACTCCTGACCTCAGGTGATCCGCCCACCTCGGCCTCCCAAAGTGCTGGGATTACAGGCGTGAACCACTGCACCCAGCCCAGCAGTTAGTATTTTAACCAAGTAGTGCCTAATCTCTGCTCCCCTGATAAACTCAGCAGCGACCCCCTGCCCTGTATCCCACGCTACTCCACTTCCAGCAGGGACAAAAGCGTTTTCCAGCCCTTTCAGCAAGGGGGAGTGCTCTGCCCAGAATAGAGCTTCACTCCTCGGCCACCCATTCCCCAGCCATCCAGCACTGAGGGACTCTTGTTCCCACTGCTTTGAGAAATGTCCCCTGAGAGGTCAGACCCAGTTTGGACACTGCAAGCCTTCCTTCCCGAGGCAGGGAGGAAAAGGTGAAATGGCCCCATAATGCAAAACATTGCTCACACCCAGGTTTCACTTCCTGGTCAGAACGCAAAGCAAAACCACCTGCTCCAACTCAGTCTCTGGAAGGGTCCCTGGGAAGCAGGGAAAGGAGAAACAGTAGAATTAAAAAGTAGGCCTCCTGGCCCAGTGCAGGGGCTCACACCTGTATTCCCTGCACTTTGGGAGGCCGACGTGGGCAGATCACTTGAGGTCAGGAGTTCAAGACCAGCCTGGCCAACGTGGTGAAACCCCATCTCTACTAAAAATACAAAAAATTAGCCAGGTGTGGTGGTGGGTGCCTGTAATCCCAACTACTCGGGAGGCTGAGGCAGGAGAATTGCTTGAACCCAGGAGGTGGAGGTTGCAGTGAGCCGAGATTGTGCCACTGTACTCCAGCCTGGGTGACAGAGCCAGACTCCCCCTCAAAAAAAAAAACAAAAACAAAAACAAAGTGGGCCTCCTGTGGGTGAGCAGAGTCCCTTCTGGCTTGGGTGGGGAGGGGAGAAGATGCGCTTTTGTTAAACCCACAGGAAATAAGTCAAGGTCAAAAAGCTGTTTGAATTGGAGTCAGATCTATCTGAAGAAGTCTAATTTGTGTCAGAATCTTTGTCATTCTCTGCCTGTTGCTCAAATAGGGCATGTGATTATTGAACAAATCACGAGAGATAAGGAGGGCTGTTTCAGCTTTCCCTGGAGGTGGGGTGAGGGTCATAAGGAGTGGGGACTGGGGACCATGTATTATTTCCCAGTGCTGCCTAGGATCGAAGAAACAGTTTGTTGTAAATATTAATTGAATCAATGTTGCCTGAAATTAAAGGAACATTATAATTCGTGCCTGTGTGTATAACCCTCAGGCAATTAAACGGTGTAGAAGTCAGTCAGTCAGAGGCCCACTATGCAATAGCAGCTGTGAGGCAGTGTTTCCCCACCTAAATAAATTGTTTTATTTGATAAAGAATTTTCAAGCTGGATGCGGTGGCTCATGCCTATAATCCCAGCACTTTGGGAGGCCAAGGTGGGAGTATTGCTTGAACCCAGGAGCTCAAGACCAGCTTGGGCAACATGGCAAGACCCTGTCTCTACAAAAAATAAATAAAATAAAATAGCCAGGCATGGTGGCACGTGCCTGTGGTCCCAGCTACACAAGAGGCTATGGTGGGAGGATCGCTTGAACCCAGGAAGTTTTGGCTGCAGTGAGCTGTGATCATGCCACTGCACTCCAGCCTGGGTGACAGAGAGAGACCCTGTCTCCAAAAACAAAAAAAAAAAAAAAAAAGGAATTTTCAAACTGGGGCATATGGACAAAAGTTCACTCTTCTTACTGGGTGTGAGACCTCAGGTGAGTTACTTAACCTCTTTGAGCCTGTATTAGTTTGCTAGGACTGCCATAACAAAAGATCACAGACCGAGTGGTTTAAACAACAGAAAGTATTTTCTTACAGTGCTGGAGGCCAGACATCGGACATCAAGGTGTCAGCAGGTTTGCTTTCTCCCGAGGCCTTTCTCCTTGGCTTGCAGATGGCCACTTTCTTGCTGTGTTCATATGGTCTTCCCTCTGTGTTTGTCTGTGTCCTAATCTTCTCTTCTTATAAGGACACCAGTCAGATTGGATGAGAGCCCACCCTCATGACCCCATTTCAACTTAATTACTTATTTAAAGGCCCCTTCTCCAAATATAGTCACATTGTGGGGTTCGGGGGGGTGGTTAGGGTTTCAGCATATGAATTTTAGGAAGACAGAATTCAGCCCATAACAGAGCGCCAGTTTCCTCACTGGTAAAACGGATAAAATTTGCCCTCCTTTCTTGTTTTGAGACTCAAATGAGGTAAAGTAAGAAAAAGGACTTTGGAGGGTGTCAGGTGCTAGACAAAGGAAAGTGGTCATCCCATAGAGGTGGGACAGACCGCTTCGGACGATGTGCCTATAGGTCTGGTGAAAAGTTGTATTCTCTGTACACACCCAAGATTTGGAGGCCAAGTTCCTTGTGAAAAGATACATTTGCAAAGAGGCTACTAAATGTCATGCCTTGTTGGGAATTTGAGCCTAGAGTGATATTGCAAATAAAACATTCATTTATTTATCCATCACCATCATCGACTGCACGCCTACTCCGTGCTGGGCCCTGTGAGGGCCCTCACCTATTGCTGAGGCCAGATGGCAAGGAGGCTGGGTGAACTCAACAGGAAATTGAGCAGAGAGTGGACTCCTGGTTTGCCTTCTCTACAGCTTTCAGGGAGCTTCACTGAAAATCTCTCTTGCAGTCAACAACTTCCCTCTGGCTTTCTCTTCCTCAGTTATAAATGGCTTCTCAGGATCCGGAAGTTCGGAAGAACTTGGATGTCATCCTGGGTCTGGAAGTGGAGCCACATGGGTCAAACTCAGGCTGGGACGAAATTCACTTCCTGTCATTCTTAGGGACTGGGTATCTGACACAGTGAGATAAGCCTGGGTTCTATGAAAGACAAGGGCCAGTTACACACACCTCTACACAACTCTCCCCCCAACACATGCACACACACATACACACACACACATGCACAGAGTCCAGAAGAGCTTGCACCTTGGCTAGAGAAAGCAGCATTGGTAGTTTTTAGTGTTAGGAATTTCCAACCCATACTGAAAGCGTGTGCTTAGTTCACAGAGGGCAAAATAATACCATCGTGCACCACTGACCTCTGTCTCTTGGCTTTTGAAATTTCAAAGCTGAATAAGAAGCATAATGCCCACCCCGCCTACCTCAGCTATGGGAACCCCTTTTCTGTTGGGCTCTACTTCATGTGATAGGGGTGAAAGAAGATGAGAAACACAGCTCTGTACCCCCATGGGCATCCAACAGCAACATGGTGACACCTTCATTTCTTTTTGGTGCCAAGTCCTGAGTTTGAAGTCTTATTCTTCAAGAGGAATCCCAAGAAGAAATAAGTCAGCAGCTACAAAATGAATACTGCAATACATTGAGGTAGACACCAGCCTACAGTCCTAAGGCAGGAAGGGGCAAAAAGAGCAACAGGAAAGTACAGCTTGCTACATGAAAAAAGCAATCTCAAAAGAATGGGAAGATGGACCTCAGGCATTTAAGGTTTTACCTCGGAACGCCAGACTATTCTGTATCTTGGAAACACTCTTTCTTTTTCTTTGGACTTCAATCTTTATTTCCAAATCAGGACTGGAAATGGGAATTATGAAGCCAAAAATATCAAACAGCCTCAGATCCTTTGGTTAAAAACATCAGCGGCAACACACGACTGAGCTTACCTCCCCCATTCTTGACATTTCATTATAAGAGGAAAACCACAAGCCGAACTTAGCAAAGGCTGTTATAATTAACTCACAAGCCCTCGTGTGCTTACTAGTGGTTTTTAAGTTTCTGAGGCTTAGATGTAATGTAAGATGTGTTATTTAATATGCATTATGGAGGGAGGAAACAAAGACACATTTTTATTCTCTTTTGCTATACAGCAGCCTGGTTGGTTCCATTCCATCCATTTAATTTACTGTTTCCAGGCACAAGGGAATTGTTTCCATGTGACACTTATCTATATAAATTTGGGATAAACGGAATTAACGTGTCAATTGAGGTTCTTGATGGCAAATAACAGAGACCAAGTCTGGCCCTGTGAGGCAAAAAAGGAATTTATTAAAGTGTATTAGGTGACTCAGAATCCCAGGAGGCTGCAGAGTGAAGCTGGGAGGCTGTGTATCCCGCGACCATTCCGCAAATCAGTTCTAGCGGTGGTCCGGTGGATGGATACCCTCCTGTCTTTGCTCTGGGCAGAGATGCTGCAGCTTGCCCTGAGAGCACCCTGACATTGCACAAGCTGCTGGGTCTCCTGTAAACTGGCTGTAGTGGCCACCATCCTGCCAGTGCGCCCACAAGTCCTAACTGGGCTCCCCTGGTTCTCATTTGGTGCCCCCTTCTCATGTTCCTCCTCTAAAGATCTCTACTCGAATCCCGCTCCCTGCCCATTTTGGTTACCCTTACCCAAAGGAAGGGGGCTCACACTCTAGAAACACACACACACACACACACACACACACACACACACCCCCTGTACCCCAGTGGCTTTTGCCCAGGTTGGAGTCATTTTATCCGCAGTGGCCCCTGGGGCTTCATGGTCAGTGATGTTGAGAGAGGTGGTCCAGACCCTGTGGTGATCAAGTTCCCCAGGCAGGGTCTCCTTGTTCCCAATCCTGCCGTGGACTTGGAAGGCACTCCTGATTCTTTACTTAACCATTTAGAGCAAGCTCACACATGTCTCCAAAGGACAGATGTCAAGCCTTGGGAGACAGTATATTCTGAACTCATATCAGGAAAGAAGAGTCTTATATTCATTGCAAGGTTCTTTTCTGACATGGTCTGTGAGCCTCATTTTTATGCAGAGTGGTTACCTTGGAATCCCCCAAGACAGTTTCAGGCCCACACTATTTTCTATTGGCTACTCCCATTGGTGGACCTGGCCAGGGCTCCTGGCTGACTGTGTATGGCAAGATCCTTCCCCATCTCCCTCTTCGGGGTGGGGGATAGTACAGGGCCCGGTGCTGATGCTTCCCATCACCATGTGATGTCACTCCTCATGTGCGGGTGGGGCAAGGCCATATACAGAACATTTGAGGTGGTGGAATTACCAGCTTGAGAATTAACCGTTCCTACTTTTCTCAAGTTGTAAGCTCTACGACAAAGAAAAAGAGGTAGCTTTTTTCCCTTCTTATCCCAAATGAGGAGCCAGGTTCCGTGTCCTGGATGTCTGAACTTCTTTTATCTCCAAGGAGCATTAGATATCTTTGTTTTCAACAGTCGGAGTTCCTGTGTGAGACAGTACACAACCCACTGGAACGACAGGGCTCTGTGGGGTGAAGAGGAGGACAAAGGGAGCAGAGCCCCAAGGCTGGTGGGAGGGCAGGAGAGGAGACTCTGGAACAGTGCAGGGCACTCCCACGGGCAGGCACTACCTCAAGGAAGGTGACAACTTGGATAATGGCTGCCTGCCTGGAGGCCAGTGAAGGACAGGGTACTGATCTGTCATGCAGGGCCCTGATAGCCAAGGCAAGTGTCTCCCAGTACCGAACCTAGAATGCAGGGGCTGGCAAACTTGGTATATTAGTCCGTTCTCACATTGCTGATAAAGACATACCCGAGACTGGGTAATTTATAAAGGAAAAAGGTTTAATGGAGTCACAGTTCCACATGGCTGGGGAGGCCTCACAATCATGGCAGAAGGCAAAGAGAAGCAAAGGCACATCTTACATGGCAGCAGGCAAGAGAGCTTGTGCAGGGAAACTCCCATTTATAAAACCATCACATCTCATGAGACTTATTCACTATCACGAGAACAGTATGGGGGAAACTGCCCCCGTGATTCAATTATCTCCACCTGGCCCCATCCTTGACACGTGGGGATTATTATAATTCAAGGAGAGATTTGGGTGGGGACACAGCCAAACAATATTGCTTGGCATAAACTGCCTGTTGGCACCAGGATGGACCTGACCTGGGCTTGCTGAGCTAGTGAGGCTTGACTCAGACAGAACCACAGCACTGGAAAGACAGCGGTGGGCAGTGGGCTATGCCCACAAGCACATAAGGTGATGCAAGGCAAACCAGCTGAGTACGACCCTAGACTTAGAGAATTGTTTAGGGCCCCTCTATGTTCCCAGAGGTCCCGTACAGCCCAAGAGTAGGGGTGGCAGCACCAGAGAGTAAAAAGGATATTGGATTTCTTCCTAACTCTTCAAAAGACACTTGTTTTGGAATGATTTCAGATTTGTGGAAATGTTGCAAAGATCATACAGAAAGTTTACGTCCTTCACCCAGCTTTTACCATTGTTACATTTCCATGGTACATTTGTCAAAACTCAGAGATGTCATTAGTACCTTTTATTACTAACTAACTTCCAAACTCTGTTCGAATGTCACCAGTGTTTTCATTAGTGCCCTCCTTCTGTTCCAGGAGCCACTTCTGTGTACCTTAAAGCATCTAGTCGGCATATGTCCCCAGTCTTCTCTGGCCTATGACAGTTTCTCAGGCTTGCCTAGTTTTTTGTGACCTTGACACCTTGAATAGTACTGTCCAGCTAGCCTGTGGAATGTCTCCCAAACTGGGTTTGTGGAGATTTTTCTTACGATTAGATTTTTCTTATGATTAGTGGTGGGATTTGGGGAAGTGCCCTTCTTATCCCATCACATGGAAAGTATACCGTACCCACATGGCATCACCAGTGTGCCAGCCCTCATCACTTCATTAGGGTGATGTCTGCTGGGGTCACCACTGAAAGAATTCTTTCCCCTTTCTCTATTCTATTCTTTATAAGCCACCCTAACACCTTTTAATTTGCAATAGAAAAATAAAGAAGTGCGATGCTATTTGCAACTGAGTGTCATGGAAGAATTCTTGCCTGTTATATTTGTCTTTGAGCAAGGGTTTTCTTGAAGCCATCAACCAAAAGTAGTAACTCTAATGGTAGGAATTTCAGGCTTTGTGACAGTTGGGTGTGGGCGTGTGGGCTTCGGCGACAAACGTAAGCAGCGTTCTCCAACCTACCACTCAGGCAGTGCCCTGCTCCGCCTGGATATGGGGACAGACCACGGAGAGTTTGTTTATAAAACCTTGGTATAGGGTTTGAAAACTTAACACTCCTATACACACGAGGGACCATCTTACCAATTATTTTCTAATGCAGGATGTGAGTGCACATTTAGAAGGGGTGTTGATTGTTTACTCAGGACAAATTAAGCATCTTTGGTGTGGAGCATAATTAAAGAAATATGGTCCCTTTCTATTTCAAATCCAATGAGACAGTCACTCGATTTCAAGAGCAAGACCTTTCCCACACCTTTGAAATTGGAAGCTATTCAAGGATAGCTATGGAGACAAGCATGCAACAACCCCTACGTCAGTGTTCATGATCCTTAAGTAAAGGGATGCTGCCTCCAGAGTCTTGTTGTTGCCAGTTTCAGCTATTTTTCCAACTGCTTTTGATGACCCTGAGAGTTATGGATCTTCAGACTTAATGCTTTAGACAGAAAGTACTTTTGCCGTTGGAATCAGCAGAAAGTTTCTATGAATCATTCAGAATATCAGAAATGACAGTCAAAGTAGTTACTGGAACATTACAGAAGTTGTTTATGGGGCTTCTGACTTGTAAAGAAGCAATGAATTTTGCAGCAGACTTAGAGCAATAAAGCACCATGATGTTTATTCACATGCTGTGCTGTCAAAATTAAAATTCAGTTCCATACATCTTTGACTTGGATCTTCAATAGAAATCATCTCCTAATATCCCATTAACGGGGGTTGTCACCATTGTTCTGCAGAAGGTTAGAGTGAGGTGGAGATTTGATGGAAGTCTTTGAAGAGACTGTGGAAGTCAGGACGAGGCCTATGTGACTCTGAGTTCTGGAAGGCCTGGCTAACCTTCCTGAAGTCAAGCTTCTGACTTAAAGATCAACGCTGAAGCTTACCTCCCACACCCACCTCCATCTGGCTCCATTTTGACCTCTGCTTTTATTCAACACCTTTTGTGGATGTCGGGCTGCTGGGCAGAGGATAAGAATGAGATGCTGCTTGTGGTCCTGAGAGGCTCAAAATTTCGAGGAGGTAAAGGAGGGGAAGGGAGGCCTGAGGATGAACAACTGGTCAATTAAAATCAGTGGCTGGGGTTACCCAGGTGACAAGGTGGGGTGGGGAGGGCAGGACGTTCTGGACAAAGACAAAGCAGGTTAAAAGGGCTAGAGACAGGCTTGGAGAACTGCACGTAATTAACCCAACTCAGTATTAAAGGAGATTTGAAAGCTACTTTAAAACTCTATGCTGTGGGCATAAGCACTGATAAATGGATAGAATAGAATAGTTAACTTCGGAGACACCCAAGAATATTTAAGTGCTTAATAGATAAAAAAAGGGACCAATGAGGGAAGATTTGACTTATTCAAAAAGTAATGGGAAAATTGGTTATTTGCAAAAGATTAAACTTACGACCTCACCTGATATATTAAAAATCATTACATGTGGACTAGCATAACATAAAACAGTCTTTTAAAAGCAGAAGAAAATATGAAATTGAGCCCTTTCTAGGTGCCACATCAATAGAATAAATTATTATGAAAAAGAATAAGATTTATGTAGCCAAAGAAACACTAAACAATAAAAAGGCAAACGACAAACTGGCAAAAATATTTTAACACTATGATAAAGGGTCAATACCTTTATTTTACAAGAAAACCTTTCAAAATAATAAGAAAACAGTGCAATACGGCCGGGCACGGTAACTGACGCCTGCAATCCCAGCACTTTGGGAGGCCGATCGCCTGAGCTCAGGAGTTCAAGAGCAGCCTGGGCAACATGGCAAAACCCCCACCTCTACAAAAAATACAGAAATTAGCTGGGTGTGGTGGCATGGCCCTGTAGTCCCAGCTACTTGGGAAGCTGAGATGGGAGGATCCCTTGAATCTGGGAGGTGGAGGTTGCAGTGAGCCGAGATCTCACCACTGCTCTCCGTGCAACACAAAAACACACAAAGGTCATGAAGAGAAGCACAAACACCCAGTGATCATGGAAGAATGTTCAACCTTAGAGATAAAGAAAGAATGGGCCGGGCACAGTGGCTCACGCCTTTAATCCCAGCACTTTGAGAGGCCGAGGCAGGCGGATCATGAGGTCAGGAGATTGAGACCATCCTGGCTAACACGGTGAAACCCCGTCTCTACTAAAAATATAAAAAATTAGCCGGGCACGGTGGTGGGCACCTGTAGTCCCAGCTACTCGGGAGGCTGAGGCAGGAGAATGGTGTGAATCTGGGAGGCGGAGGTTGCAGTGAGCCGAGATCACACCATTGCACGCCAGCCTGGGCGACAGAGTGAGACTCTGTCTCAAAATTAAAAAAAAAATAAAACAAAGAAAGAATGCACACCGACCGAAACAACAAGATAGCATGTTTTCACCTGTCAAAGTGGCAAAGATTGCAAAAGAAGGGACTTTGGCAATGGTACCGTGAAACTTCAAAAAACATTCATCACCTTTGACTCCAAATTCCACATTTAGGAAACTATCTGAAGGCTAGAATTTTGAAAACAACAATCTTTTTTTTGAAAGTATACTTCTTCCATAAATATGTGCTAATCGTGACAAAAAACACAAAACTGTAGCTTGTGCCTTCTTTTATGCCATTTTATAATAGTGTAGAGAGAAAAAAAGCATTTGCTGTCAGCTTGCTGAGTCATTAACACAGTGTTTACAGGCAAGTTACTTAGCCTTTCTGAATCTTGGTTTCTTTTCTTATTTTATTTTATTTTATTTTTGAGATGGAGTCTCGCCGCTGTGTTGCCCAGGCTGGAGTACAGTAGCACGATCTCGGCTCACTGCATCCTCCGCCTCCCAGGTTCAAGCGATTCTCCTGCCTCAGCCTCCTGAGTAGCTGTGATTACAGGTGTGCACCACCATATCTGACTAATGTTTGCGTTTTTAGTGGAGACAGGATTTCACCATGTTGATCAGGCTGGTCTCAAACTCCTGACTTCAAATGATCTGCCTGCCTTGGCCTCCCAAAGTGCTGGGATTACAGGTGTGAGCCACTGCACCCAGCCTCACTTTCTTAATTTTCAAAATGTTTATTTGGCTTTTTATGTAGTTTCTTTAGCTACATAAATCTTATTCTTTTTCATAATAATTTATTCTATTGATGTGACACCTAGAAAATGCTCAATTTCAACCTTTTCTTCCACTTTTAAAAGGCTTTGTGTTTTACTTTTATGCTAATCTTCCTGTAAATTTTTTTTTTTTTTTTTTTGAGACAGAGTCTTGCTCTGTGGCTCAGGCTAGAGTGCAGTGGCATGATCATGGCTGACTGCAGCCTCCAACCCCCTGGGTTCAAACGAGCCTCTTACCTTAGCCTCCCAAGTAGCTGGGACCACAGGGATATGCCACCACGGCTGGCTAATTTTTTGTGTTTTTTGGAGAGACAAGGTCTCCCTGTGTCACCCAGACTGGTCTCAAACTCCTAGGCTCAAACACTTCTCCCTCCTTGGCCTCCCAAAGGGCTGGGATTTCAGGTGTGAGCTACTGCACCCAAACTATAATGTGTTTTAATATATCAAGTGAAGCTGTAATTTTATACTTTTATAAATAACCAGTTTTTCCCATTACTTTTTAAATAATCCAAATCTTCCCTCATTGGTTCTTTCATTATCTATTAAGCACTTACATGCTGTTAGATTAATTCTTTTTTTTTTTTTTTTTTTTTTTTTAAGATAGAGTCTCACTCTGTCACCCAGGCTGGAGTGCAGTGCCGTGATCTCGGCTCACTGCAACCTCTGCCTCCCGGGTTCACGCCATTCTCCTGCCTCAGCCTCCCGAGTAGCTGGTACTACAGGCTTGCACCACCGTGCCTGGCTAATTTTTTTGTATTTTTAGTAGAGACGGGTTTTCACTGTGTTAGCCAGGATGGTCTCGATCTCCTGACCTCGTGATCCACCCACCTCGGCCTCCCAAAGTACTGGGATTACAAGTGTAATCCCAGCAAGGGGAGGCAAGGGAGGGAGAGAAACCCTGAGATTCCACCAGCACTGTGCCAGGCAGAGTCGGGGAACTGGGGGACTGCTGCTTATTTAAAGTATTGGCAGGCACACAAAAGCTGCTCGAGAGATGATAGAGTCACCTACGCCCTCATCATTCCATTCTAGCCCCTCCACATGTATGTGCTGATTCGATTTCAATTAATATGGACACATGCTCCCAACACTTCAAACCATAATGGCTTTAGGAATCTGGTGGAGAGTAGAAATCTAGCAGAAGAGGAGTTAAGGAAGTGATTTTGGAAAATTCTAAGAATCCTGATGCTGCTGAAAAAAAAAAAAATAGGTGGGCGCCATGCAGAGCAAACTAGTCCCAATGTTCACGTGAGAGAATGGAGCAGAAGCTGATAGGAAATGGACAGAAGGTCTGGACCCCTAGGAGTTCAGCATTGACCGGCCTAGACCAAAACACAAACACAAAAATGGCCAGGTGCAGTGGCTCACACCTGTAATCCCAGCACTTTGGGAGGCTGAGGCGGGTGGATCACTTGAGGTCAGGAGTTCGAGACCAGCCTGGCCAACACGGTGAAAGCTCTTCCTACTAAAAATACAAAAATTAGCTGGGTGTGGTGGCGCATGCTTGTGGTCCTAGCTACTTGGGAGGCTGAGGCAGGAGAATCACTTGAACCCGGGAGGCAGAGGTTGCGGTGAGCCGAGATCATGCCATTGCACTCCAGCCTGCGTGATAGAGGGAGACTCTGTCTCAAGAAAAAAAAAAAAAACAAAAAACCCACAAAACAAAAACAAAGGAGGCAGTTGGCCCTGGAAGTTTTCAAGACACATCTGTCTTGAAGGAGGCCACCCAAAGTATTGCTCCACTTGAACCTGAAAAGACAGTCCTGAGGTCCTGCCATGTGCCCATCTTTCCACAATAGACACTCCTCATTTGTGTCACCATAAATGCCCACTGTTATCTCTGCCATTGTTATTAGTAGGAGGCTCAAACTAGCGTGGAGATGTTGGTTCACAGGAGAGCCACTGGGTGGGGCAACTTCTAGCTCCTTCCCAGAGTCCCACTGAAAAAGTGGGCACAGCCTATCTTACAGCTGAAAACTGGGGCAGACAGACCACCTCGTGCGAGGAACACGGAGGAGTGTCTATTGTCTATAGCACAGACCCCAGATTAAAGAAAGGGACTGACTCTGTAATGCACACATCAGACAAGCTCCCTGCCCCCAGAGACCACAGCCTGAAAAACAGCAAAGCCCTCCCCACCATATCTATGAATTCCTGGGGCGTATATTCTCATGATCCCTTCTGTCTCTGGCCCCTCTGTCCCTCCAGCTGCCTCTGCATGGCCCCATATCAGTCTGGCCAGAAACGCAAGCCCTTCAATGCTTTTCACAAAGAATTCCCCCATATCAGGCGCTTCATGAGTTTAGTTGCTGTAACTCCATGCTTCTCCACTGGGGCAATTTTGCCTCCTAGGGGTCATTTGGCAAAGTCTGGAGATATTTTTGGACGTCAAAATGGAAGGGGAAGGCTACTGATATCTAGTGGGTAGAGACCAGAAATGCCACAATGCATAGGACAGCCCTCTGACAAGAAAGAATCACCTGACCCCAAGCATCAGTAGTGTCGACATTGACAAATTCTGCCTGAACCGAAGAGGTGAAGGTCATGGGGCTGGTGACCTTGCACGGGGCATGGGTTTCTCCAACTCTATGACTTCACTTTCTCTTTTACCTACTCCGTTACTTCTCAGGAGCAAAACAAATTCCTCACCCTGTGTCATGGCCTACGGTGAAGCGGCCATCTTTAGTAACAAGATTGTGGCTTTGCCGTTTCTTCCATTCGACCAAACAGCTTATCAAATTATTTCTTCCACATACAGTGCACTCCCTAGGCTAAATTCTGGTGAATATAATATTCCCCCAATCTTACTACACACACATGTAAAGGAGTCACTTATCTGGGAAGTGGAAGAGGCTTAGATCCTTACCAATATCCACCCCATTCGACGATCAGGGCTGGGGAGGCGCGTGCATGTGGCTGGGGGAGGCAAGGGAGGGAGAGAAATCCTGAGATCCCACCAGCACTGTGCCAGGCATAGTCAGGGAACTGGGGAGCTGCTTGCTTGGAGAACAACTGTATCAGACAAAGAGTGTTTGCTGCTGTAAACATGAACAGGGCCCCCCGGTATGTAGGGAATCCTCTACCAAGGGCTTATGGTGTTGCTTTTCTCCCTTCTCTTCCCTCCCACCACCATGCTCTCTGCAGAAGCTGCCAGACCTCTGACCC
This sequence comes from Homo sapiens, assembly GCF_000001405.40. Classification (NCBI taxonomy): domain Eukaryota; kingdom Metazoa; phylum Chordata; class Mammalia; order Primates; family Hominidae; genus Homo; species Homo sapiens. The sequence goes on along the minus strand of NC_000010.11, from coordinate 114,086,612 downwards.
AGGGGAGGGAAGCTGGTGTCAATCTCTTGACTTGTGTAAAAGAAATTCAAACAGGTGGCCCCATCATTCTGAAAGACTGTGCTTCAACTTCCAATAGTGGATGGAGGCTACTCATCCATCTCTCTCTTGAAGACTCAGCTCGGACAGAACGCAGTGGACACGGAAGTCTCCGCAGTTCACCTATCTGAGGAATGGAGCAAATAGCTCCCTGTGAAACAGACTCCGAGCAACAAGGTCCTAATCTGTGTTCTCAGTAAAATCCAAGAGGTCATTGCTGCTGGGAAAACGGTCCAAGCAGTCTCGAGGAGTCCACCTCTGTGAGCAGGAAAGACAGCATGGAGATGAAAACTGTGATTGCCAAACTGCAAGCCCCCACGGAGGCCCTGGATACCACAGAAATGTAAATCAACGGAGAAGATGAGTTTGAGAAACTCTCCCGGAATCCAGAGGAAAGAAACATGAAAAGGGGATTATGGGGTGAGGTTAGTAACAATAAATATTATTTCAAAAAGAGATTGGGGGATAGAAGGTGGAATGGGAGTAAAATGCCATGGGGAAAAGATACTCGCAACTGCTAGAGGTTGAATAAAAGGTGGCAAAGCAGGGGAAAGAATGGGCCTTTTCCTGTAATAGAAAGGGTAAGTTCAGACTTTACTTGGAAGTATGATGTGTCCCAAGAACAGGCAAACATATATCATCTTTTTTTTTTTTTAAGTTGGAGTCTCACTCTGTTGCCCAGGATGGAATGCAGTGGCATGATCTTGGCTCATTGCAACCTCCCACTCTGGGGTTCAAGCGGCTGTCATGCTTCAGCCTCCCGAGTGTCTGGGATTACAGGCGTGCACCACCACACCTGGCTAATTTTGTATTTTTTATAGAGATAGGGTTTCATCATGTTGGCCAGGCTGGTCTTGAACTCCTGACCTCAAGTGATCCGCCCACCTCGGCCTCCCAAAGTGCTGGGATTACAGGCATGAGCCACCGTGCCAGGCCAAGCCTTCTTAATGTGAGATTCAGCCGAGTGAGGATGGCTGGGCCTTGCCACTCTGGCCATCTGCATCTTGACAGCAGTATTTGGAAAGTCTCTGCCTAGCCCACACGTTTCCTTCTAACAATACTACAAAAGTCTGCAATCTGGGACTTTAGAAAGACAGTAAAAAAGATCTGATAAGAATGACTGAAAGCACCGCTATTAAACAAGAATTGCAGTTTACTGCAATTAATTGAAGAATAATTTATATCACGCATGTGCATTTCATGCACCTATGTGACCTGTACTTCTGATGTAGGTGATTATGATATTGATTTCCTGAGCATTGGGAGTTGGTGAAAACCCTCTGATGGGTGTGGCTGAGGATGAGCTTGTTTGCTCTGCTGTGCTCTGGATTTGTCTTCTGCCTGCGTCCGGGTGTGGCCACTCCCGTTCTGCAGGTGCCACGCTGTTCTGAGAGGCCAGGATGATCATTATTCTTCTCCACTTGGTGACCTTGTTCACAGACCATGCAGTCTTCACACCAAAGCTGCTGCAGCGTCCGCCTGCATGTTCCCACTGCCTGCCACCTGTGTGTGCCCTTGGTGCCCTGCCCCTGTCTGCTTGCTCTAGGATGCGATATGCTCTTTAGAGGGTGTGTGTACTGTGCCAATATAATGTGTTAATTCTGCTTTATTTGATGTGGAAAAACATTTCTAATTGGAATATGAGATAAAAATGTATCCCAAGGTAGCAGAAACCTGGACTCAATAATACTCCCCATATACACCTTAAAACAGGGATCCCCAACCCCTGGACTGGTACTGGTCTGTGGCCTGTTAGGAACCAGGCCGCACAGCAGGAGGTGAGTGGCTGGCGAGCAAGCATTACTGCCTGAGCTCCACCTCCTGTCAGATCAGCAGCAGCATCGGATTCTCATAGGAGCCGATCCTATTGTGAACTATGCATGTAAGGGATCTAGGTTGTGTGCTCCTTATGAGAATCTAATGCCTGATGATCTGATGTGGAACAGTTTCATCCCCAAACCACCCCCCTACCCTGGTCTTTGGAAAAATTGTCTTCTATGCAACCGGTCCCTGGTGGCAAATAGTTTGGGGACGGCTGCCTTAAAACACCCTCCTGGCTGCCACAGCTCAAGGGTTGCCTGCTGAGGAACTTCAAACTGTGCTCATGTGGGCACAGAAGCATCGTGCAGGGCTGCACTGTCACCAGCCCCAGCAGCCACAGGGCAGTTTGTCACCAGCTCCCTGAGAATCAACTCCAGTGTGATGGAGGTGACCCCTTGCTCCAGAAGTCTGAAGTTAACAAAGATAAACTTAGTCAGTTAGAAGGGATTAAGCAGGAGACAGTGGAATAGCTACAACAGCCGAACAACCCACTCAAATCTTGCCCACTTTTGCAGATCCAAAGAATTCCTGCAGCTTTGAAGTCCAGAGTGAGAAATGAGAAGGACCCAGGAGACCAGATAATGCTGTAAAGTCTTCAGAAGAAAAATCTAGAAGAGTAGATTATAAAGATGGAGTTAATAAACTTTTAATCGTTTACTCTATTACCATTTAGCTTTTTTTGAAACCAGGTAAACATTTTATTATAAATATATATATAGTTATATATAATATTATATTATATAGTTATATATAATATTATATTATATATTTATATATAATATTATATTATATATTTATATATAATATTATATTATATATTTATATATAATATTATATTATATTATATTAATATTATATATATTTGTAATTATATATTTATAATTTATATATATTTATATATATATAGTTTTGAGATGGAGTCTTGCTTTGTTGCCCAGGATGGAGTGCAGTGGCGTGATCTCAACTCACTGTAACCTCCACCTCCAGGTTCAAGCAATTCTCCTTTCTCAGCCTCCTGAGTAGCTGGGACTACAGGCGCACACCACCACGCCTGGCTAATTTTTGTATTTTTAGTAGAGAGGAGGTTTCACCATATTGGTCAGACTGGTCTCAAACTCCTGACCTAAGGAGATCCACCTGCCTTGGCCTCTGAAAGTGCTGGGATTACAGGCATGAGCCACCAGGCCCGGCTTTACTTTATTATGTTTTTAAACTAGTTTAAACAGAAAAAAACTAAACAAACAACCTAGGATTGCTGGCCAGGAACAAAAGGAGTGCTAGGCTCAGAGACACGGGATGAAGTCTCTGTGTCTCACAGATGCCTGTGTGGACCAAGGTCTGATGTGAATGGCACACTAACCAGGAAATCAGAACGGGACTGGTGAGGACAGAGAGGAGGTGGGGTGGGAGAAAGCGCCCTGGCTTGGAGCCTTGAGAAGCCACGTAAGCCTTGCACTGTGGTTTTGATTTTAATGCAGATAGCCTGTCTCCTTATAAGACTCTGTGTTGTAGGTTATCACAGTTATTGTTCCCAGTGAATTCCACCTCCACAGCCTTGGTAGTCTCCTCCCATGAGGACTTGAAATTTGGCCATGTGACTTGCTTTGGCCAATGGGATGTCAGCAAGCTTGATATAAGACGCAGCTTGAAGAACGCTTGTGTTTTGGGGCTTGCCCTTTCAGAATGCTACCTCCAGGTGATGAAACATGACCAGCTGACAGCCAACACCAACCTCTAGACATGTGTGTGAGGCCATATTAGACCCCACCCCTCCACCCAGGCTCAGCTGAACTGCCAGATAGATGGCTTCGGCAGCATGAACCATCAGGCACAACCAGCAGAAGAACCACTAGGTAAGCCCAGCCCACACTGCTAACCCATTGCAATCCTGAGCAGATCTGTTGTCGTTCTAAGCCACTACATTTTGGTATGGTTCAAGAATGAAAAATAGTACAGAGTAGCTAAATCTAGATCTCACGCTGTGATTCAGGTTAGGCATTTAATCTCCCTTTGAATCCAGTTTCATCTGTAGATTGGAGATCTTGTCCAGGTAAAAATGGAAGCTGTTGATGAGTTCCTTTTCCCTCTAATTGCATCATGAAGCCAGATACGTGTTTTGCAACATTCACAGGAGAGAAGTTTACTAATTATCCACCAGTATTCTCTCCAGTGAGAAAGTTTGAGGACTTTAGGGAGGAACCTGTGTACCAGCTGAACTACTAAAAGGTTCATGTCACTGTAGCCCCCCAGCTACTGGAGTGAGCTTGGTCCTCAGGAATCATTCCAGCCGAGCAGCCCAACTCCCGAGGCAGTGCCGGTATAAGGCCCATGACAAAGCACATTTCGAGATGCCACCAATGACCTTGCACACGTTTTCTTTTCTTTCCATAGAGAGTAAAGGGGGACCATCAGCCTTAATGTATGGAACTGCATCCGCATTTCTTTGTAATTTCAGGGTATTGTGTTTGGTAACTGAAAAACTAGTTTGCCTTTTGGCCCTGGGTTTGCATTTTACAACCAATTATGTAAATAATCTGTTAATGATTATATTTGTAATGACTGATAAATGTAATTTAAAAATAAAACAAATAGACTCTGTATTCACTAGGGTCCTTTTACTCAGAGTTATTTGTTTAATGAGTCATATCTTTTTTATTTCTTCTCCACTGAGAGGCCAACCTGGCTGCAGTTTAGTTGCCAGGTTTCTCAAAAATAGGTGTCCTATTTGCACCTAAGAAATGCAGTGTATAAACAGATACGTCTTAACTTCTAAGGAAGGTTAACGTTTTCTTCTTGTCTGTCACCTTGCCCACAGCAGAAGGAGCAGCAGTCATTTCAGACATTTATTATGCGGGTGCTGCTTCTACAAATCTTTCAACAGCTACTAGTCCATCAAGGACAAAGCCCCAGGACAGATTTCTCCAGGGTACCATTGAATGGCATCCCAGATGGAGGACCTTTCCTTTGGGAGATACTAGGGCTGCCATCTGGGTACACATCCTTGAATAGCTTGAGGCTTTCTGGACACATCAGACTTTGTCATGATTGGGCATCAAAGGCATGAGCTTATAGGACCTTGATGTAAGATCCTCTCAATAACAGGCATCTCTGTTACATACAATTTTCAACTGTCTATTCAATAATCAGTCAATCAAAAAACAACTGCCATGACATACTACGAATGCTCCAGATGGTAGTAAGCTACCAAAGATACACAAAATAAAGTCTCTGGTCAAGCACATGAATGTTCTGCATATTCAAAAAAAATAAAGTTAAATCACGAAAGATGAAGGGGGAAAACTCAAACAAAATGCAAATAGAAACAAATGAACCCAGCTGTATTTCAAATGAATAATAGGCTGAATAAAGGTGCAGGAGGGAGAGAACTAATCCATGTAATTAATTTTTTTTTTTTTTTTAAGAAATTGGATCTGGCTCTGTTACCAGGGCTGGAGTGTGGTGGTGTGATCATAGCTCACTGCAGCCTTGAACTTCTGGGCTCGGGTGATCCTCCCACCTCAGCCTCCCAAGTAGCTGGGACTACAGGCATAAGCCATTGTACTCAGCTCCCCAGGTAATTTTTGAACAAAGTACTTTAACCATTAGACTCCAGTCTAGGAAAATAAAAGAAGTGCAAACCAATCTTGCACTCTTTTTAGTAGGTTTGTTCTGTGCAGTGATGTGAAGGTGGCAATGGGTGTTGCAGAATTGAGCACACGAGTAAATATGTTAATGTTTTGGAAATAAGTCCTCACCATGGAAGAAGGGATGTGCAAATTTGGAAGGGAGGAAATTAAGGAAGAACCCGGTGAGACTGGCCTGGAATCAGAGACAGCAGTGAAACTCATGCTTTCCCTCCTCACCTCTCTGAACTTTAGCTGCTATTCTTTGATTTCTTGCCTCTGTAGCTCTGCTCATCCTGTTCTAGTCACAGAGAATTTCTTTCCCATAACTTTTGTATATTAAAATCTTACCTCTTCTCCATGAGGCCTTCTATCCTCCCTCTCTCCTGATCACAGCAATCTCATTTCCTCTGAATTTCCATGGTACTGTAACTAAAACTCATTAAAAGCACATTCATGTTTATGTTAGAATAAAATTCTTTATGGAAGTCTTACCTTACCTATAATGAGCACGTTTTAATAAAAACCAGCATCTGATTCTTCCTTGTTTTTTACCAGGTTCCAATGCATTCGATAATGCCTCATTGAATGAAAGAAAGCAGAGATTAGTTGAACAAGAATAAATAAGCATTCTGAAAAAAAAATCTGAAAATATAACCACACACACCTTAAAAAGGGAAGATGTACCCTGATGATAAATTTTGGTTGAATAAGCCTACTGTAAATCCTCAGTGTGAAATGCCCTCCAGAAATGTAGTGAGTGTGCAGGATACATTAGTAGAGACACAGTACTTAGAACAAGGGAGGTGAATGAGCCACTCTCTTCAGCCTTCAGGGGACTATTGTCCTATGTTCAAATTTTTGGTATTTGGCCAACATCTTTTGGCCATAATTTTGGAGTACCGTGTGCAGCATGCAAAACCATGTCATGGGCAGAATGGGAGGACCAGGATTATTTGGACTGGAAGAGAGACTCCTGGGAAAGAGAAGGGGCTAAGAGAATGGAGGACGCACACAAATTGTCTTTAAATGTATGCAGAGGGATTTAAACATGGAAGAGGGATTTGATTTATTCTATATCCATCTGGAGTGCAGAAACAGGGTCAGTTTGGGTGAAGATGGGTGGGAAGGACATTTTTGTCTCAACACAAGGAAGTGCTGTCTGAAAAGGAAAGTTGTCTAACTTGGAATGGGCAGTTTGCGGTCAGATCTTCATTTTCACCTTCTTGGTATCAGCAAGGTGGTACAGGACAACTGTGTAAGAGGCATGGGGTCAAACTGGATGACTTCTAGATACCTTCCACTCTAATGTCCCATAAATCTATGGTGTTAAGAAGAAAAGACCCAAAAACACTTAGTGAACTAACCAGCATGTGAGTGAATGCCGGCAGCGAAGTACAGACAATGGAGTACAAAAAGTGCCAGGAAGAGGTCACTGGAGTTCTTGGGCTGGGCCTCATGGAGGAGTGGGTGGAATAGAAACAAATGAACCCAGCTGTATTTCAGGTCACAGGGCAGTAGGGCGGGGAAACTTTGGGTTGAAGCTCCAGCAGAAACCCAGGGCTAGAGGAAGGGCTGGGGAAGTTCAGTGCATAGCAGAGATGGGGAGCTGGGAGCTCAGGTAGAGAAACGATGTTCTGTAGAAATGCGGGGGTCAAACTGTGCTTTGAAAGCTTATTAGAGGAATTAAGGCAGAAAAAATAATCATGCCCTGAATTTGAAATTCTAGGCCAGGCACAGTGACTCACACCTGTAATCCCCGCACTTTGGGAGGCCGAGGCGGGCGGATCACTTGAGATCAGGAGTTCGAGACCAGCCTAGCCAACATAGTGAAACCCCTTCTCTACAAAAAATACAAAAATTAGCAGGGCGTGTGGTGAGCCCCTGTAGTCCCAGCTACTCAGGAGGCTGAGGCAGGAGAATCACTCAAACCCGGGAAGCAGAGGTTGCAGTGAGCTGAGATCGCGCCACTGCACTCCAGCCTGGGCGACAAAGCGACAAAGCAAGACTCCGTCTCAAAAAAAAAAAAAAAAAAAGAAAAGGAAAGAAAAAGAAAAAAGAAAAAAAAGAGATAAAAAAATTGAAGTTCTAGTTCTTATTTCTGTCAATTACTAGCTCAATGACAGTGAGGAAACCACTTTTTCTGGGTCTTCACTTCCCCACTTTGCAAGTAAGGAGGCTGGAGAGCATGGCTAAGTTTCCTTCTGCTCTACAAGGTGCTGACTCCATTGGCTGCCATTGTAGATTCAGGAGCAAGAGAGGGACAGAGAGGAGTATTTTAGGAAGATTAATTTAATATGCAGGGTAGATGGAAGTCAGAGGAGAGCAGAAGTAGGAAGAACAGCTGAGAGGCAATTCCAGTAACTGTTTCTCAAAATAATGTCATTCAACTTTAATATCGTTTACTCAGAGTTTATGTCAAAGTGTTAAGAAGTACGATGTTTGGTACCTCTATATGACAACTTTCTTTCTAGGTCAAATTAATTCTCTGTTTCCTTGAGTAATGAAGAAAACGCAATGCTGATACTATCACTAAAAGCACTACACCCATGACCTAAGTCTGGTGAATATTTGTTTGTCATATTCTTTCATGAGAACAGTTTACATAATGGCTCACTTAGCAGAGGATTTCTCTGTTACCATGTCCTGCAAAAAAATCAGCACCATCTGCAAAAAGATTTTGAGACATACAGAGGAATTTTCACGTGTCGATTTTTCTCAGCGCATGTGGCTTGATCATGGAGTTAACAATGCTGACCTCTTATTCCTGTCCTCTTTCAGCAGGCACTTTGTTTTGTGACGAACTTTCATCCCAAGTTGTAGAAGAGGTCTTACAATGACAGTTTGCTCTGTTTCTTAAAATAAAATGCTTTCCACAGAAAGCTGAGTGCCAGAGCTGTTCGTGGGAGGCGGTGACACCTCTCTAGGTCACTGGTTTGCGGCTGGCTACAGACTGAGAGGGAAAGAAAGTCATGGCCACCTTGTGGTGACTGGGGCTGGCAGGGGCAGGAGGTAAGATGGAAGGGGAGCAGGGGAATCTTTGATTGCCGTGAACTGGCTGCTTCAGTGAGCTAGAAACGCAAATTAGAGAACCATGAGGCTGTAGGTCAGTGTCTGGAATCCCTTCCGAGAGTGGCCTGGCGGTGATGTGATGTGACAGGTACTGCCCCATGACTAAGCAGGGAGGTGTGAGAACTGCAGCCTAAAACTCTCAGCTCCTAGAGGTGTGATCTGCGCCCATGGATAGATAAGTGCAAGGTGCTCTGAAGGAACTGGAGTGAGGGAGAGCCACCGTGGGTCGCTGGCAACACCCCTTTGACATCCCTCTGCATGGGAATTGGCCACCCCAGGGTCCCACACCTGCCTTTCTTCTTCCTTCCTTTCCTGCCTTTATTTCTACCTCATCCAATGCCTGAACAGAAAACAGATTTTGAGAGGAAGAGCATTTGGGAGAAGCAAGATTACATCTGGATGGTATTTGAGGCCTGGGAGTCGTTCTGATTGTTTCAGTTCCTTACTTGCATAAGACCTCAGACTTAGTGGGTGCAGGACATGTGAATTGTGAGTTCACACATCCTTGATTACTTCAGGCAGAATGTGCCCTCTTTTCTTTTACTGCTGAAGCCTCATCTGTGACCAGTACTGGGCTGTGAGATTTTTTTTTAAGTCTACAATGAAATAAACACAGAGACTGAGAAAGCATTGAAAACCTTGCATAACAATTTGGCATTGCTGGGACATCCAAGCACATTTTTACTGTGTTTTACCTAGGCATTAGTCTCCATGGATTAGAAATACTGAAAATGATCCTCTGCCACAGATAGTTTGAGAAGCACTGCTTGGCATCTGATATGGTTTGGCTGTGTCCCCAACCAAATCTCATCTTGAATTCCCACATGCTGTGGGAGGGACCCAGTGGGAGGTAATTGAATCATGGGGGCAGCTCTTTCCCGTGCTGTTCTCGTGATAGTGAATAAGTCTCATGAGATCTGATGGTTTTAAACAGGGGAGTTTCCCTGCACAAGCTCTCTTCTGTCCACCGCCATGTGAGACATGCCTTTTACCTTCCACCATGATGGTGAGGCCTCCCCAGCCATGTGGAACTGTACGTCCATTAAACCTCTTTCTTTTGTAAACTGCCCAGTCTCAGGTATGTCTTTATGGGAAGTGTGAAAACGAATTAATGCAGTGTCCATCATTTCATCAATGAAACATTTACCCAGGGCCTCCTGTGTGTAGACGTCTGCTCTAGGGACACGAACCTCTCAGGAGTAGCCTTTGTAAATCATTAGCTAATGGTCTAAGGATTCAGGGTGATGGTGTTTCCCTATGTCAAGACAGACTCTGGAAGGCCATAGTTGGTCTTCTTTGGTGTCTACCAAAGTCTCTGCCACAACACTGAAAACAGAGTAGATACATGGTAAGTATTTGTTGAATGAAGTTATTACTTTGCATTAGTGGCAAGTAGAATAAGACATACATTGTAAAGCAGTATTTAGCTAGAGCAAGTAGGTGGTTACTTGTCTTTCTGCCTTGCTGCTCTTTCTATACCCATTCGGGGCTCCCCAGCATGGCCTGGAAATGGCTCTATTTCTGAACTTAAGCAAAAACTGAAATCTAAAAATTACTGGAATCTATAAGGAGTGTTAGAAGGAAACCAAATTTGTCCTAGGCAAATCATGCCTTCTTGCTTACCTCATAACATTTATTTTTTGGATGTTTGGAGGCTAGGGTTTTCAAATCAATGTAGACCTTTGGTGCCAACAAATGGCACATGAACCATTTCATTATGTTGTTGGATGGCGGAGTGGCACTCAATGATCTCGGTAGAATCAAAGCACGTGAGAGTGAGAGTTCCCCGTGGCCTCAAAGATCAGCTGCCCCCTGAGACTCACTTCACAAGCAGAGGAACTGAGATGCAGAGAGGAAAAGTGAGTTGCCTTTTTGGTAGTAAATTGTAACCATTTTCAAGGATTTATGATGCAAACATAACTTACTTTGGGCCAAAATTTGATAATATAAAATCTCACCATTAAAATGAACTCTGTTGCAAAGGAAAACCCCAACCCGCAATGATGTGACATGTCTTCACATCAGAGGAGGACCAAATACCTAAGTTAGCAAGCGCATGTGTCTAAACTCGGGAGAGAGATCATGGTGGCAAGGAACAAGCTGAGGGCTATGAATCTATCAACCTGTGAGAGTCCCTGGCAGTTAAAAAGAAGGCTTAAGATCGGCCAGGCATGGTGGCTCATGCTTGCAATCCCTGCACTTTCGGAGGCCGAGGCGGGCTGATCACTTGAGACCAGGGGTTCGAGACCAGCCTGGCCAACGTGGTGAAATGCTGTCTCTACTAAAAATACAAAAATTAGCCAGTTGTGGTGGTGGGTGCCTGTAATCCCAGTTATTCAGGAAGCTGAGGCAGGAAAATCACTTGAACCCAGGAGACAGAGGTTGCAGTGAGTCGAGATTATGCTGCTGCACTCCAGCCTTGGCAACAGAGCGAGACTCTGTCTCAGGAAAAAAAATGGCCTGAGATCAATTGGAAAATTGTTTTCTAAGTCAGTTTTTATTTAGTATAAATGACTATAACATGAGGGGAGCTCCCACAGTTTTCAGGGTGGCCCACGTCTGAATCTTTCTGACAACCCTCTAGTGCAGGGCTTCTCGGTCTGGGCACTACTGACATTTTGGGATGGGTGACACGTTGTTGTTGGGGCTGTCCTGGGCATTGTAGGATGGCTAGCAGCACCCCTGGCCTCTACCCACTCAATGCCAATAGCATGCCCCCAATGGTGGCAGCTAAAAATGCCTCCAGACATTGCGAAATGTCCGGGAAGAGGAGCGGAACTGGTGCCAGTGAGAACCACTGCTGTAATGGAATGGTTAATTACAATTGTGGTGGAATTATTATTATGTGGTAGAATTACTAATAAAAACTTACCAGTTTGATGGAAAGATGCTCACCATCATGCAAACTAAAATGTAAACTAAAGCCCCACTTATTAGAATAGCTAAAAGGTATTTAAATGACCAAGTGCCAGCAAGGACGCAGAGAAACTGGAGGTCTTCTACACTGCTGGGAGAATGAATAACAGCACAGTCACTTTAGAAAACAGTTGGGCAGTTTCTTTTCTTTTTCTTTCTTTCTTTCTTTCTTTTTTTTTTTTTGAGACAAACTCTCCCTCTGTTGCCCAGGCTGGAGTGCAGTGGTGTCAATATGGCTCGCTGCAGCCTCAGCCTCCTGAGTAGCTGGGACTCCAGGCATGTGCCACCATGGCTGGCTAATTTTTAAATTTTTTGTAGAGACAACATCTTGCCATGTTTCTTGGCTGGTTTTGAACTCTTAGGCGCAAGAAATCCTGCTTCAGCTTCCCAAAGTGCAGGGATTATAGGCATGGGCAGTTTCTTATAAAACTAAACATATACTTAGATGACCCGGAAGCCACACACTTAATTCACTCCCTAAGTATGTACACGAGTGAAATGAAAACTTAGGTTCACATAAAAACCTGCATGTGGCCGGGCGTGGTGGCTCATGCCTGTAATCCCAGCACTTTGGGAGGCTGAGGCAGGCAGATCACCTGAGGTCAGGAGTTCAAGACTAGCCTGGCCAACATGGAGAAACCCTGCCTCTACTAAAAATACAAAAATTAGCCGGCCGTGGTGGCTCATGCCTGTAATCCCAGCTACTTGGGAGGCTCAGGCAGGAGAATCCCTTGAACCTGAAAGGCGGAGGTTGCAGTGAGCCAAGGTCACGCCATTGCACTCCAGGCTGAGCAACAGAGGGAGACTCTCTCTCAAAAACAAACAAACAAACAAACAGACAAACAAAAAACCTGCATGTGAATGCTTTCAGCAGCTTTATTTGTAAATGCAAAAAATGTAGAGACAAACTTAATGTCCTTCAATTTGTGTATAGATAAACACACTTCGGTACATCTGTGCAATGGAACACTACTCAGCAACAAAAAGTAATGAGCTACTGAGACATGCAACGATGTGGACGAATCTCAAATGCATTATGCTAAGTGAAGAAAGCCAGACTCAAGGGCTGTGAGCAGCAGCAGTTGCTGGTGCTTTGTGGGAAGGTGGGGCGGGGAGGAGGACGCCTGCCACCGCTGCCCCCAATCACTTCCTGCTCAACCTGACTCTTCATGTGTGGCTGCTTAATTCCTGCCTTTCTCTCCCCAGCTGCTTCTTCTTTACTAACGCATCTGCTACATTTTACACGTGTTGGTAAGTGAGAAACAAAAATGAAAAATAAATTAAAATGAAGAAATACAAAAAAAGAAAACAAGAAAGAAAGAAAAAAAAAAGAAAGCCAGACTCAAAAGTCACAGGGTGTGTGATTTCATTTATATGACATTTTGGGAAAGGCAAAATTGTAGGGACAGAAAATAGATCCATCGCTGCCCGAGCCTGGAGGTGAGGAAAAGGGTTGCCTGCAAAGGACACAGGGGAATTTTTTGCATGATGGAACTGCTCGATATTTTGATTGTGGTCATGGTTACGTGACTGTATGCATTTGTCAAAATTCGCAAGAAGGCATATGCTAAAAAGAGTGAATTTTCCTGTGTATAATACACGCATATCACTGAATGTATTAATTTTAAAACATGAAAAAAATGCATCAGTGTTACCAGGATAAGTGAGAATAAGTAAGCTAAAAGAAACAAGTTCTCAATATTTTCCAAGCTAAAAACATACTGCTCTTTGCAACTCAGGCAGAAGACAAAGGTAACTTTTGTTTCCTTGTCAAAGCCCCAGACACTGTTATTTAACATTCCCAGGTACACCAAATAGCCTGGACATTATACAGCACCTAGAGAAAGGAGGCAGTCCTTGCCCTTCGGGTAAAACACACCTGCAGTGTCAAACTCTGGCCTGTTAACTGGCCTCAGATGCACCAGTGCCCCTCTGCCTCTATGCCTTTTTTCACACAATACTCCTTGGAAGAATAGATACTCTGTCGCCCAGGCTGGAGTGCAGTGGTGCGATCTCAGCTCACTGCAGCCTCTGCCTCCTGGGTTCAAGCGATTCTCCTGACTCAGCCTCCCAAGTAGCTGGGACTACAGGTGTGCGCCACCACGCTCAGCTAATTTTTGTATTTTTAGTAGATACAGGGTTTTGTCATGTTGGCCAGGCCAACGAACTCCTGACCTCAAGTGATCCATCGGCCTTGGCCTCCCAAAGTGCTACAATGACAGGCCTTAGTCTCAAGCCTGCCATTTCCCAAAACCCATCTCACTGATGAGATCACTTTTGTCTACCCCCAGCTGCAGTCTTTTCTCCCTTCCCTGAACTCCTGCAATATTTATTGCCCACATAATTCTCCTTAAAGCTATTTTTTCATTTTATGCTGATAGATGTGTGTCTTGTGGTCACATGTCGTTAGAGACACCTTTGGGGCAGGGATTGCCCCTCGTACTTCTTCGTATTGTAGGAGTCCAGGTGCTTAATAAAGGTTTCACGATGAGGATGACGATGGTATCAAGGGGCTGGATGTTTAAGGATATACTTTTGCCTACCTTGAGCTTTCCAAAGGCCAGATTTGAATGGAAGGAGAAGAGGGGGAAGTGGATCTGGAGGGATAGAGGGACACTACCCAGAATTCCCCGCAGTCACCTCAGTGTGAGAAACTTATGCATATGAGAAATCAAGAATTTTAATTCGCAAGCTTAATCATCTGAAGATAAGAGTGTTATAGGCCCCACTAAGCCATCTTTGGGGCTGGGGTTACAGCTCCCCAAGGGGAATATTTCAGCCTCTTTCCCCACCGAACTGCCAAGAATAATAATTTTAGGTGTAAGACTAAGAGCTTTTCCCAGAGGGCTGTCTTCAAGGTCAAGGGGACCATCTGAAACTGAAATGAGAGATCCCCGACAGGGAAGAACTCAGTGGGGCAGAGCTCACTGCGGGGAAAATGGCCTCGGGCCTCCCTTGTTTGAAATTCTTCCCCTTATTCTTACTCTTCTCTATTTAATTCTTTTAAAGATGAAAATGCAGAGAAAACACTAGTCAGATACATTGCAATAAGAGAAGCTATTATAAAAGGTAATATACCAAAGAAATTCAATATAGTAAAAAATGAAAATGCTCTGAGGGTAAAGAGAAGACCCTTCTGTCGAATTGGAAAGCCTAGGAGATACCAGCAAATGACCTAGATTGTTGAAGCAAAAAATAAAAAAGGATTTTTATTAGGAGAAACTGACAGAGGGCCAAGTAAAATGTCCTGTGAAGGCGTCGCAGAGGACTTGACCAAAGGGTCTCTGGTACCCTTGTTCTTTGGTTTCAGCCACAGATGGGAATCTGGAAATACCCAAAGAGGTCTCCTTTGGGTGCTCTGCCTTCCAACCAGCCAAAGTTAAGCAAAATTCAAACTGTTGGCAGCCCTGTCCCCACCTCTAAACTCCTCCCATCCTCTCTAAGCTCCTCGGCCTCAAGCAAGGGTGGAAGAAGCCCACTGAAAACCACTCAAATATAGAAAATACCCTCCATTTTTCCAATGACCTATGTGCCACCTTTATTGACTTCCACTGACATACCCATGGCCTTCGTCAGAAGTTAGGGGACAAAATAAAAAGTGCATCATAGAAAGAATTGCAAATGTTACCTTAGAAGGACAAGCTTAAAGTTCAGTGCCTACAGACACCCATTCCCTCTGCTCAGTTTGAGCAGTTCCCTCTCTGGTATAATCCCACAGAGGTCAAGTTTATCGAAACTGGGGTGTCTTGTTCCCTCCAAAGTGGATGACACCCTTCAGATGTTTTCTTGAAGTGAGATGGGGAAGTCTGCCCACTAAGTTCCAGCGCTCACGAAATTTGAAAATGATAAAGTGATGTGTTGGAATTCAAGCTTGCAAATCCACATCTACATGTGACTCCTTATTAATAGATAATGCTGGAAGGACTGTGGCTGCAAAGTACATGTTTTGGAAATTATGTAAATATGTGTATTTATACAATGGATTATGAAAACCTTTGAAAAACAAATTGGGGTATTTACATCACAGACCTTGAGACTCCAAAAAAGTTGTTATGCTCTTTTATGTCAACTTCTGTTCACCAGCATGAGGTCTTTTAAAAAATATTGCCTAGGCAATGAAATAATGAGAGGAAACCACAGGAAAAAAATGAAAAACGTTAATGAGCCCTCCCTTCCGACCATTACTTTGCATGCTTTAAGGGGTGGAAAAAGAGTATCTTTCAGTGCAGGGAAGTTACAAACTGTGGTCAGAAATGAAAAGAGAAAGCAAGTAAGCCTTAATATAAGTCAGCTGAAACTCCATAAGAAAAGAACTACCAAGGCTGGCGGATCACTTGAGGTCAGGAGTTCGAGACTAGCCTGGCCAACATGGTGAAACCCTGTCTCTACTAAAAATACAAAAATTGCATCGTGGCAGGCACCTGTAATCCCAACTACTTGGGAGGCTGAGGCAGGAGAATCGCTTGAACTGGGAAGGTGGAGGTTGCAGTGAGCCAAGATCGTGCCACTGCACTCCAGCCTGGGTGACAGAGTGAGACTCCATCTCAAAAGAAAAAAAAAGAAAAAGAAAAGAACTGGAGCATTTACTTTTTTCTACTTGAATGAACTTTGTAGCCTGAGGGAGGGATGAAATGATTTAATTCTGGGAAAGAAAAAAAATGTGCTTTTCATCTTCAAAGCACTTTTATTTCAATAAAATAGCTCCATAACAAACATATCAAGGCTGATTAGTACTCACTGCAATTTTAAAAAATGTTGTGCTTCTTAATTTGATTTTTTAATTTGATCAATCAGAGATCCTCATGATACTCTGTGAGGTGCAGTTAATGTCTTCCTTTTGTCCATAATACTCATCACCTGAATCTTTTATTACCTAATAGGAACATTTGCCCTGTGGGAATCATCTTTTTTAAAGTTCTCAAAACTAGTGGTCTCCATATGATGTAGAAAAATGGATTTCAAAATGGATTGGCTGAAAAATAGCAAGTTGTAGATTCATGCCTATACTATGATGTGGCTATGGATTAATATCTACAATATGCTAAAAGTAATAATTAATTTTAAAAATAATAAGACAAAGCCAGGTGCAGTGGCTCACACCGGTAATCCTAAAGCTTTGAGAGGCTAAGGTGGGTGGATGGTTTGAGCTCAGAAGTTTGAGATCAACCTGGGCAACATAGTGAGACCCTGTCTCTACAAAAGATACAAAAAATTAGCCAGTCGGGGGTGTGTGCCTGTAGTCCCAGCGACTTGGGAAGCTGGGGTGGGAGGGTCGCTTGAGCTGGGGAGGTGGAGGTTGGAGTGAGTGATGATCCAGCCACTGCACTCCAGCCCGGGGGACACAGCAAGACCCTGTCTCAAAAAAAAAAAACAAACAAATTAGTAACAAGACAATATTCTATGATGTATCCATGTGTATGTGTGTATAGTGCATATATACACACACATATATATATATATTAACAGGTATGACAACTTGGTAAAGGAAACCTACTGAATTCATGATAGAGACTGGCTCTGGGGAGGAAAAAAGGAGACTAGTACAGGGTAAGAAACCAAGGAGCTTCAACTTGTCTTTATTTTTTAAAATACATTTAGGGCCGGGCGTGGTGGCTCATGCCTGTAATCCCAGCACTTTGGGAGGCTAAGGCGGGTACATCATGAGGTCAGGAGTTCGAGACCAGCCTGGCCAATACGGTGAAACCCCGTCTCTACTAAAAATACAAAAATTAGCCGGGCGTGGTGGCACATGCCTGTAGTCCCAGCTACTCGGGAGGCTGAGGTAAGAGAATTGCTTGAACCCGGGAGGCAGAGGTTGCAGTGAGCCGAGATCATGCCACTGGTTCCAGCCTGGGCGACAGAGACAGACTCCATCTCAACAAACTAAAATAACAACAACAACAACAAAAACATAAACAACAACAACAACAACAAAAAACATTTAAAAGCTCTGAAGTGAATATGGCCAAATGTCAATATTAATCAACTCCAGTAGGTGGCAGGTATATAGATATCTGTTTCTAATTATGGTTACTTTTCTGTTCTCTTCACTTTTCTGTTTAACAAAATGTAAAATGTTAAGGAAAAGGAAAACCTAGTTGAGTTCAACAGAACCAAATGATGGATGGGTGGAACCATGAATGAAGTAGCTGTTATTGGAAGGAAACAATCATAAACTCCAATGTTCAAAAATAAAATCTGATGTTCCTTTGTTTAATTCTTGGATGAAAATGAACCATCCATCGAACAGAAACCTCCTGATGCTGCTGTTGGTAACGTCTGGTTGTCACCAGCCACGGACCTTGTTTTCTTTTCATCACTGTCATGTTTCTTCTCCCTCTTTGGGGATCTGTCTTCCATGTGTTTTCTATAAAATCAGCATAACAGTTCCTAGTGAAAAAATATTTTACTGCACATGTGTAAGATTTGGGAGTATAGACTAAAGGCAGGCAAATTACAAGTAAGTTTCTGCCATGCTGTCGTTTCACCTTGATTCAGCTTAATTTGCCAATGAGGCCTTTATTCTGACATCAGATTTCTCTCTCTTGTTCCTGTCGGCAGCCTGAGCCAGGACTGTCTTAATTTGCTTGGTCACCGGGCATGTGGGAGCTTGCGTTCTGTCAAGAGCTGACACCAAACAGTTATTGGGCACTCCAAGATTTAATTCCTCCCTAGTCTCCCACTCACAGCAATCTACCTGATTCAACTTCCTCTGTTTTCCAAGCTCTTGTGGCTAGGACAGATTCTCTTAGCCTCTCAGCTACTGCTCCTCATTTTTGAGATCTGTCTTTTGCGGCTGCCAGCTGATGTCTTTATTCTGTGCTGGTCATTTTTCCAGCCCTGCAATTTGAAATTACTCATCTGATTTCATGGGTGGCTGGCAAAGGGATCTGTCAAATCTGCATACATTTAGGGGAAACTGAAAATGAAACTACATGCTGGAATTTTTTAAAGTATAGACTTTTCTATAGAGAAAAGAAAAATGTAGAAATACAGGGCAGGGGAGGTAGATATCTGTAGCTACTGGGTGACCCCCCGCCCCCCAAAATCAGTTTCTAGTTCTCCATGCTACCAATACATTTTAATCTATTTTTTAAAAAGTCATTTTGCCTTAGCTCACACCTGTAATCCCAGCACTTTGCGGGGCAGTGGTGGGTTGATTGCTTGAGTCCGGGAGTTTGAGACCCGCCTGGGCAACATGGCGAAACTCCATCTCTACAAAAAATACAAACATTAGCTGGGCATGGTGGCACACACCTGTAGTCCCAGCTACTCGGTGGGGCTGAGGTGGGAGGATCGCTTGATCCCAGGAGGTTGAGGCTGCAGTAAGCTGAGATCCTTCCACTGCACTGCAGCCTAGGTGACAGAGTGAGACCCTGCCTCAAAAAAAAGGCTGGGCATGGTGGCTCATGCCTGTAATCCCAGCACTTTGGGGAGGCCAAGGTGGGCAGATCACCTGAGGTCAGGAGTTCGAGACCAGCCTGGCTAACATGGTGAAACCCTGTTTCTACAAAAATTACAAAAAAATTAGCCAGGTGTGGTGGCAGGCGCCTGTAATCCCAGCTACTTAGGGGGCTGAGGCAGGAGAATCGCTTGAACCCGGGAGGCAGAGGTTACGGAGAGCCAAGATTGTGCCATTGCACTCCAGCCTGGGCAACAAGAGCGAAACTCTGTCTCAAAAAAAAAAAAAAAAAAAGTTATTTTCCCTCATTCTTTCTCGGGTTTGTTAAAATATCCCAGTAGTGTGGTTTGGCAGAAAGAGCATCAGAGCGTAGGCTTTGGAGCCTCCCTGGCCTGCATTCAAGCTCTGCCCATTTGGTCTTTCTAGGCCTCGGACTCCTCACACAGAGATGAAAATAATAACACTGGCATCTCTCTTTATAAATAGCGTTTTTCAAAATCTCTAATCCTCACAAACTACCAACCTATCACTCAGAATCTGTCCATACCACCCAGCAAAAATAATCACCAACAAGTGATGTTCATCCTGAACGGCCCCGACGGGACAGAGGACATGCAAAATACCAGCCTCCGGGGCCTGAGCGCAGCTGCTCTGGAACACAGACTGCTTTTGAAGTGAACAATGCAAGCGCGAGATTGATGTTTGGACAGGCTGACTGTGAAGGCCCTTCCCTCTCTGGGATTCCATGATTCTATGAATATAAATTGTTTTCTAGAAAGAAATTAATGTGTCAAGTTAAATCTGCACCCATTTATACAGAGCCACAAGACTTGACAGAAGTTCCAGTTAGTTTACTGACTTGTTTAAAAAAAACACACACACAGAAAAAACAGGTCTTGCAGCAACTGAGGTTGGACTGCTCCATGGAAAAACTTATCTGTAGCACTACAAACTGCAGAAGAATTTAGAAGGCCTCTGTGCACCGTCCTCAGCCGGTTGCACTTGTCTTCCCTTCTTCAAAATCTCATGTTGGCCATCAAGTTGATGAAGTATTTTCTCCAGGAGACCTTGAGAATTCTTTCTGTGTCATCAGGGCTCCGAACAGATGCATTTCACGGGGAGAAAGGGAACGTTATTGTTATTTGGATTCCAAAAGTGAAATCCTAAGAACAGTATCATCACACAGAATGCATTTTTGAAATAACATTTAAGGAGCGAGTAGGTGCTGGGAAAATAACTTTTATTTACAATGAGAAGTACTATCTGTGGCTAATAACTGCATATTTAATAGTAACTGCATTTCTTATTAAATATTTCAAAGATATTAAAAGAGCTTCAAATAAAAAAAAAATCTAAATGCCAGAAAGAAAAAAATCCTGATCAGTGTCTTTATTGTGATGTCACAGCTTCTCACAGAAAATTATGGACTTTGAATTTTAACTGAGAAAATAGTAGCTCACTTGATATTGTAGGTGTGTGACCAAAACATGATTATACAACATACTTCCATCAATTGAACCATATTGTGCACATTTTCACACTTGATTACATATAATATAATATCATATTTACCTCTATTCTTTGGAGTACAATCAGACTGTAAGTTCTTTGGAAATGTTTTGGTACTTTAGTATTCAGCAAAGGCATATGATGGGCCTCAATAAACACTTAACAATTAGCATTTCAGAGATGTTTTATATTCATTTCTGAGTGATTGTCAATTAGAGGGACTCTCTTCCTCTGTCCTCCAGGTGATTATTAATGATGCAGAATCCAATTTACCAGGGGCTACTATTTAAAGATCTTCTGCTCTAGTGAACTTAATAGTCTCCCATGTCCTAGGGCTCTGTAGATTTGAAAATTTGAATTTCCCTAAATCAAAGGAAATAGTGGAAAAATACTATGAAGGTAAGACCAAGGAAATGGGTAGGGTATAGCTCAGGAAGAAAAGCACATATTCTATCATGCATGAGAAAAGAAAAGGAGTCACGGGCCTGGGTAAAAACAAGCTATTAAAGTTAAAAATATGACCTTTGGTGGACGTATACACAGATGTATCCTTGGATCTTGCATCTTTGTGCATCTTGAGCATTGACAATTTACTCAGGGCATCGTGGCAGAGTGTTGAATCAGACAGAATGAGGCCACGGAACAAATTGCAACCTTCACTCCCCAACTGGAGGATGATTTAGAGAGCTCTGTCTTGACCAGAACCCAGGCTGCCACCACCCTCCTGGCCAAGTGTGGCTTGAATCAGAGAGTCTAGCAGTGGGGTGGAGAGGTGGTGCTTCTGCTTCAGTTTTCGTAAAAGGGCATTTCGTGTCACAGGTAGGAGAAAGAATGGAGTGGTTAAGAGGGTGGGCTCTATGGAAAGTGCCTGGGTTCCTGAAGTCCTATACAGCCATTTCCCAGCTCTGTCTTCTTGGGCAAGTTATTTGACCTTCTTTAAGCCTCAGTTTCCTCATCAGTAAAATGTGACAACACAGTACTTGCCTCACAGTGTTCTCTTAGGTCAAGTGATGTAATGCCTAAAAGCAGTTTGGGTGGTGCTAAATAAAAGAGGAAAAATTAGCTATGGTTTCAAAGCACTCTCCTGAGTTATGCATCATTCTTGAGACGTTATCTTATTTTTCCAATTCCTACTCTAGGACAGGTCCTCCCCCTCCACCAAAAGAGCATTGCTCTCATTTATTAATGTGAGCAGGATGTCCACAGGACATAATTTCCTGAAGGTCAGTAGAACTGCTTCTGTTAACAGCAATCACCCTCCAACTCTGCCTGATTTGCCACTGACTATGGCCCTTCCAAAGTGGAGGTTTAGTAATGAGTTCAGATGTGATTAACGTCTCCTGCTGTTGCTTGCTCTTCCCATTGTTTATGGCTTTCTGTTGCCTAATGGCTACATGTCTGGGACTCCTATTTTTAACAAACATTTAAAACCTGACAGATGACAGCTCTTAGGTTATAATTGTTTGTTAAAAATAGGATTCTCAACAGGCAGCTGTTAAATACAGAAGAGAGACTGAGTTATTAGGGAAGGTCACTGACAATAGTGATTGTTTTGACATGGACTGGAAAGTGATATAACAGAGAGCAACAGAAAATGCCAGGTCAACACCAGTGCTCTCAATCAAGAGAACTAAGGGCCGTCCATTATGCAACAGGCAGATATGGCAGAGGCGGTGCCAAGAATTTGCTTCGATCTGCCTGTACCCTGTTCTGAGACTGAGTGACCTTCTTGGAAGTGGGTGAATTTGCCCTGCTATTTCTGGCAGCAGTTCCGGTTCTCAGGCTCTTTATTCTACCAGTTGCACTTCTAAAGTAAGAAATATGTTGTCTGCTTGATACCAAGGCCCTGGTGCCAAACACATTCTTTCGATGATGTAGGGGAAAGTCCTGCATAAATTGGGCATATGAGGACAACAGGCTGAAACTCTGAAGAAGGAGAGCATGACCTTTTCCTAGCTATTTCTGGGCAACTCACCTGAGCTAATGCATCATCTTTTCCTAGGAGGAGAAAGAATGTGAACACACACACATACACCACTCACACACACACACCACTTATATGGATACACATGCATACATATTTAATAATACTGGAATCTGTATTTTTCTTATCTGTTATTAAGCTATTAAGGTTTAAAATGTGATCTTCAGTGGACGTATGCAGATGTATCCTTGGATCTTGCATCTTTGTGCATCTTGAGCATTTACAATTACTCAGGGCATCATGGCAGTGTTGAGTTAGAGACAATGAGGCCATTATTATATTCATATGATGTCTAAATTGGCTATCCAAAAGAGATATTTATCCTTCAACATGTAAAAAAGACTTGTCATTTTGAAAACCAGCCCAAGGAAAACTGTAGAAATGACTGTTCTCTTCCCCATCATTTGTCTTCTCCTCATCGTTATTTTCCTACTTATTTTGGGGTGTTTTTGGTGTATTAGATCGTTTTCGCATTTAACTTCTAACCTGAAGTTAAAAGTGAAAAGTCCCTCCAACAAGTCCCTTGTTCTCTAACCCTTCCCTGAGGCACAAATCTATTTTCCTAGGTGCTTGGTGGCCATCTCTCCCCGCATCCCCACAGATGCAAGAGTCTTAAACCACACATCCGTTTACTGTGAACTTCCCCAAACTGCTCCTCCACCTGTCTCCCATTTTGAAGTTGATGGCCTTCTCTTGCCGTCTTCTTTAGTTCTTTTTCCACCCATCCATCTCCCCTGTGACCGGGGATTGCTTGTGAAAAAAACTCCAATCTGACCCAGTTATTCTTGTACTTAAAATCTTCAGTGACTCTCTTCCCTATAGAATGAAGTCCAAAATTCTTATTAAGATATATAAACTCCTTCCCAATCCAGCTTTTGCCTGTTATCAGGAATCCTTTCCCACTGGGCCAGCCTGGCAGCCTCTGCTCCGGCCATGCAAATGTTCCTGCTGTCTTTGGAACACAGAACACGTCCTTTGCTCTTTTTTGCCTGCATGCCTTTGAGAGTTTCTTCCTTCTGCTTGGAATGTCCTTTTCATCTGGGCAAAAACAATTCACCACTCAAGATTCAGCCCGTTGGTACCTTGTGGGTGATGCTGTCCCTGACTGTCCCAGCCAGTGTTAGAATCTGCTCCCTCCTTGGGGGTCTCACAGTAAACCCTGCCGAGTTAGAGATTTATGTTGGTCATGCCCTCCTCCAGGTCTCCAGCGCCCTGGGTTTCCATGACCCCATGACCTAACATAGTACCTGGCTTCTAGTTGGAGCTCAATAAATGTTTCTTGATATAAAGATATAAATTAATTAATTAACTTGGATTTCTTTTAAAACCCCTGAGAAAGTGATGAGATTTGCCTTTAAGGAAAGCCTGAACTTTCAAGAATACATCAATGGTTAAAAGTAGGGTAATTACAATTAATCAGAGCTAAGAAAATACCTTAGTGGTTGCCTGGTTCAACCAGCAGCCTTTGCACATTCAACACTGGAGTTACCAGGTATAAAATTGCTCCCACAAACTTACTGGGGGCAGAGAGAATTAGAACCCATGCAGGTCCCAATCCCCAGTTCAGGGGCCTTTTCTGAAAGCTTCCATTCCAAGTGTTCAAAATTAGAATTATCCACAATTCTCTGATAGCATGGATTTGACCTGCCATATGGATGCGGATGTTTCCGTAGTCAGAAAACTGCTAGTTTATACAAATAAATACTGCAAAAACAAAAACAAAAACAAACAAGCAAAAAAACTCTGTTATATTTGACCCCTAGGCAGCAAAGCAGGTTGAATGGGAATGGCTACAAATTTCAACCACATGAGGGGTGTTGAAAGTCATAGGAAAAGAGGAGAGTAGCTAAGAATGAATATTTTTAGATTTGATCATGTTTATCTAAACTTTGGTTTGAAAAATCTGTCTGTGGGTCCCTCGCACCCACCTTGTCCCATGAGATTCCGCATTCTCCCTCTGAATAGGTCGGGCCCAGGATCCCACATGAAAGGATGGGATCATGTCCAGGGAGCTGTAACCCAGGTCCTCCCAGAAGATAAGGGATGACCAGAAACAAATGGAAACAAAACAAAAAAGCTTCATCTTTTTCAACCTTAGAAAAAAAATTTAAAAAAAATTTGAGAGAACAATTTATTTACTTAATTTAAAAAGTTAGCCGAATATGTATTACGTGCTAAACGCGATCGTCCTCATCTTCTAGATGAGGAAGTGAGGCTGGAAGAGGGAAATAACTGGCCTAGGGTCACAAATCAAGCAACAGGGAAGCTAGGGCCTCGGTCTGTCAGCATCATAACCCTGCGCTCTGCTGCTGCCTCATTCAGGATGGTGAAAAGACTTGGGAGTCTTTATTGTAGCTGAATTAATTTGCCTTTGACCAAAGAAGTGGAGCCCAGTCCGACTGTGGATGGCAGGAAGGGTTCCGGTCTGTACAGCACAAACCTTTCTTCTAGTTCTGACAGAGATTCACTATCAAGGAGCAAGTTTTGAGCGGAAATGGTGGTGATGCTTTGGTAAAAAATGAAGGATGTATTGAGTGCCCAGGCTATGCGCTTGACACGTGACCATAGCATCTCTGGGAACTCCGACCTGTATCAGACATGACAGACTCAGGACTGAAACTGAGACCACCGGTGTTATCACAATTTAGTTGTTTGTTCCAGGAACCCTTCCCTCAACAGGAGTAAGACTGTAAGTCAATAAATAACTGCACAGTTTGCTTCAGAAAATTCCGGTAGGAATTTATCTGAGACAACAGGCAAGCAGCTTGCTATTCAAACAACAGTTTACCTGTCAAGACTTGCTTCAAGACCTTTGCGCTGCTAAGCCGGCCAATCTTACACTATTATGTTGCAAATCCTGCCCAATCTCAACCGGTTGCACCTTGAAAGGCCTGCCGTGAATCATATGTGCCCCAGGAGCTAAAACCCTATAAATATCCATTTTGACTTCCTTCTTATGAGGCACTGCTAAGACTTTGTCATGGTGGTATTCTCTCGTCTTGAAGTAACTTCTAATTGATTTGGCTTTGGTGAATCATGAGGTCTGATGATATTTTCAAAAGATCAGCCCTAGATATTTTCAGTTTACTGATGTGGAAACTGAGTTTCGGAGAGCTCCAAGTAACTGCACTTAAATTGCATAGCCCATAAATCTGGCAGAGAAAGACTCAAATCTAGATGTCTGTTCCTGAACACTGGGTTACCACAAAAGCCTTAACTTTTTTATCTGTAAAAAGAAGAAATCACATTGGCTTATGAAGACTAAGATTCCTCCTTGCATGCGTTAAACTCTGATAAAAATATATTTCACCATTGTTCAAGTGACGGTAATTTTCTTCCTTTCTCTTTTATTAAAATAGCTTCCCCAGTTTTGGTTTTACATGATTTTGTTTAGCTAAACAAATTGCAAGCCTAATAGAAAATAATTCTATAGGATTTTTCTTTTTATTGTGGTAAAAGACACATATCATAAAATTCAGCATTTTAGTCATTTTAAAGCTCACAATTCAGTGGCATTTCGTATAATCAAAAGGTTGTGCAACCATTGCCACTATCTAGTTCCACAAAGTTTTCATCTCCCCAAAAGGAAGCCACAGACCCGTTAAGCAATTACTCTTCCCTCCCCCTCCTCCCAGCCCCTGGCAACCACTAGTCTACATTCTGTCTCTATGAATTTGCCTTTTATGGATATTTCATATAAATGGACTCATGCAAGATGTGCCTTTTGTGTCTGGTTCTTTGACTCAGTATACTGTTCTCAAGGTTGTTTCAGATTCTGTGTTCTGTAATCTTCATGGTATTTTTTTGACACCAAATAGCTCCAAAGTACATTAATTATTATGACTGAGTGTTTTTCTCCTACTGGGAGGGGAGAAGAAATGGTCCTCAATGGTAACAATGTGAGAGGAAAACCTCCACACCCATTGGCCACTTGATCTAAGGAGGAGCTCTCCATTCTCCCCAGACTCTGGGCTGAGGCCCAGCCAAAGCCCAGTTGCAGAGCCTGATAAGAAATATTGCATGATGGGCCAGAAACCAATCACCTAAGCTTATTTTTCCAGCCTACCTGGGGTTTCCCTGGCTTGGCCTTGTGTGCATGTGAAGACAATGAGGCAAGCTGTTGGATGGGAACCAAGTTAACAGGTGAGACTTCAGGTGGGATCCGGCTTGTACTTGGGACCATTTATGTTCCATTTTGTTAGACTGAATGGAAAGAAGCTGAAGGAAAGTTTTCCTGTCCATGCATGGAGGAAGCCATTGCTCACTTAGAAATCAGTGTGGCTGGGGGTTCATGCACTCCTTCTGCAGATCTGCCATGGCACTGCCTCATGGCAGGTTGGTGAGCCTCTTTCAGACACTTAGGCTGAAAAGGATGCTCTTCATGAACAATTCAGATGAGAGTGCAGAAGGAAGTGTACACTGCAACATGCCCAGAACCCTCTCCCCTCAGTCTCCTACAGATGTCAAAGAAAATAAATTGTGGCCTAATACTGACAAATCTAAATCATGATTTCATGCCAGAGACTAATACAAATCATTTTTCCTGTGACAGCTCAACACTTAGAAAATTTACTTCATCATTTCCTTTCTCAGTTAATGTCAAACTGAAAATTGATGCTTGATACATTTACTAGTAGGACATTTTAGGCCTTTTCCTTACAGGATTTCTTTTTTTTTTTTTTACCCTTCTGAGTTATGGATGATATGGAATGTAAAAATACAAAGAGAAAAGCTAAAATGTCATTACTTTTCCTCTTTCCAACTTTTAAGATAAAAACAAAAGGTCACAATGAGTTCAAAAATATTTATCTTATAAATACTGCATAGAAAATCATAAGTTGAGATAAATGTCAGAGAAGACACCAAGACATATGACCACAGGCAATTTATGAAGCAGCTTAAAATAAAGACGCTCTCTGCGGTACTAAGATTGCTGTGAAATTTTACCTTAGCTTTCTTTTCAAATACGGCAAGAATCTAAGGCAGGATTTCTTAATGGAACCCTTGAAAATAATTGTGATGATTTTCATATGTAGATTATGTGTATCTTTCTGGGATGAAGATCATAGCCTTTTTTCTTTTTCTTTCCTTTTCTTTTTTCTTTTGTAATCTTAAAGGGGTTGATGTCTCAAGAATAAGAAGAATCTTTGCTCTGAGAGATGGTTGGGCTACAGTGATTTTTTTTAAGTTCACTTCCAATTCTGAGATTCTTTGAAATCAGCATTGTATTCACTAAAGATATTTTCTTAGCTGATAGGTTGGTCTCTGCTAAACCGAAGGTTGGCTATATAATATATTGACTACTGCGGATTGTTTCCAAAGAAAGTTGTCCCCGCATCACAATCATGCCTTTGGCTATTAATATCTGCTAACAGGATGTAACCTTAGCTGGTTCAAAATCTCCCTGGCATGGCCACTATTAAGTAAGTGTTTATTCCTCAAATTAATTAATTGCTGAATAATATTACTACTAAATCAATTGATGTAATATAACTGGTAGGCTTAAATATATTTTGTTGCCTTTCCTAAACAGTAGATGGTTTTCTATAAAGGAACATTCCATAATACAGGTCCACAACTTCTTACTCCAAATTCCCAAATCCAGAAAGCTCTGAAGATAAGAGTCTTTTTCCATAACTCATTTGGCAGCAAACGTGACCTTACTTGAACTCATTTGGCAGCAAGATCTGACCTGAAGTGGTGTGAGGCTATTTATAGTCATTATTTACCCACTTACTGTGAATAATCATACATTTCACAGTAGAGACACCAATGTTGGATTATAAGGTGCTGATCTGGACCCTGCTTAGGTGTTATGTAATATCTGATATCTGCTTAGGTGTTATGTAATATCTAGTATATGAACCATATTACCTTCCTAAAACCTCCAGATTCTGAATCCCAAAACACATCTTGCCCCACAGGGCCTCAGAGAAGAGCTTGTGGGACTATCCCATATATTTTACCTAAAAAGATATATACATATATACACATATATATACATATATATACATATATATGCATGTGTATATGTAATATTAACTTTGACATTTCCAATATATGGGTTTTGTGGTCACCCTTAAAAAGGAATAAAATGCTTTTCTCACCTTTCGCAACTGGACTGACATCCTGCAAGTTAGTTCCGATTTCTGAGAAATGAACTCTAAAAAGCACTTGTTTACTTTGTCTCTACTAATTCTTCAAAAGTGCAAGTGGAGGAAACATTAGCTACAGTAGCTTCCTGATTTTGAGGACAGTGTCTGCCTTGCCCTATACTCTATTGGGCCCAGCACATAGTAGGTAAAACAAATGAATAAATGATTATAAATTGTATTTGTATTATTGTATTATAATTGCATTTGTAATGCAGGAAGGTGACAATATATTATTCTATTGGTTGGAAACAAAAAGCCTAAGAATGCAATCATCTTTTTTGCCACAAATTTCAAACTTTGCCCTACAACTGCAATCTAACATGTGTTAGATTGAACCCAGTTCCTCAGTGCCATCACAAAACCATCATTTTTATCCCCTGCATAAACATGATTCACCTCTTAGACATCTGTCCAGAGTCTAAGACATCTGTCCAGAGTCCAGACCTAAGAGTGTGGCATTTTCAGAGGCACAGTTAGCTAAGATGTTTCTACAATATGGATCAGGAAAATGTAATTAGAGTTCAAATTCATCTGACATACAGATCACAGAAAGAAAGATTTGAATGCTGGTTAGACATATATTTAATGTGTTTAAGGAAAAGAGCTATATCGTTAAATAAAATGGAAACAATGCTATTTCCATTAGCAAGATTAACAGAACCAAGTATCTGGGTTCCTATAATGTAGAAAAGGGACAAGTAGCTTTTCTATGGGAGATGTGCTTTAATCTCAAGAGTTGTAGGGAAAGCAGCAAAACCTCCTCCTAACTACCAGCCCTTCTAAGTCAAATAATGGATGAGAGCAAAGACATGTTGTCCCTGTAAAGAGACAGTCAGGTCAACACGACTTGACCGACCTGCTTAGGTGTCTCGACTTCTATAAAGGAAGAATCTGTCTACTGGGGAATGGAGCAGAGAGGGGAGGGGCACTTGGCTATTGGTGACAGAAAAAGGAGAGACAGGGAGTCCACTACTGGCAGTGCCCATCCAATCCCTATCTAGGGAAGAGTCGGTCTCAAACCCAGCAGACTTCCAGTGTTCTGGGCCATAGTAAAAATGGATGCACTGGTAAGTCCTTGCAACCAGGCTTCTCAGTTCTGACCCCAGGATTACTGTGAACCTTTTGGCTGTACTGTCTTCCCTGGGTATAGAGAGAGAATATCTGGTCATGCCCACGGCGTGTGTAATAGGCCTTGTGACCACTACCTTGTGAATTATTAAAGTGGCTTTCCGATTTCATATATCAATCTGAAGAGCTGACACAGAGAAATGCATTCTTACCAAATAGGTTTCTTGAGTGTTTGAAGCAGGGGGCCTGCAAATGTCCCAAGGTCATGGCCCATGGAGGTTTCCTCATGTCAGCCTCTGCCTGGCTCCCACCTTTCCAGTGTGAAGCCTCAACACTGAGTTTCTTGCAAACAATAATCCCATTGAGGGAATAGAAATATAATGTTATTTAAAATGAATTCTGCATTATTGAGAACACACCTACAATTTAAAAATCTCAAGTAAAGTGTTAATGCTTTGTCAAAAGGCAAAAATCCATGTAACTTGGACCAGTTAAAGATCCCATATAAACTCTAGCTTTTGTGCTAAGATGGGAAGATAATGATTATGAATCTGTTTTGAAACTTTGAGAGGGCTGTGATGTTTGTTTGCCCTAAATATATTTTTATGGATATATTATTTCTTACAGTATTAACAGGCAGAAGTAACATTTAAAATAGAAATCTGTACATTAATGAAATGAAATCTGCTCTCTTAGCTACGATGACTGTTTGGGTCCACGGAACGCACTGGGGCTTGGGATGGGGCTTTTTTTTTTTCCCTGTAGAGTCCAGTGAGAACAATGTCTCTGGATCTCTCAGTTAGAAAGGAAAGAATCCCATTTAAGATATAATACAATAAGTGACAAATAAATCAAGTATTTTTCCCATTGACAATTGACCTAGAACTTAGAGCACGTAGTTCTCATTTAGCAATTTTGGTGAAATGCCTATTTTTAAATAATGATGTACATTTTCATACAGTATATACCACCTTCATAGTCATAGAATTTATGTTGGTTAGGTACAGAATTTCAACAATCGATGTGCCATTTCTAGAAATAAGTGCATTTCTTAGAAATATTTGGAAAACCTCATTGTTTCCTGTGATACCAGCAGAGGTTGTCCCATATATTATACATTGCAATTTGAGGCTTAGCACTTTTCCTAGAGAAACTATTCTTTGTGTCTAATAGTGAAAATCTGGATGTACAAAAGAAATAGAGGGTTATGTCACATCTTCTTGCAGTGCTCAGCTCCAGTTAGGCCTGTTACCACTATGTGCCTGGACTATTGCGGGAGCTAGAGAGCTTGTTTCTCTGACTCTAGTAGAATGTAGTCAATGAATATTCAGAGTGCATACCATGTATGTGGTAATGCATCAGGCACTGCAGAGTTAAAGATAGAAAGACAAGTTCTAAAGGAACCTCTAGTCTGGTAGGGAATGGACAAGTAGTTTGGAGATATGAAAAAGAGACTAACTTAGGAGTCAGGCACCTAGACTTGATCTCTGCTCGCCTGTTGCCTTGAACGAACTGCCTGAGCTCATGTGCATTACCTCCATAGGGGCATGACCTTGGGCAATTAACAGGTCCTCATACTTATGCACTCAGAAACCTGCTTGGTAGGAGTGTGTTTCTCTGAGTCAGCTCCTGAAGTTGATACATAAAAATCAAAAAGGTCAGCCGGGCGCAGTGGCTCACGTCTGTAATCCCAGCACTTTGGGAGGCTGAGGCAGGCTGAAGGCTTGAGTCCGGGAGTTTGAGACCAACCTGAGCAATATGGCAAAACCCTGTCTCTACAAAAAATACAAAAACTAGCCAGATGTGGTGGTACGTGCCTGTAGTCCCAGCTACTTGGGAGGCTGAGGTGGGAGGATCACTTGAGCCTGGGAGGCAGAGGTTGCAGTGAGCCAAGATCACACCACTGCACTCCAGCCTGGGTGACAGAGTGAGACGCTGTCTCAAAAAAAAAAAAAAAAATATAATAAGCTCACATATATGAAATTACATAAATCTTAGTTTTCTGATTTGTACAATGAGATTTTTAAATTTACGAACTCAGAATTACTTTGAAGATTAACTGAGATGTTAATATCTACCCATCATGCCTTCTGATGCCAGGTGAATCTTTCTAAAACACTGTTTTAATCCTGACACTCTTGCTTATAAATCTCCATGCTTTTAGGAAGATTAGAGTTCAACACTTTTGCATAAACTTTTTGATCTGTTCCCAAACCACTTTCCAGGTTTATCTCCAATTACTCTATCAAAATGAAGTACCTGCAACTGCCTATTCATTGTCTGATCATTCTTCTTGACTCCCCATACCTCTAGGTTTTTGTTCATGCAGTTTTCTTCTCCTTATAACTTCCCCTGGAATGGCCATTCATGCCGTTTTCTCTCCTCATCTGAGGTCCATGTCGTTATCCAGCCTCTAGGTTATGCCACCCTACCATTCACTCTCTCCTGCTACTGAGAGCCCTTGAAATGTGCCTAGTTCCAATTAAAATGGGCTAGAAACGGAAGATACACATCAGATTTCAAAGATTTACTATTTTTAAAAGTGAAGTATCTCATAAAAATGTTTTAGATCAATTACATATTGAAAGACTAATTTTATCTATTTATTTTTATTTTAATTTTTAATTGTACTAAAAAATATAAAATTAAATACATAGCTTGCATTGTGTTTCTATGAGATAGCACTGGTCTAGAGCCCTACTTTTGGCCCAGGCATCTGGCATTCAACCACACCTGCCTCATATTTTGTCATTTTTCAACACACGGATGTCTAATCTCCCCAACCAGAGTGTGACAGGCTCCGTCTTGGCTGGGTGCAACCCATACAGCACACTCACTCCGTACATGATACCCTTAATTAAGAACAGATGAACATATGAATCACAAAAGACTAATCACAGAAATCCTCTATAAAATTACGCTCCCCAAGTGTTTTCCCAGCACATATAATGTGAAAAACTTTATTTGTCTCTGCCAGGCACAATGGCTCATGCCTGCAATCCCAGCACTTTAGGAGGCCAAGGCTGGAGGATCAAGTGAGCCCAGGAGTTTGAGACCAGCTCTGACAACATAGGGAGACCCGGTCTCCACAAATACAAACAAAAAATCTGGGTGTGGTGGCATGTGCCTGTAGTCCCAGCTACTCAGGAGGCTGAGGATCACTTGAGCCTTGGTGGATTGCTTGAGCTCAGGAGTTCAAGACCAGCCTGGGCAACATGGCAAAACTACGTGTCTACAAAAAATACAAAAATTAGCCAGGCGTGGTGGCGCATGCTTGTAGTCCCAGCTACTCAGGGGAAGGTGAGATGGGAGGATCGCTTGAGCCTGGGAGATTGAGGCTACATTGACCTGTGGTTATGCCATTGCACTCCAGCCGGGGTGACAGAGCGAGACCCCATCTCAAAGAAACAAATATAACATTTGTTTGTCCCTTTAGGTATATTAACAATCAAAAGGTTTGAAGAGAGTTGTAAACATGTGCCCTTTCGGGAGGGGGTTTTAATTCGTTGCCTGGTCCTAGAAAAATGTTATGTTTTTAAAAAATATTATATATTTTATAATTTATAAAACATAAATTACCTATAATGGAATTTACATTTTTAAAATGTATATTGTCTGTTTTGTCCCATGCTTACAGGATGCTTTTTACAGTACTGTAAAGATTTACTAATCTTCATGTTATACTTCTTCACTTTGCACAATATTTTCTTCTGATCTTCAGAGCTTTGTGACTCTGGTGACTGAAAAAAGTTACTAGCATGATTCCAGGAATGATGACATGTTGATGACATCAGACCAGGTCTGAACTTAATATTTTGTATCATGTTGTGCTCTTTCTTGTCTCTAGCTAGAAGGAATCCCTGTTACTGGAAATGATTCCCGAGTGAACAACAGAAAGAATGAATGGATTTGAAGTTGTTTATAAAGCAAATGGAATTATTGAGTGCATAGAAAGCTGAGGAGAGGGTGTCACAGTTTTACATGTATATCATCAAGAGGGTTTTTTGTTTGTTTGTTTGTTTTTGAGACAAGGTCTCACTCTGTCACCGAGGCTGGACTACGGTGGCATGATCAGGGCTTATTGCAGCCTTGACTTCCTGGGCTCAAGTGATCCTCCCACCTCAGCCTCCTGAGTAGCTGGGATTATAGACACATGCCACCATGCCTGGCTAACTTGTATTTTTGGTAGAGATGAGGTTTCGCTATGTTGCCGAGGCTGGTCTCAAACTCCTGGGCTCAAGCGATCCACCCGCTTCAGCCTCCCAAAGTGCTGTGATTACAGGTGTGAGCCACTGTGCCTGGCCATCAAAAGGATTTTTATAAACAATAGTGGCTCAGTCCTCAGTTTTTCAGATTTCCCTGAGATCAATCATGAGTTAAAACAGGATGAGGGATCTGGGTTTGCTATAAAAGAAACATTTGCTGATAGGATGGGCTATTCAGTAGACCAGGTCTTTAAATCTCAAAATGATCTCACCAGATCATCTCTCTAGATCTGCACTGATCTAGGTATAACCTTGCACGGGGCTGGGGTAGTGTTTACTAGACACATCAAGATCTTTCCCATGCTGAAGAGTCTGGAATTCTTCTGAGTGACTCAGTTTTACTTAAGTATGTCTATTTTAAGAAAAGAAAAAAAAAAACTACTATCTCTGAATTGATCACAAAATCAGTTAAGTGCAATGAGTTCTTTAAAAAGAGCATCTTACTAAAATGTTACTTATAATGGTTTAAAAAAAATCCCTTGAATGAAGAAAATGTTATTGGAATGTCTATTAATGTTTACTCTTTAAGAGCAGTTTTTACAAGGACTTCAAGATTGCAGGTGCGTTCCTGTAGTTAACATAACAGAAATTGTAAGCCAGTAAAGTTCCTGTAGATTTGTCCCTGTTTATTAGGTTGGGAACAGAGAAACTCAATACCCTGCAACCCATAAAGGAAGGGCGTGCAAAAATATAAACTCCTGTTGCTCTCAGTGCTTTTCATCTCTGAATTGCTATTCCAAGAAAAAGGAGAATAATCTAGATAGTTGCTTTTAGTATTTATAACTCAATGCAAAATTGTAGAGTTGAGTAGTTTTCCAAATTGGCTTTCTTTTCTCAAAGTGGCTGTGGGTTAAGAATCATTAAACAATCACTTTTGCTCAGCACACAGCAAACAGGTTTTTTAATCCGATGTTTCGGAAGATTATTTTATTCAGTTGTGGTTTCTGTGGAATTTTAATTGCAACAAAAAATGAAGGACCATTTGTTTGAATGCATGGGCTATTATATATATTTTTGCTATTCTTAGTTGTTCTTTTCACTTAAAAAAAAAAAAAAGAAGAAGACGGAGGGATTTCTGTGGGTGGAGTTGCTAGGAAAGGGAAAAGGAGGCCAGGAGAAAGTATTCAAAAAGATAGACTTTGCAAAGCAAAGAACTTCTGTCATAGCATCTCAAAGAGATTAAACAAAGGCTACTGATCAGGCTTTGTAGGAAGTGAACCTGAATGGCAAGGAAACTAAGTGACTTGTCCCCAAGGTCATTGGGCACAGTGGGAACTACAGTTAGACAGCCATTGTGGCCATAGTGGGCCATCTGCTTGAAAGAGTTTTCTACACCCCTAAAATTTTACCCACAATTCTCACAAATCAGCTAGCCTAATAATAATTAGCAAAACTAATTTGCAAATAGTTGAAGGTGGAACAACTAATGTTACCTTTTGAAACCAAGATAATGAGACTGACAAGGTCACATGGTTACGAAGTGACAATATCAGAAAAAAGAAAGCCTAAGATAGTCCCACACCCCAAATATTAAACTCATCCTGAACACCTTTGATAGGAAAATACAAACAAGTATTTAAATTTTTATCTGCTTGGAGTTGCCACCTAATTGTGAGCAATACTGAAATTCTCAGGAAGAAACCCAAACTTCACATGTAAAATGCATCATAGGTAAGTTTTGTGTCATAAGTGGGAAGAAAACAGCGTGGTCTTGCTACTCCTAATTAACAGCTATGAGCAAGGGAATACGGAGAGAGAGGAAAAATGGAACTGTAAATATTGACAGATGTTGAAAATCAGAGCTTTAGGAAATGATTTGTGAGAAATTAATTCTCCTAGGAAAAGAAATGTATCAAGAACTAGATGTTCTAGATGTTTCTAGCTTATTCAAGGATTGAAGGCCGGGCATGGTGGCTCGAGCTCATATTTTCAACACTTTGGGAGGCCACGGCAGGCGGACTGCTTGAGCCCTGGAGTTCAAGAGCAGCCTGGGCAACATAGGGAGACTCTGTCTCTACAAAAAATAAACAAAAAAAAATTAAAAAACAACAACAACAAACAAAACAAAACAAAAAAGAAACCTGTCAGGCTTGGTGGCACGTGGCTGTAGTCCCAACTACTCAGGAGGCTGAGGTGGGAGGACCACTTGAACCTGGGAGGTCGAGGCTGCAGTAAGCCATGACTGTGCCACTGCACTACCAGCCTGGGCAACAGAGTGAGACCCTGTCTCAGAAAAAATTGAAGAAGTGCTCCAACGCTGGGCACGGTGGCTCATGCCTGTAATCCCAGCACTCTGGGAGGCTGAGGCGGGAGGATCACGAGGTCAGAAGATGAAGACCATCCTGGCTAACACGGTGAAACTCCGTCTCTACTAAAAATACAAAAAATTAGCCGGGCGTGGTGGCGGGCGCCTGTAGTCCCAGCTACTTGTGGGGCTGAGGCAGGAGAATGGCGGGAACCCGGAAGGCGGAGCCTGCAGTGAGCCGAGATTGCGCCACTGCACTCCAGTCTGGGCGACAGAGAGAGACTCCGTCTCAAAAAAAAAAAAAAAACAAAAAAAGAATCGAAGAAGTGCTCCAAAAAGGGCTAGTGAGTGTGGTGTTTCTAAGACAAGAATGATCTTCAAGTATAGAAGCTGGGGACGTGATCATTGCCAAACATCCAAGAGAAGGCAAAGGTTTAAAGGCAGTTGCTTACAAAGCCTTCTTGGGTGCTGCTAACGTTACTGCAAAGATCATGCTCTGATAGTGCCAGCAGTGTGGGAGCTTCTTGGAGCTACCATTTTTGCAGTCTGTCGTTAGAGCAATCGGATTTGAAGCCGCTTATCTGTTCTATGATCAAGTGATCAAATCTGATTGATTCAGGCACTATCGCCCTCCACCTACAAAAGGGTAAAAAGACTATTGATGAGGTAAATTGGCCTACAAAGTATCTATTTCTAGTATTCCTACCTCTTTGATTACATTATAACAGCTATCTAGTAGAGGCTCCTTAAATGAGAGCCGACTAAACATGGCATTTTCAGGAGAGTGTTATCCCGCCGGAAGAGTAGTTCAATAGAGTTTGCTTAAAAATCATTGCAATGTAGCAATGTTATTTGGGATGCATTGAATAAAAAATTATGAGATTCAGGAGCAATATTCTAGATGGAAATTTAAATGGTGCAGAGGGTGTATGTGAAGAGGAAGAAAGAGAAATTAATTTAATTCCATTTGCTGATGTGACTGTAGCACAACTATTTTTAGGTATAATCCAAACAGTGCATATCTTCTCCATTTTGATTAGTAGAAAATTGGCAGGGAGTCAAAAGAATTAGTATTTCTCAGCACATTATGCCAGAAATGTACAAATAAAATGATATTATCTGTGCCAGTGTGTTTAATTTACTTCTAAGGTTTTAATTTTTTTCCTTCAACTAAACAAATGAGTCCAGCTTGGTTAAAAACATTTTTTAAAAAGTCTTTCACAACTGGCAGCAAAAGTTACAGAATAATTTTTCTTTAGATCCTTGCTGAGAACCTCTTACAAAAAACTTAAATGTTAATATTACCCTGATACTCTGGGTGCAGAATTTCTGTCTGGCAATTTTATATACTGCCAGAGGAACGGGCACATTCAACAAAATGTGAAATTAACATAAGCTAGGAAAATGTGCTTAACAAGGAAAGATTTCACAATAGCCACTTAGGAGTTATTAATAATTCCAATTCCAAAGAAAGCATAGACTAAGAAACAAATAAACTCTATTTGCAAAGTTTTATATAGGCAAGTTCACCAAAGTATGAAGCCATATGCTATACCAATTACACATTTCTACATCGGAGAGAGAATTTATAAATCCTGGAAAATCTCCATTGAGTTATTGTTAGTGTTTAACCTGAATGTAACGTCCAATGTAGCAAATCTATGGATCTTGATCACATTTTCCTGCTTTGATTTTAAGGTTTATGCTTTTGGTACTTTGATACACACAAGCCCATGGGTAAGGCTGCCTTTTTGCACACTCAATGTCTTCTTCTTCCTATTTCTGCAGTGCACAATCTCACCAGATTAAGCAGGACTGGCTGCTCTCTCCTCCCACTGCCATCGCTACTGGGACTGACAGCCCAGCTCCCCACATTTCCTATTATAAATCAATGGCTGCCTTCTTCAAAAGCGACAAAAAGTAGTCTTCATGGGGATTTGGAATCACTGACATGGTCTGTTTCTGAATCCATGTAATTTTCAGTTGGAGATCTTGGGAGATCACACAAAAATCTTTTCTATTTCCTGCCAATACATAGAAACCGGCCCCAAGATTACAGTGGTTTCCTCTAACTCACTAAAGTGACTAAACCTGTGTACTAAGTAGTTAAATTATACACATTTGTTCTTAAAGCTTAAAGGACTTTCATGATTTTAAGACCTGAGTGATTTTAAGACCTGAGATTTGAAGGGCCTGCGTATATGTTTTGGGCTGGGAAGATTTCTTTTTATTTAAATGTGAAGACTTATCTAGACAAAATAAGTAAATAAACAGGAAACCAAGAAAGTGAAGCATTTACCTGGTACTTCAGTGTCTAGTAATTTCAAACAAAGAAGGACAAAACCCCTAAGAAAATGCATCTTACATACTCATGGTCGGGGGTGGATGGATATTAACCATATTTGGTTCCTAGGGAAATTATAGTGACATTTCATCCTGAGACTGATTTTATGTTCTTCAAAATATGTTTAAGTATTTATCTTTGTATTCTTAAAGAAGCTCTCCTTTTTCCTTTTCCTTTTTTTTTTTTTTTTTTTGCTGGAAAGGGGTTAAACTTCATAGCAGCTTTTGTTGAGGCTGTTACTGTTCATGCAACCTTCTGCTGGTCTCTAAAACATCTACGTCATTAACCTTTCTCAGAAGATGGTTGCCTTGTCTTTAGAATATGCCATTGCAAAAAAGAATATTCAGTCTCAACTTTTCCCTGTTAAAGAATACTCCGCTCATTTAAAGTGCAGCATAAGCCAGAAGTTAATATTCTTTACTTTGGTTTCTTTACTGTATGGTCATGAAATAAAAAGCTTATTTAAAAATATAGTAAGAACTTTAAATGTATTTTGGAGAATGTAAAATTAATCTCAGGACAGAATTGCACTATCCCTTCCTTTAGGAAATAACTTTATGAAAAATACCCCATCCTTTGGGTGCTGTAATTTTGTTGGAAACTTAAATCCTTTCACACTTGCTTTTACCTATGATCTGTCCACCCAGAACTTCTGGCAAAATGATCTATTTAACTACATAAGAGAAAAAAATTTACTTCAGAAGCCCTTTTATACATTTTTGCTTAACCATGAAAGCATTTTTCATTCTAAACAGCCTCTGGAGAAATCTGCACACACTGATCATCCGCAGGCTGTGATTTTCTATTGGAAAACAAAAATAAGCTGTGGAAGCCACTTATTGCATTCCAAGTAGGCAACTGATCATTCAATGAGTTAGTCTTTCCTGCATTTCCGTGAAAAGTTGCAGCTGAGTTAAATGACCGCGTCACTTTTTTTTTTTTTTTTTTTTTTTTAGGAGCTACGCAATCACAAAGGTCACTTCTTCAGTCAAGTGCAGCAGATGGGATCTTGAAAGTGCCTACAAGTAGTCTAGAACACCTTGAATCCGGCTGTGAAAATGTAGGGTAAATCTGTAGCTCTCAGTAGGTAAACACCTTATTTAGGTCTGGAGGCATTTTGCTATGTTATTGAGTCATGGAAACCTATTAAAAGAGCTCTATGGGAAATCCAGTCTATATTTTGAACAAAACAAGCTGTCTTTTTCATTGTCACTGACCCTTTACAGACACACAGTACATAATCTTGATTGTGCTTCATTGGTATTTATTGCACATGGACCAATTCCTCACACAGTAGTTAGTTGCACCAGAGTATAAATACTTGGTAAAACACACAAGAGGAAGTAGAATTTACACACAAGTGCTAACTTTCACCAGCAAATTCACGTGGGCACTTGGACATAAAAAAAAATAAAAAATCCTTAAGATAATTATATTTATAATATGGATACAGTTACAGTACCATGATAAAGGAGTATAAAAAGGTATTTTCCCAATGAATCATTAGCTCAATAACATACTAGACAACAGAAGTAGAGTTTGAATTTTATTTAAGATCTGCCCAGCCCCTCTCCCTTTAAAAAATATTTAATTTCTTTTTGTGCAAGTAACATCTTCTGTGGATTTTGTAATTCCTAACACTGTGCAAAAATGGCATTTTGAACCACTCCTTTTTTTTGTTTTTGTTTTTATCCACATGTGCAGTAATCTGAACTGTTTCTCTCTCTCGCTCTCTTTTAATGTCCTGTCTTCAATTGACAGAGTCACATGTCACAGAGAGAGGCTCTGCGCCTGGTCCTTCCAACTAATATTGATACATAAATAAGCTGTTTAATATAAACAAGTCTTTCTATCTGCTGTGCAAATGCACAGTGTGAGGTAGAAATCCCTCAGCCTGACCACCCAGGCGCGCGGGGGACAGCGGGTTTGCCCTACACAAGGAAAGCAAGGTGGGGCTTGTTCCAAGAAGAGCTTAACATTTCTTGAAACGTGATTTTTTTTTATTTTGCCTCCATCCTTTCTCTTTGCTTTCATAACAGCAGAAATCATTACTTAGAAATTAAAATGAAATTTCTCTGGAAAGCAAAAGGAAATATGTCTTGACAAACTGTCATTCTCCTCTCTCTGGCTGGTAGTGTGTTCCTGTTCCCGGGAAAGGGATGGGAGCCACGATGATCGATTTTA
This sequence comes from Homo sapiens, assembly GCF_000001405.40. NCBI lineage: Eukaryota > Metazoa > Chordata > Mammalia > Primates > Hominidae > Homo > Homo sapiens. The sequence goes on along the minus strand of NC_000010.11, from coordinate 114,045,967 downwards.
ATCCCCTCCTAATGCTTCTCCCTTCCCCTAACCCACCCATCTTCCACTCCGGTCCTCTCAGAGAGTGTCAAAAACCACCTGGTGGGGGAAAAAAATCTAAAGATGCATCACACGCACACACAAAAGAAGGCCGGACCACAAACAGAAAAAAAAAAAAAAAAAAAAAAGAAGAAGAAAGAAAAGAAAAGAAAAAAAAAACAACAAGGAACATCAGCAAGCCACTCTCCCATCCCTTCCCAAACTTTCCTTTTTGTGCAACGGTCCGTGGCTTTTCTCTTTGCCTCGGATGATTCAGACGAGGATTGTGGGCTTCGAGTTCACCTGCTATCGGTCTTAAGTAAACACAGATCTCCTCGTTCCCCTGGGAAGCCGTGCCCGGAGTCCGCGCCCCGCGCCGGGCCCTACACCTTGGATTCCGAGGCGAAGCCGGGGCGGCACGGCTCGTCCAGGCTCGAGTCGCTGTCCGCCGCCGCCCCGCCGTTGCAGCCGGCCCAGGGCTCCAGCAGGCGCGCGGGCGGCGTGGCCCCGACGACATCGTCGTCGTCGTCGTCCGAGGCGGCCCCGGGCGATGGCGGGGGTCCGGGCCGGGCCAGACAGCCCGAGGCGCGCGGCCGGTCTCCGTGGGTCGCGTGGCGCCGGCGGGCAGCCCTGCGCGCGCAGCAGAGCAGTCCCTGGAAGGCCTTGCGGAAGTCGGGGCTGCGGCAGTAGATGATGGGGTTGAAGGCCGAGTTGGCGTAGCCCAGCCAGTTGAAGAAGACGAAGAGGCGGTCGGGCACCAGCTCGCGGTGGAAGGCCTTCACCACGTTGGCCAGGAAGAAGGGCAGCCAGCAGAGCGTGAAGACGCCCATGATGATGCCCAGCGTCTTGAGCGCCTTCTGCTCGCGCAGGGCCACGAGGCGCGAGGGCCGCCGCTTACCCGCACGCCCGTTGGCCAGCGGGGCGGTGGCGGCGGCGGCGGCGGGGCGCGGGGGTCCGGGCGGCGGCGCGGGCGCGGGGACGGGCGAGGGCGAGGGCGAGGGCGGCCGCGCTGGGCCGCCGAGGAAACGGCGCTCGCAGCTGTCGATCTTCTTCACCTGCTTCTGGGCCTCGCGGAACACCCGCAGGTACACGAAGGCCATGATGCACAGGGGCACGTAGAAGGAGACTACGGACGAGGCGATGGCGTAGGCCCGGTTGGTGACGAAGTCGCAGCACTTGGGGTCGTTGTAGCAGCGGCGCGCCTCGTCGCTCTCCGCCCGCCACCAGTGCATGAGGATGGGCAGGAAGGACACCAGGGCCGAGATGGCCCACACGGTGCACACGAGGCCCCGCGCCCGCGCGCGCGTCAGCAGGCTCTGGTAGCGGAAGGGCGAGGTGATGGCGAGGTAGCGGTCCAGGGCAATGACACACAGGGTCTCGATGCTGGCCGTCACGCACAGCACGTCCACTGAGGTCCACAGCTCGCAGAAGAAGGAGCCGTACTCCCAGCGGCCCCACACCACGATGGTGGCCCCGAACGGCACCACCAGCAGCCCCATGACCAGGTCGGCGCTGGCCAGGGACATGATGAAGAGGTTGGTGAGCGTCTGCAGCCGCGGCGTCTTGGCGATGGCCACGATCACCAGCACATTGCCCGCCACGATGAGCAGCACGATGAGCGCCATCAGCAGACCCATGCCCGCTGTCCACTGCTGAGACAGCGGCTCGGGGCTTTCGCTGGCGGGAGGCAGCAACGAGGCGGGCGGCGACGCGGGCACCAGCAGCCGCGCCGCGGTGGCCGCGCCGTCGGGGAGCGGTGCGGCCGACGACAGGTTACCGGGCTCGGAGGCGCCCAGGACGAGCACCCCCGCGCCCATGCCGAGCTGCGGAGGCCGGGGGCGGGGGGTGTGGCAGGGCTGGGCCGTGGTTGGGGAACACCCCAGAAGCCCGGGCGGCGTGGTGCGCAGAGGGAGGTCGCGGCCGGGTCAGGGCAGCCGCGGCGCGGGGCCGGAGGCATGGGCGCCGGGCGCCTTTCCCGCAGGAGCCGAGCGCTGTCGCTGCCGCTGCCGCCGCCGCCGCCGCCGCCGCTGCTGCTGGAGCCGCTGCCGCTGCTGGAAGAGCCGCCGGGACTTCAGCATGTTTCTGAGCGCGCCGGGCCCGCAGCTCCGGCACCCAGCACCCACCCCACCCCGCTCCCACTCCCCAAGCCAACCCCCGGGGCCTCGCGTCAGGCTCCTGCAGCCAATCCGGGCAAAGGCACGCCCCCGTCTGGTCTGCACCCCCACCTCCAACTCCCCGCACCCCCCTCCCGTTGGCAATTGAGCGGCTCCTGAGAGTCCCGAGCTGATCGCGTAGCTAGTGCCTCCCGTGCGCCCGCGGGTTCCTGCGGACGCACCCCTTCCTGCGCCCGCTGGTTCCTGGTCCCTGTTCCCCCGCGCCCCCTTCCGCGCCTGGCTCCCCCCGGGGCCCCGTCCCCTCCCTCAGCCCCCACTCGCTCCCGCACCCACTCCTGCGCCCCGTTTGCCTCCCGCACCCGCTCCTGCGCCCCGTTTGCCTCCCGCACCCGCTCCTGCGCCCCGTTTGCCTCCAGCACTCGGCTCCCTCCTGCGCCCCCGCTCCCCCCGCATCCCCTCGACCTGCAGTTCCGGGGTTCTCTGCGGAACAGAGCGCTAGCTCCCTTGAGCGGGGAGGGGACCTTGGTGTTCAGGAAGCGCCAGAGCGCCTGGGACAGCTTGTCCGCCAGGCTTGGAGGAGTTTGCCCTGCGAGCTTGGTTGTGATGTGGGGCAGCCTAGCAGGGTGTGTGTAAAACCCTTCCCCCGTCAAGACGGGACCCAGCCAGCATGCGTCGTGACAGCTTGGGGGATTGGAGGTGGGTGTTAGTGGTTAGAAGAAACTTCCCAGCAGAGCGGGTTGCTGGAGCCAAGCGCGCATCTGTCAAGAATGCTCTCTGGGCGCTGTTCTTGCAAGGATCCTCTGTTGAACCTCGAGTGCAGTAGATGTGGAAAGGAAGCGAAGGTTTGTGCATCTAACAGCTAACGCTGAGGGCCCTTTGGAATCGTACACACTCCTCAGTCCTAGCTAATGAACGTGTGAGCATGATGCAAAAATGTATGCTCATGATATGAAAGGAGAGGCTTAGGGAGACAGAAACGTTGAGATACAGAGTAAACGATACCACCGCGAGGGGGAAAAAACGCGTTTAATTACATTTTAGACTTTTCAATGATAACACCTGTATTTTGTGTTTTATTACTCATGTGATTTTATAATTTGAGCTGGGTCAATACAAACAAAAAGGTACTGTCAGTTTATGCTGACGTAATGAACTGCGATTTCAGATTCCTTGGTCTGCGTGCTTGTTTTCTCCTTTGCCCAAGTTCCCAGATTCTCAAAACTCTGAGATTAGTTTTGAAGGGATGAGACAAGAAAACATATAAATACTCCAGAGGATTAAAATCCAAAAGCATTTAAAGTTGTATCTGTGGTTTTTTTTTTTTTTTTTTTTGAGTTGGCAAATGAATTGCTTTGAAATTAGTGAGTTGTTAACCTGGCAAAAAGGATTATACTGGGGGTGAGGGGACAAGAAAGCCATGAATATGCAATATGGCAGGACTGCAAGCCCCTTCTCTAATTTGGCTCCTGTAGTGTCCTCAGCTCAGGCCTGAAATAAAAAAAAAAATAAAAAAATTAAAAAAATCTCTAATTGAGTCCTTGAGGAGTAAACAGCTTCTAATTGTTTATGTAAGGGTGCATGAAAATGTTATATAATGCTCACAGGTCCTTCTAGCATTGGAATAAGAACAGCGCCCGTAACGAACATCATGTTCGTTGATGGTCATCAATATGACCAAGCTCATATCCTTACCTTGCAAGGAGAGACCGACTTCCACAGCTGTCCAGGTCAAAAGCAAAAAGTAATGTTTTTCAAGTTTATATAAAATCAAGCAGTTTTAACCACTTTCTCTTACATAAATGCAAACATATGAATTTGCTTTAGGCCCAAACCTCAGCATCAGTATGTTAAAACTGGGGAGTGATTTGTTTATTCACCCCCTGCCCATGATTTATCAGCTGATTTTCCAACTTGGGGAGGTTGAGGAGGAGTGGCCAGGAAACAAGAGGCGTTAGAAAGGGGAGGAAGGAGACTACACCCCAAGTTATCCAAGTCACTGAAAGCCTGAGACTCCTGGCTTCTTTCTTTTTATTTTTTTGAGACAGAGTTTCACTTTTGTTGCCCAGGCTGGAGTTCAGTGGCGTGATCTTGGCCCACTGCAACCTCTGCCTCCCGGGTTCAAGTGATTCTCCTGCCTCAGCCTGTCAAGTAGCTGGGATTACAGGCGTGTGCCGCCACACACGGCTAATTTTGTATTTTTAGTGGAGATGGCGTTTTACCATGTTGGTCAGGCTGGTCTCGAACTCCTGACCTCAGGTGATCCACCCACCTTGGCCTCCCAAAGTGCTGGGATTAGAGGCATGAGCCACTGTCCCCGGCCTCCTGGCTTCCTTCTGGACCCACAAGGGGCAGTCTCAAAATAGCCAAGGGATTGGAAGAAGTTGAAATTGACGCTGCCCAGGAAAGGAGTTCTGAGTGCTGAGCTGCAGGGTGAGGCATAGGGAATGTGGGGAAGAGGCTTTTCCTTGCCATCTTTCTGTCAAGTGGTGTTACCGGAATAGAGTGTGTCAACCTTAAATGCCCCCGAAGGGTGGAAGGCATTGCTTTTCTGTGTGCGATAAGGCCAGAACTTGGTCGTAGAGGTTCAGGGCAGAAGCCAGATTGCCAGTAACTTTGCCGTATCATCATTATATATATAAACACATCGTGACATTGGAATTGTTGGAAAACTTTCCTGAAACTTTTTTTCTCTGCTCATTCAGAGATACATCAAGTTTCTCCGAATTTCTGTATAATACATTAAATTATAAACCCTCGAAACCAGAAGGTTATTCTAGCAGGAGTACCAGTACAGGGATCTCAGGAATTCTGGGGGATTTCCTTCAATTTTACTGACAGAAGAGTTTGGAATAGTACATGTTCAACTAGAGTTGGTTGTCTAATAAAAATAAAATGTTCTCAGAACTCCTTTAATTCCTACATTTTATGATTGGTGTTTTTTTTTTTTAACTTTTTTTTTAGCCTAACACTTTTTATTCTTAGGTAAGGATACAAGATCAAGAAGAAAAGGTTCAACGTATCAACTTTTACAGGTATCGGATATTGTAAGTTAAATAAAACTCCTTCATTTCTTCATTCTTCACTTGGCAACTGTTAAAGAGAGTCAGTTCTAAAAACCCATATATTTCACAATGCTTTGGAAAATGACAGAAAGCTCCAACAATGAGGGCTGATCAGCACACTTGAGAGGTCGTGCACTTCTTCCACAGAGTTCCTATCTCAACTTCTTCCTTTCCCATCCCCCCACCTTCACCCCACACCGGGACTTGCCATGGGTTCTATTTGATCTCCCTGTCTCTGGTCCTCCCTGCTCCATTTAATCTGGCATATCATAACCAAAGGAGTATTTCCAAAATGCTGCTTTGACCAAGATGCTTTTCTGTTCAGCAACCTTACCTCTTCAATTTAACATTCACAGTTCTCCCCGGTCCAATTCTAAATGGCCTTTCCAGCCCTATTTCATATTAGAACTCTCCTTATCACCATAACTTGCATTTCTGTATTCTTTTTCCTTTTGGGGATCCATACTCCTTCCTTTTGTACATCTATACTTTCTCACTGGGTTCCCTCCACCAAAACCTCCTCCTGCTTCCCAGCGAATTCAGCCTTGGAGATGTGGCTGGACTCTTTATCTTCTCTGCCCACTGCTTCTGAAAATGATCTCTCCTTCCTCTGACCTATAGTAGTGACTCTGCCAATTTCATTTCAGGTGGCAATTTACAATAGGTTGCCTTTTGATACTTCTTATGTTGTTATTTAATTTTTATATTTTCCCCTTTTCTTCTCTTATAGATTGTAAGCTCACTGAGAGCCAGAATTGTCTCATACATTTTTATATCTCCCATGTTTACTGATATTTACTTGATATTAATGAACATTTAGCTTTGATTCATAAATATATGATATTTAATTTATTAAAATATTCTCATTTTTATACACTTGAGACATAATTGAGTGTTTTAGTAGTTACAATCTTCACTCTTGCTTATAATTTACAGCAATAATCCATATTCTTACCACCTATTCAACATTTTCACATAAACATTTCAAAATACTTTACAAAAGCAAGGTAGGCTCATGAGATAAATGTATATCATACCTATTCGTAGTAAATAAAACGAGACATAGGTAAGAGATTTTCCAAAGGAGACATGCAAGTCCACGTCCATAAAAAATACTACCTGGCCAGGCTCAGTGGCTCCTGCCTGTAATCCCAACACTTTGGGAGGCTGAGTCAGGAGGATCACTTGAGCCCAGGAGTTGAGGCTGCAGTGAAATGTGGTTGTGCCACTGCACTCCAGCCTGGGTGACAGAGTGAGACCCTAACTCAAAAAAAAAAAAAAAAGAAAAGAAAAGAAAAGAAAAGAAAAGAAAAAAGTACTACCTATTCTTCATAAATGACCCAGGTGAAGAGTCTTTTTCTTTAGCCATTATTTATGATACCGAATCTATATATCCAGCCATTTCTGCCCCAGGAGAGTTGCTGATGACTTGAATGTGGTTTCAAGTTGTATATCAAATTAGTCTGCAGAGCAGTGATGAATAGGCATCTAACCCATCCAAGGTTGCAAGCCATGAGCCTGGCAAAGACATTTACATTCTTGAGTTGACTTTACTAGAAAATGAGTTAAAAATAAAAGTGAGTAGCCTAACTGGACAACTGCTGGAAGATACGCCAAGGGATATGTGGGGGAATTTCTTAATAAAACCCCAAGAAGTGTACGAAATCTGTTAGCAAAATGTGCCTTGAGGCTGATAATAGCCTGAAGCTATTTGAAATCAAGCTATAATAAACCAAAGGATTTGTTAGTCAGAGCTTAGGTGGCTGTTTCTCAGAAAAGATGTATGACCTTTCACATAAAGCAACACAACTGCTGAAACAATCACTCAGTGCTAACTAACCAAAGAACACGCCTGACACTTAGGGTCAGATACTGGTTTTGTAGCCACAATTTACACAGGGATGACCAACTCCAGCCATCTTGAAAACAAGCACAGAGAATAGTAGCATAATCATAGCAAAGTGTGGACTATTAGGAAAATTCAAAAGCTTTCCTCTCTCCCCATCCTCGTCCTCCTCCCACACTTACCTCCTCCTCCTCCCTTTTCTCCTCCTCTTCTTCCTTGTGTTTCTAACAAGCACATTGAACAATGCTAGAGCCAATAATAATATTTTTCAAAATGTGGCTGTTTTGCAAAGTGTTCAGACCTGGGAGGTAAAAGGTCCAGGTTTATGTCCCGGCTTTGTTGCTTTTCTGTTTGACCTTTGATATTCACCTTTAAAGTGGACTCACCATTTGCTCCCTTACAGGGTTGTGTGGGAATTAAATGAGATAATGTATGTGAAAGCTTCTTGAAATCACGTACAGCTCCATATATTTATAAAGCAACAAACGCTGTCTTTTCCGATCATCATGACATTGAAAACCATGAAAGGGGTCAGGATTTGCTTGTATGAGAAGAATCAGTTCACTTAGATAAGCTTCTGTTTATCCGCTTGACTCCTTTCTTTTTCACTCTAGATATTAATAGGGTTTAGAGCCTGGATAACCGTGAACTATTTTTAAATACTTTTAGCAAATTACCTTTACAAAAGTTTTTCCCCTTTTTTTCTGTTCTTCCTTAGTATGTACCCTCTTCTTTTTTTAAAAAAAAAGTATTTATGTGATTCTCTTAAATCAGCTCCTTTTCAGTATTTTAGTAGCAGAATATTCAGAGCAGAGAATGGTTTTTTTCCCTCAAGTTAACTATTTAGTGCCATGACTAGTAACTTAAAGAAGAAAGAAAGGACTTAAATACAAGTCTTAATATACAAGACTTAAACCAACATAAACCAAAAATTCTGTTCTAATTCAGTTATATAATGAATAAAAATTGATTGCTTATCAAGTGAAATCTTACCTTAAAGTACTGATGGTAATAGGAATATGAGCATTATACATGATAAGCTATTGGCTGAGTTGTCCTTTAAGTTTGTCCCAGTCCAGAGCTTGTGATGACAACAAGCTGGGATGATTATTGAAAACTCTAGGTTTTATTTTAACAGTAACACAGAACTTTATTGTGTTTCAGACAAAATAATTGTGTTGTAAGAAACTGAGAAGTTAATAGCAACAAGAACCCCAAAACCCTTGTTGTAAGTTTCTGAAGAGTAGGAATGATACCTTTAAATATTTTAGCCCCCTTTTATTCTGGCCTTATAGTAGATACAATACTTACTAAATTCCTGTGTAATAGAAGAACCACTTAAAAGGTTATTTCCAGTGGATTTTCCACAATAAAATAAGACATTGTATTTTCCATTTGGCCATGGAAGATGGCATCTGGGCCATCCAACTGAATGGAATTGCCAAAAGGGATCAGTGGAAGACACTGGTCTGCTTTGCCAGATCAAATCATTTACATTTCTTTCTTTTCACTCTTTTCATTCACTACTTTGAGTAAACCAAACAGGTATCTTCTTTCATATGTTTTTCCACTTCTTTGTATTGTATAGATATTTTTGTAGTTAACTTACTCATTATTTATGTACCGTAAAAATGCCCACCGGCTGGGTGCGGTGACTCACGCCTGTAATCCCAGCACTTGGGGAGGCCCAGGCGGGTGGATCACGAGATCAGGAGATCGAGACCATCCTGGCTAACACGGCGAAACCCCGTCTCTACTAAATATACAAAAAAAAAAAAAAAAAAAAAAATTGGCCGGGCGTGGTGGCGGGCGCCTGTAGTCCCAGCTTCTCTGGAGGCTGAGGCAGGAGAATTGTGTGAACCCGGGAGGCGGAGCTTGCAGTGAGCCGAGATTGCGCCACTGCACTCCAGTCTGGGCGACAGAGGGAGACTCCGTCTCAAAAAAAAAAAAAAAAAAAAAAAAAAAGCCCACCTAGACCCACTCAATAAGTGGAGGCATGCCAAGTCCTTTGCCTCAGAAAGGAAGACGCTAGTAAGACAGTATTGCTGCTGCTTTGGTTTTGGTAACCACTGTGGTCAGGCTTCTTGCTTTAAAAATAAATATCAAGGCCGTGTGCGGTGGCTCATGCCTGTAACCCCAGCACTTTGGGAGGCCGAGGCGGGTGGATCACGAGGTCAGGAGATCGAGACCATCCTGGCTAACACGGTGAAACCCCGTCTCTACTAAAAATACAAAAAATTAGCCGGGCGTGGTGTCGGGCGTCTGCAGTCCCAGCTACTCGGGAGGCTGAGGCAGGAGAATGGCGTGAACCCGGGAGGCAGAGCTTGCAGTGGGTGGAGACCACGCCACTGCACTCCAGCCAGGGCAACAGAGCGAGACTCCATCTCAAAAAAAAATAAAAATAAAAATAAAAATAAATAAATAAATATCAAACCATTGACATGATGTTTATTTTCCACAGTGTCTCAGTTTTGTCGCTCCTTGAGTAAGACCTGTTGGAGACCTTTATCCTATGATAGCTCTTTATTTCCAGGACATTATCTCCTAATTAGATATTAAGGGGGCAATAACCTTCTTTGTAAACTTCTCCTAAATATAAATTGCTTTCATACTAGTGGAGAAATATTGTCCTTTTCTCCCTATTTTAAGATGGAAAAACTGAAGCATAAGGACAGAGACGTGTGTGAGAGTTCACGGAAAGTGAAAGAGAGTTCTTGACTTTCTTGCCTCCTTAGCTAGTCTTTAATTGCTAGAACATTTGCATCCTTAACAGATATGGGCCCACCTATTACTACTTTCAGCATAATTTAATTGCGTGATATATTTGGGACTTGGAGCTAGTCATGGAGTACTTTTTAAAATAAACAACTGAACAAATGAAGCAATTCTATCACGCAATGTTTATTTGTATTTTTCAGTTGGCTTAAATATAAAAGATCTGACATGACAATCACATTTATCTACACAAATGAAATTCTCATTGTTGATACATTTTAGCGTGAATGTCTAAAAGCGCCGCATGGATACTAGCTCTGAAGACAAAGGAATCCCAAAGAAAAGCCAAGCAATTAAGTCATTTAGTTCTTTGTTTTGTTTTGTTTTCATCTGTAACTGGAAAAAGACTTCACAGAAGACTCTTACTGAGAATCACAGGCTCAAAAGTTGTGACAACCTTGGGGGACTTTATTTAGGAGCTGAAATAGAGCTATTGGGAAGTTCAGAACAGAAAAGTAAAAAGCAAAATCTACCTACTTTGTCATTTCCACGTCCTAATAAGTATCATTCCAAACCAGGTAGTTAAGTAATATGCACGTTGAGCTTTGAGATTCTCTGAGAAGCCTAATAAGCCTTGAAAATGAGCTAAAATGGTATTGGCATAGTCCTGAACATTTTTTTTTACTGATTCTGAAAACCTCTAAAGTGATTATTGTATTATGACTTGTCACCGTTCCCACCCACTGCCTACCTTTCCTTCTCTCCTACTGCCAACCACTCCGCAGCACGCATTTTTTGATGTTTTCCCCCTTACTAATTAATGGAGATTATATACCCTTTCATGGCTCGAGCTTAAGGAGAATGATCTTGGTGTAAAAAATGCCCACACATATATTCTCTACATATTGTAGAGTTTTAGTAAGTACTCATCTGAGAAACAACTTAGCATAAAAGTTTATTAAGCAAGTTCAAAACTCATAATTAACCTTGCAAAAAAAGTCGTCAGTAAAGTACTCAGTCTTGGTGGAAGAGTTAAAAAAACATCCCTGGCCTACACATTTTCGTTTTCGGTTTTCCTTTTTTCTTTTTCTTTTTTTTTTTTTGAGACAGTCTCACTGTGTCGCCCAGGCTGGAGTGGAGTGGTGCAATCTGGGGTCACTGCAACCTCCACCTCCTGGGTTCAAGCGATTCTCATGCCTCAGCCTCCTGAGTAGCTGGGATACAGGCAGGCACCACCACGGCTGGCTAATTTTTGTATTTTTGGTAGAGACAGGGCTTCACCGTGTTGGCCAAGCTGGTCTCCAACTCCTGACCTCAAGTGATCTGCCTGCCCCAGCCTTCCAAAGTGCTGGGATTACAGGAGTGAGTCATTGTGCCTGGCCTGGAGGTTTTTTATTACATAATTTCAAATTATGATATTTTAGCAAGATCACACTAATTTTAGTAGTGTTAAAGTTTACCTCTCTTCGTATACCACAATGATTCCAGAACACAGGCTCTGGAGTCAGACTGCCTGGGTTCAAATCCGGGTGCTGCCAATTAGTAACTGAATGACTCAGACAAGTTACTCAAACACATTAGGCCTCCATTTTGTTACCTGTTAAATGGGAACAGTAAAAATCATATGTACCTCTGAGGCATTTGGGAAACTTAATAAGGCATATAAGGCATTTGGCATAGTGCTTGGCTCATCGTAAGCACAGTACTTACTAAACATTAGCTTTTATCTTACCATTGTTTTTTAAACAACAGCAACAACAACAAGATTATAGCATAAAGCCAAAAAATGTTCTGTACCAAACTAAGCATGGCAAAAGAGGCAGCTTCCAATCAGTACAAATAGAGTAATTGAATAAATTCGTTATCTTTAAAAGTGAGAGGATGTAGTAAAGAATCTAATTTGGTAAGCACACTTTTGATTTCAACAGCAAGTTTATTCCTTTGTAGTCATTTAATCTGATTATCATTCCGTTTGGGGAATTAGAATTTCCCAAACTAATTTGGTATCATGGAAAGACCATTCCAGAGAGTTCCATCCTATGGTATAGCCATATTCCAAATATGTGAAATAACAACCACCACAGAACAAAGCACCACTGGGCTCCTAATAGAGGTGCATATTTCCCGAGCTATAATTGATCCCAGCTGTTTGTTTTTATGGCATAAATTTATAAGCCGAAGGAGTCCAGAAGAGTTTCTTGTGACCTGCTTTGTGTCTGTGTAGCACAACACTTGAGGTATCCTTAATATAAGGGATCTGACATCCTCACCCCCTGAGAACAGGGAGTAAAGGAATAGACAACAAAAGAAGTTTTTCAAGTTCACGTGGTTTAACCTTTAGGAGTGTCTTTCAGCCTCTCACTTGGGACTACTAATTTTATTTGAGAACCAGTTTTAATGTCTTGTTTGTCCGGTTTCTGTTCTTTCACAACAGATTAGGACAAGCAAGGAAATGAGGATGATGCAGAAGGCAGAGGGGGCTGTCTGGGAACTTCGTATTAGAGGAGAAAACAGGGAAACCAGTGATGCCACTTACTGCAGAAACAAAGGGTCTTCTGTCCCTCTGCAGTCACTGATAAACCTGCATCAATAGGAAAGGTTTAGATTGGGTTCAGCTGCCTTTGGTTTGAGAATGTGGAGGGTGTGTTTTAGAAATATTTTTGTTAAAAAAGAGTAGAACGAAAATTTTGGAACTGCTTATTTGTCAGAACACTTGAGTTATCTAGAAAGTGAATTTATATGGACTTTTCATTCTGCAATGGTGCTGGATCAGTGAGGTGTGAGTTCGTTTGCTAGAAGTCCATCCTCAAGTTGTAGGCAGAATTGTTTCCTTCTGAGGGCTGTGAGGGAAGGATCTGTTCCATTCCTCTCTCCTTGGCTTGTACATGGCTGTCTTTTCCCCAAGCTTGTCTGTGTGCCTGTCCAAATTTCTTCTTTGGATAAGGACATCAGTCATATTGGGTCATGGCCTATGCTAATGACCTCATTTTAACTTGATTACCTCTGTAAAGACCCAATCTCCAACTGAGGTCACATTTTGAAATACTAGGGGTTAGGACTCCAACATATCTTTTTTTTGGTGGGGGGTAGGGATGCATTTTAACCTATAACAAAGTGTTACTATCTGTAAGAAAGCTGCCTCCTTCTGCACAATCTTGAGTCATCTGTAATCTCACGCATGCCACGATTGTTACAAGACTTCCAGCACAGAGAGCAAACAGAACAACTTCTTGTCTCTCACACTAAAGGTGGCTCCCCAAATAAATGGTATCCAGGCCCTGGTGGAAACAGTCCACTTTGTTACTGGGTTTCAGTCTGTTACAAAGTCACGAATACCTCAAGCTGATTGTTGGCAGATCAAGTTCCCATATGTTCTGTGTAGATCTTAGCAACGAGGAGGGCAGGGGAAGTGTAAGGCATATTCCTACTAGGTACGTATTTAAGACAGTGGTGAATGTACTGTTCTGTTATAGCTTTCATTACAAATCAGGAAACTCAATTGTGTTTTCTTACAAATGGAGTAGAAAAATCCAGGTTTGCCTTAATAATTTGGATTTGAGGAGAAAAATAAGCCAATCCAGTTGGTTGAGTGTGTAGACCACTTTTCAGCAGGATATTTTGATATCGTGTAGTCACACTCAGAATCTGTTTCTACAGCTGCAACATGCCTGTTGTTTTGCCCAAGCTGGAATCAGTGTAAAAGACAGCAGATAACTGGGTAGGAGAGATACAGCAAACCTTTATAACCACAGAACAAAGCTGGCCTTTGAGGCAAGATAAAACCAGGTCCTCATATAGAATCCATTGAAAAACAGGATTTTTGTGACCTTGAAGTAGTGATTTTGATTGGAATAGTGCTTCAGATCCTAAAATACTGGCTATCAGAGGTTTGACTAAGAAATAGCTCTGCTCGGAATATTGATTTTGATTGATTATGGAATGTGAAGGTTGTGGACATCCAAATTTTATACTAAATTGTATACTAATTATACATTTGTCTATTGTCCTAATTGTCCTAAATTGTATACTAATTATCCTTTATGATACTGATGACGGAGCTAACAATATTTTATGGACATCCGAATTTTATGTGTCCTAGATTGTATACTAATTATCGTTTATGATACTGAGAACAGAGCTAATAATATTTTAACTTGTGCATGGGCTGTAGACCAAATGTACCTGTTTTGTGCCAGTAAACAAAACCCAAAGATCTTTACCTGGTTAAGTTTCAAGAACTCACACTGATGCCTTATCTTGCCACTTAATATTAATATGGCTCAAGACTTCCCTGGGTACCTCTGCTGTAGGAGCTGAATTTGGAATCAGAAGTCCAGGCTTAACACATAGGAAAAATCCAAGAATCACTGTAACATAGTATGTCATTCTCTGTGATGCCAACACCTCCTTACAGATATATCTGCTATCTTCGTGTTATATAAACAGCATAGATTTAGATGTGCTGTATGTGAGTCTCTATTTTAAAAATGCCATATCTAAGTTTTTTTAATGGCTAGGCTAGTTCAGTTGAACAATCTTATGTAAGATGGCACTTAAAAGCTGAAATCTGTGGGTCTGAGTATTATTTAGTCATCTGTTTGTGCAACTGTATTTTTAACTTAATGTATGATGAGCAAATAGTTTTTCTGAACTCCCAAGCTGTGTTTCCATACTTCAGTTTGCTTTATTTTTCTCTCAATTTTCTTTAGAATACATTACAGAGAATTTGCTCTGGAAACTTCATAATGATTTGATGAAGGTAGGTAGCATTCACCAGAAAGCAACAAACCAAATGACCAAAATTAAAAACTTGAATGGACTCATAGGACAATATGTATTCTTTCCTACACCATTTAATGGAGACATAGATCAATGTCACATTCTCTTTTACAACCAATGACTAAGCACCAGACCCTGTGTGAAGGGCGTTGTTCACAACATCTCATGTAATTCTTGTAATAGTCTTGTCAGATATTATTTTTACTTTCTAAAGGAGGAAATTGAGGCTTACAGAAGTTGAGCGATTTATCCAATGTGTCACAACCTAGCAAACGGCGGAGCACGACTCCCAGCCCAGGTCTGTGTGATTCCAAAGTCAGAGCTTGTCATCAAAAAGAAGACCTCATTTTATTTTCTCCTTATTTGAAACAGCTTACTTATTTGAAACTAAGATCCAAATTCAACTGATATTAAAAATCTTCAGTGAATCCTGTCCCACGGCACCACATGAATTTTTGTCTATGCCTATCTTTTGCAAAAACTTCATTTATAAGGATGTTGTCCATGAACACTTACAGGCTGGCTCTTCAAGAGTTACCAGATTCTGTCTCTTTGGCATCTCCTCATTTCTACTGTTGCCATGTCAAGGAGTCTGCTTCTCAGCTTCCTGCAAAATCACCAATTATGTCCTTTTAGTACCTTCAAGATTTTTTGTTCCAAATTTTTGTGACCAAGAGGTTTTGTTTGTTTGTTTGTTTTTTTTTTTTTTTTTTTTTTTTTTTTTTTTTTTTGAGACGGGGTCTCCCTCTGGTGCTCAGGCTGGAGTGCAGTGGTGCGACCTTGGCTCATTGCAGCCTCAACCACAATTATCCCATCTTAGCCTCCTGAGTAGCTGGAACTACAGTCACACAGCACCATGCTTAACTAATTTTTGTATTATTATTATTATTATTTTGTAGAGACAGGGTGTTGCTATGTCACGCAGGCTGGTCTCAAACTCCTGGCCTCAAGTGATCCTCCAGCCTCAGCCTCCTGAGTTGCTAGGGTTACAGGAGTGACCCACTGTGCCCAGCTCAGAAAATGATCGTTCACTGGACGACACACCTCCAGGAACAGCATAGCTGGGAGCTGTGCTCATTCCCCTTGGGCTCTTTCTCACCCCTCTGCTGCCCAGGAAGCAAACCCAGCTTCTCACCTTCACAGGTTTTAAAGCGTGAGTCAGGTACGAAACTCTCTGTCCCCTCAACATCATAAGACACAGGCCAGGCTCGCCAAAGATTCTTTTCAAGCCCCCTGCTTGGTGTGGGGGTGGCTGGGAGGAGCCATGGCACCCCTGCAACTCTACCCTGCAGGAACTCCAGGATTAATACCCAAGCCTCTTTTAAGACTCTAAGGATGAGGCTATAGGGTCCTTGGGCAGGGTTGTTTTTTTTTTTTTGGGTCACCCTCTGCGGTGTCTGCATGGAAGGTCTAGCACCTCTCTTTAGAATGTGTGGGCACCTAACACTCCTTTTCTTAGCTTTGGGGTCTCAGCTCAGACTGCAACGTCAGAAAGTCTTATTTTAACATCCTGTTCCATATAGGTTTGGTAGTTGAGCACACAGTTGTAATTAGAATTGCGGTGGAGGAAGAGGTGGGAGGGGAAGGATGCTGAAGAGTGTGTAGAGAAGAAAGACAGTCAAAGACAGGGGACACCAGCCTTAAAAGGTACAAAGGAGAAGAGCAACCCACACGCCCAAAAGAAAAAAAATTCCAAAATGTGGAGGTGAGATACTGGGAGGTGAGAGAAGACCTAGGAGAGAGTGCTCTTGTGGAAACAAAGAGAAGAGTTTCAAGAAGCAGATGCCAGGGGACAGAGAACCAACTCTCTGATATTTGAAGTGTTCCTAGAAATTAAAAATAAATAGATGAATAGCTCAACAGAAAATGGGCAAAGTCCATGAACAGATAGTTCACAGCCAAAGGAAGATAAATGGCCCTTCAACATTTGAAAAGATGCTCAGCGTCACTCTCAATAAAGGAACTGCAAGAGAAAACAACACTGAGATCCATTTCTCACTTTTGAGATTGGCAAGCATTTTGAGGATACTGTATTGGCAAGATTGTTGGGAGCTGAGCCTGTTCATGCATTGCTGGTCAAGAGTGTGAAATGGTCCCCTCCTGTGTAGGTGAACATGACTGTATCTACCTGAACCACACAAAATTCACTCTGACAAAGATAGTCACTCTACTCTCCTTGAAACTGTTTCTCACTTGAGTTCTGGGGCAGCAACTTTCCTGGTTTTCCTCCTATTTGATGAGTTCCTTCTTTTGAACCTTCTTTATTGGCTGGCCTCTAAACCTTGGAGTGCACAAATCCTCAATCTGGGATCCTTTTCTTCATCCACCTCATCCAATCCCATTGCTTATTTTTTTAATGCAGTAAATTACAAATAACATAAAACTCACCATTTTAAAGTGAATAAGCACATCCATAGAGATAGTAGATTAGTCATTGCAAGGGGCTGGGGGAAGGAAGGAATGAGGAATGAATGCTCAGTGGGTGAGGGGTTTCCTTTGGGGGTGATGAGAATGTTCTGGAAAGTGGTGATGGTTGCATGACCCTGTGGATGTCCTAAACACCACTGATTGTATACTTAATGATGGTTTTAATGGTAAATTTGATGTTATCCATTGATATTTTACCAATAGCAAGTCTGTCTGTGGATTTTCTTATTCTGGATGTTTCGTGTAAATGAAATAATTCATTTAGCGTAATGTTTACAAGGTTCATCCAGATTGTAGCATGTATCAGTAATCAGTACACCATTCCTTTTCATGGTTGAATAGTAGTGCATTACACACACACACACACACACGCACATTTTGTGTATCCATTCATCAGTTGATGGACATTTGCGTTCCTTCCACCATTTGACTATTGTGGGAAGGTTCTTTCTTGGTGTGAGGCCTGGGTCTACCCAGGTGAGGTAGGCCTGGGACTCCATCCTGGAGCCTCCCAGGTAGCACTGAAGCACTCAGACATAGGCTGGGGCTTCCCCTGGTGAGCAGGCTGGCTTTCAAACCAGACAGTCCAGAACAGTTGGGATGGGCCAGTTGCATAAAATCTCCTCGAAAAGTACAAAAAGAGCAGCTCAAATCACCTAAAGGGATCCTGACCTGACTCAGGTGGTGTCTTATCAGTGGCAGGCCATGCTGGGTACCTGAAGGCCAATGAAAGTGCCTTCCACCAATGAGCACTGCTGAGCCACCTACTCCACGTGGATGTCTCTGGGTTGTAAAGTAGTCTTTTATCCACAAAGCAAGTCAGATCCTTTTTCTGGATCTGGATTTTTTAAATCCATGACATCACCATTCTATTGCGTCAAAGGCACACTTTCTGCAGCTATACCTTTGCAATCCTTGGTTTGCCCCCCTCAATTCCCACTTTGTTTGAGGGGCACGGGGTTTTGGAGTGCCCACTCCTCCCATCTGCTAGCTGCATGACCTTGGGCAAGTTACTGCACACCTTAAATCCTCCACCTCTGCATCTGAAGGTTGATCAGACCCCTTGCAACCTCACAGGGTTGTTATGAGCATGAAATGAGCCATGCCCAGAACACTCAGCCATCCATGGCTGCCCACTGCCCTCCTGATTAGATCTGGCATTCAGACCCCCACCTCATGTTTCTCCGTAGCTCCACGGGGTCCGCCACAGGTTCTGTCACCCCTAGCAGGCCAGGTCCTGCATTTTTGCTCAACTTTTCCACTGCTTACGAGAAATCTTCTTTTCCTCAGGCTTTTCTTTTTTCCTGCATATATTTTTTAAAAACAAGAAACATGTATTAATTTTAAAATCGGGGGAAATAAAACCTCATCATTCATGTTGTTTTGAACACCCACCCTCACTTCAAAAGCCATGTCTCCGTAAACTCTTTCTCCGTCACTTCATCACCTGGAGTTGCTCACGCCTTTGAATGATCACTGGATTTTTAAAACCTCTTCCAGAGCTTGCAGCAAGCATTAGGCTTTCAGGTACTCAAAAGCAAATATATTTGGGGATTGACTACAAATGCACAACCAAATTGTTATAGAAATCAGAACTCTAAGTTCTCCAAGGGCAGAGCCTGATTTTTTACTCATTTGAGCATTTCCACTTTGATGTCTGATAACTGTCAGGCTAGACTGCCATACCCTTAGTTTAAATAAATATTTGCTTAATGGAATTGTTATCCAATGGATGTAAGAACAAGCAAGACTTACACGCCTTGTCTCTTATGAATAGAATAAAAATAACCCATGTAATTCATTAGATTAACTGATAAAAGGTTTTGTTCTTTTGCCTAGAGAGAGGCCTATAAAGGGATCATCTAGCAGGTTTTGTTTGCCAGATCCAGAGGTTTAATACTATTTGAGTGGTTGAATAACAGCAGCAATTCTAACGATATATCAGTTCATATCTATCTTTTGACTTTTCACTCATGAAAAATATTTGAAGTGCTTTTACAAGGGGCAGATCCTGCAAGAGGATGTGGTGCCGCCCCGAATTCCCGGCCTGGAAGAACAGTACAGTAATTGTGAAAGAATGTGCATCCCAGCGTGGGCTCTTCTCCATGAAGATTATAACCATTCACACTGCTGTGGGGGATTTCCCTTTACCTGCCTCTTACCTTATTTTATGGGAACAGTTTAATTACAAGGAAATGAACTCCATCTTTCAAATTTTCAGTTCCTCTGGGAGGTTCACACAGGAGAGCTAAGCACTGTTGTTTTACTCTTATTGACAAGAACGGAAGGCTGAATGAGACACAGTACCCACTATTTACTTGATCATGTGCTTACGTTTTCTGTTTTTCTAGATGTGAGTCAACAATTCTTGTTGCATGCTTACTGACTGTGATCACCATAGAACTGCCTTCTCTAAGCACCTTTCTGTTGTGCTGAAGTCTGTACAAATTAGGTTAGTCCCTGTCCAAAAGGAACTTGTCATTTAAAGCAGTATGAGGGCCAGTGTTTCTCAACTGGGGGCATTTTTGTCTCCCTGGCAGACATTTGGCCATGTCTGGGGACATTTTTAGGTGTTGAAACTGGAGAGGGGGCTGCTACTGGCATCTAGTTAGTAGAGGCCAGGGATACTGCCCCACATCCTATGATGCATAGGATGCCCCACAAAGAATTATCTGGCCCCAAATGTCAATAGTGCTGAGGTTGAGAAACCCTGATATAGACATATGGACTTAAATACACAAATATTTTTTAAAAATAAGTGATGGATTAAAAAATGTTTATGTGCGGCTGGGCATGGTGGCTCAGGCCTGTAATACCAGCACTTTGGGAGGCAGAGGCGGGTGGATCACGAGGTCGGGAGTTTGAGACCAGCCTGGCCAACGTGGTGAAACCCCGTCTGTACTAAAAAATACAGAAAGAAATTTAGCTCGGCGTGGTTGCATGTACCTGTAATCCCAGCTAGTCAGGAGGCTGCGGCAGGAGAATTGCTTGAACCTGGGAGGCAGAGGTTGTAGCGAGCTGAGATCACGCCACTGCACTGCAGCCTGGGTGACAGAGCAAGACTCCGTCTCGGAAAAAAAAAAAAAAAAGGAATGTACGTGTGCTTCACAGAATGTCTTAGTCAAGAAATCAGAGGAACAGAGGACAGTTGGATGGCCCCAGGTGGCAGAGTTGATCATCTTTTTTCCAGTATTTGAGCAGATTTTGTGAGAGGGATAAAGACAGTAAAGGAGATCACTTGGGATCCAAAAGATCTTCAGGAGAACCTCTGGTAAATCAACATCATTCTGATTTTTAACATCAGAGTCTACATTGGATAAAAATGCCAATCATTCAGGAAAAGATCACTACGAGCAAGGATTTTAAATTGGAAGACGTGGACTTTATTCTGTGATTACGAAATTGCTCAAAAAGGCCAGAAACAACTTAAAGTTCAGAATCATATTAATTCGAAGACCAAAAAAGAGGAAGCATTCAGCCAGCTCAAAGAAATTATTGCATCATTTCCTTGTGTGCGGTTTAGGTTAAAAATAACCTCTAATCCTTGTCAAGAGTAAACTGTCTTGTCAAAGAGAATTAGGAAATTACCTCAGGGCGGGGGTTACAGGGTGGGGTAGAGAAGGAGCAGTTCATCAGGAAGAAATTACTTGCTGCATTTTGAGATGAACATTTCTGAATGACTGAAGAAAATGTGGGGCTAAGGGAATAGGGACTCCGATGGGAGACAGGAGGAACGTGCATGGGGCATGTGTGTGTGTTGTGGGGGTAGGTGAAGAGGGAGGCACTGGAGTGTCCCTGCCATGGAGGTGGCTGCCCTGGGTGGCTTGAACTGCTGGGCCATGGGGTGTTCTTCTCTTCTCCGTCTTGGGCAGCCTGCTTTGGCCTTGGGTGCTCACAGAGATAGAGTGTAAACCACAAGCTCTGTGCCTATTGGGCCATGAAGCGAAATTCGATAAAGGCTGACCTTCGGCTGAGCCCCAAAGCCATCTCAGCACCTCGACATCACCACAACATCACCACAACACCCCGGAGACAAGAACAGACATGTTCTTTAGAGGGTCATGGCTGCACTAGCTGTAAAGAAGTGGAGAGGGAGAATATATGCCAAAAAAAGGCAGCTTCTTGACCTTCAGATTCCTGCTGCCAGCTTCCTGTTTGCCACTGGGTTGCAAACTCCATAAAGCAAAAACCAAGCACAGGGGCTGTACGAGTGCCCTGTGTTCTCATTGTAGATGCTCCAATATTGGCAAATGTGACTTTCAAGTGTGGTGATGTCCTATCCCTCCAGCCTTGTGCAGTATTGTTTCGTGGTTTCCTTGTAATTTGGGACAAAGCATGTTGCTCTGGAAGCAATCAACAAGACTCATGCCAGAGTTCGTGTGAATATGCATGTTGTGGAAATCGGCACTGAAAAATTAAGGATTTTTTTTTTTTGAGGAGCTACATTGTACTGAAGTTGAAGAAAATATACACATTTGGTCTTTCTTTCTTTCTTTCTTTCTTTCTTTCTTTCTTTCTTTCTTTCTCTTTCTTTCTTCCTTCCTTCCTTTTTCTCTCTTTCTTTTTTTTTTTTTTTTTTGTGAAATGGAGTCTCGCACTGTCACCCAGGCTGGAGTGCAGTGGCGTGCGATCTCTGCTCACTGCAAGCTCTGCCTCCCAGGTTCACACCATTCTCCTGCCTCAGCCTCCCAAGTAGCTGGGACTACAGCTACTCTTTCTTTCTTTCTTTCTTTCTTTCTTTCTTTCTTTCTTTCTTTCTTTCTTTCTTTCTCTTTCTTTCTTTCTCTTTCTTTCTTTCTTTCTTTCCTTTCTTTCCTTCCTTCCTTCTTTCTTTCTTTCTTTTCTTTCTCTTTCTTTCTTTCTTCTTTCTTTCTCTCCTTCTTTCCTTCCTTCCTTCTCTTTCTATCTCTCTCTCTCTTTCTTTCTCAAAACCACAATCACTCCGAGCATGGCTTTTAGTTCATGAACAGTACCACAATGTCCTGTGTAATAAGCAAAATAAATAAGCAAGAGAAACATGTTTTTCTGAAAACAATATAACCCATGTGGTGAAATAGAAGGAACAGAGGCTGGATCTGGGTATAAGTCCTAACTTGCCACTTGCTAGTTATATGTCTTCTGATATTTGGTTATTTCATCAGCAGAATGGAAAAGACATTTCTTCCTTCCTAGGACTATAATGTGGAATGAATGAGCCAATGTATGTAGGATTCTTGCAAGGTGCCTGGCATTTGATACTTAATAAATAGTATTTATTATCATAAAAATTTGTGTTATAAGTGCTATATCTCTAAGAGACATCTTTCCATCAGTGATTGCATATCACATTATATAATATGCCACAAAACCATACAGCTACCAGTAGTCAGCTCGATAAAAGCCAACATTTATCATCCACATTGTCACCAAAAAATTTATGTGAGGCGCTCACCATGTAGAATTACAACTTGCTCACTTGTTTGCGAGTTCTGTAAGCAGTGGGAAATTAAAAGTATGTGTGTGTACGTCAGTGTAAATCTGTTAGAAAAATGCACCATAAAGAATGACATCATTTGGTTTGAAGGCTAAGAAGATTTGGTCAGCAGACGCATGCGGTAGCTCAAGGGAGATACTGGGACTCTAGCCAATAACTTCTGACCTACAGACAAGAGAAGAAACTCTGGGAACTGAAAGGTCTCTTATCACATTTTAATTCAAAAAATAAAATCTTGCACTCCAGAGCCAGAATCTATAAATGGAATAAGATATCAGGAAGAGTGGTGTTCAGTGACAAATAGTGCATTTGGCAAAGAGCATTCCACATGTGGCATCAGAGAAGCAAGGAACTCTTTCCACAAGTATTTCTCCAAGCTTACCATCGAAACAGATGGACGGCAGGAATTTAATGCTGTGCATTGATAGGACAATCTCAATGCCAGGGAACTTTGACACACAGGAGCTTAAAAATGGGGAGATCTATTGACTGATTGGTCCATCCATCCATCCATCCATCCACCCACCCATCCATTCATTTCTATTCATCCATTCAACCAACATTAATTGAATGCACACTCTTTGCCAGGCCTTGGCTGAGAGGCCAAAGCTACAAAGAAGAAAAGGCTCAATTCTATTTCTCAAGGATCTTACAAAGAACTGGATAGGCAGGCACAGTCAAAAAAAGATGCTCAAAATTTGGTGAGTTACACATGGGCTGGATATACAGCAGACTTTAAGTAAATACTATGTGAAAACAATAACAATAAAACACAGATCTGTGGCAAGAGATGCCATTTCCAGCTCTCTCTTGATGATTTTATTTGAGGGTAAAGGACTTTTAGCAGTTTGGGGGGAAAAAGCTGCACGAAGTAGGTGACTCTTGTCTCTTTTTCCAGCCCACGTTCATCATCTCCGGAGAAAACAACTCCTGTGGCTTGAAGCCTTTAATGGAGCCAGTTCTCCCCCACAGGCTGTCTTCACTTCCAGGGAGGGAGGGTTATTTACTGCATGCTTCATCATTGACGATCTGCATGGAGAGAACACAGGAATCACATTCACTTTGAGCCGCTGAGTGGCCTGGACGGGAGCCATCTGTGTGCACTCTTCCTTTATCTCGTGTGTGTGTCGGGGGTAGCCAGGAGTGCATTTTAGAAAGAAATACTTGGAAAAGTTAATGAAACAGCACAAAATGTAATTCCCAGTTCAATATCGAGTTGCCATTTGTTGTTCATTTTAGTTTGTATTTTGTGCGTTTTGCCAAGGACTCACATAAGCTTTGCTTTTTTTGAATTAGGATTATAAATCACGTGGAAACTCTGGTGACATTTAAAAAAAATTGAACGCAGCACCTGTCTGTTTTAAACATTAGCAATGCTGAAATTGGTTTTCATATAACTGTGAGCTATAATAACTTTCACCTACTTGGAATTGGTTTGTAATTTTGACATGAACTGATGAGAGCCAAAATATTGTTAAGCTTCCCCCTGCCTTCCAGACCCAGTTTGGATTTGAGGGATTCTGGAGATTTGTGATTTGAAAGTAATCATTGTAAAACACATCATCATTAATCAAATTACTGAGACCACAGTGTACAGGGTGTTCCATTCCCAGCTTTCGGGAATCATCCCATCAATTCTAATCTGGCCATTGTCACTAGGGTAGACAAAGAATCAATCAAATCAACAAGTATTTATCCAGAGCTTAGTACGCACTTAGCACAGTTCCAGGGTACTATTTGGAAGGAGGGTAGGAGAGGGTAGAAGATGTGTAAGACACATTCCTTCATTATCTGAACAAGCAAGGAGGAAAATGGCAATTGTTTCTTCAAAATGCTGCCTGCCTTGATCATTAGCTTTGAATAGCTGTATGATTTCAAGTTGCAAGGTTAGAAATGTAACTGCTTTGTACTTTCAAAGTGAAATGAGTTATTTGGTGAGAAAAATCCCTCACATTTATTGTACTGGTCTGGTGTTTTCTTTTGACAATTGCTGCTGATTTTGGCAGCATAGGAAAGACCCTACATCCTGTCTGCTGAGGAGCACAACAGTATAGAAAGGGCTTCAAAGGAATTATTTCCCCCCTGGCATCCCCATTGCTGAGTGAGTGGGCAAATGACCAGCAAGGCCCTGCTTGCCAGTTGGTATTGTGCCTCCTCATAAGGAAGCTGACCAGCAGGCAGATAGACAGACATTGATGTTCTGCCCGCGTTCCTGGAAAAGGGGGAAGCGGCCAGGTTACATAATGGTCTGACTTTTTAGAGAAGTCCAGTTTTCCAAAAAATAAATCCACAACTGTGAAGTAGAAGGGAAACTTTCTCCTGTACTGCCAGAAGGCATTTCAAAGCATCTGTAATTATTTTTAACAGTTTCATTGAGGTATAATCTACATAGCAGAAAATTCATGCACTGTAAGTGCACAGTTAAATAAGTTTCAGAAAATGTGTCCATTTGTACAACCATACAACCATCACTACAATTCAGTTTTAGAAAACTTCCAATACCTCAAAACATTCCCTCCTTTGGAGTATTCATCCGTTCTCATGCTGCTGATAAAGACACACCCGAGACTGGGTAATTTATAAAGAAAAAGAGATTTAATGGACTCACAGTTCCACATGGCTGGGGAGGCCTCACAATCGTGGCGGGAGGCAAAAGACACCTTACATGGCAGCAGGCAAGAAACAGAATGAGAATCAAGCAAAAGGGAAAACCCTTTACAAAACCATTAGATCTCCTGAGACTTATTCACTACCACAAGAACAGTATGGGGGAAACTTCCACCATGATTCAATTATCTCCCACTGGATCCCTCCTACAACACATGGGAATTATGGAAGTTACAATTCAAGATGAGATTTGAGTGGGGACACAGCCAAACCACATCACTTGGCTTGTTTGCAGTCAATCCCCACTCTCACTCGCCGGCCCAAGCAACCATTGATCCGCCTTTTGTTTATAAAGCTCTTATGAATGGGATCATACAATATGCTGTCTTTTGTGTTTGGCTTCTTTCACTTAGGATAATGTTTTCAAAGTTCATCCATGTTGTTTCATGTATCAATACTTCATCGCTTTTTATCACTGAGTAGTTCCATTGCATGGATGGACCACTTTGTTAATCCATTTCTCAGTGGATGGATGTTTAGCTTGTTTCCTTTTTTTACCAACACGTCCACTGTCACTGATAATTTTAAGTAAGACATGACACTAACATTAAAATGGAAAATTATCTACTTCCAATCTTGTTATGCATGTCACTACACTAGTTCTGAAAGACTGTTATATTAGTTTCATGCAATATAAACTACATTGGGAAGTAGGAAATTATCAAGTGGATATTTTGTCCAATCAAAACTTCAGTTATGCAAGATGAACAGGACCTTAGAGCCTTGAAATGAGCAAGCTTTCCCCAAAAGTAAAAGAAATTTTCCCAAAGACAGTCTTACTTTTTTCTACCTTACCATATCTGCTTTCTCACTCTTGAAATACTTCATGTACTTTATCCATTTGTGCATTCATTAATTCATTCATTCCTGTTTATTCCATAAATATTTAGTGGACATTTTCTCTGTGTTAAGGCAGGGTGCTAGGTGCTATAGTACATATAAAAAGAAATCAGACATGATCATAACTGGTTCTGTACAGATACCCAAGTCAGTTTTTTAAGTATTTTTGACTGAGACTCACAGTAAAAAGTACATATTACCTGTACATATGTAACTGAGATAAAAGTTTCATAAAATGATACTTCACATTACTGTGTGTGATTCAATATTATTTTCTATCTCATTTTAAAAAATAGTTGATTGCAACCCACTGAACTGATTTTACCACCCACAAATAGGTTGCATCCTGCAATTTCAAAAAGTTTCACTAAAATAGTAATATTTCGGGATAAGGAACAGAGGACAATGCTTACTATCTAGGAGGAACAGAGAACAAGAGGATTGTATGGGAGTTGATGGCGGGGGATATAAAGGTTCAGGGGAGGGCCTACTTAGTGATATAGGTGACCCAACCGCTCTGGAGCCCTGGTTAGTCTGTTTGCATCAGGACTTGGAGCACTATCATCTCAATGAAAAATTCTGTGTGTTGGCAGGTGCGGTGGCTGATGCTGTAATCCCAGCACCTTGGGAGGCCTAGGCAGGCAGATGGCTTGAGCCCAGGAGTCTGAGACGAGCCTGGGCAACATAGCAAAACTCTTTCTCTACTAAATATGGGTGACAGAGTGAGACCCTGTCTCAAAAAAGAGAAAAATCCTGTGTGTTGAAGAATCTAGGCCTCTGTGGCTCAGCAGAGGTGGGTGGCTGGAGAGGGGGCAGTCACCTAAATGGTTCTTGAGAAGAATTTTCTCTCCTTGTTTTAGCTAACAGAAAAAGCCCAACTTCATAAAGCAAATGTGCACTCATTTATTCTAAGTTTACTGTCCTTGGTTTTGATTATTAATCTCTTCAAGTAGCTGAAACTCATAAGAACTGAACAATCTTATGATGCTCCCCAGAAGACAGAAAACTTCTACTGTACGTCTCTCTCTTTCTGAATCGATCACTATCTTAGTCTTAGTCTTGTTTTTCTTTCCTCCTCACCAGTCCTTTCAACATTTCTTCTCTCACCTGTTTTCTCTCAGCTGTCCTTCTTTTTTTTTTTTTTGGAGATGGAGTCTTGCTCTGTCTCCCAGGCTGGAGTGCAGTGGCATGATCTTGGTTCACCGCAAGCTCCATCTCCCGGGTTCACGCCATTCTCCCGCTTCAGCCTCCCGAGTAGCTGGAACTACAGGTGCCCGCCACCATGCCCGGCTAATTTTTTGTATTTTTAGTAGAGATGGGATTTCACCGTGTTAGCCAGGATGGTCTTGATTCTCCTGACCTCGTGATCTGCCCGCCTCAGCCTCCCAAAGTACTGGGATTACAGGCATGAGCCACCACGCCCAGCTCTCTCAGTTGTCTTTCTTATGAAATAACTAAAACTGGGCACTGTCACAGACAGCTCCTTCCAATAAAGGCCACTGAAATCTTTTAGCTGGATTCTCTCCTTCCCTGAGCCTTAAGGAACAAGCTCGGTGGCAGGGTCTTAGAACACAGGTAACTTTTAGATGGGCAGGGGAGGGATTTTTTTTTTTTAAACATTTATGGAGAGTTTGTGATTGACTGAGCAGTTTACATGTTTTGCCCATTTATTTCTCAAAATGATTCAATAAGGTAGACACACTTACCCCATTTTCTGACATAGGCCATAGGACTCAGAGAGGCTAGGTAACTTACCTAAGATCACAAAGCTATTAAGTGCTGGAGTTGAGATTCCAGCTTGTATCTTCTGCCTCTAAAGCATGTGAAGCTGGCGCTACTGATTCAGCAAACATTCACTGAGAATCTATGAGGTGGAGGAGTTGAAGACACAAAAATGATGGTGACATCATCCCTGTCCTGAGGAGCTCATGGGGTCACGGAGTGTGATCCGGAAACAGAGAGGAAGTCCTGGCACCTGTGGAAAGTTGGTTTGGTTGAGCAGCGAGGGATAAATTGAGGGGGTAGAAGTCTATTCTGTAGGAAGTGGAGGGCCCCTAGGGGTTTATGAGCAGGACAGTCACTTGTTGGTAGCTGCATCCTGCAGCTGGCAGCAGGGGAGAGGTGAGGAGCATCTGGCTCGGGAAGGCAGAGGTGGGAAGGGAGAGAGGCATAAGGAGAATGTGAAAGGGAGTGAGACAAGATTTGGCAGCTGAATCTGTCTGGGCTTCAAAGCATCACATTTATTCTTCCAGTCAGCACTTCCACTGGGTGACCCCTCCCAGGCCCATCCAAGATGACCCTTTCTGAAAAGCCCCCAAGCTGTGGTTGCTCCTGAAATCTGCTTTTGGGAGAATCCCTGTTGCTTCTTGCCCATGGCTGCTGCTGGATTTGGCTGAAGGTCTATTTCCTTGGGTATCCTGGACTCATTAGTGTGTGCGACAAGTTGAAGTGCTCTCTACCACAACACATTATTTCACATTTTCCCCAGTTGCATTTGAGCTATTTTGGAGCCTGTGATTTTCCTCGCTTTGGTCCAACTTACACGGTGCCGGCAGTTGTGCGGTCCAATCCCTGCAATATGTTCAGCCCATCTGCTACTGTTTCCCACAGTGTTTAGCTTTGAAAATCTTGGGTAAAGCCTTCCACGTTGGTGGATTCCCATTTTCAACATTTTCCTCTAGCTTTATATTTTTTTTTCTCAAGATGGAGTCTTGTCTTTCAAAAATGCAGGACTCAGACTAGAACTGCCCATGACTTTGACCTTGGTGGTTTCTGTCGCTCTATGGGTTTGGCTGCTCAGCCCTTCCAGCCAAGGTTGTTTAGTGGCCTCTTAGCTTGCAGGAAAGAGGTGAAATGGTTGACACACTCCAGGATTAGGAATGGTTAGGATTTTAAAGTTAAAAAAATTAGAAAAGAGCTCCAGAAATCTGGACCAGTTCTGCCTCTGAAAAATGGCATTATGTGAAGAAACTTCTATTTTCCAGCCATGACAGACATCTGGAAAAGCCTGGGATTGGTGAATCAGAATGGGGTTCACTGGCAGTGGAAGCTGGAGAAGCTGATTCAATTGTCTCCAGACCTCAGGTTCCTTGTCTGTAAAATGGGACAGAAATAGCAGCTGCCTTTTAGAAGGGTGCCATAACGGAACAAGCTAACATCAGTGTCTGGTGCAGGCTGGGTATGTCCTCGCCTTTTTATCCTTTATTTGCATTTGTGTCTTTGGCTTGTTGGTCCCTTCCCTCCTCTGAGACAGAAGAGCACAGGGAATAAGAATGTGGCCTCTGGGGTCAGACTATGAAGAGTCTGATTCCTGGTCCTGCTTACTAGCTGTGTGTGACTTAGGGTAAGTTAATCTCAAATATCCACACCTCAGTCTGCCCAGAGGTAAAATGGGGTTGTCATGAGCCTTAAGTGGGCTGATCTTTCCAACTCTCTGAATCCCAGGAATCTTAGAAGCCACCAGTTGGTCAAGGAAGCAGGCCTTTGCTTATCATCTGTTATTTTCCAGTTGCTTCTTCCTTCTCTCAGATGGAACATCTCTCAAAACTTGGAATTCAGTGACAGTGAGATCTGCGGTCAGTCTTAGATTCTACATGGAACTTCTGAGAAAGCCAGAGCAATAGCCTGTCTCCAGTTTAGCTTCTCTTGCCTGAACGCATTCCCTACCACAGTTAAGCTTTCAGGACAGGCTGGTTCTCTTAGGGGAAAAGAAGTTAGGTAGCTTAATTTTTTTGTTGTGGTAAAATATACACAACATAAAATTTACCATCTTAGGAATATTCAAGTGTCCATTAAGGACACTCATTAAGTATAAAGTGGCATTAAATACATTCACATTTTTGTGCAACAATTGCCAGCACCATATCCAGAACTTTTTCATCTTCCCAAACTGGAGCTCTGTACCCATTAAATACTAACTTCCCATTTCTCCCCCTTTCCAGCCTCTGGTGGTGTAACACCATTCTACCTTCTGTCTCTACAAATTTGACTACTCTAAATAACTCCTATAAGTGATATTGTACAGTATGTGTCCTTATATGTCTGACTTATTTCACTCAGCATAATGTCCTCAAAGTTCACCTAGTTGTAGCATGTGTTGAGAGTTCCTTCCTTTTTAAGGCAGAGTAATATTCCATTGTATGGATATACCACATTTTGTTTATTCATTCATCCATTGATGAACATATGGATTGCTTCCACATCTTGGCTATTGTGAAAGTGCTGCTATGAACGTTGATGTGCAAATATTTCTTTAAAGGCTCTGCTTTCATTTCTTTTGGATATATACCCAGAATTGGGACTGCTGGATCATATAATAGTTCTATTTTTAATTTTTTGAGGTACCTCCATACCATTTTCCATAGCGGCTGCACCATTTTAGAATCCCACTAACAGTGCACAAGGGTTCCAATCTCTGCATATCCATGCCAACACTTATTTTCCATTTTTCTGATGATAGTCATCCTAATGGATGTGAGCTAATAACTCACCTTGATTTTAATTTGCATTTCTCTGATGATTAGTGATGTTGAACATCTTTTCACATGCTTATTGGATATTTCTATATCATCTTTGGAGAAATGTCTGTTCAAGTTATTTGCTCATTTTCAAATTGGGTTATTCGATTTTTTGTTGTTGAGTTATAGGAGTTCTTTACATATTCTGGATATTAAATACTTATCAGGGATATGATCTGCAAATATTTTCTCCCATTCTAAGGGTTGCCTTTTTGTTTCATTGATTGTGTCCTTTGATGCACAAAAGTTTTTAAGTTTGATATAATCCCATGTGTCTATTTTTGCTAGATAATTTCATCTTAAAACAAAAAGAAGTATGGTTACTTTTTTCTAATGTACATGTTATACAGGTTGAGTATCTCTTATTTAAAATGCTTGGGACCAGAAGTGTTTTGAATTTTCAACTTTGGGATATTTTCATTATACTGAAGCATCCCAAATTCCAAAATCTGAAATCTGAAATGCTTCAATGAACATTTCCTTTGCACATCATGTGGGTTCTCAAAAGTTTTGGATTTTAAAGCATTTCAAATGGGAGATTTTTGGATTTGGGATGTTCAACTTGGTTCTAAATAAACTTTTAGATTTTAAGACCAATGGAACAAATCTATGCTAATCACAGTAAGTCCTAACATCTGCATATCTTTTCATTTGGTTCAAGAGGAAAAATAGTCATGATGTTAATTTTAGAATAGCCAGAAATTGAGGAGGAGGTGCAGTAC
Organism: Homo sapiens; assembly: GCF_000001405.40. Taxonomy (NCBI): domain Eukaryota; kingdom Metazoa; phylum Chordata; class Mammalia; order Primates; family Hominidae; genus Homo; species Homo sapiens. The sequence continues at coordinate 114,014,787 of NC_000010.11, read as the reverse complement.
AGAGGTTAAGCATGGCCTCTGTAGTCTCTCTAGGTTCTGGTCCCAGGTCCACCCCTTCCTAGCTATGTAACCTGAACAGTTTACCCAATGATGAGAATTAGGTGGGCTAAGTTTTGTAAAGTACTTGAGAGAGTACCTGGCACAAAGTAAGTTTGTGCTCGGTAAACTGAGTCCATCACTCTTCTAAACCCATCCTGACCGGTGTTCACTGCTGTTCCAGTTTCCATTGAAAACAGCATGGGGGCAAAACTATAGAGACAGTAAGAAAAAAAAAAGTGTTTGCCACTAGTTGCATGGGTGGGTGGGTGGGGCATGAACAGGTGAAGCACAGGGTATTTTAAAGGCAGTGAAACCCTTCTGCATGATAATGGTGGATACATGGCATTAGGAATTTGTCAAAACCCGTAAGACATGCAACACAAAGAATGAACCCTAAGCTATGGACTTTGGTTCATAATATTGGCTCACCAGTTGTAACAAATGAATCTCACTAATGGAGGATGTTTGTAATAGAGGAAATTGTGTGATGGGAAAGGGGTTATATAAGAATTCTCTCTATGACCTGCCTAATTTTTTGTACACCTAAAACTGCTATAAAAAATAAAGCATATTATTCTTTTTTAAAAAAGGTGTGGTAATGAACTAAATACAAAATGCCATCCCACCCACCTCAGTTCCCCCATCCTACAAATTCTCTGAGTGTACCTGTCAGTAGGTGTTGTCTTCAATTTTTCTCACTATCTGACTGTCTCCCTTTTTGATTTTATCCTTCACAAGATTTTCCTCCTAAGATGACGTAGAATGGAAATGGGATTTTGGTCAGCTCTATCACCATAGGACAAAGACAGAAAAGACTGTTCTCTCCTTTGGGAGTGGACCACTGACAACCAGGCACTTTTCCACCTCTCCTTTCATAGGAACTAATGTGAACAGCATTTAAATAGATGTCCCATCCAGACATAAGGGGCTGGGATGAACAGTGAAAAAATTTGTGATTTATCCTTGGTTTACATTTCAAAGAAATGAATTCATTTCTAATAGCCTCTTGTTCTAAGTACAAGGCGTCATCACTTATTGTGTGCACTACAGGTCATCAATAACCTGTAAATAATGATAAAAATTTAGTGTTTCACAAGTGTATTTGGGTTTCACATAGGCTGACTCTAGAGGCTGTGGGCGTACATCACCCTGCTGTTTGGCTTCCACAGGTTCTGACTACCCTAAAAGTAAGATGATTGCCTTTTTCCCTTCGAACCAAATGAAAAGATGAGAAGAGACTATAGCTTGCATGTAGCGCTAAGGAGACCAGCTGGCAGCAGGTTCACGTGGAAATACTCTGAATCAAGCAAGTTTGCCTAGCTTAGCTCGGTATCCAGTCTTTGGAATGGAAGTGGAAATTGTTCTCCGCATTGGGCACGCCATTGTCACATCCACATCCAAAGATGCCTTCTGAGCATGACAGCCGCGTTATCCTGAAAGACAATACATCAAGCCAAGGGCAAATAATATCCAATGTCAAATGCTCTCGGGGGTTTGAGAGGTGGATATAGTAAGTAATGGGATATTAGACGGTTGGAAAGCTTTACATTTCTCCTCTGTGTGCTAAGCACAGCCATCATTGCCCACCCATGATGTACCCTTATTTGAAGTGCTCCCCTCCCACAGCCCTTGCTGAAATCAGGACCCGGCTTGACAGTATTTGCCTTCAGCGACTGGCCCTATGACCACAGCTGATTGGGTCAGGAAAGGCTTCTGACCTCAGAGGACAAATTCCGAATGAAGGGACAGAGAAGCCTGAGTCTACTGGGGGACCCTGGAGCCCTGGGGTCATGTGAAGATGAGGCCTGGGCTTGTGTCATGGGAAGCCAGCAGCTAAGGGTGGGGAGCAGGGATGAAGCTCTTGCCTGCCATTGGTGGGTGGGTTGGGGGAGCAGACGTGCAGGGAGAGGCGGAGACAAGACCACACAGCCCCAGAGAGAGGGGCAGGGACAGGGTAGCGGCCTGACGCCTTTCCGGGTCCCTGGAGGCCCACAGAACTTCCCGTGTCAGGATCCCAGGAGGAGCCCCCTTTGCCTCATAATAACTCCCTTCTGAATTGTGCATTTTTGGGGAATCAGTGTTCCTTGCCAACAAGCGCTCTGTGTGGAAAGCACCCAGCTGCTGGGTGTCTGTATGTCCCAAGCACAGCAGCTTCCTCAAGCAACCCAATTAAAAAACAGTGGACAGTTCTTCAAAAAAGATAGATAAGGCCGGGCGCGGGGGCTCACGCCTGTAATCCCAGCACTTGGGGAGGCCGAGGCGGGTGCATCATGAGCTCAGGAGATCGAGACCATCCTGGCTTCCACAGTGAAACCACGTTTCTACTAAAATACAAAAAAAATTAGCTGGGCATGGTGGCGGGCGGCAGTAGTACCAGCTGCAAGAGAGGCTGAGGCAGGAGAATGGCGTGAGCCCGGGAGGTGGAGCTTGCAGTGAGCCAAGGTCGCACCACTGCACTCCAGCCTGGGCGACAGAGCTAGACTCCGTCTCAAAAAAAAAAAAAAAAAAAAAAAAAAAAAAAAAAAAAAGACAAATGGTCAATAAGCACATGGAAAGATGTTCAGCCTCATTAGTCATGAGGGAAAAACAAATCAAAACCACAGTGAGACACCACTTCACACCCATGAGGATGGCTACTATTTAAAAAATAAAATAAAATAAAATAGAAAGGGCCAGGCGCGGTGGCTCATGCCTGTAATCCCAGCACTTTGGGAGGCTGAGGCAGGCAGATCACAAGGTCAGGAGATCGAGACCATCCTGGCTAACACGGTGAAACCCCGTCTCTACTAAAAATACAAAAACAAAATTAGCCGGGCACGGTGGCGGGCGCCTGCAGTCCCAGCTATTCGGGAGGCTGAGGCAAGAGAATGGCGTGAACCCGGGAGGAGGAGCTTACAGTGAGCGGAGATTGCGCCACTGCACTCCAGCATGGGCGACAGAGCGAGACTCTGTCTCAAAAAAAAAAAAAAAAAAAAAAAAAAAAAGAAAAGAAAAGAAAAAAGAGAAAGAAAATAGGCAAGAGTTGTCAAAGGATATGGACCCCTCCTGCACTGCTGATAGGAGAGGAGACTGATGCAGCCACTGTGAAAAACGGCTTCACAGTTCCTCAAAAAATTAAACTTAGAATTGTCATATGATCCAGTAATTCCACTCCTAGGAATATACCCCAAAGAATCAAAAGCAGGGTATCAAACAGGTATTTGCACACGAATATTCATTGCAGCATTTTTTACAATAGTTCCAAAGTGGAAGCGACCCAAATATCCATCAATAGGTAAATGGATGAACAAAATGTGATATACACGTAAAATGGGATAATATTCAGTCTTAAAAAGAAATGAAATTCTGATCGGTGTTGCAAATAGTCATCCTTGTGAAATAAGTAAAATAAGCCTGACATGAAGGAACAAATATGGTATGATTTCACTCATATGAGGTAGCTAGAATAAGACAACTTTTTTTTTGAGATGGCGTTTCCCTCTTGTTTCCCAGGCTAGAGTGCAATGGCTTGATCTCAGCTCACTGCAACCTCCACCTCCTGGTTTCAAGTGATTCTCCTGCCTCAGCCTCCTGAGTAGCTGGGATTACAGGTGCCTGCCACTATGCCCAGCTAATTTTGTATTTTTAGTAGAGACGAGGTTTTACCATGTTGACCAGGCTGGTCTCGAACTCCTGACCTCAGGTGATCCTCCCACCTAGGCCTCCCAAAGTGCTGGGATTACAGGCGTGAGCCACTGCACCCGGCCAAATGTAAAGAGACAGAAAGTAAAATGATGGTTAGCAGGGGCTGGGGAGAGGGGGAAATGGGGGAATTATTGTTTAATAGGTACAGAGTTTCTGTTTGGGATGATGAAAAGTTCTGGAACAGGATAGTGGTGATGGTTGCACAACAATGTGACTGTGCCTGATGGCACTGATTGTACACTTAAAAATGGTTAAAATGGTAAATGTCATGTTATGTATGTTTTACCACTAATTAAATACATGAATAAATCAGGCTGGAGCCAACAGGCCCCTTTTCCCTTCTTCACCATTTTGCCGCAGTCACTCATCCTGGGCATCTGACATGTGCTGTCATGCTTCATCAGGGATGTTTGTGCTACTACATGTACATGAGGCTTGGTTACCCCTTAGAGGAAGCAAGTTGTTGACTGGCCTTATTTCAAGACAAGTTGGAATCTAGACATAAAATGTTGAGCAAAGGTTGGCTGGTTGTGTGCTTATTCACTGGAAATGCCATCTCCAGAGCACCCAGATCTAAATCTTTGGTGGATGAAGTATTTTGAAACTCCTGCCTAAGTATGTGCCATCGTTTTTCTGACCATGTTAGCAATTTTATCCACACTGAACACAAAGATTCCTCTGCCCTGGGTTGTTAAAAATAAGTGAGGAAGAATGTTCATGACAGAACCATTCATAATGATGAAAAGTCAAAAACAATCTGAATGCCTAAGGTAGGGATATAGTTAAGTATGATACATTCATGGAATAGAATGTTCTGCAGCCATTAAAAATCATGTTTCTAAGGCTATTTATGATGTGGAGAAATGCTCACAATATAATATTAAGTGGTTTTTCAGTAAGTGAAAAAGCAGGATACAAAACTGGATATTTATCATGGTTCCAATTGTGTCATAACTATATCTGTACAGAAACTATAAAGACAAATGCTACACTGTTAAAGGTAATTATTTCAGAGCAGAAAAAGTATATGTAATTTTTTTTACACTTGTCTTTTTTTCTACAATGCATGTTATTCTTATATTCAGGAAAATTCAATGTTATCAATTATTTTAAAAGAAAGTGAGGTGGGTTAGTTTTGGTGCATAGAGGAAATCTAGCATAGCATTCCTAGGACTTTTGTTTAAGGGTTTTAGCTGTCCAGAGATCCTTGACCTTTGGCCCTTGACCCTTGACTGGGTCTTCACTTGTCACAGGTGTTAAGAGCATGGCTGACTGGCAGTCTCCAACTCACTGCTCCTCCCAGAGACCACAGGTTGATGAATCATTTGTTTTGTTTCTCACTGATTCAAGATGGAAATGCAGCCACCTGCTTCTTTTGCTGGAATATGTGTCTAAGTTCAATAATTCATTGTCGTATTTACATTTTTTTCACTCTGAAGCTTTCCCTACTTGTCATATGTACCTGCTGCACTTCCAGAGCCCACCCTTGCTCACTGCTGTGTATCCAAAGTTGGGGCGACCCATCTTCCAATCCATCACCCACAGCAGCCCCCATTCTCCAATGCTTTAGAGCTCCTGACAACTTACTCAAACAGATAAGTGATTCATGCCTTGGAATTCCACTGCTTGTTTATCATCTACACAAAAATTATTTTGGGGAACTTGGAATTCATCGTGGTTTGAGTTTTACGGAAAAGAATAAATTACTCTTCCTCCCCAATAAAATGCGTTCCTAGTTTGCTATTGTATGGAACACTTAAACTACAAACAAAACAAAAGCTAGTGACACACTTCCTTGTGTTAACATAACAGACCAAAGGAAAGTTATTACCAAAGTTATTACCAAAGGAAAATCAAGTCAATCATTCAGTGCAAGTGGTATTTTATACCACTTAAAATGGCCATTTTCTTGGTGAGCACAGCACTGACGATTCTATGGGAATTGTTACATTCATATTTCCTAAATATAAACCCTGTCATTGGCCTATGCATCTTCTCTTTTGAAATATTTAGAATATTTCTTATGATTTATGTGTCTTTTTTACTGCATGGATCAATGTGGGATTGTGCAACAATAATTTAACTCAAGGTTGTTAAAATCTATAACCATGAAAGATACGCTTGCAATGACTCTGGGGAATATAATTTTGTTTGTTCGTTTGTTTTATCAATAATGACAATATGTTCTCTGGAATTCTTCCAAAAAGCCACCGTGTGTGGGTAAAAAGCACCATAGTCTTTGGAGACTTTGGAAACAAGTCGCTTTCCTTTACCAAAATGGATGCAACCTAGACCATTAAAATGATTGTCAACCTTGAACACAGAGACTGAACAAGGTTAAAATGTAAAATACTCCTATAGAAACACTTAGAGGAGTAAAACTTCAAAATAAAAATGAATCCAGAACGTTTGCTAGACAGAGCAGCCAATGTCATCAAACTCAGTTTTACCAGCACAATGTACCCTTGAGAGTCTTGTTTGACATTGTTGACTGTTTGGACACAATTATGGCTATTGTTGGTCACAGCTCTGACATGACATTAAACCAACAACATGCTTGGGCTGTCATTGTCTGAAGGTCAAGTTCAGATCATACCGGAGAGTTTAGTTACAGCTGAGTGGGTGACAAGAAGACATGGTCAAGACTGCTCTGCCATGGTGATTGAACAGCTCCATTGTAAGAACACAATTTTTAATCAAAGTGACATTGTATTCATAAGTGAGGAATAAATATAAATATTTTAAAATACAAAAGAAAAGGCTATCCAGTGGAGAAAGACCATAAATACCTGACAGGTAGATTGCTCTGTCTTCTGGAGGACCCGGCTAGGTAAATCCTCAAAGGTGCAGAAAATGCCTAGCTTTTGTTTTAGACTAAACACATCCTCTTCAAATCCCCGTGTTAAAACACAAACCCCTAATGTGATGATATTAGGAGAAGGGGCCTTTGTGAGGTAATTGGGTCATGAGGGTACAGCCCTCATGAATGGGATTGGTGCCCTTATGAAAGGAATTCCAGAGAACTTTCCTGCCCTCTTTCCTCCACATGAGGATACAATAAGTCAGCAGTGCAACCTAGAAGAGGGTGCTTGCCAGAACTCAACCATGCTGGCACCCTGATCTCAGACTGCCAGCCATCAGAACTATGAGAAATTTCTGTTTATAAGCCACCCAGTCTATGGTACTAGTACAGTCCAAACTGACAAAGACAGCCTGAAAATGGCAACTTCTTGACTAATGTTAAAAGTTCACCCTAGAGGCAGGTCAAGGAAGGTAATTACAAATAAGCACACGAATAAAAGCCTCAGCAATGCGACCCACCAGTTTATAAACATCAACTGTTTAATCAACTCTGTTAACTGATTTCATATCACTAAAAAAATCTAGGATGGGCATGGCGGCTCATGTCTGTAATCCTAGCACTTTGCGAGGCTGAGGTGGGAGGATTGCTTGAGGCCGGGAGTTCAAGACAAGCTTGGGCAACATAGTTAGACTCTATCTCTACAAAATAATGGTAATAATAAACTAAAAACAAATAAATATTTATGATGGCATTTAACAACTCAGTCTTGATTAAATTAACATCCTGAACCCTCCTCTAAAAATGGAAAGAAGGCTGGGCGTGGTGGCTCACAGCTGTAATGCCAGCACTTTGGGAGGCCAAGGTGGGAGGATCCCTTGAGCCCAGGAGTTTGAGGTTGCAGTGAGCTGTGACTGTGCCACTGCACTCCAGCCTGGGTGACAGAGCAAGATCCTGCCTCTAAAATAAATAAATAAATAATAATTTAGGGACAGTGGGCTGTAATTATTGCTTTTAACAACTTTATTGAGATATAATTCACATATAATACTACTTACTCATTTAAAAAGTACAATTCAGTGGCTTTTAGTATATCACAAGGTTGCACAATCATTGCCACAATTATAGAACATTGTCATCATAGCTACAAGAAAGCCTGTATCCCTTAACCATTACTCCCTAATCCTCCGTGCCCTTCATCACCTCCAGCCTTAAGGAACCACCAATCTACTTTCTCTCTACAGGTTTGCCTATTCTGGAGATGTCATATAATAGAAATAATATAATTGTGGTCCTTTGTCACTGGCTTCTTTCACGTAGTAGACTAAGTGCTTTCAAGGTTCATCCATGTGGCAGCATGTATCAGAACTTCATTTCTTTATATTGCCGAATAATACTCCATTATATAAATATACCACATATGCTTCATCCACTCACCAGTTGATAAACATGTGGGTTGTCTCTACTTTTTGGCTATTATGAATAATAATGCTGTGGACATTTGCATACAAATCTTGGTGTGGATGTGTGTTTTCAATTCTGGTATATATCTGGGAGTGGAATTACTAAGTCCTATGATAACTATGTTTAATCTTTCGAGTCAAAGTAGCTTCTAATTAAGATATTAAAACTTTCTTAAATATTTGCTCCAACATATATTTATATATAATTCAAGAAGGCCACCCTTCGAACCCTCATTATAACTATAGTTCACTCTATTAAGAGAATCAATTCAGACACTCCTAAGACATACAAATCTCTCATTATTCAGTGTCAGACTTTTTCTATATTGGTGTGGATTTATGTATGTGACACTTTCTCCAAAATAAGGTAACATCTTGGAAATGATTTTTCTTGTTGTAATAGCAACGCTGAGAGTAGGAGAGACAAAGGCAAGTAGAGACACTGAGATCTTGAGCTGCTTATACAAAGTCATAGCAAGTGTGTGGTGGCTTTCTTGGCCAGGCGTGGTGGCTCACGCCTGTAATCCCAGCAGTTTGGGAGGCCGAGGCCAAGGTGGATCACCTGAGGTCAGGAGTTCAAGACCAGCCTGGCCAACATGGAGAAACCCCATCTCTACTAAAAAAATACAAAAATTAGCAGGGTGTGGTGGCTGGCACCTGTAATCCCAGCTACTTGGGAGGCTGAAGCAGGAGAATCGCTTGAACCCGGGAAGCAGAGGTTGCAGTGAGCCGAGATTGCACCATTGCACTCCAGCCCAGGCAACAAGAGCAAAACTCTGTCAAAAAAAAAAAAAAAAGAAAAGAAATGGCTTTCTTTTTGTGGGCATAGGTCCCTCTCATTTTTCCTTCTTAGGAATATTGACAGTGTTTGTGTGTCTGAAGCAAATAGGTACCCACTCTCTCAGGTAGATCAGTGTAAACATTGTTTCAAACCAAGATGTTCTGAAATTTTCAGGAATGGGTACATGTGCTATTCAAGTACCTTTGGGAAAATTTGAAATGAATACTTTTTATTCATTTTAGGATGACACTCTTATTCTTATATGTATTTTTCCTGTAAAAGCTTTTAATTATTCTTAAATTTTTATCTGAAAACCTTGCTTCAAGGTTTGCTTCCCTATAAATCTTGGCACTTTATTCATTCATTCATTTCATTCACTCATTCCCTCAAAGTCATTTGTTTATTGAAAGCCAATGGGGGTTGCAAGGTAGTAAGAGAGAGGTTGAAAAAGAAATTTGATGGGGTTGGAAAGGTTGGCAGAAGTGGAACTTGTAGGGCTTTGCAGTTTGGTAGTAAGAGTTTTGGGTTTCATTCTATATCCACTGGGAAGCCACAGATGGCCTTCAAGGAAGGAAGTGACATGATATGTCTAAAAGATACCTCTGGAGTATTGGGGATATTGAGTTTATTGCACCAGTCCAGAAAAGAGATGATGGTGGCTTGAATTACGGAGGAAACAGTGCAGGTGGAGAGAAGAAGATGGGTTGGGGACGTATCTTAGAGGTAACCACAGAAGATGAGAGTGGAAGAGAAAAAGAGAGAATCAAGCTTGACTCCCAGGTTTCTGGTTCAGACATTGGGTGGATGGTGGTGCCTTTTGCTAAAATGAGAAAGACTAGGGAATAACTGGTGTGGAGGAAAAACTCACAAGTTTATTTTTGGATATGTGATATCTAAGATGCTTGCAAGGCATTCAAATAGAGATCTGTGCAAGCCAGGAAGAGTTCAAAGGTTCAGCTCAGGCAGGAGAAGCAAATTTGGGCATTTATGGCCTATGGCTGATACTTACACCTGTGGGAATTCTAAGGTCCCCTAGAGAGAGAATAGAGAGAGGGCTCAAGGCTAAGCTTTGGTGGACTCCAACATTTGAAAGTTGAATGGAGGAAAAGGGTCTTGCAAAAGAAACTCGGGAGAGGTAGACATAGAGCAGAAGGAAAGCCAAGAATGTGGATGCCACAGAAGCCAAGAAAAAAGAGTGTCTTCAGGGGAGGGTAAGAAGCTAGAGGTCTTGACCAGCACAGTTTCAGTGGAATGACAAAGTGAGAAGAGTAAGAGCTGGATTGTGGTGGGTTAAGGAGTGGAAAGGAGACAGATACAGTGAGCACGGGAACAATTCCTCTGAGAAGTTTGGATGAGAGGAGCAGATAAATAAAGACGTAGCAGAAAAAGGACACAAAGGGAGGTTTTCTTTAAGATTAGAGGTATGCCAACATGGCGAAACCCCATCTCTACTAAAAATACAAAAAATTAGCCGGGCGTGGTGGTGCGCACCTATAGTCCCAGCTACTTAGGAGGCTCAGGCAGGAGAATCACTTGAATCTGGGAGGCGGAGGTCACAGCGAGCCGAGATCGTGCCACTGCACTCCAGCCTAGTGATGGAGTGAGACTCCATCTCAAAAAAAAAAAAAAAAGAAAGATTACAGGTATGAATATACTTACGCACTAATTTGGAAGAAGGAAGGGAGGGAGATGGTCATAGTAGCAAAGCCCTAGAGGAGGCAGGGAGAATGGGTGATCCAGGATACCCGTTGGCTGTTGGTAGAGTTTGGCTGTTGATAGGCAGATGGACGCTTGCTCAGTGGTAAGAGAAGACAGGATGGAGAAGGTTCAAATCAATGCAAACAGGCACACAGATTTAAGTTACTTCTGGCTAATTTTTGTTGTGTTTTTTTTTTTTTTGAGACGGAGTCTCACTTTCTCGCCCAGGCTGGAGGGCAGTGGTGCAATCTCGGCTCACTGCAACCTCTGCCTCCCAGGTTCAAGTGATTCTCCTGCCTCAGCCTCCCAAGTAGCTGAGATTACAGGCACGCATCACCAAGTCCAGCTAATTTTTTGTATCTTTATTAGAGATGGGGCTTAACCATGTTGGCCAGGCTGGTCTCAAACTCCTGACCCCAGATGATCCACCCGCCTCAGCATCCCAAAGTGCTGAGATTACAGGCATGAGTCATCGTGCCTGGCTATGTTTTTATTTTTTAAAATATATGTGAGGCAAGATTAGCAGTTGACAACTGGGGTGTAGAAAGAGAGAAAATGTTTGGGAATAGTATCTTGTTCAGTGGGAAAATATGCTTACTAGAAAGAGAAAGAATTAAACTATCAGGCTATGTTGAGGACCACTGGAGATAATACATTTAAAGTGAAATCAGATTACCCACTGACTGTGAGATGACTTTCGGTGGCACAAAACACAGGTTAAATAACAGTGAATTTCAGAGTGAGAACACTATTCTTTTTCAATTCTTTTTCAGTTAATAAGGAGAAAGTCTCCATGTGGTATGAGTATGTCGATAGCATCTCTTAACTTCTGCTACTGTCTCTTTTTATTCAAGACAGAGCAGGCTTCAGACTTGGAGCCTTCCATCTGAAATTACGTCAAGCAGGAATCTAATAATACTCCTTTGCTTTCATGGTACTTAATTTTTTATGACTGTTATGTTTCTGCCAAGTGATACTGGTTTTTCATTTATGTTGATGATATGCAATTTCTTTTAAAAAATAGAACTGAGTTTACAAAGTGAGGAAATATAAAGAGAAATCCGGAGCTGGGCGTGGCGGTGTGCGCCTGTAATCCCAGCTACTGGGGAAGTGGAGTGGGGAGGATCTCTTGAGTCTGGGAGTCAGAGACCAGCCTGGGCTACAGAGTGAGACCCTGTCTGAAAAAAAAAAAAAATTGGGTTAATAATAGAGTAGGGAACCAAGCACGGTGGCTCATACCTGTAATCCCAGCACTTTGGGAGGCTGAAGTGGGCAGATCACTTGAGGTCAGGAGTTCGAGACCAGCCTGGCCAACATGGTGAAACTCCGTCTCTACTAAAGATACAAAAATTAGCCGGGAGTGGTGGTGCATACCTGTAATCTCAGCTACTGAGAGGCTGAGGCATGAGAATCACCTGAACCTGGGAGGTGGAGGTTGCAGTGAGCCGAGATCGCACCACTGCACTCCAGCCTGGGGAACAGAGTGAAACCCCATCTCAAAAAAAAAAAAAAAAAATAGCATAGGGAGTGTTGGGACATGACCAAAATGGCGACAGCAGCATTGAGAAGATGGGATGCTGGGACACACAGCAGTACCTTGCGTGGCCTCTTCTGATTTTCATCAGGGCAAAATACTTTTAGCTTTTTTCTCTCTTGTACATCACTCACATAGAGAAGATGGGGCGTTGGGACACACTGCAGTACCTCATGTGGCCTGTTGTGATTTTTATCAGGGCAACACGGTTAGCTTTTTTTCTCTCCCGTAAGTTACTCTTAAAGACATGAGACTCAGAGGCCTTGAGGAGGGATGCACAGCCCTGTGGGGTAGGTACCACACAGATGAGTTAGGAGTCCGATTTTTCAGGAGCTGCCACATGGGCCAATCCAGTGACAAGTGCTCGAGTTAGGTGACATGGAGACCCCAGGCGGAAGAGCAGGCAGGCATGCTCAGTGCCCACCCCTCCCCTCCCAGACAGCTGCTGCTCCTGTAATAGAGCCCTCCTGGCTGCCATCTGTACCCATCAGCCCTCTGCAGCACTATCATCCTGCCTGGAGCCTGTTGTCATAGTATTCAGAGCGACCTGCCTGCTTTGCTGTGCGAAAGGGAAAGCTGGGAACACATCTTCAGCCAGTCCAACTTCATTCTCCTTTGGCCTTTGTGAGGGCCTGGATACAACCATTGGATGAATCCAACACTCAAATATTCCCAGTCAGTGGTGCCTTAAGGGAACTTACTTCCTAAATTGAGATTGTGCCTTTCTTGGTAGAAGAAGGAAAAAGTCTCTCTTCTTTGTAATGTATGTGCTAGATGTTATGTGCTGGAGGCACTGCTACTTGACTCTAGCAGTGTAGTATGTTGCACTAACTCTCACCCATTGGCCTGGGACTGTCCCCCTTTTAAAACAGAAAGTCTCACATTCCAGGAACCCCTTCAATCTCGGGCAAACTGAGATGATTGGTCACCCCAATCTTAGGTGGGGAGACAAGTGTATTGGTGTTTCTCTTGGACACCAAAGAATGTTTGGATGATTGTGTCCAGAGAAACTGTGTTTTGACAAAGTCAAAGAGAATTAAATGATTTCCTCATTCAGATTTAGACCACAGTGAAAATATGAAAACGGTGCTGTTTTTGTTAATATAAGTTATGTAATGCACCGAGAACAGGGTTTGTTGCATCAGCAGTGGCTTTAATTGGGCTGAGCCAGGAAAATCCGCAAAGATCCATTCTTCTAGGCATGTTTATAAAACCTGCTGTGTTCGTAGTGAAATCTAAAACTCCAATCAACTTCCTACATGGTGTGCCTGTCTGCAAAACAGGTTATGCTTACCCAAAATATTTGGAAATTGCATGGTGTGCCACCTCAAAATAATGCCAGCTACTGTGATAAACGACTCCAAAATGTACAATTGCTCAATGCAATAGAAGTTTTTTGGTGGCATAAAGTCCAAAACAGGTGTTCTTGATTGGCTGGCAATTCTCCCCCAAGCAAGGATTCAGGGACCCAGGCTCCTCCCATTTTTTGGTGTCCCCAGCATACGGCTTCCAAGGTTGTCAAAATTATCTGCATCAAACCAATGGAAGGGTAAAGAACATATGCAGTCACATACACAAGAGATTTGGGGGAAGGCAAGTTGGATGTGGCCACATCACCTACTCACATTCCACTGGTGACCTCAGTCGCAGGCCACAGCCAGTGGCAAGGTGGTCTGAGATATGCTGTCTGGATGCTGCCTAGGAAGAAGAGGAAATGGGTTTGGTGAAAGCTAACAGTCTCTATCACAGATGGGTGTCTTGTGTCTTTCTCACTATAAAACACAGACAGATTTAATCCTGAAGGCAAGAATCCTGAGACTGCAGACAGAGTGGGATTAGATTCTGGCTGATTCTCTTCTTCTTTCTAAACATAAGTCATCACACTTTCTAATCCTTGGAACATGTGAACATGTTACTTTACGTGGCCAAAAAACACTTTGCAGATGTGGTCAAGTTAAGGACCTCGAGATGGAGAGATTATCCTGAATTATCTGAGTGGACCCCATGTAATCACAAGGGTCTTTCTAAGACAGAGAGAGGAGAATCGGAGAGAGCTGGAGATGCGCTGGTTCCTGAAGGCTTCTTAGTGCAAATGTCTGGTGCTTGGGCTGGGAACACTCCAACATTGAGGAAGCGGAAGAGCTAGTAACCTCAGGGTATAGCCAAACTGCTGACATTGTGGTTCTGGTCTCCAAAGTGGAGTTGCCAGATAAAATACACCCAATTAAAGACTAAATTTCAGAGAAATGATAGAAAATTTTTCAGTATGACCCACGCAATGTTTGTGATATACTGCAAAATTATTTGTTGTTTTTCTAAAATTTAAATTTAAATGAGGGTCCTGTATTCTTAATTGCTAAACCTTGCAACCCTATTCCAGAGGTACATGTCCTGAGAGAGAACCAGGCAGCAGCTCTGTTGCCTTTTCTGGTTCAGTATTAGAAGTTGCATAGCATCCTTCTTGCCTAGATAGAGGAGGGTCAATATCACATTGTAGGAGAAGCCTATAGGATGAAACACACACATATATATATTTACTCATGTGGCCACCTTTGGAAAATACAGTCTTTGGAGTAGTTAGTTCCCTTTTGTAAATTTGAGAAAACTCAGGTACAAATGTCTTGGTGAGGTGATATTGCCAATAAGTATGGAGTTAGGATTCAAATCCATGGCTGCTTGGACCCAAAATTAGTTTTTGAGCTCATGATAACTGAGAATGGGGAAAGTTTTATAGTTAAACATGCATTCTAGGCTTAGAGAAGCAGATTTCCCGAAGATCAGAGGAGAGATAGGCCAGATGTTACGTTCAGGGACTTTCAGATGAATGATATCTCAAGAGAGTTGGGATGCTCTCTGAAATGTCACTCTATATCTGCCATTGCAAGTGATTCTGCTGTGGAAGAAAAGGGGAAGGGAACTAATAAAACCAGGGACTGCATAGGAAATTCTCTGATGCTCTCAGATTTTAAAAGGGCAGGGACAAAAATGGGAAGGAAGAGCACTTAACCAAGGACAAATAGAAATTAGCGGCTGAGAATTGCAGGAATAGTAGCAGGAAGTGTTTACGCCCCAGAAGATCTCTGTGCCAACGCCCAGGAAACCAAGCAAGGGCTCGACTTACTGCTTGGGGTCAATGGTGCAACATTTATGGGCCCGAAAAGCAAGGAGCTCTTCCAAGGAAAGAACCTTGAAACTCAACCAGCCTCTGGAACACAGGAGAGGATCAATTCATATTGGTTGAATGCATGAATGAACAAACAAATATGTCTAGGAGGGAACTGAAGAGAGAGGCCACAGTAAGAAAACACTGGGTTCTCCTAGTGCAGATCTATAGTGGAGTGAGATGCTCCCAGCACAGACTCTAAAGGAAAGAAGAGCAAAGTGGCCAAACATCAGCCTAATGTACAGAAGGAATGATTAATGACAATTGAAATGGGTTACTGGGCAAAAATTACCCCCATTCTATTGCAGAATTGGCAAAAGAAGTTTTGATTTGGAAGCTTCTTTGGTTTGAAATCGTTAAAATGTTAAACGTAGACATGTGTTTTAAAGCACTGTTCTGCTTTAGTATAACTTAAAGAATCTTCTAATCTTGTGTCTTTAAAATATGTATTTATTTATTATTTGAGACAGGGTCCCACTGTGGCACCCAGAGTGGCTCCCTGGCTCAAGACGTCTTCCCACCTCAGTCTCCTGAGTAGCTGAGACTATGGGCATGCACCACCATGCCCAGTTAACTCTTTATTTTTTGTAGAGATGGAGTCTTCCTATGTTGCCCAGGCTGGTCTCAAACTCCTAGGCTAAAGTGATCCTCCCACTTTGGCCTCCCAAAGTGTTGGGATTCCAGACATGGGCCACCATGCCTGGCCCTATATTTTCTTGGTAGGAAAAAACTTTAGTTCAATTTCCTGCTAGCCAGATAGTATCAAACATTGGCTTTTACTCAGATGTTCCTGGAGTTGAGTGTAATTTACTAACAGAAGCGGTATCTTGTGATTATTTCAGTACTTATTACTAAGAAAAACAGGAAACTTTTTTGCATGCAAAATGAATGGTATGATACAATAAAAGGTTTGCTTTTGGTTTGGTTGCGCTTTTAAAATTTGTCTGTTGATAAAAAGTAATTTTGACTATTGTAATCCATAAAAATGGTTTGATTTCCATTTATAGATTTTATGAATAAAATGCTAGAGTTTTCCATTATGCTGTTGTGAGATTTGCATTCAAAACGTCTGCAATTGAAACCATTTTAGTTTATTTAGGTATTCAGAAACCTGTTGACAGCCACTCAAATAAAAGACTTTTTTTTTTTTTTTTTTTTTTGAGACAGAGTCTTGCTCTGTGGCCCAGGCTGGGGCACAGTGGCATGATCTCAGCTCACTGTAACCTCCACCTCCTGGGTTCAAGCGATTCTCCTGCCTCAGCCTCCTCAGTAGCTGGGATTACAGGCATGCGCCACCATGCCCAGCTAATTTTTGCATTTTTAGTAGAGATGGGGTTTCACCATGTTGGCCAGGCTGGTCTTGAACTCCTGACCTCGTGTTCCGCCCACCTCAGCCTCCCAAAGTGCCAGGATTAGAGGCGTGAGCCACCACACCCGGCCAAAAAAAGACATTGAACACATTTATTTGATCATTACTTTTCGAATTCTTACCATGTGCAGGCTGTGTTCTAAGCACTGGTAAGAGAGCAATGAATAGGATGGGGCCAATTAACAAGTAATCAAATAAACTAAAAGAAAATATATATCTCATGGGTAATGTATGCCATAAAGAAAATAAAACAGGTAAGAAGGCATGTGGTGATTGCAGAGGCTTTTATTTTAGATACTTAGATAAGATTTTTATAAGGGGTGACATATGACCATAGATTAAATGATAAGAAGCCATCCATTCTGTATATAGTAAGTATAATAAAACAAATATTATCCCTATATCAAATCACTATGAAAGTCCATTTATTTAGTGAGTGAATGAGTGAGTTAGTTCACAGGTTAGCCAGATGGTGAGCTGTGGGAGCTGATCAGCTAGTCCATGTGAGGCTGTTGTTTTTGCCTCTGAAGTCAGCAGGGCAGGCACGTGGGGAGAGAAGTGAGGGAAGTGAGGACAGGGATGAGCTCCAACCTCACTGGTTCCTCAATGCCTTCAAGCCTCCACCCTCGGTGCACTTGGTCTAGGGGCTGAGTGTGCACCTGGCCAGGAGCCACAGGAGCTGAAGGAAGTGATCCTGTGGGAACCAGAGGAGCCGTGGCCCAGCTGCTGGCCAACAGCATGAGCCAGTGGGGGAGTCTCAGCGTGCGCGAGCTGCAACAGCACCTGGAGCCCTGCAACGACCTTCCTCGCAAAAAGAAGAAGGCTGCTGCTGCGTTTCTGTCTTCCAAATCTTGAGCACAATATCCCCTGTGGGCCACACCAACCTGGAACCGTGCAGGGAGGGGAATAGAAATGGAGCTCCAGCTTTGCTGAGTGGACACAGCAGGAGCCCACCCCAGCTTGCTCTAGGAACAGCAAGATGCCCCGGGTGGCCCAGCGCCCTCGTCTTTGCTTGTGTCTTGCATCCTCGGTGCCGATCTGTTTAATACTATAGCCTGCCCTCCCATAGCCCCAGCTCAACACTTGCAGTCCTCATTAATTTCACTTTATTTTCCACAGCACTCATCACCTTCTTACATGCTACATAATTAATTGATATCATGTCTATTGCTTGTTATTTATTTCTCACCAGTAGAATGGAAGCTCCGCAAGGGTATAAACATGTTCCTGTTTTGTTCCATGATATATCCCAAACACCTAGAACAGCCCTGCCACATTGTGGGCCTTTAATACACACTGTGGAGTGAGAGAACCAACATGGCAAAAGCAAAGAAAATAGGGAAACTGTTAGGGTGTCAGGGAAGAGCCTGGAGAAGTCAGCGGCTGCCAAGTCAGGTAGCATAGATTTTATACTAAGTGTACTGAGAAGCCTTTGGGAGGTTTTTGGCAGAGGAGTCAAGTGTTGTGTTTGATATTTTTAAAAGATAACTCTGGTAATGTGTGGGGGGTATATGGGAGACAGGTGAGCCTAGAAGCAGGAAATCCAGGTAGGAAGTGGTTGCAGTTGTCCAGCTGGGATGAGGGTGGCTTGGTCTATGGTGATTGCAGAGAAGGGGAGGCCGGTGATGAGATCCAGCATCTACTCTGATGGCTGAGCTATCAGCACTGCCAACATTTTAGATGTAGAGGATGAAGATAGCTCAGGGTTTTATCCTGAGCTCCTATGTGAAACGGTGAATCCATTAGCAGAGATGAAGACTGGAAGAGAAGCAAGCTTAAGCACAGAAACTGAGATTTTCATTCACTCACTCAACACATATTTACTGAGCCCCTCCTCTGTGCTGGGAACAGCACTTGGTCTTGGGGATACATAGGTGAACAAGCCAGACTAAAATTCTTGCCCTCAGGAGATTACATTGCAGGGGAGGAGAGAATGACAAACAGGAGCATCAGTAGGAGGACAAGAGGAGGGGATAAGGAAAGGGGAGAGGGTGAAGAAGGTTGTAATTTTAAGTTCAGTGGGCAAGGAAGGCCCGTTTAACCTTGGAGGAGGTGAGGGAGGACATTTGGTGAGAGAACTTCCCAGGGAGATGGCATGCCAAGTTCATCTATGGCAGAGCCTGTCCTTGGTAGACAGCAAGGAGACCAGCCTCAAGGGGAAGGGCCGCAGGAGAGGAGGCCTGAGGAGTGATGGGGTGGGGTTGGGTGTAGAACAGACCATCTCATGGATCTGTATTTGGGGTGAGATGGGAAGCCACTGGAGGCAGAGGAGTGACATGAGCTGATGTAATGTTTCCAACACGCTCATTGGACATCCCAGTGGAGACATCAAGGAAGAAGTTGGATGAGTCTGAAGCCCAGGGGAGAAATCATAGCTGCATTTGGGCACCATCAGTGTACCATGGAATTTAATGCCAAGGGACTAGATAAGGTCAACCAGAGAAATACTGTAGATAGATAGCAAATAAAGGCAGCAAAAATCCAAGAAGAAAGTGTCATGCAAATACCCCAGACATCTATCTGATTCTTGGTTCTGCTTCTTTCCCATCAGGGAGCCACTATTGGGAACAATGGTTGATCTAATTCACATGCAATGCTCTGAGAGTTCATAGTGAAAGAGATTTACAAATTCAAGTTGCATATTACATTCGCATGCATGTTGTAGCTCTTTATAAGAAAAGCTGCGACTATAAGCAATGTCTGTGGGCAGATTAGCTGAGGGGGGCAAGAAGTGATCAAAGATTCTCAGCACACTTAGCTCCAGGTAAAGTTCAACTTTTGCTCCTTGAACCATAGGCAGTTGTTGGCAGAGACCATTGCTTTGTGTAATAAGACCATTTAAGGTCACAGTCAGCTGGAAGCTTTTGGTCAAAAGTTACCCTTGCCTGAGCACAGATGGTTGGAGGCTAGCAGTGGTCTGGCAAACCAGCTATGTGGGTGGGATGAGGTTGGGGAGGAGCTCTGATTTGTAGTAATAGCCGATTTCCATGGTGCAAATACTTTATCAACAGCCAATTTCAAGTTAAGTCAATTTCAATGGTTTAACAACTGGCTCTCAAAATTCTAGCAATTTTCTTGAGCATTTAACAGCTGGCTCCAGCACACCAGCCTATTTCTCTCCATAACCCATGGCAAGTCTACACCTTTAAAACCTTGATTACTGTGGCTTCTCAGATTTTCTCCACTCCCTGCGTCCATGACTATAGCTCACATTGACAATGGTCAAATGCCCAGCACAATGACATTTATCTTTGGAATTGGGAGCTCCTCTCTGTTACAGTCTCTTTTAGCTAAGACCCCAAGAAGACATCAACAATGTTTGCTGAATTGAACTACTGTCCTTGTCATTTCCTACTGCAGGATACTTATCCTCACTTGGAGTGAGCCATATATCTGCTTATACATGAGACTCTGCATCATTAAAGTATTTTGAAACCTTCTATAGGGAGGGCCTTAAACTTGATGCTGGGGATACAAAGGGCACAGATTTGTCTTTCAGGGACTTATAAAAGAGTTGAAAAAATACAAAGAACACCTAGAAAGGTTGGTATTATTATTTTTAAGAGCCATCAAATGTTCCATGCAAAATGAGACACCCAGATGGTGAATGCTACAGGGGTTCATAGTAGGTAGAGTTAGGCAGGTTTGCACGGGGAATGTGGGGCTGGCATCTGTGCTAATGCATAAACACTGTTTGAAGCTTGGGGCTGGGATTCCATTGACTTTTCTCATGGACTTTGGAGAATGGTGCATCTAAGAAAGCACCATTCTCCAAAGCACTTTAATGATCAGCAAAATGCTGTGGACCTCAGGATTGTACATTGGAACGAAGACAGACCATATATATGGTATTTATTGATTTAAATCTATTCATTATTGTCCCCACCCCCACCCCAAATTCTACCCTATTTCTAAAAGTCATATATGGAAAATTCACCATCCTTGGGGACTCATTTCTATGAAGGGGTGGGAAAGAGACTGTTTACTAAGCTGATCCACTGCATTCAGAGCCCGGTGGCCTTTCTCCCATATGTACGTTGTGTTTGGAGAAATGGGTCAAGCATAGTTCATCAGTCAGTGGGTTTTCTACCAGTCCCTGTAGCCTCTTTCTTCATGTTCATCAGCACAGCTGGCGTGAAGCATCTCGGGTGGGTCATGTGGCTGGGGAAAGAAGTGACATATAGCTGTACCAAAGTGTGGCCACCTCCAGATCTCTGGGACAGGAGGCACTTTGTGGTCAGTAGAAGACACGAATGTCAGCCACCGGCCTTTCTGTATATGTGATGGTGACTTGGAGGAACTGCAGAAGGCAGAAAACATCCAGACAGGAAGGCTGTTCTCAGTAACATTTGTGCCGCATTCTTCCTCGCCCCTGGTGAGCCTTGCAACACGGAGACTGGTGACTCTGGGAGCCAAGTGGCTGATTGGGAGCCCCAGGAGGCAGCAAATACAAACTAATCTTCAGGCCCACCAGTTTCCCTGAAACACACCACTTGCTAAACTGTGACTTTCAAGCCAAGAGAAGCAATTTTCCATAGCTCAAGTCTGGATTTTACCTCCTGGAAAAGGCTATGAAACCACATGGGTCAGAAAGCCAGTGGTGTGGGGTTTTTTGCTGTTTTTCATGGAGAGCCAGAGGGACAACTCCAAGATTCCAGATGTATGGCAGCTGGATAAAATGTGTGCACAAATCTGCACAGCAGCTTCAGAAAGGGAACTGCTAGAGGCTTCTAAAAACAGATCATTGACTTCCTTCTCTTTTCTTTTTTCTTTTTCTTTTTTTTTTTTTAGGCTTATCAGAACCTCTGGACATAGATTTTTGGAAAGAAATAAAGAGAAAAAAACAAGCCCTGTTGGCACTGGTTGTTTTGTTTTTTCAATTTTCTTGTCAACTGACTCATGCTAAAAAAAAAAACAAAAAAACCCCAAAAATGTCAGTTTCAATCAATTTCAATCCCACAGACCAGAAAAATAGAGAATTTATAGGCAACTATCGGAAACAAAGGAACCATCTGGTTTTTTTAAGTATAATTTTTCTCTAAAATAGTTTTCTCCAAGTAATAAGATCATTTATTTGTCCTCACTACACCACTATGATTTTTTTTTTTTTTTTTTTTTTTTTTTTTTTTTTTTTTTTTTTTGCCATAGAGCCTCAGAGGTCAACTTAGGTGGGTTTCTTAGAAAAGGGCCCTTCTCCAGAGTGAGTGGGCTTTCACATCAGAAGGACTGTCGGGTGATTGGCACCTCTGTCCCTTTAAGTAGGGAGGGCTTTGCTGTCATGGGAAGCAGCCCAGGCCACTGGTGGAGGTCATCCAACCCTGGTTATCCCGGTTCATTTGTCATTGAATAGTGACAATTCTCACTTTTGTCCAGGAATCTCCAGAGAGGTTTTACAACATCGTGACTAAGACTCAGTCATGTGCTGGCAGCTTCCACAGGCTAAAGATTGACTCCCCCCAGAGCCAGAGGTGGCTCCATAAATTGGGCAGAGCCTTATGTAACCCATGTAACAGCAACCAGGTGTCTCGAAATCTTCCAGCCTTCAGGCTCCCTCCTCCCCATCAGTGCGACGCTCACTGGCTCCCAGCCCCATCCCGCATCCAGGAGCCAGCTTGCATCCACTCCCAGATTTCTGCAGATTCCTGCTGGAGCCTTGCGTTCTTCTCCCAGTCCTTGCCTCAGCAACTTCCCTGATTGGGTTTCCTCACTCGACAGCTTGCCTTCCTGGACCCCTCTCTCTGCCTGCCTCTCTCTCTCACCCACCCAAATGTCGAATGCAGCTTGCTTTCCACAAGACACCCCGCTACAAGACTGTGGCACTTGGCCGACTTTACTGATGGCCTGGGGGAGATGGGGCGGAGTTGCAACAGAACATGACGCTGCGGTGACCTCTGTGTGCTTTTCCCTCCCAGGACCTCGGTCTCCTGAAGTGGTACTAGTCCCCTTTTGTTCCTGGGAACGGGTCTTGCTGTTCCCAGGTTTTCTCCCATTTTCTCTAGCCTCCCTGGCTATCCCATTCGTCTCTGCTAGACTGCCCCCAAATCTTTACATTCCTCACACTTTATTTTGCTTCTGAGCTTTTTCCTTTTTTAAATTTTCTTTTTATTTTTTGAGACAGGGTCTCGCTTTATCACCTAAGCTGGAGTGCAGTGGTACGATCCACAGCTAACTACAACTAAACTCAAACTCCTGGGCTCAAGCCATTCTCCAGTCTTGGCCTCCCAAAGTGTTGGGATTACAGGCATCAGCCACCGCACCAAGCCTGCTTCCAAGCTTTCTGATCTCACCCTTCCCCAGGCAGACTATGTTCACAGGCCTCTCCTCCCTCCTCCACCTGGCTCACAAAACCAATAAGGATACTTTTATCCTCAAGAATGAAAGAAAGAAGCAACAGTCTGCAGCAGAGAGGAATTATGCCATTCTTCTAGAAGGCAGCAGAGGCCCCCATCAACAGATTGGGTATTAGCTTTATTTCTCACTAAGCCATATCGCGCTCTTTTGGTCTAAGATCATGCAGGTTCTTTGTTGCACTGTGATCTAGGTTCAGGTACATAGTAAGTGTCTCTTATATGCCAGACATTCTAGTGGGTACTACAGATACAAGAGTGGACAGGACTGACAAGTTCCCTGAACTCACGCAGCTGAGGCAGACAGCCACATGCGGACTGTGGAAAGCCCCAGAAAATGCCTAGGCCCCACTCCAACAACATCCTATTTTACCTCTCTGGAAATTCAAGTTGCATGGACAGTAGCCGTAAAGTCTTGGAGTCATCATCCAGCGTCTACTCTGGTTCTGCCTCTGCCCCTGGCCAGGGGCTGGTGGCCAGTGCTGGGGACACACATTCACCATCCAGGTGGTAGCTGGAGAAGAGGCGAGAGATAACCTGGGGCCCAGAGAGATCAAGGCTGAGACCGCAGAACACCCACAGAAGCCGCGGCATTGCATTCCAATTTCTGTTTTGTGACCACATCTATGGACTCAGAATGAGGCATGGGGGAGCCACAGGAGCCACGCATGCCACAATTATGGTTTTCAGCAGTTGTGCTCTCATCATTGTGGTTGGGCAGAGAGGCTTAGAACATGTACAGAAGAGAATGATTCTGAGCCTGCCAAGTGCTAAAATGCAAGGAAGCAGTTTAAAGCAGCCTCAGGGAGAAGAACCAGACCCTTCCCTGGCTCCCATGAAACTGGCTGAGACAGAAACCACTGGACTTTATTCTGTGTTTTAAAATTCTATATGCTTTACTTTCATTTCTTCTAGAATTTTCTGCTGTGCTTTCACTGCTATTTTCCAAAGGCATGAAAATAAAATCACTGGTTGACAACAAAGAAGCCACCTAAAACTTTGGTTCTGACCAACATGTGATCTAGACGAGAGCTTCTCAAGCTCACAGGCACATGAATCCCCTGAGGATCTGGTTCAAATGCAGATTTTAATCCAGTAGCTCCAGGGTGGGACCTGAGATTCTGCATTTCTGACAAGCTCCTGGGTGGTGCAAAGCTGCTGGACTGCGGGCCACCTGGGTCTACCAACACCATGTCTATGGTTCGGAGTCATGATGGGATAAGGACAATGGAACACCCGAGACAGGACAAGAGGCATATGTCAGTGACCAGGAGAGAAACAGCCTTTCTTTTCCCTCTGCTCTTCCCAAGGCTGCAGTTTGTGCTCCTGTAACTGGGTCTGATCTGCTGATGTTCATTCTCACCCTTGGCAGGCACCCTGGTCCCCTAGAATATTCCCATCCTTCAAGGAGGGAGCCATGTTTCCGAGACCCTTTACCTTTAGTAAGAAGAGCAGCTCTGAGTTCCAATATAGAATTTGATTTTTTTCTCGAACCAAAGTTGTATGGCCTTGGCCTGGGAAGGAATTACTCTCCTTATATTGCACAAGAGGAGATATGATTTATAATAGGCCTGATTGTTTCCTTGTTTATTCTTCACAACAAATCTGCAAGGAGTTCTTTCTATCTCCATTTATAGATGGGGGATACTGAGGCTCCAAGAGCAATCAGGTGACAAGTCCTAGGTCACGCAGCTGATCATCTGCAGAGCTGACTCAACAGACTGAGTTCTTTCTATCACATCTCACTGCCTTTCACTTATGCAGTTATTTAAAAAGCTTGGGGCTTGCCTGGATTTCAGACACTCTGAAATCCATTATTTCTGACCCCACTACCAAACAGAGTGACCCTAAATTGCTAAAGAAAAGAGATGAGTCTTTAAGTACCAGGCAAGATTTATTAAATAGACCAGTGGATTTACCCTAATGAACTTTTTGAATTTCGAGGGTAAAGAAAAAAAAGCATTGTAAGCATCCAGGAAAATTATTACAAATGAATAAATATCAGTGTGAATTTATAATTTTCCTGCATTACATGAAACAAAAGAAGCAACTGAACAACATCCACATAATTTGGGAAAAAATGCTTATGAACTACTATTTCTACATTCAGCCGAGTAATGGTCACACACACTCAGATATTCTAGACCTCAGAAAGTCAACCACTTACCTGCCCTGCTGAAAAAGTTACTCAAAGAACTGACCAGAAGCAGTCAAATGACAGATGAAGTAAAAAAATCACTTAAGAATGGGAAGGACACACAGAATAAGTGTATAGGTCTTAAACTATGAAACCAGTTAAATATAAGTAAATCCAAATAATTATTGCTAATATGGTTATAAAAATTAAGTAAATATTAAAATAATTATTGAAAGAGAACATATACATTATTAGTAACAGTAATTTAATCCAAAAATTCCACATTGATCAAACCAGAGCTGAGAATGGTTGGAAGAAGAAGAAAGTAAGTAATATACTAAATATAATATTTTACATAAGAGAAAGGTAATAGGTATTATTTCATTCTTGTCATTACTAATTAGAGAAAAATGAATTTAAATGAATCTTAACCAGTAACATAGTTAGAGAGGATACATTGCACTTTTTCAAAATGTTAGAAGGAAAAAAAATAAAACATTATCAGAAAGAAAAATATACCTCAACATGTCCAGACGTTGCTCCTAAATAATGGAATGATGTGTGATTTTATTTTCTTTTTACTTTTTTGTTTATAATGTAATAAACATGCATCATTTTGTAATGTAAAAATAAAACTATAAAACTATTATAAGAAAAATGTGCTCCTTTTAAAAAACTACATATAGATCTAATACTGTACACAGTTCATCACACTGAATAGCCGTGCTAACTAGATTTTTTTCCTTTTTGGTCATCTGTAGTCCCAGCATGAAATTTACCTGTTTCAAAGTCTCAGATGTGGGAATGAATAATTGATATATCTGGAACCTTCTATGAATATATCAGATGGCCTTTACTTTTGCAAATAGCATCAGATGGAGGGAAAAATTAATTACCTTACCTTGAGAGCTGTGATCACCCAACCACCCAGACAGAACCTTCTCCTTTAAGCACTTCATTTTTAGCTCTTTGAAAGTCATAATTACCATCATCACTACCATCATCATCATTATCGTCATCAACACCATCATCATCATCATCGTATATGTTTGCTGAACAACTATTATGTGCCAGGCTAGGTACCTAATATCTTTCATACATGCTCTCCTGTTAATTCTCACTACAACTCTATGAGGTGAGAATGCTTGTCCTCTTCTTAGAGCTGAGGAGACAGGCTCAGAAAAGTTTAAGTTGCCTGACTGATGATTGATGATTGATGGCTGATGACGACTTACAGTGATTTTTAAAAAGTATGAACATTTTATTTCAGTAATACAACAGACACTACTCACTTTTGGACATTAGAGGAAAGAAAGAAAATGTCCAATTCCACTGCCCCCACAGAGCTGTACAACACAGCATTTCATTATATTACTGTGATTCATTCATTCTTTCACTGGAATATTTAACAAATACATGGTACCCCATTCTGGGGAGGCATAACCCTAGGAACTATGAGGTCTGCACAGACCAAAAGGGTGAGTTTTCTAGACAAATTTAGGAGAGGATAAGACAAAGATAACTATCATGCAAGTCAAAAATGGCAAATGTGCTAAAAACAAATGCAAAATGCTATGAGAGCTCAAAGAAGTGACTACCCCTAGGGGGTGAACCTGGTTGAGGGACATCTTCACAGAAGATACCGTGTTTATTCCCTGAACTGAGTAGTGACCCAGTATACTTCAGGTGCAGGAAACAAGAGAGGTTACAAGGCTCGCAGAGGGAACTGCAAAAACTCCAATCTGACTGGAGGGAGGTGCAGCCATGGGCAAAGAGGGAAGGGTGATTGTGCAAGGGGGCCCTAAATGACTCATCAGAGGCTTTAAACCTTATACAAAAGGTGCTGGGGATAAGTTGTGACAAAGTAGGATATGATCACTGTTGTGTTTTAGAGAGAGTAACTTACCAATGTTAGGGGGTGCAGGGGAGATTGGATAAAATGAAGAGTAGGAAATGGGATCTAGGGAGGTTGAGGGTCAGCTCTGCACACTGAATGAATGGAAAAGCACAGGCAAGACCAGCCCTGCATTCTAAGCCTGGGTAACCAAAACCCTCACAATGGCCTAGATGGCCTGCCACTCTAGGGTCCTGTATTAGTCTGTTCTCATGCTGCTTATAAAGACATACCTGAGGCTAGGTAATCTATAAAGAAAAAGAGGTTTAATGGACTCATTTCCATGTGGCTGAGGAGGCCTCACAATCATGGTGGAAGGTGAAAGTCACATCTTACATGGCGGCAGGCAAGGAGAGAATGAGAACCAAGCGAAAGGGGTTTCCCCTTATAAAACCATCAGATGTCATGCAACTTATTCACTACCAAAAGAACAGTATGGGGGAAGCCGCCCACATGATTCAATTATCTCCCACAGGTCCCTCCCACAACATGTGGTAATTATGGGAGCTACAATTCAAGATGAGATTTGGATGGGGACACAGCCAAACCACACAGGGTCCTCACTACCCTCAGATCTCCTTTCCTTCTTTCCTCCCCCTTGCTCCCTTGACTCCAGTAGCATGGTTTCTTCCAACTCCAAACACTGGACATCCCCAGCCATGAGGTCTCTTGGCTTACAAGCCCTTCCCAATGTATTTGCATGGTTTGAGCTCTTGCCCCCTTCAAATCTTTGCTCTCGTGTCCCCTTCTTGCTGAGGTCACGTAACACCACTATATATTTGACTTCCTTTCTCATTAGAATGTTGGCTCCATGGAGATGGGTTTTGTCTGGTTTGTCCATTTTGGCATCTCACGGCTGGCACAGGGTAAGTGCTCACTGAATATTTGTTCAGTGGTGATGGTGACATGGATGAAACCTGGGGCATCAAGGAAGAGAGCTGGCACGGGCAGCAGGAGAAATGAGGGTTTTGGTCCAGAGCATTTGTTCTTAGGTGTTGGTGGGGGGCAGGCAACTGGGAGTGAGGAGCCGGGTTCCGCCTGGGAGCCTGGGATTGGGAGCTGTTCACATGGAGACAGACATAGAGATAACTTGTATCTGGAGGGCAATGAGAAAGCACTGTGGGTACAGCTCCAGAGGGACAGGATAGGAACCAGGAATATCGGGTTTTGTAAATCAAGAAGAGAACATTTCAAGACATAGATAATCAAATGTGACTCGCACTGCAGAGCCATCAAAGAGAATGCCAAGGAGGCTTGGGAGTAAGGAGAGGCCATTTGGAGGTCACTCGTGTCCTTTCAGTCGGGTGGCATAGGCAGAGACCAGGCCACATTAGGATGTTAGCTCCATAAAGATGGGTTTTGCCTGGTTTGTCCACTGCAGCATCCCGCAGTTGGCACAGGGTTTTGAGTGTTGAGATGTGGCTGAGGTGGGATGTACTGTAAGTGCAGAAAGCACATGGGACTGTGAAGACTTAGAAAAATTAGGAAAAGCGGATGCAATATATCTTATTAATATTCTTTCTATTGAGTGCACGTTGAAATGATAATTTCATTTCAAACATTAATGGTTACATTAATTATTAAATAATTATTAAAGGTGACATTAGGATATATTAGGTTAAATGAAATATGTTATTAAACGTAGTTTTACTTTCTTCTGGTTTTTAATTTTTTTAATGTGATTACTAGAAACTTTATAATTACACACGTCTCCCATCATATTTCTATTGGACAGAGCCGGCCTTGTCTGCCAGGGATTAATATTTACCAGCATATATTCATGTATACTCTCTCTTCTTCTCTCCCTCTTTTCCTTCCTTCCTTCCTTCCTTCCTTCCTTCCTTCCCTCCCTCCCTCCCTCCTTCCTTCCTTCCTTCCTTCCTTCCCTCCTTCCTTCCCTTCCTTCCTTTCCTTCCTTCCTCTCTCTCTGTCCCTGTCTCTCTCTCCTGCCTCTGTCTCTTTCTAGAAACAAATGTCTTTGGCCAGCTACATTGTTTTCTGAATGGACACCTGAGTAGTTAATCTTCCATTCTCAGTAAAAATAGATGCTTTTCATATCAAATCATCAAGTTGCTTTAGCATTAAGCTGCCTGGAACTATATTAAAGTCAGTGATAAGCAGTCCATTAGCTGTACCAAGCTCTTAGGCTCCCTGGGAGCAAAAGAAACTGCATAAATGAAGTTTCTTCTACACTAAGCAGCAAATAAATGAAGGCCTTTGAAGAAACCACCTACGTGAAGTCCTGGAATTGTAATTACCCAACCCTCCAATTTGGCAAACAGAGGTTTTCTTACAATATAACCATCTCCCCAGTAATGGGCCCTCCCAGTAGGAGGTAGCGAGACTGTGGGTTGCATGGCGCCAAGACAAAGACGTTTACTGATTTGGACACTTGAACCGCTGCTTAAGAAGGAAATTCCCAGTGTTCATCTTGGCTGGGGTCAGGAATTGTTCTTGGGCCCTGTGAGGTCAGGCTTTAGCCTTTATGTATCTGCTAGTGGTGCAATGAACTTGCTTACTTTTCAGAAAAAGAAAAAGACACTTAAGTTTCTTCTACTCCCTTCTGATTTCTACAAAAAAAAAAAAAAAAAAGTTCAGTATTAAAATACAAAGACCAGAGCGACCTTTTTCTCAAGCTAATGAAAGGAAAGACGTTCCTTATTCAAATATTTATTAAGGAACTTGGGGTTACCTCTGATCGTTAACATTTTCTAATCAAGGAGCAGTGAAAATAAAAACAAGATTAATTGATGCTGTCTTAGGTTTGCAAGGCTCCAATCTTGGCTGAAGGACAAAGAAAGAATTATAGAAGATCCCCAAGGAATGGTCTCTTCTAAAAAGAAGGAACCTATTTTACAGCCTGAATCTTAGCTGGGAAGCAAGACTCACTTCAACATTGACAATGTCATGTTCCAAGTGAGGCAGAGTAGAGGTCAGAGTTTTCGCTGGCTGAAAACTGATCATTTTCATGCCAAGCTGTTGAATGATTCTGGCCATTTCAATATGGCTGGGTTCCTTGGAGAAGACGCTGAGAAGAGGATTCCTGTGCTAATGATTGATGCAGAAAATCCTCTAGGAGCTTGGGGAGCAGGATAAGGAAGGGGAAGAAGCTAAGCACAGGTTCCATCTCCAGCCAAGTCTCAACCTAGGCTCAACCCCACAGGGGAGCTCTGGAATGTAAATTAAACCTTAGAGTCAGTTCGTACTTGAGGCAGGGGAGCTGGCCTTTCAGCCCCAGGCTGTGGTCAGTCATTGGTTAAGGGTCAACCTGGGCAAGGTGAGCTTCCAGGCGCCCACCCCCACCAGCTGTCTATGAGCATGGGCAAAGTGGCTCGGGTCACCCAGGAGAGTTTTCCTCAAGAAACCAGGTGTTGGGCACACGAGGGAGATTGGTGGTATCTGGGTGTGGCACCATCAATGTCTGCTGCATCGTAAGTTTGACCTGGACAAAATCTTCATGTCTGCGGCTATTCCATTTATCTGCCTTCTAGAGCTCCCCACCGTGAGATCTGGGTTGGGATAGGTAGTGGGAATTTGCTGATTTTGGTTGCCCAATTTCAATTCCCCATTTTAATCATTGTAATTTAATTATTAAAGCAATTTAGCAATATTAAAGTAATAGTAATTTCAGGAAACTCTTCTCTTTCTTGGTCTGTATCTGTTGGCAGAGATGATCAACACAGACCCCGGAGACGGGTGTATATGTCAAATTCTAGGCAATCAGCACATTCCTCTCTCTCTGGCCCAGTGACTGGTTCAGGGATGGTGCCTTGGCCAGCAGTCAGATACAAGGAATTACTCTGGCAGTTTTTAATCAGAAAGGTATTCAACACAAAGCAACAGGTGCTCATGAAATCACTGGAAGGACTGAAGGAGCAGGCTCTGGCTGGGTTTCCTGAAAGATGCCCATTGCCCACCAGTGATCAAACAAGAAGGCAGAGAGTGAGGAGGCCCCCACTAGAACCCCTGTATTCAAGAATACATCCAGTTGCTACAGGCTAGGGTTCTGAAGCTTTTCAACATCTGAGAAGCTAGAGACTGGACACTGAAACAACCGTCCTGGGCCAGGAGCCACAGCAAGAAAAGAGTGCCTCTCTCACGGCTGTCTTTCAAATCTCACCCTACCACATCCTGTGGCTGGGACCTGATGTGCTTGCAGAACCCCAGCTTAGAGGGAGGCTGTGGATGTATATTTCAGTTTTCCAGCCTTTGCAGTATACGGAAGCCCCAGAAGGAGGTCAGAGTGGGCTCTGTGGGCCAGCTCACCATGTCCCCTACCCTAGATGGGCACATAGCCCAACTCAAGCTACAGGGGTCAGGGCAGGACTTTGGTCTGGCTAACGAGGGGAAGGGAAGCCCTCTTTGTTTCCTGCTGGATGTGAACATGAGAGGAAGTAGGTTTGGAGCTGCTGGAAGCCATCTTGACATCATATAAGGTCTAAGAATGAGACTAGTACGTAGCAGAGGACAGAACCAGTTTGAGAGACCTACAGAGGCAAAGAGAGGGGAGGTGACTTATTTCAGATCATCTAACGGTGTGGGCGGAGGTGGATCTAGAACACCAATTGCCTGACTCCCAGGCTATGCCTTTCCCCACCATGCAGCCCCTGCCTCTGCTTAGAACCTGTGGTCGCTTTGCTCTGGTCAGCAGCACTCCTAGCAGCCACGGAAGGGTTTCAGAATCCCTCTTTATTAAATAAAGTAGCTGACTGATCTGACCCCTCCCAGCAAGTGGAGCTGCCTGTAGATGGGGCCTTAGCAGAAAAGCGCTCAGAACACATTTTTGCAGCAGACCTGGTGGAGCTAGGGTGTGTATGAATAACTTATAGCTGGAGCCTGCCCCGAGGAGCTCAGCACTAGCTTTGAAAACACCCTAGGGGTTCTCTCCGAGTGGCACAGTGAAATGTGGCCACACCGGTTCAGGCTATTTTAAGCTTCAGAAACCAAGAGAGGTGAGGGGGGGTGAACCAGTGGGCTCTGAGGGCAGTTGAGTTCCAGGCAGCTTTCTCTGTGCCTCCAAGGTCATCTTGGGCCCTTCCCCTGTCACTGGGACCTTGCCTTCCTCTTCTCTCTTCCTTCTGAAAGGATGGGAAGGAAGGGCCCTTCTGACTTCAGGGGGCTGAGCCAAGAAGGAGCCAGAGTGGGAGGGGCTGGAGCACCTGGTCCTGTGGACTCAGTTCAGGCAGTGAAAAGGCAAAAGCATTGCCAGCCAGATCCTGAGCAATATCTTCACACTTATTTATTATATTTATCTTATTGAATCCCCTTAATAATTCTTTGAGGTAGGTAAAACCATTCTCTCCATCTGTCACAGGAAAAAATAGAGGTGCAGAGAAAGTAAGTAGCCTGCCCAAGGTCATACAGCACAGCTGGGGTTTCAAACCAGGTGGGTCCAAACTCCTAACTACTATGCTGTGTGGCCTCAAAACCCAACAATAATCAGAGCTAACTTCACTACATATACACTACTTCCTATTCCTCCCAACTGCTCTAGAAGTTCCATGGCATAAGCCCCAATCTTCAGATTAGGAAACTGAAGCTCAAAGAGCTTAGAAAGTCTGCCCAAGGACATACAAGTGAAACACAGCCGCAGTTCCAGGACTTGAACCCACTTCTCTCGCCATGGCCTGGGTTCTTACTGTTGTATTGTGAACAGATTTTTAGTGTTCTGAAACAATTTCACATCTTTTCATAGGACACCAACTTCAATCCCCTCTTCATTTTACACTGCAGAAACTAAGGTTCTAAAAGTTTAGATGGCTTGTCCAAGGTCACACAACTAATGGCTAGATGGGCTAGAACCCAGACTATGGACTTTTCAGCAGTGTGTTAACAAACTTTTCTTTCCCATGGATTTACATTAGAATTTCAGGGATATTTTATCTTCCTTTCTAGCTAATCTTCATTTCACAGTGGCTTCCACGACTTTGGCTTTGGGTTTCTCTGTATGTTTGCCTTATCCTCTGTCAAATAGTTAATGATCTGTAATGCACAAAGAGGAGACTGAGGTAGGGTACCTGTAATTGCAGCAGATATTTCTATTAGGAATATCCTCCTTTTCAAAACCTGGACCTTCCTGTAATACAGTGTTGACACCAGAATCCTTTGCCACTGAACCACACTGTAATACATAGGCCCCACCATTGTGTCACTCATAATCCTTTGCCACTGAACTACACTGTAATACGTAGGCCCCACCATTGTGTCACCCATAATCCTTTGCTACTAAACTACACTGTAATATTATACAGGCCACACCATTGTGTCACCCATAATCCTTTGCCACTGAACTACATTGTAATACACTGGCCCCACCATTATGCCACTCATAATCCTTTGCCACTGAACCACACTGTAATATGTAGGCCCCACCATTATGTCACCCATAATCCTTTGCCAATGAAGTCCTAAGCACAGCTGCACTAAGACACAACAAATTCTGGTAGGTACTGCTTTATACTTTCCTTGTAGACACTTGTTTGGGGCCTGGAAAGGGTAAAGCAGTGAGAGAGACAAAAAGCCAAAAGGGGGAACCAATAGACACTCGATGTGACTTGCTTTTTCTTGAGTACTTTAGATGATACCATTTTAAATATGGTCACAAGGATGGCCAGAAGTCACATTTTCATTCCTTGATTTACCCTCATCCTTTCAGTAAATCAACAAATATTCATTAAAGCTTCTCTCTGTGCCAAGCACTATCAAAGCCAGGCACTGAGGGTACAGCAATGATCAAATTGGGTCTGTCCTCTTGGAGTGCACAGTCTACTGAGAGAGACAAAAATGTGGATTCCCAGCTCCACAGCTGTGTGCTATCACAAGGACAGGGTCAGTGAAGAACAAAGTATGTGGCCATTGGCTCCTGCTTGGGTGGGAAGCGTGCTATGCTTGAACTTTATGGAGGCCCAGGAGGTGGCCCAGCAGCTCCTCAATGGTGGGTGGGTGGTGGTGGGTGGAGGGGCATTTCAGGCAAAGGGAATGTTACATGAAGGCCTGTGGCTGGAATAAGCTATGAGGGTGGAGGATGGATAGGTGGGTGAGGAAACTGCAAGAAGCTGAGTATTTCTGGAGAGAAAGGATCTGGAGGGAAACTGGGGAGAGTGGTTGCAGAGGGAAGGATGGGGTTGAAGAACATGGCAGGTTGGGGTTTGGAAAGTCCTGGGTATGGAAACGAATTGATATTGTCTTTTGGGGCAGTGATGAGCATTGAAGAGGGTAAACAGGAATGTGGCACTACCACCTTTGTATTTTGGAAAGCTCCCTCTGGCTGTGGGTGGAGGATGAGCAGGACAATGAGTGAGACCAGCAACTGGGAAGCCATTTGGAAAGGATGTCAATGACCAGAAAGAGGAGTGAAATGGCACCAAGTGCCTCCACTAGAACAGAGAGGTGGAGACAGGGACAACGTGAGGCATGAATTGAGATATTTAAGGGGAAACCAAGAAAGGCATTCAGAATAAGTGCCAAACTTTTGAACTAGGTATTTGGGTGGCATGCACGCTATAAAAGGGAGAGAAGCTTTCTGAAAATACTAAAAAAAATAATATAAATGATTATACTATACAGGAAGTTAGGAAAAGAGAGAAAAAAATACCCACCACCAACCCTATCACTGCAGCACAACCAGTATGCCTGTTTTGATTTATTTCCTACCAATAGTTCTCGCTAGTTTGTAACCCAAAATTAATTTCTTAGGTGGCTCTTTTTCTTCAATATTGGATGGTTAATGGGAAACACTGTCTGCTCCTTGAAGCCCAGGAAAGACTCACTTTTTGACTTATTGCTGGAGGCTCCATTCCCGTTTGTTATTCTGAGAAAGGCCAGATTTCTTGCATATCTAAGAGCCAGTCACTTTGACCCAGGACTTGATGGCAAAGATTTTACAGTTTCGTTTGTTCTATAGCTTGGTGCATCCAATTACTTGTTCCCTTCTACCTCCCCATGGGCCATAAAAATGATCAAGTAGATGGAACACCTTATACCTTTGTGTCCTGGAAAATTCAGCCTGGGGTGTCAAGAAATGACAATATTCAAATCAATCCTTACGGTGGCCTGTGAGGCCCACTTCTTGGAGAAGTTGGAAAATCGGTTTTTCATTTAGTACTCTGGCGTTTTCACTGCCAGGATCGTCTCTGAGCACAGTTCAGCTTCCTGCCTTGCTCCACAAGGAGTGTCCAGCCTGGAAAATAAATGGTAATTGATGAGAGGCCTACAGAAAATTTGCCCTGGCTCTGGCTGGCTCTAGTGGGTCAGAACAATTCGCTATTGGCAAGCTCTGAGCTTTTCATAGGCATGGAGAGAAAGCCGAAGCCTTCTTTGGGGGAGGTATTATGCAGAATGTCAGCAGCCTTGGCTTTTAATAAAAGGCCTCAGGGGACACCAGACCGTGCCCTAATTCTGGGTTATCAGGCCTGAGGGTGATCTTAGGCAAAGTAGACATTTGATGGAGAGAAGCAAGTCGGGAAGAAGAGCCAAAAATCAGTTTGCTAAATGGGAGTGCAGTTTTAATGGAGCTTTGGCAAACATAAGGCCAGTGGATTCATTCCTTGGATTCTCCCTTTCCTCTGCGGCTACGAGGAGACTTCCGTCTCCTGGATCTCATCTGCTGGGAAGCAAAGTGGTGATCAATGAATTCAGGGCAGGAGGGAGATGAAAAGTAGCAGATGGACAGTGAGGAATTGGGAAAACGCTGATGACCAAAAGCAGGCGCTGGAACAGTCTTTATCTCTCACATGCCCTTGTTCAGGGTGAGCCGGATGGCATCCAATGCTATGTTCTCTGGGGTTTTGCCCAGGCTAATTTTACATGACAATGGCTGCTCTATGCTCTTTCATGGAGCATTGGAATGGCTTTGCATGTCCCATGTGGCCTGGCGGCCAGAGCTGGAAAAGGCTCCCTCTTGGACTTCCGGCTCAGCCCAGCAACCCGGCGAGGGACACAGGCTGAGTTACCCAGGAGGCCAGACGAGCATTTCCCCTGGCCGTCCCCACTGCTCTTACAGAAGGGAGCTTTCACCAGTCACATGCAGGGCTGTCCAGAGCACAGTGGGTCACTGTCCCTGACCACTGGGCTTTTTCAAGCTGGATAAAATGAACTTGGACTTTTCACTCCACTAGGTCACGAGAGATTTTGCAAGACAGTGTGTCACAGTGTTTGCGTGGCTTCCCGTGGGCCTCGCTTTTCACATTTTGTCCACGTGAAAATGCCTGGTGCAGCCCGAGAAAGAAAGTCGCCTGGAAGCCCCTGCCAGGTGGGGCCCAACCAGCAAGAGTAGAAACTTAGTAGTCAGCAAAGCTGCAAAGTGGGTTTGAAATTTACTGATCTCTTTAAGGCTATATGAAGAAAATCAAAAGGCTTTTTTTTAAAAAAAATAGAATTGAAAGGAAACCACTGATAAAGGAATTGAGACAAACAAGGAAAAATGTAAGCACTCTGTTCTTTTGAGAGCCTTAAAGGCAGCGAACGGGGAAATGCCACAAGCTGTGACCCATGGTGAGCACACTTCTCAGGTGTCTCATTTCCATGTGCATACAAAGGGGAGATTCTTGTTTCCAAGTGGCCTTCATAAAAAGATATAACTTAGTGAGGGAAATAAGTTATAATTACCATCATTATTATTTGGTTTGTTCTTTCAATCAAAGTAGCTCTTAAATAGAGTAGTCTAGTGCAACTTGTTCTCTTAGGTCCACATGCAGCCAAGAAGGCCTGCACAGCCCCACATTCACACCTAGGGTATGAGTCTGGGCTCGACACTCCCCATAAGGAAGTCAATCTCTTATTAACCCCATCGGGACCCTCCACTTACAAGGCTCGTAGGCTTCCTTTGTTTAAGTGTGTGGTTCCCGATCTCAGAGACAGAGCCAAGTAGAACCTTCCTAATTCTTTGGGGAGCAAGTGATAGAAGCCAAATTTAAACTACCCTATAAGCCCAGAGAAAGGATGGGAAAGGGGCTTGAAATTGATTAGGTCATGTGGCTGGGAAGAGGGAACCCCCAAAGGAAAAAAATATTCCCAGAAGAATGGGAAAGAGGAGTGAGGTGGGCAGAAATAACATGTGTCCCCCTGAACCTCTGCCGTGGCACCCAGAAGAGACAGTAGCATTGGCTTCCTTCCCCTCCTTCACCCTCACAGATGCCTACTGCTTTTCTCTTGTCACTGGGTCATCGCCTACCAGGGGACTCTTCCTTCATCTCAACCCATCTTTTCCCACTTTGAGCACATGGCACATATCCCAGGGAAGGTCCTATTTGCATATTTCAGGCAGATCAAGGATCAGAAAATAGCTTTGGACTCCTACTGACCCAAGAGTGCTGAACTGAAAGGATTCTACAGTGTTAAAATCTTGCATCAAGGTTGAAGTTGGTGTAGCGAGGAGAGATGAAAGTTCTTCGTTTTCTATCTCGGTAAATTGCCAATTGACAAGATTCCAAGGAGTGGGCTTTTGACTATGTTCAATTTGCACTGCTTCGAATCATCCAAAAGCCAATATTGATGGCTCATTGTGCTGACTAAGGTAAAGGATGGAAGAGGAGACTAAGTGTTTTGGTTTGTCTCTTGATTGTGTTGGAAAAGGGATCTACTTGAGTGATCTCAGTTAATGATTCGATTCTTATGCTACAACTTCATGGAGATTCAACAATAGGGCTGCATGGGCACTGGGCATCGTGAAGAATGCAGATGGGAAATGGTTTTCGATTTATGTTGGGCATGTCAATAGTATGTTTCTTTCTCTTCATACCACTCACTACAAATGTTTGTGTTTGCAGGTTTGTTCATTTGGCTCTACGTTCCTGTTAGGCTACAAGGAAAGTGTTTACCTTGTTCACTGCTGTGTTCCCAGCACCCAGCACAACGGAGGTACTCTTTGTATTTTTGTTCACTGAGTTCATGGATCGTTGCCTTATCCTCTGTGATGTAAATGGCCAGTTAACTGTGTGTCTATCAGGTCTACCCTCACTTGGTTCCTCTGATTCCTCTGCTTACCCAGTTTTTTCTCCCTTTACTCTGGATGGTACCTGACCATCATGGTCTTTTCAACATCCTACACATCATGAGATTTTTGGTTTAGATTCCACCACTAGCTGACCAATTCTATTGGTTCAAATTTTTGAGTTTCTTTAGAGGGAGTGAGTGAGAGGACAGAGAGAGAGAGAGAGACAGAAGAGGTGGGGGGGGGGGAAAGGAGAGAGAGAAAGAGAGACAAAGAGAGAGAGAGGGAGAGAGAGAGAGAGAGAAAATTAGCCAGGCCAGCCATTTGCAGTACGTCATAGGTCATGAGCCAACCAGAAGACTGACCATCCTCAGGTCTGATGCCCACTTTAGTCATCAGCTGAGGTAGAGGACAGAGGTCAGTATCAACTGGTTCAAAGCATAGGTGCCTAGGCAGAGTATCCTGGGGGCAATTTCTCAAAGAACGAAGTATGTGTGTGGCAGGCAGTACTTGACCTGTCTTGCAAAATAAGCCATACTCTTTAAAGAGCATACTACTGTTAGGGAGATAAGACGTAAAAGCAGATCAATATGAATCAGTGTGGAATTAGGTGATGCACTGAATATGTTCTTGTTGCCTATCTAGCAACCCTTCTTCCCATCTTTCCTGGCCACAGTGGAGTATACACGTGACCCAGCCTGGGCTAGTCGGTGGATGTCAACTCCCTAGCTATGGTTATTAGGTCAAGGGTGAGCATGTGACAAAACCAAGGCAATAAGACTTCTTCCTGAGATTTTTAACAGTAGCTCTGGAAGACAGTGATCCTTTTCTTCTGCCTGATCACAGAACTGCTGTGCCACCAGCAGCCATGTCTTCCGTCAGGTGAAGGAAAGATTAAAACATCAATCCATCAGAAGTGGGGATGAGAGGCTGAGAGAAAGTTGACAGCTTTCATTCCCAACAGGCTTAAGGTCAATTCTACCCTCGCTTTTGCTCTTCCTATTATTTGGTTCAGAGAGGTCTAATAAACACACATACACACCACACACACACATACACACACATTTCTCTCTTTCTCTCTCTCTTTCTCTCTCCTCCCTTCCCTCCCTTCCCCCTTCCCCTACTTCCTCTCTTTGCCTAAACTAGTTAAAGTGGACTTTCTATTTCAACCAAGGGAGTTATGAATTAAAACAAATGCTAAATTTGGTCATTTTAATTAAATAAAAATTTGTTGGCTGGGCGTGGTGGCTCATGCCTGTAATCCCAACATTTGGGAGGCAAAGGCAGGTGGATCACTTGAGGTCAGGAGTTCGAGACCAGCCTGGCCAACATGCTGAAACCCCATCTTTACTAAAAATACAGAAATTAGCTGGGTGTGGTGGTGCATACCTGTAATCCCAACTGCTCAAGAGGCTGAGGCACGAGAATGACTTGAACCCAGGAGGCAGAGGTGGCAGTGAGCCAAGACGGTGCCATTGCACTCCAGCCTGGGCAACAAAGAGAGACTCTGTCTCAAAAAAGAAAAAATTTTTGTTAAGTGAACAATTTATGAACTTTCTCCAAAAGCCATAGAAGTTCTAAGGAGAAAGAGAACAAGTGAGAAAAAGGGGAAGAGAGAGAAAGGAGAACGGGCTAAAGAATCCAGGAAAGACATTGTGGTGATCAAACTTGAGCTTGACTTTGAAGACAGATGGAATATAAAATGACGAAGGGCAGGGCTTGGGGAGAGCCTTCCACATGAAATAAATAGCGTGAAGGAAGGAATGAAGGAGTAAATGAACATGACATAAAAGTTGGGAACACTATTATTTTCACATTGTTTTCTTAAAGTTGACTTCATCTATTGATTTTCAAATAGAAATTCATCCAGTGTGGGCTTTTTCATCCCTTGCATAACTGAATGATCATGATAAGAGTAGTCGGCCGGGCGCGGCGGCTCACACCTGTAATCCCGGCACTTTGGGAGGCCAAGGTGGGCGGATCATGAGGTCAGGAGATCGAGACCATCCTGACTGACACGGTGAAACTGTGTCTATACCAAAAATACACAAAATTAGCCAGGCATGGTGGTGGGCACCTGCAGTCCCAGCTACTCAGGAGGCTGAGGCAGGAGAATGGCGTGAACCCAGGAGGCAGAGCTTGCAGTGAGCTGAGATCACGCCACTGCACTCCAGCCTGGGTGACAGAGCGAGACCTCCGTCTCAAAAAAAAGTAGTCATAATTTTGATTTTTATAACATCTTATTTTTATTTTCTATGATTTGAAAGCCCTTTTTATAATGCAATAGCCCGATAATTTTTAATAGCTTCCCAAATTACTTTAGCTTGGTGCACGGTAGGTCTGGAGTAGTTATAAAACTCTTTTGGCTTAAGTACTGTTTAAAAAATCTGATGAAATCTAAGAATTGTCTTTCAAGACAAATATGCATATTCACATATAAAATTTTTTTCACAAGATTCCAGGGGATTTTCACCTTCACCTAAGATCCCTAGGGAGCCAGTGACCCCTGGCTAAAAATTCCAGTTGTTAGGGGGCATATTTTGGCCTTAGTATTTTAGTTACATTGTAACACCCTTATCCTTAGAATTGTTCACAGAGATCTGTTTCTGCTGGTTTTTACTCATAGTGCCTTGTTTTCTTGTGTGCTTCGTTATTTTTTTTTCACCATGATCTGCTCATTTCCTTGGGAAATTATTTGTAGGACTTTTTTTAGGTCTAAGGTGGAGATACATTTTTTTCAAAGAGGATTTGTGTTGGCTTCTGCCAAGTACTTAGAGACTCTATTAGTCCAGAATCACTTTGAATTAAATTAATGGCTTAAGATTATTTTGACCATCCAGGTGTTATGAATTTGGGCTTTTTGTGGTGGCCTAAATGGTAGTTCCACCAAAAGATATGCCCACTTCCTAATTTATGGAACCTATGGATGTTACCTTACTTTGGAAAAAGGGATTTTGCCAGTGTAAATAAATGAAAGGATCTTGAGATGAGATCATCCTGGCTAACCTAGGCAGATCCTACATCCAGTGACAGGCATCCTTATAAGGGACATACAGAGGAGAGACACATGAAGAAGAAGAAACAGAGATTACAGTGATGCTGCCATGAGCCGAGAAATGCTAACAGCCACCAGAACAGAACAAAACCTCCCCCAGAGCTTTTGGAGGAAGCACAGCCCTGTTATTACCTGCATTTTAGACCTCCAGCCTACAGAACTGTCAGAGAATAAATTTCTGTTGTTTCGAGCCACCCAGTTTGTGGTCATTTGTTGTAGCAGCTACGGGAAACCGATATAGGCTCCAAATCCACCACACCAGCTGGCCTGTCATTTCGGCTTCTCTGGGAATTTCCCCCCTATTCCCGTCCTGCTCAGCATCAGGACATCATTCCTTCCTGTCCTCTGGGGAATGAATGTCAAAAACTGTGAAGGGCATTTTACCTACAAGTTTGCCACAGTTTCATGGATGCTGGCAGAAGACACGAGACTCCTGGGTCAGAGACAAAGGATGGTTTGTTACTCACAGTAATAGCAGTAGCCAGAGTATCAGCATTTGTGTCAGCTCTCGAACCCCAATTCCCACAGAGTGACATGAGAACAAAATAATACCTGCACATGCAGTGGGTTTCATTATAGGAAAGAAACCTTGAGTTTAGTGAACTGGATCTTTTATATTGGTCAAAAAACATGCCTGCCTTTTGTACCACAAAGAGGCATTATCTTTCTTATGCTAGATAGGAAGGCTGCATGGCCTTTGCTTTGGAGAGAGACACCATCTCTATCTTCTAATGCCATTTATTATACAAACATCCTTGTGAAGATAGTCTGGAATGAAGGTAATCAGTGCTTCAATTCACAAGATGTATAGAAACGTCAGAGATTCATGGAGAGTTGTTTTCCAACTGGGAGGTGGGAAGGAGAGGGTTGGGTTTACTTTGAATTCACTCTTGCTCTGAAGGTATATTACTTACCGATTGCTGCATAACCCAATCTTCCCTATTACCAGAAATGGACTAGGACTGCTCATGTGTACCTGCCTGGTGGCAACAGAAACTAACATAAGTATTAGACGGTTCCTCACATGAAACAGCAACGAGAGAAATGTGCTGGCTTCAAAGTGGGTGATAATCTGTGTTTCACAAACTACTCAGAGGTTTAGTACAACTTATTGCAGCCCATCGTCCTGCAAGGCTCTTTGAGCAGCCTTTCAAGGAGGTTCCAAAAGAGGAATTCTCAAACTATTTTAACCAGCCATAGTATTGTTTAAAAAAAAACAAATATCACAAAACACAACTTCCCAGGGTGATTACTTTGAAGAAGGCCTTACTTATTTGGCTCTAGGGTTCAGTGTGACTGTTAAACAGCAAGTTCTCTGGATTAGAATTTTTTCTTTTATTTACTGAAAGTCAACTAGCACTAAATTATGAGGGAGGATTCAGCCAGAAACTCAGACAAGAGATAAAATAAGAGAATGAAAGCTACAACTGAGACATTTCCCTACCCTATGGCACGTTCCCTCCTAAAGGGTCTCCTTTGTCAATGCTTAACTCAAGGCTTATGTGGAAGAAGGGGGTAGAATCTGGAAAAAACCTACCTACCCCAGCCCCTGTCTTTTTTTTTTTTTTTTTTTTTTGAGACAGGGTCTCACTCCCCAAGCTGGAGGGCAGTGGTGTGAACGCAGCTCACCTGGGCTCAAGGGATCCTCCCATGTCAGTCTCCCAAGTAGCTGGGACTACAGGTATGTGTCACCACACCGGGCTAATTAAAATATTTTTTCCTTATTTTTGTAGAGATGGGGTCTCACCATTTTGCTCAGGATGGTCTCGAACTCTTGGGCTCAAGAGATCCTCCTGCCTTAGCCTCCCAAATTGCTGGGATTATAGACGTGAGCTGCCATGCCGAGCTCCTTCATTTGTTTTTATGTGTTGCTTCCATATTTGAGGTGCTGTCTGGGCAGGCAGCTCTTCCATTCCTGTTTCTGTTGAGTATTTCACCACCTGCCAGCCTAACTTGA
Organism: Homo sapiens; assembly: GCF_000001405.40. NCBI lineage: Eukaryota > Metazoa > Chordata > Mammalia > Primates > Hominidae > Homo > Homo sapiens. The sequence goes on along the minus strand of NC_000010.11, from coordinate 113,971,936 downwards.
TGGCCCATTTGGGACTTGAAAGATTGAAGCCAACTGGGCTGAATTGAGTTAAACCCCAGTTCAACAAAAATGCTCAGTTTCTATCCATTACATTAATTCCACTGGTATGAGACCAAAATCCACAGAGGCAGAAGCAAATAAACTGCAGGTGTAATCGATTGATTGAGCTGGGAGGGGGAGTAAGAGAGAAAGAAGAGAGAGAGGGAGAAAGAGAAAGACAGAGAGACAGACAGACAAACATACTGCAAAGTCAAGAAAATCCAAATTGCCTTTATTAATTGAGGTAAGACATTTCTGAATTCAGTACCTAACTCAGAACAAAGCCAACCACTGAGATGTGAACCTTCTTTTTCTCCTTTTTTTTCCTTTTTATTTTTGAGAGCAAAGCACATGTTTATCCTGCGTCAGCAAGCAGGACAAATGTGAGTTTAAGGCAACCAAAGGACATGAACTTGAACTGAAGTTTGAAAATATAGACTGTCCTAGATAGAATCTCAAGATTAGGAGACATTTTGATGTAGAGCTGAACGTAAGTCTTTTCTCCACCAAAGAGCCAGTTACCCTTTGTTCTGGAAGCAGAAAGGAATAATCTACGTTTCCCAGAAAGAAAAAAATTAAGTCTCCCATTGAGCAAAAATCGCAGTTTTCCCAAGAATTATTTTGGTTCTTTAACATGGGTCAGGGAGGAGATCAGACCATGAGTTGGAAGGCACTTGTAAAGATGAGGGTGCCTCCAAGGATGGAACTTGTAGGCTTTAATAGAGTTTTCTAGAAATGCACAATTACCTTTGGTGGCTATGGGTTAACTTGTGGTCCAGGGTACTGTGAGTGGTCACATTTGAAAGAGTGACAGAAACAATATAGAAAGAGCCAGGCCATTGCCTCTGCACAGATCTTGTAACAAGACAAAAGGCCTTCAGCATTTACTCTGCTGCAGATCAGGGTGTAGAATCTTCTGAATGAGGTGTCATAGAGTCTGATAGCCCAGACATCAGGGCCTAGCCCCAACTTGAAAGTCAGTCTGGGCCAGCTTCTAGCTCAGCTAAACTAGGAGCAGAATGGAACTTCAGAAGATGTCTGAGTCAGCTTTCTTATTTTATATTGGGGAAAGTGAGGCCTGGTGAAGGGAGGTGTTTTCCCCAAGGCTTTGTGGTTGCTGTGTTAGTCCATCCTCCAACAAACAGACTCCAAGGTAGGAGTCAACTTACACAAATTTTATTAGAAAAAACACCTTGAGTGTGGGAAAATGAGGAAGTAACAGGAAAAGACCACAATATTAATCTGGTCCCTTTAAGCTTAGGAGGAGAGTAGCAAAGGCTCTCAAAGTTGTTAGCCCAGGATGCTTGACTATCCTTTGATAATTTATCTTAAACCTGACCATACCTTTGCAACAGTCTCTTCATTAAACTTTCTTCCATTACCTCATTTGAGCATGACGTTTGTTTTTCACCAGGACTTTGATAGATACAAATACTTTGATCATCAGTCAATACTAGAGAGTTTATTAATTAGCATAGGGATTTTTAGAAATGCTTTTTATTTATATTGGTGAAATGAGTGGTGTTTAAGATATTAGAATTAGTTGGCTAGAAAGAATGTACAGGCACCTCTGCCCTTGCGTAAATATAAGAATGTAGGAAGTTTGACAGCTTATTCCTTCTGGGTTACCATTTGGGCCTAATATCCACTTAATTGTTTAGCCTAGGAATCTTGACTGTGTCTAGACGGTTGAAACTTGCCAGTAGAATATTCTTGCATTTGCCTCAAGAGAACCTTTTATGCCAGGTACTCATGGAGCCCAAAGGCAGATTGCTGGGACCTTGTGGAATTTCTAGGTAGGTTGGTTGTTGTGGGAAGTCAGGGACCCCAAATGGAGGGACCAGCTGAAGCCATGGCAGAAGAATGTGGATTGTGAAGATTTCATGGACATTTATTAGTTCCCCAAATTAATACTTTTGGAATTCCTTATGCCTGTCTTTACTGCAATCTCTAAACATAAATTGTAAAGATTTCATGGACACTTATCACTTCCCCAATCAATACCCTTGTGATTTCCTATGCCTGTCTTTAATCTCTCAATCGTGTCAGCTGAGGAGGATGTGTATCGCCTCAGGACCCTGTAATAATTGCATTAACTGCACAAATTGTACAGCATGTGTGTTTGAGCAATATGAAATATGGACACCTTGAAAAAAGAACAGGATAACAGCAATTGTTCAGGGAATAAGAGAGATAACCTTAAATTCTGACCACCAGTGAGCCAGGTGGAACAGAGCCATATTTCTCTTCTTTCAAAAGCAAATGGGAGAAATATCGCTGAATTCTTTTTCTCAGCATGGAACATCCCTGGGAAAGAGAATATACGCCTGGAGGTATACGCTTATAAACAGCTCCCCCAGGTGCGCCTGCCTCTTATGGTTGAGGCTGCAGGGGTCAAATAGACCCCAGTCTCCCGTAGCGCTCCCAGGCTTACTAGGAAGAGGAAATTCCCACCTAATAAATTTTGGTCAGACCAGTTGATCTCAAAAACCCTGTCTCCTGATTAAGATGTTATCAATGACAATGGTGCCCGAAACTTCATTAGCAATTTTAATTTCACCTTGGTCCTGTGGTCCTGTGATCTCACCCTGCCTCCACTTGCTTTGTGGTATTCCATTACCTTGTAAAGTACTTGATGTCTGTGACCCACACCTATTCGCACACTCCCTCCCCTTTTGAAACTCCCTAATAAAAACTTGCTGGTTTTTGCAACTTGTGGGGCATCACGGAACCTACCGACATGTGATGTCTCCCCCAGACACCCGCCTTTAAAATTTCTCTCTTTTGTACTCTGTCCCTTTATTTCTCAAGCTGGCCGATGCTTAGGAAAAATAGAAAAGAACCTACGTGAATATCGGGGCAGGTTCACCGATAGTTGGTGACTGTTTTATTTCTTTGTTGTGTCTTGGGCCTGCTGGGTTATAATAGTTAGTCTGTGTGTCAGAACTTGGCTGGGACTTTTGGATTCTGGGGTGAGAGACCTTTAGCGCTCCCCTACCTCAAACTATTAGAAGCTACCAGTACCCGAAAAAACAACTTAATGACTGTGAACATTTAAGCTGGCTTAGATCAGACCACAACATAGAGCAGCACTCTCTCCTCTCTTATCAGGCCTTTCCAAATCCTGCACATCCACAAAGATCGACATGGGAGAAGGAAGAAAGAGCTTTGCCATGTCTTATGAAACACTGGTGTGGGTGCCTCGCCTGGTAGCTGATGGCTCTTCTCACAGCAACTCCGTTTTCAGCGACAGGCTCTTATTTACTGTTGGGGCCACAAGTAGTGTCATGCCTTGTTAACTATATTTATAAATGCAAATCCCATTGCAAGAAACCTCCAGAGAAAGATCAGATGCCTAATATCCTCCAATCCCAAGAGAGGAAAAAGGCCCAGGGCGGCTGAGACACTTGTCCAAGGCCACTCTGTATTTGGTGGATAGAGGCATAACTGGAGCCTGAGTTGTCCACCATGGCTGGTGTGCTGCGTGCAGCTGAGCTGGCTTCTCGGAGAAGCCTTGTATGGTAAGTGAAAGGGCAGGACCTTGTGTAGGCACATTCATCAGTTACCAAGCATTCACCACATAGTTACCATGCACCCAGGATGGGGCTGCGTGGGACAGGTGAAGAAGAGAAAACGGTCCCTTTCCTGGAGAGTATACCGTCAGCTCGGGGAGCTACAATTCACACAACACAGTTAACAGCAACATCCTAGCTCACTGGAGTGGGAGTAGCTCTAAGAACACAGGAGCACAAAGGAAGGTAATTCAGATGGTGGTTAAAAGGTCTGCTCAAGGCCGGGCGCAGTAGCTCATGCCTGTAATCCCAGCACTTAGGGAGGCCAAGGCGGGCGGATTACCCTGAGGTCAGGAGCTCGAGACCAGCCTGGCTAACATGGTGAAACACCATCTCTACTAAAAAATACAAAAATTAGCCAGGTGTGGTGGCACATGTCTGCAATCCCAGCTACTCAGGAGAATCATTTGAACCCAGGAGGCAGAGGTTGCAGTGAACTGAAATCATGCCATTGCACTCCAGCCTGGGCTATAGAGCAAGATTCTGTCTCGAAAAAAAAAAAAAAAAAAAAAAAAGTTCTGTTCCGACTCAAACTCAGATAGGCCTAGCTCGAATCCTAGCTCTCCTGCGGCAAGTCACTTACTCCTCTTAAACCTCCCTTTGCCCATCTTTGAAATGGGAATAACAACAGTACCTCTGTCATAGGATGGTGAGAATGAAGTAAGATCTTGCCTGCCAAAGTGCTTAGCAGAGAGCTGGCCAACATGATAAGTGCCCTGTTATCTAAGCTAACATCAATTACTTAATTTGTTTACTAATCAAAACGGAGAGGAGTGCCATACGCATACACCTCGCTTCTCACTGAATATCACCATGCATATGGTATTCCAAAGCGGTCCATGCGGGGGTAGAATAACCCTGAAGAATGCTAATTAGATGACTGGCATGATCTGCCAAGTAAACATGATCTAGAAATGGGATTAGCCAAGGGTCAACCAATTATGGTGGGATTAATTGGCTACTGATTTGTCAGGGGTGACCGGGCGCATCACACGGTATTTGGGGAGCAGTAATCACCTGCTTTCCCACACACTTGTTCAGTTTCAGCCTTTCAATCCGCCCCCGAATGCAAGCACAGTACTGAAAGTGACTGTGCTTGTTTTGAGAATTGCCTTTGCAGAGCAACTACCATGCTGCTATGCAGAAAAGGATTAAATTGTTCTTAAGATTTCTGTTTGCTAATCTCTTCACTAGCTTCACAAACACCCCAAGGTCATGTTTAGTACTAGATCCATCTACAATAATACCATTAGGGCAGAGTGTACTCCTGTCCCTGGGTTCTTCATGAGTTAATTAAAAAGGTGATCTATAGGCTTCTGCACAGAAACGGAAACAAAAAGAGAATGTCTTTCTGTAAAGCAGAATGACAAACATTTCCATCTAAGGAAAATTGAGTCAAAGTTCCAGAAGCCTGAAGAGGTAACTTTGTCTCAAAAGCCAATATGCCTTTCATCTGAAAGATGTTTTCACCTAGAGAACAAAGCCTTAATCGGGCACAGACACTGCAAGGTGCCCACTGGCTTAGAATCAATCAGAAATTCAACATATTCAACTTGGCTCATAATCTGACCATTAACACATAGAATTACAGTTGTCTTAGCACCTGCAATGTTGGCTAACCTGTGGCTTTTTCAACCAACCTATGAAGTGACACCAATTTAACCAAGGAAATAAGAATGAGATTTACCATGAAGAGAAATTCCATCATCCCTGATTTGCCTTGAAAGCTCTGTGACAGACCGTCCACTTCTAAGGAAAGTGTAGCCTAATCTAGTCATCAGCTTTGCAGTTTCTCCTGGGAACCCTATTTGCTCAGTTACCTAGAAGAAGATTAACATGAACTTTAAAAAAATCAATGTAATAATCACTTTGCACTCACAAGAATGGCAACTATTTTAAAAAAACAAACAAACAGAAAAAAGCGTTTATAAGAATGTGGAAAAATTGGAATCTTTGTGCACTGTTGATGGGATTATAAAATGAAAAACAGTATGAACATTCCTCAAAAAACTAAAAATTAGAACTGCTATATGATCCAGCAATCCCACTTTCGAGTATATATCCAAAAGAATTGAAAACAGGATCTCAAAGAGATATTTGCACACCCATGTTCACTGCAGCATTATTCACAAGAGCCAAGATATGGAAGCAACTCAAATGTCTACTGACAGATGAAAAAGAAAATCTGGTATCTGCATATAATGGACTATTATTCAGACTTAAAAAAAGGAAAGACATCCTCTCATTTGAGACAACATGGATAAACCTCGAGGACATTATGCTACGTGATATAAACCAGTCACAAAAAGACAAATACTGTATGATTCCACTTACGTGAGGTATCTAAAGTAGTCAAATTTATAGAAACAGAAAGTTGAATGGTGGTTACCCAGGGCTGTGCGGGGAGGGGAAGGAAAAAGGGAACTTGCTTAATGGATGTAGCGTTTTAGATTTGCAAGATGAAAAAGTTCTGGTGATCCATTGCACAACAATGTGAATATATGTGACACTATTGAGCTGTCCACTTGAAAATTGCTAAGCTGGTAAATTTTATGCTATGTGTATTTTCAAAAAGCTAAGATGAATGCACAGATGGAGGAATAGATAGATGGTCAGATAGGTAATGAAGCAATCATAATGAAATATTAGTGCTGGAATCTAGGCAGTGGGTATGTAGATGTTTATTGTAAAATCCTTTAAACTTTTTTTGTGTTTGAGTATTTTCACAATAAAATGTTCGCAAAGAATAAAAACTCAATGTAGTAATTAATATTTATACACACGCACCCCACATATGATAGCTATACTATATATGTAGCTAATATTTGTAATTATAACTCATTTTTATTAAAAAAAGAATTAAACCTCTCTGAAAGAGTAAAATATTATAAAAGTAAAAGGACTCTTCTTGCTCAACATTTTTTCATCAGCTAAAACATGTACATTGGCTTTTAGAAAATCATTTGGGTTAGAAGGGCTCTTCAGTGAATAGCAACTAACCTCTGCTCAGCCTTCTTTGACCCCAGTTCTGCTGCCTGAGCCAACTGCATTTCATCACTTCCGTTTATTTGTTTCTGGAGGTTATTTCTCTACCTTTCCCTGACATGCTTATACCACTGCTTCTTATTTCACCAACTTCAGGTATTGTCTTTGACTTCCTGTCCTGAGAGATGTGACTTTGGCCCCGAGACACCATCCCCCACCTCCCCACAGCTCATCAGCCACTTCACCCTCCTCCCCATTGCCTTCTCTCCTCTCCCTTCTCCCTGTTAAATGCACGACCCTGAGTTCCTCCGCCAGCTATCTCTGCAACTTCAAATGCACACCCAGACCCCTGTTTTTTGTGCCATCAATTATCCATATCAACTCTTGGTTCTCTGTTTGTAAGGTGAGGATTGTGGTATTTCCATCCTCCTCCATACTTCCTCTCCCACTTGCCTTCCCCCAACAGACTATTCACTATGCCTTTACTTTTATATTCTTTTATATTGTTACATCCATTTGAATATGCCAAAGCAAAACACCAAAAACCCTATAACAACTCCATGTTGAAAAATCTTGTTCTAACATGGTGAACAAGCACACTGCTAAGAATATTAAGCCCCTCATGAACACCCGGACAGTTGGGTATTAGCCACATTTGCCAACATTAAGCTCAAAAAACAGGTGCCTCACTGCTTTTATCCTGGGGAGGTAGATAGCCAGTCCATCAGGATCCCTAGTGGAAAAAAGAGAAGAGGCATTTCACAAACTACTATGTTATTAAAAAAAGAAAAGAAATAAAAAAGGTACCACATCTGCTTTGCATGCTTTCAGGGTCTGAAAGGCCTATACAATTGCATTAGGTTTTTAAAAATGAGATTAAAGGAATTAATGTAAGATAGAACCATAATGGATTATTGGAGGGAAGGTAGGCACATTTAGGGGATGTTCTTGGCCTTTCCGTTTGGCTGACCTATCCCAAAACTTTTCCTCTGGGTCTCTATCAGAGACATGGCAGTAACCTGGATGGACCATAGGCACGAGTCCTGTAGCCCATTCCTCCCGAAGCTGCAGCCTTTTTCATCCTGCCATGTATCTGAGTTATGCACGTGCCTTGACACCTTCACTAAATCATATATAACTTGAATCCGGGGACTCAAGGGTTTCAACCATCTTTGTTTTCTTCTCCATTACTGTCACTGTGCTAGAGCCCAAGTCTCCTGAAATGCGCCCTGGAGCCTTGCTCAAAGATGTCAACCCAACATGCTGATCAGGTAGCTATTTTGTCTGAAGCTGGTAGTTCATGACAGGCTCTGACATGTGCTGAGCTTGCTCTGTGCCCTGCTTCCCCCAGGACATTGCAAATGGCTTTCTCCTAGGACTGTGTGTCATGCTTTTGGAGTGTGACAGCCTCAAATTGCTCTGTGACATAGTTAATGAAGTAGAGAACACCTCCTATTTTCTTTTTTTTCTTTTTTCTTTTTTGACCGGGGGAGAAAGCACAAATTCAGAGCAATTTCATGCCTTACTATAGTCGTGTGATAGTTTGCTGCCATTGCTAAATTGAGCTTGCATTGACCTCTGCTAATTCCAAGTCTGGAATCCTGGCCTCTACTTGACTATGATCGGCAGATAATGGCACCAGAATGATGCCCACCTCCTAATGTCCGGAACCTGTGAATATGTTACCTCACATGGCAAAAGGGATTTTGCAAATATGATTTATTTTAAGGACTGTGAGATGGGGAGATTATCCTTGATTGTTCAGTGGGCCCAATCTAATCCTATGAATCCTTCAAAAGAGAGGAACTTTCCCAGCTGTGGAGAGAGGAAGACATGACTGTGGGTCAGATGGATGCAACATGAGAAGGACTTTACCTGCCATTGATGGCTTTGAAGATGGAGGAAGGGGCTATGAGCCAAGGAATGTGAGGGGTTTCCAAAAGCTGACAAGGGCAAGGAAACAATTTCCAATTTCTTCCCTCGAAACTCCATAGAGAAACACAGTCCTGCCCACACCTTGATTTTAGCCCAGTGGGACCTATTTCAGCCTTCTGACCTATGGAACCGTAAGATAATAAATGTGTGTTATTTTAAACCACTAAGCTTGTTGTAATTTGTTACAGTAGCAAGAGACAACTAATGTCCTGCCATAGTCTGGACTGATGTGTCCTCAAAGATATAAAAGCAACCAATTCCCCACAGCTACTAGGCACTTGAGAATTGCTTATGAATTGCATATGGGGAAATCTCTGCTACTTGGGACTCTTGCAAAATATGTCATGGTGATATATGAGTTTTTCCACAGAGATGAGGGTTTGCCTGTTTAGGACCCAAACATTTTTTATTTTAAACATTTTGTAAGATAGATATATATATATATACATATATATATATATATAGAGAGAGAGAGAGAGAGAGAGACACTGAGTCTCACTTTGTCATCCAGGCTGGAGTACAGTGATGTGAAGTAGTTCACTGCAGCCTCAAACTCCTGGGCTCAAGTGGTCCTCTCGCCTCAGCCTTACAGGTGTGCACCATCTCTCTCAGCTAATTTTTTATTTTTGTGTAGAGATGGAGATCTTGCTATGTTGCCCAGGCTGGTCTAGAACCCTGGGCCTCAAGTGATATTCCTGCCTCAGCCTCCCAAAGCACTGGGATTATAGGTGTGAACCATCGCACCCGGCCAGATGAACATTTTTAATCCATAGGAAGATTAAATTCTGTCTAAATCATATATATGTATTATAACTCCATATATCTCTCCATATTTCTCTCCATATATATTTCATCATATATACAGAGAGAGATTATGTTCTTATTATTCCTTTCTGCTTAAATGGAGTACATTAAACTTTATTTAACATTTTTGTGATATGTGGGAGAACTTATTTTGGGCACTAATTATTATCCAATACTACATCATTGCCCTTGGCGATGACTGAATTTCAGAAAACTACCACATATTGCAGATTCTCTGGAAAGTTCCCAATTTTAGATTCTGTCCTACTTTCCTTATTCTTATCAGACTACTTTTCCTGATAAAGTGCTCAGGCACCATGGTCACTTTAGTTGAAAGTCTGCTTGTCTTCACAATAAATGTCCTCAAACTACCATCTAACAGGGAATCCTAAACCATTCTGTTTGCCTCAAATACATTAAAAAGAAATAAGAATGGTTTGTAACTTCCTGTTTGTTACTTTTCAACCCTGATCAATTATTTTCTGCACAAAATTTTTAGTTAGGCAATGGACTATTAGGATACTGACATGGTAAGACTAGGTCATTTGAGGCCTTGAGAAGTCAGTTGACTTTTGCGTCAAGCAGCTGATTTGTAGCAGCAGGGCCACGATGAAAACTCAGAATCCCTTAGTTTCTGTTCTTTGACCTGGTAGACCTACCAGCCTGCTTTCAGCTTAAGTAGCAAACCCTGCATTTCTCCCAAGGAACCCTTTAAGCCAGACTGCAGACGTCAATCAAAAAAGCCAGTGTGATTACGATCTCCCTTCTCAAAATAATGCTTCCTTTCTAAACCCAGTCTCCGAAGATCAAAACCAAAGTAGGCCTCCAAACTCTAACCACAACCGTCTTCAAAAGTTATGGGGAGTCCCATCTCTTAGCAGTCTAGCTGCAGCTGCTGAAGTCGCCACCTGCTCAAATGACTGAGACAGGAAGCTCCTTTCCAGGGGGTGCCATGGCTGGAACCAGTTTTATACAAGAGGACTCCTAGCTTCTTGGTCCCCGGCTTCAGACTTATTTAATTAGCTGAGACACTCCTGTGGTTGCTAATCACTCTTAGTACAAAGAGGCGTCAACAAGCCTGTGGGTTAAAAGCAGGTCTCTTCTGAGTTTACTTAGCTTGGTCTAGAGAGAGGTGAGTGAGTGAGTGTGTGTGTGTGTGTGTGTGTGTGTGTGTGTGACTGCGTGAGCATAAGCTGTATGAGATTGTCTATGCGGGACTGTATTTGATTGTGGATGATCGTGTGTGTGCACACATGCATTGTGTGTGCATGTGGGCATGCATGTGCACATGCTTCTGCGTGTGGTTGTGTGTAGTTCTCTGAGTGTAAACTTGTGTGGGATTGTGTACGCATGTGCATACCTGCATTGTATGTGCTTGTGTGCAAGTAAGTGTGTTCATGCACACAGCTAAAGGAGAAACAGAAAGAAGGGCAGGATAGAAGCACAGAAGGAAAAGACAGGCAACAAGAAAAGGCAGAGAATAGACATGTGGAGGCCAGATACAGACAGAAGGAGTGGGTGCAAGGAGCAGGGAGCAGGGAAACAAGTGACAGGGCAAAGGTGGAGAGCAGAGGGCGGGGAAGCGAAGAGAGAGCACAGGACGTAAGAAAAGGAAGGACTCAGCGGGGTGAGGCCTTAGCCATTTCAGGCCTTAAGAAATGCCTCGTTAGGGAGGCAGGTGGACTCCGAAGCTTCCAGGAGAGTGACGTCATCCCCTTGTCATTTTTCTGTGTCGACATCACAGAGTCTGCTGTCTTTGTGTCCTGGTGGTTCTCATCACCTAGCCTGGGCTCTGGCCTCAACCCCCATGGCCCTGGGAGATGGTGCCATCCAGTCATATCTGAAACCTCTTTGTTGGGCCTGTGGTTTTATTTTTTCTAATAACGTAGCAACATCAAACAAAGGAAGTCACGCTTGTCCTTTGCCTCAACAAGGTAAATAGTCGCTGCCCCAGCTCAGGTGCCTCCCTTGCAGAACACACACAGGTGGGGAAAAGGGCTTGCAGGGGGCCTTGGGCTTATGGGGATAAAGAGGCAGGAACTGAGTCTGAGAACAATAAAAACCAGGCCTGGCACTTGGTGTGGAGCAGTGACCAGGGAGAGGACTTGACCTGGGGAAGGGACAGGGCTCCAACAGGAGCCTTCTGAAGCGTGCGGGCCAGGAGGCCAACTGCATAGGGTGGCGAGAAGGACCCAGGACCCACCCCCCGTGGCTTTCCCTTTCAGGTCTGAGTCTCTCCGTGTGCAGAAGGAGGATTGCATTGGCTCAGTGCTTTCCAAAGTGCTGAGGGATTCCAGGGGCACCCACGGAGCTCCCCTGGGGCCTGTGGACGGGGGTGGGTGAGTGAGCAGGAGTCAGGTCTCCCCTCTGCACTGACCTGAGCTGCCTCATCTTTACATTTTACTTTTATTTAAAGACTGTAAGCCAAAGCCAGTGTGAAGCCTCCTGAGCTGGCTGATCTCCACATCCCTGCCAGCACCTTATGACCCACCATTCTACACTGGTGGAGGGGGGCTTATGTTAGCGCTATTGGGACCCTGGGACAGAGTTGACAGTGAACTTTGGCAGAGGAGGAGGTACCTTTTTCGTGTGATTAGGGAACCTGGATTCTTTCCCTGGCCCCAGCACCGGATGTGTACCCCAAAGAGGCTAACTCCTTGGGACTGAAGCCCATCTGCCCACAAGATGCAGGAGTTTGAAGGGTGCACCCCACCCTAAAGGGCACAGTCTCATCACCCTGAATTTCTGGGTTGGGCAAACCACTAGTTGACACAGTATTCAGCCATAAAGAAACAGAGAAGCTACTTCCTTGAAATCAGTGCTACCTTGATAAGTATAAATCCTGCAAGAAACCAAGGAGAAACCCATATGAGATATTAACTTGTTGGGTAGAAGGTCAGGTTCACGTTTCACAGGATGACAATGGCTGTGCTGTGACCCAGCAGGCTCTGTTGTATGTGCCAAGGCCTCCCAGCTGGTCTGGGCCAGTTCTGTCCTTCCACGCCTCACTGGGAGCCACCCATTTTGTCAATAAGCAGCTGGTATCCCTCTGCTTCTTAGTCATATGTCATTTATAGACTCCTGATCTGCCCCCAGTGTCACGGCCGTTGTAGGTTCTGGAAGGAACAGAAAGCAGGTAACTGACAGAAAAACCATCCACCCTCGGTTGAGTTCTCTTTGAGTTTTTCTCTTGGATTTGGGAGCTGGGGGCGGAGGGTGCCTGCCTGTGTGCTGGGGGTATGGGGAAAGGCATTCACCACCAGGCTGAAAAATGACCAACTGCTCAAAAGCCAGGTGGATAAATCTGCCAATTCAGTGAAATCACATCCTGTTCCATTCGGAGGGGACAGCAAACACAGATGCACACAGCGGAGTAGTAATTACATCTCAGAAGATGCTAAATATTTCAACGCCTGTCTGGTGCCGATTCTTATTGGAGGGAATTTTCTGGTGTTGGGTTTTACAGGCAGTAAAGTTGTGTACTGAGTTATTTTTCTCTACCTCTCAAAAAGCACTGTGTCCATATTTTACCATGTGTCAGGTAATATGGAAGTTGGCTTTATGCAAATCATTAGTTACCTTAAACCACAATCTCTGTACTCACACTGGAAAGCTCTTCCCTGGAGTTGTCTCTTTGCTGGGGAAAACTCTTCATCACTGGATGGTCGTTTATTTCTGTTTCTAGGAGCAACCACTTCAGATTCCTAGCGTGTGGGTGGTTTGCACGCATGAGTCATGCAGATGTTACGTTCCCCTGAAAGAACCAGCCAGATCTTTTACCAGGCAGGGACTTTGTCCCAAGCTGCTGTGACCTGGGAGGTTAGCCCTGCTACTGCAGCCAGAGGCTAACTGTTGAGGAGGCACAAAGGCCAGCCCCCTTCTCTGAAGGACGGTGTGACTGCCCTGTGGAAATGCCCCAGCGGCCCTTGGGCCTCAGGTCACAGCTCGGCTTTACCCAAGATCCATCCTTGCTTGGCCCGTCCTTCCCTAATGCTCGTGGAGGTTTTTCCTGAAGGGCGCTCCCTGGAGAAATCACATGCCCCGGAATCCCTGTCTTAGGCTCTGCTTCTAGAACCTGAACTAAGACAGGAAGTAGGCCCCTACAGCGATGGCCCTGAAGAGCCTGGATTCCATGGTCTTTTACCTGGTGTCATAAATGGTTCCCCCAAGTCAGTCCAGTTTCTCTAGTTTCCCTGAGAACTTTGCCTGTGGCAGAGGCAGATCACAGAGGCTCCACTCCAGCACAGAGCAGGGAGACAGCAGGTCACACCACTGCCAGTTGAGTGCTCTGCCAGTTGATGGCAACTTTAGTAGGATGGATTCTTCCTAGGATGCACCTATGAGGCAAAGTGTTTTGTCCCAAGGGTCACAGGCTTACAATGATGGGCAGAGAGAAACCCATTTGCTTTGTGCAGACACCTAAAGGACTACTGTGAACGGGCTCTCCCTTACCAGGCTACTGCTGTCATCTGAAGTTCCAGTTTTAGAGATTTAGTTCTTGGTGGCACACAACTATAGTTCTAGCTACTTGGGAGACTGAGGCAGGAGGATCACTTGAGCCCAGGAGTTTGAGACCAGCCTGAGCAACATAGTGAGACCCCCTTCTCTATATTTTTGTTAAAAAGAGATTTAAATCTTTATGTTGAAACACAATCTGACTTATTACTGTGTCAGCCATTAGCAGTTTCACGTGAATTAATTTGTCCCAGAGTCCAGTGTGACAGCTGGTCCAGGCAGCATTGGATGGGGGCAGGGAGGAAAGTTAGGGCCAGAATAGAAGTTTGGGTGAGACGCTCATGCCATGGACTGGGGCAATGTGAGAGGCCACAGCCAAGGTCTGCCCTTTTCCCAGTTTTGCTGATCACAGTGGTAGTGAAAAAAAGATCCATTTTTAACGATCCTCCTTTTCTATTTCGGAGTCATACACAGTGATGGACACATAGCAGGACTTAAAAATGCTTGCTCTGCAACACGAAGACAACGACTGAATGACCCCACTTCCATGAGGTATCTAGAGTAACCAAACTCATAGAAACAGAAGCTAGAAGGCGGTTGCCGGGGTCCAGGGGGAGGAAAATGGAGAACTGTTGTTCAATGGTGATGGAAACGCTTTGGAGATGGGTTGTATAACAGTGTGACTATACTTAACACAACTGAGCCGTGCACTTAAAAATGGTTGATGGAAGCCCTGAAACTCTGTACGTCTATTACGCATCATTAAAAATATTGCTCAAAAAATAGTCGATGGCAAATTTTATGTTATGTATGTTTTACCACAGTATAACATTTTTAAACAGTGCATGCTTTTCAAAGACAATTTGGGCTTTTCATAGAGCAGATCCTCGGGAACTATTTGTTGACTTACTTGCAGAGCACATTCCTTTGGCAAACTCCCAAACCTAAGAGAAAGGCTCAAAAAGAAATAAGCAAAAAAAAGCATAAAGGCCCTGAAGCCCTTCAGAAACCTGTTTCCAAATTCTTCCAGATTCCAACTTCTCCCCTACTGAGGCTGTTCCCAAACCTGTCTCCACACGCCTCCCACTCCAAACCCAACCCTGCCCTGGCCCTGCCACATTTCCAGATTCTCTGTTGCTTCCCTCCTTTCAGATTCTACTTTTATCTTCTCAGATGTTAACTCTTTCCCCATCCAAAGCACAAAAAATTAGCCAGGCATGGTGGCATGTGCTTGTAATCCCCACTACCTGGGAAGCTGAGGTGGGAGGATTGCTTGACCCCGGAAGGTTGAGGCCGCAGTGAGCCGTGATTGTGACCATGTGACTGCACTCCAGCCTGGGTAACAGTGTGAGACACTGTCTCAAAAAAAAAAAAAATTGATTTGTCGTTATCAGTCCGTTTTCACGCTGCTGATAAAGACATACCAGACTTCGGGTAATTTATAAAGAAAAAGAGGTTTAATGGACTCACGGTGCCAAGTGCCTGGGGAGGCCTCACAATCATGGCAGAAGGCAAAAGGCACATCTTAAAGGGTGGCAGGGAAGAGAGAGAACCAAGCAAAAGGGGTTTCCCCTTATAAAACCATCAGATCTCGTGAGACTTTTTTACTACCAGGAGAACAGTATGGGGGAAACCTCCCCATGATTCAATTGTCTCCCACTGGGTCCCTCCCACAACACATGGGAATTATGGGAGCCACAGTTCAAGACGAGATTTGGGTGGGGACACAGCCAAACCATATCACTTGTAGAAAAAGTAATGCTTCAAAGCCTTCAATAGGGAATTGATAAATACATTAACTAACAAAGGAATACAACCAGCTATTAGACAAATGAGAGAGATCTCTGTGTTAGCAGGGAAAGATGATAAGGAAGACAAGGCAGGATATAGAAGAGTGATCCTCCCGCTTTGACTTCTCAAAGTGCTGGGATTGCACCATGCCTGGCCCTGTGGCAGACATCGAAAGGGCTGCTGTGAAGGAACTCTCCCTTACCAGACAACAGCTGTTATCTGAAATCCTACTTTTAGAGACTTAGTTCTCGATAGCACACACCTGTAGTCCCGTCTAAGCTGGAGACAGAGGCAGAGAATGGCTTGAACCCAGGAGTTTGAGACTGCAGTGAGCTGTGATAGTGCAACACGGGGCTGTGCTGTGAGTCCCGCCTACCCCTCCCCAGAGTGTAATCCAGGAAGATTTCCAGAGGAGCCTTGAGAGCTTTGACAATGTGTTAATGCCATTGGGAGACCCTGAAGGCTGGCCTCTGTCTCCATGGACTGGGGTCTAAGTGCTGTGAAAAAAATCTGAAGGCCGGAGAGGACTAAGTGTTTTGGAGGTGCTAGGGAGCTGCTGGACTGGGGATTCCCTGCTCCCCACATCTGCGGGAGCAGGAAGGCAGCTGTAGGGCTACTATGGTCTGAATATTTGTGTGCCTCCAAATTCATGTTGAAACTTCATCCCCAAAGCAACAGTATTGAGAGAGGTGGTGCCTTTAGGAGACGATTAGGCCATGAGGCTCCACCCCTCAAGGATGTGATTAGTGCCTTATAAAAGGGCTGAAGGGAACTAGTTAGGCCCCCCTTTTTGCCCTTCAGCCCTTCTGTCGGGGACAGAGCATTCGTCCCCTCCAAAGGACGAAGAGACAAGGTGCCATCTTGGAAGCAGAGGACAGCCCCCACCAGACATAAACCCACTAGGGCCTTGATCTTGGGCTTCCCAGCCTTCAAAATTGTAGGATATAAATTATCATTGCTGATCAATTACCCACTCTGTGGTATTGTGTTAATAACAGCAGGAATGGACTAAGAGACCATGATGTGTCTGGTCCAGGAGGCCCCAGCTGTGGGACACTGGGGGGTAACCTGGAAGTGTCTCAGGTTGACGAGGGGGCCATTGGGGATGGAGATGTATTTGCCCCATCAAGGGAACTCCCCCTCACAGGGGAGAGGGGCCAGCGGGGGATTTCTGAAAAGGCCCTGCAAGAGCATCAGCCTTAACAGTCTGCCAGAAACGGGAGCAGGGCCCAACTTGGGATGCCCCATTGCAATAGGAACTGTCTTCTGCCTCTGCTTCTCTTTCTCTGATGCCCTTTGACCCTCCACCTGGCAAGCAGTCAGGAAGAGAGTAAAGATCAGAAGAACCCATCATGCTTCCCACCCAAAAATAGTTCCACCCTGGGGAGGGAGGGAAGACATTCCTTTTACTGAATTGAGACTATGTTTGGGCCTTCAAGAGACTGCAGGAAGGCCTGAGTGATGCAGGTGCCAGCGAAGATCACCCTCACTGGATAAAACTTGAAGACACCAAGAGAGGAAAAGTCAAATTGTGTTTTGATCACAATCCAAATGTCAAGCTAGTTTATGTAGGTTTTCATGTAGATTAATTTCAGAATAATTGTCCTAACTCTGCTCCACTGTGCTCTGTGTAAATTGCTTCAGGGAAACATGATCAGCTTGCTTAGTAGGCAGCAAATATCTTGGCAATGACACAGGTTTTAGACTCACCCCCCATCTCCCCAGTTCAGGCAATTAAGTCTTATTGGTCTTCATTTAGATGAACAGGACAAGCTTCTGTAATTAACATATTGTTGTCAACTTGGAATGTCTGCCCAGCTAAAAAACGCAATGTGTAATTTATTGTGACTGCTTTTCATTGAATGAGATAGAAGAAAAGTAAATTAGCCATAAATTTAGAGAGATGGCACATAGTGAAATTTTATGGAAACTATCACATTAGCAGTAAGAGAAAAGGCCAGCTCCCAAGAGAATGCACAGGAGAAAAATTTTACTCTGTGAAGCTCCACCAAATGCTATGAGTGTAAGAAACTCTGGGGTGAGCATCAGGGACGTAAAGACTGGTGTTTCCAGTTCTCATAAGGGAGAAAGAAATTGCTAAGCCAAGGCTCTGGAATCCTCAAGGCTGGCCAAGGCTACACAAGTTCAGGCACTCAGCAGAGAGCTGATGGAAATGCATTAGTGCTGTTGTGGCCCATGCACATGACTTGCCAGGTAGCTCAGAGGGAAGACTCCCTGGAGGTTTGCTGCTTTACCTTCAAGTCTGGGCTGATGCAATCCCTGGAGGTCTTAAGCCAGCTTGGGCTGCTAAAACAAAATACCATAGACTGCCCAGCTTAAACAACAGATATTTATTTCTTACAGTTCTGGAGGCTGGGAAGTCCAAAATCAAGGTATGGGCAGATTGTGTTTCTGGTGAGGGCTCTCTTCCTGGCCAGCAGACAGCTTCCTTCTCAACATATCCTCACATGGCAGAAAGAGGAAGCTCTGGTTTGTCTTCCTCTTCTTATAAGGGCACTAATCCCACCTTGGGGCTCACTTTCATGACTTCATCTAAACCTAATTACCTAATACCACATTGGCGTTTAGGGCTTCCACATATGAATTCTGGGGGACACAAACACATAGTAACTATCCAGGGTGCAAATAATAGGCCCTCTGTTGGATGCTTTCTGAACTTCACCTTCACCAGCACCCAGTTATGAATACAGATGATTAAGACTGGGCTGTTTCCTTTCCCACACTCCAGCCTTTCAGGAGACAAAATGGGGGAAAGAAGAAAAGCCTTAGTGGCACCATCAACAAGGGCCCTCAAATATTATTTCTTGGGGTACGTGAGTCTGTATTTGTGTCTTGTTCCAAAAAGGAATTAAGGTGGCTTGCAAAGATAAAAGCACTAGTTTGGAAGACAGACGAGGTAACAGGACAACAAGGGTAGGGACAGAAGATGGGGCCAAGTCTTAAAATAGAAGGCAAATTAAATCTATTTTGCCTTAGTAGGGAACAGTGCCACTTTTTCTGGGAAGCCAATGGCATTCTGTTCCATCTCTCTTTTAAATTAAAAGTTAAGTAGTGTTAGTCTTAATCTAGGGGCCTGCATTTCGATGAGTTTGTTTTGTTTTAGTTTTTTGTTTGGTTCCCTGACCTAAAATCTCTATTTCAATAGGAAAAGCAGGCTCCATCACAGCCCATTGAGAGTTTTCTTGTCACTACCTTCCTCTCGGGATCTTTGGTGGGGAACTTGGCAACTCTTAGGGGGAGCAGAGGAAGTCAAAGGTTAAGAAAGAATTGGACAGTCTGTACAATACGAGAACGCCATATTTTAAAGAAGAAAATTCTAGAAAGAATGTTCATTTTACCTCTAGCATTTAGATGGCTCAGGATTTAATTATTTTCTGGAAGAGAGTAAGACTAGGTAGGCATCCTCCAGTAAAGCCAAAATCTCCATAAATAAAACAGAATTATGTGGATAACGGACTTGAGTTTTTGCTTTGGCTGTGTAAGTACAGTGAAGCGGAGCAGTGTTTATGTCAATTTTGTGATATTTTTATTTGGCAGAACAAAGGCTATCTTTTATTTCAACCCCAAGACTTGTTTGCCAAGATTATCTTTATTTAAATGCTCCGTGTTCATAAGCAACAACACTTCTATAGTCTCACATAGAACAGTCACTTTTAGTCCCTGGAGTTAAAAACAAAACAAAGCAAAACAAAAATCAGGGAAGTTATGCAAGTATTATATAAATAGTGTCTAATGATTCCCCACTATCTATAGGGTCAAGTCTAATTTCTTAGCCAAGGAGGAAATAATTTCTTGCATTCTGACTCTTCTAACTTGGTACCTCACTTTTCCTCCAAAAACATCCCTACAGGGACTTTTGGGCTCCAGATAAAAATCTTTGACTGCTGTCTCAGCTGGAGTTGCCCATACTTACCTCCTCAGGCATGAAGTTTGTGGCCTTTGGCTGGAAATGCCAGGGAATTAACGCCTCCCCTCCTCGGTTCGACAAGCATCTCTCCACCAACACCTGCTGGCAGTTGAAGAATAATCATCTTCCCAGCTTCCCTGCCGCTCAGCCTCTCAAGGGAATCATTTAGGATGGGTGTGTTAAGGACTAAATTGTGTCCCACCAGGTTCACATATTGAAGCCCTAATGCCCGGTACCTCAGAATGTGACTGCATTTGGAGATAGGGCCTGTAAGGGGGTGATAAGTTAAAATGCAGCTGTTAGGGTGGCCTCTAATCCAATCTGACTGGTGTCTTTATAAAAAGAGGAAATTTAGACTCACAGAGAGACACCAGTGATGCGGTTGCACAGACCAGGAAAGCCAAGGAAAGACTGATTTCAGGAGAAATCAAAGATACACCTTGAACGTGGACTTCCAACCTCGAGAACTGAGAGAAAATAAACTTCTGTTGTTTAAGTTACCCTGTCTGTGGTATTTTGTTATGGCAGCCTGCACAGACGAATACAGGTGTCCCTCATAAAGACTTCATTTCCACCAGGCTCCTGTGATCACTCTTCCCTCTCCATTCATCACAATTATTTTCTGCAGCATTCCGGCCAGGCGTGGTAGCTCATGCCTATAATCTCAGCACTTTGGGAGGCCAAGGCAGGCGGATCACTTGAGCTCAGCAGTTCAAGACCAGCCTGGCCAATGTGGTGAAAATCCATCTCTACTAAAAATACAAAAATTAGTCCGGCATAGTGGCATGCACCTGTAGTCCCAGCTACTAGGGAGGCTGAGGCAGGAGAATCGCTTGAACCTAGGAGGCAGAGGTTGCAGTGAGCTGAGGTTGTACCATTGTACTTCAGTCTGGGAGACAGAATAAGACTCTGTCTCAAAAAAAAAAAAAAATTCTGCAGCATTCATTTGAAAAAAAAAATTATTTTCCTTGACTCTTTATACTTTATTTTTTTCTAAGTCTTCATTTGATCATGAACCAAAGCTTCATTGAACACCATAATGCACTGAGTCCTGTTCAAAAGCAAGTGGGTTGCTAGATTCTCCACTTCAGCTATGAATCCACCACAGAACCAAACAAAGCCTTCAACACCACAGGGCTTAGAAAAGCACAATGATTTCTCTTTTTAAAAGTCACTGTTTTGGCCGGGCGCAGTGGCTCACGCCTGTACTACCAACACTTTGGGAGGCCAAGGCAGGTGGATCACTTGAGGTCAGGAGTTCGAGACCAGCCTGGCCAACATGGTGAAACCCCATTTCTACCAAAAATATAAAAAGTTAGCTGGGTGTAGTGGTGCGTGTCTTTGATCCCAGCTACTCAAGAGGCTGAGGCAGGAGAACCATTTGAACCCGGGAGGCAGAGGTTGTAGTGAGCTGAGATCGTGCCACTGCACTCCAGCCTGGGCAACAGAGAGAGACTCCATCTCAAAAAAAAAAAAGTCACTATTTTTCTGATTGTTAAAGTAATTGGAATTATTAAATAATTAGGAAAATATATAGAAAAGCATGACAATGAAAATAAAAATCACCCATAAAGACCCCTCCCTAGGTAGAATTGCTGTTAAGATTTTGAAGAATTGTCTTCCAATCTGATTTTGAAAATATACGTCAGGAGCATTTCCCCTGTTGTGAAGCAGCTTGTAGAAATCATTGGTAATATTGTGATAACATTCTATTGTATGGATTTACTGTATCTGTCCATCTATCTATCTACATATCTATCTGTTTATCTATCATCTGTCTACCTATATGTCTATGTATCCATTATCTATCTATCTATCATGTCTACCAGTCTATCTATCTATCTATCTATCTATCTATCTATCTACCAATCTATCATTTGTCTACCTGTCTATCCATCTATCATCTATCTACCTGTCTAGCTATCTACCTATCATCTGTCTACCTGTCTACTTGTCTATCTATCACCTGTCTACCTATCAGTCTATCTATCTACCTAGCATCTGTCTGCCTATCTATCATCTATCTACCTGTCTATCTACCTATCATCTACCTGTCTACTTGTCTATCATCTGTCTACCTATCTATCATCTGTCTACCTGTCTCTCTATCATCTGTCTACCTGTCTATCTATCTGTCATCTGTCTACCTGTCTATCTATCTATCATCTGTCTACCAGTCTACCTATCTGTCTATCGTCTATCTATCTATGTATCATCTTCCTATCTAGCCATTCACCCATTACTAGACATCTGGCTCTTTCCAATTGTGTTTATTATTATATTATTATTTTGCTTTGTTAAGTAGCTTGGTTCATTAACTCTCTGTATAAATCTTTGTTCAAATTTCTGATAATTTCCTTAAGATAGATTCCAAGGAGACTATAGGATCATGGGAGATGACCTTTACAGTTCTAGAAAGACATTACTAAATTGCTACTCTGGGGTGATTACACAAACCAGATGTGATTTTTACTATAAAATAACAAGGACATACTAAGGGTTCTTCTGCTGCTTAGATTCGATAACCTCAAACTTAAAAGAAGAGAAATGTTATAAGATAGTCAGAAAACTTCTGAATAATATTGGAAAGTTGACTACAAAAAGCTCAACTTTTTGTTACTGCATCGTAATTATGATAGAAATCATTAAGCTTGTCCCAGTCAAGATCCAATATAAAAAACTGAGGTTTCTTAAGTCTAGAATTTTAAATCTAACATAAAATGTAGAAAGACCCTTAGAAAGCACCTGCCAATTTTATAGATGATGAATGTGCAGCCCAGGGAAGTGGATTTCTCAAGATCACGCAGCTGCTAGTCAAAGAGCTGGTATAGGTATTCCTATCTCCCAAGCACTGGTTATAGAAATTTCTTTTAGGAGATTTAAGTCAGGGCAGCACCTAGCAATAATGATATGACTTATGCCTAAACATTTCCAACCAGGGATATCCTTGAGTTGGCTGCTAATAAATGGTTTTCCAAACACAGTTTATTAATTGGTTAGTTAGAAGAACAGTGAATTACAAAGACGATACTGAAATAATGAGTATGTCTAAATAAGAGGTACTGTTGGAAACAAGGGTCGCCTGCTGCAGGAACTACCATGGCTTTGCCTTTGGAGAAAAATGAGAATTTAATTCCTTTTGGAGCTTTTGAGTGACTGAGGAAAGTCCTATGCTCACCTCCTTTCTCAGGATTTTTGGAATGAATAATGAGCAAGAAGTAAAGTTTTGCTCTGCTTCTCTTGCAGCCTGGGAAAAATGGGTTGACTGTGCAAGGCAGGCAGGCAAGGCCAACACATTGTCTTCCTGGTCTGAATGTAGAGACTTAGATCCTAAGAAAACTGAGTTCTATACCAGCACTGTCCAATAGGAGATAATGTGAACCATGTATACAATTTTAAATTTCCTTTTTTTTTTTCTTTTTTGAGACAGGGTCTCTCTCTTTCATCCAGGCTGGAGTGTAGTGGCACGATCTTGGCTCACTGCAACCTCTGCCTCCCAGGTTCAAGCAATTCTCATACCTCAGCCTCTCGAGTAGCTGGGACTATGGGCACGTGCCACCACACCTGGCTAATTTATATATATATATATATATATATATACACATATACACACACACACACACACACACACACACATATATATACACACATATATATGTATATATATGTATATATGTGTGTGTATATATATATGCATATATATGTGTGTATATATATGTGTGTATATATATATATATATATATATATATATATATATATATATATATATATTTTTTTTTTTTGTGGAGATGCAGTTTCGCCATGTTGCCCAGGCTGGTCTCGAACTCCTGAACTCAATCAATCTGCCTGCCTTAGCCTCCCAAACTGCTGGGATTACAGGTGTGAGCCACTGTGCCTGGCCCAATTTTAAATTTTCTAATAGTCACATTTTAAAAAGTAAAGCTAATTTTAGTAATATATTCCGTTTACCCCAATATATCCCAAATATTGTCATTCAACGTGTAATCAATATAAAAATTGTTATTGAGCTAGTTCTTTTTTTTTTTTTTTTTTTTTGGTCATATTAAGTCTTTGAAATCCAGTGCCTATTTTTCACTTACAGCCCATCTCAGTTTAGACTGGCCACATTCCGAATGCTCAATAGTCACGTGTGGCAAATGGCCTCTGGGTTGGACAGCACAGATCCATACAGCAGAATTCAAGGTCAGGTGAACCCATGCCTGAGGGTTTTGTTACCATAGTGGAAAAATAAAAACGATGATATGGTCATTTTAATCTCTTTTAAGTGTCTACCAGGCAATGTGTCTAAGTTATAATTAAGAAGGGAGAGAGAGAGAAGGAGAAAGAGAGAGAGAGAGAATTAAATTAGCCTCAGCTGGGTAATTTTGCACACTTGGCTGACAGCTTGAATTCATGTCCCCGAGCGCCAACAGTTCATCTACTGCTGACCTTGTGGCAACCACCTGAAGGCCACTCAGCACCCCCACTGCCATTAATCACACCCAGAGAGGCCTTGCCAGGGAGAGGAGTTGCAGGCGTGGTTCTAGAACAGGATGCCACAAATGGTAGAGGGTTTTTCTTATCGGGGACTCACAGTCATAGAAAGAAAGTCTCCTTGTTCAGGGAGGGTTGCTTTTGTTTGCTTTTTCTTTTCTCTTCCAGCTGAAGGGAGTTCCTGGGAAAGATGAATGCCATTGGAAGCAGAAATTCTTGCCAGTAAGAAAAAAAACCTGCCCCATCCACACACTTGCCCCACCCAAGCAGCTATTCCAGCTTCAAAGGACTAAGCAACTGGCCCAGCCCCTCCTGCTCCAAGCTTCCCCAGGGCCAGTCCAGGGAACGCTGGGCCAGGCCTTGCAGAGAAGCCTGTTCCCTTCATTTCCTCTCCCGTGGGCAGGGGCTGCATTTACAGCAGCTGTGCCCAGAGCCGCCCTTGCTGATTTAGATCAGGGATGACAAGGCAGGCCAGGAAAACCTTGATGCTCTCAGATTCTTCAAGTAGGGAGGCCTTGCAGCAGGTACTGAGGAAGCTGGGGGAGGTCTGGCAACCACCATGCTGGAGAGGAGGGTAGGCAGAAGCAGAGGGTCTGGCGCAGGTCCTGCAGCTTGATAAAAGGCAGGGCTCGGAACTGAATGCATCGCTGACTGGCAGCAACATCTCAGTCTGCACTGGCCACATGCCGAATGCGGAATACTCACATGTGGCACATGGCCTCTAGATTGGACAGCACACATCTATATGGTAGAGTTCAGTCTCAGGTGGACCCACGCCTGAGGGCTTTGTTACCAAAGTGGAAGAATAAAAATGATGAGATAGCCATCCTCTTGTGGCCTATCTTTCTTCTCATTCATGCAGTGCCTCCGTGTAGAAGTTGAGTCTTTTCTGTGACTTGCTGCTGAACTATCACAGTATATTTGTGGGTGTTGGGAGTAGGGGCTGAGAGGGAAGACTGTATATAGGAAGCCACAGTCAAGGCCATCACCCAAGCCAGTGTGTGGTGATGCTCACAGCTGCCAAAACATCACTGAATCCTAGATTTGCTGCTTCATCATTCCATGAATATTTCTTGTGTCCGTACTGTGTGCCAGACACTGTTCCAGCCCTTGGGGGATCCAGCAGGGAACACAATAGGCAGAAACCCCTGTGTTTGCCTTCCCCTATAGTTGGGGAAACAGACAAAAAAAAAGTAAATTACATAGCAGGTTAGAAGCTGACAAGCAGGAGAGGGGGATGAGACGTATGGGAAAGGGGATGGCTGCCATTTAAAATAGGGTGGCCAGGGAAAGTCTCATTGAGAAGGTGATATTTGAGCATAATCTTCCTAGATATAAAATGTTGAGGCAAATTCCTTAACCCTCTGACTTTTGTAAAATAACAATAGCAATACTACTACTAATAGGTAGGTCTATTTATTTTTTTATTTTTTATTTTTTTGAGATGGAGTTTCACTCTTATTGCCCAGGCTGGAATGCAATGGCACAATCTTGGTTCACTGCAACCTCTGCCTCCTGGGTTCAAGGGGTTCTTCTCTTTCAGCCTCCCAAGTAGCTGGGACTACAGGCATGCGCCACCACACCTGGCTAATTTTTTTGTATTTAGTAGAGATGGGGTTTCACCATGTTGGTCAGGCTGGTCACGAACTCCTGTCCTCAGGTAATCCACCCGCCTCAGCTTCCCAAAGTGCTGGAATTACAGGTATGAGCCACCACGCCCAGCGGTAGATCTATTTAGGGTGCTTATTCTGTACCCTCCTAAGTTCATTAATACATTAACTCATTTAATCCTCTTGTCCCATGAGACGGGTGCTTTTTATATTATTAACCCCATTTTACAGAGTAGAAAATGGAGGCAGAGAAAAGTGAAGTAAATTTGTCTGAGGCCACACAGTTAATAACCCAGGCAGGCAGGTTGACTCCAGAGCCCGCCCCTTTCCCTGGCACCCCTTAGAGGGGCAGTCCTGAACAGAAAGTCTCCTAGATCCCACCCAGTTTCAAAGAGGAAACGCATATCAGAACATCTACAGGACACATTTCCAGGCTGAGCTGAGCTCGTGATTTGAGGTTGATCTTGGTGCTGCCACGTTTCTCCAGTGTTGAGTGGCTAAATGCTATCCAAACATCCACTGTTTACAAGCATCACACTGGACACTGCAGAATATACAGAGAATATGGCTGCAGATGTCCTAAGAAATGGATCTTTGCTTTGGAGAGAAACCCATTAAAAAGGGAGGCAGAAAGAGACACTACCAAGAGGCTGCACAGCCGATTTCCAAGGTCAGAGGGGAGCAGGCCCTGGGTAGTGGATGTCTTGACAAAACATGCTCAAAGGCTTAAGTGGGGATCTTGCCTGAAGGTAGGATATGACTTTGAAGGGAGTCGAGGAGAAGGCGTTGCCCAGGTAGGACAGGGATGGCACAGGTACAGGGATGGCACAGGTACAGGGGTGGAGTGAGTGGGGACAGTGTAAGGCACATTAGAATGGTGAGCTTGTTCATCAAAACTAACCTATTCTGCAGTCTGTTTCCCAGAGGTGTTGAGATTAATAAGTAAGAAGCTGCTACCAGATCCTGATAACCTGTTCTGATAGGGGATTAATAGCTGAGTATAATAAAAACCAGCAGCAAATCTGAAAGGAATTTCCAGTTGGCTTTGGAATGCAGCTGAGTTGACTTCCTGATTACATTCCTTCCCTGGGCGCGTGTCACCTTGGGCAGGGTGGATAGCCACAGTAGACAGTAAGAAAAGTCCACTTATGTGGTAGCGAAGGAAGAGCCTGGAAGACTGAGGCGCGGGGTGGGTTCTGTCAGCCTCTGTTATTTACACTGAGTGTGCGGCCTTGGGCACAGTGGCTCTTTATCGCAGTTTCCCCATTCTGTAAATGGAGGATATATGCCCGTTCCCCAGTGGTTTTTGGATCAAGTGCACTAGCTCTGCCAGGCCTCCTAGGAGAATGTTATTGCTTCTGCGTGTCTGTCTCCCAGGTTCTGAGTGCTTCTTGTCTAAAAGCTCCCACATGAGAACTTCTCTGGAGGCTGGCCTTTGGGCTACTGGAGCTTCTTCTCCCACAAGCAAAGATCTGGAACATTCTGGGAATTCATGAGCCCATCCTGGCCCCAGTGGCCTGTAGCTAATGACAGTTCCCTTCCCCGCCGGGGGATAAACCGTAAGCTGTAATTTATACTCCTGGGTCCCCTTTAGGGTCTGCTGAGGCTGGGATTGCACCTGAACGCATACCTGTGCTGGGTCTCTTCCCACTTCCCTCTCCTGTTTCCCCCGTTCCCTTGCTGGTTTCTTGTGGGAGTACTTCCATTGTAAGTCACTGGCACATGAATCTTCTTCCTAGGCTGTTTCTGGGGAACCCAACCTAAAAGTATAGGAAAGCTTTTGAAAACTTGCAAGTAAAACATACACTTCTAAGGAACTACCATATGGAGCAATTGCAGGACTGACTGTACGAATATTACATCTCTGAATTACTAGGTTCAGGATGGAACAAGAGGTCAAAAGGTGCCCCAAAGCCAGTTGTTCCATGACATCCTCTGTGCACTCAGCCTCTGTGACCACCACACCCCAACTTTGTGTGTGCCTCCTGTCCCCACGTCAACTGGGAGCTGCGATTAATCTTCCGGGGCCTCTGGGGCCTCCACGGAGCTCCATCTGTTCAGCCTGCACCGCTTTCCACCCAGGGGTCGCCAGCTTATTCCCACTGCGCTCCCCATGTGACCTTTCTCAGGGCTCTAGGAGAGAGGGAGAATCCCAAGTACAGGACACCGGCCCACGCTGGATTCATCTGAGGGCTGTGTGAGGAAGACACTTGCTTTTGGAAATTGTCAAGGGGACAAATCATGAACCCAGATTTTTGATCAACAAAATTTAAATAGAAACAAAGGCTCTTCATTATACCACCAGATTTAGGACTTTTAAGAAGAAATACACACCTGCTTCAGCAACAGGCCCTCAAAATTCAGTCTTGTTTTGGTATCTGCTGTGGCTAATGAGTTTCCATATTTCCATGACACCCATGTGAGCCTGGGGACAGGATGAACCCACCAGCATGTTCAAATTTTCAGTGTTCATCTTCCTCATTTAGTGGGTACGTTTCAACTCTCTTTCAAAACTAGGTCACTTTAAAGACATTAGTAGATAATCAAACTTACATCATGAAACCCAGCATTGCTTTTCGTTTCTTTCTTTCCTTTTTTTTTTTTTTTTCGGAGTTTTGCTCTTGTTGCCCAAGCTGGAGTGCAGCAGCATGATCTTGGCTCACTGCAACCTCCGCCTCCTGGGTTAAAGTGCTTCTCCTGCCTCAGCCTCCCAAGTGGCTGGGATTATAGGCACCTGCCACCATGCCCGGCTAATTTTTGTACTTTTAGTAGAGATGGGGTTTTGCCACATTGGCCAAACTGGTCTTGAACTCCTGACCTCAAGTGATCCACCCGCCTCCGCCTTCCAAAGTGCTGGGATTACAGGCATGAGCCACCACGCCTGGCCCAGCCTTGCTTTTCTAATGGCCAAATCCTCACATCCTGTTCCATCGATTCTCATGCCTGTGTTTGCATGTGTGTGTATGCACAGTACTCCTGTGAATCACGTGTGCCCAGCCTGGCCCCTTCATTTCCGTAAGACAGGGTACCCTTACTCTGAAACTGGGCCCACCCAAAGGCTGTGGGGTGATGGGAGGTGGGGAAGAGGGTTGGTGGGTGTGATGGTTCATACTGAGTGTCAGCTTGATTGGATTGAAGGATACAAAGTATTGATCCTGGGTGTGTCTGTGAGGGTATTGCCAAAGGAGATTAACATTTGAGTCAGTTGGCTGGGAAAGGCAGACCCACCCTTAATCTGGGTGGGCTCAAGCTAATCAGCTGCCAGTGCAGCTAGAATACAAGCAGGCAGAAAAATGTGAAAAGAGAGACTGGCCTGGCCTCCCAGCCTACATCATTCTCCCATGCTGGATGCTTCCTGCCCTCGAACACTGGACTCCAAGTTCTTCAGTTTTGGAATTCGGACTGGCTCTCTTTGCTCCTCAGCCTGCAGGCAGCCTATTGTGGGACCTTGTGATCATGTGAGTTAATACTTAATAAACTCCCATATATATATATATATAATATGGGAGTTTTATATATATATAATATATATTATTTATACTATATATTATATATTATATAATATATATTATATATTATTTATACAATATATAATATATATTATATAATATATAATATCTATTATTTATACTATATATAATATATATTATATATTATATAATATATATTATTTATACTATATATAATATATAATATAATATATATTATATTATAATTATAATATAATATATATTATATATATATACAGTGGGAGTGGGAGGTGGGAGGGAGACCTAGTTGAGACTGGGAGGGAAGCCAGAGAGAGGTTTAGTTTGGGGAATTGAATGTATACAGACATGTAGAATCAGAACCACCAGGTACTTCACCCCAGCCAAGGCCAGGTGAGCTTTCAGCACTGGAGGGGTGTATTAGTCCGTTCTCATGCTGCTAATAAAGACATACCCAAGACTGGGTAATTTCTAAAGGAAAGAGGTTTAATGGACTCACAGCTCCACATGGCTGGGGAGGCCTCACAATCATGGCCGAAGGCAAAGGAGAAGCAAAGGCACGTCTTACATGGTGGCACGCAAGAGAGATTGTGCAGGGGAACTCCCCTTTATAAAACCATCAGATCTCATGAGACTTATTCACTACCACAAGAACAGTATGGGGGAACCACCCCCCATGATTCAATTATCTCCACGTAGCTCTGCCTTTGACATGTGGGGATTATTACAATTCAAGTTGAGAGTTGGGTGGGGACACAGCCAAACCATATCAGGGGTCTAGCCCAGCATGGTCATATGTCCCAAGAGGTGGTCAGTGCAGTGACAGAGAGTCCAGGACCAAGCACTGGGGAAGTCTGTCATAGAAAGGGTTATGGGGGAGAAAGTGAGTTTGAATGAGTTTGCAGAGAAAAACAAAACACAGAACCTGTTGATGATGATGCCATGGCAGGTCACCCCCCAGGTGCAGAAGAACAGAGTGTGGAGACCAACCTGGGAAATGAGAGGCCGGCTGGACTTAAAGCTGAGAGCCCAGGGCTGGAGCTCCTTAAACCCCCTGGCTTCTGCAGGCCAGGCCAGGTATGAGCCTTTCCAAAGAAACCAGGCAGGGATTGCGCAGGCGGGTGCTCAAACCCAGGTCCCCTGACTTTTGGTTCAATGGCCCTGTCAAGTGAAGCCCCCAGGACCAAATGCCAGAAAATCCTCATCCTAATTCTGCTACCCCTGGTCAATTCACCTCAAGGAACCAAAAAGTATTTGTCATGCGGGTTCTTTCTGGGGGTGAAGAAGCAGGAGAAATGGGCTGGATGTTTATGGAACACTTATGGAGTGTGAATTTGGTAAGAGAGTACAAAACACTCACTGTGGGTGACCTAAATCAACAGATAGCCTTGTCACATAGAGAAAAGTCAAAAATTGTCTCTTTCCAGTTGAACACATCAAGTCACATGAATACAGATTTCAAAATCTCTAGGTTCTGCTGGAATTTTGTCATAGCAAATATTGACTGAAGTTGGTGGGCCATCGGCAGGGTTTTGTCAATGTTTTGGTTATCTGGAAACTCGGACGGGCTGTAGTGGAAAGAATTATGGTCATAGGGAGTTAGGAGACCTGGTTGGGTTCTGGCCCTGTCTCTGTTTACCAACCAGCAGCATGTCCTTTGATGACCCTCTTCAACTCGCTGCTCTCCCCACCTTTCCTCATTTGTAGGATGAGGAGATTGGGCTCAAAGATCTCCAAGATCCTTTCCAGCTTGGAAAATGTGATTTTATAACATAAATGGGGGTGCCTTGGCTAGTCATCTGATGTTAATTTGAACTTCAAATCATTCTGATAAACATTTTCAGGCTCCGGAGGTGGACTGAGGTGCATTTGTGAGATCCAAAGTGACCTCTTCCAAACCCCAAGTCTACACAAGGTTCGTGGCCTTGGGGAGCTATTTGGAGTCTCCAGCCAGGGTGATGATCTGGATTTTGGTGCCACTGACAATGAAAGTAGGCTCATATCTGGCTGGATCCTGCAGTAAAGAGCACATGGAGTATTTTCCTTCCCTTTTTAGCTAGACAGAGTTCAGTTCAGAGAGCTGGGAACTCCAAATGAGGACATGGTGATTTGACTGATGATCTGTCAGGAACATTAAAACGTTTCCAAGGGATGCTCCGGACCTTAAACTGCACCAGCACAGTTCCGAGTCCAAGCCGTCATAACGGACTCTGAGACCCTGATTTGGAGGAATTGAGAAGAAGTAGGACAACTCCTACATGGGACCCTCTTGTAGGAAAGCTGGTCTCCAGCAGTCTCTGACCCCATCTCCAACATCTGCTGCTGTTGTTTAAAGAAAAGGTCGGGGGGTGGCAGATAAAGTGAAAAAGTTTTTCTTGTAAGAGAATATCGTCGAAGCAGCCGTGACAATGGATAGCCTTCCTTCTCGTGGCTGTAGAGCGAATTCTGCTTTAAGAAAACAGTGTTCACAAAGATTTCAATTCACAAAAGGAAGGGTGAGGGGGAAAGAGGACTCTTCACTCCCCAAAAGGATTTACTGTTAAGTTCATTTAAGTCGGGTGGGGCGTCCTAACTGGCTGCTCACAGCCCGAAAGGAAGCCCATCTGTCTGGGTGCCGCAATGGGCAACTGTCTGGATTCTTAATGAATTAAA
This sequence comes from Homo sapiens, assembly GCF_000001405.40. Lineage (NCBI taxonomy): Eukaryota > Metazoa > Chordata > Mammalia > Primates > Hominidae > Homo > Homo sapiens. The sequence goes on along the minus strand of NC_000010.11, from coordinate 113,940,183 downwards.
TTTGTTTATCTATTTTAGAAACAGGTTGTCGTTCTGTTGCCCAGGCTGTAGTGCAGTGTCATGATGATAGCTCACTGCAGTCTCGAATTCCTAGGCTCAAGCGATCCTCCCATCTCAGCCTCCCAAGTAGCTGGAACTACTACTCTGCCCAGTATATCACAATTTTTTTTAAAGGGAGGGGAACAGACTAGTCTTTTCATTCTAAAAATGTGTGAGTCTATAATGGAACTCTAAGAACAATATAAGAGAATAATATAAGTGCCAGATATAAATTATTTTTTGACTACTTGTGGTTTTGAGATATTAAGGTTACTCACTCTTCACGATCATCATCATGGATGAGAAAGAGGTGCATTTAATGAGGTGTCTGAGTGTTTCATGAGCCCATTTTTAGCCTTGGGACCTTCGGTACACTGTATACATCATTTTTACTGCAGAGAAAAAAGTCTTCCCCTTGTCATGAATGTAACGTGCACACGGTAGACACAGCAAGGGGGCAGCCTCACATTGGAAGTGTTGGAGAAAGCAGTTTTATCAGGTGAAGGTTGCAGGGTTTTTACTGCACTGAACATTGACTATGAGCAAACTGCTGCAGAAATACAAGATACCAAGGGAAGGTGGGGGAGCTAGAATGGTCCCTGCCTTTGTTACCTGAAGTCTCCTTTTGGAGACAGAAAATGTTTCCACCCAGAAATGTCTAGTAACAGGAGGCAGGAAGTGGCCTATGGGGATAAGGAGTGCTTCCAGGAAGGAAAAATCTCTATCAGTTGATGCTTGGGAGAGACAATGCATAGTGAGTCAGGCGGTGGGTGGTGGCTCACATCTGTAATTCCACCACTTTAGGAGGCCAAGGCAGGAGGATTGCTTGAGGCCAGGAGTTCCAGACAAGCCTGGGCAACATAGAGAGACCCTGTCTCTACTAAAAATAAAATACCTAGCCACATTTGGTGGCACGCGCCTACAGTCCTAGCTACTTAGGAGGATGAGGAGGGAGAATCGCTTGAGCTCCTTGGGAGGCTGAGGAGGGAGGATTGCTTGCTGGGCAACAGAGCAAGACCCTGTCTCTTAAAAAAAAAAAAAAAAGCGAGTCTGTAAAAGTTCTCAAAGAGATGTGATTTCAGGGTGTGTGAGCTCAGGGATAGAGGTTCTGAAGGCGAGAGGGCTGGAGAGGATGCAAGGATGATGGTTTTCAAAGCCAATCTCAGAATAGCTGGGGATTCCGGGAAGTCACCTGCTAGGGCTTCCTGACCTCAGGAAGATGCTGGGAGTGCAGGGTCAGGTTACCCAGGATGGGATGCATATCAGTCTCAGTCCATCCAAAGGCATGTTCAGAAGCATAGTGAGAAGGAGTAAATGCTTCTGGGTTCTGATAGATGTTCTGATAGATGCCTATGAAATTGATCTGGAGTATGTTTTTTTTTTTTTTAAATAATGTGTAAATATTCTCAAAACTTCTACAATTCCTTGCCTTGCTAAACTCTTTTATTTATCAAAACTCCTTAATAAAGTCATCTTTTTTTAAAAAAATGCGCAAAGATGGGGCCTTAGGAAATATTGAGAACAAATCTTTTGTCATTACTGTGTGAGATAGATTGTAAATTTTCTCTTGATGAGTAAGGAAACTGGAACTTGGGGACCCTCAAACAAAGAGAGAAGGGTCCTGGTGGAGAGGGCCCCATGGAGAAAAAAAGGTAGGGACAGATCCCAGGAATGGGAACGGATGCATCAAGGAAGTGATACCTCACGTTGCATTATTACCGATTCCTCTGCTGTACTCCAGCCCATTACCAAACCCGCGGTAAAATTACATTGCTGTGTCCATAGTGCTGTGGGGGACAGAGGAGGAGAGGTAGGGACTGATGTGGGACAGACACAGAGAGCAGCAACAGGAGCAGGTCAGCAGCCAGAAGGGGAGGAGCGGAGATGGTGAGTGGGCAAGCCCCTTGGAAGTGCCAGGAAGTTTGAGGATGGTGCTGGGCTTCACGCTGGGAGATGGATACATTTTGTTCAGTCATTTAAGGAAAGGGCCTCCAGAAGGTTGAAGGAGACACAGTCCCTGCCTCTAAAGCTGGCAATAACCCAGTTAAGGGGAGGAGGCATGCGTGTACATAGAAGCACACACACGAAATGTACCTGGTAACTCAGGCAGCAAATGCGAAATGCCCATTCACTGAGCAGAAAAGATAGGAGGGCTATGAGAGTTTAGATTACTTTGGCTGGGGCCAGTGGCAGTGCTGGTAAATGTTTAACAACTGCCTGGAAAGAAAATAAAAACTCCAATTTGTAGCATTTGCCAATTTTCACGGTGTAAATACCATACTTCTACCATGGTCGATTTCAAGTTGCCAAGTTGACTCATTAAACATGGAGTTGGGGAGAGACACTCAAGAGTGCCTCGTCACAGAGTAGCTCCACTTTAACGGTGCAATAGACGTAAATGAACTTGAGCACAGATTATAGCAAAATGTATTATAATTCAGAGGTGATGAGTTCTGGACATTTCCTACCTTAGTTTTTAATACAATTTATTTACTTGTGAGTTTACATAACTTAATTTTTAATAATGCCTGTGTTCCATAACCAGCTCACAAAATTCATGAAATATTAACAATTGGTTCTTGTGAGCTGGTGTGAGCCATCTCTAGTACATTGCTGGCTGAAATGTCAGGGCAGGCTTTCTGGAGAAGATGGACTGAAAACTGGGCTTTGAAGGATGAAGAGGAGTTTGATAAGGCTTGATAGAAGTCACTCTAAGCAAAATAAATACATGGCAAATGAGTGGCCAGAAAAGCAGAAGGCATGAATAACAAGGATGCAGTTTACTCCTATTTCTGTAATATTTTAAGGTTAATAAAGTACTTTTTAAACAAACAAAAAAGGGATGGAGAGACCAAGCATGCATTAAATACACTTGTTAGGCATTTAAAATACATAAACAAAGCATCAAATATTCATGATATGCTAAATATACACATGATATGAGGCACTCACTATTCATGAGGTCTAAAAATGGTCCCTTTGCTCACACCTCAACTCTGGTCCTCAGAATCCCTGCCATCAGTGGGCAAGGCTGGTGAGGCAGGGAGAGAAACTGGATAGATACACGAATATTGCAAAATCCAGGGCTCAGCTCATGTTGTCTTTCACTCTGCTTACATCTGAACCCATCTCTTTCCTCTTGTTTCTTGCTTTTAAGTTGATTTAATAAGCTGTATTAGTTATCTATAGCTGTGTAACAATTATCCCCAAACTTAGTGGCTTAAAATAGCTAACATTTATTATGTCAAAATGCCTGACCATGTCCAGATTCCCGACCCCCAGAAATTATGACATAATGACACAAGGTCTCTCCCAAGGCTCTAATCAAGGTCTTGGCCAGGGCTGCAGTGATCTCAGGGCTAACTGGGAGTGATCCACTTCTAAGCTCACTTAAGTGGTTACTGACAGGATCCACCAATTTCTCACGGGCTTTGGCCAGGGGCCTCCCTCCGTTCCTTGCTATGTGGCCTCTCCATAGAGCAGCTCACAACGTGGCAGCTGCTTCCCTCCCAGTGAGAGAGAGACACAGCAGCAGAGGGTGAGCAGGACTGAAGCCAGAGTCTCTGTGGAACCCCGTCTCAGAAGTGACACCCTATCATTTTTGCCAGATTCATTAGAATTAAATTGTTAGGTCCAGGCTGGGCACGGTGGCTCACGCCTGCAATCCCAACACTTTGGGAGGCCATGGTGAGCAGATCACTTGAGCTTGGGAGTTTGAGACCTGGCCAACATGGCAAAACCCGGTTTCTACTAAAAAAACATGGTGGTGCATGTCTGTTGTCCCAGCTACTTGGGAGGCTGAGGCAGGAGAATCGCTTGAACTGGGGATGCGGAGGCTGCAGTGAGCCGAGATCACACTACTGCACTCCAGCCTGGGTGACAGAGCAGTGAGACTCTGTCTCAGAAAAAAAAAAAGAAATCATTAGGTCCAGGCAATACTCAAGGGGAGAGGATTACACAGGGTATGAATACCAAGAGGTGACTGCTGGGAGCTGTCCTAGGAGCTGCCTACCACACAATGCTCTGTGACCTTTGATTGAGCCTGCTCAGTAGTGAACTTGAAAGTAGTCATTTAATCTATCTAGATAATTCCCATACCACAGATCTCAGTCTTTCTCACTCTAAGTCTCACAACAAGCTTGAGATGTAGGCATCATCATTATCATCATCTCCATTTTTTTAGCTGAAGATACTGAAGCATTGAGAATTGAAGTGCTTTCTCCAACCCTACACAGCTAGTAAGTCAAAGACCCAAACCTTGAACCCAGATCTCCTCACCTTCAGGCTGTGGCCTTTGCCTTTTGCCATATTGTTCTGGGTTGAAGTGTCCTCTCTCCAAATTCATGTGTCCCCAGAACCTCAGAATATGACCTTATTTGGAGCTAGGGTCTTTGCAGATCCAATTAGTTAAATAAAGACAGCATCCTACTGGATTAGGGGTGGGCCCTAAATCCAATGACTCTGTCCTTATAAGAAGGCTGGCCAGGCACAGTGGCTCACACCTGTAATCCCAACATTTTGGGATGCTGAAGGGGGCAGATCACTGATGTCAGGAGCTTGAGACCAGCCTGCCCAACATGGTGAAAACCCATCTCTACTAAAAATACAAAAATTAGCTGGGTGTGGTGGTGCACGCTTGTAATCCCAGCTACTCCAGAGGCTAAGGCAGAAGAATCACTTGAACCTGGGAGGCAGAGGCTGCAGTGAGCCAAGATTGCACCACTGCACTCCAGCCTGGGTGACAGAACAAGACTGAATCTCAAAAAAAAAAAAAAAGAAGGCCGTGTGAACACGCAGTGACACGTTCGCTGGGAGATCCCCATGTGTAGAGGGAGACAGAAAATGGAGGGATGCCACAGCAAGCCGAGGAATGCTATGGTTGGCCCGCAACCACCAGGAGCCAGAAAGAGTCATGGAAGTGTTCTTTCTTCGAGCCTTCCGAGGGCGTGTGGCCCTGCCAACACCTTGATTTCAGACTTCTAGCCTCCAGAACATGAGAGAATAAATCTGTGTTGTTTTAAGTCATCTAATTTGTACTAATTTGTCATGCCATCCCTGGAAAATCCATACATGTATTATCTCTAAAAAGAGATTCCAGCTACAGACTGCCCCAATATCTACAGTGTTGAGGGAGGACACTGTTCAACCCAGAACAAAATGGCAGAAGGCAAAGACCACAGCCTAGTGGTTGCGGGCCATCCGTGGCAATCCTTGGCTTGCAGTGGCATCACTGTAGTGTCTGCCTCCCTCTTCACATGGTGCTCTCCCTGGTTACCTGTCTCCGTGTGTTCACATGGCTTTTTTTTTTTTTCTTTGAAACGGGGTCTCGATTTGTCACCCAGGCTGGAGTTCAGTGGTGCCATCTTGGCTCACTGCAAGCTCCGCCTCCCAGGTTCACACCATTCTCCTGCCTCAGCCTCCCGAGTAGCTGGGACTACAGGCGCCCGCCACCACGCTCAGCTAATTTTTTTTTTCATTTTTAGTAGAGACGGGGTTTCACCGTGTTAGCCAGGATGGTCTCGATCTCCTGACCTGGCGATCTGCCCGCCTTGGCCTCCCACACATGGCCTTCTTACAAGGACACAGTCATTGGATTTAGGACCCACCCCTAATCCAGTAGAACTTCTTCTTTACTTAACTACATCTGCAAAGACATAAAAAATTAAGACATAATTTCTAGTGGGTCAAAGTGCACATATACCCCAGGTTAGGCCCCATCTTCTAGCCCCTGAGGCTCCATCTAGAACTCAGTCTTCACTTTTCCTCTACTGATCAGCACATATCCTGTCTTCTCTAATTCCAAGCCAGCATCCCCAACCCAGGGCTGGGGGAGGAAACGGGACACAGGGAGGAGATTCGTTGCCTGTGATCTCAGACGATAAACATTACAGGACACAGGCATGAGGACGTGATATTTTCTTTCTTCTCCCATGTGACAGGCCAAAGATTAAAATCTCTCTCCCCTTCTCCCACTCATGCTCTTGAACTTGAATGCACTTGAACAGTTTGTTCACAGCAGCTCCATGTCTGTGTATGAGTGCGAGAGCACGTGTGTGTAGAGTTTTTGGTAGTCTCTGCTGCTTGTAATTATGCTGGCTTATAACAAGAAGCAAAGGTCAGGGTTCTGCTGGAAAAGGAGTGGGTGTAGTGGGATCGCTGTGGGACATGTCCTTCTGTGCATACAAGTTGGTAGGCTCACACAGAGGAATCAGCAACATTCTACAAAAGAAGAGGGAGGCCAGGTGCGGTGGCTTATGCCTGTAATCCCAGCACTTTGGGAGGCTAAGGCAGGTGCATCGCTTGAGGCCAGGAGTTCAATACCAGCCTGGCCAACATAGTGAAACCTCATCTCTACTAAAAATACAAAAATTAGCAGGGACTGGGGGTGCATGCCTGTCATCCCAGCTACTTGGGAGGCTGAAGCAGGAGAATCACTTGAATCTGGGAGGTGGAGGTTGCAGTGAGCCGAGATCACACCATTGTACTCCAGGCTGGGTGACAGAAAGAGACTCTATTTCAAAACAAAACAAAACGAAATGAAAAAAGAAAAGAAAAGAAAAGAAAAAAGAAGAGGGAGGCAGAAAGGATGCTCTTCAGATTCAAGGCCATGGCAAGGGGTTTGTGCTCAAATTGCAGTTTTTGAAATGCAAGAATTTCCTCTTTGGGAGCTCAAATAGTTCATCATATGAAATTATGATTAAGGTTTAAGGATTTTTCTTAAAATGGGAGTCAAAAATGCTTGCCAACGTTTGGCTGATCTGGTGAAAGCAGCTGTACCACTTAACTTTCACCAGGGCCCAGTGACTAGTAATTCACAATTTGTGGTCCAGTGGGCTCTCAAGCTGGAAGGGACCTTAGAGATGATCCAAACCCACTCCTTTGGCAAACGGAGAAGCAAAGGCACAGAGATCCACTTCAGTCCCTTCTCTGTCCTCTCCCTGTCCCAACTAAGTGGACAGAGAGCTCTGCTCTCCATTTCTCTCCCTATTTGCTTCTCTGCTATCTTCTCCATAAATCCACTTTTCTACCTGCACAGTCTCTGACTCTACATCACTCAGAGTTTAAGTTGTGTGCTCCCGTGGGGTGTAACCATCCATCTATTTATCCATCCATCCATCCATCCATCCATCCATCCATCCATCCATCCATCCTTCCATCCAGTCTCCTGTTACAATGTATCTAGGTTTGGAAGGGTGACACCCTAAACCATGTGTTAGCTACTTCTTCATCAATTACTTGAAGCCCTGCTTTGGACCAGATCCTACATAGGTGACACAAAGCTGCATAAACATGTCAAGGAGTGCTGGGCTGTTGAGCTGAACAGGAGGTGGAATATGATGAATGTCATAAAATAGGCACCAACAAAACGCTCAGGGGGTATTCTCGGGGGAATTCAGAGCAAGTTTTGGGGATGAGTGGGAAGAAGCTTGGAGGGGATCCTGAGGGGCTGGGAGAGAGGATGAGACTCTTTCTTTTATTTTTGAGACAGAGTTTCACTCTGCCTCCCAGGCTGGAGTACAGTGGCACAATCTCGACTCACCGCAACCTCCGCCTCCCCAGTTCAAGCGATTCTCGTGCCTCAGCCTCCTGAGTATTACAGATGGGACTACAGGCATGCGCCACCATGTCCAGCTAATTTTTGTATTTTTAGTAGAGATGGGGTTTCACCATGTTGGCCAGGCTGGTTTCAAACTCCTGACCTCAAGCGACCCACCCGCCTTTTTCGGCCTCTCAAAGTGCTGGGATTACAAGCAGGAGCCACTGTGCCTGCTCCAGAGACTCTTTCTTACCCTGCGTGAGCTCTGCTAGACTGGAACTCAATGGCTGGGGACCTGAGACTCAAACCATTATAGGCAGAAAGAGTCTTTAAAGTCTTTGCATTTTAGCTTTATAGGTAAAGGCACCCTTACCCTCTCTTTCCCCAACAGCTTAAAGAAAAAATAAGTCAACGTTTCTCTTTGGAGTCATATAAATCCTTTCTCTCTATGTATGGAACTAAATGGCTCCCTGAGAGGCAAATACCCACTTCATCATGGACAAATTCAACCTGAAATTAAGAAGCCTGCCAGGAAATGGCCTAAAGTTATCCAGAGCTTCACTTAGCCTTGTAACCCTGACCTATGTCCATGTCCCTATGTTATCACAGATGTCTTTATTTCCTCACAGATTTTGCCTTACTGATACCTCAATTCAAATTGTCAAGGTAATTAAAAATATGTTATATAATATACATACTTGAAGTGCATATACAAGTTTAAAATAGCTTTGTTACAAACAGACATTTTCTTTCAATAAAACTTATTTTGTTCATCCAAACACACTTTGGGCACCAACTTATACCAAACATTAATAGGGCACAAATGCCAGGAGTCACTGGAATGAAGCATGGTGTACCAGTTTTCTGGAAAACAAGCAGAAACTGTGCCTCCTCCCTGCTGGAGGTGTTTCCTTTTTAGAAACAAGTCTTTGAGACTTGAAACCTATTCTATAAATCAAGTAATCAATATAAGCTTTATGGCAAACTCCCTTAAATTCCATGACAAGGAACTCTGAGGCATGGTCTCAATGCTTTTCTTGATTGATATTGTCTGAAATAAGGTTCAGTAAACCTTCGGCCTTGAAAATATTTTAACCTGAGGCATGTGGCCTGTATTTGCCTTTCCTCTGGTGCTTCCAGCACTTGGTGGGCTGTGTTCCCTCGTTCTTCAAGCTTGCCCATGGATTATATAAACGACTTCAGAGCAAGACCCAGAGAAGTTTGATGACCCTTTCTAAGCCAGGCAGTGAGTTGGGATGCCTGAGCCTGGCCTCCAACATCACAAGTTTATCAGGTGGTCATTCATACCATCTTGGGCTGCGACGGACCTAAGATGGCCTATTTTGTGCCAAGGCTCTTGTTTTTCAGATAAGGAAACCAAGGCCCAGAGTGGCTTTTCTTGATCATCCAAAGCTATGGAATCACAGATTCTTAGAGTTAGAAGGTACATTAAGCCTTTAGTTATCCAGTTTCACCTCATACCCAAAGGAGAAACACTTTCCACACACTCTCTGCCAGGTGATCATCCAGCCTCTCCTTGCACGCTTCTTGCACTGGGGAGTACATAATTTTTTTCTGACTTTTCTGTTTACGGACATGTCTAATTGTTGTCAAGTTCTTCTCTATAATCAGAGGAAACCCACTTTCCTGTTGCGTCCACTGACAGCTGCATTCCAGAGATTCCAGAACAAAACCTGGTGTCTTCTGGGTTCCAGAAGGGTTGCTCTTCCCCTGGCATCCCTTAGCCTGACTGAACCATTATGTTTCCTGGAGAGTTAGGGCCAGATTGACTTTCAGTAGCATGGCTTAGCTAGCTATGTTTATTTATTTTGCTTTCATTTATTAATGATAACCATCACCTTCTATAAGTCCCACCCATTTCCCTTCCTTTTCTGACGTGCAGAAAGCTCTTATTAGAACATCAATGAGTTCATTGCACTCTTTAAAATCAAGGTTCAGAAAAAAGCTGGAGTGTGCTTCTCTTGACAAGGCTGCTTGAGTATAATCATAGCTCTGTCACAAAATATGCAGGCTTATAAGGGGTTGTCAAATTTTTTCCTGAAGTGGGAGATGTTTGGGAAAAATTTTTTTGAAAGTTAACTGAAAAGGAACAAAGAGAAAAAATCAAGGACTAAATGATTTTATGCAAGTTTTGCATAGCTACAATTTGCAAACTTTGCTTTGATTAATGAGAATGCAGAGGACTCCTGAAAAAGAGAAAAATGAAGTTTTGAGCTGCACACGTAGTCATGAGTCTTGACCTTTCCATATGATGAGGTTTCTATTATCTTAACCTGGTGAGGAAGCAGATAATATGAATGAACTGGAAGTATTATTTTTCAGCCATCCAGATTCGAACTTCTTTTTCTGAAAGGAAAGATATCCAAGGTGGTCATTTAATAAACATGCAGGTTTCTTTAAGCAATGTTCTGCTCAAATGATTCCAGTTATTACATTACATTCCACTTCATGACTTTGGAGGACTTCTGGATTCTTAAGCATTAAACTTTTTGAAAAAAGTTTCTTTTAAAGCTATTTGGATTTGTATCTCAACATAAAGGAGGAAAATTCAGGTCTTTTTGAGTTCTGCAGACGGAATCAGTGAAAGGTGTCCTGGTTTTCTTCATTTCTCAGGCAAGGCTCTTGGATTTCCTGTGGACAGCTGCTTGTACCTCCGAATCCTAAATGGATTCCTCTCTGGCCTAAGCATCCGGTTGCTTCAAGGGCCCTCACAGACACAGCTCCACATCACATAGCCTTTGGAGGAGCAATTTTAAGGAGGACACGCTCTAAGTAAGCCTGGCACTGAATGGTTTTTCTATGGCTCTCAGATTGTGACAGGGACAGTCCTGGAGTCCCTAGGGCATTACTATGTCCGTGGGGCATTAATGCATCATTCCCTTTCTTTTGAAGTGGAATCTCCCATGCATGCACTCCAGTGATTATTAAGCCTCCTGTGGCCGCTCAGCTTAAGATTTCAGATCTCTCCCTGGCTTAAAATGCACTTTTCATTTTTTCGCCAGCCCTCTTCTCTCACCCCTCTTTGCCCTGAATTAGAAGCATATCAGCCGACAGAGTCACAGAACCTTAAACTGCCCACATGGCAAATTTCTATCTTCTAGTTCTCCAGTTAACTTCTTCTTCCCCTTTCTTTTTCGCCAAACACCAAGGCTAAATGAGATCGCTGCCTGGGAAGAGCATGAAAACCAGCTTACCCTTTCCTCCAAATGAGAATGCAATCCCACCCTTTAAATTTCCCAGCAATTGTAATGAGGATTATGAACAAGCACTGCAGACATCAATTTTCAAATGAAATGTAAGAAGAACCCTTTTAAGTTCCTAATCCTAATTGTAGACTAAGGCAGTATTATTGGAGTTGGTTTTAAAAACCAGGTTGATGATGCCTCAAAATTAAGTTATATTGTACCAGCACATGCAAAAGAAAGGGACATCAAAGAGGGAGTCAATTTGGATGGCAAACAGAAATAAATGCTGGGCTGAGACATTGAAGACATCTGGCCTTTTTGGAGCCCAATGTTTATTTCTTAGGTGGGGACAGTTAGAGACTTTCATGAGAGCTGGCTGTGGCTTTGTTATGACCTCCTCTCACTACTGTGAGTTTAGTTCTGTGGCTGTCTCATTTCCAGGACTGAAATGATGTATTGCTTGTTTAATTTGTTATTCTCTGTAACTTTTTTTGCATTTTAATAAACAAAAGTAGTCTTTTAGGGAAGAAGTCAAGGTTGATCTAAATGCATACAGTCAGAATTAGACTAATTTTTTTTGTACGTAAGTCTATGCACTCTTCACTTGGATGAAATCCCTAAAGAATAACATTTGGTGAAAATGAAATGGCAGAACAATAAAGTAACATTTTATGTATTCAAAAATATTTACATCAAGAGGATTTCTTTATAGCTTAAATTTAATAGAATTTTTAGCAAATTAAGCAGAATTTAGGAAGTGTAGTTTCAGCAGTGGTAAGAATCAAATAGCTTTCCTAGATTATAAAAACTTTGACTATAAGTTTTATCCAAAGATTCATGTTTTCAATTTTAAGCAATAAAAGAGATCTTTGGGGCCAGGTGTGGTGGCTCATGCCTGTAATCTCAGCACTTTATGGGGCCAAGGCGGGCAGATCACGAGGTCAGGCGTTCGAGACCAGCCTGGCCAACATGGTGAAACCCCGTCTCTACTAAAGATACAAAAAATTAGCCGGGTGAGGTGGCGCGGGCCTGTAATCCCAGTTACTCGGGAAGCTGAGGCAAGAGAATCGCTTGAACTCGGGAGGTGGAGGTTGCAGTGAGCCAAGATTGCGCCATTGCACTCCAGCCTGAGCAACAGGGTGAGACTCTGTCTCAAAAAAAAAAAAAAAAAGAGAGATCTTAGACATTTTAAAAGTCTAGTTTCTTCATCATGTAAAACTAAAGCCATAATTTTACACTTAGATAGTTCTTCATAACAATTGAGCCACAGAATTAGACTATTTTAAAGGAAATGCAGTTTCATTACTTTCAACCTCGAGCAATAGAAAATTGCTCAGAAGAGGGAGTCTTTTCGGGATTTGCTCAAATGGAGATATGACATTTGTAATTAACATGTCATTTGTTTTACAGACTTTGAAGTGTTTTGAATTTATTCTCATATGTAATTTTAACACTGCCTCCTGTGATCTTTTTATACTTTATCTCTATCCAAAATATGTCAGATCCTAAATTGATAACACTTGAATAAAAAGGGTTTTGTTGCCCACGATGAAGCAGTGTCAGTGGCTCTAGTGTTGGGCAGATCTGGGTTTGAGTCCCGGCTTGGCAGCACTGGCTGGGTGACTTTGGGTGTGCCGTTTACCCTCTCCTGGGTTCCGTTTCCTCAATGGTAAATGGGAATAATGACAGTCCTCACTTCCTGGTGATGTTGTGAAGATAAGATGACCTAATGCACATTGCCACTTACAACAGGCCTGGGAACGTAATGTAAAGAACAAGAGCTCTTACCCTGAGATTTCTGGGAAAATCCCTGATTCATCAGGCAAACACCTGAATCTGAAAAGTCTCTATGCGTTGTAGCACCCTTCCTAGGAGGACACCAGAGGGCAAGGGCACCTCCTGCTGTGCCCAGGTTTAAACTATGGGTAAATAACAGATTTAATCTCATGAGAAGCAAGCTCATTTTGTTACGGGTATGGAAACATTTTATCAATCTTCAGACAAAGTAAACAGTAGATGAAAGGATGCCATTTTTTCTGATGTGTAGGGTGAGAAAATTGCAGTGTGAGTTTCTGAGCAGTCTCAGAGGCCCCTATGTTACAATAAATAAGACTATACTGGTGTTCACCACGAAGGAAGAGCCCTGGACTGGGCTTTCTCTACACCTGGGTTCTAAACTCAGTTCTGCTGCTGTCTTAGTCCGTTCAGGCAGCTGTAATGAAATATCTCACACTGGGTAATTTATAAACAACCGAAGCTTATTGTTTACAGTTCTGGAGGTGGGGAAGTCACCAGAAGATTTGGTGTTTGGTGAGAACCTGTTCATCATAGATGATGCCTTCTTGGAGCCTCCTCACATGGCAGAAGGGGCTAGGGAGTTCCCTCAAGCCTCTTTTATAAGGGCACTAATTCCATTCGTGAGGGTGGAGCCCTCATGACTTAATCACTTCCTCAAGCCCCAACTCTTAACACTATTGCATTGGGGATTTAGGTTTCAACATATGAAATTTGATGGGACACACATATTCAGACCATAGCAGCCACTAACAATAGGGCAGTGGATAAATACCAAGATCTATGGGTCTGACTCCCCAGAGAATATGATGGTTCCACTAGTCAGTCCCCATGGTCCCTTGGGCTTCTGAGTCCACAAAACAGCTCTCACAGGTGTAACTTCCCATTCTGGGGATGAATAAAGGCATTAGATGACAACATGGGTGCGTCTAATGAAGCCTGCCTTACAAAAAGGTCTAGGGCGAGAGGTGGTTTTCCTCCCAGATATGTAATCCAAGGGAGAGACCCGTCTTGGCTGTGCTCTGGGAGGCCACAAGGGCAGGCCTGCCATCACCTAGTGCTGCTGCCCAATATCAGGCTGTTGGGCACTGTGGTTAAATTGGGGTGGAGGCAGGAGGTCCTCTACTTGGCAAAGAAACAACAGTGATTATTCAGATGGATAATAAGACTTACCTAATGCTTGATCAGAGTGATGGATGGTCTTCCGGGAACTTTCCATATTTACTTCCAACAGGACATCCTTGTCTCCATGTTGCAAGCAGCAGCTATCTCTCAGTGGAATCACGTGCTGCTGTTTCTTCCTGACATGGGTTTATGTGACACTGTTACACTTGCTCCACCTGAAAGCCAAGTCCACTTAAAATCAAACATTGATCTCTGTTACTTTTAGATGAGGGAGCTGCCTTTTGCAGCTCAAAAAGGAGGCCGAGCTAGGCGGATCACCTGAGGTCAGGAGTTTGAGACCAGCCTGGCCAAGATGAAGAAACCCCGTCTCTACTAAAAGTACAAAAACTAGCTGGGTGTGGTGGTGCACACCTATAATCCCAGCTACGTAATCCCAGCTGAGACAGGAGAATTGCATGAACCCGGGAGGTGGAGGTTGCAGTGAGCTGAGATTGTGCCACTGCACTCCAGCCTGGGCGACAGAGCAAGGCTCCATCTAAAAAAAAAAAAAAAAAAAAAAAAAAAAAAAAAAAAAAAATTATATTCACCAATAACATGGATCTTAAATACAGAAAATCCCAAGGAATCCACTAAAAAAACATTAAAGCTAATAAAAGTTCAGCAAGGTTGTGGGATAAAGGATTAAGATACAAACATCAATTGTACTTGTGTACAATTGCAATAAATAATCAAAAAAATAAACTTAAAGAATTCCATTCACAATAATTCCAAAAAAAAACTTAGGAATAAATTTATCAAAAGAAGTACAAAACTTCTCCCTTGAAAATTACAAAACATCACTGAAAGAAATTAAAGACCTAAATTAAAGGAGAAACATGCCATAGTCATTATTATGATGGTAATATTTCCCAAACTGATCTACAGATTCAATACAATCCTTATCAAAATCCCAGCTGGCTTTTTAAATTGACCATAAACATTGACATTTATTTTTGGACTCTCAATTCTATTTCATTGATTCATATGTCTGGCTTTATGCCAGTACCATACTTCCCTGACTATCCTAACTGTAGTAAGTTTTAAAATCAGGAAGTGTCAGTCTTCCAACTTTGTTCTTTTTTTAAGATTGTTTTGGACATTTTGAGTCCCCTGAATTTACATATGAATTTTAGGGTCAGTTTGTCGATTTCTGCAAAATAGAAGCCCTTATCTTGTTCCTGATCTTGGGGAAAAGTATTCAGTCTTTCACCATTAAGTACAGTGTTAGCTGTGTTCTTTTTCATAGATGCCCTTATTGGGTTAAGTTTCTTTCTATTTCTAGTTTATTGAGTGTACTTATTATGAAAAGGTGTTAGATTTTGTAAAATGATTTTCTGCATCTACTGATATTACCATGTGATTTTTTTCTTTTTGCTTTTTATTCCACCGATATGGTGTATTGCATTGATTAATTTTTGGATGTCAAACCAACCCTGAATTCCTGGAATTAATATCACTTGGTCATTATTCTGATACCAACTGGTGTGCTACATTTCATCTCTGGCACTAACCAGCCAAACTTGGTTCACATGCCACAAGTTAAAGGGCATGGTCCACAACAAGATTGCCCTCACTTCAGATCAACTGACTACAAATCTGGGGACTCACATGACCCTGTTGGGTTAATTCACTCGAATGATTCACAGAACGCAGAAAAGCACTATACTTATTACAACCAAATATAGAGTCATGTAGGGTGAGGTTTGGGAAGGTCCTGAACACATAACTTCTGTGCCTTCTCCCCGTGGAATCAGGGTATGTCACTCTCCTGGCACATTAATGTGTTCACCAACCCAGGAAGCTCCACTGATTGTGTCCAGGGGTTTTACTGAGATTTTATTACATAGGCATGCTTTATTAAACATTGACCATGTGATTGAACTCAATCTCCAGCCTCAGCCTCTCCCCAGCCTGTCCTTGGAGGTTGGGAAGCCAGGCTAAAATCATATGGCTCCAAGCTCCAAACTTCTAATTACATGGTTGATCTTTGCAGCTCCCATCCTGAAGCTGTCTCGGGGCACACAGTGAGTCACTTCATTAGTACAAATTAAGGTGTGTTCTAAGGGGCTCATAAATAAAAAAATACATTTTTATCACTCAGGGAATTCCAAGGGTTGTAGAATCTCCATACCAGGAACCCAGGGCAAAGACCAAAATCTTTATTAGACAACAGTCATAATTTTTTTTTTTTATGGCAGCTGTTCCTCTTCCCCATACATCTCATCCCCCTTCCCTGCTTGTCACCTTTTTTTTTTTTTTTTTGAGACTGAGTCTCACTCTGTTGCCCAGACAGGAGTACAGTGGCTCCATCTCGGCTCATTGCAACCTCCACCTCCTGGGTTCAAGTGATTCTCCTGCCTCAGCCTTCCAAGTAGCTGGGACTACAGGTGCCCACCACCACAGACAGCTCATTTTTGTAGTTTTTTAGTAGAGATGGGGTTTCACCATGTTGCCCAGGCTGGTCTCCAACTCCTGACCTGAAGTGATCCTCCCACTTCGGCCTCCTGAAGTGCTGGGATTACAGGCGTGAGCCACTATGCCCAGGTAACAGTCATAATTTTAAAAATGTGTTACTAGATACACCTTGCTAGTATTTTTCATTGAGGATTTCTGCATCTATATTCAAGCAATATTGGTTTGTAGTTTCCTTTTCTTGTGATGTCTTTATCTTGTTTTGGTATCAGGCTCATAGGATGAGTCGGAAAGTGTTCTCTGTTATTTTTTGGAAGAGTTTTGTGGAGAATTGATATTACTTACTCTTTAAACGTTTAGTAGAAGTTACCAGGGAAGCCATTTTTCTTTTGTTTGTGGGCTGTCTTAAAATTACTAATTCAATCTGTTCATGGGTCTATTCAGTTGTTCTATTTCTTCTTGAGTCATTTGCAGCCTTTTTGTCTTTATGGAATTTTAAAAATTTTATCTAAGTTAAATTGTTCATAGTATTCATTTGTAGTCTTGTGAGGTCAGTTGTCATGCTCCCTTTTATTTCCAATTCTCTATGCCACTGTTCTGGAGATGGGAGTGAAGTCAGTGCCCTGCTATTTTTGGAGTGACACCTGTGCTTTGTGAGCAGGGCACTAGGTGGTGGCGGCAGCCTCTGGTCTTCTTTGCTTGACTCTTGATGTGAAATCGCTGTCCTGCCAGCGAGCTGAGATGAGGGTGTCCAAAGCTCCTGTAATCTCAGCTCGTCATGCCTGGGGAAGAAGCTCCACTTTATGAGTGGGGGCTTAGTGAAGGGAGAGGACCCGTGGACTCAAGGCTGCCCTCACCTGGAGTTTAGCCTTTTCAACACACAGCTTGGGGAGAGGAAGATGCTGGCAGCCTGCCCCTCCTGGGGAACTCCTGTAGCCCTTTACTCGGAACTGGGGAAGGGGGAGTCCCACCTTCTTGGCCACAGCTGGAGTGGAGCTTCCATCACATTGTTCTGGGGCAGGGGAAGGGAAGGAATGGTCATGACTCTAGTGTCACAGACTCTCACAGTTCTTATCGAGGTTTAGATTTTCTTGAATAAACGTTTCATTAACTACATGCCTTTGGGACAATTTCCAGAGACTTTAAATAGCTCTTTTAAAAATAATTTTTACCAGTTATGGTTGTTCACTAGAGTTCCTCATGTGCCATTCAGGAATATACCTTCATCTCCAGCACTGGCTCTCCTGTCCACAGAATGCATTAATTCTTGGCTTTATAACTCCAGGTGGCTGTGAACAATTCAGGGAAGGCTGACAGAAAACATAAGACTGGGAAAGAAGATCTAGCAGGCATATGTGTGGGGAATTAATATTGAACTGAAGAAAATGTTAAAAATATGTAATGATTCACTTTGAAATGAGAAAGTTAAGGTTATAACGAGCTAGGAAACATGTTCATTGAACAACAAGCAAGTGGAATGCTTACATCACAGAGCAGGGTACAGAGATTAGACACAAGGAATCATCTCCTGGCAGGGCTGTTAAATAAGAATATACTTCCCATAAAGTTTGCAGAATAGCATTTTAAAATAGGCTAGATCCTTATCTTCACATAGTTAATCTTATGAGTGGCTAAAATGCAGCTTCTCTATCGCCTCACTCATTGTGGTAAGTTTTGACAGAAGGGCTTTATTAACACAAATTATTAAAATGACTTCAGTGCTGTACCTTCCACCTACAACACTGAACCACAGCAAAAACACCCAAGGGTATCCTACAACTTGTAACAGCAAGGTGCAAGGGAACCACAGAAGGTTCTTGGCCATGTAGATGGTCATCTTGTTCTTCCTCCAGAAAGTTACACAAATAAAAGCAGGTGTTTTTTTCTACTTGACTTTCTGCAAGGCTGACTTAAGTTTACTGTAATACTGCCCAAAGACGAGGGAACAGGGTAAACAGCCTCATTAGCTCCCATGCGACGTTAGGAATTTTAGGTCATGTTAGCTTCCTGAACATGGACAAGCTATTGTTCTTCCCTTTCCAGGATGGGCAGATAAACTATACTTCAAATATTTATCCTATCCTCCTTATCTTGCCTACTCTAATAAGGGACTTGGTTGTGATATAATTTCCAATGAAATGCCAAATATAGAACCATGTCAATTTAAAGAGATAGATACTACTGAATGAGATGACTCCTTTCAAATGAAAACCCTAAACATCTTAGGAGAAATGTATGCTTCTCATGTGTTGGCAGCATTCCAGAACTCAGCCTTTCTTAGGCGTCTCCCACTCTTCAGTGGCAGTTCAGTGATTTCTTCAATAAGCGGAAGTAACAGCAGACACATTATACAGTGATAATCTGTTAGTTTCTCTGAGCAACTGAAATTAAAATATGCTTAACATATGCAATCCCAATTTTCAAAGTTTGATGAAAGTTACTACTTACTAAAATGATACCCTAAGATTGACTAGAATTGTGACTCTGGCATCACAAAGCAGAAACTAGAAACTGCAACTGGTCAAATTCACTATATATATACACACACACACATAAAATGTTGGCATACATAATTTAGTATATACAATTTGTGTATTGTATATCTCACAAGAGAGATATAAGCATGGTTTAAAAGTTGTGGAGATGTTTTTAAATAAAAAGCTAAATTATCTGAACTGAAAGAAAGTAAACTTAAAGTGGTTTGAGGAACAACAAAATGGCCCACAGCAGTTAATGTGAAAACACTTTCTCATTTTAGTTTTATTAAAACTAACGATTTTAAAACTGACTTGAAGCAATTTCATTGCTTATTTTGAGGTGTTTATCTCCCTCTTGGAAAGTAACTAGCCAGCACCGACATGCTACTACATGCTGATGAAGGTTGCCTCACATACTAGAAGGCAGATTTCAAAGGGCAGGAGTGTGGAAATACAGTTGTCTGTCAGTTCGGTGATCTTCTTTGATAATTTCTGCTCCTTAGCAGCTGGCAAGATAAGAAATGAGCACAAAATATCATAAAGATCTAAATGTATTCCAGATGTCATGAAAAAAAAACTCAGTAAAGAACAGTATATTCCTTGGAAAACTGTTAAGACTGAGGTCACAGATTTGTAAAATAGCTTGATTATTGTATGTTGAATAGCCCATGATTTAAAAAAAAAACCCTTCCTTTTAATGGAGTTTTAAAATAGCTTGAGTTTTATGTATATAAAGAGTTTTGCAAATATTTTTCATGAACTACTTATACAGAAAAAAGGGAGGGGTGAATTTCACTTTTTTCCCTCAAAATCCTTTTAAGTCTTAAGTTTCTTACCTAGTTAAGAGTTTAAAATATAAGTCGAATTAGCGAGATTAGAGTTATACAAAATTGTATCCATTAATAAAGTTGCATTTGATTAAAAGCATTTTAAATAATTTTCTGAGCCCTATTAAAACTCTGTGTATCTGTAAAATGCACTATTACTTGAATTGGTTTGTAGCGTATGTCTCATTCCAAAAAGTATTATAAAATCCGAAGGCATAAATAACAAATTATTGCTTTGAAATAAAATGAAACAGATTTTTCCATAAATATCTCACATCATGGTCTCTGAGAATGGCTCAGAACTTCAGGTCATCTGGTTCCATTTCTCCCAATGTGATAAATACTCCGATCAGCCACCTCCCAGACTCTTATTTGAAGACAGTCACTGGCAGAAAACTCACTCCTCTCTATGGCATGAATAATGCAATTATTTGAGCATTTAGTAGTTGTTAGTCACTGTGTTAAGTGCTTTTCTAACATTATCATAAAATAATTCTGGGGTATTAATATCCAGATACAGATAGGAAACTGAATGTCGATGGGGATGAAGCAATTCTGTTAAGTGACAGTGTCGGGTCAGCTGGCACAGAGTTGGTATCTTAGACACTGCACTAAGCTGTGGCACGCTTACTCTCATTTTATATTTTTCTCCCTATATTCTAAGATAAACATCATAGGGTTTTTTTCCCCAAACATTTATGTATTCAGCATTCTTATATTCTCATTACAATTCTGGTTACCTTTTCCAGAAGGTACACAAAGCAAGCCTTGTGACTGTGGGAAACGGAAGCAATCTTTTTCCCACTTATTTTTTGTGGAGACAGGGTCTCCTTATGTTGCCCAGGCTGGTCTTGAACTCCTGGCCTCGTGATCCTCCCACCTCAGCCACCTAAAGTACTAGGATTACAGGTGTGCACCATCACACCCAGCCCTTCTACTCAATTTTGTTCTAAAAAAATTATTAATCTATGAAAATTCAAACAATACAAAAATATTGTAGGATCAATAAATACTAGTTCCTCCCTACCCCCTTCCCCAAATTCAACTCTATATTGTTAATTAGGAATTTGTTGTGTCCTACTATATTTCCTTTTTCTATTCCTTTATATATTTCCATAAGGTATGTGTGGAGATGCACATATATACATATATCCTGCATATATATATATGCAGGCAATCTTTGCTTTGAACAATTCTGACAGGCACAATTTCAGTTACATGGTTTAAATAACACCAGTCCCCAAACAACACAGTTCAAATTTCATTCCCATGGCATATTAGCTGTAATTACTAAGTACAAACTTCACTGTTAGCTCTTCAACCCACAAGTCACTAATAACAGGTGTGTCCCATGATCAGTAACCAATAATGTCATTTATCTCAAAATCCGTCAGTGACTGGTCACTATGCATCTGTTATGCACAGACAGCAACGTGTGTAGTTGTATTGCCTTTTTGTGTCCTGGTGATAGAGGCACATGACATTTTACAAAACTGGAGAGTTAAAACAGGGACTGGCCAAAAAAGACAAAAAACACAGCAAAGAAATGAAAAGCGGTTAACACTGGAAATAAAATTTGGGCTGACTGTGGGAATGCTGATACCATGCTCTTTGATAGAAACTCTAGGTAAGAAGCCAGAGACACTTAGTGAAAGGGAACTTAACATTTATCAACATAAGTGAAGATATTGGTTATAATGAAGAGACGATGTCCCAAAGGAAGTGATGCTGGTATAAATACATCATAGAACTCTTAGAGATATTTTACAACTGAAAGGAGTGTAACAATTTGCCAAGGCATAGAAAAGGTACTTGCTCTGTATTTCAAATTATGAGATGCAAGCAAGCACTGTTCAAATGCTCATGGTAAGTTTGACAAAAACTTAGATTCTCAATATTTGCAATGCTTTAAATTATGGTCTACTAAATAAATACTAGCTTTACTATGTTTTTCATTTCCCCATTTATAATTGGCAGAGAGCTTTTAATATTTTCACTAATGTTTTTAAAGGTCATGAGACAATCATCTTTTCCTTCATTGACTGTTAAGATTGCTTTGCACAGCTTCAGCTTGCAAGGTCATTTTTATGGTCATGCATTACTGTGCAAAGCAAGGATGGTTTATAGATGTACATATGTGGACGTGTATAGAGCTTTTAAAAATAAGATTTACATTTATTCAGACACTTGTTTTTCACAACATGTGAGAACAAGTAGATGTCTGATTATTTTTAATGGCTGCATTATATTCCATGGTATGGACAGACCATTGTTTACTTAATATGTTCCTATTGAGACATTTAGGTTATTTTCAGTTTTTCACTATTACAATGTTGATACGCTTTTGTGCACATAGGCAAGTATTCTACTAAATCAATTTCTACAAGTGCAACTACTGGATCAGTGAGAAAATGTTCAGCTTCACTGGTGGTCATGGCAATGCAAATCAACACAATGACATACCATCTTAAAACTAAAGGGCAAAAATTCAAGTCTTGACAATATAATGGTGAATACATGGATTCACTGGCTGTCACGTACTTTGCCAGTGTGAGTGTAACTGGTGGAATCCCTTTGGAAAACAGATGCCTACGTCGCCTCTGCACTTCCCACAGGTGTGCATGACTTGGGCTTCTCTCATCATTCAAATTCATTTGTGAGGCCTGGACTCCCCTATTTACCTTGTTATGGCATTTATCCTTTTTGTTTTATTCATTTTCTTGTCTCTCCTCCCAACTACAACACAAGTTCTAGAGCAGAGATCTTGTCTAATTTGTTCATCTGTGGGCCTGGAATATGGCATAAAACACGTGCTCAATAGATAGCTGAATGAATGCATTTGCATTTCTTCGTTTGGTGAGACTGAACATGTTTCATTATTTTATCTCTTTTGTGAATTGCATGCTCATATTCTTTGGCAATTTTCCCATTGGGATGTCTTCCTCTGATTAGTTTATAAGAGCTCTTCAGATACTACACATAGTAATCCCATGTCCATTTTGTGTCTTGAAAATATTTTCACAGTTTGCATTTCCTCTTTTCATTTCTGTTCTTTCAGTATACAGACGGTTAAAATTTTTATGGGGTCACACATGTCAACTTTTCCAATCATGCTTTTGGGCTTCAGGTCACTCTCAGGAATGCCATCCTCACCCTCAACACTATAGGACATCTCCTTTATCTTCTTCTGGCGTTTCTGTAATTTTATTTTTTATGTTATGTCATTAATTCCTTTCAAATTCAGTGTGCAGTGTTAGATAGAGATCTAATTTCTGTTGTTGTTCTTTTCAAATGTTCCCAGTATCGTTTATTGAATAGATTACCCTTTCCCAATATATATATTAAAAATCTCTAATTATGATTGCATGATTTGATCTTGAGGTATCTGCTTGCAGTTAAAAAAAAATTTTTTTTAAACTAAGTATTCTGCTTTCCATTTCCCCAAAAGCTCAAGTAAATCACAGCTTACAGGTTTCTAAGTAGTAGAGTTACCTCATGATATACTTAGAAAGCACATTAAAACAGAAACATGGTTTTAGAGAGAAAATATTTAATCTATTTCACGAAAAAAATGTACAAAGCTTTAGAAAAGAGGCATTAGGTTTCCATATACAGTATAAACACATTCTCACCTTCTATGATCACTTGTATTACACTTCTCTTTGCTAGTAAAGAAGCCACTGCACTCTCGTTCCAAACAATCTTCTGTTAACACATGCACTTGAAAAAGTCACTGAAAAGTACAGTCTTGAAATAAATGTAGAAATACAATGTTGTACAAAAATATATTAATCTGTCTACATGAAACACTTAAAAATGCACACCAAGTACATTCTTTTAGAACTAGACTATGTCTAGAAATACCAATATATGAACTTGTAGATTGGATTTTCGCTGCATTTTTAATCACTGGAGAAAAAAATATAATCAAGCCTTTGGAATAAGAAACATGAAGTTAGCACAGCAGACCAACTCTATTCTCAGAAATGAAACCATAAACTTTATCCATACAAAAGATGGGAAAGAGTTTGAGTTTCTAAAATTGACATATTTATGAAATGTTATAATTTAAAACTGCAATCACACAGCAAACTTTCATTTGTTCATAATCCACATGTAAAGATATGACAATTACAACATTTCTAATTGTCTCTCAATGCAACTTAACAGTGAGAATTTAAACTTAAAAAAAACAGCCTATGTAAAATATAATTAGGAAGGTATACCTCAAAGTAGAGAAAATTAATTTGAACTCATGGGGTATTGTTCCCCTCCTTTAAAAACTGAGCTATTATTAAGAAATGCTACGGAAAAAAATACTACAACAAAATTGTTCTGCCATATCTGTTATTTATATAACCATAATTTCTCACTGAAACTTCTACAGAAACTACTATTGTTTTTAGTAAGAGGGAGGCCTAAGCTGTGGAGAGGAAGCAGTAGTTTATTTTTTACAGGTATATTTTGATGATGAATATCACAGGCATGCACGAACAATACATTCCAACTCTATACAAACAAAAACTTGCTGGCATTTTGAAAAGTGTAATAAATACAACAGGGAGCCCACCCTGTACATGCTCAAAGAATGAATATATTTCCAGTGGCACTAAGAACAGTGACTACAAATTCTAAAAACAGAAGATAGTTGTAGGGCAGAGTCCTTCTAAATGTTCAGAGAGGAACATGTCTATTTTTCCCATTAATTAGCATAATTTATCAACTAATGTTTTGCCCTATTTACCTCAACATATATTTTTCACAAGCTTAGCACACATTAGATAAAGAAGGAATAACAGGCCAGGTGTGGTGGCTCATGCTTGTAATTCTAGCAATTTGAGAGGTTGGTGGCTTGAGGCCAGGAGTTCGAGACCAGTCTGGGCAACATAGCAAGTCCCCATCTCTACAAAAAATTTTAAAAAAATTAGCCAGGTGTGGTGGCACACACCTGTGGTCTTAGCTACTCAGGAGGCCGAAGCAGAAGGATCCTGAGCCCAGGAGTTCCAGGCTGCAGTGAGCTATGATCATGTCACTGCTGCACTCTAGCCTGGGCAACACAGCAAGACCCTATCTCTTAAAAACAAAAAAATGGGAAGGGAAAAAAAAACTATTTTAATTGGGGAGAGTTAAGTCTGAGAGCTGATTTTGTCTACTTCTCAGCATCAGTTTGAGGTCTCCTTTCATTTTATTTCAAATGGAAATAGATAACCAGGTATATTAAAAGCAAAAGGTAGTAAACTATGTCCGTATTATTCACACTTGGAAGTTTTCAACATTAAAAAATAACTGACCATTTGCTTAATGCTATATTACTTAAAGCCACCAAGCCTGTGGTAAGTTGCTGCTTAAAGAGGAAGGAATTCATACCATGCCCTGACAGTTACAAGAATGCTTTTTGGTATAAGGCTATTTAGTGTTCATTTGTGCTTGTTTAGTGCTTTTTAGTATATGGCTGCTTGTACAGGTAGGGAAGTATGTTTGCAAATAGTTGCAATATTTTCCTTTTGGTCCTGTGGCTTTCAACAGAACAAAATGTCCTTTGGTACACTTGAAAGCGACATGCCAGTGAAGAAGAGGGACACACCAATACAACCAGGCAAACATTCCACAGCAAGTGTCTAGGGTTTTCACTTTCCAACTCCAACCCTTGAAAAGAATTAAACCAAACCAACACACTCAGAAACAGGTGGGATGCAATCAGAAAAGCCGAGTGGGGCTGCCTCCTGTTCCACCTTACCCAGGCTCTGTGATTGGGGCAGCCTTCTGCAAGCCTGAGGCAGCCAGGCGAACCTCCAGAGCTCATATGTAAAGGGGCCAGGGTTTGTTAGCCATGGAATACATATAGGTAGATTAGTAAAGCCTCTGACTTTTAATACTATTCTTTATATTATCCTATTGCAAAGACATGGGAAAAAAGCAAACTCTTAATTATTCAGGACAAAATAGTGACATGATTATTGCTAATACTTCATTTAAATAAACTGTGCCACAGGGGGAAGAAAAGGTAATCTTGGTGCTTAACAGTGGATTCTACTTTTAAAATATGACACTATTATCACTTTCTTATTATCACATTTCCTTACGGATTTCAGGAGAGGGAGTTTATAACAAAATTAACAAAATTCCTTACTGCACCATACTACTACTTAATTAGCACACTAAGAATGAAAAGTTAAGTCTGCATTCTGTGTTTAGGTGATCATGAATCATAATCATTGGTACGTAGCATTTTGCTTAATTCCTTTTAATAGTATTTAGTGCGCTGGGCGCAGCGGCTCACGCCTGTAATCCCAGCACTTTGGAAGGCCAAGGCAGGCAGATCACCTGAGGTCAGGAGTTCGAGACCAGCCTGGCAAGCATGGCGAAACCCCATCTCCACTAAAAATACAAAAAATCAGCTAAGCGTGGTGGCAGACGCCTGTAATCCCAGCTACTCAGGAGGCTGAGGCAGGAGAATTGCTTGAACACAGGAAGTGGAGGCTGTGTTGCCATGGCACTCCAGCCTGGGCAACAAGAGCAAAACTCCATCTCAAAAAAAACAAAAACAAAACAAAACAAAACAAAGTACCTAATGCTAGGCTGGGTACGGTGGCTCACGCCTGTAATCCCAGCACTTTGGGAGGCCAAGGCAGGCGCATCACATGAGGTCAGGAGTTCGAGACCAACCTGGCCAACAGAAACCCTGTTTCTACTAAAAGTACAAAAATTAGCCGGGCATTGTGGTGGGCACCAGTAGTGGTGAGCGCCAGCTACTTGGGAGGCTGAGGCAGGAGGATCACTTGAACCCGGTAGGTGGAGCCTGCAGTGAGCTGAGATTGTACCCTTGCACTCCAGCCTGGGTGACAGAGTGAGACTCCATCTCAAAAAAAAAAAAAAAAAACAAAACAACAACAACAAAAAGTACCTAATGCTGGAATAGGTTGACCATGGTGAAAACTTTACTGTAACAGAATTGCATATATTAATATTTGAGTCATGGGGAGGGGTCTGCATACCAGTGTTATTTATGAAACAAGAAAGCAGAAGACTGTATTTCCAGAGCTCACTTGGACTAATATTTAATACAACAAAATTTTCTTAAATATGAATAGCTTCTTAGGGTTTGAGATAGTCCTGTGCAAAAGGCTCTTTATGATAAGGTCTTAATTACGTTTTGAAGACCAACCGTTAGAACTTTTAAAACAACTTTTGAAACAGCACTGTTGAGAACTAACACTGGAAAGCTATTTTTTTAATACATCCATCTGCCAAGAAAAACTCTGGATAATATCTGAAATTAAGAAAAAGTAGTACATAAAATCTTTTGACAAACAATTATAGACTGTTCCAAGGTCTGAATAACAGTATATAATGCAAAGTTGTATAATTAAATGGATTTATTTAAATTGCAGAAACAATCATTGCTAGTACTTTTGGGGTTCTTTGGATTAAGTTACTATAAATATATAAAGTTATGAAAGATTTATGTTTTAAGAAAACCTACTTTAAGAGGCAATACAGCAGAGAGTTGAACAGACTCCCATCCAGGCCCTGCCACTCGCTAAATGTGTGATTTTGGTTATGCTGGTGTATTTGATTATGCTTACCCTCTCTGTGTGCTTCTTCACCAATCAAATAAGGAAAAATGGTATTTCTCACATAAGGTTGTTGTGTGGATTAAATGAGTTAATACATAAAAGCACTTAATAGATGAGTGCTGGAAAATAGAAAGAACTCAATAAATATCTACTCAATAAATATCTATTATTCTTGTTATTTTATGTGAAGGCTTAAGAAAGTGTCCATGGAAGAACTCTTAATTGAGCAGTTCGTTTTCCCTCTGCATCTTGGAGTTAGGAATGAGGAGACCCGTGCCTGAATAAAGGCTCCACCACTACTTCCCCTTGTTTGACAGAAGTGAACATCTGCTGGCGCCAGGCACCACTTCAGGCATCGAGCACTATTCCGGTTTTCTATTCTTCAGATACGTCACCACTATTCCAAAGCTGTCTCCTCCTCTGTAAACTAACATCTACCTGCCCGATTTATAAGGTTATTTGAAGCTCAAATGAGGCAATACACATGAAAGCACTTTGAAGATTTTGTGAAGCACCACCATTGAAGTGAAACTTTTTGGTTAAGATATAAGTACTCTGGTGCAGGTTGTTGGGCATATGTTGTAGGAATGTGGTTCAGGATGAGTATGTCTGGACCCTCTCAAAGCAAGTTCATTACTTGTAGCTCCAGAAAGTCGTACAAAAAATTTTTAATAACACTATAGGCATGCTTCTTTATAACTACAATGTTGTTTATAAAATAGTTATATGCTTCATTATAAAACATTTCTCTTCTTGAACCCAACTCTATGAAGAATATTAACATAACCAATAGTTAGTGGGAGATTTTCCTTCACAAATTGTAGTTGCAAAGAAAATGTAGGGTGATATGTGTTTATGGTCCCAAATTATCATTACAGTAACTAAGCTAATAATTACCAGTTTCATTAATTACTAAGTGCTGTACACACAATATTTCATTGAATATGAGGCAGGTATATCAGCCCCATTTTAAAGGATTAGAATCCAAGTTACTGCAAAATCCAAGCTCTTAACCACTACACTACGTTACACAATAAAAATAACAGAACAAAAAAGCCATAACCATTGCTATCTTCACGAAATCACGTACTTAAGAGAACCGGTAGATCAAAGGACTCCAAACAATGTTCTGAGCTCTGGTAATAAAAATGACTTTTAAAAAGTTATTATATAAGTGCTTACGATTCAGTTAACTTTAACTCTTTAAACTTTATGGGTTTCCCCCCACCGTGATTTTAAAAATAACAGATTGCTCACTGAAAAGAAAAAAAAAACAGCAAAGTAGAATTAAAATAAAAACATCCATAATTCCTTCATTCACAAGAACTATTGACATTTTCCCTCTGCATATATTCTTATGTAACTGTTAACTATAGAATTTAAGTAGATTTTGATGATTGTGGTTAAACGTGATGCCAAATCTAACTATCGTATTTTTAACTGGTAGACATAAATTAATAGTAAACTTTGTGCAGGCAGAAAACTATTACATTATAGAGATATGTATTTTTAATAACTTCCTAAATTTTCCAACTACAGAAAAACAAGCAAAGAGTAACTTATCTCAGTTATACAAGCTCAAAAGTATATTGGCCATAAAAGAATCATGAATAATTCTTAATCTTTGTGTATACACACACCTATATAAATATACACATAGTAAATTTTTTTTTCTGGCTGTTAGGATTTATAACTTTCTGAAGGTTTGATAATATTATAACTAAATATTATTAGAACAGTTAAGAAAAAAATTATTTTTCATAGTCATTGAATTTTGCTAAAGTTACACTTATGGGTGATTAAACTACAAAGTTTTCTCTTGTTAAATATTTGCTTAAGACAGAATGTTCAAGATAAGCTAAACTCTTTACAAGAATCATATCAAGAAATTCTACCATTTGTGAAATAATAAAGAGGAGAGGAAAAAAATAGCGACAAACCAGCAGAATAATTTAGGGCAAAGATTCCAGGTATTATATAAAATGTGTGTAATACCACATTACTGGCATTTCAAGTGAGGTGACTTACACTAAAATCTTGTTCTTTTTAAACTATCACTGGACATAATAATTTATCCAACAAGAAAAGCAAAAGATAAAAAATATGCATTAGTCCTTATAGAATATGGATCAACAAGTTTTAAAAATAAACTTTCTAGTGCTTCCTCTTATGTGAGAGGTTTATCCTCGTCATAAATTCTAGGAACCTATCTATATTGCTTAAGTGTGATTTTATTCAAAATCATATTAGTCTACTATAAATAATACTTTTAATGTAAAAAACAATGCAGACTGGCAGTGGGTAAGAATAAGAATGTTCAATAAAACTGTATTTTGAAAGTCAAGAAAAGTATAAGCTAAGGCTAACCTAAAACTGTCTAGACAAATGAAGGGGAATAGAGTCTAAAAAATGCCTTTGCATTTTCACTGTACATGAACATGTATAACAAACACTGTGTTTGTATATTATATTGAAAAATAAACTCAGATATTTCTAAATTAGTAAATTAAAATTGTATATACTTCATTTAGAGTGTGAAATTGTTTAAGTCCTTAAACAGAAAATGATTGGGCCAAAATATTCTCATCCTGTCCATCTAGAAATGAGAAACATAATAAGTCAAATGAGATTAAAAATTAACTAAGGCCAGTAGGGCAAGGTGGCTCACACCTGTAATCCCAGCACTTTGGGAGACAGAGGCAGGCGGATCACCTGAGGCCAGGAGTTTGGGACCAGCCTGACTGACATGGTGAAACCCTGTCTCTACTAAAAACACAAAAAAATTAGCTGGGCATGGTGGTGTACGCCTGTAATCCCAGCTACTTGGGAGGCTGAGGCAGGAAAATCTCTTGAACCCAGGAGGTAGAGGTTGCAGTGAGCCAAGATCGCGCCACTGCCCTCCCAGCCTGGGCTACAGAGCCAGACTACGTCTCAAAAATAAAATAAAATAACTAAGGCCTATTCTCATAAAAGAGAGTATGTTATACACCCTTTTATTACAGAACATTTCATTTTTTTGATTGCTTGTGGAGAGAAAAGGTTTATGAGGTAATTACATATAATTTTAAACAGGATTCCTTTTAATTTTATATCTATATTTCTCTTTAAAAGTAGCTTCAGTAGATGACTAATTAAATCAATGTCATGATTTATACATCCTTACTTCAGAGATTCAGCTAACCTTATGAATAAAACAAACTAATACTACATTTCAAACAAAATTAAAAATAGACAATGATGTTTAAAAAAGATTACACTTCAAATTTAGCACTGTTTTTACAGGGAAGGGAAGCATATTATGCCATATTGTCTATAAATATTTACTGAATAAATAAACATGGTTCACCTGATGTTTTTAAACCCTTGTAAGCTGATTAAATCACAAACATGTTGAATAGGTCTTAAGGAAAACAAGATTAGGCTTTTAAGTAGTTATAAATTATGACAATAGAAAAAAAACCTTTCCAATATCTTTTTTTAGGGATAAAAAACAACAAAAATTAAAAAATAGTATCATTAAATCACTGTTTCGGCCTTAATATTTTGAAGACTAATATATTAGGATATACTGTATCTATTAATAGCATGAAAGCACCTCACACTGAAAATTTCACTTTTAAGGCTTAAAAGTGATTTTTAAAAACATCACAATAAATGATCATAATTTAAATTCTGAATATGGGAACGAAAAAAACCTCAAAACCTAAACTCAACAAATCTGCATTTAATGCTTACAAGTGAAATGTACATTTCCAAAACAAGATATGTAACCATCAGATTTAGCTGTCACAATAAATTATTTATCACAGACACTAAGTAATGTGTCCTAAAGTCCCTTTTTCCTTGAAAGTCATAATATTTCTGGGGACTCATTCATTATCTGGTAATGTAGTCACTCAAAAACAGTTAAAGGAGTCAGTCCTTAGAGATTCTATGTCCAACTTTATCTGTACAAAGTTTTAAGGCATTCATAATGGTATGTTAAATAACAAATAATTTATAATAAAAATAGATCAAAACTCTCTTTTAAAAATATCTCAACTGAGAAAACCACAGAAGAGAATAAAGATCGTATTTACCACTGATGTACTCCTTAAGCTTCTACAGTGATGAAAAGACTTTTTTTTGGCTTACAACAGACTTTATGCCTTGAATACTTGGTGTTCTTATACAAATGTGGCCTGGAGCTTAAGTTCTGCCTAAAGTTACTGTGAAATTTACACATTCAAGTGTGCTGATTGCTATTAATAAAGGTAGAAAAAGTTAGTTAAAATATCTGGTATTATTATTATCAGTATTTATTGCAAATTATCTTATAGTATTCTCTACTGTAGTGTGAACTTCAGTCTTGTGCCAAATAGCAGCATAGATTACAATATCATGGTACCAATGATGATCAATGACTCAGCTAGTATCAGCCAAAGCAAAGGAATTTGTTTATAATAAAAGAAGTAAGTAAGGAGCATAGCTTTATTTTAATATCAGTTGTCTGAACTGAGCAATGGGCATCTTGGTATCCAGAGGCAGAACTGAAGTTTTCTTTCCTTAAATTACAGTGATAGTCAGGATGGGAGACAGTAGGTGGTGGCAATGGGTTGCTAGCTAGCTGGCTGGCTAAAATACATACCTGAGCTCTACTGGAGCTATGCAACCTTGCTGTGTATCCGTTATTTGTAAAGGCTGACTGAACAAAATTGCCTTCATCATACAAGCACTGCTGTCTGCACTACAGTAATAAAGAAACACACTGACAGATACAATGGCTTCAAGTGATAAGCAATCATCAGGAATTTGTAGTGAAATTGTTGGTTGACTGGAAATGTTCTCTATATCTCCAGCTGCTATCTGTCCTTGAAGTAGCCATTCATTGCCTAAAAATCAAAAATGAAATTATTAAGACTGTATAAGATAAGTAGAAAACTGGGAACATCTTATGAAGACTAGATAAACTCGATCGACAAATATTTATTAAAAAATCTCTAAGTGCCAGGCATTGCGGTCTGTGGGAAGGACATAAATATACATAACATATACTGACCACTCATTAGAAGTTCCCAGTCTGATGATTATTACATCTAATTATTATAGTTCTTCCTTTGGATACTATAAAATAAATTACACATTTACTCTTATTAAAATCAAGCTGAATATTGCAAATATGGCTATAAAGCCTTAGTCTCTAAAGTTAAAAATAAAACCTATTAAATTTTAGAAATAAACATACGACACTTGAGAAAATGGATCATTTTTACCAAAGAGATGAAAGTCTTTAGGGATATAAAAACTACAAAATAAAATTTTATCTAGGGAATACAAATGTATGTGCAACTCTGTAGTGACTTTCTGGTTAATAATGAATTATTGAATATCTAAAAATAATTTAAAAATACACACACACTTTATTTAGAAACAGGTACCATTGCATATCTATTCTCTGTGGGCTTAAGTAATGTAAAAACCAAGAGATTTTGTATATCTCATTATAATACGTAAAACTCTTCCTAGAAATAAACAGACTATCTATAACAAAAATCGAATAAACCACTAACAAATTTTAAGCCCTCAAGAATTAAAATCATCTTTAAATGTCTTTATTCATCTCGACTTTCTCTTAGAAGGAACACACATGTCATACTGGGGAAGCACAGACACATACAGACATTCAGCCTAAAAAGGTGGCAGCCCTCAAGAGCCAGCATTTGGGAAATATATGAAATGCTTTCCCACCATGTAAATGGAGAACACTGAACATTTTCTAATGACTCATCTGTACAAAAACTGGACCACCTACTGAGTGTGATGAAATGCTGTCTACTTTTTAGCTTTTCTGTCTCTTTCTTTTGTTCTCAGGGTAAGTAAACCGACTCAGAGTGCCTGCCTTTATCAGTCCTCTTGATGTCTCTTTTAGTTTATTGCTTTAGTTTACTGAAAAATCAAATTTGAGAAAAATATGTCAAATAAGAGTACGAAGGTGAAAGATAAGAATCTAGAGAGATAAGTACAAAACTTCTATGCTGAAGCTTTTAAAGAATTCTTTTTAAATTCTCTTTAAAACTCTTTGGCTTTCTTTGTTTATTCCTGGGTTAGAGAGTATCTTTTATCTAATGCATGATTTTGCTAGAGAGATTAGTAGAGAACTTCTTATATTTTATTTATTATTTTTTGAGACGGAGTCTCGCTCTGTCACCCAGGCTAGAGTGCAGTGGCGTGAGCTTGGCTCACTGCGAGCTCTGCCTCCCTCCCGGGTTCACGCCATTCTCCTGCCTCAGCCTCCTGAGTAGCTGGGACTACCCCACTACCACACTCGGCTAATTTTTTGTATTTTTAGTAGAGATGGGTTTCACCGTGTTAGCCAGGATGGTCTCGATCTCCTGACCTCATGATCTGCCTGCCTCTGTCTCCCAAAGTGCTGGGATTACAGGCGTGAGCCACCACGCCTGGCCAATTTCTTATATTTTAAATCAAACAAAGAAAATAATACTGAGCTATTTTAATGTCCAAATCTAGAAATAAAACAGAAAATGTTTCTTTAGATATTTGTCATATATATCACACACACAATTTGTGAAGTTACAACACATGTGGTGCTTTTATGCTGCCTTTTTTTTTTTGGCTTAAAACTTGCATATATTCTAACTTCTTTAAGATTATACAGACCAAAATTTGGCTAAAAATAAGTGTTTCTAAATAACAAGCCAAAAGAGAAAATGTCCTTTAAACATAAGTGTACAAATGTACTCTATAATATTCAAAAACCTTAAATTATTAGGATTATTGCCTGAAAATTATCTGCTACTATATAATAAAAATGGGGCCCATATCTTGGACAAATTAGATAAAGTCTCTATAGACTACTTTATTTGAATACTATCTGTATTTTATATCCCAATGACTCAATATTAATTAGTGTGTCTGACAATGCAGACCAATGTTAATCTGTCAATATCCTATTTTAAAAATTAGTACACTGCTCCTACAGTGACACCATTTAATACACTGCTCTAACAGTGACTGCTCTTACAGTTACACTGAGAAAAATTAATGTTCTCCAACTGATGTAATACTTCCAGACTTAAATTGGCAGTCTAGAACTTGCTCTGAACCTACAAAAGGCTATGGAGTGGCCAGGGTTTGAGTATTCTTCTGTCTACAAAGCAAGCTCCAAAGGTCCTAGTACATGGTTAGCCTTCCCCCTTGTGGGAAGTGACAAGGGGTGGTTTCCCTACAGACTCAATCACCCTAGAACCAGCCTCCCAAACACTAACCAGCAGTTCCTCCCAGCCAGTCTACCAAGATACCGTTATCCTCTTGGTTTAGACACTAAGTTGATATTATAATTGCAGGCCAGTGGCTGCTGCCCTGAGAAAGTTGAAGGTAAGAAGGAATGAATTACCCAGGATTTGGGTAATGTACAAAAGAAAAGTGTGTGAGAGGGTATGAAGGAGGAGGAGTTGGGAAGGAAATGGAAAATTGAGTGAGAAAGTGTGAAAGAGCGTGGGAGACCAGGACAGAGGAATATCATTAGAGACAAGTTGTAATTTAGAAGTTCTGAACCACTAAAATTTCACTTTAAAATTTTTGTCCACCAGGTTACAGATGTTGGAATGCATACTGCAAGGCAAGCAGTATACTGATTCCTTACCATAGATTAATGAAATAAGGAGCTAGCTCATACTGTGATTCACAAATAGAAGAAAGGGAGGAATGCCCAAGAGTGACTGAAAGGAAGAGTCACAGAAAAAGATGTTAAATACGAGGGCTCCACTTTCTCTATTTCAGACTTTTTAACTCTAAGATTCTTTTTGGAACAAGAATAGAATGAAGAACAGGATCAGAATAAGGGATGAGGTATAGGAAAACCCACATTCCAAGAAATCATGCTAACAACTGACTTGTAACTTTTGGTGAGTTACACTGTTCTTTAATAAAAGGGAAGAAAGACTCTTGATGAGTAAAGCAAATGGCCAATGTGGGGTTGGATCTGGATTCATTTGTTCATATGATCTTCAAATCTTGCCTATACAGAGTAAAAATATCACCTAACAAATAAAAAATAACTAGATTAAACATCAAGAATATATGATGTATTAGTATTTGCAAGCTTATACTCATACCTTCAGCTGTTAGAAACCAGCAACTGGATACTCCTTCAGTTAGCTTTGATCCTGATGGGAGGTCTAATCTGAGTTTGAACTGAAGAGTCTGGCCAGCACACGCAGTCACGGGGGAAAGCCTAATGCTTGGAGCAGATTTAGGTAGTTTGGGTAATGTCTTCTGTTTTTCTACTAGGAACGGGCCATCTACCACAGCATTTTCAGATCTGAAGATGGGGAGCTAGGAAATAAGAAAATCTGTTATTAAAACACAAGAACTTTATATTAATTATAGAATGAGAGCATATTTTTAGACTTTAGTAGAATAATGAAGTTCTATGTCAATGAAACTAATCGCCATTCTAGTTTGAATTAGAATGTGTTAGATGCCCTCAAGATTATTTTCGTAGACACAGAGAAAGTTTATCTTAGCGACAACAACAAAACCCAACACTTATGAATGAGGCAGAATTAAAGTAACTGTCCAATGTATATAGACGGCAGGAAATTAAAGCAAAAGTTTATAAATTTAAACATGCTAGATATACATTTTCTTATAATTTTCATTGTCAACTATAAGAAGATGTTATTCATCTTATATCAGAGATCTACGTGAAGAGAAATGACATTTATGTTGCAATAGTAATCTATGTTTCTTTTAAAAATATACCGTGCAAATTACCAGTTTTTCAGAAAAAAACTGTTGCATTTTTTTCAGGTAAATGTCATACATCAAGAGTTAGTTTATAATAGACATTTCCCCTTGAAAATTCTATAAGAAACCACGTCCATATCTTTA
The DNA here is from genome assembly GCF_000001405.40 of Homo sapiens. Lineage (NCBI taxonomy): Eukaryota > Metazoa > Chordata > Mammalia > Primates > Hominidae > Homo > Homo sapiens. Next base: position 113,904,258 of record NC_000010.11, on the reverse strand, counting down.
AAAACTGACTATAACTCATTTAAGTTTCTTCCACAATCTTATTTTCGATGTCTTGAGAAAGTGGCTTCTAAAGCTTTTGTTAGATTATTTGGTAATGGATTCATCACAGGCAAACAAAGGTTACATGTTAATCTAAAGATCACTGAAAAAAAAAAAAAAACAAAAACAATAAGCTAAATAACCCAACCCACAGAGCAGGTGTATGTAGTGTATGTCAGTATGTCTGTACACTTAAAAACAGATCTGAGTCCTCTCCTTTTTTTTTTCTTGAAGGTTCATTAGATTATCTCCAATTTCCAGTATTTTTCTCAAACTCTCAGCACAGATGGAACTTTTATTTTAAGAATAAAAGGATATCCTTAAAGCAGTCCTGCTGGTCTCTTTGTCAAAGAATACAACAGAAGCATCCACTTAATACTCTCCTGGAGATGGTCTAACCAAAAATGCCTCTGTCAGTGCTGTGAGGATCTTAGTATCATTCTTAAAACCACATTCTTTAACTTATATTTTAAAATTACTTACCACAGATACCATTTTAGTTTCTAAATCCATCACTTTAATTTGATGATTATTGGTGTCTGCTACATATAATAATTCTCCATTCTCTCCAATACACAAGCCTCCTGGTTCATTAAAAGTTGACTCTGTAAAACTGGAACTGGTAACATTATTTGTGTCTCCAGTTCCTGCTAATGTTGTACAGTTTTTTGTTTTTGGATCCACAACTTTAATCTAAAAAAGAAAGAACAAAAACTTATATAACTGAAGATCAATCTCATGTTTGTTGTATGGAAGAGTATGGTATCAAGCAAGCTAATTTCTGATTGCCATTAATATTCTCAATAAGTCTCACAAAAGGAATAGTTATTTCCATATTTTCTTGAAAAGCCAAACATTCAAATTGCAGTCTAAGGGGAGATATTCTATTCTAAGAACTAAAGACTATGTAAAATCCTTAGCTCCATCTTGTCTTCTGGAAGCAATCTTTGATGAAGTTATTTCTGGAATTAAAAAAAATTTTTTTTTATTGAATTGTTTTTCTTCACAATGGGACACACTTTCACAACTGAACTGACTTTGTCTTCCTGAGCATCTAGCATTGCCTGAGAATTTGCTACCTTTGTTAAACTTAATGATTGACAGTTATGTCTCAATTATATTAAATTTATGGTCTCACATCATGAAGTACTGCATGAACATTTATTATCCACTGATTTTTGTAAAAAGTAAAAATGCAATAAAACTTAAGACAATTTAATAGACAAAAATGGAAATGCTGAAAACAAAATTATTTACTAACAAGCACTGTAACTATGCAACAGCTCAAAAACGTTCATTTGTTAGATGACATATAAATTTCCCTGCTACTTGCCTTCTCTTGATATACTGAATATGTTACTAAGCAGCTTTGATGGGTTGCAATTCACAACTGTTGGCTATTGCCATTGGAACTGGTTCTGTGCTTTCCCTAGTTCAGAATACCATCATAACCTCTTGGCAAAGAAAGGACCAAGAAAAGAGCAGAACAGGCTGGGTTATAGTTGTCAAAGACTGTTACTCCTTTCTATATTTTAGAGTGGCAGTTGTAGGAGGCTCACAGATCTTTCAGCATTTTAAATGCCACACACAAAAAGCAAGATATTATATAATTCTGTCACGACTCACCTTGTGATTGTAGGAGTCTGCAACATAAAGTAAATTCCTTTTTTTGTCCCATGTTACTCCAAGGGGGTGTTGAAGCTTTGCATTGATTCCTACTCCATCAACATCACCAAAAGCAAATAAATTCTTTAATTTTTTTTAAAAGAAAAGAAACAGCAGTTATTATAATTTTTACAGTGTTTTGTTAGAATATGAAGGAAAATTCAAACAGTTACAAATGGTATTTAAGTTAAAAGGGAAAATGCTGATTTTCATATAAATAGGGTTGGATACTTCATTCAGATTAGAAAAAAAATGACAGTATTTTGAACCTGTATTAATTGGTGGTGCTTAGTAGTTTTACTCACAATACTACATCTGGTCAGGAATAGGTCAAGTCCACTAGTCTGGTGCTCTTTCCACCCCACTGCCCAATATCTAATTTACATTTTTTTCTTTTCTCCAATAATCAATGCTTCATCCTTTCTTTCTCCCTGAAACCTTAACATTTATACATAATAAAGTAGAGTCAGTTCACTTTTCTTAGATGGTGTGTTCCTCACGTTGCTTTACATTCACATTTCCTTTGGTCTGACTTTCATTTTGATTCGCAGATAGGCCAAGGATGGTCTCTCTTAAATCTTATTAACTTTCCATAATTCACAAAATTGACAGCTTGCTCAGTGTCCGAGCGCACTGTGCAAGAGTGACTGTCATTACCATGGGGTCTCTTTCTCCTCCTACGAGGTGCTTCACTGCTCCATCTTTCAGTGAAACGGTTCTCACTGTACTGCTCTCACTATCTGCTACAAACAAGCAGCTCCAGGGATCTTCAGAGGCCAAGGAAAGGCCTGAAGGTTGGGCAAAACCTGCCTTGTGAGGATAGGCATTGTTTCGATTCTCTTCATTTCCACTTCCAGCAAACCTAAGGCAGGTTCCTTTTGTTAACTCACTGAAAAAGACAAGTTCATAGGTGGAGTCAACATGTGGTATATTGTGTGCAATTTAGTTCTTAAATAAATGAATGTGAATAATCAAATCAAAAGTGATAAGCCTCCTAAAAAAACAAACTAGTGATCTTGGTCTAGTTAAATTGTTCAAGTCAGCTTTCATTATCATTTTTCCAACCATTAACTTATTTACCCACTGTGTAGGGAACTTCTTACTTTACTTTGATACACACAAAACTGAAATCACTTTCAAATGTTAAACGACAAATCCCTGATAGAATTATAAGATAAAAATAATGATCAGATTATTGATGAGATAGGTTGTTTTTACTACCTTAAATTCTTAACTTCTTAGTTTCATGCAATATGAGGTTCGGAAAGGGAACTAAAAAGATCATCTAGCTCTTGATAGTTTAAAGCTTCAATTTTCATTAAAAATGTTTTGTGTTCTTATATATAAACAGAGACCAGCAAAAGGAATTAAAGAATAGTTTTTGAAAGTTGGCCAGGTCAGACATTACTATTATATGAAAAATAATATAATTGTACATAATTATCTTAAAATTACATGGGATAATTATGTACAATTATATCGATTGTACAAATCAATTTCTTATATACATTAGGGAAATTTCTATTTAAGGAACTATTGCAATGATTCCTTTTGTAATGCAGAGAAAGCTTTAGATCCTGGTTTCTAAGTTTATTCCAGAGAGACTGTAAAAAAGACATGGTAGTGTGTTGTGTTGAGGGAAGGGAAGCAGCTGACTCGGGACACAAAATGAGAGTCTGTGTAAATCATTTCTGAATATGGTACAACATGCAAAAGTCTGAACTCACCATCACTTACTGGCTAATATGTTCCCATAATAAGTTAGGTAGGGAGCAGGGGACAGAGGCAAAGGGATTTAGCACGCATAAAATATGGCCACTTATTCAAGAAACATATAAACATAGCAAGTACAATATATGTAATAACTAATATGCTGAACAAATTAATTGAAAGGAGTCTACAAGGAGTCTTAATACTTTAAAAAGGAGTTTCCTTAATTAAATAAAGAAAAGAGTAGGGAGAAACAATAACTTTTAAAATGCTAAGGGTCATTACTACCTGAAGATCGGTAATAAAGATAATACATCCTTAAAATTAAAACACAGGTCAGTGTGGTCCTAGTGCCAATTTCCTATTAAGAAGGAGAGTGACAACTCTACTTATGAGGAAATTCAGGCAGCTCTGAATCATCTATGCCTAAAACAGCCATCACCCAGAACAGCATATTCTGGCAACTTCTGTTACTTCTCTGCTGTTTATAATTATGCCTCATGTAAAATCTTATTGGTAATCTCACTGTTCAGGCTACTATCATCTCTTGCCTGGATAACAGCAATAGGCTCCTCAGTGGTATCTCTTATCTCTGTCTCTAGTCTTGTTCCACTCTGAGTGCTGCCAATGTTCTTTCAAAAACACAAATCTAATCATGTCACTTCCCAGCTTAAACCTTTCTAAAAAGGCTTGTAGAATATTCAGATCCCTAAAAGTACTCACAAGGCACAGTGTGATCTGGCTTCTACTGACATCACTAGTGCCAATTCTTGCCTGGAAAACTTTCCACTCTCCCTAACTCCTATACTCTTATCAGGTCACTGTTTAGTTGCCTCTTCCAAGAAGCCCTCCTTGACAACTCAAATCTTACTGATGTTGCGTCTTCCTCTTACTTATATAAGGAACAATTTCAATTTTTTTTTTTTTAAACGGAGTCTCACTCTGTCGTCCTGGCTGGAGTGCAGTGGCACAATCTCAGCTCACTGCAACCTTCCGCCTCCTGGGTTCAAGCGATTCTCCTGCCACAGCCTCCTGAGTAGCTGGGATTACAGGCAAGCGCCACCACGCCCAGCTAACTTTTTCTATTTTTAGTAGAGACGGGGTTTCACCATATTGTCATTCTGGTCTCGAACTACTGACCTTGTGATCTGCCTGCCTCGGCCCCCCAAAGTGCTGGGATTACAGGCGTGACCCACCGCACCCAGCCGAACAATTTCAATTTGCAGCGATTCCTTTTGCACACACTAACTTTTAATTGTTTGCTGATCTGATTCTTCCTCTGTAAGTTCACTGATGACAACCACATCTTTTCATTGTATCCTTAACATAGTGAGCATATTTCATCCCTATTGCCTAGCATAAATATTTGCTAAACGATTAAATGTCTTAAAACATTACATAAGTGTGTCCAAAGCAACATGCACAAACATACACACTATTTGGAATATCTGCTATTTTGAAGGATCTATATAAAAGCAGCTTTCTATTAATAACGGTAACTTGCAATGATCATTTTCCATGGCTACGTGACAGCCTTTCCGGTTAACGGCTTTTATTCATTTATCCTCAAACCGTTACTGAGCTCCTCTTAGGTACCAAATACTGTGCTAGGTACAAGGGACAGAAAAATGAATGGGAGAGGATCCTTTCCTTTAAGAGACTAGTAGGAGGAAATGGCTAAAAATAAAAACAATCAAAAGGAGAGAAGAGAGAGAAAGAGGAAGGGGCAGCGGGTTGGGGCAGGAAAACTTAGTGCAGTGATGTAACTATACACCAGGTACAGTGAGGTCACAGAGAAGAGTATGGCCAGTTCTGCCTGGGGTATTGGGGGAAGAGGAAAGGGTCTAAGGAAAAAAAATATGAGAAACTTTGCAGACACTACCCTTTCATCCTTATATCCTTGTGACAGCAAAGCTACCTATGTTTACTGTACATGTTAGGTACTATGCCAAGCTCTCCACATATATTATTAATTCTCAAAGCAAGCCTATGAGGTAATATAAATAAGGAAACTGAGGCTTTGAAAGTTAAAGTGGCTCTCCTAAACTCACACAGATAGTAAATGGCAGAGCCAGGATTCAACCTCAGGCCTGACTACAAAAACTGAGTTATTAAGCACTCTGCTATGTGGTATTCAACTGTTTGAATGAATGATTAGAGATAGTTCAACTATGTCTTAAAAGATAAGGGTCCACTGAATATTCTTAGTTCTCTTTCTAGACAGTAAGGAGAATGATTCTTTGCAGGTTCCATGAAGTGAAGTGTGGCCCTAAGACTTACTCTGGCTGATAAAATGTAAGTAGAAGTGACGTGTGTCACTTCTGAGTAGAAATTTTAACAGTCAGTGAGTGACTTACTACCTCTTTCTCTCTCACTGTGCCAGGATGACTGGCGAAGCTCCCGAAAGCTCCAGGCTGTTTCATCAGCCTGGGCAACAGAGGAGTGCTCCCCAGTGAACCCATGTGAGTGAGCAATAAACACGCCTTGTTTTAAGTCACTGAGAATCTGCGTTGTGTGCTATGGCAGTACAACCTAGCACATCCTGACTGGTACAGTGAGGATGGTGATTTTGAAAAAAGAAATTATATGAACACCAAGTAGTACAGTCTACTCAAAGAGAGAGGCTGTCACTTACTTTTTCTTTGGCAGTTTGCCAGAGTCCAGCAGGAGTGCCCATATCTGATGAGTCCCTGCCATGGCTATCCATAAAATGTCACCTCTTTGGACCTCTGAACCTTTATAAAAATAAATCATTATTATTATATACATATCTGGTTAATACAAACACTCCAATGGTTTTAAAATGTTAAATTTATGGAGGATAACAATATGTTTGTGAATCATCTGATAAATAAAAATATCTGCAATGTTTCAAGTTATCTTTGAAAATTTTGTTTTCTTGTGAAAGGTTTACTTTGTTAGACTTGTAATTTTACCCACAACAATTTCACAGGAATCCAAAGTATTCTTACCAGCAGTAAGTCCTCTGCATCTCTGCATCTGAACTCTGCCTCAGCAGTTTGTTAATTTTACAACGAGCATTAACAATGTTTTAAACATCTGATTTCTTATTTTACATGACATAAACTATTAAAAGTGACACTGGCACACATATATTCTGGGGACTGTCTCTGCTTAATCACCTTAAAACTACATCAAAAGCTTTCCACAATTAATTTTTAGCATACCACAATGTTTCAGTTATTCTAGAGCCACAACCCGGGACTACGAAAATGAACAGGAAACCTAAGCTCATAAAATATTCTGTTATGTTACATATACTGGCATCCAAATAAAAGGCTCAAAGCACACGATGCACTTAGAGTAATGCTTGGAGGCAATATCACTCAAATGTTAGCCATGATCATTTAGTGAATCTGGACCTTAATTTTACATATTTGTACTAGGAAAACATAAATACATTTACAAACTGAACAGCCCTTCAATAGACACCATAGAGGGTAAAAAGTATAATACAACCTCTTCCACTTAAGAAGTTCATTAATTTTACAGTGAGTATTAATAATGCATGTATTACCAACAGATCATATTTGGTACCTAAGAAAGCACTCAGTTTAGAATTGCTTATTTCTGTTAAATCTACCATAAATCTAAGATAATAAACTTTTAGTATTAAACAATGAAAATGACTTTTATGTTCCTGCATAGTCAATGATATTATCAACTATGGAAATGACCAAGCAAAACAAAAACTTCAGTAGGTAAGAGAAATAAAAACATGGAAAGCCCACGAAAATGAATAATCTTATTCATTCTAACTTAATTTGGAATGTTTTCCATTCACAATATTTCAAAGCATTTATTGGTTCAAAATTTTTTTTTTTTTTTTTGAGGCGGAGTCTCACTCCGTCCCCCAGGCTGGAGTGCAGTGGAGCAATCTCGGCTCACTGCAAGCTCCGCCTCCCAGGTTCATGCCATTCTCCTGCCTCAGCCTCCCGAGTAGCTGGGACTACAGGCACCCGCCACCATGCCCGGCTAATTTTTTGTATTTTTAGTAGAGACGGGGTTTCACTGTGTTAGCCAGGATGGTCTCGATCTCCTAACCTCGTGATCTGCCCACCTCAGCCTCCCAAAGTGCTAGGATTACAGGCGCTCATGAGCCACCATGCCCAGCCAGTTCAAATACTTTTTTTTCTTTTATTTATTTATTTATTATTATTACACTTTAAGTTTTAGGGTACATGTGCACAACGTGCAGGTTAGTTACATTTGTATACATGTGCCATGCTGGTGCGCTGCACCCACTAACTCATCATCTAGCATTTGGTATATCTCCCAATGCTATCCCTCCCCCCTCCCCCCACCCCACAACAGTCCCCAGAGTGTTATGTTCCCCTTCCTGTGTCCATGTGTTCTCATTGTTCAATTCCCACCTATGAGTGAGAATATGCGGTGTTTGGTTTTTTGTTCTTGCCATAGTTTACTGAGAATGATGATTTCCAATTTCATCCATGTCCCTACAAAGGACATGAACTCATCCTTTTTTATGGCTGCATAGTATTCCATGGTGTATATGTGCCACATTTTCTTAATCCAGTCTATCATTGTTGGACATTTGAGTTGGTTCCAAGTCTTTGCTATTGTGAATAATGCCGCAATAAACATACACGTGCATGTGTCTTTATAGTAGCATGATTTATAGTCCTTTGGGTATATACCCAGTAATAGGATTGCTGGGTCAAATGGTATTTCTAGTTCTAGATCCCTGAGGAATCGCCACACTGACTTCCACAATGGTTGAACTAGTTTACAGTCCCACCAACAGTGTAAAAGTGTTCCTATTTCTCCACATCCTCTCCAGCACCTGCTGTTTCCTGACTTTTTAATGATCGCCATTCTAACTGGTGTGAGATGGTATCTCATTGTGGAGGTTCAAATATTTTTAAAATGCTACATGAAAAAATGTAAATGATTATGTTTTCAAGTCCTCTACCCAGTTCTCCCATTTTTCTCAATGAAATGTAATTACTCCTATGGTAATGTGATAGACCACTAAAAGAAGAGGGCTCCTGAAAGCATTCCTTCACCAATTCCTTAGCTTTGGAACCAGGTGGGTCTGGATTTGAATTGTAGTAGCTACATCACTTTCTAATGTGTGTGCCTCCATTTCCTCATCTGTAAAATGAGCACATCATCACTCTCTACATAAGATTACTGGAAGGAATAAAACAGTGTAAGCAAAGCACCTAACATGGTGCCAGGCATCATGTTAGGTGCTAAATAATTTGCTGTCTTTCAACTTCTATACCTTAGTGTGCTCCCTCCTTTCTCATCCTAGAAAGCTTACATCCAGATATGAACATTCAGATCTCTGCTCAAGCTTCTTCCCTACTCCCCTTATCTAATACCACACACCCATCATTCTTAGCTCCTTACCTTGCCTATTTTTCACTGTAGAATTTATCACTATCTTACATGTTACATATTTATTAATTTACTGCCTTTCTCCTCTACTGAGCATAAGGTCTAAGAGGCCAGCAGCTTTGTTTTATTCACAGTTTTATTAGCAGCACATAGAATAGTGCCTGGCACATGCCAAATGCTCAGTAGGTATTTGTTGAATGAGTAAACTTTCCCCTAGAAACCACAAAAAAAGAAAAAAAGCCCTAAAGCTATCCTAATGATGGTTGGTATTTCCTAATAGTACTAATGATTCATCTCTAATCCCAGAAGTCTGCTATAGATGTGAACCTGTACTATTATCCTCTCAAACAATGATGCTGAATGGGAGTGGCAGCCCACCCTAAAAAATGCTGTGGATATTTGATGGGTAATATATCATATGATAATATAGTCATGCCAGATCACTTACATAATGACTACACTATTTTATTATAAATTATGCTTATTTCTTCTCTATATTTATATTATGTATATATCAATATATAGCACAGGTGGATTATACTACCTATGAATTTCACTTTAGGTATGGTAAAGGAGGCTTTTCATAAAATGTATTATAGGAAGGGGATCTGGGATCTGATAGGGCTGAGAACTCCAAAGCCACACATAACAATAAAGCCTTTCAACATCTCCAACAAGCTTCCATTCATGATAAAAACTCAGCAAACTAGGATCAGAAGGCAATTTATTTAATCTTATAAAGAACATTTTTAAGAAAGTCACAGCAAACATCCTACTTAAGAACAAAATCCTACAAACATCCCCGAGAATAAAAATGAGACAAAGATACCTACTATCAACACTTCTATTTAACACCTTATGGAGGTCCTAGTTTGTGCAACAAAGAAGGAAAAAGAAGCAAAGCACAAAAAGATTAGAAATAAAACTGTAGTTATTAGCAGATGACATAACTATGCACACAAAATCTTCACAATTTTATACAGGAATTTAGCAATGTTGTTGGGTACAGGGTCAATAAGCAAGGATAAATTCTTTTATCGGTTTACAGCAGCAAATATACAAGAAAATTTATAACGACATTCAAAAACATCAAACACCTAAGGGTAAAAAAGATTTATAAGCCTTCTACACTAAGAATCATTATTGAGAGAAATATAGACAGATATTTTTATACAACTTATCTTGATTGAAAAGTCAGCTCCAGCCAATGTTAGGACCTTATGGGTAACAAGACTGGAAGGTTGACCAAGTAAATGAAAATAAAAGGACTCCATCCTTTTAGCTTCTCAGGTCATAAGCCTTGGAGTCATCTTTAATTCCTCCTTTTTCTCACATGTCACACATGATCCATCAGCAAATTATGTAGGCTCCTTATTCAAAATATATTCAAAATCTGACCACTTCTCACCACCTCCACCTTGACCTAAGCCACTATCAGGGATTACTGCAAGAATTCCTTCTGAACTGGTTTGTCATCCTGTTCCCACCTTGAAAACTGCATTTTTCTTTCTCTTTCACATCAATGTCCCACTCTAAGAAAATCTCATAAGGGTGAGTTAGGCAAATTTAGCTCTAAGCTTTAGGAACAAAAACATTTGCTTTTCTTAGCTTGCTTTTAGAGCCTCTGTCTTGGCAAAGGAGAGCTATGTTGGTGCATAGCTGAGTGAAAGATCAAATTTAACTTTGTTATCTAGTTCTCCAAACAGGTCGGTCTAGCTCAGCTGGGGCTTACTATAATAAGGCAAAAGCTTCCCAGTGATAGATAAAGTATGGGCATTGGTTTAGTTTTGGTCTCTGTGTACTTATTTCCTTCAGATGCCCGAGGAAAGAGAAAAAGTAGAGAAGCAGCAGCAGTGTCAGGTCAGGGTTCAGGTGTTTGGAATTCTACATACCAACTTATGAGGATAATGATAATCATCACCCAGGTCACTTTCTGTGTTGATGGCACCGAGCTAATAATTTTACGTGGATTATTTCCTTCAATTTAACAACCTTAACAAGTCTTATTATCATCATCTTCATTTTATAAAAAGCCAGCTTCAAAGAGGCTAAATAATTTGCTGAAATTCACCCAGCTAAACTTGGAAAACGACTTCATTAGTGAATCTGACTCTAGATTATGAGTGTTCTGATGAGAATGAAGGAACTATTTGGTTCAGTTCTCTACTTGCCCGTTTTTCACCCTCCTTCTGCCTCTGACCCATGCAGACTTAGCTCTGGTAACAAGTACTCAAGTGCATTTCTGTCTGTGATCAGAAACAGGGATCTGATTAAATGTACCCACAGCCTCCTACTCCGGGATGCATAGTGAGGTTTACCCCTCTGCCTTTCTCTCCCTGTACCCCTGGGAATGGTCTATGGTTGGATAATGTCTTTAAAGTTATTTTCTAGTCCCTTGCCTTCCCATTTTTGGTTTGGTTCAGATCATCAGCATCTGTTCATGACACTTTATGACAAAATTCTTATCTTATAGAAAACAGTGATAATAGCAAACATGTATATTATATTATGCTTTCTATGCACCAGACACTGTTCTAAGTGCTTTACATATATTAATTCTTATCCTCATGGTAAGCCTTTCAGGTAGGCACTATTTGTATCATCAATTTAGATGGGGAAGTTGAGGTATAAAGAGGCTATGAAACTTGTCCAAAGTCACACAACTACTAAGATGTGGAGCTGCAAACCTAGCTGGTCTGGCTCCAGAGTCCTTGCTCACAGCCACCGTGCTAGACCACTTCTCCAGAAATTTTTACCCTGAGCACTGAAGAGTTTGTTTTTGTAAACAAAATGAAAGTTAAAAAAAAAAAAAGAGGGCTGGCATTTATAATGTCTATCAAAGTAACAAGAGTCATATTAACAATTTACAACTGTTCATCCTGGAGTGTGGCCTCCAAAGCACACAGTTCCATCACTGAGTATGGGTATTAGATTTGTTCCCTCTAAAAAGAATGTGGTAATCATGAACATTTCCATTTTAAATTAAGAGTATACTTACACCTACACAACAAACCTCATACATACCTCCCAATCTCAAATAGAAGGTAAAATTACAAAAAAGAGTGCACTTAATATTACTGACTTTCAACAATCACAAATTAAAAATTTTTTAAAACGACAATGACAGAGGCTGAAAAGGTTCTGAAAATATTTTTAAAGGCAAAACTCACTCATAATTATCAGTAGAGATTAGACATATTTTTAGAAAACAAATAAAATCAACAAAAGAAATATCAACATGAAAATTACCTGAAATCCAGCTTTAAAAAAATTCTGTCATTTTAAGTACCTATGACTAGAACCCTCCTAAGAGCATCCGTGAAATTCTCCATCAGTGCTTCTACACAGATTTGTTTCTACAAAGTCTCTAAACCTCTTATGAATCAAAGTCTTAAGCCACTAGGGAAGGGCAGCAAAGCCTGTCACTTTCCACAGAGCACAGGAAAATACCATTTACAGCTGTGGAAAAGGTAGATGAAAAAATGCTCTACTGACACCAAGCAGAGTTCTCATTCTGCTAGGGGAGAAACAGGAGGCTCCCCAAACCAATCACAGACACAAGACAGATTCTGGCTGCCAGAGAGAGGAACAGCAACAATGAAAAAGCTCCCCACATCCTTTCCTCAAGGCCTAGGCACTCAGGGCCTTCCCAAGGCTGAGGCTGAACAACAGAGAACATCCCCATACACAACACAAGCCTGGGGCAGAATAACAACGAGTAGCAGTCTATCCCTGGGACGGCTGCAAGAGTGGAGAGAGGGAACCACCATGTGGCTTCATTGTACAGGGACGACTGAAAGCTGAGGGTAGAGCACTAACACTAAGAAAACCCTCCAGCTAATCTAGGCCCATGTACTGAGGCAAAATCAGAAGGCAACAACTGCCCAGCTAGAGGAATTTAAAACATGTGGTGCATTGACATAGCAATAATAAAACCAAGGCCCAGCTCAGCTCCTGACCAAATTGACTCAATCTTTCATAATTATAACATAAGTACTATTTATCTCAGCCTCTATTGTTTTATACAAGATGACTGACATATAATAAATAATGAGAAGACACACATAAAAGCAAAAACATTACCCGCTTCCGAGTAACAAAGGAATGATCAGAAACAGACTCGAGGATAGTCCCCAGATTTGGAACTATCTAATACAGACTTTGAAATAACTATGCATAGTATGTTAAAGAACCTAGAGAAAAAGGTGGTCAACACACCTAAATAGATAAGGAATTTCAGCAGAGATGAATCTGTAAGAAATACAAATGCTATATTAAAAAGGCATAATATTAGAGATGAAAAATTCCTTCTACAAATGATATGGTTTGGCCGTGTTCCCACCCAAATCTCATCTCGAATTGTAATCTGAATTGTAATCCCCACAAGTCGAGGGAGGGACCTGGTGGAAAGTGATTGGATCATGGGGGTAGTTTCCCTCTTGCTGTTCTCATGATAGTGAATGAGTTCTTACGAGATCTGGTTGCTTAGTAACTGTCTGGCACTTCCCCCTTGGTACTCTCTCTTGGCTGCCTGCTAAGTAAGATGTGCCTTGTTTCCTCCTCATCTTCTGCTGTGATTTCAAGTTTCCTGAGGCCTCCCCAGCCATGTGGAACTGTGAGTTAATTAAACCTCCTTTCTTTATAAACTACCTAGTCTCAGGTAGTATCTTTATAGCAGTATGAGAATGGACTAATACAACAGGCTCATCAGTTGACTAGACACAGCTGAAGAAAGAATTAATGACTGAAGATAAATTGGTAGAAATTACTAGTACAAAAAGAAAAAATAAGAAGAATGAATAAAAAGAACACAATATGCAAGAGTTATTGAATATAATATTAAGAAGAAATCTAACATGAGTAACTGAAGTCCCAGAAAGAGAAAGACAGAAAGGGGCAGAAAAAAATATCTGAAGAGATAATGAGTGAGAATTTCTTGACAATAATGAACATCAAACCACAGATTCAAGAACTCCAAGCAGGATAATTCTTAGATATATCAAACTGCTGAAAACCAAAGATAAAATCTTGAAAGCAACCAGAGAAAAAAATACACTTTACATATAAAGAACAAGAGATAATATTAAAACAGGTGTCTTGTGGAAAACTATGTAAGTCAAAAGACAATGGAGTAATATCTTTAAAATAGTAAAAGAAAAAAATGTTAATCCAGATTCACATACGCAATAAAAATAACTTTCAAAAATGAAAGCTAGATACTTTTTCAGACCAGAATAAAGGCAAGAAAAATCACTGCCAGCAGACCTGTGTCATAAGAAGTTCTTCAGGCAGAAGCAATGACTCCCAACAGACATTTGGGACTTTAAGAAAACAGCCACTGTGGAAAACAGTCTGGCAGTTTCTTGTACACATTCACTTACCATATGACCCAGTAATCTCATTCTTAGGCATTTGCCCAAGAGAAGTGAATGCATATTACCACAAAACAAAAACTGTGCACAAACGTTTATGGAGGTTTTCTATAGCCACTGAAAACTAGAAATACCTTCAAATGTCTATTAACTGGTGAATGAATAAACAAACTGTGGTAGAGCCATACAACGAACTACTACTCAGTGATAAAAGAGAACAAATTACTGATACATGGAACCACAGGGATGAATCTCAAAAACATTATGCTAAATGGAAGAAGCCAGACATGAAAGATGACAGAGAACAGGAAAGAGATCACTGCTGCCAGTTGCTGCAGTGAGTGTGGTGATGGCGGGGGGAGACTCAACAACAGGCTATGAAATAACTTTTTGGGATGAAAATATTCTGTATCTTGACTGTGGTAAAAGTTACAAGACTGCACTTCTTTGTCAAATTTCATAGAATTATATACCTAATAAGGGTAAATTTTACTGTATATAAATTATACCTAATTAACCTAAAAAAAATCAACACCAAGTCAATGTGATAAGGCAGTATAAGAATCTTCTCTCAAATTTTAGACATAAAGATATAACTTATTTTAACAAAATAAAAATGTACTAGTCATACTGCATCAAATTTATTCCTTCAAAACTCCGTGTCATCTGATTTTTTTAAAGCAAAAATATTTTCATGGTATTTTATATCATATTAATAATGCGAGTCAGAGAAGCATTTATTGAAGCACATAAATACGAACACTGTAGATTATCAGACTAGCATACTAAATAGTTGGATTTCAACCATTAAAGGTTGTAGAAGAATGGCTAAACTTCTATCTAGGGAAAATGTTGATTAAAGGGCCAAGAAAGGTTAATGGGATTCTGGCACGTTATCCTTTCTATAAATGACTCAAAATCAGGTAAAGTCTTAAAGTACTTAGATACTGATAGGGGTTTTGGCTGGGCGCAGTGGCTCATACCTGTAATCCCAGCACTTTGGGAGGCCAAGGCGGGCAAATCACTAGAGGTCAGGAGTTAGAGAACAGCCTGGCCAACATGGTGAAACCCCATCTCTACTAAAAATACAAAAATTAGCCAGGCATGGTGGTGCACACCTGTAATCTCAGCTACTTGGGAGGCTGAGGCAGGAGAATTGCTTGAACCCGACAGGCAGAGGTTGCAGTGAGCCGAGATCACGTCACTGCACTCCAGCCTAGGTGATATGGCGAGCCTCAGTCTCAAAAAAAAAAAAAAAAAAAGATACTGATAGGAGTTTCAACCTTTATGCTAAACGTCTTTCAGGTTGTTGTCTGGTACAAATGGAGTCAACACAGACCTGATACACATTTTAGAAACATTACAATGTATCTGCTGAAAAAATGAACTTACTGTAGTAATTATTTTTGGTGCATGATGTTCTGACCACATTAAGAATGACAATTAAAAAATGAACACAGATAAAATGTAATTTTGTAAAAGTCACTTTATATTAATTATTTTTATAACTATACGGCATAGTCAGGTTAAATATTCAGATACCATTTAAAATACATAAACACATGCATTTACATACTACATGTAGATTTAAAATAATGAGATATTTCTAGTCCCTTTCCTACATCTTTTTCAAATTTTTAATTGACCAATAATAATTGTGTACATTCGTGGGGTACAATGTCATGTTTTGATCTATGTGTATACTGTAGAAAGATTCAATCAAGCTAAATAATATATCTATGAATATACCAACATTTTTTTCTGTGTGGTGCAAATGTTAAATATTTATTCTTTTAGCAGCTGTGAAATACACATTAATAACTACAAGTCAGTCACCATGCAGTGCACAATTATCTCTAAAACTTATTCCTCCAATTGAAACTTTGTACCCTTTGATCAACCTCTTCCCTTTCCCCATACCTTCCCTTATTCCTAGCCTCTAGCAACCACCTTCCTACGTTCTTTTTCTGAGATTTTCTTACAATTTTTTTAAATTTACTTTTTATTTTAAAATTTCTTTTGTAGAAATAGTGTCTTGCTATGTTGACCAGACTGGTCTCAAACTCCTGGCCTTAAGAAATCCTCTCACCTTAGCCTCCCAAAGTGCTGGGATTATAGGCATGAGCCATCATGCCCGGCCTAAGATTGACATTTTTAGATTCCACAAGTAAGATCATACAGTATCTGTCTGTCTGTGTTTGGCTTATTTCACTTAGCATAATGTCCTCTGCTTCCATCCATGTTGTCATGAATGACAGTATTTAAAGCTGTATAGTATTCCAGTGTATAGATATACATTTTCTTTTTGTTTTTTTAGAGACAGAGTCTTGCTCTGTTGCCCAGGCTGCAGTGCAGTGGCATGATCTTGGCTCACTGCAACCTCCGCCTCCCGGGTTCAAGTGATTCTCCCACCTCAGCCTCCCAAGTAGCTAGGATTTTTACAGGCATCTACTATCACGCCCAGCTAATTTTTGTATTCTTGTATAGACGGGGCTTCACCACGTTGGCGAGGCTGGTCTTGAACTCCTGACCTCAGGTGATCTGGCCGCCTCAGCCTCCCAAAGTGCTGGGATTACAGGCATGAGCCACCATGCCCAGCCTTAGATATACATTTTCTTTAACCATTCATCCACTGATGGACACTTGGGTTGCCTCCATATCTTAGCAATTGTGAATACTGCTGAAATAAATATGGGAGTGCAAATATCTCTATGACACAGCAATTTAAATGCCTTTGTTAAGTCAGACTGATGGATCATATAAATATTCTATTTTTAGTTTTTTCAGCCACCTCCATACTATTTTCCAAAATGTCTGTATTAATTTACAATCCCAACAGTGTACAAAGGTTCTCTTTTTTCCGCATCCTCATCAACATTTATCATTTGTCTTTTTGATAAAGTCATTCTAACAGGTGTGAGGTAATATCACATCATTGCTTTAATTCTCATTTCCTTGATGATTAGAGATGATGAATATTTTCTCATATATCTGCTTACCATTCATATCTCTTTTGAGAAATGTTTGTGATACCCTTTCCCTATATTTTAGTTAGGTTGTTTTCTTGATATTGAGTTGAGTTCCTTACATATTTTGGATATTAGCCCCTTATTGGTTATATGGTTTGCAGATATTTTCTCCCAACCCATAGGTTGTCTCTTCATTCTGTTAACTGTTTTCTTTGCTGTATAGAGCTTTTTAGTTTGATGCAATCCCACTGGTCTATTTTTGCTTTCGTTGCCTGTGTTTTTGGAGTCCTATCCAAGAAATCATTCATTGCCCAGATCAATGCTGTGGAGCTTTTCCTGTTTTCTTCTTGTAGCTTTACCATTTCAGGCCTTGTGAGTCTTTAATCTATTTTGAGTTGGTTTTTGTATATGATATAGTCCAATTTCATTCATCTGCATGTGGATATCCAGTTTTCCCAACACCATTTATGGAACGAATTGTCCTTTCCTCATTGTGTGTTCTTGGCACTTTTGTTGAAAATCATTTGACTGTAAATACTTGGGTTTATTTCTGGGTTTTCTATCCTGTTATATTGGTTGATATGTGTGTTTTTATAACAGTACCATGCCATTTTGATTACAATAGCTTCATAGCTTGAAATCAGGAAGTGTGATGCTTCCAGCTTTGTTCTTTCTGCTCAAGACTGTTTTGGCTATTCAGGATCTTTTCTAGTTCCATACACATTTTAAGATAGTTTTTTTCTATTTCTAAGAAAAATCACAACACAGTTTTGATAGAAATTACACTGAATCTGTATAATGGTTTGGGTAGTATGAACATTTTAACAATATTAATTCTTCCCATCCATGAACATGGAATATCTCTCCATTTATTTGTCTTCTTCAAATTATTTCATCAATGTTTTATAGTTTTCTGTGTACAGATCTTTCCACCTCCTTGGTTAAATTTACTCTTAAATATTTACTTTTTTAAATGCTGCTGTCAATGAAATTGTTTCCATAATTTCCTTTTTGGATAGTTCACTGTTAGTATATAGAAACACTATTAATTTTTGTATGTTGATTTTGTAATCTTCAACTTTACAAAATTTATCAGCTCTAATAGTCTTTTGGTAGAGTCATAAGGATTTTCTACATATAAAATCATGTCATCAGCAAATAGAGACAATTTCACTTTTCTTTTCCCATATGGATGCCTTTTATTTCTTTTTCTTACCTAATTGCTCCTCTTCCCATAAGGAACCACTAGTATAAAAATGTACATTTATCATTCTTCTTACTTTTTAACTTTATTATGTCTGAATGGATCTCCCAATGCTTGTATTAAATGCTATTGTACTTGCTATAAAAGAAATCATATTGTAGATTTCTACATACAAAGAAATTATATTGTACATATTCTGTAACTTTCTTTTATCACTCAAAATATCCCTTGCTATATTTGTCCATGCTGCTAGATGTAGCTGTAGTTTGTTTACTTGCACTATAGAACAACTCATGTAATAAATAACATCATACTAAAATACGATTTAGCAAAAATAATCAAAAGTAGAGCAAATAAGGCAGGGAGGTAAAAGTGAAAAGTACTGGTGAAGATTTAGCCCTGAAATTATTTAGAATTGCTAATGCATGGTAATAAAATGGAGACTGAATTTTAGTTCACTGTATTAATATTTCAAAATTCTCTACATATGAAGTATCCCTTTAGTTGGATGCACTGCTCCTACTATACTATCCCCTTCGGTGAGCTATGAAACAAATTATGTTTACAACATACAATTCCATAAGTAGAATTCTCAAAAATAACCTACACAAAATACTTAAGTGTTAAGTGCGGGTAGTACTAGAAGTTCACTCATTTATTTTATGAGTATTAAGTGCTTCATAAAAGTTAATAACAACCAAAAAGTAGGGTGTTTGAATCATAATTAAATTGGCATCATAAAAGAAAGTTACCTCAAATGTAAAGCTTTTCAACTAAGCTGGTACTTATATACTCTTTAAATATATGAAGACAACACCAACCATTTAGTCCAAAATTACATTTTCGACATATTCTAACTTTGTTTACTCATCAATCCAATTTTAGACATGTAGATGACCATCTCAGTATCACTGAGAGCCAATAAAAAATAAAAATACTAATAAGAGTACTCCTGGACTTCTTTTAGTCAATTAATATAGATAATAAAGATAACATTAAGTTTCATTCATTATCAATGTCTACACAATTCACTAGGGTAAAAGTTTAAAGAAGTTATCATACTTTAATATAAATTTTTTAAATCTAAAGCAAAAGCAGCTGCCTCTTTGATTTCTTTTTCAAACTAGAGTATATAATGACACTATAAGTTCCTTATTTATGAATAAATTTATTTTTATTATTACTGATTACTGTTCATGAATAACCTTTTGAAGTTCTGATACTATAATCCTTTCAGTATAAGAAATTCAGAACTACATTAATTGGAGGGTGCATCTAATATATAATTCTTTAGAGTAACACATAGTCTATCTTATAGATAAAATATGTAATATATATAATACATACTCTAGTATATATATATCTATATTACTGCTAGCTTTGTTTTTACACAATTAACAAACTCTGAGGCATAGGTATAAAAGTATAAAATAAAATAACTAGTAATGGAATCCAAATGACCACCTCAAGAATATTTTTAAATCTTACATGAAGTAAAATTTACCTTTACATTTAATATCAAAAGTTCACATACCTGATGTTCCAAAAACTACATCCCAAGGGGAACTAATGGGTTGTTGTTCTCCTTTTGCTCCACCTTCTTTATCTGTACCTTGAATTCCAATACCAGCTACAGTGCTCACCTTCTCAGCTTCTAGGTCAATCTATAGAAATTCAAAGGATGGTTTTATGCAATGAATGTTACTTTTGCTTTTGTCTTTTGCTGTGTAAAGATTTTCAATAGTCAATAGAACATTTAGAGTGTATGTGCAGTACAAAGTTTTATTATGAAAAAAGGCCAATCAATTATAGAATGAACTTCTTATTCAAATGCACATAATCAGTCCCTTTCATATCCCACCTGTCCATTCCTCTACTTTTCCCCTCTTATCCCCATCTCCCATCATGCCTCCAGCAGATCTGGCATTGACCTCATCTTAACTAAACAAAAATTTTAAAATGAAATTTTAAAACACAATGTAGCAAAATACATGTTTCTAAAAATTAAATGCACATATTTCAGTTGTGCTCAGCTAGTAATTGACACACATTAAAACTTACATGTGCCAAGCACTAATCCAATAGTGAGCAAGCCAACCAGCCATCCAGCCATGCTCATAACTGTGTGACGATTTTAATATTTTAGAGAAAACTAAAACACAGATCATTAAGTAACTTTTTCAATGTCCCACAGTTAGTAAGTCAAGAATCTGGGACCTGAACCCAGGCAGTTCCATGACACTTTACGGACTTTACTTTATAAACTGAAAAACTAATGTATTCTACTGGGAAAATATGTTCTGCTTTCATCTCCTGAGACCCTCTCCCCAACAATGTATTGGGAAAATTTTCAAACACACAGGAAAGTTAAAAAATTTTTGTAACAAACATCCATATACCTACCACTGAGATGATATTCAATATTTCACTTAATTGCTTTATTGCACATTTTATCCAGCTATCAATAGACAGAAATTTTCCTTACTTCATAGATATCTTATTCCTCAAAGCTACAGCAAATATTAAACTTCTGGAGAAAATGTACATGTATTCCCTTTAAGATTATAAGCATGACAAGATACCCACCATCATTGCTAATGCTTAAAAGCAAGAGAGGTACTAGCCAGCAATATAATAAAAGGAAACAGGAAGTTTAAAAATCAAAAGGGAATTTGTTTTTGGAGACAATATGTTTACATAAGAAACAATCAAAAGATTTTGGCAGAAATGGACAAGCTGGTCCTAAAATTCTTATCAAATTGCAAGGGACCTAGGATAGCCAAAATAATCTTGAAAAAGAAGAAAGTGGGAGGACTTATACTTCCCAATTTCAAACATTATTAAAAGCTACAGCAATCAAAACAGTAAGGTACTGGCATAAAGACAGACAGAGAGATCAATGGGTCCATACATCTATGATCAACTAATTTTTAACAAGGCTGCTACAGCTATTCAAGGGAGAAAGAACAGTCTTTTGGACAAATGTTTCTGGGGTAACTGTATATCCACATGTAAAAGAATGAAGTTGAACCCCTACTTCACACCATATACAAAAATCAACTCAAAATGGATCAAAGACCTAATTATAAGAGCCATAACTAAAAGACTTTTAGAATAAAACACAGGGGTAAATAATTATGACCTTGGATTTAGCAATGGATTCTTACAACAACAAAAACATAAGCAACAAAAGGAAAAAATGGACAAATCAGTCATCATCAAAATTTAAAACTTCAATGTATCAAAGAACATGATTAACTAAGTATAAAGGCAAGCAGAAAAATGTGAAAAATCATTTGTAAATCATATATCTGATAAAGAACTTGTACCTAGAATATACAAAGGATTCTTACAACTGTATTATAGAAAAGACAACCCAATTAAAAATTTGGCAAAGAATACTGACACTTCTCAAAGATATAAAAATGGCCCATAAGCACAGGAAAAGGTGGTTGACATCATTAGTCATAAGGGAAATGCATATCAAAACCACAATGAGATGCCACTTCATATCCAGTAGGATGGCTAGAATTTTTAAAAAATGAAAAATAACAAGTGACGGTGAACATGTAGAAAATTGGAACCCACATATATTTCGAGTGGGAAGGTAAGATGGTGCAATTGCTATGGAAAATAATTCAGCAGCTCTCAAAAAATTAAACATAAAACATATAACTCTACAATACCAATTCTAGGTATCTACCCATGCCAAATAAAAATGTATGTCCATGTAAAACCTGTGTATCAATGCTCACAGCAAGATTATTCATAACAGCCCAAAATAACAAAATATACAAAATAGCCAAAACACAATCTAAATATCAATGGTGAATTGGTAGATAAAATGTCATATATTCACACAACAGAATACTATCCAGCAATACAAAGGAATGAACTACTGAAATGCTACTTCACACATGAACTTTTCATTATGTGAAATGAAAGAAGCCAAATACAAGAAAATATATATAATTCTATTTAATAAAATGTTTGGAAAAGGCAAATTTATAGAGACAGAAAGTAAATTAACAGTTGCCTAGGGATGGGAGGGGACAGGGACTATCTGTAAGTGGTCATGTGGGT
This sequence comes from Homo sapiens, assembly GCF_000001405.40. Taxonomy (NCBI): domain Eukaryota; kingdom Metazoa; phylum Chordata; class Mammalia; order Primates; family Hominidae; genus Homo; species Homo sapiens. The sequence continues at coordinate 113,881,831 of NC_000010.11, read as the reverse complement.
TCTTACTTGGGGGATGAAATGTTTTAAAAACAACGTATGGTTACAGTTGCAAAACCTGTTAAATTTACTAAAAACTAGTGAATTATAGATTTGCAATGGGTTAACTTTATGATACATAAAATATAGCACAATAAAGTAACTAAAAAATATACACAGAACACTTACAAGATCACATACAAATAAAAACATGCATTAAACGTATCACAATGGCTGCTTATAGGTATGCTAATGTAAGGGGAGTGAGAGTTGGGGGTATGGGGAAGTAGGAGAATTTATAATTTAAATAAATTATTCTAAATGAGAAGGGTCTGCATGAAACAATGTTCGTGAGCCATGAATGAGAATATAATCAATTCAATCCTCTGCAAATGAGGTCTTAAACAAAAATAAAACACAATAAATATTCTTGTATTTTTAAAAGGAAAAAATTCCACTTTCCATTTCTGCAGACACCATATTAAGTCACAGAATATAAAACAATTTCAGGTAACCTAAATTTGTTGTGATTATACTTAAATGCATAAATATTTGAAATGGAGCACATGGTCAATACTCGAAAACCCATTAAGTTGTAAAGCAAGAGAAATGACATACAATTAAAAAAGAAGGACAAGTACTCCCTGAATGTTGCAGGCTGGCTATTTTACTAATTCAATACACCATTAGAGGTCTAGCCCCTCTGACGAATTATAGACACATACAACCCCAAAAAGATAATGATAAAGAAATATTAATCATTAAGAATTTAGTAATTTAAAAAACCACTTTTCCCTAAAATATACACCATGGAAACAGTCCTATAAGCAGCTCTGCCTATAAAGGGCTCTCTGGTCAAATAAGTTTAGAAATGCTGCACAGATATCCCCCCATTAATGCACTCAACAATACATTAGCATATTTAAGTCTGGAAGAAAGTCTGCAAGACTTTAAAAAACACATCTGCTTTAATGTATTAACCCACAAAATCTGTTTTTCATGTAACACTTTTATATTGAGGAATACACACTTTCAAAAGTGCTTCCTGAAACAGTATTATTTGCTCATAAATTCATCCAACAAATATCTGTTGAACACCTACCATAGGCCAGGTCTTTTCTAGGTGCTAGGATTCAGTAGTAGACAAAACATATTTCTAGCCCTCAGGAAGACTTACAGTACAGTGGATATTATTATATATTATATGTATTTTTTTCTACTATGTGTATATAAGTGAAAATATTGTCAAATAAATGAGAATAAATGTCAATACTGAAAGAAACAGTGAGAAAAACAAGGCAGTATCTGAAACAATGTATTTAGACAGGATGAGTATGATGAACTTGGTTACTTATTTTCCAAACACATGGCAACTTAAAGACCAATGGTTTAGCCAAAACAACCATCAGGAGGAAATGTCTGAAATAACCGAGTACATCTACAATGGAATGTGATACAGTCATATCATTCAGGTGACTAACATGCAAAAAAAAAAAGTTAGAAAAACCTGCAAAACATTATGTATGCATAGCATCATTACATTTGTTTAAAAAATTCTCTACAAAAAGGCTTTTTAATATCAATTTATTTTTATAAGAGTAGAAAATTTCCAAAAAGACACACACTTTAACAGTGGATGGTTACCTCTGGGAAACTGGAATTGATGGTCAGGGGACTTTTTTTTACCTTTATGTATTAGCTGACTTTTTAGAAATAAGGACACATAATAAAATCAAACAAGTTTTAAGACGAATTGGCTAATCAGTATTTCCAGCCAAAGCATAAAAGTTGAATAGAAGCAGGAATGGTAGGATTTTTTTTCTAGTTTGAGAAAATTCAACTGAAAAAGGACAAAGGATCATTGTAAACTAGTGGTTAGGAAGATACTTCAAAATGAGGAGCTTTTGAGTGATTAGGGACACAGCCTTGAAACAAGGGTTAAAAAAAGAACTGAATGGGGTTTTCTTTTGTGACAAATACATACTGACACAAATAGAAACAGGATACTTGAGAATAAAACTAAAGTACGTACCTCAAGAAAAGCAGAACAAGGACATTGACATACATAAGAATCACGCTTTAACTTCAAATATTTAATGTAGCAAATACATTTCCTTTTTCTGATTGTAAGTATTAAAACAAATTTAAAATGAAAATTACCTTTCTTATAAGGTGGTTTTCAGTGTCTGCCACATATATGATATTATTCATTATGGCTACACCCTGTGGAGAATTAAAAGTTGATTCTGAAAATATTCCATCTTTTCTTCCAGGGTTGGGTCCTAAAATAAGATAAAATTTGCCACTTAAGAAGTGATCTCAAGGTAAAACAAAACAAAACAAAACAAACTTGTATTTAATGCTGGGATTTTAATATAAAAAAATGGTATGTCCATCTAAAAACTAAAATGTTCCCCAAGGAACATTTTTCTTAAGAGTGAGTTTTGCTAATGACAGGGCTCATAGTACAATTACTAGTGCACTTAAGCATAGTAGTATATAGCGAAGAAAATAATTTTAAAAGCATTCTAATTATCCATTACCTAGACTACAAAGATTTAAAAATAACTCCAATTGTTCAACAGATGAATAATTTTTAACAATTTTGAAAGATATGCTCCTTGGATAATACAATGAAAATTATGAGCCCTTTCCCTAGAAAAATACACATGGCCAAATTGTTGTAAACAATCCCAGATCCTGAGGACCACTGAAGACTCTCAGGAGTCCAAGGACCCCAGATTAAGAATCCTTCTTATCTACTATTTCACTTTGTCAGAAAGTCCTGCGATATATCATACACACTGTAAGAGAGAGTGATTCTAGTCCACCTCTCAGTTTTTACAATTCATGTAGAGTTTCAAGGGTGGAGAATATAACACAATAAAATGTAACTATTATTTCCATGGCCAGCAGACAAGCCATTCAAGGCCTCTAAATCAGCAGTTCAAACTGCTTTGTGGAACTCCATTGTCCTAGGCAACCATAAAAAGGTAGTGTAACAGAGTGGCTAGAAAACAAACCCAAGGCCTGGCACAGTGGCTCACGTCTGTAATCTCAGCACTTTGGGAGGCCGAGGCAGGCAGATCACTTGAGGTCAAGGGTTCAAGACCAGCCTAGCCAAAACAATGAAACCCCATCTCTATTAAAAATACAAAAAATTAGCCAGGCATGGTGGTAGGCACCTGTAATCCCAGCTACTTGGAAGGCTGAGGCAGGAGAATTGCTTGAACCCAGGAGGTGGAGGCTGCAGTGAGCTGAGATCATGCCACTGCACTCCAGCCTGGGCAACAGAGTGAGACTCCATCTTTAAAAAAAAGAAAACCAACTCAAGAGCCCAATAGACCTTGTCTAAATCCCAAGTCTGTCTCTTTCTAGCTGGTGATTTGGGAAAGTTCTTTGTGTCTCAGTTTTACTTCTGTAAAATGGAACTAATTACCTAACTCATAGCATTGTGCAGGCAAAAATGAGTTCATACAAGTAAAATGTTTTGAATAATGCCAGACATATAGTGTCTACTGTACCTACAATTGTTAATAATACTATTATTGTGTTGATATTGATAAGAGTTCCCTGAAAAAAAAGGGAGAGTTCTGTGGTTACATGAGATTGGAAAATATTGTGTACTATACCCCCCCATAAGGAAAATTAGGAGAGTAAAAAATTTGGGAAATATTATGATACCATCACCAATAAAAATCTGATAACATTAAAAGTGTTTCCTGAGTGTATCTGACCAAAGAATTCTTTTTTAAAAATTAAAGAATAACTGTATCAAAAGATAACAGTATTTCTAGAACTATGTTTGGGTAGTGTAGCTTGCTGCTGGTTTCTCTTTTAACAAAGAATATTCACCTACACTATTTTGAAAATCACAGAATCTATTAACTTTTAAAACCACTTAAATTCAAACTGCTACAAAAGACACTTTTTGAGTAACAATTCAATTCTCGTAACTGCCTGTCATAAATCAAAATACCAAGTAGCCAAAACAAAACAAACACCACAAAACACAACACATACTGTATCTTGGTATATTAAGAATAACATCAGGGCATAGGACCACAACTAGCTTTTTTATATTAGGAACACAGACATTTCTACTTTATGTACTAATGCTGCATATATTACTAAAGCAGGATTGCAAAGAAATGAATTACTTTTGTCTTTGACTAACATGCTGTCAAATGTCAGCTCAGTTTAGATAAGAAAGATTAATAAGAATGTACTCAGTAGAGTTTATTAATTATGTAGATGTAACCAAGAGGTAGTTTTAGATCTAAGACCAGGGAGATATAGAACAAAATGATCTACGCTTGCATGATACTCATACTCTGCTACACCTATTTCTATTCTGGAAATAGATCCAGAAACATGTTCAAGTTCTTATGGAAGAAAGGAGAGAAAAGTAAAACTATGCACAAATTCTAGCTTATTTATTTTATAAACTACATCTCAAGTTCATGGGGCACTGACATGATCTTTAAAAAGATACGGCTATATTTTGTTGGAAAGTGAAACATAATACTTCTACTTAAAACATCTGAAATCCAAAACGTATGTTTTCATAAGAAACAGTAAGTACAGCAGTTTAAAAAAAAAAAAAAAGATAGAATATACAAATATACCTAAAAGCTGAACTATTTCCTCTTTTTGACCTGGAGCTTTTTCAGTGTTTTTGTTTGTTTTATGAGGGAGTGAGAAGAGGTTAATTCAGACATCATATTAATTAACAAAAAATTTTTATTAGGAAATTAAGTCAATGTATATCACTTTTCTATAATTAGTTTTCATTTAGACATTTCAACTTTTATATTTACCTTGAACTATTTTTTTACTGTAAAACACGTTATCTATCGTAATCAGAAGCAAGTTTTACCTCCAATGCTATATTGAATTTGTCCATTCTTCCAAACGACCAAAATTCTATGATGTCCAGTGTCTGCTATTACCAATCTATCAGTAACTTGGTCTACTGTTACTTTGCCAGGAAATAGCAATGGTGAAGGTGGCAAAGAATCTTTATAGAGTTTTATTCCAATTTTATTATCTCTGATCTGCCCCCTGTCTTTGTAATACTTTAAAGCAATTGAAGTATATAAAAATAATTTATCTTTGTGTCCCTCTCCAATCAAAGAAAACAACATGTTTCCACGAGGTCCAAGTATGACTAGAGTTGGCCAGCAGGAAACTTCTAGTTCTTGCCAAAGGCTGGCATCTGCATCATTAACCATAGGGTGGGTGATGTTGTATCGAAGAACAGCACTCTTAATGTTATCCAGGACTTTTTCATTTGGAAACTTAGCCGAGTGAACACCAATAATAAGAAGACCATCTGAAAGGAAAAAATTATATGTTAAACATTATTAAATATTTAAGTTTGAATATCATCATCTACACATTAGGTTTTGGATCACAAATATTAAAAGTCCATAGATTAAAAAAAAACGAAAAGTAGAACTACGCTGGGATCTTCAACTGCATTTTAACACACATAAAAAACTAACAAATTTAAATCTCATAACAATCTTGATTACTACATAAAAACACACATGATCAAATTCATATGGCTATTGCAGGATTAAAACTTTTTTTCTTTTATTTAGATAATGCTATAAAAATTATCTTTATTTTTTTAATAAATGTTGAAATTTTTTCCACCTATAATAAGCCCCTTTGAAATTCAGAGTTGACTATGCCTGCTTTTGGGAGGTATTTATTGTTGTATCACTGTCTTTTTTTTTTTAATCTAACTTTACATTACAGATTAACAGAATAAATATAAGCAAGATGTTTCCATAATATAAGGCTTTTGATTTATTTAAAATTCCTATTGTATGGTTCTTAGAACAAGCCTTTCTGTAGACAGAACTGCTGAAAACATACTTCTCTTATCTAATCAATACATTATTTCAAGAAATTAGTACCAAAAAAAAAAAAAAAGTGTTTGGCTGGATTCAGTGAAAAAATTCAATATTGACTACCAAAGTAGTAGAGATAATAACAGCTAAGTAACATTCAAATCTCCCAACACATCCACCAAAAACTACTCAAACCTGCAAGATGAACAAATAAAACCACACAAATCAGGAGGTATAATTTCCCAGCAGCTCATGCTTCTATTATAACTATCAATTCCGAATCAAAACACAGACATGCATGCTTGAAGACACACCCTGCTTGAAGATGGAGAAAAGTAAACCCGACCAGATAGATTGTACAGCAGGGCCAAAACTCAGAAAAGCAAATGACAGAAGATCAAATGACAGAAGAGTGAGCTGCCAATTTTATTTTCTTTTCCAATCCTTTTCCTAGCTTTGTCCTGAGAGTGGGTTCCAGTTTTGGAGCTGTATGGAGAGCCAAAACTCCAACAGAAATCCCACTGCAACTCTAGCCCAAGAAACCACATAACCTGGACAGTGTGGGAGAAACCCTGAGGAGAACAGCTGGGGAAGGTGGCTCCTTATTTCTGAGTATGAACACTCAGAAGTCTTTGTTTAACCCCTAAACTACAGTACAGGGAACAGATTTTAAAAAGTGTAGCAAATGCTTGGGGAGCTGATAACTGAATAACTGGGTTTACAGAAGGAGCGAGAGCTGATGGAAGATGAGACAGAAGTTATAATTTGAATTAAGAGGGTTGATGCCTACTAAAATAAGGCTACCAATGTTCCCTACAGGACTATAACAGAACCCAGAGTTCACATATCGTCACATTCCAACGTCCAGGATACAATAAAAAATTACCTGATATTCAAAGAAAAGAACAAGGAAATATGGTCAGTTATCAAGGTAGGGGGCAAAAAAAACAAGCAACAGATACCGATGCCAAGATAAAGCAGATGTTCGACTTACCAAAGACTTTCAAGCAACTAGATAACTATGCTCCATGAGGTAAAGAAAAACACAAATGAAGTAAAAAGACAGGAAATAAAAACAGAGAAATGGAAATTATAAAAAGTAACTAAAAATGTTAGAACTGAAAAATACCACAAGTTCACTGGATGATCTCATTGGCAAAAAGGACATGACAAAGAAAAGGTTAATGAACCTGAAGACAGCTCAACAGAAATTAATCCAATCTAAAGAACATAAAGAGAGAAAGAAGATTGAAAAAAAATAAACAGAACCTCAGGGACCTGTGGAACAGTTTCAAAATATCTAAATAAGTATACTGGAATCCCAGAAAAAGTGAATAAATAAGATTGGGGCAGAAAAAAATAACTGAGTAATGTCCCAACTTTCAAAATTTGATTAAATATATAAATTTAGAGAATTCAAGCTCAACACACACAAAATAAAATACATTAAAACCATGTCTAGACACATCATAAACAAACTGCTGAAAATCAAAGGCTAAACACACACACACACACACACACACACACACACACACACACACACACACACACAAACACATGCCTTGAAAGCAGCTGGGAAAAAAGATGCAATGAGGAATGGTTGCCTGGGGGATGTGGGTAAAGGTGGTGGGGAGGAGTGGGAAGGACTGCACACCTGTTACCTTGGGCAAGTTACTTAACCTGTTCATCTGTTTTCTCATTTGCAAAACGAGGAAAATAACAGCAAATGCCTTATAAGTCAGGTGGATTAAAAGAGATAATCTGTGTAAGGCATTTAGCATAGTACCTAGTGTAGAGTAAAATTTCAACAAATTTTGCTATAATTATTTTTTAAAGTTGTAAGTACAAAGATTAATAAAAGATAAATGTAAACATTTATAAATATCAGAAGAGATTATGAAAATAAAACAGCAAAGAAAGTGCATCATGTTGATAAACACAACAAATATAACCAAATACACATAATACTTGTACATTACCAGTCATATGAATAAGTACCAATGGGCTTAACTCATTATTAAAAGAAAAAGATTTGGATAAGTTCTTTACATAAAAGATACATCTAAGAAAATGTGAATCAGAAAGACTAAAAGTAAAGGGGTAGAAAAAGATATGCAAGGCAAATGAAAGCAATAAGAATATAAGGGTTGTAGATCTCCTCCTTCCGCGTCTCTAATTTCTGGGCCAGATGAGTGTTTTGCTCCACTTCATCATCTAAACTAAAGCTTACATGGGTTTCAGTTTATCCTTGCAAGTTCTAGTTCATGTTTGCACGTTCTTTCTGGTTTGCCCTTGTTCTCTGCTACTTTATATCCATCTTTCCTTCTCAACTGCCTGACCTGCCATCAGGAGATATAATTTGCCAGTAATTACAACTTTAATTCCAAACCAAAGCACAAGAACATACGCACACACACCTCTGCTTGAAGACTGTGAAAAGTTAGTAAACTTAGGTAGGTTGCAGGAGCACACAAAAGCAACAGCCTCACATATACTAGTTAGCCATGTAGCTCCACAATAACATAAGGTCAACTACCTATAATGAATTCTCTATTAGTTCTCTCATTATTATACCCAGTTGTGCTTCTCTGATCAAACTATGACTAATATACCAAAACTCTACATCTTAGTTTTGGTGTTAGCTCTACATGTATAAAATCTCCATCCATCCATTAGCAGTTTCCCTACTCACCCATGGTTCTCTAGCTCTCCCTATAGTAGATTCACCAGAAAGGGCACATGTGCACAGTATTCTCTGAGTTTTGGGACATTCAAACTGTTTTTCTTTAACCTTGATTGATTCTTGAAGGACAAATGGTTGGATATAATCTCTTTGGTTTATGGTTTACACTCATTAAGATTCCTGAAATGTCACTCTACTGTTGCCTTGCTTTGTACGTTATTTGTGAAAAGCATGGCCAGTCTAACTTACATGTCTTTGTAAGTTACGTTCTTTGTTTTTCAATGTTTAAAGTATAATAATTTTACTAGGATACTTCTTGGACTGTTCTGGGTCAATCACCCCCGGTACCTGGTAGGCCCTTTCAATATGTAGATTCAAGGTTTCTTTTCTTTCCAGAAAGTTTTCTTGGATTCTAATTTTAGATATTTGTTCCAGTCAGCTGTTCTGATTTTCTTGAAGGTCTCCAAGTAGTCTTATGTTGGACCTCCTCTGCCTGTTTTCCAATTCAATCATTTTTTTCTCTAAACCTTTTAACTTTTTTTTTTTTTTTAGCTCATTTTCATTCTCTGGGGTTTCCCTCCCTGCTTTTAATGCCCCTTAATAAATTTTTATACAAATTTATTGTCCCTTGGTCAAATTTAGTTTTCATTTGTAATACAATTTTGAATTTGTCTTCTCTTTTCTGGATTCAATTAACACTCATTTCCCTGTTTCTTTTTTGTCCATTTCTTATTTTGAAATTTCTGATTCAAGCTGTTTTTTTTTCATTATTCCTAAATGCTGACTAAGGATATTTAATCCAGTATGAAGCAAGGTGTTACAGTTTTGTCAATTTTGTATCAGCATTTTAACTCTGAATTGCATTTTCAGCTTCTTTTGCAGTAGTTTTTATATAGATGTGATCTGCTTTTTTCTATTCCTGTTCATTTTGCGAATAGGGTTCCTAGTTTGAGAGTGCCCTCTTCTGACAGTTCCCTTTTTCTGGGCAGTTTCATTGATGAATAGCATTGGTGTAAGGAGGGGTTGATATATCTTCTTTCTCTTTTGTTTCCATTAGAACCTTACCTTTTCCTTCATATACGCTTTTTTCCCTTCAGTGGCCTATCTCCAAGGGAAACCACATCTTTCTTATATAGCTGATTATCTCCCAGGAGCAATGCTTCTCTGAGGCTTCAATTCCTTGTCCTGCACTCTTGTAAGAGCTGGTGATATGGTCTAGTATGTCCAAACCTGTGTTCAGTATTTTATACTTTGTATTGGAGCTTCTCTTTCTGGGGGTAAGGAGACTATTCTGTTTGTGCGTTGTCTAAATACTCTGAACCACTCTGCTTGTTCTCATGGAGTCTTTTAAGTCTCCCCTACACTTGTTCTTGGCATCCACAGACTTACAGCAATAGAACCTTTATGGGAATTTAGTTTATTTCTGAACTTCCATCTAATGTCAAGGCCATGATATTCTCTGTCTCCTAGTATTGTGAAATGCAGGGCCAAGTGAGATTTTACTTGTTCTCCCCTTTTTTATTGTTTGGAACAGAGGGGAGGGACAGTGGGGAGATTCAAGATCAGGTAGCCACCATCCTCCTCCAAACCCAGAAGTAGCACAGATAGATTCTTTTTAATCATTAGGTTTATTGACATATAATTACTTACACTAATCTTTCATACTTTGTTAGTTGATTAAATAAACTAAGTATAAAACCAGAAACTGGTATAAAAACAGAAGTACAGTATAAAATAGAAGTATTTCCAGTAGTATAAAAACAGAAGTACTTCCAATACGATAAAGAATAAGGAAAAAAATGCCTACCATCTCTACTATTGTTTAACAATAAATTGAGGTGGGGCGTGGGGGATTAGCCAACATAATTAGACAAGTGAAATCAATTAGAGGCATAAGACTGAAAAATTTCTATATGGAGCTATAACAGTATATCAAGAAAAGTCCAGAGACTCAATTATAAAACTAAGTCAAATAATAAAAGATTCAGGGCCAGGTGCAGTGGCTCACGCCTGTAATCCCAACACTTTGGGAGGCCGAGGCTGGCTGATCACCTGAGGTCGGGAGGCCAAGACCAGCCTGACCAACATGGAGAAACTCTGTCTCTACTAAAAATACAAAATTAGCCGGGCGTGGTGGCACATCCACGTAATCCCAGCTACTTGGGAGGCTGAGGCAGGAGAATTGCTTGAACCTGAGAGGCAAACGTTGCGGTGAACCGAGATCACGCCACTGTACTCTAGCCTGGGCAATAAGAACAAAACTCCGTCTCAAAAAAAAAAAAAAAAAAAAAAAAAAGATGCAGGAAGCAAGAATAATTAACACATGGAAATCAGTAGCCTTTATATACTCAAACAATAACCAGTTAGGGGATATAATGGCAGACAAAACTTCATATACAATAAATAGCCATATAAACATAAGATTAACCCAACTCAAAAATACATCTTAAAATTACACCAAGATACCACTTCCTATCTATTAGATTGGTAAAAATTAAAAAGTATGTCAAGACAGTTTATTGAAGCAGCATCTGAGAAAGAGGTACACTCACACACTGCTAGCAGAAATACAAACTGGTACAACTTTCCTGATGAAGAACTAGGCAATACCTAACGAAACTACATATGTACTTAACTTTGACCCAGCAATGCCACTTTTAGGAATTTATCCTTAAGTGATTCCACCAGCAAGACAAAAGCATATCTACAAGATTATTTATTGCTTATAATTGCTAAATATGGAATGATCTAAGAGCCAACACACAGGATAGGAGAGTGGCTGAATGAGTTATGGCACACATATAGCGGAGTACTATGCAGTTATTTTTAAAAGTCAAGAAGTTCTCTATGAACTGTTATGAAGTGACTCCTGGGATAAAATTTTACATGAAAAAAGCGAGTGTATAAAAATGTCTACAGTATGTCACCTTTTGTTTTAAAAAAAAGGAAATTTTAAAAAATATAGGACAGAAATGGGAAGGCAAGAACAGTTAGAAGGGATGGGTGGATAGAATGAATATCTGTTTCATCCTCACTTTGAAGACCATGTTGTCTTACACACTCAAAAACTAAGTCAACAAAGATGGGGGGACTTAAAATGAAATACAAATAGAAAAAAATAAATCTAACGATACTTTAGATGAATAACATAATTTAATGGGGGAAGCTGAGAAGTGGGAAGGAATAGCCTAAGTAATTTCTGAATTATTTGAGAAACTAGAAGCAAAAACACCATAGTAGCAATGAGCACATCTAGTTCCCAGACCTTGGTTTCTCAATACCATTCCCTACTAAAAGGGATCAAAGCTCCTTAAAGAAATAGCTGACTCAGGGTTGGGCTGGAAAAACACAAGATACATATGGAAATATTTTGGTGTATTTAGTAAGGAAGGGCTCAAAAAACGACAAAGAAATACCAAAAGATCACAGAAGACAGCCTGAAGGGGATCCTATTAGTCAAATCTTGGACCATTGGAATACCAAAATAAATTATCACAGTAATTATTTATAACCCAATGAATTTTAAATAAGAATCCATGAGTTAAATCTGTATACATTTTATGTACATTATATATATGTAATATTTATCATAAAGTATGTTATCATGTATCACACATTTTCCTACTGATAAATATATCCCAACATTTCCTTGAAGAAGTGATGACTGAAGTGAGATGTGAATGATGAGGTGTTAGGTGCAGAGAACGCTGAAGGAGATTCCAGGGAGAGACAACAGCACCTACAAAGAGGAAGCAGGAAGGATAGAAGAAACTGAAGAAGGTAAGTGACTAGGCACAGAGAACAATGGAGAACGTGGGACAAAATGAGAACAAACATACAGATGGGATCAGTCTTGTAAGTCATGGTAAAGATTTATATCTTTATCCTAAGAAAAATGGGAAGTTATATGGAGAATGAAGGGCAAGTCTCAAAGATATTTCAAACTAAACTCATAACCTTCTCCTCCAAATATGACCTTTTCAGTGTTTCCTGTCACTGCATGGCACCATCATCCATCCAATTATAGAAGCAAAAAACCAGTCTAGGACATCTCTGTAGTAATCAATCAGCCCACTCTCATCATCCATACTTAATCCACAATCAAGTCCTATTGCTCTTATCAGCTATGACTAGTTTCAAGTTGTTATCCTATTCACAGAGAGCACAACAGCCTTGTCACAGATTTCCCATATCCATTCTTGCCCACCAAGTAGTTATCCATCCTGAAGTCACTGATCTTTTAAAAACACAAATCTGATCATGTCACCTTGTTGCAGAAAATCCTTCATTGGCTTTCAATTGTTCCTAGTATAACAAATCTCATCTCTCCAGTATCTTCTCCACACTCTTTTCCTCCTGCAGTATATTCTAGGACTTCCTTTGGTTCCTCAATAATATTATTCCTTTTGCTTTATAGGGTTGGCATACAGTGTTCCCTCTGACTGGAATGTTCTCATCTGTTCTCACCTACTAAAGCCACGCTTGTCTTTTAGAACAGAAGTTCAATTTTTACTTTCATAAGAAAGATTTCTTCCAGATTAAACTCTATAATGTCATCATAGCAGCCTGTAATTTTTCCTATAGATCACTAATCAGAAATTATAAAAATATGTATGATTATTTAATTATATGCCTTCTTTTGTTAGACTATAATGCCTACTAATTACATAGGTCCCATGCATGTTTTATTATTCTCCAGTGCCTAGTACGTAAGTAGGAAACAAATGATTTCACAGGACATAAATACTGAAGGAATTTATAAATCTGTATAATAAACCATATCATATTGTCCAAATAGGAGATCTATATTGATCTACGTACAAACACAATTGCCAAATATCCACTCCCATTTGTTTCTGTAAGAACCTCAATATGCAGATTTTTCTTAAATTATTTAGCTTTTTCTGTTAATCATGCATACTGAAAAGCGGATGTAAAAGATTCTGCCCTTTATGAATCCTTTGCCAACATAGGGATCAAAATTACTCCATTTAAGAGAAAATACAGAAGAAAGGAAAGAAGAGAGGGAGACAGGAAAGAGGGAGAGAAGAGGGCAAGGAAGAAGGGAATGAGGGAAGGAGAAACTATATCAAAAATTGTAACTTCCTTCTTCTCAGTGAAGTAAAACACCACCATCACCACCAATAAAAAAACCACACATACATGGTGGCTCAGGCTGTTTGTAATACCAGCACTTTGAGAGGCTGAGGCGGGCAGATCACTTGAGCCCAGGAGGTCGTGGCTGCCGTGAGCTGTGATCGCACCAGTGAAATCCAGCCCAGGCAACAGAGTGAGACCTTGTCTCTGACTAACCAACAAAAAACATGATAAATATATAACTGCTTCTAAAATATTAGTAATAAAACCACTTTTTAAAATACATATTTTTAAAGCTTCAAAAGTCTTATTGAGAGACGTATACTTCTAAATGCACTCAATTACAATTGTATATACTATAGTAGAACGTGTAGTTTAATCACAGGCAATGTAAAAACCTAGTTAAATGCAAGGATTGAGACTATTTGAGGCATTTCGAAAGATGCTAAAAAAACAAAAACAAAAACAAAAACAAAAACCTGTAATGGAGACATTCTGAGATCCAGAAGACAACCATGGCTTCACTAGACAAAAAGGATGAGACGATGATTCCAGGCAGAGGGAACACTGTGTCAAGGTGTTAAAGCAAGAGGAACAATGATACTTAGGAACTGAAGGAAAGCCAGGGAGGCTAGAACAGCCTTGAGGAAGGATGAGAAGGGTGTGGAAAAGATGCTGGAGAGGGAAAATTTTCGTTTTTATACTAAGAACAATGGAAACATAAAAATGAAAGGATCAAAATCGCTGAACACTAAATTGGGAAATAAATGAGAAGCAAATTTGAAAGCCAATCAAACACTGATATCAGGCTGTTGTCCACACTAAACATCTGAAAATGTGCCATAAATTGGCAATGTTTTCATAGTACTTTATTTAAGAACATAGAATAAATAGACAAACTACTGAATAAAGAAAATATAAAGTGTGTGCAGAAAGAGTTAACATAGTAGCCCTGACTGCTATCCTTTAAAAGGTGTGCAAACAAGATTGGCTCTTGCCTGGCTTCTGGGAGCTTAGATTTCGGGAGGGTTTTCACCATTCCTAGAACTGATGAGTGGCTCACTTTGCCTAAAATGTTTGTACAAACAATACAGCTTATACTGAATACCTGCTTTCCTTCTGAGAATCTGAACTTTTGAAACATGACAGCAGGCAGAAGCTGCCTACATGACCAGCCCCCAATAAAAGCCTTGGTTATTTCTAAGCTTCTCTGGTTGGCAACATCCCAAATGTGCTGTCACAACACATGGCTGAGGAAATTAAGAGCACCTTGGGTTGACTCCACTGAAAGAAGACTCTAGAATCTTGTACCTGGTCTCCCTTCAACTCAGCCCCATGCATCTTTTCCCTTTCCTGATTCTGCTTGGTATCTTTTTGCTATAATATAGTCATGAGTACAATTATATGCTGAATCTTGTGAGTACTCCTAATGAAAACTATCAAACCTGGTGAAGGAGCCGGGGGTGGAGGCGGGGAGGCGGGCAGGCGAGGTTTGAGAACAATGACACAAAGTGAAATTATATATAGACTTATTTAAAGGCTTATTTTACTATAAAATTAAAAGTGCATTCTTCTAATTTTTAATAAAGTATAAAACAGAAAAAAGCATATACTATATGATAATACTAGCATTTACTCAATAGTAATAAGAAATTCAGATTTTTAGAAGTCTGACTTAGTTATACATTAACATACACCTAGCAATCACATTAAAATACACAAGGCTTTCCTAATAGAAGTTTTCTTATAAAACAAAAGTGCTTTTCCTTAGATAATAGCCATTATGTTCAATTTCAGTACTACATAATAACATACCATTAATGTATACACCATAAATAAAAAACTTAGAAGTTCTCAAGTAGAAAATGGTAAAATATCACTTGCAGTTTAACATAAATATGTACTAAGTTATTATTAATTAATAACAATCTTAGGGCATAGTTGCTTCTTTAAAAATGTTTAAACATCAGAACAATTCATTCCTATTAAGTAGGTTTTGCTTTTTGCTTTCAAACTTCTTGGCATTTGCGATTTCTCATTTGCGACTGTGAAAGTGGCACTGGCCCCTATTACAAACCTGCATTTAAAAGCTGATTTAGAGGAAGCAAGTTGATTATGAAATTGGGCCTCTTTCAAGGTTTTGAATTAATAAACACTTCCTTATTCAGTGGAGCATTTTTGGCTTTATGGTAAAATGAGCAGAACATTTCATGGAATTTTAAATATACTGCCAAATGTCACTTCGAGAACATAAATAGCACTGCTGCAGATACATTCAGAAGTACATCAAATAGTAATGGGAGAAGATATTTAACTACAAAAAAGCAAATTCAATTTAGTGACTTAGTGACAGCTTATTGAGCTGCCATGTGATCATTTCTGGTTATGTCTGCTTTTATGAATATGAACTGAACTTATCTTCTAATCAATATAAAAATCTTTTAAGTTATCAGGATTTTCACATAGTAGCATATTACAGAAGCAATGTTTCTTTGAAATACAATGTTGAGACTACTTACAAAATATTTTTTAATGGTTAAAAATTTATTCCACTATGTAACAAACCTGCATGTTCAGCACATGTATCCCAGAACTTAAACTAAAAAAAAAAAAAAAAGTCGAAGTTATATTAAAAAAAAAAAAAAGAAAAGAAAGCCTCTGTGAACACTTATCACAATGGCATTCTCAACTATTTCTCGTGCTTTTCCTTTTTTCCAATATTCTTCACAAACCTGTGGCAAATTAAAGAAAAAGTTCTACGGTAATCTAAAAAAGAAATATATTCCACAAACAATATTCTAAGCCAAATACAGAAAAACACTAGTCAGTATTCTCCACCACATTAACAAGTGAGTTATTGGGCCAGCAAATCATACCCAGTAATATGCTAATAAACCAGCTCTATTATATGGTGAGAGGAACGGGGGGGGGGGATGAAAAGCGATTTTTAAAAACCTCTCATTTGTGGCCGGGCGCGGTGGCTCACACCTGTAATCCCAGCACTTTGGGAGGCCGAGGCAGGCGTATCACGAGGTCAGAAGATCGAGACCATCCTGGCTAACACGGTGAAACCCTGTCTCTACTAAAAATACAAAAAATTAGCTGGGCGTGGTGAGGAGCGCCTGTAGTCCCAGCTACTCGGGAGGCTGAGGTAGGAGAATCGCTTGAACCCGGGAGGCGGAGCTTGCAGTGAGCTGAGATGGCGCCATTGCACTCCAGCCTGGGCGACAGAGCAAGACTCTGTCTCAAAAAAAAAAAACCAAAAAACCTCTGATTTGTAGCATTTGTTGATTTCCATGGTCTAAATACTCCCACTATGGCTGATTTCAAGATTACCACTGGCTCATAAAATTTCTTACATATTTAACAAATGGCTCTCACCAGCCTACAGGAGCCAGCTCCAACAAACCACTGAGTGTAACCCTCCCAGTGGTGCACAATTCTGACCTTGTAAGGTTCATTTTTAAAATAGTTGTTAAAAACCCATTTTTGTGTGTGTGTGTGGTTTTTTTTTTTTTTTAGACGGAGTCTTGCTCTGTCGAAAGGCTAGAGTTCAGTGGCGCAATCTCAGCTCACTGCAATCTCTGCCTCGTGGGTTCAAGCGATTCTCTTGCCTCAGCCTCCCTAGTAGTTGGGATTACAGGGGCGCGCCACCACACCCAGCAATTTTTGTATTTCTAGTAGAGACAGGGTTTCACCATGTTGGCCAGGATGGTCTCCATCTCTTGACCTCATGATCCGCCTGCCTTGGCCTCCCAAAGTGCTGGGATTATAGGCGTGAGACACCACGCCTGGCTCATTTTTGTGTTCTTATAGTTTCTTCCATAAGATTTACTATTTTAACCGTTTGTTAAGTGTACAGTTCAAGGTATTTAGGACATTCCTATTGCTGTGCGACCATTGCCATCCTCCATCTCCGGAACTCATTTCATCTCGCAAAACTGAAAATGTACCCATTAAACAATAGCTCCACATTCTCCCCTCTTGCTAGTCACTAGCAACCACCATTTTACTTTCTGTCTCTATGATTCAGATTACTCTAAGTACCCTGTGTAAGTGAAATTATGTAGTATTTGAATTTTTGTAAGTGGCATAAATTGTGAATTTTTTTTCACCTAACATAATGTCCTCAAAGTTCATCCATGTTAGAATTTCCTTCCAAGGTTGAATAACATTCCACTGTATGCACACACCACATTTTCCTCACCCACGATCCATCAATGGACACTTAGGTTGTTTCTAAATCTTGGCTATTGAGAATAATGCTACCAGATATAGGTCTATTCAGGTTTTCTATTTCTTCATAGTTTAGTCTTAGTAGGTTTTGTTTTCAGAAATTTGTCTACTTCATCTAGGTTATCCAATTTGTTAATGTACAATTGCTCATAGTACTCTTATAATCCTTTTTATTTCTGTAGAATCAGTAGTAATGTTCCCATTTTCATTCCTGATTTTAATAATTTGAGTCTTCTTTTTTCTTAGTCTAGCTAGCTAAAGGTCTAGGAATTTTTCTGGTACTTTTAGAGAACCAACTTTTGGTTGGTTGTACCCAAATTGATCTTTTCTATTATCTATTTTGTTTCTCCCTGCTTGAATCTTTATTTCCTTCCTTCGGTTAGCTTTGGGTTTACTGTGTTTTTCTTTTTCTAGATTCTTAAGGTGTAAAATTCTAAGATATTACACCTTAGATTTAAGTTATTTCTTGTTTTTTAATATAAGCATTTATAACCATAAATTTCTTCCTTAGCCCTGTTTTCACCATGTGCCATAAGTTTTGTTACATTGTGTTTTCATTCGTCTCTAAGTATTTTCTAATAATTACCTATGTGTTTTCTTCTTTGGTCCACTGGTTATTTAAGAGTGTGCTGTTTGATTTCCACAAATTTGTGAATTTTCCAATTTTCCTTTGGTTATTGTTTTCTAACTTCATCTGTGATCAGAAAAGATACTTTAATATTTATCTTTAAAAAAAATCTATTGAAATTAACTTGTGGCATAACTAATGGTCTATCCTGGAAAATGTCCCATACGCAATCCTGTTGTTGTTGGGTAGTGTTATCTTGTTGGGGAGAGTGTCCTGTATATATTGGGTATAATTCTCCAACTACTATTGTAGAATTGTCTATTTCTCCCCTCAATTCTGTCAATTTTTGTTCATATATTTTGTCTGTTATTAAGTGCCTGTTTATAATCATTTTATCATTATAATCATATCATCTATGTATTAATTTATTTTTTAATAAATGAGGTCTTGCTATGTTACTCAGGCTGGTCTCCAACTCCTGGCCTCAAGTGATCTTCCTGCCTCAGCCTCCTGAGTAGCTGGGATTACAGGTGAAATCTGTGCTCAGCTTGGGCTTTTTATTAGTATATAATGTCCTTCTTTGTCTCTTGTAACCTTTTTAGATCTAAAGTCCATTTTGTCTGATACTAGCATAGCCATCCCAGCTCTCTTTTAGTTACAATTTGCATACAATATCCTTTTCCATCCTTTCAATTTTAACCTGTTTGTATCTTTGGATCTAAAGTGAGTCTCTTGAAGACAACATATAGTTGGAATATGTTATTTATTCATTCTGCCAATTTCTGCCTTTCAATTAGAAGACTTAATCCATTTACATTTAAAGTAATTATTGACAAAGAGGGACTTATCTGTCATTTGGCTATTTGTTTTCTACATGCCTTAGAGCTTTTTTGTCCCTCATTTTCTACATTACTGTTTTTTTTTTTGTTTAGTTGATTTTTATTTTGTAGTGAAACATTTAAATTCTTTTCTTATTTCATTTTGTGTATATTCTTTCTTTCTTTTTTTTTGTGGTAACCAGAGGAATTACATTTAACATCTTAAAGTTATTACGCTCTAATTTGAATTTATGCCAGCTTCAATAACACACAAAAACTCTGCTCCTTTAACACCTCCATCCCATCCCTTTCAGTTGTTGATGGCCCCAAATTACATCTTTGTACATTATATCTCCAAATATATAAACTAATAATTACTTTAATGCATTAGTTTCTTAAATTACATAGAAAATAGGCCGGGCTCGGTGGCTCATGGCGTTAATCCCATACAGCAGTTTGAGAGGCTGAGATGGGCGAATCATGTGAGGTCAGGAGTTCAAGACTAGCCTGGCCAACATAGTAAAACCTGTCTCTACTAAAAAAAATACAAAAAGTAGCTGGGCGTGGTCGCAGGCACCTGTAATCCCAGCTACTTGGGAGGCTGAGGCAGGACAATTGCTTGAGCCTGGGAGGCAGAGGTTGCAGTAGGCCGAGATGCGCCACTACACTCTAGCCTGGGGAATAGAGCAAGACTCTGTCTCAAAAAAAAAATACATAGAAAACAAAATGTGATGTTACAATAACATTAGCTTTTAGAATAATTTTAAAAATATAGTAGTCTCTTAAATCATGTAGAAAACAAAAAGTGGAGTTAAATACCAATGTTACAGTAACACTAGTTTTTATACTTGCCTATTATTTACTTTTACTGAGATCTTTATTTCTTCACTGGCTTTGAATTATTGTCTAGTGTCCTTTCATTTCAACCTGAAGGACTCCTTTAGCATTTCTTTCAGGACAGGTCTATTAATGAACTCCCTTAGCTTTTATTTATCTGGAAATGTCTTACTTTCTCTCTCACTTTGAAGGACAGTTTGCCAGTCATAGAATTCTTGGTTGACAGTTTTGTTCCTTTAGTACTTTGAATATATTGGCCCACTGCCTTCTGGCCTCCAAAGTTTCTGATGAGAAATCAGCTGATTATTGAAGATTCCTTGTATGTGATGAGTTGCTTCTCTCCTGCTTTCAAAATTCTCTCTTTGGTTTTAGGCAGTTTGATAATAATGTGTCTTGGCATGATTCTCTTTGAGTTCATCCTACTTGGAGTTTACTAAACTTCTTAGATGTTTGTGTTCATGTTTTTCATCAAATTTGGGATGTTTTCAACCATTATTTCTTCAAATATTCTCTGCCAAAATGCACATGCTGGTCTGATTGATGGTGTTCCAAGGTCCTTTAGGCTCTGTTTTCTCTTCCTCAATCTCTGTTCTGTTTGTTCCTTAATCATTTCCATTGCCTTATCTTCAGGTTCACTGATTCTTCTTTCTGCCTACTCAAATCTGTCTTCGAGTCTCTACATGGCCCCTGACCTATGAGGGTATGACTTATAATTTTTCAACTTTACGATGAGTTTATCTGGACATAATTCACTGTAAGTCAAAGAGCTCCTTAGGATTTAGAAAGTTATGATTTCTACTGAGTATCACCTTTCCACCATCAAGTCAAAATATTTTAAGTCGAATCATCATAAGTCAGGGACCATCTGCTGTGCTACCAAGCATTAAACATACTTTCTCAACTTCATGATATTTTCAACTTACCATGGGTTTATCAGCTGCACTATAAGTCAAGGAGCCTCTGTAGTGAGTTTCTCCTCACTGTTAGTCCACTTTTCAGTTCCAGAATTTCTTTCTAGCTTCTATTTAGGTTTTCTCTTTATTGTATTTCCATTTTCTTCATACATTGTTTTTTTAAAACTTTTTCCATATTTCCCTTTAGTTATTTGGGCATCTTTAAGACAGTGTTTTAAAGTCTTTGTCTCATAGATATGTATCAGGTATTTTTTAGAGACAATTTCTATCGGTTTATTTTTTTCCTTTGAATGGGCTGTACTTCCCTGTTCTTGAATGGGCTGTACTTCCCTGTTCTTTGTGTATGCTTTGTGATTCTTTGTTGAAACTGACAGTGAATTCTTGCTCCACTTACAAAGTATTTTGCTTTTCAGAAGCATATTTGTATATAAAAATATTTTTAATTTTTTTGTCACAATGTGCTATAAAAACAATGTTTCCAGTAAACTAGTAGGAGATTATAAGGATCCATTCTAGGAAGTCACTGAATCTGCTTAAGGTATGGGGTTAACCATGAGTTCACCAAATAGTCTTTCAGGGGTGATCTTAGGTATGGAACTGGTAAACTTTGAGATTCTTAACTCCATGTGTAATGCCATTCTAAAACACAAATGTCATCCGTCTACTAAAAAAACAAATCAAAAACAAACTTCAATCTCTGTATCCTCACAGAAGGAAAAGTCTAAACTATTAAGAACGCTATACAATGCATTTCACAATGTGCTCCTAACCTAACCTACCTTTGTCTCCTTTTACTTTTACCATGAACTCTTACAATCTTGCCACACTAAATTATTTACCTGTTCTTGGAGCAAGAATCCTACTCCTCTGTGATTCCATGCTTGTTTACCTGAAGCTTCCTCAGCCAGGAGTGTCCCTTCTGCCCCACTTTCATTTTCAGCTGCACTCCTGCTTATTTTTCAAGTTCTAGCTCAATTGTCTCCTTCTCTGAGAAATCTTTTCCAATGTTTCTAGGCAAAGTGACTTATTCCTTTCCTTAGGTTCCATAATGTTTTTTATTCAATTTTGTTACATATTTCCTCAGCAGTTAGCAGAGTACCCTGCACATAACAACATGTTCAATAAACGTGATGTCTTGAACAAGAAACACTGGCATCTAAAACCTAGGAGATAAGATATCCATATTTCTTAAATCCATACAGATAAATTTTTAATAACAGGATTTAGCTAGTAGAAATATTTGAGTTCTTGATAAATCATTTGACTGGTAATTTTAACATACAATGTATTACAATTCAAAAGCATCTGAAGTTTCAGTTGCACTGAAGATTTCTCTATCACTTCCCCTTTAAAGTTAAGTTTCAGAATATCCTTTACTTTCACACGTATATAGTCTATTCTCATCTTTACTAACACAGGATCGGTGACCCTATCTCTTTTTTTTATCCACTCCAAGATTAGTGCTTCAATTCACTTGAACCTAATTAAATGATACTTTTAATTAATTTCATTTACTCCCATGTTCTTTTTTTAGAAAGTAGACAAAAAAAATTTGATTAATTTTTCAAACTTCTAAAGCCAATAAGTATAATCTCCTACATCTTTAGAATTTGTAATACCATAAAAATGGATTTCCTAGTGTGCTTTGAAAAACATTAGCTGTAATAAATCATTTTTTAATGAAGCAGGGTCAAAGAAAGAGTATCTGTTATATTTTGCATTCCACTGCAGTTCATGTCATTCAATATTAATGAAAGCCTAGTCACATTTCCTAATAAGAACTTTAAACCTTTGTATCACAGTGAAAACAGTGTAAAATTAAGGTCAGATATTTTATTTTTTTAATAGAACAAATTTAAGTCAGCCTCAACATACAAAAAGACCTTTTAAAATATCTGATCATGAAAAATAGCAAATTATGCCCCTATCCGCAGAGAAAAACCATATACTAAATGCTGGTTCTTTAGATAGGCAAACCACTATCACTAAGCTTAATCCTTTATGAAAAGGTACATGAAGTCTTTAATTCATAGATAAGAGATTACTTTTAGAATCCCTGAAGCCTTGCCAAATGTTCATTCTCCTATGAGCTAATGAGTCAGCCACTCTTCCAGTGACTATGCCAGGACAGTCTGTTAGAAACTAATTAAAGAGCAGATACCTTTATCAGAGTATGTGTGTTCTAATGCATGGAGATCAGGCAATAGGTGAATACAGTTTATGCAGCAGTAGGTGAAGAAATCAAGGACGACTATTTTTCCACATAGATCCTTGTAGACAGAAATAGGTTCTTCTGTGTTCAGCCATTCTAATCCTGAAATTTACATAAAATAAATTACAATGATTAAAGAGAAAGATAAAATTTACCTAAAACTTTCCATTAAAATGTGACCTTTTTTTTTAAGACTAATGCAAATAAACACTTTGAGAGAGTAGCACCATATAAAGGCTGTGGCAGTTGCATGTATTTATAGTTGTTTACTATGAACCATCATTTTCTATCAACAAAAGAAATAAAAGATATATCTTTATGACTGTAACTAAACAGGTATTTGGGTTTGGAAGAACATACCAAAAAGGCAAATTAGCAGAGATTAAAAGCCCAAAAAGGGAAGAAAGAAAAGGAAGGGATGGGGGTACGGGTGGGGGAGCAGGAGGAGTAGAGGATGGGAAAGCTGCTATTATGATGCCATCTGCAAATAAAGCAAGAAAAAGCTACTAAATTCTTTCAGAAATAGGGTAACAGTCTGTGAAAAGGAGTAAAGGCAACACACTTAGGCAAAAAAAAAAAAAAAGGAAGAAATATCAAATAGTAAATGAACCTAATTACATAAACAATTAGATACAAATGGGCTACTGAGAATAAAGGTCAAGCTTAAGAATAGTAAGATATAACTAAACATCAAAAAGGAGTGAAATGTGTGTAAGGATAAACATACAAAATGCCTAAAACAGTTTCCTAAAGGAGAAGAAACTGAAATATTCTGGATTTGGATGAGACCGTAAATACAAAATAAAATATGCTAAATGTAAAGTTAAGCAAAATACACTTATTATTGTCACAGATTTCATTGAGGTAACATTAATATTAATGAAGAACGTGTTCCCTTTCCTCCAAAAAAAGAAAGCTCTGTACTATGAAGAAAGATTTTGTTAACTAATAATAAAGTACAGCATCCCTATTTAACCAATTTAAGAAAACAAAGTTTACTGCTTATAAATAACTCAATGCAGCTATTACAACTATTAATTATGCCTTGAAGCAGGTATTTAGAATAGCTTTTAGCAACTGAAAGCCAAACTTGGGAGGAAGAAGTAAACAGTAACAGCTAATGATTAACAACAATAACTGTTGTTACTCAATCATAACAAAATTCTAGAAAAAAAAATCTGCAGATCAAACTAGTATTTGGGCCAATTAGTCCAAACTAATGAGGTTTCAGGGTACAGTGACCTCTTAATTATCCATTTTGTTAAAATATTAATTATATACCAGATCAAGTGATCATACAAAACTTCAGACTAATTAATGTATATTTCATATCCTACTTGCAAAATATTTATTAATCTGTCTTCTGTGACTTTTCTGTAAATAGTCAAGAGTGGCTTAGATCAGGGGGTATAGAAAGAATGACTACATCTTAGTCACCGTGCTAGATACTTACCAGGCTTAATAAAATTTATTTTACAATAACAATAATTACAATGAATACAATAAAAAGCTGCTAACATTTAGTAAGCTTTTCTGTGAATTAAGAATTTTACATATATTACTTTCAATACAAATAATAATCCTGAAAGGTAAATAATAGTTCAGTTTTGCAAGTGAGAAATATAAGGCTTTGAGGTCAAGTAACTTGCTCAAAATCACACAACCAACAAAATGGAAATAACAAGGATCTAATTCCAGGTCTCTGTGAATCTATCCATTACACTGCACTGTCTCCTATAAACATGTAAGTCTTCTAAGAAATGAACAAAGCATACAGTTTTTCAAATAAAGTTATGTTTATGACTTCCTGATTATAGTTTACTGCTAAAGAAACCAAGAAAACAGTCATTTCTAGCATTCTGTCCTCAATAATCGGGTCCAGGAGAAAATCATACTGTGTTAAACACAAAGCCTGAATATTTTATTATATGTTTTTTTAGTTATGAGTCACAGAGGTCAAATCTCATGGGAATAAAATACACTCCCTGTAAATACAAACAAGACTAGAAAATAAAAAACATTCCCCAAATCCCAGTTGATGGCCTGCTTGTTTATAACAGTGTACTTACTATATAACTACCTTCTGCACCAAAACTTTTTAAAATCATATATTTGTATAGATGTAAACAATCTTTTAAAGTTTGATGGGATAAGCATTCATGTACCCAATTCTTTTGTAAGAATTCCACAATATTTCAAATCCAGTATAAGATTAATAGCAGGAAAAATAAGCACTTCTCAAGGTGAGTAGTGCAAAAGACTTGGAAAGACACCAATACTCTGTTGTCGGAGGCAGGTTCCGATATACCTCCCATGAGATAACTGAATTCTGCCACATCCAACCAATTAACTATACATGTGGTTTCAGTGTCACGCCAGGACACATGCCAGCACCATCAGGCAAAGCAATGCTACTCCCATCCAAAGAAGGTAAAATACGTTTTCATTTATCATGGCAAGATATGCTTCACAAACATCCCTGCCGGGAATATCTGTTCCTTCATGCTCCAAAAGCTCACATGGCCAGGATTTAAACCCTGGAAATAGGCTATAATTGATTCCGATTTTTAAAAGTATTAGTTTCACGACTTTGAACGGAGAAGCACAGTACAGCTAAGAAACCAGCAAATCCAGGGCCTGTATAATCCAACTGGGGCAGTTATCAGCTGTGAGGCCCTGGGCATGTGACTTAACCTCTCTGTGCTTCCATTTCCTCAACTGTGAAAGGGGAATGATAGGAGCACCTCACTGGGATATAGAGGTAATTGAATAAGGTAATATCTCCTCAAGTGTTTAGGTATCCCCTCAAGTGTTTAGGACTGTGTGTGGCAGGCCGGGCGCGGTGGCTCACGCCTGTAATCCCAGCACTTTGGGAAACGGAGGCGGGAGGATCACTTGAAATCAGGAGGTCGAGACCAGCCTGGCCAACATAGTGAAACGCCGTCTCTACTAAAAATACAAACAAAACAAAACAAAACAAAACAAAACAAAACAACTAGCCAGGCGTGGTGGCGCGGGCCTGTAGTCCCAGCTACTCCGGAGGCTGAGGCAGGTGAATCGCCTGAACCTGGGAGGCGGAGGTTGCAGTGAGCCAAGATCACGCCACTGTACTCCAGCCTGGGAGACAGAGCGAGACTCCGTATCAAAAAAAAACAAAAAAAAACCCTGTGTGTGATACATGAAAAAGTGATCAATAAATGTCAAGATGATGCAGAAAGATGACCAGAAGACACTGGGGAACCAGATTGAATGGACAGAATGGTGTGGACGTTGCAATCATTGCCACCGGGGACACTAAATATTCACGGAGTGTCCACTTGGCTAATATCAGGCGCGGGCGGAACTCAGGATACACAGACGAGTATGTGGATCCCCGTGCCAGGGAAACCCCCGTCGGTGGCCGCTTGGGGACCCCTGGGAATTGCAGAACACGCGAACAGCGGCCCAAGTTAGGCGAAGGGCCACTCCCCGGGGCGCCAGCGGCACAAACCCGCCTAGCCCACCGCTTCGCGGGAGGGCGCCGTCCCCGAGGAAGGGGAGGTGCCGGGAGGGGCCCCCACCCCGACGCCAGCCCCTCACCTTCCGGAAACTCGGGTACTGACAAGTCCTGCTCCCAGCCGTCCACCTTCTGCAGATACTGGTAGACCAGGCTGTCCTTCTCCTGCTGGGTAACGGCGTCGAGCAGGGCGTACTCTAGCGAGGTCTGCGCGGGGAGCAGGCCGGAGAGGCTGCGGCCCCGGCCTCCGGGCGCCGCCATGTTTCCGCCGGGCTCCCGATGCGGCCGCCGGGCCCGCGGGAGAGTCTCGCTGGGAGAGACGAAACGTTCACTGTCCTGTGGTTTCCAAACGGCGCATTCACCTCACCCTCCACTAGCCCCACTCCACGCCAATGACACTTTTTTCTTTTTAAAGCATAGGTCCAAGTGCCAAAAGTCCAAATCGGCGCAGTTCCCGGGGACGTAATTAAACTGCCGTCCGACCCACCCCGCCCCTTTTCGGTCCCCACGCCGCAGCCGAGCCTGGACATTGAGAGCGTCAGATTCAACATGGAATAAGGCCTTAGGGACAGCGTCCCAGAGGCGCTAAGGGAAACATCCCCAACCCTCCACATTGGGAATTAGCGGACTTTCGAACACAAATAAAATACAATAAATCCGTAGGACTTAAAAGGGCAATGTATTTTTAAAAATTATTTTTAAAGTCTCTCTCTTTGAACAGCATCCGCCGATTCGACACGGCACTGGCAGCGGGAACTTGTTCCCGCCAAGACCCTAAAGGTAAAGCGGGTAGGGATAACCTCCAGAGAGAAGGCTTTGTAAACTGGAAGTGACTGGCGCGAGTGGCTTTCACTTATACACAAACACAGCGTTTTGTCATCTGGGAGTGCTGAAAGTGCGGGCGCGAACACATTTTTAGATGGGGGTGCCGGGAGGAGCGGATGCAGCTGGAGCGGCTCCCTTGGGGTGCCGAGTGGCAGGTGGGGGGCGGTGAGGGTCCTTGAGGGCGGGCCTTAGAGTCTTCAGAAGGGCAGGACTCTGAGGGCTTTTTGGAGCTCGCTATGCTTAACCTGGAGATGATTAAGGCCCCGCTTCCTGGCCTCCCAGCCTCTAATGCCAAAAGATAAGGGAGAGGCTGGCGTGTGACCCCGTTTTGAGTCAGGTGGACAGAGGGCTGGCCACCTTCGGAACCATGGGTGCAATACGGAGTCAGACCTCAATACAAGCCCACTCTTTCACATATTTGAACTTTTTTCACATATCAACTTTTTTTGTTCACTGTGCAGGGATTGTTCATTGCTGCTGGAGGAAGATCATGGACTGTCGCGGGAAACTGAAGTGGTTGAGTATCCACTAGTCGTGGATGAGGGCAGTGACTTCGCAGTTTTTTGCGAATTACACATCTCTTTGATTATGTTGTGACTAGTTTTGTTAGATAGTCATTTAGTGTTTGGGATACCTGTTAAGCCCTTTGTCCAGGGACTGTGGTTGGATTTATGAATTATTTGGACGGTTGTCCACTTGAAAGAACTGACAGTAGCTTCATAACAATGTTACAAATCTCGTTCTAAGATTAAGCTGTTGAACCTATATTTGCCATTAGCGCTTAATTTTTGAAGTATTATTTTTATGAATCAAGCCCTGGAAAAGGACAAGATATTTGAATGAAATAGCACCCATAATGGAGAACTTCACAGTTGCTACTCCTGTGATAGGTTTATCTTAGTTTCATTGTGGTATAAATGGAATAGCAGGTGTTGTCAGGTACAAGGTTTGTAGCTTGCCAATATGTTCATTACCAACACTGCAGATTCCCATTGAGTTGGTGGGGGTTTTGTTACCTTTGTTTTTTTTCTCAGCAAAATAATTCTATAACTTTTTGTTTGTGACAAGAAATGGACTTTCAGTTTACTTAAGATTAATACTTCTTGAATGATAAAATCATTTTGCCATGTTAGAAGACATTTCCGAAGAAGACATTTGGGAATACAAATCTAAAAGAAAACCAAAACGAGTTGATCCAAATAATGGCTCTAAAAATATTCTAAAATCTGTTGAAAAAGCAACAGATGGAAAATACCAGTCAAAACGGAGTAGAAACAGAAAAAGAGCCGCAGAAGCTAAAGAGGTGAAGGACCATGAAGTGCCCCTTGGAAATGCAGGTTGTCAGACTTCTGTTGCTTCTAGTCAGAATTCAAGTTGTGGAGATGGTATTCAGCAGACCCAAGACAAGGAAACTACTCCAGGAAAACTCTGTAGAACTCAAAAAAGCCAACACGTGTCCCCAAAGATACGTCCAGTTTATGATGGATACTGTCCAAATTGCCAGATGCCTTTTTCCTCATTGATAGGGCAGACACCTCGATGGCATGTTTTTGAATGTTTGGATTCTCCACCACGCTCTGAAACAGGTAAGACTGCAGAAAACGTAGTAGTTTCTAAATAATCTAAAAAGTCTTCATTAGGTCAGACATACCAATTCAGTGAAACAAGGAAGGCAAGCAGTAACCTAAAAGAGAGATGAGACACTGGGAAACACCATACCAGTCAACGGTATAATTGTAAAGCAAATGGCAGACTAGAAAACAGTTTAAATACATTGTGTTATTTCATAAAAGTTCCTAAGTATCTGGATTATTTTCCATAAATGTTAACTGAATCCTTACTATGCTGGGTACTTTCACACTGTCTACTTACCCAACTTTCACAATCACCATATAAGGTAGCTAGTATTGACATTTTATAGATGAAAGTTCTTAAAAGTCAGATAACTTGTCCAATTGGTTATTTATTTTTTTGAGACGGAGTCTCTCTCTGTTGCCCAGATTGGAGTGCAGTGGCGCTATCTTGGCTCACTGCAAGCTCCGCTTCCTAGGTTCATGCCATTCTCCTGCCTCAGCTTCCCGAGTAGCCGGGACTACAGGCGCCCGCCACCGCACCCGGCTAATTTTTTGTATTTTTAGTAGAGACGGGGTTTCGCCGTGTTAGCCAGGATGGTCTCGATCTCCTGACCTCGTGATCTGCCCGCCTCGGCCTCCCAAAGTGCTGGTATTACAGGCATGAACCACCGCGCCCGGCCCCAGTTGGTGGTTATTATGGAACTCCATAGAAAATTATAAATAGGCTGGGCACAGTGGCTCATGCCAGTAATCCCAGTACTTTGGGAGGTGGAGGCAGGCGGATCACTTGAGCCTAGGAATTCAAGACCAGCCTGTGCAACATGGTGAAACCCCATCTTTACAAAAAAAATTACCAAAAATTAGCCAGGTGTGGTGGGCTACTTGGAAGGCTGAGGTGGGAGGATCACCTGAGCCCAAGAGGTCGAGGCTGTAGGGCCCTGTGATCATGCCAGGGCACTCCAGCCTGGGTGGGGCGACAGAGGGAGACCTTGTCTGAAAAAAAAAAAAAAAAGTATAGATATAATGTGGTTTCTAAATATGGTTATGTTTTAGTCATCGTGCTATGTATACAGGAAGAGGAACTGTGAAGGAGTCCTAGGTGATTAAGATTCTAACAAAAAACGTGTCAAATGATAATAAAAGTATGCTATGTTTTTTATCTTTTAAAATATGTAATAAGTATTTAATGTAGAAAATCCTACTTGGAATACATATGGAGAACAGGTTGTTGTGATGATTTATATATTTTGAAATCATTTATATTCCATATATGGATTTTTTTAATCTGAAAAAGTTAAAATTCAGTAAAATAAAAAAATACTCAATATGGCTTTCATGTTAGCTATGATTCAGAATACATTTTATTATTAACCTGTAGTTATTTTAAAGTACTGCATGAAGATACAGAAAAAAAACAACTCTTCTTTAAATTTGGCATTAGCCTTTCCCAGAAAAGGATAGCAAGTGAAAACCTCACAAATTTGCTAGTAATTTTCTTTCATGTAACTTGAAAATCAAGAATGGAAATTGGAGTCCATGGTTGAAGACCTTAGGGTAAAATGTCATATAGATGAAGCCACCTCAAAAAATTTTTCTTTTGGTTTTTCACTAAACTCCTTTGAGTAGACTCTCAGATGGCTCTTGAATTAAATTCCATTCTATAACAAATGCTTTTAAGAGGCATTTTTAAGTTAGGTTGTAAGCCATGAAGTTTTCTAATTTAATATAACAAATATAACATCTTTTTTGAGGGGAGGGAGGTGTCATTTTTTGATAAATCTGGAAATTAACATACACAGGGATATACCAAGATGGCTTATAGAAAGTTTCTCAATCATGGTAGTATGATAGGGAATAGTTTCCAAATTAGTAAAGCCTTATAATTAACCAATTTCTCAAATTCTATTCTTAGAATAGAATCTAAAACTTGTTCAGTGTATCAACAATTATAACTAATCTTATTAAAATTGTTGCTTTTTATTATATGCAATGTGGATATTAAATAATGGAACCCAATTTATACTGCTAATGTTGTCAAAGCTTAGTCTATGCTTTGATCGTGTAATATTTTTTCTTTATTAAAATTTCAGAGTGTCCTGATGGTCTTCTGTGTACCTCAACCATTCCTTTTCATTACAAGAGATACACTCACTTCCTGCTAGCTCAAAGCAGGGCTGGTGATCATCCTTTTAGCAGCCCATCACCTGCGTCAGGTGGCAGTTTCAGTGAGACTAAGTCAGGCGTCCTTTGTAGCCTTGAGGAAAGATGGTCTTCGTATCAGAACCAAACTGATAACTCGGTTTCAAATGATCCCTTATTGATGACACAGTATTTTAAAAAGTCTCCGTCTCTGACTGAAGCCAGTGAAAAGATTTCTACTCATATCCAAACATCCCAACAAGCTCTACAATTTACAGATTTTGTTGAGAATGACAAACTAGTGGGAGTTGCTTTGCGTCTTGCAAACAACTCAGAACACATAAATTTGCCATTGCCAGAAAATGACTTCAGTGACTGTGAAATCTCCTATTCTCCACTTCAAAGTGATGAAGACACTCATGATATCGATGAAAAACCGGATGATTCACAAGAACAACTGTTTTTTACCGAAAGCTCAAAAGATGGCAGCCTCGAAGAAGATGATGACAGCTGTGGTTTTTTTAAAAAACGACATGGTCCCTTACTGAAGGACCAGGATGAGAGCTGCCCCAAAGTGAACAGCTTCTTAACTCGGGATAAGTATGATGAAGGATTGTATAGATTCAATAGTCTAAATGATTTGTCTCAACCTATTTCTCAAAATAATGAGAGTACTTTGCCTTATGATCTGGCATGTACTGGTGGTGATTTTGTGTTGTTTCCACCTGCATTGGCAGGGAAGCTTGCTGCTTCTGTTCATCAGGCAACTAAAGCAAAACCTGATGAGCCAGAATTTCACTCAGCTCAATCAAATAAACAGAAACAGGTAATTGAAGAATCATCTGTTTACAATCAAGTTTCTCTTCCGTTAGTTAAGAGTTTAATGTTGAAACCTTTTGAAAGTCAGGTAGAAGGGTATCTTTCTTCCCAACCAACCCAAAATACAATTAGAAAATTATCAAGTGAGAACTTGAATGCTAAGAATAATACTAACTCAGCATGTTTCTGCAGAAAGGCATTAGAGGGTGTGCCAGTTGGTAAAGCTACAATTTTAAATACAGAAAACTTGTCTAGTACACCTGCTCCGAAGTATTTGAAAATATTGCCTTCTGGTCTTAAGTATAATGCAAGACATCCTTCTACCAAGGTAATGAAGCAAATGGATATAGGTGTGTATTTTGGACTACCTCCCAAAAGAAAGGAAGAGAAATTGCTAGGGGAAAGTGCATTAGAAGGGATAAACTTAAATCCAGTTCCAAGTCCTAATCAAAAGAGGTCCTCGCAGTGCAAGAGGAAAGCAGAAAAATCTTTAAGTGATTTAGAATTTGATGCAAGTACTTTACATGAGAGTCAGCTTTCTGTGGAACTTTCTAGTGAGAGGTCACAGCGTCAAAAAAAGAGATGTAGAAAGTCAAATTCACTGCAGGAAGGAGCGTGTCAGAAGAGATCAGATCACCTTATTAATACAGAATCTGAAGCAGTCAATTTAAGTAAAGTCAAAGTCTTCACAAAATCAGCTCATGGTGGGCTGCAAAGGGGCAACAAGAAAATCCCAGAGTCATCTAATGTAGGAGGATCAAGAAAAAAGACATGTCCATTCTATAAGAAAATACCTGGTAAGTTGAAATGTCAATACTCGATATATCAACAAAGACAACGTTTTTGAACTTTGTGTTTATTGCCCATTGTGTGTGTGTGTGTGTATGAGACAATTTTTTGTATGTGTTTCCTTTGCTTTTGTGATACTTCATGAGCCTCTAACGTAGATATGGTTTTTGCCTATTTGATTTTTTTTGCTCCATTCAATTCATCAAGTTTCTATTAAACATGCCCTCTATGTAAGTGACTATACTAGTTAGGTGGATATTACGGGCTATAGAAAGATTAGTAAGAGAGGAATAGGGATTCAGCTTAATATGAAAGGAGGAAAGGCATCTCTGTAAATAACTATAATAAAAGGCAGCCTCTAAGTGCTTGTGAGAAATACAAAGTACTAAATAGTTTCAAAGATGGGAAATGTCACAGGTTTTACATATCATAGTAAATGCCAAAAATTTTAAAACCGTATTAGAACTTAGTTTCTCTGCCCTTTCATATACTTTGGTTGCTGCCAAAATATACTTGGTTGCTGAAAGATTTTTAAAGTGCTTTATTGATGTTCTAGATCTATAATTTGTTCAATGTATTTATGTAAAGAATAGCATTTATATACTTCATAACATCAGTGGTGTTTTTAATAATTATTTTGATTAATTTTCTGTACTTCATTTATTTATTTAAAGACAGAGTCTCGCTCTGTCGCCTAGGCTGGAGTGCAGTGGCGCGATCTCAGCTCACTGCAAGCTCCACCTCCCGAGTTCATGCCATTCTCCTGCCTCAGCCTCCCAAGTAGCTGGGACTACAGGCACCCGCCACAACGCCCGGCTAATTTTTTTTTCATATTTTTAGTAGAGACGGGGTTTCACCGTGCTAGCCAGGATGGTCTCGATCTCCTGACTTCGTGATCCGCCCGCCTCGGCCTCCCAAAGTGCTGGGATTACGGGCGTGAGCCACCGAGCCCGGCCAATTTTCTATACTTTAAATGATCCTAAAACCATGTGTTGATAAGCCTCAATAGAATTGGGAAGTTATGCTTATTTATTTGCACATCGCCAGTCAGTACACTTAATTATTTCTTGCATGAGCACATTTTAGAACAGTATTTCTCAACCTCTTCTTCATTACTGCTCCTCTAAGGAGCCTTTTTAGGCATTTTTTTTTCTTGTTTCCCACCCCCTCCTCTAGTTCGACTGTGCAGCAAAATTCAAAGATGGTAGATACGTTGTTTGTCTCATATGTGAGATTATGTTGGCCCTCAACCATTTTGGCTTCCTTAGATCAATACTGCCCCCATTGAGAATTCATGTTTTAGAAGAAAGTTAGCATTCTCCTTTTGCTGTTTTGCAGAAGTAAAGTGCTAAGTATTATGAAAGTATTAGTTAAAACAAAGAAGTAATTGGTTTGTAACCTAGAATTTAAAAAAATTTTTTTTGGTGCAATTATTCACAAATAAAAGTCTCTATACTGAGATACTTGGTAGAAACTTTTAAGACATTCTCATCTTTAGTGTTACCTTTTGTTAAATTTATGTGATATAAGTTTTTAAATATAGTTAAATTGGAAATAAGAGGTAAAGAGGATAGAGGGTTCATTCAGTATTTATAATCAAATTGGGTATCTTAGCTCTTGCTCAACCTACTGTGTCGGTATTTTTATTGCAGGAACCGGCTTTACAGTTGATGCCTTTCAGTATGGCGTGGTTGAAGGTTGCACAGCCTATTTTCTCACACATTTTCATTCTGATCATTATGCTGGATTGTCTAAACACTTCACATTTCCAGTTTATTGTAGTGAGGTAAGTTTTAGTATTCTAACTTTTGACTTTGTAGAATGCTGTGAATTTCTAAGCAATTTGGTTAAAAAATAATAATTAAACCAGTAAGATCTTTCATTCTACTAGAAAAAAAATGAGAAAACATATTCCACATAAAAGTCCTAAACTTAAAACGAGTTGATGTCAAGTTTCAGTTTTTAGAAAACATCTGTCTTATTACATGGAAACAAAAGATAAACTATTTCACGATGTACTAAAAACAAGAAATTTCATTTAGTTAACATTCACTGAAAGCCTAAATGGATTCTCAAGGCAAAATACAGTCAGCCTGCTGTATCTGTGAGTGCCCTATCCATGGATTCAACCAACCGCAACCGAAAAGATTCAAAAATAAAAAATAATACAATGAAAAATAATGCAAATTAAAAAATATAGTATAACAACTATTTACATAGAATTTACATTGTATTAGGTGTTATAATTAATCTAAAGATGATTTAAAGAGGATATGCATAGGTTATATGCAAATACTATGCCATTTTGTATAAAGGACTTGAGCATCCTGAGATTTTGGTGTCCTCAGGGGGTCCTGGAACCAGTCCCCTGCAGATACTGAGGGACATGACTGTATCGAGCTTCAAGGAGCTTATAACCTCCAGAGGAAACATTCATAAATAATGCCATATTGGGATTGGTATCATAATAGAAGTAGTACTCCCTAGGAGTAGGGAGAAGAGAGTGCTTTATCCTGTCCTGGGCTAAGGTTAGACACAGTTTTGTGGTAAAAGATACCTCGAACTAATTATTAAAAAGTGAACATTTTAATGCTCATTACTAAGGGCTTGAACTAGAATTTGATTTAATCTTCACAGCATTCTTGAAGCATGCTTCAGGAATTCTTTTTATTAATGAAACACCTGGGGTTTGGAGAAGTTAAGTGACGTGCCCCAGGTCACAGAGCTAAAAATGGCAGAGTCTGAACTTGTATGCAAATCTGTCTGATTCCAGGACCAGGCAGAGGAAAGAGCATTCTAGGTAGAGAGTAAAGTTTATGTAAAGGCACAGGCACCTGAGAAATATGCCCATTCCAGGCACTTGAGATAATTCAAAATGGCTAGAACACAAGGTAGGGAATAACAGGAGACAAACCCACAGGAATGGGCTGGAACCAGATCACTCAGGCTTTTGTATGTCATGGTGGGAAGGATGGACTCTTCACAGATGAGGCGAAGTCAGTGACGATTTTCAAGCAGAGTAGTGGCACAGCCATTATAGGAAATTCTTCCTGGCATTGTGGAGTGTTTACTTAAATATAAGTAGGAAAATGGATGTTATTAAGATGCTATGGTTCTAAACTAGATATGAAATAAAATATTTAGTGTTTTACTGCATCAGCAATAAGCACGTCCTGTTTTGCAGATAACTGGCAATTTGTTGAAGAACAAGCTTCATGTGCAAGAACAATATATTCACCCATTGCCACTGGACACTGAATGTATTGTGAATGGTGTCAAAGTTGTTTTGCTTGATGCCAATCAGTAAGTATTAAAGTCATCTTAATAGCACATTTTTTAAATGTTCAAAAGGACAACACATTGGCATGATTAATAACTTTTTTCATTATAATTAATATGCTTGATATTTCTTAAAACTTGAGTAAGATGTTTCTCCTTTTGAAAAATAATGTGCCCAATTATAGAATCAGAGATGAAAAGTAAAGGGATCTTCTAAATGTTATCTAACCCATTTTTTATCCAGTTTAAATTACTACACTTGACATCTGAGATTCCATCTTATTTTTTAAAATACTTTAACATGTTGTTGCTGTTCTTTGCAAGATAACATTTTGCCATTTTCTTTAGTATCATTTATCATTTACATAAATTAACAGCTTGTATTCCATTCAGATACTAGAGGTCGGTTTTATCTCCCCCTACCCCTCTTTAAACTAAGAAATCATTCAGGCTTTAGATATTAAAGGTTTGGAAGACTTTTTTTTCTTGGAAATGGCCTCCATTTTTCCCTCTTTTTTTCTTTTAATATAAAGTACTATCAGCATTCATGTTGTCAAAACACAACTGTCAACTCTGCTTCTTTCTACTTTCCATAGAATGTTAGCCCACTGTAACATAGAGGTCATAGATGAAGAGAAAGAAGACTAAATCTAGGTTACCTAAAATCCAGGCCAAGCTATTACATTAGGTTGCCTTTAAGTTTTTGTCTGCTAACTTTGCTACTGTTTTTTTTTTTTAATTGCCAGTTTGAATTCTGATTTTTTTTTTTTTTGAGACAGAGTTTCGCTTTTTTTGCCCAGGTTGGAGTGCAATGGCACAGCCTCAGCTCACTGCAGCCTCTGCCTCCCGGGTTCAAGTGATTCTCCTGCCTCAGCCTTCCAAGTAGCTGGGATTACAGGCGCACACCACCACACCTGGCTAATTTTTGTATTTTTAGCAGAGACGGGATTTTGCTATGTTGGCCAGGCTGGTTTCGAACTCCTGACCTCAGGTGATACACCCGCTTCGGCCTCCCAAAGTGCTGGGATTACAGGCGTGAGCCACCATGCCTGGCCGAGTTCTGATTTTTAAAGTCAACTTTATGGGGTTTTCACCATAGATCACAAAGTTAGCGTCAAGCTAGTATCACATAGTTCAATGTCTCAGGCATACAAAACAGTCTTACCAGGCATAATATTCCTAGGGTTCAGAGTTCATTTCCTAGGAGCCAGCCAAGGGCCAGTCCTGAAGACATGCTTTTCTTGGGAATGTTTGGAGTTTGAGCAACCTGGGTCTGCCTTTCCTGCACACCAGTTCTTTTTATGATGTAAATTTCCTTGAGTTGAAGTGCCGCATTTCCTGTAGTGCAATGCTATGTCATTGTGGTCAGCTAATAAAGCGTGCTAACTTGTTGATATTGAAATAGATACTGTTCCTTTAGGTGCTTGCCTGTGTTATGAACATTCCTTTGACATTTGTGTTCAGCTGTCCAGGTGCTGTCATGATCCTCTTTTATCTTCCTAATGGTACTGTCATATTACACACGGGAGACTTCAGAGCAGATCCCAGCATGGAACGTTCTCTTCTTGCGGACCAGAAAGTCCATATGCTGTACTTAGATACCACGTAAGAGAGGCTTTTTTTGTGTGTTTCCTTTTCCCACTGACAGCCTTTGCTCTCTGTATTATGGTTATCAAAATGATGGCTTATTGCCAATTATTATTTTAAGGCTCTTTATCAGAGGGATGCTGTTTGAAAAATATGTATATACTTGCTTAAGGGCAAATTTGAGATTGTATGTGTTAACTGACTACAGCTCATTTTTTTGTGTGATTTATTTTTGAAAATATGTTACATGAGAATCCTGTTACTAAAACAAGGAAGAAAAACTTAGGAGCAAACTTTAGGAAGACACCCTTTTAAGTTGTCCTTTCAGAGTAACTGTGTAGCTATTAATTGTGAAGAGAAGACAGAGGTCAAAATGTGATTCTGTTTTTGAGTATCCAAACTTGCTGTTGTTCTTTTCTTAAAAAGATAATTTATAAGTGACAGTTTTGAATTCCTGAGTGCTATAAATATAATGGCACAAGCCATTACATTTTAACTGTGTATGTATTTCTCCCTAGCTTTATTAAGTAAATAAAAATTGTATATATTTCTGGTGTATGATGTGATTTTATATATTAAAATATCTCATCAACTTGTTAGAAATTATCTTAACCATTTCAACCTGTTTCAAGGAGAAGTACGTTTGGATGCAATATTTTAGTAAAAGATGGTCTTTCCGCATCCAGTTTTCTCACACTATAACTGGTTTTTCCATTCTTCTATATGAGTTTTAAGCACTGGATAAATTAAGAAAATAAGTTTTTAAAAAAACCCTTTTTTGTTACCTAGTTCTATTCTGATACGATTCTGAATTTCCTCATGGGTTGTTATAGGAGAAAGGTTATTCTTACTCTTCTCTAGTAGTTGACTAGCAAAACAATTCTGAAAATTGGGAAAAATATGTTTCTTTGGCTTTTGCAGTTTATTACATTTTTAGTGAAAAAGTGCTTACTTTTCATATCAAATATAGATAGATAGATAGTAGCTTAATTTTTCACTGGGTTATATTGCATGGAGATAGACCCAACTGGATCTGTTGTATTTGCATGTATCTGTGTGTGTGTGTGTGTGTGTGTGTGTGTGTGTGTGTGTGTGTGTACACATGTACATATATATACACATAGTATATATATTTTGTATCTGTAAGAAATGATATTAATATCAACCATGTCAATATTAACTGATTTAAAACTGTTTCACTAAATTCATATTTAGTTTCATTACTTTAATCATTTTTTATTGACAGTCTTTAGTCCAAATATAATCCTTATCAATATGATTTTTTGATAGTGTTTGGAGTTAAATAAAAGACAGTGAGGTTTATAATTTATAACTAAAATAGCTGGCTTGCTAGAAATATTCTTGGAGGAAAAAAGTCTTCAAAAAGACAATTTTTTGAGAGTGATAAAAGAAATATAATGAAAAAGATATATTGAAAACTTACAATTTGATCTTAAGTTAGTAGTAACTGGCAAATAATTCCAACCACAGGCAGTGAGATAACTTGTGGTATTAATATATTACATTGCTGTTGTATGTAAGTTGCTAACGCTTGTTTTCTAAAATAGCATCCAGCTTAAGGTGATGGCTTTTTTATTGTTCTTTTAGTAAGTACCATGTTTCCATACCACAGATATTGTAGCCCAGAATACACCTTTCCATCTCAGCAAGAGGTTATCCGGTTTGCCATCAACACTGCCTTTGAGGCTGTAACTCTAAACCCACATGCTCTTGTTGTCTGTGGCACTTACTCTATTGGAAAAGAGAAAGTCTTCCTAGGTGAGTTGTAGGTGTATCTAATTTACATTAATATATTATAAAGATCAGATTCTTTTTGCATAATGCCCTTTCAGTTTCTACTCTTGCATTTGATAATTATTTCCTGTAATGATTCAATATTACCTTTGAAGTTGAAGGAAAATTTGACAGTTTGAAACATTTAATCTTTGAAAGGTTTGACTTTAGGGAAACATTTGATAATTGTGTTTAATTTAGGCTTTCTAGATATAAGAAATTTATAGAGCAGCTGCCCATGCTACATTGTTATTTAGTAAACTTTGAAAGATGATTAATGCATAGTTGTATTGCTGCATTCTTTGAGGATAATAATTACATTGGCAATCAGTTTTAATTTTTGTTCCTAAATGATTTCTGGATGTATAACTTAGTTTGTCCAGGTAGTATTGTACTAATTTGCAAAATACTTTCCATTTCTTCTTACGTATGGCCACATTATATCAAACATTAAAGATGATAAAGCTGGGGCTTTTAATTTCTTCAAATTTAGTTCCTTCCCTTCCTCTACCCACTTTCTATACACTTTTGCAGTTTTTAAATAGTAAATAATAAGCCTTTAAAAATAAATTATTTAGTTTTCTCACAATTCATTCCACACAGTAAACTAACAAAATGATTCAGCCTTTT
This sequence comes from Homo sapiens, assembly GCF_000001405.40. NCBI lineage: Eukaryota > Metazoa > Chordata > Mammalia > Primates > Hominidae > Homo > Homo sapiens. The sequence continues at coordinate 113,841,697 of NC_000010.11, read as the reverse complement.
TGAGATATCATGGTAAAAGTGTGAATGTTTTGAATTTCCTTTTATTTGGTAAATTCTTACCTTAAAATTTGCTTAAGCTGTAACTTTTTTTCACAAGCTGTAAGTTTACTATTTTTAATCTTTTCTTTTGCCCATAGCCATTGCTGATGTTTTAGGTTCAAAAGTGGGCATGTCCCAGGAAAAATATAAAACTCTACAGTGCCTCAATATACCAGAAATTAATTCACTCATCACTACCGACATGTGCAGTTCATTGGTTCACCTTCTCCCAATGATGCAAATTAATTTTAAGGTAAGCATTCAAGAGATATGTCTTTTAGGATGAACAAAAAAGGTAATCTGATTATTTTAAGCTTCATTTAACTTAGAGGAATTCAATTATAATAGAGTCACCCATAGTAAAATTTGCCCTAGACAATCTTTTAAGAGGAATTTTAAATGTTCATAGTTTTTCTAGATGTGCAACTCTGTAGAGTAATTCATATGCCCACCAGAAGTTTAGGAGCTAGAGAACTAATATATAGGAAGGAACAAAAATGGAAAGGTATGCAGCTATCTGGTCATTCAAACCTTCAATTTTTAAGATCATTTTCCAGTTCTTTCTGGGTGAGTGGGGAAATGAGTGAAGAATCTAAGAAGTTCTTAGTTTACTTCAGGTCTATTCTATTCTGTATTAATATTAAGCCTTTCTAGATTGATAAATATTGAAAATTTACTTGTTGCGACAATTAAATGAAATAGTGGAAGTGTATCCTAAGAGGAAGTTTGAGCATTAGTTCCAAGGTGTAAGTTAAGACGTATGATATGACCTTGCTGGGATTTGGGGGCTTATTTGTCAGACTTATTCATATACTAACTAACGTTTATTCCATATACTAACATTTTGACACCTGGCAATTGAATACATCAAACCTGTATATTAAAATAAATTCAGAACATAATGCATGAAACAATGTATTTTCACATTTGCTATTGTGTTTATGAAATAAAAAGAATGAATGAGAGGTGAGGCAATGGAGACAGGAAGACTAGAGCATGGTGTGAAGAGGAGCTGGATACTTTCATGGCCAAAGGGAGGAGGGTTGCTTGTCTGTTAGCCATCAGAGATGAGGATTTTTATGTTTTAATGGACAGGGAGAATCTAAGATAAGAGAATAATTGATGAAGTAAGATTTCTGAGCAAGATCTGAAAAATAGGTAATGAAGCGCATCCACTTTGAACAGGAAGAGGGCCACCTCTTCCTCTCTGACAGTTCCGTCACAACCTACCACTCTACAGACTGCGTTCTGATGCATATGGCCTTCTTGTAGACAGCATATATTTACAAATCCCAACTTAAACAAGATTTAGATTTTCACTACTACAAACTCAAACTTTTTTTTTTGTTGTTTTTTTTTTTTTTGGAGACAGAGTCTCGCCCTGTTGCCCAGGCTGGAGTGCAGTGGTGCAACCTTGGCTCACTGCAACCTCTGCCTCCCAGGTTCAAACGATTCTCATGCCTCAGCCTCCTGAGTGGCTGGAATTACAGGCATGTGCCACCATGTCCGGTTAATTTTTGTATTTTTAGTAGAGATGGGGTTTCACCATGTTGACCAGGCTGATCTCAAACTCCTGAGCTCAAGTGGTCTGCCCGCCTCAGCCTCCCCAAGTGCTGATATTACAGGTGTGAGCCACCATGCCTGGCCTAAGCATAACTTTTTAATACAGGAATTCAAGTTGGTTTTTAATAACTCAGGAATGTTGATTTTGAATGATTTTTTGAGGCTAGTGTCCTTGGAGGAGTGACCTGGAGTCATTAAATCTATATTTTTGATAGTCGTCAAGTCTGTATGTTTCCACGTCTAGGATTTTATAATAAAACACAAGTTCTTTGTGAAAAGGTCAGTCTGTAAGGCTCCTAGCTGCTAATGGTGTAATAGATGATGAGAGATAGAAAAAGCTGAGAAAGGGCAGGTGGTTTCCATTAGAAGGTGAGGTTTACTGACCTCCTGCCCACTAGGCTGTAAGCTCGCAGAAAGTGAAGTCTATATCTTCTTGTCCTCCACACTGACCCAAGCAACTATGTAATACCAGAATGGATATTTACTGGTATTGCCTTCAGTAGTCCCTCCTCTTCCTCCATTAAAGTGACTGGGTATTGATCACATTTTCTGAAGACTTCTTTTTTTTCTTTTAATATTTGTTTATTAAACATTCTAGCAATGATAATGGAAATATGTATTTAAAATGTTTTTGAATAGATGATACATTCACAACGTTAAAAAACAAAACTATAAAATGGCATATTGTGAAAAGTTTTTTTTCCTCCCCTGTCCCTCATTTACCCAAATATTTTCGGAAGATTTCTTTTTTTTTTTTTTTTTTTTTTTTTTGAGACAGGGTCTCGCTCTGTCCACCAGGCTGGAGTGCAGTGGCATGGTCTTGGCTCACTGCAACCTCCACCTCCCGGGTTCATGCTATTCTCCTGCCTCAGCCTCCCGAGTAGCTGGGAATACAGGCACCTGCCACCATGCCCAGCTAATTTTTTCTATTTTTAGTAGAGATGGGGTTTCACCGTGTTAGCCAGGATGGTCTCAATCTCCTGACCTCGTGATCTGCCCGCCTTGGCCTCCCAAAGTGCTGGGAATACATGCGTGAGCCACCACGCCCGGCCTCGGAAGATTTCTTACCTCCAAAACGCAGATGGAGCAGAAGCTGATGTTTGTAATTAGAGCCAATTTTTTTTTTTTACCAGCCAAAAGTTGTGTTTCATGAGAGATAATTACTTTCTGTGAAAAGGTAATCCTAATACAGTTTTCAAGGTGCCCAGGGCATGCCTGAAAGCCTTTGAAAGGCTATAAATACAATTCATGCTATCTAGTTCAACATCCCAAGTTCACGTATGTGCTACGTAGTTGACTATCACCTGATTTAAACCTGATTGATTGATTGTGGTAAAATGTTATAACAATGATGTTATAGATGATTATTTGCATGCTGAAAAAATAATTCTAGTAACATTGCTAAAAGTGTTTTTCTCCCAAACTGGTTACCAATAAACGGAGAGAGACAAGTCATAAATCAGGGATTTCATATTGACTAAAGTATTCTTAATAAATTTCCTCATGAGAATAGTTCTCAGATTGTGGTTAATGGACTATTTGTAGCTGCTGGTAGTCTTTTTTTCTGTAGATTTGGCTTATATGATAGTATCCAAAGTTTTTGTTTATGGTACAAGCTAATGATGTTTTTGTGGTAACTCCAATTTGTCCCACAAAAAGCAAATATTAGTTATCATTTAATTCTTCTGGATGGTTTTGCAGAGACAAATAGGAATGGACAGGTTTGATGATGTGTATTGAAAGTTGGACTCAGTTTATGTATTATATGTATAGTTACTCTAAACCTCAGTTTCTTATTATTTTCTTTCTTTGTGAGGACAAGGGCAGAAGGAATAGTGATTAAACAAATAATATTACATTAACTAGGTCCTAGAGTAAGCAAGGCAAAAACTTGCAAATTTGCAGAGCCAAGAATATTGAAATGGAAATTTAGTTACATATCAATAACTTTAACTTTTTTTTGGTGTGCATAGTAATTGGTAAGAAATATGGTTGTCTTATGGTAGGTATTTTTATATTCACTTCTAATTAATAAAAGGCTCTTATTTGATACAAAAGATTAAAGGATTGTTACCAATTCATCAATAAAATGAATTTTATTATTCATTCTAAGTCTTTGAAACTATGGATTTTAGTCCTCAGACCAAAAGTATTAGATTTTTTTGTATCCCTCGTGCCATTATTATTTGTAACTGGATTTCTGTTATCTTTCGAAGACTGAACTTCAGTCATTGATTTTCTAAGAGTTTTATCAAATGTCATCATTTATGATTACTTTAGTTTGGGGAAGTTCTATCCTACTCAAGACTTATAAGGGGAGCATATTACTTCCAACAATAGTGGTATGAAAAGTTTTAAAATAAATCTAGTTCATGTTTAAAGGGTAAAAGGCATAAACACCTGAAAAGAATGCTATTAAGCAGCTGTAAAATGTATCTCTGTGTTGAGTATAATGCCATTCACATAAAATTATTTCTATCCACCTAGCTATCCCCTTTTGATGTATATGCATGGAGATATGTTTGCATTGGTGTTTACCATTGTTGATATTATTATCTCTGTAGAGTAAGATTTGGAGAGTAGTTTTGTTTTTGTTTTTGGTAGCTATCAGAATTGTAATTTGTTTATACCTAATTACTTGTGTTTAAAGTTGTCTCGCTATACTTTTTTTTCCAGACTGTACTTGTTTAACTTCAGATAAGTAAAGGAGAAAATATTTTATATATTTTTTTTTCAGTGATTATTTTTTAGAAGCATAGCACTAGGTTGTTGAAGCTAATGCTTAAAAATGAAAACTCCCCATGCCTGTGCCAGTATAACATCTTTAATCAGTCTGTTTTATTCCATATAACTCGTCTCCATTGACCTCAATATGCTATTTTAATTTAACAGGGCTTACAGAGTCATTTGAAGAAGTGTGGTGGGAAATACAATCAGATTTTGGCATTTCGACCTACAGGATGGACACACTCTAACAAGTTCACTAGAATAGCAGATGTTATTCCCCAGACCAAAGGAAACATTTCAATATATGGTATAGTTATTAAATTTTCTCACTTTTAGTGTTTATAATGTTTATAATTACATTTTAAAAAATGTAATAAGGTTCAAATCCAACAAAAACAGGCACCAAAGAATTTAATAATTCAAGAGTTTTCATCTCTCTACAACTCTAATCCTGTATCTAGTCCATTGTAAACTGATATAAAGGAGCTTGACTAGTAGATAGACATTAATGAATACAGATCATTTCACTTTGTGATCAGTGATATTGAGAGGAAATCGCAGAATTAACTTGAAAGGACTACTGTGGTTGTATACTGGAAGTATAGATGACAATGTGAGATTGGGAGCGGGAAGATGATGGGTTAGATGTGGTGACAGCAGGAGATACAGACTTGCCTGTTTTCATCCTTGAGGGAGGTTTACTACTGCCTTCTGAGTTGGCTTATTGCAGTGACAGCTGATGGAAACATGTTTGGGGTGTCACCAGACCAGTGATTTACCCTCAGCCTCTGAAGACCCTAGTATACTGAAAATAGGACCCTTTTCACCTTTCTCTGTGGTACTTGATCTTCAACAAAGAAGATAAACGGTGTGTTATTTTTTCTTTTTTTCCTATTTTTTTATGTGTGCAAAGCTTGGGGACAAATCTGCTTACCTGCTCTGGAAGTGAGAGTCTCCTGCTTGTTATTCTTCACATTTGACTCATATTTCTTCCATATTTTCCTGAAACCTGTAGCTAAGTAAAGTGTCTAAAGGAAGAATTGTTTAATAAGAAAAACCTAATTAAATAGGACTCTCTGGAAATGCATGTTATTAAGTATACACGCAATAAGGTAATCGATTTTTGAATGTTCTAAGTTTCATATCTGTATTAGTCCATTCTCCCACTGCTTTAAAGAACTATCTAAAACTGGGTAATTTATGAATAATAGAGGTTTAATAGACTCAGTTCCACAGGCTTAACAAGAAGCATGACTGGGAGGGCTCAGGAAACTTACAATCATGACAGAAGGCAAAGGGCAAGCAAGCACATCTTACATCTTATCCTAGCGGAGTAGGAGAGTGAGAGAGAGCACAAAGGGGGAAGTGCCACGCACTTTCAAACCATCAGATCTCCTGAAAACTCACTATCTTATTATTTTTTTTTAATTTTTTGAGACAAGAGTCTTGCTGTGTCGCCAGGCTGGAGTACAGTGGCACGATCTCGGCTCACTGCAACCTCCATCTACTGGGTTCAAGCAATTCTTCTGCCTCAGCCTCTCGAGTAGCTGGGATTACAGGCATGTGCCACCACGCCTGGCTAATTTTTGTATTTTTAGTGGAGACGGGGTTTCACCATGTTGGCCAGGCTGGCCTCGAACTCCTGACCTCAGGTAATCTGCCCGCTTCGGCCTCCCAAAGTGCTGGGATTACAGGCGTGAGCCACCATGCCTGACCAAGAACTCACTATCAGAAGAACAACAAGGGGCAGATCTGCCCCCATGATCCAATCGCCTCCCACCAGGCCCCTCCCCCAGCACATAGGGATTACAATTTGAGATGAGATTTGGGTGGAGACACAGAGCCAAACCGTATTGGTATCATTTTAATGTCTTAATCTTTATTATTCATAAAAGATATCAACAAGTTTTCTTTTCAGAACTAAAGCACTGAGGGGTTTTTGACAAAAATACTGTGGATTGCTTTTCTCTTTTGTTTTATTCTATTTTATTTTAGGATTGTGAAAGTTTAAATTAGTTTGATTTTAGTGTACAAATTCGTTTATTTTTTGTTACAGGAATTCCTTACAGTGAACACAGCAGCTACCTAGAAATGAAGCGCTTTGTCCAGTGGCTGAAGCCCCAGAAAATCATACCTACTGTAAATGTGGGCACCTGGAAATCTAGGAGCACAATGGAGAAATATTTTAGAGAGTGGAAATTGGAAGCTGGATATTGATGATACCTCCGAGGATTCAGTAGTAGTTAAGTTCCTTGGATGTAGCTTGTTAGTAGTTAAATCTATAGAAATGTGAAATACACTTTGTGTGGAAAAACCTCATGAAGATTGTTCAGATACTTTATTTTCTCATTTATGTTTGAACAACATGTTCGTGGTGCTGAATGCCTCTCAGCATCATCAAGGATAACTGAAACTGGGTCTCCCTGGGACCCTTAATTTCTTGTCCCCTGCCCTCCATGGGCAGTTATATTCTGCATCAAGCCTTAGAAGAGGAAGCAAAGGCAGATTCAGGGACCAAAAGGATTAATGATAATTAATAAAGTAGTTTGAAGCATTATATATATAAGTAATTATGTGTCTTTAAAATTATGAGATGAAACTTTTATATGACGTGTATACTTAAATAAAATTAATATAAAATTTGCTCTGGTGTCTTTTGTTTTTTTTGTTTGTTTTTAATAGATTTTATTTTATTTATTTATTTATTTATTTTTGAGATGGAGTCTCGCACTGTCACCTGGGCTGTAGTGCGATGGCTCGCTGCAACCTCCCGGGAGACCTCCCGGGTTCAAGTGATTCTCCTGCCTCAGCCTCCCGAGTAGCTGGGATTACAGGTGCCCACCACCATGCCCAGCTAATTTTTTGTATTTTTAGTAGAGACGGGGTTTCACTATGTTGGCCAGGCTGGTCTCGAACTCCCAACTTCATGATCCGCCTGCCTTGGCCTCCCAAAGTGCTGGGATTACAGGTGTGAGCCACCGCACCCGGCCCAAGACTTTATTTTTTAGAGCAGTTTTAGGTTCACAGCAAAGTTGAGTAGAAGGTATGGAGATTTCCCATATACTTCCTGCCACCCCCACATGCTTAGCTCCCCCGTGATCAACATTGCTCACCTGAATGGTACATTTGTGACAAGAGATGAACCTACGTTGACACATCATAATCACCCAAAGTCCACAATTTACATTAAGGTCACTCTTGGTGTCCTACATTCCTTGGTTTGTATAATGTATAATGACATATCCATCATTGTAATATCCTACAAAATTTTTGCTGTCCCCAAAATCCTTTTTTCTCTGCTTATTCATTTTTCCATCCCCCCAAACCCCTGGCAAACAGTGATCTTTTTGCTATCTCCATATTTGCTTTTTCTAAAATGTCATGTAGTTGGAATCATACAATAGGTATCCTTTTCAGATTGGTTTTTTTCACTTTGTAATATTTAAGGGTCTTCCATATCTTTTTGTGGCTTGATAGCTCATTTATTTTTAGCACTGAGTACTATTCCTTTGTATGGATGTATCGCAGTTTGTTTATCCATCATCTACTGAAGGACATCTTGATTGCTTCCAAGTTTTGGCAATGAGGAATAAAGCTGCTATAAACATCCTGATCCAGGCTTTTCTGTGGGCTAAGTTTTCAACACCTTTGGGTAAATATACTACCCAGCAACCTCAGTCCTTGATAAGAGTATGTTTGCTCTTATAAGAAAATGCCAAACTGTCTTCCAAAGTGGCTATACAATTTTATATTCCCACCAGCAACTAATGAGCATTACTGTTGCTCCACATCTTCACTAGCACTTGGTGTCAGTTTCCTGGATTTTGGTCATCCTCTTAGGTGCATAGCGATATCTCATTTTTGTTTTTATTTGCATTTCCCTAATGACATATGATACGGAACATCTTTTCATCTGCTTATTTGCCGTCTATATATCTCTGATGAAGTGTCTGTTCAGATCTTTGGCTCACTTTTTAATTGGGCTGTCCATTTTCTTATTGTTGAGGGTTTTTAAATTTGTATTTTAATTTTTCTTATTTTTTTAAAAAAATACAGTACTTTGAGTTGCTATTTTATTTTATTTTTAAGAGATGGGGTCTCACTAGGTTGCCCATGCAGGAGTGCAGTGGCTATTCACAGGTGCGATTATAGCACAGTACAGCCTCAAACTCCTGGCCTCAAGCTGTCCTCTTGCCTCAGCCTCTGGAGTAGCTAGGACTACTGGAGCATGCCACTGCACCTGGTTATTGTTGAGTTTTAAGAGTTATTTGTTTATTTTGGGTAACAGTCCTTTATCAGATATATCTTTTGCAAATATTTTCTCCCAGTTTGTGGCTTGTCTGTTCATTCTCTTAGCAGTGTACAATGTCTTTTTTTTTTTTTTTTTTTTTTTTTTTTTTTTTTTTTGAGACGGAGTTTCCGTCTTTCACCCAGGCTGGAGTAAAGTGGCACAACATTGGCTCACTGCAACCTCTGCCTCCTGGGTTCAAGTGATTCTTCTGCCTCAGCCTCCCGAGTAGCTGGATCTATAGGTGCCCACCACCACGCCTGGCTAATTTTTGTATTTTTAGTAGAGATGGGGTTTCGCCATGTCGGCCAGGCTTGTCTCGACCTCCTGACCTCAGGTGATCCACCCGCCTCAGCCTCCCAAAGTGCTAGGATTACAGGCGTGAGCCACCGTGCCTGGCCTACAGTGTACAATGTCTTTTGGAGAGCCAAAGTTTTTAATGAAGTCTGTCTTATCAATTATTCCTTTAATGGATCATGCCTTTGGTGTTGTATTTAAAAATTCATCTTCATACACAAGGTCATCTAGGTTTTCTTTTATAATGTCTCTTAGGAGTTTTATTGTTTTGTGTTGTACACTTAGATCTGTGATCCATTCTGAGTTATAGTGTAAGGTCTGTTTCTAAATTTATTATTTGGCATGTGGATGTCCAGTTGTTCCAACATCATTTGTTGAAAAGACTATCTTTTCTCCATTGCATTGCTTTCATTCCTTTGACAAAGATCAACCAAATATATTTATGTGGGTCTATTTCTGGACTCTTATTTGTTCTTTCACCAATACCACACTCTCTTGATTACTGTACCTTTATTTTAAGTCTTAAGTCAGGTAGTGTCAGTTCTCTAACTTTTTTCTCCTTCAGTATTATATTCGTTTTTCTTGGCCTTTTGCCTCTCCATATACACTTTAGAATCAGTTTGTCAATATCCTCAAAATAACTTGCTGGGAGTTTCATTAAGATTGTACTGAATCTGTAGATCAAGTTGAGAAGAACTGTCATCTTAACAATATTGAGTCTTCCTACCTATAAACATGGAATGTTTCCATTTATTTAGTTCTTCTTTGATTTATTTCATCAGTTTTATAGTTTTCCTAATATAGATCTTGTGTACATTTTGCTAGATTTATACCTAACTATTTCATTTCTTTTCTGCTAATGTAAATTGTAACATGTTTTAAATTTCAAATTGCATTTGTTCATTGCTGGTATGTAGGAAAGCAACTGGCTTCTGTATACTAGCTTGTATTCTTCAACCTTTGTATAATCTTGATTTCCTATATAGACAGTTACATCATTTGTGAACAAAGATGGTTTTATTTCTTCATTCTCAATCTGTATACATTTTACTTCCTTTTCTTGACATTGCATTAGCTAAGACTTCCAGTATAATATTGAAAAAGAGGGGTGAGAGGGGACATATTTGCCTTATTCGCAATATTAGTGGGAAAGCTGCTAGTTTCTCACCATTAAATATGATGTTAGCTGTAGGGCTCTTTTTAGATATTCTTTAAGTTGAGGAAGTTACCCTCTATTCCTAGTTTACTGAAAGTTTTTATCATGAATGGGTGCTGGATTTTGTAAAACGCTTTTTTTTTTGCATCTATGATCTTGTGGCTTTTCTTCAGTCTTTTGTTGTGATACATTACGTTAATTGATTTTCAAACGAGCTTTGCATACCTAGGATAAATCCCACTTGATTATGATTTATAACTCTTTACACATTGTTGGACTTGCTGTAATATTTTGTTAAGGGTTTTTGTATCTATGTTAATGAGAGATATTGGTTTAGAGTTTTCTTATAATCACTTTGTCCAATTTTGGTAATAGGGTAATGCTGGCCTTTTAGAATGAATTAGGGAATATTCCTCTGCTTCTATCTTCTGAAAGAGATTGTAAAGAATTGGTGTAATTTCTTCCTTAAATGTTTAGTAGAACTCACCAGTGAACTGATTTGAGCCTGGTACTTCATGTTTTGGAAGGTTGTTCATTATTAATTGAATTTCTTTAATTGATATGGGCCTATTCAGATTGTCTATTTCCTCTTGTGTGAGTTTTGACAGGTTGTGTCTTTAAAGAATTGGCTCATTTCCTTGAGGTTATCGTGTGTTTTGCTTTTGGATTTTAGGATTTATAGCTGTGACATTCATGAAATTTTACAGAATCTCAGTGAAAATAATTCAACTTGTGGCTTTGAACAAGACAATTCAAAAAGCTTAGATAATCACCCAATAGAGGATGCAGAAAAGTTTGCATGTTTATCTGAACTATTCAACTTAAGACATCAGATAACTAAAAGTTTAAGTTGCAGTGTTTTATGTAAAGTGAGATTATAGAATTTATTTATGGATCCTAATCTCTCCAACATAGACTGAATAGTTGATCCAAAGTGGAAATTTGCAGCCAATGCATATTAAAGATCTTTTTATGTGGTCTAAATAAGACAATAGCTAGTACAATGAATGTATGCATGTGTGTATTTGTGTATTCTTGCATTAGCTCTAGCAACGAAATTAAGGAATTTCTTAATGTTTTCATAGAAATAGTCATGGAACATTTTCAGTAACAATCAGAAGGATAGTATTCTCCATGAACTTTATTTCATGGGTTTGGATTTTACTTTGTAGAGGTAAGAATTATAGGGGATCACATTTAGAAGAATAGCAGCTTTTGGGGGGCACAGTGGTAGTGTTTATGTTCTCAGTTAAATTACAAATTTAAAATATTTTAGCTTGTCTTGATGTTTTAAACTTTTTGTAAGCTATTAAGAGTTATAATTAGAAAAACTTTATATTTCTGTAATTATAGATATTCTTAACATAAGGGAGATAGTCAAGTCGTCTGGGGTTATTTTTATTTATTAATTGAATGATTTTTCCCACTAGAATTGTCATTTTTCATAGGTAAAAAGATTTTTTATGATTTTGAACGTTTTTGAAAATCCAAGCATGTTATTTCAAGAGCAGCCTCAGCCTCAGCCTTTTTATTATTCTATGCAAAAACATCTTTCTACGTGAAAATCATCATTTGTGGCAGCTTGGAATAATGTCCCGCTATTGCTGGACATACCAAATTAAGTACCTCATTTAAGGGACATACCAAATAGTGTTATAAATAAGTCACAACCACAACTAAACTTTTCTAGGTTCTATTGACAGCATATATGAAATTCTTAGTTCTGATACAACATTTTGGTAGGTAAAAATTTTCCATTTTTAAGCGAAATGAAAGAAAAAGAAACCTACCACCAACCCAAAATATCTGGCAGCTCTTAACATCCTAAAATATGTGGAGAGAAGGGGAAGTAGAATCAAGCCAAGGTGGGGGAAATGTTTTGCTTTATATTTACTTGGAACTTTTCAGAAAGCATTTTTGTTTTTTAGATGGAGTCTTGCTCTGTGGCCCAGGCTGGAGTGCAGTGGCGCGATTTCAGCTCTGCAACCTCTGCCTCCCAGGTTCAAGCAATTCTCCTGCCTCAGCCTCCCAAGTAGCTGGGACTACAGGTGCACGGCTAATTTTTTGTATTTTAGTAGAGACGGAGTTTCACCATGTTGCCCAGGCTGGTCGCAAACTCCTGAGCTTAGGCAATCTGCTGGCCTCGGCTTCCCAAAATGCTAGGATTACAGGCGTAAGCCACTGCGCCCGGCCTTCAGAAAGCTTCTTTACAAGCTTATCTGACATTGAACATTTTATTACCAGGTGTAGTGACACTTGAAAGACTGATTTCAAATTGTTTTAACTTTGATCTAATGGGAAAACCTTTCTTACTTAATGTCAATGCCTTTTACATTTAAATTATCACTTAGTCTATATTTAATAATGTACCTAAATATGAAATTTCTCTTTTGGACAACAAATTTAATTTTAATTTCAATTTTAAATTTCATTCAAATTTAAAATTTAAATGAGTTGTATTCCCATGGCTCAAGTGCATCCAGAATTTCCTTATTCAGTCTTGAATAACCATCAATAACTACACTAAGGAATTAAGAAAATAATCTTCAGGTGCTAATCTCCAAAACAATCTGTCTTAGAGTGTCGATATTAGCTTGTAACTTACTGTTTTTTTATTCATTTAGTTCATTTGGTATTGATCTTAGAAAAACGATAGGGTTGGTTGTGTCCCCACCCAAATCTCATCTTGAATTGTAGTTTCCATAATCCCCATGTGTCCTGGGAGGGACCAGGTGGAGATAATTGAATCCTGGGACTGGTTTCCCTCATCCTGTTCTCATGATAGTGAGTTAGTTCTCGCGAGATCCTATGCCTTTATATGGGGCTTCCCCCTTTCGCTGGGCACTCGTCTTCTTCCTTGCCGCTCTGTAAAGAAGTGCGTTCAGCCGTGATTGTAAGTTTCCTGAGGCCTCCCTAGCCATGCGGAACCGTGAGTCAATTAAACCTCTTTTCTTTATAAATTACCCACTCTTGGGTATTTCTTCATAGCAGCGTGAGAATGGACAATTACAGATGCCAATACAAGTTATTTGAAGTTAACAAAAGCATAAGTTAATGGTTATAAATAACAGTAGAACAGTTTAGTCATGAGAATTACTTCCAATCTGAACACTTGAAAGCTTTTAACTTGGCAATCATTTTAATGTGCTAATTCTGTTTCATTTCTCCTTTTCCCTAAGTATCTACTCTTTGCTCCCAAAAGTAAACATATTCCCTTTGCATCATAATGCATTCCCTCCATAATTTCAAAGTTCCATTTTCTATAAATCAGAAATAATTTATAAAGCATTTGTTGTGGAGTATACCAAGTATACGCAACCAGGTATAACACAAAATTACTAATTTCTTAAACATTCATAGCTGGGCCAGAGCTCAGGTAAAGCAGAGGAGGTGACTAGGGTGATGAATTTAAAGAGGCACTCCTTTTTAAGGCTGACCCTGTATTTACGGGACCCTGAGAGCGAGTGGCCTCATGAAATTTTGCTCTAGAAAACCTCTCTTTACTCACCCTAGTCCCAGCCCTGACTCATAGCATCTAGTTATGTTCTTTTGCTGTTTGCATGAATAAAAATGGCTTTCTAAATATTGTTATACCTTTGTTTTTAGTACACATTGAAACATAAACATTTAAATCTGAATTTAAAAGAGTACTTTTTAAAGAACTTCTAAATTCATCAATATCAAGATAATTAGTACCAGTTTTTCTGAAGCATCAAACCTAGATTCCTTTGAGATCCTTCCCCTAGTATACTGTAAACACTTAAGGTCAGAGCCTGTATCTTATTGATGATTCAGTACCTTTTCCAGTGTCTGCCCAGGGACAGTTCACATAAGTGATGAATACTTGAATGAATCTTTAATAAACAGTGACAAAAATCCATGTACATTCTAAGAATTGACTTCCAAAATTATTTTATGTGTATTCCTCAGATGAAAATAGTTTTATTCCAGAAGGAACACTGGAAATAAAAATATATTTAAACACTCAGCTAATTGTTTTGGTACATTAAAGCATCTGTTACTTAAGCCCAATTCAGTGTAGGAACAATTTAGAGAATAAACTTTTTTTGGTGATGATCTATCACTTCACTGCCACTAAAATCAGTCATTGAGCATCTGAATCTTTGCCCCAGGAATGTATATTCTATCAAGTAACATTATTTATTGATTAACTGCTATATGCCCCATACCATTCTTGGTGTTTTGGGGAATTCAAGATAAGAGTAATTCAATCTAGCAAGCATTTATTTTACTTTTCTTAAATTTTACTTTAAGTTCTGGGATACATGTGCTGATTGTGCAGGTTTGTTATATAGATAGACAAGTGCCATGGTGGTTTGCTACACCTGTCAATGTGTCATCCCTAGCAAGCGTTTGTTGAGTGGTTTTTATGTAAAGGGTGAAGGGGATACAAGCACAGTGCTTTGGTAGGTGAGTCACACATAAACAGTTGCAAACATCAGAGAATTAATACGAGGAGAGAAGGCATGTCTTAGGCACCATATAAGTCAAGCTGTGATAAGGGGTATAGTATTAGACAAAGTGCTATGAAGGGATTTAAAAAAGAGAAATTCTGAAAAGGAAGGGTCTATACAGAAGATGGCTCTTGACATGGACTTAAAAGTGTAGCAGATTTTTCATAGACTGGATAGCAATCCAAGAGACAGCAGAGGCCTGGAGGTGCAACAGCAGAGGGGTGGAAGAAGAGCTTTAAGTAACTGGTGTGTTGGCATCTGATGCTCAGGCTAGAAAGGGTAGATGGGGAAGTTGACAAAGAGCTTTGAAATCCATAGGAAGGTGTTTGGGGGTTATTCTGAAGAAAATTGGGAGTTCTTAAAGATTTGGGGGTAGTCAACATATTATGTGTTGGAAATGAAGTATAAAAGAAAAATAGATGGTAGCGGTATAAAGATATATAGATATAAACTTGATACACACACATATATACATACCTTAATAATATATACAGTATATTATTGTAGCTTGACTAGTCTAAGGTCACGCCTTAGACCTTGAGAAACACATTTCAGTTGTGGGGTCTCTGTGAAGTGTTGAAGCTTAAGACGAGGTCCTTGCCTTTAAGGAATTTAGAGTTTCCTTAGGAGGCTGGACAAAAGCTAATATATATAAAATACTTAAGAAATTAATCTGTGTGGTTTCATATCTTGAGAAGCCTGAGATTTAGGGTAGATTGAAATTGTATGATCTAGTTGGTGAAATAGAACACACAGGAAACTAATTTAGAAACAAAACGGTATGTAAAGTCGTAAGTGATGAATTGGACTGATCTTTAAACAACTTATTTGATTTAAATCAAACTTGGTTTTACATAAGTGCTACTTCTGCGTTTCAGACTGAATTTGCGGGGTTTAAATCCTGGTAGAACTATAGTAGATTATGTAGAGATTCAGAAACACCACTTTGTCCCAAATATGATAGGCTTTTTTTTTTTTTCAAAGGAAAAGGAAGTTTAGCGAAGTCAAATTTCATTATCTGTATAAGCCCTTCTGTTATTTCAACATGGAAAGCAAGTGCTTAAGATCATAAAATGGCATCAAAGCAGGGCTTTAATACACCATTAGATAATGTTACTAAACTGTTTTTTAAGTTTGTTTGAAAGGACTGTTACAAATTTCCTGCTGAAGCCCTGAGCTCTGATTACATATCACATGGGATAAACAGATAAAATTGTAAAATAAACTAAAAGCAACAGTATCTGGAAGCAGGGAATAAAGCCCAAATATCCTTGTTTGCTAAGTCAGCCAGTTTTTTTTATTAGTATCTTTTATCTGTGGAGAGTGCTGAACTCTATTTTTTTTTGAGACGGATTCTTGTTCTGTCTCCCAGGCTGGAGTGCAGTGGCGTGATCTCGGCTCACGCAACCTCTGTCTCCCGGGTTCAAGCGATTCTCGTGCCTCAGCCTCCTGAGTAGCTGGGATTACAGGCGCACGTCACCATGCCTGGCTAACTTTTGTATTTTTAGTAGAAACGGGGTTTCGCCATGTTGGCCAGGCTGGTCTTGAACTCCCGAAGGTGATCCGCCCACCTCGGCCTCCCAAAGTGCTGGGATTACAGGCGTGTGCCCGGCCCCCAAACTCTATTTTAAAATGTTTTTAAAACAGTTTTATTGAGAAATGATTCACATACCATACGATTCACACATTTAACCTGTACGACTCATTGGTTGTTATTATATTTACAGAGTTGAGCAACCATCACCACAATCAGTTTTAGAATACTTTTATCATCCAAAAAGAATCCCTAGACTGGGCACGGTGGCTCACGCCTGTAATCCCAGCACTTTGGGAGGCTGAGGCGGGTGGATCACGAAGTCAGGAGATTGATACCATCCTGGCCAACATGGTGAAACCCCGTCTCTACTAAAAATACAAAAATTAGCTGGGTGTGGTGTTGCACCCCTGTAGTCCCAGCTACTCGGGAGGCCGAGGCAGGAGAATCGCTTGAACCTGGGAGGTGGAGGTTGCAGTGAGCCGAGATCGCGCCATTGCACTCCAGCCTGGGTGACAGAGCAAGACTCCATCTCAAAAAAAAAAAAGAAGAATCCCTGGACCCATTAGCAGTCATGCCCCAGTTCCCTACCACCTGCCTTCTTTGGTCCTAGGCAACAACTAATTTTCTGCCTGTATGGATTTAACTGTTCCAGACATTTCTTATAATAGAATTATATAACACATGGCTTTTTTCACTTAGCATATTTTCAAGGTTCGTCCATGTTGTGGCATGTGTCAGTACTTCATTCTTTTTTATGGCCAAATTATATTGAATTGCTTGAAAATGCCACATTTTGTTTACCCGTTCATCTGTTGGTGGATATGTGGGTTGTTTCCACTTTTTGGCTATTATGAATAATGCTGCCATGAACATTGGTGTATAAGGTTTTGTGTGGATATACATTTCATTTCTCTTGGATATATACCTAGGAGTAGGATTGCTGGGTCATATGGTAACTTTAAACTTTTTGTGGGACTGCCAAATTGTTTTTCAAAGTGCTGCATCACTTTACATTCCCACCAGCAATGTATGAGAGTTCCATTTTTTCCACATCCTCACCAACACTTGTTATTGTTTTTGCTTGTGGACATCTTGGTGAGTGTGAAGTGGTATCTCATTGTAGTTTTGATCTGCGTTTCCCTAATGACTACTGATGTTGAGTATCTCTTCACTAACTGTTTTGAAAGGGAACAATGTATAGAAAGCTCAATTAAATGGATGTTCTAAAATGTATTATTTAAACCCAAGCAAAATAGTTTTATAGACTTTGGCCTTGAATTGCTATATGATTATGATGTTTAATCATGGGAAGCCTACAATTTTGTTTCAATGAGAATTATTTGAATTAATAATAGGGTAAAGTTAAAAGGCACAGCAGCATTGCAGGTGTCATGAAGTGGTTGTATGCAGTGCAGGTAGGACAGTTACTGCTCCAGATTGCAGAAAGTAATGAAAATGAATTCATAATTGTCAGTTGGAATGGAAAACTTGAGATAGGGGAGTTTTAAATATCAAGGTAGATAACATCAGCTGACCTCGAATAAGCAATGTCATTTTTAAAAAGTGTTGATGTGAATATATAAAATGTAAATCTTTAGTTTTTAAACTTTAAAATTGCAGCAGGCTCTTATAGATCTTCTCTGAAAGTTGGATAATGAAATTGATAAATTATTTGAGTTACTTTTAGCTCAGAGTCTATAATTATATAATTCCTGGTTAAGATCAAGTTTTTTAAAACATACATAGTAAAAGCATAGAGTTTTAAACAACCCAGCTATTCACATGTCATGCGAATAGATAAGCAGCCAAGAAACTTATCTTTTTGTTTCCAAGGTCTTGACTTTTATATAAGAACTCTATTCTTATTCCAGGTTGTATCCTAGTACTTTATTCATATGTATTAAAATTTTTAACAGGTTTTTGACAAAGAACAGGTAAGATAAGTCAGGAGTCATTAGAAGTTCAGCACAAAGCGTTTTTGGTCAGCGTTTGAAATCCCTGGACGAGAGGAAACAGATGGGTTTGGTTACATTATCGTTGCTGTGCCAAATAAACAGTTGGGGAAAACATTAAATATCCTTTTGCTACATATCAGCTTGGTGTTTGATGTTAACAGTGGTAGCCTTTTCATCTAATTTAGTGATAGAAGCTTGAAAATGTTTTAAAATATATAACATAAAAAACAAAGTTTATTTGAATCCTCATCAGGTGACTTAGTTTATTCAGGAAACATTTGCTGAATGGTAGTTATGTGTAAGACACTGTGACGGACAGAGGACAGGGAACTTAGATTCATTCCTTTGGGAAATCTTCAGGGACAAGGTAGCATTTGAGGTGCAATTTTATTTTATTATTTGTTTATTTATATATTTTTCGAGATGGAGTCTGACTCTGTGGCCCAGGCTGGAGCGCAGTGGCACTATCTCCGCTCACTGCAACCTCCACCTCCCAGGGGGTTCAGGCAGTTCTCCTGCCTCAGCCTCCCGAGTGTCTGGGACTGCAGATGCGCCACCGTGCCTGGCTAATTTTGTATTTTTACTAGAGATGAGGTTTCACCATGTTGGCCAGGCTGGTCTCAAACTCCTGACCTCAAGCGATCCACCTGCCTCGGCCTTCCAAAGTGCTGGTATTACAGGCATGAGCCACCGTGCCCAGCTCTGAGGTGGAATTTTAAACACAAGCACAACTGGGATACTCACAGGGGCGATAAAAGCTAAGAATGGCAATTATATCTTTAAAAAAAATCAAAGATGATTGTGAGTAAAACCTTCATCTCAGGGAAGAGTTGGACAGAATCCATACTTGCAAGAAATATTTAAGTGTTCACTGAAATAGTTCGGACAATAAGGTGAGCAGCTGAAAAACAACCAAAAAGACCAGGCACATTGGCTAACACCTGTAATCCCAGCACTTTGGGAGGCCGAGATGGGCGGATCATGAGGTCAGGAGTTTGAGACCAGCCTGGTCAAATGGTGAAACCCTGTCTCTACTAAAAATACAAAAATTAGCCAGGCGTGGTGGCACCAGTCTGTAGTCCCAGCTACTCGGGAGGCTGAGGCGGGAGAATTGCTTGAACCCAGAAGGTGGAGGTTGCAGCGAGCCGAGATCGCGCCACTGTACTCCAGCCTGGGCCACAGAGTGAGACTCCATCTCAAAAAGAAAAACAACCAAAAAGACAGAGATGCTAGCTTTTAAAGGGCTAGTGGACTATACAAAGAAGTGAGCAGATCATAATTCATTGCTGCGGAAGGAGAATGGTGTGGGCAGAGGTGATGTCAAAGCTGGGAGTTGAATGATAAGGAGAAGGACAGCCCCATTGAAACCAAGCCACCTCATCATCTCCTCCTGTCATTCAGTCATATTCAAAGAAACTACCATTTCACAAAGACATGTGGAAAGCCATTTAAATCTTTTCTGTAGCCTCAAAAAATGTCAAAAGGGAGTCTCATAAGGTATATTACAAGGTTAACAGTCACTGTTAAATAGGAGAATTCTTAAGCTAAAACGTTAATAGAATTTCAATTAAATTGGTACATAGATAATGCTTATTTTCCTCCTCTTCATGCCAAGATTCATTAACATGGCAGGGAAGATATTAAAAAGGAATACGTTCACAAGGATAAGATAGTAGAGGAGGCATCAATCGATGAGAGATTTCAACTAGATTTTGGAAAACAGAAAAAACTACAGAATAAGCTATTTGGTAGGTGACATAATGGACAATCTGGAGTGAGTTGAAGCTGATATGCACACAAATCACAGCTTCAATTCATTCCCGATTCCCCACCATATCACCTATCAAGCCACTTATTCTGTAGTTTTGTCTGTGTGTGAGAAACAAAGGATATTATTAACTTGAGGCAAGCTAAGAGTTGTGTAGAAAAAGAAATGTAATCTCAGCATGCTACTTTTTTCTGCAGTGAACAATATTTATATACTAATGATGAGGTCGTGAAAGGAAAATACCTTGGGCCCCCAAAATCACTAAGCTAAAGGAAAAACTCAAGCTGGGAGCTGCTTAGGGCACACCTGCCTCCCATTCTATTCAAAGTCATTCCTCTGCTCACTGAGATAGATGCATATCTGATTGCCTCCTTTGGAAAGGCTCATCAGAAACTCAAAAGAATGCAATCACTTGTCTCTACCTATCTGTGACCTAGAAGGCCCCTCCCTGCTTTGAGTCTTCCTGCCTTTGCTTCAAGTTGTCCTGCCTTTCCAGACCGAACCAATGTACTTCTTACGTGTATTGATTGATGTCTCCTGCCTCCCTAAAATGTGTAAAACCAAGCTGTGCCCTGACCACCTTGGGCACACGTCGTCAGCACTTCCTGAGGCTGTGTCATGGGCCCAGGTCCTCAATCGTGGCAAAAAAAAAAAAAAAAAAAACTTTCTGAATTAACTGAGACCTATCTCAGATGTTCTGTATCCACCGTGTAAATAGTGATTAATAATTTAGTCAAAATTAAGGCTGTAATGCTATTAAGAAATGGGAAAGAGGTAGATATGAGAGAGAACGGTCGAATCAGTTAGCCGCTGAAAACTCTCTCATGGAAATTCCTTAGCCTGGTTTTAAAATCTCTGCATTGTTCAGTCCTATCTGCTACCTGATTTAAGATCCTCCCACTCTCCCCTTCTTTAACCTCTGTTCAGTGACCTGGACTTCTCTCTCTCTCTTTTTTTAAATAACAAGAATGCTTGGCACAGAATCAAGAACACAATAGTGGCTGCCGTTATTGCTATTAACTGAGACACCAGCAAACCCTTCCCCAGTCCTTTCCTTCGTGATCCTGACACGGTGTGCAGCATGAACCAGCACACACCAGACCTGATCCATCCTCTCACAGGCTCTTAAAACTCACTAATGAAGGCTGCTCCTGGTGAAGGCACCCTCTACCTTCCCACTGTCCCTTCAGACCCCTAGTGGCCAGCCCAGCCCAGCGCGAGGGTCAGAAAGCCCACTCATAAGGCCCACCCACTCTCCCAGATACCGGTGAAGGAAAACAGATGCCAAGTCCACAAAACAGGAGAGTCAGACTATTAAACATTCAAATGTTCATGGGACAGAACGCTGAGCATAGACATAGCCTCTCTAATCGCTGCTACCTAATGACACAAATGTGACACAGCAGCCACATCTGCAATGCCTCCAGGGGCAGTTTTTTCTCTTTAACAAGTCAAGTACTTTCTTTCCTCGGGGCCTTTGCCTTCAATCTTTCCTCTGTGTAAAATGTTCTTTTGGCAGAAAATCAGTTGGTTCCGGATAGTGTTCTCCTCCTCTTCCACAGTAAGAGAATTTTCGCTCGGCATGTAGCTGCCCAGAATAGAAATTACATTTCAAGTTTCTCTTGCAGCTAGGTGTGCTTATGTGACTAAGGTCTGGCCAAAAAGATGTGAGCAGAAGAGATGGGAAATTGCTGAGTTGTGTCCTTATCAAGAACTGCCCTTCTCCTTCTTCCTCCGTCTTGCTGTTTGGAACACAGAGGTGGTGGAGCCACCTGGGACCTTACAGATGAAGGACTGAAGGAGGCTGGGTCCCTGGATGGCCTATCCTCAGGCTACCACATGAGGCAAACAATAAACTTACTTGCTTATGCCATTGTTAGAGGGTCTCTGTTACATGTGCTGATGCCTATCACGGCACTTCCCATAGAGCTTCACATGGCAGGCCCTGCTTATCATTTAGGGGCTCAACTCCGACATCGCCTTAGAGAAATGTTTCTGACCACTCTACTGAAAGTCAGGCGGTTAAATCTCTGTCACTCTTTTATTTTCTTGATAGCACACAGCAGTATATGGAATCGTTTTATTTCGTTGTTTGCTTTTTACTTGTCTTTCTCCTAGATTATAAGTTTCATGAATGCAGTGACCTTGTTGTCTTGCTCATTGCTGGATTCCTAATGCGTGGAACAGTGCCTGGCACATAGTGGGTGCGCAATATATATTTGCTGCGCGATTGACTACATCAGATGGGAATTCAGTAGATGAGAGGTCAGTAGATAAAGTAAATAAATCAGTAAAAAGTGACATACGCACACTGTTCGGACATACAGACATACATTCGGAAAAGCAACAGCTAAAATATTCTTAAGTGGTTGCTTCTGGGGATCAGGGCTGAAGTGAGAACAGGTGAGACAGACTGCTTTTTTTTTTTTTTTTAAAAAAAACCTTTTGATACTATTAGATTTTTAAACTTGTGCATATATTATTTTGGAAAAGACCAAATTTAAGAAATAATTAAGAGGCCACACACGGTGGCTTCATGCCTGTAATGCCAGCACTTTGGGAGGCCAAGGCACGCGCATCACTTGAGGTCAGGAATTCCAGACCAGCCTGGCTAGCATGGCAAAACCCCATCTCTACTAAAAATACAAAAATTAGCCAGGCACGGTGGTGCATACCTTTAATCCCAGCTACTCGGGAGGCTGAGGCAAGATAATTGCTTGAACCTGGGACGCGGAGGTTGCAGTGAGCCGAGATTGTGCCGTTGCACTCCAGCCTGGGCAACAGAGTGAGACTCCATGTCTAAATAAGTAAATAAATAAATACTCTGTAGTCATTAAAATGATATGGTAGAAGAATGCTTAATGACATGGAATGACATCTATAATATGACAGTATATCATATGTAGAGCAAGACTCAATTTTTATACATGTATGAAGCACACAGCTTTAAAAAGATGCTTTTATAGTTCATGCATACAGCCAATTCCTAACTTTAGATATAAATGAATATGCTATTTTTATTAATAGAACCAGTGTTTCCTGGTTAACAATGTTGAATGAATACTAAAAGACTTCAGGTTTGAAGGGACAACACAGTGTCTTCCTTCCCAGAACTCCTACGGGCCTTTGTCCAATCCTTCTTTTTAGCCACTTAGTGAGGAGTTTTGCCCTTATCCTAAGAACAGTAAGGAGCCAGTGAAGTATGTTTAGCAGCAGTGGTATAAGATTGTTTTTAGGCAGATTTGTGAAAATGGCTTTAAAAAGCGAGCTTGGAATCAGAAAAATAATTAGGAAGCTATTAAGTCAATCAAGGCAAGAAATGATGGATGCTTAAAACAGGAAAGCAGCAGTCAGGTCAGAGAGAAGAGGACTGTCTGCAGAACAGCGCAGAGGGTTGGCAGTCTTGGCGGAAGCGAAGAAGGCTCCAAGGCTATAAGCTCCATGAGGGCAAGGACCACTTTGACCTTGTTTAGTACTCTGTCCTGGGCCTGCCTAGCACAGTGCGGGTGCATATTGACACTCAGGAAATATTTGTGATCTTAAGAAGAAAAAATGATGAAGGATGCGGCTTGGAAGTCTGGCCAGGTTGCCTGGTGAACCACAGGTTGTTCACTGAGCATGACAGGAGGACCAGTGTGGGTAGAAGGAGATACTCTGGACCTGCTGGGTTGTAGATGCCTGGTGTTCATTCCAGGGAAGGTAATCAATGAGCAGTTGGCTGTCCAAGTCTAGAAGATCTTGGCAAGGGATAGGCTTAAGGGTCCTCAGCATACGGATGGTACCTTTAGGCAGAGGGTGAATAATACTTTATTAGAAGAGTAATAGGTCACTATAGGCCAGGCATGGTGGCTCATGCCTGTAATCCCAGCATTTTGAGAGGCTGAGGCGGGTGGATTACTTGAGGCCAGGAGTTCAAGACCAGCTTGGCCAACATGGTAAAACCCTGTCTCTACTGAAAATACAAAAATTAGCCAGGTGTGGTGGCAGGCAACTGTAATCCCAGCCACTTGGGAGGCTGAGGCAAGAGAATTGCTTGAGCCCAGGAAGTGGAGGTTGCAAGTGAGCTGAGATTGTGCCACTGCACTCCAGCCTGGGTGACAGAGTGAGACTGTGTCTCAAAAAACAAAACAAAATAAAAACAAAAACAGTATATAGCATTGAGAGACGAGAGATGATACGACAGAACCTCCAAGCAATTCCAAAATTAAAGGACAGGGGCCTATGGAGGAGAAGACAAAGGAGCAGCAGAGAGGCAGGAGGGACAATCTGCTGTCACAGAATAAGGGACGATCAGCAGTAAGAAATGCTGCCGATACAGCATGAAGGTGGGCTCTAAACATCGTCCGTTGTATTTAGAACAAATAAGTTGTTAGTGATGATCACTTGAGGTGCTTTGGAATATATATAAAAAATTAGAGACTGGGAACCATTTTGTTAAGAAGGCTGAATGACTAATCTGCCACTTTTTCCTCCTTTTTAACTTTTTCTCCTTTAATTTTAATGAGTCTCTGGACTTGTACCCACCACTAGATTGTCAGCTTCTTATCAAAGTTCCAGTGACTAGTTTGGCAGCAGGGAAGTTTTTCCACTTGGTCAAATTTTTAATCAGGTCACTATCAGTAAGCTGACAGAGACTTGTTTGTGCTGGTTCAGAATGTGGGTCCCACAAAACCAGGCCTCCAAATACTTGGCTTTCTTGCTTTATGACTGCATTTACAGTTCGTGTGTATCTTTTTCATCTTTCCTAGAACAAAGATACACACACACACACACACACACACACACACACACACACTCCAGAAAAGGACTGACATGAAAAATTATGGCATGAAAAATTATGCTGCCATTATATTCTTGATTATTGATTGACATTTGGATTGTGTATTTTTCCAAATTTTCTTGGCCAAGAATATTCTCAGCACATAGTTATTTCCTGAATACAGCTTTTATTCCCCTCTTCTTTCTTCCTTCAATATATTATTGCTATTTTTATCACCACCCCAGAACAGGACTTTTTCCCTTACAATTAACCAGCCTGTTTCTTGCTTCTACTTGAATAGCATGAATTCTGTCTGTCATCTTTCCCTCTTGTGTTTCATGATTTTTTCTTTGTAAATAACTTCTTTTTGGTGGGGGTGGGCAGAGTCTCACTCTGTTGCCCCAGCTGGAGTGCAGTGGCGTGATCTCAGCTCACTGCAACCTCTGTCTCCCGGGTTCAAGCCTCAGCCTCTCAAGTAGCTGGGATTACATGTGTGCACCACCATGCCTGGCTAATTTTTGTATTTTTAGTAGAAACAGGGCTTCACCATATTGGCCAGCTGGTCTCAAACTTCTGGCCTCAAGTGATCTGCCTGCCTCGGCCTCCCAAACTGCTGAGATTACAGGTGTGAGCCACTGTGCCTGGCCCCTTTGTAAATAACTCTTGGAAGCAATAAATTATTTAGCAAATTGCACAGGAATATTAAGAGCCTGATTGTTTTGTGGTAGAGTGTACTATGTTCAAACAAAATGTTTTTAATTGTATACTACCTGTTTTGTCAGAAATTTATTCGAAAACAGTTTATTGACACCACCCGGGTGGTAAGTACCCTGTACGTACTGTAGATTTATTGACACCACCTGGGTGGTAAGTACCCTGTACAGTCTGTAGATTTATTGACACCACCTGGGTGGTAAGTACCCTGTACATTCTGTAGATTTATTGACACCACCTGGGTGGTGAGTAAGTACCCTGCACGTACTGTAGATATCAATAGCAGATACAGGTCTCAGCTCAGTACCTTGCACCTAGTAGCTGTTTGATTAGTCTGTGATAAATGAGAAGCCTCAGGCAGCCATGAATACCATCAGAAGGTTTTGGGGGAGAGGAAGAGATGAGGTTAGACCCTTACCCTTGGAAAGCCCTGGAGATAAAGCCATGACAGCTTTCCTCAAGGACATGGTCTCTGCCAATAGACACACTCAGACAGGGGCAGACAAAGTGGTAGATGGCAGGTCCTGGGGACCTTTTAAAGATGTCCATGAATGGGTAAAGCACCCCCACTGCCCTGCCTGGCTCTTTAGATGACTAAACACTTTTGGTTGAAAAGGCCACCAACCAAAAGAGGAGGAAAATTTTGCCGGCTCCAATTAAACAAGGTGAAATTAGCCAAATGAGCTGGGGACGTATCTTTAGTCTGTTTGTGCTGCTATAACAAAATACCTGAGACTGGGTAATTTATAAGTAATAGAAATTTATAGAAATAGTAGACATTTATAAATAATAGAAATTCCAGTTCTGGAGGCTGGAAAGTCCAGGATAAAGGTGCCAGCAGGTTCAGAGTCTGATGAGGTTCCTGTCTTTTTGTCCACAATGGCACCTGGAAGGCTGTGTCCTCAAATGGTGGAAGGGATAGAAAGGCAAAAAAGCCAAATCCTGTGAGAAGCCACTTTCCTAGGGCCTTAATCCCATTGACTAGGAAGGAGCTCCCATGACCGAATCACCTCCTCAAGACCCCACTTCTTAACACTATTGCATTGGAGATTACGTTTCAACATGAAGTTTTGAGGAGATAAAAAATTCAAATCATAACAGGATGTTAGCACCATTTCATGATGATCAGAGGGTTCAGGGGTTAGCTCTGCAAAAAGGCCATCAGTATGATTTATTTTCTATTTTTTATTATTTTTATTTTTTCTTTATTCTAAAAAAGAACAAAACAAACAAAAAAAGGGTACATGTGCAGAACATGCTGGTTTGTTCCATAGGTATACATGTGCCATGGTGGTTTGCTGCACCTATTGACCCGTCCTCTAAGTTCCCTCCCCTCAACCCCCACTCCCCCAACAGGCCCTGGTGTGTGTTGTTCCCCTCTTTGTGTCCATGTGTTCTCAATGTTCATCTCCCACTTATGAGTGAGAACATGTGGTGTTTGGTTTTCTCTTCCTGTGTTAGTTTGCTGAGGTTGATGGCTTCCAACTTCATCTGTGTCCCTGCAAAGGACATGATCTCATTCCTTTTTATGGCTGCATAGTATTCCATGGTCTATATGTACCACTTTTTCTTTATCCAGCCTATCATTGATGGGCATTTGGGTTGGTTCCATGTCTTTGCTATTGTAAATAGTGGTGCAATAAACATACGTGTGCATGTGTCTTTATAATGGAATGATTTATATTCCTTTGGGTATATACCCAGTAATGGGATTGCTGGATCAAATGGTATTTCTGGTTCTAGATCCTTGAGGAATTGTCATACTGTCTTCCACAATGGTTGAACTAATTTACATTCCCATCAACAGTGTAAAAGCATTCCTATTTCTCCACAGCCACGCCAGCATCTATTGTTTCCTGACGTTTTAATAATTGCCATTCTGACTGGTGTGAGATGGTATCTCATTGTGGTTTTGATTTGCATTTCTCTGATGATAAGTGATGTTGAGCTTTTTTTCATATGTTTGTTAGCCACATAAATATCTTCTTTTGAGAAGTGTCTGTTCAGATGTTTTGTTCACTTTTGATGTTTTTTTTTCTTGTAAATATGTTTAAGTTCCTTGTAAATTCTGGATATTAGACCTTTGTCAGATGGGTAGATTGCAAAAATTTTCCCCCATTCTGTAGGTTGTTCACTCTGATGATAGTTTATTTTGCTGCGCAGAAGTTCTTTAGTTTAAGTAGATCCCATTTATCAATTCTGGCTTTTGTTGCAATTGCTTTTGGCATTTTTGTCATGAAGTCTTTGCCCATGCCTATGTCCAGAATGGTATTGCCTAGGTTTTCTTCTAGGGGTTTTATGGGTTTGGGTTTTACATTTAAATCTTTAATCCATCTTGAGTTAGTCTTTGTATGAGGTATAAGGAAGGGGTCCAGTGTCAGTTTTCTGCATATGGCTAGCTTGTTTTCCCAGCACCATTTACTGAATATAAGATCCTTTCCCCATTGCTTGTTTTTGTCAGGTTTGTCGAAGATCAGATGGTTGTAGATGTGTGGTGTTATTTCTGAGGTCTCTGTTCTGCTCCATTGGTCTATATGTCTATTTTGTTATCAGTACCTTGCTATTTTGGTTACTGTAGCCTTGTAGTATAGTTTGAAGTCAGGTAGCGTGATGCTTCCAGCTTTATTCTTTTTGCTTAGGATTGTCTTGGCTATATGTGCTCTTCTTTGATTCCAAATGAAATGTAAAGTAGTTTTTACTAATTCTGTGAAGAATGTCAATAGTAGTTTGATGGGAACAGCATTGAATCTATAAATTACTTTCGGACAGCACGGCCATTTTCACAATATTGATTTTTCCTATTCCATAAGGATGGAATGTTTTTCCATTTGTGTCCTCTCTTATTTCCTTGAGCAGTAGTTTGTAGTTCTCCTTGAAGAGGTCCTTCAAATCCCTTGTTAGCTGTATTCCTAGGTATTTTATTCTCTTTGTAGATTTGTGAATGGGAGTTCATTCATGATTTGACTTTCTGTTTGTCTATTATTGGTGTATAGGAATGCTTGTGATTTTTGCACATTGATTTTGTATCCTGAGACTTTGCTGAAGTTGCTTATAAGTTCCAAGAAGTTTTGGCGCTGAGACGATGGAGTTTTCTAAATATAAAATCATGTCGTCTGCAAACAGAGACAACTTGACTTCCTCTCTTCCTATTCAATTACCTTTATTTCTTTCTCTTGCCTGATTGCCTTGGCCAGAACTTCCAATACTATGTTGAATAGGAGTGGTGAGAGAGGTCATCCTTGTCTTTACCATTTTTCAAAGGGAATGCTTCCATCTTTTGCCCATTCAATATGATATTTGTTGTGGGTTTGTCATAAACAACTTATGATTTTGAGATATGTTCCATCAATACCTAGTTCATTGGGAGTTTTTAACATGAAGGGATGTTGAATTTTTTCAAAGGCTTTTTCTGCATCTATTGAGATAATCATATAGTTTTTGTCTTTGGTTCTGTTCATGTGATGGATTACATTTATTGATTTGTGTATGTTGAACCAGACTTGCATCCAAGGGATGAAGCCAACTTGATTGTGGTGGATAAGTTTTTTGATGTGCTGCCGGATTCAGTTTGCCAGTATTTTATTGAGGATTTTCGCTTTGATGTTCATCAGGGATATTGGCCTGAAGTTTTCTTTCTTTGCTGTGTCTCTTCCCGGTTTTGGTATCAGGATGATGCTGGCTTCATAAAATGAGTTAGGGAGGAGGCTCTCCTTTCTCATTGTTTGAAATAGTTTCAGAGGGAATGGTACCAGCTCCACTTTGTATTTCTGGTAGAATTCAGCTGTGAATCTGTCTGGCCCTGGACTTTTTTGGTTGATAGGCTATTAATTACTGCCTCAATTTCAGAGCTTCTTATTGCTCTATTCAGAGATTTGACTTCTTCCTGGTTTAGTCTTGTTAGGGTGTATATATACAGGAATTTATCCATTTCTTCTAGATTTTCTAGTTTATTTGCATTATAGTATTCTCTGGTGGTAGTTTGTATTTCTGTGGGGTCAGTAGTGATATCCCCTTTATCACTTTTTATTGTGTCTATCTGATTCTTCTCTCTCTTCTTTATTAGTCTACTGGTGGTCTATCTATTTTGTTAATTTTTTCAAAAGACAGCTCCTAGATTCATTTGATTTTTTGGAGGGATTTTCATGTCTCTATCTCCTTCAATTCTTCTCTGATCTTAGTTATTTCTTGTCTTCTGCTAGCTTTTGGATTAGTTTGCTCTTGCCTTTCTAGGTCTTTTAATTGTGATGTTGGGTGTCCATTTAAGATATTTCTAGCTTTCTGATGTGGGTATTTAGTGCTATAAATTTCCCTCTTAACACTGCTTTAACTGTGTCCCATAGATTCTTGTACGTTGTCTCTTTGTTCTCATTGGTTTCAAATAACTTCTTGATTTCTGCCTTAATTTCATTATTTACCCAGGATTCATTCAGGAGCAGGTTGTTCAATTTCCATGAAATTGTGTGGTTTTGAGTGAGTTTCTTAATCTTGAGTTCTAATTTGATTGTACTGTGGTCTGAGAGACTGTTTGTTATGATTTCAGTTCTTTTGCATTTGCTGAGGAGTGTTTTACTTGCAATTATGTGGTTGGTTTTAGAATAAGTGCTATGTGGCACTTAGAAGAATGTATATTCTGTTGATTGGGGGTAGAGAGTTCTGTAGATGTCTACTAGGTCCACTTGATCCAGAGCCGAGTTAAAGTCCTGAATATCCGGTGGTGTGGGTTCACAAGTGGGCTCTTCTGATCTGTGGGTTGCACAGTTCCGTGAGAAAAGCACAGTTTTCCCTGCTGGGCAGCACGCTCACTCACTGCCTCCCTTGGCTGGGGGGAGGGGGTTCCCCTTCCCTGTGTGGCTCTCAGGTGGGCTGCCACACCACACTGCTCTTCCTTCCCTCTGTGGGTCACACCAGCTTCTAGTCAATTTTGATGAGAGAACCTGGATACCTTGGTTGTCAGTGAAGGATTCACACGCTTATTATGTTTTTTCCCAATGGGAGCCTGCAAATGCTGCTGCTTCTAGTCAGCCATCTTGGCCCTGTCCCCGGGCCATAGATATGATCACACAACTTCTAATTATTTAGTATTCTTTGAAAAGAGATATTGCTTAATCAGCCAGTATAGTAATGAAAGCTGTTGACTTAGTGTTCAGAGACTATAATTTAGGTAGGCCTGGTTCTGCCACTAACTTTGTGACACTGGGCAACTTAGTCCACTATCCTGCATCTCAGTTTCCTCCACTAGAATGAGAAGTAATTGATCTTAGGTCCTGCCTGGAAGATTCTATGAGTCTGTTAGCTTCATTGCTATTTTTTTTTTTCAAAGTATTGCATGGTTTGCCAGGGCTTGGACATGATCATATTTTTCAAGCTAATTATCACAATGGATGTATGCTATAATATTAAGATATGTCAGGTGAGAAAATGTTTTGAGCTAATATGTTTATTTTACTTATTAATATGTATTTATCTAATGCTTTTTGATATAATATATAAACAGCAGAACTGGCTGGGTGTAGTGGCTATGAGTTCAAGACCAGCCTGACCAACATGGTGAAACCCTGTCTCTACTAAAAATACACAAATTAGCTGGGCGTGGTGGTGCACACCTGTAGTCCCAGCTACTCAGGAGGCTGAGGCAGGAGGATCACTTGAACCGGGAGGCGGAGGTTGCAGTGAGCTGAAATCATGCCTTTGCACTCCAGCCTGGGCAACAGAGTAAGACTCTGTCTCAAAAATAAAAAGATAAAAAATAAAACAGCAGAACTTCCCCCAGCTTGGGTTTGGGGCCTGGAGGTACAACAGTGGAAGAATCAATCCCTCATGGTGGTGTAAAGTGTAAAATGGTTGTATTAACCATAAAATGAGGCAGTGAGCTGACAGCAACAGAGCAGCCCAGTAGTAAGTGAGTGAAAGAGTTTAGAGAGCACGGCACACTAACTCTTCAGCACTCCCAGGGTGAGCACACAGGCACTGAGCACATCCATCAATACAGATTATTCATTCTGACTAGCAATGTGTTGATACAAATACTTGGTGAAACCTATGTATCTTACATCAGTTGCCAAACAATGGCTTACAGTTCAGAACTGCAGTTTCCAGATTCAAGTTAGTGGTGTAACACATGAACAGCCTTTTAGCAGCCTATGGAATGTCTTTGGTGATTCCTGTTGGACAATAAACACACCGCAGTATCTGCTCCTCCCCTGCACGTAGAATAAATTGATGGCCCAAGAGACATGAACAGAAAGGATACATTTGAAGGTTTCATGTGGCTTTAGGGAGAATCGGAAGTTGAAACCTATAGAAGCTGAGTGACCCTGAGTAAGAACTGCTCATCTCCTACTCACAGGAGAGCGCTCTTTCATGCCATTCCCTGCCATGTACTCCAGATACCTTCTTTAGTCGTAGGAGAGCCAGGTTCCCAGATGGAAAATGGGTTAATTCCCTATCTGGCAAGTCCATCCAGGGGTCTGACTCCTAGTGAGGGCACAGAGGACAGAGCTATTCCACTTCTCGAAAAAAAAAAAAAAAAAAGAGTAGTTGTTAAAAGTTCTCTTTTCTCTCCCAGGACAGCACCTCTGACTACAAGGAGGTGAGTACAGACACTGCCGGGATTCAAACCCCACTGTTCATTGTTCACCCATTTTTTGCAACTCCTTTCTTCCCTTTCCAACAGCTAAATGTTCAAAAGACAATGAGCACTCCTTCCCTCAACCCACCCATTTATCCCTCAAGGGGTCCATGGAGATACTTTGTCACCCTTTCCTGGTTCAGTGAGAGAGATGTTGCTAACCGTCCGCTCAGATGACAGCGTCAAGACTAACAGGCAGCAGATTTGCTTCACCGACAAAAGAATGAAGGAACTTGTTTGTAAATAGTTTTGTCTGTGTTCACAATCTCTCTCTCTCTCTCTTTTTTTTTTTTTGAGATGGAGTTTCCCTCTTGTCACCCAGGCTAGAGTGCAGTGGCACCATCTTGGCTCACTGCAACCTCCACCTCCCGAGTTCAAACGATTCTCCTGCCTCAGCTTCCTGAGTAGCTGGGATTACAGGCACCCACCACCACTCCCAGAGTTTTTTGAATTTTTAGTAGAGACAGGGTTTCACCATGTTGGCCAGGCTGGTCTTGAACTCCTGACCTCAAGCCACCCGCCTCAGCCTCCCAAAGTGCTGGGATTACGGGCATGAGCCACCGTGCCCAGCGCACAATCTCTTAAATTAGTCTTGCTACCCTCCCATTCCCCAATGGCTCCTTCAAAAGCACTGCTCCCTTCCTAGGCTATGAGTTATACTCTGGGTGCTAATCCTGATAATCAGTTCCTAGAGGATACTACTGGGGCTGCCTGAGAATCTTGTGGCAGCCTCTTCCTTAGCTCCTGTGTGTGATGGCTTTGAACTTGTTTGAATGTAGTGGCACTCCACGGACTGCCACCTGTTTGCCTGTTCCTGTTATGGTGTATGGAGTGGGATAGAGAGCAATGCTCCTTTGCTAGGATCCAAGCAATGGTGCATTCCTGAATTTCTCCACTATTTTACGTCATGCCTATCAGATTCGTCTTGAAAAATAAGAAAGGTGATTTATTCCCAGCCAATTCCAGGACTCTGCAGAGAGTGGTCTCTTAAGTTCTGAGTCCTACCTTTAAGTTCTGCTAGCAGTAGAGACGTACCTACCTCATCTTCTTAAGAGTTTTGTGGCAGACTTCACTTCAGCCTCTGAAAAAGGAGATTGGATAAGGAGAGGAGAAAATAACATTTGCCCAAATGAACCAAAAAAGAAGAAGGAGGAAGAAAGGAAGAAGAAAGGGAAGAAGAGGAAGAAGAGGGGGATAAGGGAGATGAGGAAGAGAAGGCAAAAGAAAAGGAAGAAGAAGAGGACAAGAAGAACAAGACGGTAGAGTGTGAAATAAGGCTACTTTTTTGAAACAAAACATTTGCCTTTCTCTCTTCCCAAGGCATCTAAAACCACTTATTGTAGAATATTCAGTTCACTCACAGAAGGACTTGTGTGGGTTTCTTTCTGAGCTCAGACCGAAATTACCCTTGATGGCAGCTGGACAATTAGGTGAGAATACCTGAAACCACTCATCTTCATTCTAAGGTTTCTCAGAGCATAGTCTGTGAGTCTTTCTCAGAATTACCTAGGGCCCTAGCTTTAAAAAAAATAGACAAATTCCTGAGCCGAAATCAGCATCTCTAGGAGTGGGACCTGGGAATTTGTAATCTGCAGGGCTTTTTTGCTTTTGTTTGAAAGAGACAAGGCCTTCAGATGTTTCTTGATGCCAACAAAAAATTCGAGAATCTGCTTTAATCCGTAGGTCCCAGAACTCTGTTTTTCTCCCTGTAAAAGATAAAATTTAGTTCTGCTTAATTCGGCAAGACTTAAAAAAAAAAAAAGAAAAAGAAAAGAAAAAGAAAAAAACACAGAAAATTTAGCAGTTTTTTTTTTAGCACCTGAATCATCAGGCAAGAAATGTGGGTGTTGCTTAGCTCTAAGCCTCCTGAAATATTAAAGAAATATGTATGTGCAAATACCGAAAGAGGAAAAAGCTTCTGCATTGCTACGCCACAGACAGCATAAAAGATACCAGCATAACAGGTCTCTAAAGAATAAGATTTGGGAGCCTCATCTGCTGGGAGCTTAAGAATATAAACATGTATAAATAAGATGATATACCTGAAACAAAGTTTTAATAAGGAATTAAAACTGGAGTGCAGTGGCGCGATCTCAGCTCACTGTAACCTCTGCCTCCTGGGTTCAAGTGATTCTCCTGCGTCAGCCTCCCGAGTAGCTGGAACTACAGGTGCACACCACCATACCCAGCTAATTTTTGTATTTTTAGTAGAAACGGGGTTTCACCATGTTGACCAGGATGGTCTCAATCTCTTGACCTTGTGATCCACCCGCCTTGGCCTCCCAAAGTGCTGGCATTATAGGCGTGAGCCACCGCACCTGGCCTATTTATTTATTTTTAAGATGAAGTCTCGCTCTGCCACCTAGATCGGAGTGCAGTGGCATGATCTCGGCTTACTGCAACCTCATCCTCCCAGGTCAAGCGATTCTTGTGCCTCAGCCTCCTGAGTAGCTGGGACTACAGGCACGCGCCACCATGCCCAGCTAATTTTTGTGTTTTTAGTAGAAATGGGGTTTCACCATGTTGGCCAGGCTGGTCTTGAACTCCTGACTTTAAGTGATCTGCCCTCTTCTGCCTCCCAAAGTGCTGGGATTACAGGCCTGAGCCACTGTGTCCGGCCACAGCCAACTTTTAATAGTATTAATAGTATTATGAGGTGGAAAGACATTGAGATTTAGTGCCCAGCCAGGTGGCTGGCATAGCCTCGTCATGGAACCCATGCTGCTGGGTTTTCTCTCCTGTGGCTTAATATGCAGGAGCTCCTAGAAGATGATCATAAATGACCCACACAGGGGAGGGGAGGGAAGGAAGCATCAGGGGAGAGGACCATCCAGCTAACAATGTGGTGAAAGATAAAATATCACCAAACACACCTGAAAACCTGGCATCTGAGAATAACCCAAGGCAAAAAAGAAACAAACAAAAAAGCTCCTGTGTTTTCTATTTTATATTCCTTTTTTTTTTTTGGTATGGGTTGAGGGTCTTGCTCTGTTGCCCAGGCTAAAGTTCAGTGGTGCGATGATGGCTCACTGCAGCCCCCAGTTCATGGGCTCAAGCCGTCTTCCTGCTTCAGCCTCTTGAGTAGCTGGAACCACAGGCGTGCACCCCCACGCTCAGCTAATTTTTGTATTTTTTGTAGAGATGGGGGTCTTGCTATGTTGCCCAGGCTTGTCTCAAACTTCTGAGCTCAAGTGATCTTTCTGCTTCAGCTTCCCAAAGTGCTGGGATGACAGGCATGAGCTACAGCACCCAGCCTATTTTATACTCCTTAATCACCTGTTAGACTTCATTTTTCATGGGTGGGAGTAGAAGACTCGTATTTATTTAAACTTAAACCAAACTGCAGTTTATCAAAAATAAGCTGTTTTAAATAAATAATTGAGATGAATGATTAAAAACTTAAGACAGCTCTCTGCTTTTTATTTATAAAGGTTTATGTTGCTAAACTGTTTTCCATTATTACTCAATCCTAATAAGTTTTGGGAAATAGTGCTCACCTCTTGGCCCCATACATGTATTTTTGTTTTGCATTTTGGTTTTTCTAAAGAGGCAATAAATGAGAAAGATCTAGCTGGCAAAGGCAGAGGAAGAAAAAGCTGGAAAGGAAGAGGGAACAGCATGTACAAACAGCTTGCTGTGGGGGAAAAAAGCTTGAAGCATTTGAGGTACAAACGGAAACCAGTATGGGTGGAGTGTGGGCGCTCTGGAGACAGTGACGATGCTGGAAGCGATGTTATTGTACAGGACCTGGCTGACTATAGCAAAGAAGTTGAGTTTTATGCTAAGGGTGATAGAGTGCTAACAGAATACACTGGGAGTAACCTGATCCACATATTCCAGATACAAACTTGTTTCTCAAAATTTGCAATAAAGAAAAATAGAATAAGGCCAGTGCAGTGGCTCACGCCTGTAATCCCAGCACTTTGGGAGGCCGAGATGTGTGGATCACTTGAACCCAGGAGTTCAAGTCCAGCCTGGCCAACATGGTGAAAACCTGTTTCTATAAAAATGTAAAAATTAACTGGGCATGGTGGCACATGCCTGTAATCCCAGCTACTCAGGAGGTTGAGGTGGGAGAATTGCTTGAACCTGGGAGGCAGAGGTTGCGGTGAGCTTAGGTTGTGCCATCACACTCCAGCCTGGGTGACAGAGCAAGACCCTGTCTCAAAATAAAATAAAAAGAATAAGAGGAAAATGTAATAGTCCCTATTTTGTTGTTATCTTGATTTTTAGGGTTGGTTGACTCTTTGTTGCTACTAATTGAGTAGACCTTGTATTATTTTGAAATAAATGAATTCTTAAAGCAATGACCACACTTTGGGAATAACTGAAAAGGTAGCCAGCAACTAGCCCAGGACCCCAAGTCATAGGAGATGCTTGCTGACTGCTTATGGCTAACGAAGATCATACTTCAGTCTGGGAAGGAGACATTCAGATAATAAATGTCAATCAGCAATGTCTGTAAAACATTATCAAAAGAAATGCATGAGGAGGAAAATATGACTCCAATGAATGGAAACAACGGAAAATGTTGTCATAAAATAGCTACAGAATTTCGGAGTGGTTAACTACATGTTTGTTTGTTTTTTTATATACTCTCTGCCCAAAATTGTTGATGCTCAGGATCCTAAAGAAAGCTAAGTAAAAATTTTCCAACTAGGCTAGCCTCTAAATTCATGCAGTGTAAAAATGACCTTTGATGGTAACACTGAGGGATGTGATTTCAATTTCAACACTATACATTTCCAAAGGATTAGAGATGTCCCTCTGACATTCCCCATGTCCTCGAATAAGCCATTTGGATATATCATTGACTCAAAAACTTATTTAAAACTTTCTTAAACTCATCTGTTTTCAACCTGCACCTCCCCATGGAATGAGGAGTTTCTCGATTTTTTTTTTTTTTTTTAGAAATTCAGAAATTTGTTTATCCTAAATTCACTTCTTTCAAATTACACTTTCAAAATATCACTAGTGCTCTACTGTGTCTCTACCCAATCTCAGTGTCTCAGTGTCTTCTCTTTCTCGGGAGCATTGCAAGAAGAAGGGAGAGCAACCCCTTTTGTACCTTTTGAAGAGAAATTGTTGAGGATAGGAGGAGGGGATGCAGAAGGAGTGCAATTACCCAAGCACAAATCAAAAAGGAGCCACTGATTACTAATGGCTGGTTTGGACTCCTGGAAGAAAGGAAATCAACATTTTATAAAAACACTAAAGAAAAGCAGTTTAGTGTCATCAGTGGCTTGGGAGTCAAACAGCCTTGGTTGGAATTCTTACCCCTTAGTAGAAGGTTATTTAACTCCTCTACACCTTAGTTCCTTCTATAAAATAAGCTACTAATTAGTCTTCACTCCATGGAGCCACTACATTATAAGTGAGAAGATTCATGTGTGCTAGGTGTTTAGCACAGAGCAGGTGCAATCAGCACCCTGGAATGTTTGCTCTGACCTTCCCTAGTCATGCTCCCACTTTACAGAATGTCATGTTGAAGGCCCCTCCAAGCTTTCATCCTGAGGAATCTTGATATGGCAGCCCGCGCTCCCAATTCCATTCAGACCCTTCAGAGGCATTCTGACTCCTCTCCAATGAGCCTTGGAATGTGGCAATTGAAATTGTTTCAAAGATTCTAGATACACTGTAATTTACAGAGTTTAGCTTGCATATCCCTTTCTGAGGATGCTTTACATTTAGTTGGCGTTTGTTTTTAGTTCCAGTACTTTGAGCTCACAGGAAACTCCATAAGGATAACTCACAGGGATTGCTGAATCCCATAATTATTTAAGTGTGATTTCCTTGTTCTCTTGCTTACCTTGAAATTTTCTACTTCTATTCTGGCCGCTCTCAGAACTTAGTGAGCTGTTTTGCCATTTATTCTTAGTAGCTTGACATTCTGCTTCTCTAGAAAACGTATCGTGATGTGCAAACTTGGAGATCTCAATTCTGAATTACTTATAGAAATTTAAGACTAATTCTAGCACAAATGCCTGGGAGGTCATTAGTATTTGCAGTTTTTCTATTCAAAGAAGAATCATCCATCTTTCCCCAGTCTTTGGCTGAGTTCTCAGTTCTTCAGGCCTGGATTTATTTTGTTTTAGGCACTAAATCCATGTGCCTGAGCTAACTTGCATTTTAACTTTACGTGGTCACTCTATCCATATCTGATATTTGGCTTTTTGCATGATTAAATTCTGGCTCCTGAGCCCCATGATTGGGGATAAGCACAGCCTTCAGTTTAGACCCTCAGTAACACACTCAGGTTAGCTGTTCCTCTAATTGTCTTTTTGCCAGGCGTTGTGCCAGCATATCCATGCTAGGTCTTGTGCTAGGGAGACATGAATTACAACCCCAGTGTTGTTTTCCTGTCTTTACTACCTCAGAGATTTCTTGTCATGAATCAAGCAACAGAACTGAAATTGATATTTAACTTTGTAAACTTCCCAGTGCCAGAATGCCCCAAATGATTACATTAAACAAGAACTACTTGCAAAGCTGTTCTTCTGTTTGTGTGTTTTGTCAGCCTTTGAAAGATTAACCATGTGTGGACGTGAATCCAATAAGAGATACATACTTCCTATGTACCGTGGAATGAGGAAGTAGCAAGGGAACTTCACTGATAGCAAGCTGGGTCTCTCTCGTGATGGAAATAACAGTGTAGGCCACATGTGGTGGCTCATGCCTGTAATCCTAACACTTTGGGAGGCCGAGGTGGAAGGATTGCTTGAACCCAGGAGTTTGAGACCAACTGGGCAACATAGTAAGATCCCATTTCTAAAAAAAAAAAAAGAAAATACAAAAATTAGCTGGGCGTGGTGGCATGTGCCTGTAGTCCCAGCTACTGGGGAAGCTAAGGCAGGAGGATCTCTTGAGCTGGGAAGATCAAGGCTGCGGTGAGCTGTGATCACACCACTCCATTCCAGCCTTCATGACAGAGTGGGACCCTGTCTCAAAGAAAGAAAGAAAGAGAAAAGAAAGATAAAGAGAGACAGAGAAAGAGAAAAAGAAAAATAGCAGTGAAGCCATTCTGCATTTTAAAAGCCAAGATTGATTGGATTCTGTAACATTCTTGGTACTGTTTTGTTCTGACTCCAAATTCCAACAGTACAATGAAAGCCAAGCCTTTTTTGGATTAAAATAAATGACTGACATTAATCTTCCTCTTGCTCATCTACTGCTTTATTACTTACAAAGCCTTGCCCCAGTCATCTCACTTAGCCAAACCCAGACCAACCTGTGCAGCTGTCCTGATAGCCCTTACTCAGAGCTTTGGTAAACCAGTTTGTTCTTTTCTTTCCAGAACCAGGTTTGGACCAGCTAAGAAAGTTCCTAGAAGCAGGCTGGGTTAGAAGAAGTCTCCCACTTTCTCCCCATATCCTTGTCTCTTCCCAAATGCTGCTACTCTGCTTTTGTTTGTTCTACTCAGACGTGTAGCTTAGTGTTCTTCCATCATAGGGGGCCTGCAGAGAACCAGGAGGGGAAGAAGAAGGACTCCACATCCTTTACTCCTTTTCAACAGCAGCCTTTGAAATCACCAGATCATCTTCGAGCTTCTCAGTGCTCCCTATTGATTCAAACAACAGATCTAGAAGTTAGGAGTCCTAGGTTCAAGTTCTTATTTTGCTACTAACTGAGTCAACTTGGGCAAGTCTTTCAACTTCCTGGGGTCCTTAAACCTCATTCTGTAGATGAGAACGTTAGATTGGATGGCCTCCCATACTCTGTCCAATCCCAGCACGCCATGTATTATAGAGAAGCTTCGAGTGCCTGCTATGAGTGAGACAGAGTCTTGGTACCTGCTCCTCAGTAACTAGAGTGCAGTTGGGGAGTGAAGGCACCACACAGTGTTATCAGTATGAGGCTATGTGTCATGGAATGCCCAGGCCGTTGATGGCTGAGACTCACAATTTTGACTGCAGCACTGGAAAATAATACTGAATGCAATTCGTAAACAAGTCTGTGAGCTCTTGGGAGGCCAAATATCATCAACTCTTTTGCAATTTGTTAGCGTAGGGACAGATGTTTGCAAATTGTAGATATTTACATGGATGAAATACAATACTCTAAGGGGATTTTATTGGAATGAAATGTCCAGTCACCATATTGTAAATTTAATTCCAACCAGAATCTTTATTAAGCCTTTGGGGCAGGCGGACATGGGGATATAAACATTTTAAAACTCGGCTGCTCTCCAGAAGCCAGCACTCGGAAATGCAGCAGTCTTCTTTCCAGTTGCTGAAAAGTTAATGTCCTATTTTAGTCACATTTAAGTAACTTTAATTGAACCTTAACTCCTATTAGCTAGTTCTTGAAACACCAAGAAAAAGTCAGGGCATGCACAGGTATTTGGAACAATAGCTACGTTTTGGGTGAGTGTTCTTAGCCACACTTGATAATGCACCAGGGTTCCCATTAAATAACAGCCCTTAGTTTAGGCCTCTCCACATGGAAGACCCTCAAAAAAATTATTGTTAGGGGATTTCCCCTGAAATTCCAGTGTACCTGAAAGCCAACTTGAATTAAAGAAAATAGGCCAGGCGCAGTGGCTCTCGCCTGTAATCTTAGCACTTTGGGAGGCCAAGGTGGATGGATCATGAGGTCAGGAGTTCAAGACCAGCCTGCCCAAAATGGTGAAACCCTGTCTTTACTAAAAATACAAAAATTAGCCGGGCATGGTGGCAGGTGCCTGTAATCCCAGCTACTTGGGAGGCTAAGGCAGAACCTGAACCCAGGAGGTGGAGGTTGTAGTGAGCCGAGATCTCGCCACTGCACTCTAGCCTGGGCAACAGAGCAAGACTCCATCTCAAAAAAAAAAGAAAAAAGAAAAAGAAAATAATTAACACTGGTGCACTTGAACATTATAAAAGTCGTTTGCATTTCCATTATTTTCTCATCTAAACCCTAGTTTACAAAGGAAAAAACTGAGATTTATGGAGATTAATCTGCTCAAGATCACATTTTCATGGCATCAAGAGTCCTCTACCTTTAACTTAAAATTCCGTGATTCTTTCCAAAGTGCTGATGATTTTAAACACAGATAAATGCAGACATAAACACAGATAGAGATGCTGGTTAAGGAGTACAAAGCTTCAGTTAGGAGGAATAAGTTCTGGAAATCTATTATACAGCATGGTGACTATAATCAATAACAATATATAGATAGTATACTTGAAAACTGCTACGGGAGTAGACTTTAAATGTTCTCATCACAAAAATGCTAGGTATGTGAGGTGATGGATACATCAATTATTTGATTTAATAATTCTATAATATATACATATATCAAAAAATCTCCATATATCTCTACATAAACATCATATATATCTATATATATCACCATATCTATATCTATATAAATATCTATATTTTATGCATACTATAAGAATAGATAAATAGATATATTTCTCCTAATAACTTTGCATTCTTTGGAGGTAAAGAAGTCCTCGAGAGGGCTGGGCACAGTGGCTTACACCTGTAATCCCAGCACTTTGGGAGGCTGAGATGGGTGGATTACCTGAGGTCAGGAGTTCAAGACCAGCCTGGCCAACATGGTGAAACCCCATCTCTACTAAAAATACAAAAATTAGCCGGGAGCGATGGCAGGTGCCTGTAATCCCAGCTGCTTGGGAGGCTGAGACAGGAGAATCACTTGAACCCAGGAGGCAGAGGTTGCAGTGAGCTGAGATCATGCCACTGCACTCCAGCCTGGGTGACAAGAGTGAAAATTACATCTCAAAACAAAAAAGTCCTCAAGAAAGAAGAAATCCTTTATTCAGTGACATTTTTCTTCCCCATACTTTTCCAGGCTTTCACATACCTTGCCTCGGTTGCATGCATTGAACTTCCCAAATATCAGACCCAAGTATGAATTTCAGGAAAAGCCAGAAAACTCCACACCAATCCTTGAGAATAATTTTAAGAAATTCTTCAGTCCTTAAAGATTCCTTTTGGTGTCCGGTGTGCTTCTTAATCAGGGCTAGCGTCCGGCCTGTTTTTAATTTCCCTCTTCTGCCATCTGCTGGTAGTACATCTGCAGTGGCATCT
Source organism: Homo sapiens (assembly GCF_000001405.40). NCBI lineage: Eukaryota > Metazoa > Chordata > Mammalia > Primates > Hominidae > Homo > Homo sapiens. The sequence goes on along the minus strand of NC_000010.11, from coordinate 113,799,753 downwards.
TCCAGAACATAAGCCACAAGATCATTCGTGTTCCTTGGGTCAGACTCTCTGTAAAACTTAAGTGATTCTCAATTCCAGCTGCATATTAGAATCATATGGGACATTTTCAAAAGTATTAATGCCCAAGTCCCACCCCTAGAGATTCAGATTCATTTAATTTGGAAACGATCACCAGTATTTTCTGAAAAGTTCACCAGAGAGTTAATACGTAATATGTAGCCAGTGAGACCCACTGGCCTAAACAATCAAGTCTAACTAGTACAGATAATGGGAAAGTTAATGTAACCAAGGAAAATCTGCATTCAATTTGGTCATATCTAGATGAGTTCTCCAACTCATTTTATACTGTTAATATAACTCACTCCAACTCTATGTGCTTTTTATGGATTAAAAAATTGAAATCAATTATTTGCAGTCTTTCAGGATTTTCCTCATGATTAAACAGGAATACACCCTAAAGTAAATCAGCTTTATTATTTTTTCCACATTTCATATTATAAGCTATGATATAAACAAGTACTAAAAATAAAATGAGTTCTGAAAAAGGTATAATTCAGAAAGAAGTAGGCTTGTATTTTATATTAATGTTCCTATAAATGTTGCATCCCTTTTCCACATTGAAGTTAGACTAAAAAATCAGAAGCTTGATTACTTTGTAAGCAGATAGATTGAAAAGGCAATTTATTTGAGATTGAATTTCTGTCTAATCATGAGGAAAACTGAAAATTTGCAGAAGAAAATAATATAAGCTTTATACACACACAATACATTATGTACAGATCCTATGTATTTTTACATATTTCAAATGAGTGGGACATAAGGGTTTGATATTCTTGGAAGTGAATTTAACAAATGATCCAAAGAATATCTAATAAAATAAGCAAGCATCAATCCTGTTTTCCCAGGAGATATTCTGTAGGTCTGAGGGTCAGGAAGCGCCCCTAGACCCCAGCTAACCCCAATCTCAAGTAGCCCAAATGGAAATGTGATGTGCATATTCTAATAGATTCTCATAATTGTTGGAATGCTTTCCATGTTGTCAGTAGAGAATGTCAGTTTTTTTTTAATCATTGCCTGTACCTCTGACTTGCTGAGCCACCTGGAACTAGGGACACCGAAGCTGTGGCATTTTCTCCTTAACTATGTGAGCTTTCTGGAAAAACAGAACCAAAATCAAAACCAACTAACCAACAAACCAACCAAACAACAACAAAAAACCCTCTTAGTAGCTTTTGGCTTTTAGACTTTGAGCTTTAAAACTTTTAGGAACACCACACAAAATTCACAATCTTGTTAAGGAGTGATTTTTCAGTCTGATGAGAGAGACTTGTCACTGTTAGCCCCAATGGTAACTTTTTGGGGAAATAATATAATAGAACATAAGCAATTCTTGAACAAGATGGATCTGAAATTTTCACTGAACTTAAAAGATTTCCAGTAAATACTAACCTTACAAAAATTAAGGCAACATGAAAGAAAGGCAGAGTAAATTCAGTTGTTTTCGGTTTTATTGCCTGATTTCAACTTGGTTTAAGTTCTAAAAATATCATGTAATTATTTCCATGGCTGAAGAAATGAGTTACAAAACTAGAGAGATGTGATCTTGAAATAATTTGAAAACAACCCACTAGCCCAATCTCTCACCCTTATTTTATCTAGAAGATTAAATGATTGTCCTGGTGAATTTCTCAATATTAATTAAAATTAGAGGTTTAGAACAATGGCTATGTCTTTGGTGAGTATTTTTAGCCATACTTGATTAGATTAAGATTCTAATTCTGATTATTTACAACAGACCTAGGGGGATAATGTGATTTTTAAAATTTCTGTTAAAATTATTTTGTACATGGAAGGAAACCATTTCAGCGCCCTTCGATACTGAAATGTAAACAGCTAGTTTTAAATTCCTGAGATTAGTGTCAATCTCAACCAAAATATTATCACTAAAATGAATTGTCATACCTATTTAAACTATTTAAAACTAAACAGGATTACTCACGGAAATCCAGTTTACTGGATTTAAACATCACCAAATTGTTTGGAAGGGAAGTTTCGTTATTTGGAGGGCAGACAGGTTTAAAATCAAGGTGAGACATAGAGAACTTAAAACATATTCAGTGTTGTACAGTGAGTAAATGGGGAGGGTGGGACTAACTTCAGATGTTTTGGTGGTCACCAATATTCCATTGCCTTGGGAACCCCGCTGTTGAACTCATTAGTGACAATACTCTCATTTTAGTTCTCTTGATAAATGCAAACCTCTGCAGATTTTAAACCAATTTCTTGCCTTTTTCAAACTGTGCACTCTGTCATTTGAATGTTAAATTCCAGAGCTCTTTATTCCAAAAGATGTCACTAGGAAATGTCTGATCCATTCCAACCGCCTTGCAGAAATACAGCAAAATTATGAAGCAAAAAAATATTTGGAGGCTTTACAAGGGTACTCATGTGGGACTGCTATTTCTCAGGACAAAGACAAGTTATTCAAAAGATTACATTTGTCAGACAAAAAAGGAGAAAGGCAAGATTATGCTGGCAGCAGAAACCCAGTCTAGCAAGACCCAAGATTTTAGGAATAACAGCAAATTCACAAAAGGGTTTTGATGTTATCAGTATGTTAAATCTATTGAAAAATTTTAGATGATTAATTTAAAATATGTGTATTTAGTCCATAGCATAATTATACTTAATTTTAGCATAAGTACACTATTAATTTTCTTTCCTTCCTTCCTTCCTTCTTCCCTCCCTCCCTCCCTTCCTTTTCTTTCTTCTTTTTCTTTCTTTTCTTTCTTTCTTCTTTTTTTGAGACAGGGTTTCCCTCCCATTGCTCAGGCTGGAGTGCAATGGCACAATCTTGGCTTATTGCAACCTCCACCTCCCGGGCTCAAGCAAGTCTCCTGCCTCAGCCTCCAGGGTAGCTAGGACTATAGGTGCATGCCACCGCACCTGGCTAATTTTTGTATTTTTTGTAGAGATGATGTTTTGCCATGTTGGCCAGGCTGGTCTCGAGCTCAAGTGATCCACCTGCCTCGGCCTCCCAAAGTGCTGGGATTATAGGCGTGAGCCACTGCACGCGGCCTCACTATTAATTTTCAATTCAGATGTCAGTCATTAAAAAGTCCCTAAAATAATTGGCAGGAAATATATAGCTTCTAAGAACTTTGTGTGGAAAACAGATCTATTATTATAATTTTTATGCTGGAATTGATGATTTTACCAAAATGTAAGCTCCATGAGATCAGCAATTTTTTTACTTCTTTGGTCTGTTTTGTTGTTGTTTGTTTGTTTTTTAGATGGAGTCTTGCTCTGTCGCCAGGCCAGAGTGCAGTGGTGTGATCTCGGCTCACTGCAGCCTCTGCCTCCCGGGTTCAAGCGATTCTCCTGCCTCAGCCTCCTGAGTAGCTGGGACTACAGGCACGCGCCACCACGCCTGGCTAATTTTTGTATTTTTAGTAGAGATGGGGTTTCACCATGTTGGCCAGGATGGTCTCGAACTCTTACAGTTCTGGTGCCTTGATTAGTACTTGGAATGTGATTGGTCCTAGAAATATTTGTTGAGTGAACGGCTTTTCTTAAACTGATACAAATTGGCTAGCAAGTAGACAAAACTAAAATTGTGGACAACTTACCAAAGCTAAAGAGCACTTAGTACTTAGAGCTTATTCCTATTTTCAGGTTTCATCAATTTGGGATTAAGGAAGGGAATTTGGTTTTGATGTTGATTTTGTTTTTACCAAATCTTCAGCCCCTGTATGTGCAGCCACGTGCTCACCTTGACAGTTTGCAATGCCAGAGATGGCAATAGAAAGAGGGGTTATATTTAATGTGTCTTTATGTCTTCAGGGTGTCTTGTGCATAGTGGGTATTCAGTGCATACTTATAGAGTTGTGTTGGAATAGGCAACTTACGTTTTAAGCATAGCTTTCTATTTTTCTTGGCAAATTTTATTCTGGGAAAGGAACGACATAAGCGCTGAACACATAGACATATTGTTATTCAGTCCTGCCACAATGATTAAGTTTGGTTTTATTTCCAGACCTGAAATGAAAATCAGTTAACATATGGGAAATGCTGCACAATTCCTCTCTACCTGCCTGTCATTTTCTAAGGAAGTGCTAGCTGCATGCTTTCCCATGTGGTTTTACAGTGGATTTATGTTGTATTAAGATACTGTGGTTAATAAGCATTTCGATATGAGAGTCAGGTAGGTTGACACTTACTGGCTAAGTTTGCCCTGTGCTGCCCCCACCTAAGCAGGGCTCATGTCACACAGCAGGGGAGACTTCATGGCTGAATTTTCATAGGATGGCACCAGGGGCAGTTGGGCACTCAAGGAGTGGGTACAGTGAATGCACTTTCCACCTCCTCACTACACCTTCCCCTGTCCTATCAGTCCACATTCTTTAAAGTCACTGCAGTGTTTTTGAATGCTAACTTTCTATACACTTTGCTTCCTTTCCAAGTGGCAATCTTCGTGTCTAGAGTGATGGGATCCAGAATTTTCCCATCTGAAAAGACATACGTTTTTCCTAAATATTCATTTAGTCTTTAATAATTGGCATCCCAAGAAAATCAACAGAGCGTTTAACGGTAGCAGCTTCACCTGATGGTCCCTGAGTCTTTAAGTGATTCCCTCGTACCATGCACTCGAGGCAGAAACTCCCACTAACTGCTGGGGACCCCGACCTTGAAGGCACAGCATTTATACTGAGAAGCTGGGTGACAAGTAGACTGACTGCCATTATAGATGAACAGAAGCAGGTGTGGATGCTTCAAGCCATGGTGGTGATGAGAAAAGTAGTTCTTTCTCAACCTAAAAGACAATAACCAATGTTGGCTTACTTTGAAGCCAGATCACTTCCAGAACCCTGAAGTCACATAGTCACAGGATTTGATTGCTTTATTTTGTGAAGGACAATGAGGGAAGTGACTTTTTTAGATCATGTCATTTCTATATTAGAGGTCTAGCTTTAAATTCTTGAACTGCTTGGGGCACAAGGACTGAAAATATGATAGAACCCAAGCTTCTAGCCTAGACATTCTCTGATACAATATCATGCAGAAAGAGTTGTATTTGTTTAAGGGCTCAAAGAAATGAACAAAGGATTAAAAATCCTGAGAGAAAGATAGAAAGAGACAAATATCAATAGGCACACAAGAGAATGAGTCTAAGATTATAACAATAATCAAATGTGGAACACTTTTTTAAGCATAATGGGATTAAAATAAATTTTGACTGCAAAACAAAGACCTCAAATAACTATCTTCCTCTGAAGAATTTTTGGGAAATGTGTCTCTGGAAAGTATGTCATGTGGCTGCCATCTGTCAGATGAAATTAAGGAAATAAATCTGCTGATTCGTTGACCAGCCAGCCTGTCATTATTGTTCTCTCAACATGAAATAATAGACAAGTTATTAAGTTAAAAGGTTTTTGGATATTAACTTTAAAAAGGAGAAGAAAGGATAATTTTCAAGTGGGAAGAAAAGTAGGTACTGGAAACCACCTTGATTTTGTGTTGACATCAAGATATGACAAACAAAACATGACGTCTATTGACATTGGCAAAAATGAAATGTTTCAGTGATACCCAGAGAAAGTCAAGACAAATGAGTGGGATTTGTTTTTCCATCAAAGGGTAGGGCAAGTTTTAGGAATCTGGGTGAGATGTTGCATCTGTTAACATTTTGTGGGGAAAATTAGTTCACATAGACTGATAAATCCCAGTGACTGTAGAAACCATCTGGACTTCCCATATTCCTCTCCATAACCTCTCTCCAACATGGACTGTCTTTCCTAGTTAGACAAGAATGTGGAGTTAGATCTTAGTTCTACAACTTAATAACTGTATGACCTCTCTGATCTTTAGTTTCCCCATCAGTAAAATGGGAATAATCCAACACCCAACCTTATAAAAATTATTGGGAGGATTAAGTGAAACAATGCTTACAGAGGGCTTGGCTCGCTTCCTGCTGTAATCACTCAACAGATGGTAGTTTTCATTATTTTTATGTGCAGTGTCTCTTCACTATTATGTTCATTTTAAGTCATTTTTCTCCCTATGCTCAATCTACTTGTCTTTCCAAATGTCATTCATCCTTTAAGTCCCAATTTAAGACCTGCTTGTTTCAGGGAGCCTTCTTTGAGTACAATAGCTTGTATGCATGTTCACTTTCTCTGAATTCTTGCATCACTTATGGTTTATATGGTGGGTTAGGCACCTAAATACATTCTCTCTTCTGTTTCACAATACTTAGTTCATGCTAATTATTCATATTTCCGTGAATGGATTTAGACTGATAGGCCTTAGGGTTTCATGGGTTTCTTAAAAGATTACATTACCATTTGTCAAAAAAAATTTCCATTTTACTGATGCAGTGATTGTGACCTAGAAAGGTGAAGTGAATTTTCCAGGCTAAAGATCAAACTCAGTGGTACATCAGTAGGACTCTAAAGACTGTGCCTTATACAGTGGGCCTTGAAGGGAGGCCAACCTGAGTGAGAATCCATCACCTCAACACAGTTATTTAACCTCTCTGATCTGAAAAATGACGTTGACAGTACTTACCTTGCAGTTGTTGAGGAGATTAAATGGAATAATGTTTATAAAGTCCTAGCACAGCACCTCACATTGTTGAGTAGATGTTCAAAAAATCAGATCCCTTTCATTCATTTTGTTGGTTTTCAGACCGAGTCTTTCTCTGTCACCCAGGCTGGAGTACAGTGGCATAATCTCGGCTCACTGTAATCTTCAAGTGATCCTCCTGCCTCAGCCTCCTGAGTAGCTGGGACTATAGGTGTGCACCAACAGCCTGACTAATTTCTTTATTTTTAGTAGAGACAGGGTTTCACCATATTGGCCAGGCTGGTTTCAAACTCTTGACCTCAAGTGACCCACCCACCCTGAAGTGCTGGGATTACAGATGTGAGCCACCGCAACTGGCCCATTTCTTTCTGCGTCTTTAGGAATAAAGAAGATACCTTTTATAGCATCTACATTCCAAACCTATATTAAGCAGCACTGAATAAATTCTTGGTTTAATGACTCAAGGGCAAAGTGGAGGGCTTTTGCTAGTGACAAATGTTAGAACTCTATTATCCCTAGAGTCTCTGAACTATACAGCTCTAAGAACTCATCTACATAAGCAAAAGCAACTAGAGACTTGGGGTACCCGTGGGCATTGCAGCTGCACTTTGTGGAAGGCTTTGCATTGTGAGATGGTTACCTCATATTTCACTTCAATTTGACATGCAATTGTTATTATTTCAAGCACTCTTAAAGACTCTTGTGGTTTTTAAATTTTATTTTTAAAGACTCTTAAATATAAACACGACCAAGGTGTGGTTTTGTCCTCAAAGAATCCATGGATTTGTGTGGAATAACAGATATATTTACAAATAACCTCAATAGATTTGCATGCTGCAGAGGGAATGGATACAAAGTGATGTGGAAATACAGATGGGACAATCAATTAGGTCCAGGAAGGAGAAGCAAAGAGAGCTGTTGAGAAGCATGACATTTGAGCTAGACCCTGTGGGTTGAATGTTTACCAAGTAAATACATACTTTATTAAAATCGTTCAGAGCACTGCAATATGCTTCATGCTTCTTTTCTCTTTAATTCCTAGATCACAGAGAGTTAATAAGGCAATCCTGATATTGTTTTAATGATCTGGGTGATCTACATTCTCAAAATCTAGCGAATTGGGAAGGAGGGATAGCAGGGGAAAGGAGGGTTGCAGAGGTGAAAATGCTCTGATGATCATGAATAGCATGCAAATGCCTAACAGCCACCATGAGACCATGTGAAGGGAAGCATCCTTCCTGAATTGATGGCGACACTAGTATCAAGTCTATTTATATAGCTCAATAAATAAAGACTGCATTAAACATGTTCACAGCACTGCCTAATAAATCCACAACCCAGCTCAAGTTTGGCTTATGTAAACTGGGAGGAATCTTGGCAGAGCCCTTTGCAGTTTCACTCACTTCAAAAGTGTAAGATATTAATTAAGGAAAAGGTAGATTATAGCATCTAGGCTGATTTGTGCTGGCAACATCTTGCTAGCAATCTGTAATCGCTCAAGACTAATTTCTTCCTAAATATCCCTCTTCTTGAGTTTAAGCCCACGCCTCCTCCACTTAGCTCGCAGTTAGAGCTTCTCGTCTCCTAGCTAGGCCTTATGATTTGGTCATTATTTAGACTTTTGAAGACCTTTTCTCCTACAGTGTTAAATTTTATGTGATTTTGCCTGGCAAGATAATGGGATTGCAAGACAGTCTATGAGAAATCAGGGTTGGATTAGCATATAAGGAAAACACACATACACACACACGCACCAAGAAACCCCAAAACAAAACATTTGGTCAAGGGGTTACCTTTCTTTGGAGCGCAGCAAAATCCTGCCAGTCCCAAATATGCAAAAATAGCAATTATGTTTTCTTATCAACTTCCAAAAGAAGGCTTTAGGGGAGAAAGTGTAATTTCTAGCTACTTTAGCCACTGTCAATAGCTACTTAGCTATTGATAAGTTGAGAAATATGCCATTTGTCTTGGGTGCTTTACTGGTATCTTTCCACTTTCTCTGAAATCTAGCTTCGCACATCCTGCTCTTCTGGGCACTGAGTGCCCTCTTGTCCTTTCTTGCCATCTTTTTGCTCTGTTAAGATGCATATAGTCATTTACACTTTAGTATAAACGGATCTTCAAGTGGAACCCCTGGTTGTTGGGGGTAATTTTATTTTAAGATTTGATGATTATAGTAATTATTAACTATAAAGGAGTTAAAGATTCTCATTGAGCAGGTAGTCAACTGTTTCTTCTGCGGGGAAACTCTTAGGAGATTCACATGAAGTACTGTTTTAGAAAAGGCTGCTTAATTACTCCACGGGAAAGTGACTCCTGCCTTTTTTCTGTATGAACTATAAATGAAGCCCATTTCCAACATTGAAAGATGCCTTAATATAAAACTTCCCTACCCCGGTTTAGAGTCTAAGAGGGAAATTTTCTTTTGTATTTTTTATATATGCCATATAAATTTACATACCATAACATTCACCTTCTTAAAGAGTACAATTCAGTGGTTTTAAGTATATTCATGTAGTTGTACAATCAACCTCGCTATCCAATTTCAGAATTTTTTTTTTTTTGAGATGGAGTCTAGCTCTGTCACCCAGACTGGAGTGCAGTGGTGCAATCTCAGCTCACTGCAACCTCTGCCTCCCAGGTTCAAGCGATTCTCCTGCCTCAGCCTCCCAAGTAGCTGCGATTACAGGTGCCCACCACCACACCCAACTAATTTTTGTATTTTTAGTAGAGATGGGGTTTCACTGTGTTGGCCAGGCTGGTCTCAAACTCCTGACCTCGTGATCCCCCTCCCTTGGCCTCCCAAAGTGCTGGGATAACAAGCATGAGCCACCGCACACAGCCCAATTTCAGAATATTTTAATCACCCCAAAAAGAAACCCATTAACAATCACTTCATTCTCCCTTCCCCCATTCTCTGGCAACCAGTAATCTACTTTTTGTCTCTATGGATTTGTCTGTGCTAGACATTGTATATAAACAGAATCATGCAATATGTGACCTTTTATGTCTGGCTTCTTTCACTTAGCATGATGTCTTCAAGGTTCATCCATGTTGTAGCATGTATCAGTACTTCATTCTTGTTTGTTTGTTTTTTTTCTTGAGACAGAGTCTCACTCTGTCACTCAGTTCGGAATGCAGTGGCACTATCTCGGCTCACTGTAACCTCCGCCTCCCAAGACTCAAGTGATCCTTCCACCTCAGCCTCCTGAGTAGCTGGGACCACAGGTGTGTGCCACCATGTCCAGCTAATTTTTTATATTTTTGATAGAGACGGGATTTTGCCATATTGCCCAGGCTTGTCTCAAACTCCTGAGCTCAGGAGATGCATCCGCCTTGGCCTCCCAAAATGCTGGGATTACAGGCATGAGCCACCATGCCCGGCCTCTTTTTTATGACTAAATAATATCCCATATTATTTATTCCATGAATATATCACATTTTATTTATCTATTCCTCAGTTAATGGACATTTTCACTTTTTGGCTGTTATGAATAACGCTACTATGAACATTCATACACACGTTTATGTGTGGACATATATTTTCATTCTACAAGGGAACTTTTTACCCCTAAACAATTTTCACACCTGTATCCTTAATTAGGCTATCACCTCCCTGAGGGAACATATTTTATTCCTGTTAATATCACCAGTGCCTGACAGTCCCCTGAACCCAGAAGATGCTGGAAAAGTGATGACAGTGACAGCCGACAGGGATTAGGGAGTTCTACAGGACGCTTGAGAACTTCTTTGGCCCTCCAGTTACATTCTGGTGGCTGTGCACTGGGGGTTTGACCTGTTCTAGAATATTAAGTGAATCCTATTCATTCTTCAAGACATGAAATCCCTCCCACTACATCTCTGCACCCCAAATATATCCCTCCCTTGAAGCTTTTTCCAAACCAACTAGATAGAATTAGTCTTTAAGCCTTTTGTGTTTGTAACATTGAGTTGTGACTTTAACAAAGGATTTAGGATAATCATATTTGCCTTGTAGGTATCTATGTGTATGTTTTTATTACCTTCACTTGATGACGAGGTCTACAAAGCCAAGGATTCTTTATTATCTCCTGTCCAGAGGACTAGCCTAATGCCTTTGTCACTAGAAGTATGCATTAGTTTTGTATTAACTTGAGTATAATATAGAGCCAGATGGCCAACTCAAAGGAGGGTTATGAAACGCGTTTACTAGTCATAACAGAAGCTGCCACAGAATTCCCCTGGCTCCCGGAACCACAAAAGGAACCACTTTTGTGATTCTTCTGGGCAATAGGCCCAAAGATGAATGCGTGTTACTGAAATGAGAGATGTATAAAAACGCTGAGTCATTCTATGAGTCATTCCAACATGTTCCCTGTTTTTACTTTTGGAAAGTGAGCTCCATGTCTGATCCTGTCTGCACCGCCGTCCCTTGCTGGATTATTCTCTTCCAGAGCTCAGTTTCAGCTCCTCTTTCAGGACGCCTGTGGTCTCCAAAGCCAGTCTTTCTGGTCTGAGTTCTGGCTCTGTCTGGTACTAGCCATAGCCCTGAGCAAGCGATGTATCTTCTCTGTGCTTTGTCTCCCCATCCGAAACCCGGGGACAATAAGAGTCCTGGTCTCGCAGGGCTGTTTTTTGTTTTGTTTTTGTTTTGAGAGAGGGTCTCGCTCTCTCACCCAGGCTGGAGCGTAGTGGCAGTATCTCAGCTCACCGCAACCTCCACCTCCCGAGTTCAAGCTCAAGCGATTCTCCTGCCTCAGACTCCCGAGCAGGTGGGATTACAGATGCCCGCCACGACGCCCAGCTTATTTTTGTATTTTTGTAGAGACAGGGTTTCTCCATATTGGCCAAGCTGGTCTTGAACTCCTGACCTCAAGTGATCCACCTGCCTCGGCCTCCCAAAGTGCTGGGATTACAGATGTGAGCCACTGCACCTGGCCCACAGGGCTTTTATAGGAGTCAGTAGAGTGTTTGAATATTGCCCGGCAGATAGAAGGCACTCTCTGCATGTTAGTCATGGTTGGCATTCTGTTCCATCACGATCTCCTTCCTTTCTGAACCCTGCTATCACCATGTAGTTTGATAGTTCATTGTCCTCTGATTTTTCTTGGAGAGTGATTTTACACTGCCTCTAATTATTTTTCTGGTGGTCTCACCTATCCAGAACATACTTGAGAGCCAAGAGGCAAGCAAATGGCAATACCTCCACCGCCACCACCACCACTAGCACCAAGGCAACTGAGAACTCTAAATCAGTGTCACAGAACCCCTGGATTAAGAACCAACATCTTTACTCATAAAACCTCTTGGACCTACACTCAAAGCCTATTGATTCCTAGTGTGTATGGTTAGAACAAGCTGCATCCTCTGCTTTTGCAGCCCACAGCATAAACAAAGCAGTCTAGGATCAATTGGCATAGGTGGGAATAGTCCCCCACAGCTCAGTACTCCTTAGGAAATATTTAGAGTGTGGTAGATACTTAGAATGCCCATAACCATGTCCCTGAGTGGGAGGAGTTTAAGAATACAGGAAAGTGTTAAGAAATTTTAGAAAGATTATGATTCATATAAGCTAAAAATTAAACTTACAGAATAGTGCCATCTCAAATCATATCAGGTAAACAAAAGATCATGGTATGCTCAACTTTTCTCTTCCTCACTGTGTAGTAAGCTCTTTTTAAGAGAGTTTTAGATCTTCTATTTCTTTTATGTCCCCATAACAGCACCAAGCCTATTAACTGCTGCATAGGAACCTTAGAAATCTCTTAATTGTTGAAAAAATAGCTTACATTAAAAAGGCCCGGCATGGTGGTTCATGCCTGGAATCCCAACACTTTGGGAAGCTGAGGCAGGCAAATCACTTGAGCTCAGGAGCTCGAGACCAACCTGCAACGTAGTGAGACCTCATCTCTACAAAAAACACACACACAAAATTAGCCAGGTGCAGTGGTGTTTGCCTATAGTTTCAGCTACTCAGGAGGTTGAGGTGAGAGGATCGCTTGAGTCTGGGAAATCAAGGCTGCAGTGAGCCAAGATCCTGCCACTGCACTCCAGCCTGGGTGACAGGAACAAGACGCTGTCTCAAAAAAAAAAAAAAAAAAAAAAAAAAAAAAAAAAAAGCCCATAGCTTGATTTTCAATTAATTGCATCTGACCCCAGACCAAAAAGTAGTTATTAGCCTCACATTGGAATGACTCTGATAACATTTTTTGTGGTGGTGGGGGGGGGGGGGGCGGGGGGTGGTGCTGGGGTCAGATGCAATTAATAAATACCAATTTATGAACAAGGTTTGTGAATTATATTTAACAGAACATTCCTTCTTTTAACATATACTTATTGAGTACTTGTTATGTGCCATGCCCTATATTTATATGCTAGGAATATGGTGGTGAATAAGAAAGATGTGAATTATTTTCCTCTTGGGGGCTTAATACTCTGGATCAGTGCTGGCCTCTAGAAGTTTCTGTGATGATGAAAATATTTCACATCTGTGCCATCTAATACAGTACCAAATTGCCATACAGGGTTATTGAATGCTTCAAATATGGCTAGTGCAACTGAGAAACTGAATTTTAAATTTTATTTAATTTGCATTAGTTACAGTTAAATGGCCCCATGAAACTAGTGGCTTCATATGAGGCAGCACAGCTCCAGAGCCCAGTGCTGTGACTGCAAGGGGGCCCCTTAAACCTCCCTTCATTTTCTAGAACCATCTAACCAGAGTTGATATGGAGAACGGCCCCTAAGTCCTACCAGATTCTTGATCATTAGACAAAGACTTCATTAACTCAGACATTTTAAAGAGCTTTTTCAGTAAAACACATATCTTGCATATCCACAAAGTTCAACTTCACTGAAGAACTCTGAGTTAATACAGCTGAATCTGAGCATCCTCTCCCTTTGGGCCTGTTTATGATACTTTAAATTCCTCTTATCATCTCAAGGGAAAGTCACTTGGCACAAGCTCTGGAGAGAAATGGGATGGAGGTGGGGGGATCGTGGTGCGCCATCATCTTACCTTATTAAAGAATTATTGTGATTCTCCACCTGTCCTCTCCACTCCCCCTCAATATACACAGACACACACACATTTAGGTACATATATTGAATGTACAGTGGCTCAATCTCTAGGTAGAGAAGAATACCTTGCTGGAATCTACACTCACATGTTGACAGCTTCAAGTAAGGATGCATGTATTTGGCCCTCTGCATTCATTCCTTATCCTACCAGCTGCTTTTAAGATTTCACTCTGAAGGGTTTGCATCCTCAGCCGAGAGAACAAAGTGGAAATATATAGACTCCCTCTGTGGCCTGTTCTGCAGGCATAAGGCAAGCATTTGGAAGGGAGAGCAGGCCGGAGAGGTGGTAGCTCCAGATGCCCTGCTGAGAAGTGTGAGTGCAGGGAAGGTGTTGGCCTGGGAGGTGGAGGCATGGCATGGAGCTGGGGAAGCCCAGGCCAATATCTCCACATGTCTGGGCTCTGGTTTCTTCTCCAGCAAGACTGAAGGGCTGCACCAGATTTGAGCCGAGGATGTGATGGCCAAGAATTGCTCCAGTCCATTCTCATGACCTCCTTTCCTCCAGAAATCTGCCAGACAGGGCCATCCTGGCAGGACAGCTGAGCCAATCACTTTGTAGTCCCCAGCCCCACATTCACCCACCTAGAACCAGGTCGGGACAAATATCAAGGGCAGTTCTGGAAGGGGAAATATCACAGGTGGCAGAAGAAACTGAGGGTGGGTGTGGACGTGGCTGTGGTGGGCAGTGTGTCAGGAGGGTCTGTCCCACCCTCTTAGCTCTGGCAGAATCATATAATTATATATATATATATATATATATATATATATATATATATATATATATATATATATATATGAGGCACAAGTGTTTTTCTAGCCTCGGCCTGGGAACTGTCTGCATCTCCCAGCAGCCTGTCCTATACCTTTCTTTTCTTAGCCGTGCAGCAGAAGAGGGCTCTAAAAGCTGAGGTCTGAGACAAATGGCTTGATGACTGGGCTTTGGGGCCAGTTTGGTCATGAGCTTCCCTTGGGGCCACTCCCATTTTCAGGAGAAAGAGCCTTGTTGGACCCCTGGGGAAGTGTGGTCCCCAGGCCTGGGAAAGAAGGGGCATAGAGGAGTGAACCCGGGCCCTGAGGAGCGGCAGGCAGAAGTGGCTTTGCTGAAGCCAAAGCTGTGGGCTCCTCTCTCCACCTCAACTGCACAACAGCATGTGGCAGTGCCCAGTTCCTCCAGGCACTGGTTGTACCCTTCCCTAAGTAACAGATAGCAAGGAGTGAAAGCCAGGCTTCTCCCTTCAGGAATCAAGCCTTTTTGCAGGTGGGGAGGGGGTGACAGCCATTAACGTCTTTCGGAACTATTGGAAACTGTGGGCCTTCTCCCCTCAATAACGCCCGTGTGCGTCCTCCACATTCTGCAGCCTCTTGGGAGGACTCGCGTGCCTCTCCACGGGACCCCAGGCACAATGCTCCCCAGTGTATGTTCCCTGTTCCACCTGCAGTCAGATCCCCTTCAGGGAAGGTGGCTGTTAGAATGCAGATTCCACAGCCCCACACCGGATCTGCAGAATCAGAATCTTTCAGTTGGGGAAGCCTTGGAATCTGCCCTGAGATTTTCCTTGAGAACAAACTCCTCATGTGAGAGAAGCCCCCAGAGCAGGATCCTAATAACAAGGACCCCAGCTGGCCCTGATGTTGGAGGAAAGTTTTGGGATTAAGAGAGGGCCAAGGGTAAGTTGGCTGATCTCCCCGTGCTGGGCTGGGAAGAGCATGGGATTGGGAGCCAGGAGTTCTGTGTTCTGGGCCCGGCACTTCCTTGAGCCATGTCAGTGATTCAACTCCTGAGGCCTCCCGCTGTTCTTTGCCTCATTGAGGGGGTGGAAAGACTGGTGGGTAAGGCTTGTCCACCAGCCTCCATTTAGCATTTATTGGCCTGGTAGTGTGGCCTCTGAGCAGGCCCAGGGAAGGATCTTTGGGCTTCAAAGCCGTGTATCCACCCACACTATTGGTTGCCAGGTGGTTTTACCTGCAGGTTTTTTTTTTTATTTCTTTCATTGTAGTGGCTTGGCTTCTCATTTCTGAAAGTTTAAAAAATATGTACATGTGGCCGAGCACGGTGGCTCATGCCTGTAATCCCAGCACTTGGGGGGGGCCGAGGCGGGCGAATCACCTGAGGTCAGGAGTTCAAGACCAGCCTGGCCAACATGGCCAAACCTAGTCTCTACTAAAAGTACAAAAAAATTAGCCAGGTGTGGTGGCGGGCGCCTGTAATCCCAGCTACTTGGGAGACTGAAGTAGGAGAATCGCTTGAACCTGGGAGGCGGATGTTGCAGTAAGCCGAGATCACACCACTGCACTCCAACCTGGATGACAGAGCAAGACTCTGTTTTAAAAGAAAAAAAATGTGCATATATATTTATATATACATTCCCACGCTTGTATTTTTGTATTATAAAAGTGACATATGCACATTGCAAAAAAAAGTATTCAAACATTACAGAAATGCCTCTCTTCCCATGGCCAACCCTGATCGTATTTCTCAGAGATAACTCTTTACTAAAAATTTGACTCTAAGTTTTAATTTTTTAAAAAAGCACGTAGAGCAAAAGTGGGACAAAGAACACCTATGGAGTGTTTACTCCTGATCAGGCAGTGTACTTATAAGGAAACCTCACAGTAGCCCTGGGAGGTACGGACCTCTCACTCTAGTAAGGGTTGAAGAAATTTGATATACACATATACATACACACAAACACCAAACATTTATTTGTACAAAAGTGGGATGATGTTATCCTTATTATACAACTTGATTCTTTCATTCTTAATGTATCACGAACAATTTTACAGAACTGTGCCTGCTGAACATTTTAATATCTACAGTGTTCAATGATATGAAATCAGAATTAAGCAATACCCACATGATTTTTTTTTTTTTTTTGAGACTGGGTTTTCCTCTTGTTGCCCAGGCTGGAGTGCAATGGCATGATCTTGGCTCACTGCAACTTCCGCCTCCCGGTTCTAGTGATTCTCCTGCCCCAGCCTCTCAAGTAGCTGGGATTGCAGGCATGTGCCACAATGCCCAGCTAGTTTTGTATTTTTAGTAGAGACAGGGTTTCTCCATGTTGGTCAGGTTGTTCTCGAGCTCCAGACCTCAGGTGATCCACCTGTCCCGGCCTCCCAAAGGGTTGGAATTATAGGCATGAACCACCACGTCCAGCCTGATTTTTTATTATTACAAACAGTACTGCAGTAAACTACTTTTTTTACATGTATCTTTGTGTATTTGTGTATTTCTGCATGATAAATTTATAAAAGTAGAAACAGCAGATCCAAAAGGGCATGCGTTCTCACATTAAATAAAGAAATCCCCAAGACCAGGTAATTTATAAGAAAAGAGGTTTGATTGGTCCACAGTTCTGCAGGCTGTACAGGAAGCGTGGCAGCATCTGCTTCCGGGGAGACCTCAGGAAGCTTTCACTTGTGGCAGACAGAGCAGGCATCTTACACGGCAGGAGCAGGAGGAAGAGAGTGAGCGGAGAGGTGCTGCACACTTTTAAACAACCAGATCTCACGAGAACTTACTATCACGAGAACAGCGCCAAGGGGATGATGCTAACTCCTTCGTGAGAACTCCACCCCCACGACCTCACGATCCAGCTGCCTCCCACCAGGCTCCATCTCCAACACCGGGGACCACAGCTCGACATGGGATTTGTTAGGGACACAGATCCAAACCGTATCAGCATGTAAATGAAAAATTTTTAATACTTTCCGAACAATCTGGGTAACAGGAAATGAAATGTATTTGAATGTCTCTTCTAAGTGCTGAAGGTATTTTCAAATCCAAGTTCAACTATGAGGCTGGCATCTGGACATTTGTTTCCCAGAGCTGGTTTTAGATTCTTGGTTCTGCAACTGAACGGTTATGAAACTTGGAGAAACAAAGAAAATATGCCTTTCATCGCTCCGGGGCTCGATTTTTTCCATGTGAAGCATGGTAAAATACTCTTTCTGAAGCCTGTTTTTGCTCTAACACCCCCCGATTTGATTAGTGCTTTAGCTCTCTGCCTTTGTTTTCCTATTTATATAAAAGAATTTTATTCCTTTGGCCTTCCAGGATCAATTAGTCAATGGATCCATTAGTGAAGAACTTTCAACCTTGAAGTGCTAAGTAGTTCTGTTATTGCTTGTAGAGCAAGCTGATCTTGGCTGCATGTGATGTAAAACTGCTGCGACTTCTAAAATCGTTGCTGAGTCTTTAAGAGAACAAGATACTTATTGAATCCAAAAGGCCACTCTGTCTCAGCACTCTGGCCTGTGGGGTTGAAGAGAGGCAGGTGTTTGGGAAGGGGATGTTTGGGAAGGAGGTGTTGGGGAAGGAGTTGTTGGGGAAGGGGGAAGGAGGTGTTGGGAAGGAGGTGTTGGGGAAGGAGGTGTTGGGGAAGGAGGTGTTTGGGAAAGAGGGGTTTGGGAAGGAGGTGTTGGGAAGGCGGTGTTGGGAAGGAGGTGTCTGGGAAGGAGGTGTTTGGGAAAGAGGTGTTTGGGAAGGAGGTGTTGGGGAAGGAGGTGTTGGGAAGGAGGTGTTTGGGAAGGAGGTGTTTGGGAAGGAGGTGTTGGGAAGGAGGTGTTGGGAAGGATGTTGGGGAAGGAGGGGTTTGGGAAGGAGGTGTTGGGAAGGAGGTGTTGGGGAAGGAGGTGTTGGGGAAGGGGGAAGGAGGTGTTGGGAAGGAGGTGTTGGGGAAGGAGGTGTTTGGGAAAGAGGGGTTTGGGAAGGAGGTGTTGGGAAGGAGGTGTTGGGAAGGAGGTGTCTGGGAAGGAGGTGTTTGGGAAAGAGGTGTTTGGGAAGGAGGTGTTGGGGAAGGAGGTGTTGGGAAGGAGGTGTTTGGGAAGGAGGTGTTTGGGAAGGAGGTGTTGGGAAGGAGGTGTTGGGAAGGATGTTGGGGAAGGAGGTGTTGGGAAGGAGGTGTTTGGGAAGGAGGTGTCTGGGAAGCCTGATCAGCTATCACATCTCCCTTGGGAATCTTGCCTTCATGCAGTGAGTATTTGCAACTGTATGTCCCTTAACAAAGAAGGAATTGTGTGGACCACATCCTCACAGAACACAGCATGTATTACATGAAGGACTGACCCAATCTGTGTCTGTGGTGTTTGGGACAATAGCTGAGATAATAAGGCCTTCCAATTCCCCCAGGTTCTCCAATCATGCCACATGACCCTCTTAGCATCTCTGATACAATAACCAGAGAGGGGATAGTCATCCCCATTGTTAAGATGCAGATGCAGAAATTCAGAGGGGGGTGCCGACTGTCTCCTATCACATGGCAGCAGCAGGGGGCAGAGCTGGACAGTCCCAGCTCCATCCTGGTTCTGCTGCCATGGGTCTGGGGTGCGTTACTCCCTGGCTCCTTTCTGCTGGCTCTTTTTAATGGCCGGACTCCTCTTGGGAGCTCTGTTCAGTCTAGGCTTATCCAGCTGAGAAGGTGCAGCACTTTGGCATTTTGAGGGACACATACAGGATGCAGCATGGAATGTCTCTGAATTTGGGATCCTGCCGATGGTAAGCTTTAATTTCTAAAACACAAGAAAGAAGAAAGTTAAATGGCTAAAGATTATCTTTAAGATTGTTGCTTCCCAATCTGTCCTCATTCATACCCTTGGGAGCTGGTATTGAAGAAAGTCCTGCAGTGAACTGTAATATCTGGGCCAGAAATAGACAGGGATGACTTACTTGGCTAGTTAGGTGGAAGGTGGATTTTTATTTTCTGGCATCCATGGCCTGAAAAGGAAGCTGAGCTTTTAAGGAAGGATCCAGGTAGCATTGATGGTGCTCTAAGGGGTCCAATTGCACCAAGAATTAAAAAGGCCTCTTCAAACAAGTGAATCAAAATGAAACCACCAGACAGGACTCCCCCAGACAAGATTGGGAGGAAACTTAAACTTGATCAGTTTCTCCTGCAACCTGTCATGTCCTTCCCCTGCACACACCTTCTCCCCTTCCCTTGAAAATCTCAGTTCTCTCCCCTCCCAATCCCTGCCCCATCCCCACCCCAACCTCCACTTCCCTCATCTGTAGCATAACAGGAAGGAGAGTAAATGGGATTGGCTCAGGCACTTTAAAACATCAAGGGCCAATGGCTGTTCTTCCTTTGGTTCCATATCTCCCTTTTCCAATATTCTTTTTCCTTCCAGGGACTATGTGTTTGAATTTTAAAAGAGCAGTGGATACCCATCAACACAAAGAAATCAGGAATGGAGGCAGTGGGAAAGTAAGGGAATTTTCTATCTTCCAGATAATCATGAAGATGAATACTGCATATTTCTCAATAGCATGTAGGGGCTGTTATCAATTAGAAAGGGAAGGCAGAACGAGCACAAGAGAAATGCAATGACTCCACAGTCTAGAAAGGCAGTCAGGATAAACTGCAGTCAGCAACACCCAGGTACAGTTCCTGGATCTGCTCACAGGCAAAAACCCTTTTCTTGGCTTCTGAATTAATGCCTGGATCTTTGGGTCAGAGTAGTGTTTGGTAACTTTCAGAAGAGTTCAGAAGCTTATATTGACCACTTGGCCCCAGTGTATGTGGATCCTTTTTTTTTTTTTTTGAGACAGAGTCTCACACTGTTCCCAGGGCTGGAGTGCAATGGTGCAATCTCGGCTCACTGCAACCTCCGCTTCCTGGGTTCAAGCTATTCTCCTGCCTCAGCCTCCCCAGTAGCTGGGATAACAGGCACCCGCCACCATGCCCAGCTAATTTTTTGTATTTTTCATACAGACGGGGTTTCACTATATTGGCCAGGCTGGTCTCGAATTCCTGACCTCATGATCTGCCCACCTCCGCCTCCCAAAGTGCTGGGGTTACAGGTGTGAGCCACCACACCCAGCCCAGTGTGGATCTTTGGCAGAGAAAATGTACTATAGTTACCAGATTGTTGGACTAGGGCCCTGAAATCTACTTCTTTTCCACCATGCAGTCTCCTATCCAGTCTTCAAAACCTAAGCCAAACACCACTTTCTTTGAGACACCTTCCTGGCCTCCTTCATGTAGATTTACTCCATTCTACCTCTGTGATCCTATGGCCCTGTGTTCATATCTCAGGGCACACACTGTATAGCAAGTAGCACATAACATGCCTGCTTCATCCACTAATCTGTGAGCTTCAGCTCAGGCTGAGGCCATTTTTGTAGCTCTTGAATTTAGCACAGTATACAGCACCCAGCAGATGCTCAATAAATAGTGAATGGGCCGGGCGCAGTGGCTCTCGCCTGTAATCCCAGCACTTTGGGAGGCCGAGGCGGGCGGATCACGAGGTCAGGAGATTGAGACCACGGTGAAACCCTGTTTCTACTAAAAATACAAAAAATTAGCTGGGCGTAGTGGCCGGCGCCTGTAGTCCCAGCTACTCAGGAGGCTGAGGCAGGAGAATGGTGTGAACCCGGCAGGCGGAGCTTGCAGTGAGCCGAGTTTGCGCCACTGCACTCCAGCCTGGGCGAAAGAGCGAGACTCCGTCTCAAAAAAAAAAAAAAAAAAGAAAGTGAACGAATGTGTACTTGCCCTGCCACTAACTAGTTATATATCTTAGACAACTCATTCACTTATCCTCACTGGAATTACTCATTTAGGGTAATGAGTAATAGGGATGGCACAATTTGTGTGACCAATGGGATTATTACGTAGTGCAGAAGAGATAAGATGTGTTCTTAATATAGATATGCTACACAATCACAAAATTCCTAGAGCTGGAAGAAATTTGGAAATCATCTAATACAATGGTTTTCAGAAATTTGAAGCCAAAGAACTGTTTTTTAAGGAAAGCTAACAGGAAAGTCCAATATTTTGGACTAATCTTTTTTTCATAAAAGATAAAAGATAAATGTAAGCTTCTCCAGTTGAAGACCCAGCATACTCTCTCCTTCCTCTCCTCTCCTTTCACCTCCATCCTGGGGATGCAAGAAGCACAGTTTGAAAACCAGCCTCTCACTTTAGTGAGAATAAGCTGAAGCCCAGAGAAGGCAGTGAATTTCCTAAGGTCACAGGGCTAGTTAGAAAGAAAAGTAGACCAGGGAAGGAATTAACACATGAAGACTGCAGTGATATGCAGGACAATAGCTAGTCCTTGAAAAAACAACATACTTAGTGCATACCCATATAATATTAGGGGTGGTCTGTTGTTGTTTTTCTTTTGAGACAGGGTCTCGCTCTGTCTTCCAGGCTGGAGTGCAGTGGTGCAATCATAGCACACTGTAACCTTGAATTCCTGGGCTCAATTGATTCTCCTGCCTTGGCCTTCCGAAGTGCTGGGATTACAGGTGTAAGCCACCGTGCCCAGCACCACATATTATGTTTAATTCTTGCAATATTCTATGAGGAAGTTAGGGCTGTGACGATTTCTGAGATAATGAAACTGAGGCTTTAAAAAATGGGCTTGAATAACATTCCATGGTCAGTTGTAGTAGAAGTAAAAGTAACTAGTAGCTTTATTGAGCACCTAATATGTGCCAGTCACCTTTGTAAGCACGTTACACATATTACCTCATTTAATTATCCAACAACCAGCACCATCATTAGTCATAATTTTACAGAAAAGAAAACTGAGGCACAAATTGGTTGAAGGAGCTGTTTTGGAATCCCTGCACCAGTCTGATTCCATGCAAGCTCTTTTTGCTACATCATGCCGATCTGAGGTCCTGAACCCAGGTGCTCTGTCTCTTAGCTCAGTGCCTTCTCCAAATGCTACTTGATATGAAAGAATCCTGAAAGAGTCCTGAAAGCACATTCTGTTATTTGCACTTGATGGTGGAAGAATGAGGAACCTTATTTGTATTCAGGGTACTTCTCAGACTCCATCTAAGACCCTGATCTTTTTCCTTCTGGTACTGATTTGCCCTGTTCAGGGCTGGTCAGTACGACTCACCTCCTTCTGGATGGACCGGGTAAGAAACAGGGAGACCTCCTCCAGGCTCTGGGGTTTCAGGTCATTCACTGCCAGAAGATGATCTCCGTGGCAAAATATGCATCCCAAACGTGGGGGGCCTTCCCACTGAGACACACTGCAGTGGGAATACAACATCCAATACCAGTGTGAGGCTCAGCTGGCCAGGAGGGCAGGGCACGCAGGGTCTCCTGATTCTAGGTCACGTGGCACCACCTCTGAAGTAGACTATCTCCTTCTGTTTAGAATATTGTTTCCTCTGTCACTACAATAGGAGCCTAACCCTTCCTCCAAAGCCCAGCTCAAATTATACCACCCTTACAAAGGCCCATGAAATCCTACATCCCATTCCTCTGCTATAATTCATCTCCCCTACCCCTGGACTTCTATTACATTGTGTGAGTACCTGATTTGTTACATTTTTAAATAAAATGCATTTTACATTTACTTGTTTTTGTGGCTGTCTTTTTCTTACCAGGTTACATGACCCCAGAAGTATGATGTCACCTTTTTGTTTGTTTTGTTTTTTAATTTTTAAAACCCCATGGTTCCAAGTAAAGAAAGAGTGCTCAGCGTTTGTTGGAAGTGAGGGTGTAATGATTATACAATGAATATATAATGAACAAATAAATGAATTAAGGAATGTAGCAGCTCAGTTATGGAGGAGTCCACAGTTTCAGTCAAGTGTGTATTGAGCCTTAGATTGTGGACTATTTAAAAAAATGGAAGGTGTGTTTCCTCCCTTCTTAGAACTTATAAGACAATTAATGTGTAGTGTTTACATTAAAGAGTTTTCTTCCCTTATGAAGATGAAATCTTCCATCAAAATAAATTACAAAGTGTTTTAAAAAAATGCCATATCAAATAGACAGTGATTGCTTTAAGAAAATTCTCTGCCACACAGTCTTTTGTGTCTGTGTCTGTGACTAGCAGTTTTTGTTTTTTGTTTTTTTTTAACCTTGTGTCTGGAAGTCTTAGAAGCTGATGTGCTTTCTTCTTTTAGGCCTCTGATTCTTGTTGACTTCACTAATTTCACTCATTCATCAAATACTCATTGTACAGTGATTGGAAATGATGTCCTTGGGCCACCTGTATCCCAGCCCCTTCTTCCTCCCTTAGAGGAGTCAGAAATGGCTGCTTCCTGAACTTTTGGGTCCTGTTATTCCCCCTGCTCACCTCCAGGCTGACTTTTCTGCACAACAAGACCCTGATTTCTGCCTCAAAGATTTTTTTGTAACAACAGCCAGTCAACAGTCCAAGCTCCCCCGCCCCAAACCTAGTCAGTGTTGCCAAATACACTGTTTCAAGATGTAATTGTTCTCTTCAAAGCTTCCAGCCCCATTTATAATCCACAACAGTCAAATCTCCAACCTACCATATCCGTCCTGTGGCTTCTGTGAGAGCAAGATAGTTGATGACATCAGGAGGAGAAAGGAAAACGTTCAGTTTCTCCACTTGGCTTTCATCGGGGATATTACTATGAACAAGACATTTGTAAAAGTCACATCAGGCAACTGACCTTGGCTCTCAACTGTACTTTCTGAGTAGACTTTTGGCCTCTATTTCTGAGATGACATTGTCCAGGTAAAGGTTGTTCAAAACATTTGGAGAATAATATAAATTTAAGTTACTGAAAAATCCTCTTGGGATGTGGTAGCGGATGGTAGGCTATGGGAACAGAGGGAAAAATGGACTAAATTGGTTATGTAACTGTCCACATCAGGCCAGTCTGCATATTTCTCTGCTGGAAATGATTCCATAGAAGAAGGCATGGAAAAGAGTTAAAATTACATCAATCGTACCAAATGCTCTTGGTATCACTTAAAGCCTAAATAACCCCCTCCTGGTCTATAACTAAGTCTCATGCAACTTGCATGTCCATAATTACACTCATGGGAAAACTGAGTGACATGCTACTCAGATTGGTGTGGATCCCAAGTCCTGGGACCTGAAAGAGTAGCCAAGGGGGAATTTTTAAAAATAGCTGAAAATGCCACCCCCCGCCCCAGGAACTGCTTTACTTGAGATCTATCATCCCCTCTCCTTGGCCACAACATCAATGACAGGGAGAAGATGGTCAAGTTTTTGGCTGACTTGGAGATTTTTAGGAACAGCTTTAAAATTTAAATTCTAAGTTAAAAAAAAAAGTGGGAGGGAGGCTGCCTTGCTCTTAGGGCCCATCAAGTTTTAGAAATTAGAGCTTTACTTGATTAATATAGACAATTGCACAACAGTTAGTGAGGCCGACCCCTTTTGGTCATTTGTGGTCTGTGCTTCCACATCGGCAGGGGAAAGACACCAATCAATTCCTGAGCCTTGTTCTTGCAGGTGGAGGTCCCCATCCTGGGTCTCTGGAAGGGTCTGGGGTTCCTCTTTGCTGCTATCCACAGACTCATGGGATGTCTCTTTGAAAAAACTAGAGCATAAGAAGTTAAAACAAGCCCTATTTTAGCATGTGTTTTTACAGTGTTCCCCTGTGTGTGTCAGATTTAAGTAGCTAACAGCCATGTGAAGACTAGCAAGGTCTTGACGTATGTCCAACTATCAGAATCACAGCCACAGCTAGCATCAAATTCAACAAACTTTCCTTCTAAAAATAGATATGGAATCAAAATTACCCTTTACAGTGTTTGGAGGACAGAAGTGAGAGTGTGAGAGACATAAATGCAAAGTAGAAGATAACTTCCTCAGGAGACGGAAAAGGTCCTGAGGATGTCATCGGTGGTTTTCTGTGGGAAGAGACATGACTCCCTCATTTTTTGTGTGTTGAGACGACTGAATAATATGTGGAAACTGGTCTCTGGTAATGTTTGGCATCAGTTTATCAACTATTGAAATGAACTGACAATCATTGTTCCTTAACAGCAGATGAGCAAACATCAAATTTTGAAACGGCATTTTGACTTACTAGGATTCCATTGGCTCATAATGACACTCAATTCTTCCAGAGACCTGGTCTGGACCATCAGTTTCAATGGATTCACCAGAATCACTGGAAGCAATGATATTATCCAACTGCAGATAAAAGGAATAGATGTAAGAATCCCAGTTTACCGATAAGTCAGGTACCTTCTTATTTCTAGTATTAACAGCTCTGGGCTCTGACATAGAGGTACAGTTTCCAGTGGATGAACGTGGTTCTCATTTGAGAAATATCAACCAACCTTACCTCCGCGAGACTGAACCAGCAAAGCTTCTGGAGGACTCAAAGTCAATTTTCTTCTCCTGGATCCCTCATGCTCCGGATACAAGTGTTATTTCTATTGAGCTAAATTGCTGTTTATCTTTCTGTTTCACCATTCGGCACTTAATGACATGAAAGCATTTCCCCAATCAGTTCTACTATAGAATCATGGCACTTGGCTGGGACAAAGACTCTGACACAATGTGAAGCTGGTCTCAGGTTACTATGCTCACAGGCAGCCCAAGTGGCTTCAGGGACATTGCAATGTTCTAGAAAAATACTGCCCTTAGGAAGCTCTCCATAGCCCCCTTAGAACAAAGAGAGTCACTTGTGGCAATGATTGCTCAAAAACCCTAAGGCCTACCTAAGTTCACCGTTAACCCATGATGGAAACCTTCCTTCCAGTCAAGCCAGTCTTCCCATTGGCCCCCTGCAAATGGTGCTGTTCCATCGCCATGTTCGTGCTCTCTTCTTCACCTCGAGTGCCATCTTTCCTTTCGGCCTACTGAAATCATGTTCAGGCCTGGCTGAAGTCCCACAGCCCACTCTGATCACCTCAGCTACGGCAGAGCTCTCCTTTCTCTCAATTTCCATTGCATAGTTTTTTTACTTATTTATTTATTTATTTATCTTTGGTCTTTTTAGCTGTTTTGTCTGCTTTACTAGACTTTACTTATCATAAAGTACCTAGCAAAGGCCAGGCCTATAACTGATGCTCAGTACACATCTGATTGGTTGGCTGAACTATCATAAAAGACTGCATCCCAGGAAACAGAAATATGAAAATATTTTGGTGAAAGAAGAACTCTGTGCTCAAAGGAGCTTGGGAAATGCCATGTGTTGTATCTGACTTGACTATTTACAATGCACCACTGCATACTAAATGCTCTGAGAATTCTGCTAAGAAGCTTGTTTAACTTATTTTAACTGGGTGTTTCCGGAACTTATTTGACCCCAGAATGTTTCTTTTATATAAACATACGTCACCATCTTACGGAAAACCCCCAGTTTGGGAAATGACGCAGCATTCCCACCCTCCATTCTGTCTTCCTATCTCTCACTTCCATTCTCTTCTCTCTATAGTCCATGGCAGATATAGCTGCTCAGTTAATACTAATGGAGGATAATTCAGGTTTTGAGATTTCCCAACTCAGAAGCCATCGCTTCCCCTATGCTGTCTACAGAATGAAGTCAACTTGGCATTCAAGACCCATCATGGGCTGGCCCTTTTCTTCTGTTTATCTCCCACTATGCCTTTCACGCACTCTAGGTTGCAGCCTCACTGAACTATTCCCCATACATGTATCAAATGGCACTTCATCCCAGAAGCCTTCCTTGACTCTGATAGAGAAAATCTGTTCTTTTTCTATTGCTTCCAGAGCACACGGACCACGTCTTTTGTGCAGCGTTATCCTGTGGTAACTGACAAGACTATGCACTCTGACAGCAGGGTGATGTCAGGCTCATTACTTTAGCCACCATGCCCAGTACAGTACAGTGACTAGTGCTCAGAAGGCATTCAGTAAGGGCTTCCTACTGATCAATAGACTGATCGATACACAGCACACAACTGATCACCCAAGGACCTTGGCTCATATTATTCTTTCTGCTAAGAATGCAGAAAGACTCCTCAAGGCAATCCCCCACATCCAAATTTTACTCATCATGTATGGCCTAATGTCATCTCGTCCCTGAAATCTTCCTGATCTTTTGTTTGAAAGTCATCTCCTCCTCCCATAGCTCATGCACCCCTGGTATTTTATAAGCATCTCTCTTCAGCATAGAACCCTCTGTCTTGTATTACAGCTGTCTCCTAGTCAAGTGTCAGCACCATGAGCACGTCATCTGTATTTGATTTACTTCTGTGTTCCCACTGACCATAGCCTAATATTGCACGAAAAGTGCATGGCAGGGTTTCAGTAAATATTTGTTAAAGAAACAAATGATGAATGGACAAGAAGGGGTTACCTCTAAAAGAACACTTCGAGGAGTAAGATAATGATTCTCTTCCTTCACATCTTGAGTGGCTTCTGATAAATCTTGTAGGTGAGTTTGCCTAAATCCTGGAGAACTTTGTTCCATTAAATGCTGAAGAAAAGAGATAAAAATGCTTTGCTTTTTCTTTGCAAGAGATAGAATTAAATCACATGCATTCTAGAAAAGCCGTAATAAATTAGTTGGGTTAAAAAAGACCAGAGGGTCTTCCAAGATTACATCCAGAAGCTCACACAACTTGAACTTGCCTCTTGAGTCTGGGTCACCACTGAGGATGAAAACATATAAGCACATCACTCAGGCTTTTTTTCTCTACCGTTTGGAACAGTCACTCAGAACAAGTGGTTTTCTCCTGTGGGTGGTATTCTTTTTTTTTTTTTTTTTTTTTGAGACAGAGTCTCACTCTGTCCCCCAGGCTGGAGTGCAGTGGCGCGATCTCGGCTCACAGCAACCTCCACCTCCTGGGTTCAAGTGATTCTCCTGCCTCAGCCTCCTGAGTAGCTGGGAATACAGGCGCGCATCACCATGCATAGCTAATTTTTGTATATTTTTTAGTAGAGATGGGGTTTCACCATATTGGCCAGGCTGGTCTCAAACTCCTGACCTCGTGATCCACCCGCCTCAGCCTCCCAAAGTGCTGAGATTACAAGCATGAGCCACCATGACCAGCCCTGTGGGTAGCATTCTAAGTCACTAAGCTCTGGAGTTGCTACCCTCATCTTTTTCCTGTAATCATCCAGTGCCATCTAAGAATGTAATTAACCCAGAATCAAGGCGTTGCACCTTTCCTGTTCCTGCTCCATATTTTTCTTTTGTGTTCTGTTCACACACTTCTATTGTTTCCACAGCAATGGAATTTGGTTGTGTTGATCATATGATAGTATGAATTATGGGTTTCCAGGTGATCTAGATTCAACCACTATTGCCTCCCCTTCCCCATAGATACAGAATATTCTACTAAAGTAGCTTCTTTGCATGGCAGAAAAATTCCAAGAACAATGCCTCAGAGCAGGGGGTTTGGAAAAGACCCTGAATGTTCTCTAGAAAAAAAGTCAAGTTTTAAAATACAGGTGTGTTTAAGTTCTGTCCATGTTTTAAGTTCCAAGCTCATGGAGCCGGATCATGCTGAGTTGGGGGTAAAGGCAGCCCACTTAATTTAACCAACAACAACACCACCCAGCAAGGCAAACAGTACTGTTAACTCGAGCTGGTTTAAAAATCACTGGATCTATAGTGTGAAAAGGCAAAGTGACCAATAATGTTATCTCTAGGGGGAGGGAGATATCATGAGTGAAAAGCAAGAGGCACTTACAGACAAGGGTGAAGCTTCCTAACTGCTGCATACCACCGTTTCTACTCGCTAAATGAAGAACTGAGGTGAGGTGTTTGGCATGGTGAATTTGATATGCTACAAAAAGCTTTCAAAATAGTTGGAGAGCTACCAACTAGATAAAACAAGGGACTAGGACTCATTAGATGTGCTTGGTATACATGGACAGGGTAAAGTCAATGGATAAGTCTCTAAGAGACAAAATAGTATCCGTGCCAGAGAACAAAACCACTCAGCATGTTTATGACTAATATCCCAAGTTGGGAACATTGCAAATCCAAGAAAGCTGAAGGTCCAATTACAAGTCGCTTTCAAGAGGCAGGTACATTATATTTTATGTCTTCAAATGGATTTCATTAGAAATGAGGAAGAAGTGATAGACAGCTATAATGAATGAGAAGCGAGATTGATCAGGGTAAAGGGAAGAGATTAACAAGAAACTCAGCCTTTGCCTGAGGAGTACAGACAGAATGGGCAGAAATCAGGTAGTGTCTGGGAAATCTTTTGGCAGAGGGATCTGTGCCCTCTGTGTGAAAGAAAGGAAGCAAGTTGCCAGCTAGGTTTTGGTTTAGCAAAGGGGTCTTACCCTAGCATACCCAAAGCATATCAAGAGCATCTAAAATGAATGAATACACTGAGAGGTATTCAGGGCAAGCCCTCAGTGAGGCTCATCTGTGGTATGGGATAAACATCAGGGCTAAGAATCTTTCTTATAGTGCATCGGGCTTTGAGGAAGGTGGGCATGGTTAAATTCAATTGCTAATTGGTAAGATTTTTAGGCATTAGCTGCCTCCCAGGTGTGGTGTCCTGAGAAAGAAGTGAGCCCCATTACCTTGTCTTGGAGACCATTTCTTGGTGAGCTGGAGCCAACAGCCTCTGATGTGCTGGAAGGGCCAAGGAGAGGGCTGGAGTAGAAGAGGGTTCTTTTATTACCCAATGAGAGTTCCTCCTGCTCACAAAAAAAGGAATCAGTCAGGGCACAGTTGATCTCTGTCTGGAATGAAACGGCAGCCTCTCTACCGGGCTCCTTGCCTCCTGTCTTTTCCCATAGCAATCTAACATTCATGCCGCTGGCCTGCCAGCATTATTTCACCAAGACAAGAGCCGAACTTGTCTCTCTCCTGTTTCCAAACCCTTGAGGACATTTAGCCTGACCCTCAGAGATGACCAGCGTTTCCCTCAACTTGTCTCCTCAACTGTGTCTCTTTCTGACACCCTCCACCCCAGTTCCCTTTGCTCTAATCACTTCAGTCTACTTGAAGACATGCCTTGATTTCTCCTTCTCTTTGGCTTTTGCTGTAAGCATGGAACAACCTAGAAAACATGTCAAAAAAAGATACCTAGGGACCAAAGTTCCATCTATAAAGGTCTGCCCTGAGAAAGGAACATTAGCAGAGGCCCTTTTGAAATAAGTTTAAAACTTAAAACTGCTAAGCATGTACATGAAAGATACATTATATTAAAAATGCAAGATACATGTAAAACATTTTTATAGAAACTGCCCTAGACTTAGTCATTCAAAAGGGAGCTTGTCATGCACCTTGAATAACAATGATGGAAAATACTATATTCTAGCTACTACTTAAAAATGTCACAGTTAACTTTTCTTCCCTCTAACACAATAATAAAAATCTGAAGTGTCTGTACTTTAGCTCTCTCACAAAACACAAAAGAATTTTTTTCTGTTAATCATAAAAAGTAATAAGGATGTACATTTTCTCATTTATTTATTCCTTGTATTAAAGCCAGTTACTAAGGAGGCAAAGGAAAGCTACCATTGTTTTCTATTGAAAGAGGGTTGTGTTCAGGTGCCCTGTTATTTTATTAGTGATATGGAGTCACCTCTGTGTTCTGCTGTGTTGCTTTTATATCCTGGCGAAATGATGACATGAAGGAGACCCAGTCTTTAATCTTCTCCCTGTTGACAGGAATAAACTTTCAGTTGGCATGTGGCAACAATAGTGCCTTTTGAACCAGAGAAGGATTCTTTTATGAATGTTAGAATGGTGGTGAGAGCAGGTACCAGCGAAATAAGAATTTTTCCTAAGTAGCTTAAATGGCCTCGCCACCTCCACATTTGCACACTAGAATTAATGCTCAGCCACCTCTGCAAGGAAAGCTCAGAGAAAGGGAAGAAAAGTAGAAAATAATAGTAGTAATCACAGGGTTTGGGGCTTTCGGCTTTGACATTGATTTCCTTTGTGTTCTCAAGCAAGCCCCCTAACCTGTCAGTGTCATTTTTGTGTAACTATGCAGGTGGGCCTTCCCTTAGGGAGTGCATGTGTTGATGAAGAATGTGCTTGAGTGAATTTGTATAATCACATCTTTTCTATGGACTCACAGGACAACTTAAAAGGAAGCTTTGGTCAATCTGAAACAGATCAGGGTTTTTCATATGTTGGCTTTGGCATTGTCCGCCTCCTCTGCACAGTCTCTCCCACACCCGCTTTGCCTCTCCCTCAAGCAGATAATCATCCATGAAGAGTCCACTAGGCACCTTTGCTAGGACCAGAAGCCCCTCTTAAAAACTGCAGACTACTTTGGGGGCAAGCCTAGTTCCTCCCTAATATATGTAGCTTGTGTAGATGTTTTTGTATTGGGTTCTTTTACATGGAATGCTTCTGGGGTGATGGTGACTGTTATCGGTTGAAATGTACCCTCCCCGCAAAAATACAATGAATTTGTATGTTTCAGTTCCGTATCCCAATACTTCAGAATGTGACCTTATTTGGAAAGAGGGTTGTTGCAGATGTAATTGGTCAAGATGAGGTCATACTGGAATAGAGAGGGCTCCAAATCCAATATTACTGATGTTCTTATAAAAAGGGGAAATTTGGACACAGAGCTATGCACACAGGGAGAACGCCATGTGAAGACTGGAGTTATGTTGCCTCAAGCCAAGGGAACTACCAATAGTTAGGAGAGGCCCCTGGAACAAATCTTTCCTTGGAGTCTTCAGAGAGAGCATGGCTCTACCCATACCTTAATTTCGGACTCCTAGCCCCTGGAACAGTGAGACAATAAATTTCTGTTGTTCAAAGTTATCCAGGATGAGGTTCTTTGTTATAGCAGCCCTAGGAAACTAGCTCAGTAACTTTTCAAGATATTTTTAAAAATAACTAAGATTGCCAAGATGGCATTTGAGGTTTGTAGCGTGGGTTCAGAACATGTTTATTGGTATAAAATGTTTTGTTTTTTGGTTTGTTTTTGTTTTGCATGCAGTAGATATTCTGTGTTATCTTACTTCTCTCACCTGTCGTGGCCAATGAGGAAGTATTCCCTGTTAGTGGTTCTGATGGACATGACCTCATCAGGGTGGCATTTAAACATCTTCTGCACAGATTGCATCTTTTCCTGGCTACTTATGCCAACTTCTACACTGGAATTTCTATTAGATATAGACACAAAGTATTAAACCAAGGTAAATACAGAAATAGAAAACTAATATTTTATATTGGGATTCAAATGGAATAAAACTTTAGATGTGCTGGATCCATGTTTCCAAGATTGTCCAATAATTTTAGAAGATAAGTTTGGATTTTTTGATCTGGTTAATTAATTGAAATTATTTTGTTTAGCCTAAGATTCAAAAATTTCTATTTTAATTGGATTCTTGATTCCACAAATTATGTTTTTCAATTTTGGGGTGCACAATTTATTAAAGAGAAGACCAAAAAAAGCTGATCTAAATATTTTTTAAAACTCTATCTTGACTTTATAAAATGACAATTTCATCTGCTCCCTCTCATCCACAAATTATGTGAATCAAACTCCTTAACTGAATGCCTGTTAATTAAAGACTTATCAAGTATGACATACAATATGAAACAAATATTCAACTATCTTTTAACTCAAAGTGCTCACTATTTTAGCTCCTATTCAGTCACAAATATTATAATCAGCTTGAAGCAGGTTCCTTTGGTCAATTATGTAAATTTCAATTTGCATGCAACTTGTTACTGTTTGACTTTATAGTATTTGTTGTTATAAAAGTTTTCCTGCTTGGATACACACTGATCAATTTCAATGGAACCTCGGTGATGATGGTCTTTATAATAGGAAAGACTAAAGCTCTTTTCCCCAGCCTTTGACAGGATGAAAAACCGCTTTTTCCAAGAGGTCTGAAAAATAAAAAGATTTTATGTCTTAGTTAAATCTCAGAGGAAAAGAAATGATTTTTAAAAATGCTCATGAGGCTGGTGGGAGGCTTGTTAAATCACAGCAAATACTTACCACAGAGGAGAACAGCTGAGAAGGTGGTGATTTAATAAAGTAATCTTGTTTGCAGACTTCATTTTCATAAGAAAATGTAAATTGTTTGCCTAATAAAAGTGAACAGAACTCAGTTTGTTCCTCATAAATTTCTGAAAAGAACTGCCTCAATTGGAAAACACTGTTTATCTCTGGAAAGACCTTCAGATTATTCAGTAGTTATGGAAAAGGACACCTATAATAACCCAAGAAAACAAAGGACCAAATGTATGATTCTTATTCCTCCACAGCCGAGACCTTCATTCAAACAACATTTGAAACCATGTTAATTCAGCTCACACCTGTCTGGCTTTCTGTTTCTAGAGTATGTCGTTGGCTCTCTACGTGTGAGCAAAGATTTGGCTGTATTTCCATTGCAGAAGCATGATAATTCTGCATTGCCCTTTGGCTTAGCAAACAAGAGCAAAAGCACCTGCTATTAAAAATGAAGTGGCAAAAACTATCTGGGGAAGGGGGACAGGTAGAGTTGCTGCAGAAGTTGGAAAAGGAGTGAAGGTAAACACAGCCACCTCCCCAGAATTACTGGATACTATCCTAATAGCCCCAGCTATTACCAAATACTGTATTACCAAATCTTAAGTCTGTTTTCACTTAATAAAGAAGCTCTAATTTTTTTAGTAAAGACTGCCCTTTCCAAAACTGAGGACAAACTAAACCTATAGCCTGGATGTGAAAGCAAATCCAAGCTAAAACAAAAACAAAAACAAACCCAAAATGAAAACAAAAATAACAACACTGTGTTTAACAACATTGTGTTTTTCTAAATAGTGAATATGATACATATTTATTGTAGACATTTTAGAAAATATAGAAAATATTAAAACTGCCTATAATTTCATCACTTATAGAGAAGCAGTTAACATTTTAGAAACTTCTTTATTTAATCACTTCTGCCACCCCGTTTTCAATAGTGAGTGGTTTTGCTTTTGTCTGCTAAGCCAAAGGGCAATATATACTGTCTCCCTCAAGTATTCAAGAGTGTCGATTAACACATGTGTGTGCTGAAACTACCTGAGGCCAGAGAAAGAACCATTAAAATACATCAGAGATTCAGAAAAAGTGCTTGTTACCTCCAGCCATACTGGAAAAACTTATAATTTACAGGGCATTGGGTAGAGTACTCAGGAATGTCTTGCCTCAGTGTGAGGAATAATTAGCTCTACACTAATTACTAGTTCTACACTGAGCACTGCTCCAAACCCACCTAAAAAATCATGAAAGACTTAGAAGAAAGTTGTTCCCAAAAAATTTAACTGTATCCCAGAACAAAGCTCAAGATTCATAGGAATACAAAGATATTCAGGAAACAACAAGGTAAAATTTGCGATGTTTGGCAGTCAATCAAAGTTTACCAGGCATACAAAGAGGAAGGAAAACATGATCAATAATGAGAAGAAAGTCAATCAATCAAAACAGGCCTAGAACTGACACAGATGTTAGAATTGGCAGAGAAAGTAATTAAAGCAGTTATTATCACTATATTTTCAAAAAGTTAGGGAGAGATATAAAAGATATAAAGAAGACCTAAAGTGAAATTTTAAAGATGAAAACTACAATGTCTCAAAAAAACAGCAACAACACTGGATGGGAGTAAGAGCAGATTAAATATTGTACAAGAAAAGATTAGTGCACTTAAAGGCATGGCAACTGTAACTAACAACATAAACAAAGAGTTAGAACATAATTTAAAACTCAGAAAGAGCACCAGTACACTGTGGACAATTTCAAGTAGCCTAGTATATAAGTAATAGGAGTCCCTGAAGTGAGAGAGGGAGAAATAAAAAATATCTGAAGTAATAATGCTAACAATTTTATAAACCTAAAACTATAATCCCAGAGATCCAAGCAGTTCAATGAATCTCGGCACAAGATACACAAAGAAAAGTACACCAAGGCATGTCATAACTCAATTGTTCAAAACCAGCAATAAAGAAAACAAATCTTAAAAGTAGCCAGAGGAAGAAAAGACCTATTGCATACAGAAAAAAGACAAGAAACAGAGATATTGATTTCTCATCAGAAAAAAAATGCAAGCAAGAAAAAGTAAAACAATATATTTAAGGGTTGGGTGTGGTGGCTCACAACTGTAATCCCAGCACTTTGGGAGGCTGAGGTGGTGGATTTCCTGAGATCAGGGGTTTGAGACCAGCTTGCCCAACATGGTGAAACCCTGTCTCTACAAAAATACAAAAATTAGCCGGGCATGGTGGTGCAAGCCTGTAGTCCCAGCTACTTGGGAGGCTGAGGCAGGAGAATGGCTTGAACCTGGGAGGCAGAGGTTGCAGTGAGCCGAGATAGCGCCACTGCACTCCAGCCTGGGCGATAGAGTGAGACTCCATCTCAAAACAAACAAACAAACAAGCAAACTATATTTAAAGTACTGAAAAAATACTCTCATTCAAAATTCTATATTCAGCAAAAATGTCTTTTAAAAATGAAGGCAATTTAAAGACTTTTTAGATATATAAAGGCTGAAATAATTCATCATTAGGAGGCTTGCAGTATAAAAAATGTGAAGGGAAGTCCAGGAAGAAGGGAAATGATAACATAAAAATCTGAATTTAAACAAATTGAAAGCACTGAAATGGTAACTACTGGGGTAAATGTATGAAATTATTTTCTTATTATTGAAAACATTAAAACATTAACTGAACAAAAATAAAGACAATGTATTGTGCAGATTATAACATATGTACAAGTAAAATGCATTCCAACAGTAGCATAAAGGCCAATAGGGAAAAATGGAAATACGCTTTTGTAAAGTTCTTTTATTATATGTGAATTGGTATACTATCACTTGAAGTTAGACTGTGATGTGTATAAACCCTAAAGCAATCACTAAAATAACAAAACAGAAAGTAATGACTAATAAGCCAACAAAGGAGATAAAATGGATTCATAAAAAATTCGATTATTCCAAAAGAAGGCAGAAAAGGGGGAAAGGGAGAACAAACAACAAATAGGACAAACAGAAAATAAATAACAATATGATACATTTAAACCTGACTATATCAGTAATTATGTTAAACGTAAATGGTCTAAACACCTCAATTAAAAAACAGAGATGACCAGATTGGATAAAAAAGCAAGACTCAACTCTATGCTGCCTGTAAGAAACACACTTTAAAGATGAAGATACAAGTGGGTTACAAGGAAATAACTGGAAAAAAAGATATGCTATGCCAACGCTAGTC
Organism: Homo sapiens; assembly: GCF_000001405.40. Taxonomy (NCBI): domain Eukaryota; kingdom Metazoa; phylum Chordata; class Mammalia; order Primates; family Hominidae; genus Homo; species Homo sapiens. Next base: position 113,763,266 of record NC_000010.11, on the reverse strand, counting down.
AAAGAAAGCTGGAGTGCCTATATTAACATCAATGTAGATTTTAAAGCAAATAATATTACCAAGGACAAAGAATATCATTTCATAATAAAGGGATGAATTAATCCTAAGAGGACATAAAAATTTAAACATATATGCCCTTATAACATAGCTTCAAAATACATGAAGCAAAAACTGATAGAACTGCATGAATAAATGGACACATCCGCAATTATAGAGATTTCAATATCCCTCTCTCAAGAACTGATAGAACAAATAGTGCTAAAATTGATTTTTTAAATTTTGGATGCATTTTTAATGTTTTAAATAATAAGTTTGCTAAGAGTTTTCATTCAAGAAGAGTAATGCTGGCCTCATAGAATGAGTAGAGAAATATTCCCTTCTCTTCAATTTTGTAGAAAATCAGCAAGAATACAGTAGGCTTGAACAACACTACCAACCAACTTTAACTGATTGATATTTATAGAACATTCCACTCAATGACAATAGAGTATACATTCTTCTCAAGGGCACATGCAACATTTATTAATATAGATGTATTCTGGGCCATAAAACAAGTCTCAATAAATTTAAAAGCATTCAAATCATATAAATCATGTTTTCAGAGCACTATGAAATCAAATTATAAATCAATAACAGACCTCTTAAAAGATCCTGAAATAAATAATCTCTAAATTTAAAAAATCCCAAAAATAAATTAGAAAGTTTTTTGAACTGGATGAAAATTAAAACACAAGGTATCAGAATTTGTGGATGCCACTAAAGCAGTACTTAGGGAAAAATTTTTTAATGGCTATGTTAGAAATGGCCATGTTTGAAAAGAACAAAAGTCTCAAATTAATTACCTCAGCTTCCACCTGAAACGTTTCAGGAAACTAAACTGAAAAAAAAAAAAAAAAAAAAAGGAACAAATCTAAAGTCAATAGAGGAAGGGAGATAATAAAGATAAAAGTGGAATTCAATGAAAGAGAACACAGAAAAACAACAGAGACAACCAATGAAACCAAAGTTAATCCATTAAAAAGATTAAGTTAACAAACCTCTACCTAGGCAGATAGACCAGAAAAACTGGAGAGAAAACACAATTTGCCAATATTAGGAGGAGAGAGGGGACATATCTACAGAGTCTACTGATATTAAAAGGATAATAAAGAAATATTATAGACAACTTTATTCCAATAAATTTGGCAACTTAGGTAAACTGAAAAATTCCTTGAACTACACCAACAAAGGTCACTGAAGAAGAAATAGATAACCTGAATAGCCTCCTATAGTTATTAAAGAAATTGGAGTTGTAGTTAAAAATTCTTCATATAGGCCCAAGTGGCTGTACTGTTCTCTTTGATCAAACATGTAAGCAAGAAATAATCAATTCTACACAAAGCCTCCCAAAAAAATTGAAGAGAAGGGAATATTTCTCAACTCATTCTATGAGGCTAGCATTACTCTTCTTGATTGAAAACTCTTAGCAAACTTATTTAAAACATTAAAAAATGCATCCAAAATAAGTAAAAATAAATAAAACATCCAAATGGAAAAGAATGAAATAAAATCATTTCTATTTGCAAGTGACATAATCTCATATGTTAAAAATCCCAAAGAATCCCCAAAAACTACTAGAGCTAATAAATTCAGCAGTATTCAAGAACAACAGACAAAAATTAGCTATATTTCTATAAACCAGCAATAAATAATCCAAAAATAAAATTATGAAAACAGTTCCATTTACAATAGCATCCAAAAGAAAAAAGTACCTAGGGTTAAATTTAACTAGGCAGATAAAAAGACTGGTACACTGCAAACTAGAAAAATTGCTGAAATAAAGAGACATAAATTAATGGGAAAACATTCCATATTTATGAATTGAAAGACTTAATACTGTTAAGATATAAATACTACCTAAAGCAATCTATAAATTCAATGCAATCTCTATTAAAATCCCAATGGCATTTTTTATCTTGTAAAACTAGAAAAGCTAATCCTCAAAATCATCAAAAATACCAAGGGGCCCTGAATATCCAAAATAATCTTCAAGAAGAACAAAGAGTACACACACTTCCCAATTTCAAAACTTACTACAAAGCTACAATAATCAAGAGTGTCGTTTTGGTATAAGGACAGATAAGACACATAGGCCAATGGAATAGAATTCAGAGTCCAGAAACAAACCCATACATTAGTGGTCACGGCCATTCAATGGGGAGAGAACAGTCTTTTCAATAAATGGTGCTGGGCCAACTGAGTATTCACATGCAAAAGAATGAATTTGGACCCCTATGTCATCCCAAATAATGAAGTTAACTCAAATAAATGACCTTAACATGAGAGCTAAAACCATAAAACTTTTAGTAGAAAACATAGGTGTAAATTTTTATAATCTTGGATTTGACAATGTATTCTTAGATATGATACCAAAAGCACAAGCAACAAACAAAAAAGATAAACTAGACTTCATCAAAATTAAAAACTTTTGTGCATCAAAGGATATTATTAAGAAAGTGAAAAGACTACCTACAGAATGGGATAAAATATTCAAAAATCATATATCTGACCAGGGCCTACTATCCAGAATATATAAAGAACTCTTACAATGCAACACAAAAAGACAAACAACTCAACTAAAAAGTGAACAAAGAACTTGAACAGACATTCTTCTAAAGAAAATAAGCAAATAGCCAATAAGCACAAGAAAAGCTGTGCAATACATTTAGTCATTAAGGAAATGTAGATCAAAATTAAAATAAGAAACCACTTCATGCTCACTAGGATGGCTATAACTTTTTTCTTTTTTTTTTGAGATGTAGCCCAGGTTGGTCTGGAACTCATGTGCTCAAGCAATACTACTGCCTTGGCCTCCCAAAGTACTGGGATTATAGGCGTGAGCCACCACACCTGGCCCATTCTACTCTTAAGTAAAGGAATATACAAATACAAAAGCTGGTCATGAATGTTGATAGCAGCTTTATTTGTAATAGCCAAAGACTGGAAGCAACCCTGATGTTCATCAACAGGTGAAAGGATTAACACATTGTGATACATCTATACAATGGAATACTATATGGGAATAAAAAGAAACAAACTATTGACAGATGCAACGACATGGGTAAATCTCAAGATAATTATGCTGAGTGAAAAAGATGTCAGACAGAAAGTGTTCATACTGCATGATTATATAAAGTTCTATACAAACTAACATATAGGGATAGAAAGCAGATCAGGGGTTGTCTGGGGAAGTATGACTGCATGGAAGAGTGGGAGGCAGGGGACCAAGAAAACTTGTGAGGTTGATGAATATGCTTATTATCCTGATTTAGGTGATAATTTTATGGCTGTGTACATTTGCCAAAACTTATTAAATTGTAGACTTTAAACATGTCAGCCTACTGTATGTCAATTATACCTCAATAAAGCTTTTTAAAAAATCTAACAAATTTGAATGAAAAGTAAGCATACTCCAACCATATGACCCAGCCATTTTGATTCTAGGTAAAATAAAGAAATATATGATTTTACAAAAATTAATGCACAAATGTTCATATTAGCTTTATAATAGGCGAAGACTGGAAGCAACCTGGATATTCAACAGGTGAATGAATCAACAAATTGTAGTACATCCATATAATGGAATACTACTCATCAAAAAAATGAACTATTTTTGCACTATTGGTGCACTCAATACCAGGGATATATTTTTAAAAAATTATGCTGAGTGAAAAAAGTCAGACAAAAGGGTGTATGCTGTATGATTCCATTTATGTTAAACTCTAATAAATACAAACAAACTTACAGTGAGAGAAAACAGAACAATGGGGACTGGGATTGGGTGTGCAGAAAAGGATTACAAACAGGCACAAGAAAACATCAAGAGTGATGAGTGTGTTTACTATTACCCAGGCTGGAGTGCAGTGGTATGATCTTGGCTCACTGCAACCTCTGCCTCCCAGTTCAGGTGATTCTCTTGCCTCAGCCTCCTGAGTAGCTGGGATTACAGGTGCCGGCCATCACACCTGGCTAATATTTGTATTTTTAGTAGAGATGGGGCTTCACCATGTTGGCCAGGCTGGTCTTGAACTCCTGACCTCAAGTGATCTGCCCACCTCAGCCTTCCAAAGTGCTAGGATTACAGGCGTGAGCCACCGCACCCGGCCACATTTACCATCTTGATGATTTCCCAGGTGTCACACATATCAAATACAGGCAGACCTCATTTTGTTGCACTTCACTTTATTGTGCTTTGCATATATTGCTTTTTTTTTTATTTACAAATTGAAGGTTTATGGCAACCCTGCACTGAGCAAGTCTACTGGGACCATTTTTTCAAGAGCATATGCTTACTTAGTGTCTCTGTGTCACATTTTGGCAATTCTTGCAATATCTCAAACATTTTCATCATCATCATATCTATTAGAGTGACCAGCAATGAGTGATCTTTGAGTAATTGTTTTGGGACAGTATGAATGGTGCCCATATAAGATGGTGAACTTCAAAAATGTTGTGTGTGTTCTGATTGCTCCACTGACTGGCTATTCCCCCATCTCTCTCCTCTCCTTGGACCTCCCTATTCAATGAGACTCAACAATATTGAAATTAGGCCAATTAATAACTTTACAATGGCCTCTAAGTGAAGGCGAGTGTCAAGTGAAAGGTGAGTTACATGTCTCTCACTTTCAATTAAAAGCTAGAAAATCCTAAGGCCCTTAAGAATTATACTAAATCTACTCTACTTGTGCTCTATCAGTGCAACAACAAAGCCTGGGTGACAGCATATCTGTTTATAACATGGTTTAATGAATATTTCTAGAAGCCCACTGCAGAGACCTGCTACTTAGAAAAAAAAAGATTCCTTTCAAAATATTACTGATCATTGACAATACACCTGGTCACCCAAGAGCTCTGATGGAGATGTACAAGGAGACTAATGCTGTTTACATGCCTGCTAACACAACATCTATTCTGTAGCCCCTAGATCAAGGAGTAATTTCAACTTTTAAGTCTTATTATTTAAGAAATACATTTCATAAGGCTATAGCTGTTGTAGATCGTGATTCCTCTGATGGATCTGGGCAAAGTTAATTGAAAACCTTCTGGAAAGGATTCACCATTCTAGATGTCATAAAAATATTCATGATTCCTAGAAGGAGGTCAAAATATCAACATCAACAGGAGTCTGGAGGAAGTGGATTCCAATACTCCTCGATGACTTTGAGGGGTTCAAAACTTCCTTCAGTGGAGGAAGTCACTGCAGATGTGGTGAAAATAACAAGAGAACTAGAATTAGAAGTGAACCCTGAAGATGTGACTGAATTGCTGCAATCTCATGATCAAACTTCAACAGATGAGGAGCTGCTTCTTACGGGATATGAAAAGAAAGTGTTTTCTTGAGATGGAATCTACAGCTGGTGAACATGCTGTTTATTTTTGAAATCACAATAAAGGATTTAAAATATTACATAAACTTAGTTGATAAATCAGTGTCAGGGTTTGAGAGGATTGATTTCAATTTTGAAAGAAGTTCCACTGTGGATAAAATGTTATCAAACAGCACCACTTGCTACAGAGAAATTTTTCATGAAAGTACAATCAATCGATGTGGTCAACTTCATTGTTGTCTTATTTTAAGAAATTGCCACAGCCAGCGCATCTTCAGCAACAACCTGCCTGATTACTCAGCAGCCGTCAACATCGAGGCAAGACCCTCTGCCAGCAAAAAGATTGTGACTCACTGAAGGCTCAGATAATTGTTAGCAAATCTTAGCAATAAAATATCTTTAATTAAGGTATGCAAATTATTTACTTAGACATAATGCTATTACACACTCGACTACAGTATAGTGTACGCATAGCTTTTATGGAATCCAATAAATTCATGTGACTAGCTTTATTGTGATATTTGCTTGGTTGTATTGGCATGGAAACAAACTTGAAATATCTCTGAGGTGTGCTTGTATATGTTTCATATCAAAACTTCTATCAAATTGTACACTTTAGATATATAATAGCTTATTGTATGCCAATTACAATAAACTACAATAAAGCTATTAAAAATATGGCCAATCAGCCAACAGTGCGGTGCTCATGCCTGTAATCCCAGCACTTTGGGAGGCCAAGGCGGGTGGATCACGAGGTCAGGCGTTCAAGACCAGCCTGGCCACGATGGTGAAACCCTGTATCTACTAAAAACACACAAAAAAATGAGCCAGGCATGGTGGCAGGCGCCTCCTAGCTACTCGGGAGGCTGAGGCAGATAATTGCTTGAACCCGGGAGGCAGAGGTTGCAGTGAGTTGAGATCGCACCACTGCACTCCAGCCTGAGCGACAGAGTGAGACTCCGTCTCAAAAAAAAAAAAAAAAAAAAAGACCAATCTAAAATGTGGATCTGACCATGCCACTTCCATGCTCAAAATGCTTCAACAGTTACTTGTCATACGCGGTCAAGGTCTGGCACAATTTGGCAACACCTTTCTGCAGCCTCATCCTCTATTTTCCCTTCTCCTACCTTATAAGTATATTCTGCTTTGACACATTCTGCTTCTATACCATTTCATTGCTTTGGTCATGCCATTCCTTCTGCTGGAATGTGCTCTTTTTTCTGATTTCTTTAAAATCCCTACTCCTCCTATAGGGTCTAGCTCAAATGCCTTTCCTGTAAAACCTCTCTGGATTCTCATTACTACTTACATGCTTTTTCTTCTTCAGACTCCATAGCATTTGTACTTATTTCATGATTTCCATCACAGCCTAATCTTAATTTCCCAGCACAGTGACTTGCATGTGTTTAAGTTCTTGACAAGAATTTATTTTATTTTTTTGAGACAGAGTCTCGCTCTGTTACCCAGTCTGGAGTGCAGTGGTGCGATCTTGGCTCTCTGCAACCTCTGCCTCCCAGGTTCAAGCGGTTCTCCTGCCTCAGCCTCTTGATTAGCTGGGATTACAGGCGCACCACGCCCAGCAAATTTTTGTATTTTTAATAGAGACGAGGTTTCACCATGTTGGCCAAGCTGGCCTCAAACTCCTGATCTCAAGTGATCCACCTGCCTCAGCCTCCCACCAACAACATTTTAAAACTCTTTGAGGGCAATGACTCTTATTTATTAATCTGTATATCCCCTGCAACATAAAGCACAAAGACTCACTAGTAATAGGTGCTTTGTAAACATTTTTGAGTTGAATTGGATAATTTAACTTCTAAGTGACTTCATCCTAAACTTAGCTTTTCTATCCACTCATCTACAAAGAAGTGTATGAATAAGAGCAAGGATACTTGATACCATACATTGAGCTACCCTCATAATAAGCCCTGGTGACAATGCAGGCACTTCTCTAAGTGTGAGTTTCACGTAAAATTAAGAAAATGTTCTCCAGTCTTTGCTGGCCCATAGTTTGCTATTAACATCATCTTTGGGCAATGAATGGAAAATTTGGCTCATGAAAATCAGAAAATGCTAAACTTCTAGACAGGTAAACTCTTACACAATAATTAATTGAATCCAACAGTTCCTGCTACATTCTCCAAACCAAGAATCATTGTCACAGAATGCCACCCATTATCCCCACCTGGGTTCTGGGGCTGTACATGGTGGCTTATGCCTGTAATCTCAGCACTTTGGGAGGCTGAGAGGTGGGGAATCACCTAGGCCGGGAGTTTGAGACCAGCCTGACCAACATGGAGAAACCCCGTCTCTACTAAAAATACGAAAATTAGGCAGGCATGGTGGCATATGCCTGTAGTGCCAGCTCCTCGGGAGGCTGAGGTTAGAGGATCACTTGAGCTGGCAGGTTGCAGTGAGCTTAGATCGTGCCACTGTACTCCAGCCTACGCAACAGAGCAAGACTGTCTCAAACAAAACAAAACAAAACAACATACACAAAAACCACCAAGTTCTGTATCCTGGTTAGCTTGAAGGAAACCGTGGGGCATTTTCAATAAAAAGATTTCTGCTTCTGCGATTATACCCCTCGGGTACCTGGACTCTTCTGAGGTTTGGGTTCCATGATGGCTGTGTGTCCTCCCCTGTCAAAAGGAAGGGTTAGTGTTAGTCCCCAAACAACACTACGTGTGTTTCATTGACCAGCCACCGCTGGTCAGTGAGTATCAGGATTGTGCTCACGAATGTTGCTGAGATGGGTTGTGAGTCTCCCATTCCCATCCTTTCTTTAGTATTTCCCTCCCTGTTCCTGAGGCTGACGGTAGCTGCAGTAACGGGGACACATCTAAGCAGCTTGTCCTCACACAGTGGGTGGTTCTGCGGAGGTGTTGTTGAGAAGACTGAAGGAGCTTGTCTTCCTGGGATTTTCTCTGTTCTTACTGCTTTGATAAGAGAGCTGGCGGATGGCAACACAAAGGAGAGATAAGAACAGGGCAAAGGGCAGGATGCCATGGAGCCAACGTAGCCGAGAAAGCATCACTGGCTGAGAGGAAGCCCAAGATAAGCCTTTCTCCATGCCCAGGGGCTTGCTTTCTCCAGGGGAAACTTAAGAACAAGGACCGCCAGGCACGGTGGCTCATGCCTGTAATCCCAGCACTTTGGGAGGCTGAGGCGGGTAGATCATGAGGTCAGGAGTTCGAGACCAGCCTGACCAACATGGTGAAACCCCATCTCTACTAAAAATACAAAAATTAGCCGGGTGTGGTGGTGGGCACCTGTAATCCTAGTGCTCGCCTGTAATCCCTCAGGAGGCTGAGGTAGGAGAGTCGCTTGAACCCGGGAGGCGGAGGTTGCAGTGAGCCGAGATCACTCCACTGCACTCCAGCCTGGGCGACAGAGCAAGACTCCTGAGGATAACCTGGAGAAACTGAATCTGAGAGGCAGCATCCTTTCCTGGCCAGCTGCTGGCGATCCTATGACCATCATAGGATGGAGAGAAGGGACTCCCTCAGGGGAAGGGCTGCAGGGCAAGTGAGGTCTTTGAAACCACAAATTTGGTATGACTAACTTTTACCTTAAGTTAGTAAGACTCTCAAAATAGAAGGCCCTGAAAAGGGAGGTGCCCAAGCAGCCCCAAGTAAGATGGGGGAGGAAGCAGAGGCCCTTGACCCTCCTGACCTCTCCCTTTCTTCAACATAAACTCATTCTTCCTTCCTAACATGTAGATGACTTACAGCAATTCTTTAATTACGTGTGTGTATATGCATATACAGAGATGAAAAAATACATATATTCAGGCTGGGTGCAGTGGCTCATGCCTGTAATCCCAGTACTTTGGGAGGTTGAGGTGGGCGGATTGTTTGAGGTCAGGAATTCCAGACCAGCCTGGCCAACATGGCAAAACCCCATCTCTACTAAAAGTACAAAAATTGGCCGAGCGTGGTGGCGGGCACCTGTAATCCCAGCTACTTGGGAGGCTGAGGCAGAAGAATCACATGAACCCAGAAGGCAGAGGTAGTGAGCCGAGATCACATTACTGCACTCCAGCCTGCGTGATAGAGCAAGACTCCATCTCAAATAAAAAAAATATATAATACAAATATATATATATATGTGTTCAGAGATGAAAATCCTAAGATTAAGACAAGTTCTAAGATATGCTTTTGGTGGTTTGTCAGAGCATTTGGAAGCTCTTTGAAGACCAGTGGGATGGCTTTCCTGGACCCTGGAATCATACCTACCCTGCCCCTAGGGAAAGATTTTCTCCCTTGAGGTATCCTGTATAATCACAGTAGTGATCATTTGAACAAATTACAACTTTTCTCGGGCATCTGAAGGCATATGTTGAAGAACCGGTGCCCTTAGCCCTCGCCTGCTGTAGCGGGCACACTCAGCTCTGTGCAATGAGCTATAATGCCTGGGAAAGATGCCAAGCTATTGAGGCCGAAGGCTGTTGTTTCCTGGAAGAGCAATTCTGTGTGAGAAAGAGAACGTAACCTCTTCAAAACCTTGCCCACTCCCCAAAATGCATGGATAATATTTAAAAAATTATCCCTGAGATTTCTTATCAAATCCATGAGGTTCTTTCCAGTTTCAAGGATTTCACTGCCTGAAGAGCTGGGGACAAGCGGTTTTCAACCCATCACCTTTCCCTCTGTCCATGTTTATAGGACTTGGCCACGCCCCCTATGCAGCTGTTAGCCTAATGAGTGATGGCCCTCAAGGATCCAATCGGAGAAATGTGCAGGAGAGATTAGCTGTGGGTGGCATATTTTAAAGCAGTGTTTACTGCAAGCTGTTTTTGAGCTGCTGTTTGTCAAAAAGCCAAAAAATCATTTTAAAAAATATTTCTAAAGCCTTTAAAGTTTATAAAATGCATTTGCATACATTATTTTTTTGTGTTCAGAATGGCTTCATTCTGAGATAGCTCATTTTACAAATGAAAAGCTGCATTTGAGAGAAGACTGAGATGACTTGGACCTAGGTCCCCTGGCAGAACTCCACACAGCACCACATTCATGCTCATGGACACTCCCAAATAACATTTGCCCTCCCTGTGCCCTGTGGATGTCAAAGTGTGCTTTGGAGGACATCTCTGTCCTTCCAGTGTCTGCAAAGGGCTCCAGAGTCATGTGCTGCAACCATTCCTCCTTCATCTCCCCACCCACCGTAAAATGAGAGGACAGATAAGGCAGTAGGGTGTGGTGGTTTAGAGTGTTAGCTCTGGCATCTGGGTTTAAATTTCATCTCCATGAATTATGAGGAATGTGATCTTGGATACTTTATAATACTTCTCTACACCTCCATTTCTTCATCTGTAACATGAAGGTTATTACTACCCTCATCAGATTGCTGGGAGTATCACTTGAGATACCCTGTTGATGAGCACTCCTCAGTACATAATAGAAGCTCAATAAATGCTAGTTGTTAGGTCCTTTCCAGCTCAGATATTCTATGATTCTATGGTTGTTTAATAATGGGTAGCATTTTTTGAGTACTTAATACATTCCAGGCACTTCTAAGCAATATGTATATGAAAGATTTTATGTATATGTATACATATAATTTCACATATACATATAAAATCTCATCCTAACCTCATAACCGTACTCTAAAGCTTGCACTGTTTTCACAATGATACAATGCCCATTTACAGACGAGGAAATGGTTATCGGAGAGATTAAACAACTTTACTTTGATCATGTAATTAAAAAGAAGCAGAACCAGAATTCTAGCTTGAGAGCTGGCCTTAACTACTTTGCTTTTCCTCCTATCTAAGAAAGTAGAATTAAGTCTTTTCATAGTTCTGCTTGTTTTTCTTGTCATTGCCCCCAAACAAAAAAGAAAGCCTTTCTGATTTAGCTGTTTGATCTCATTCAGGAGAATCTCCCCACAGTCACTGCCTGACCCATTTATTATAACATTATTTTGGATTTGGTGAATACAGTATACCAAGAGGTCAGTCCTATTTCCCTCTGACTATAGTATAGCCTAGGAAGCTTATGAAGAAAGTGCCCATAACAGAAATACAGCATATCTGCAAAATTTTCCATTTCCAATTTTGCAATTGTTCAATTGCAAAAAAGCTTCTAGATCATCCCAGCCTTGGAAGTCCAAACCAGATACACCAAGCAGTACTTACTGGAAGCCAAGAGGTCGCTGGTCCAGTGCTCAGGAAAGTGCCTTGTCCCGAGGATTCCTGAACTCACTCCTGCTGACTCTGAGCCTTGGTGCCTGGGTGAGGATTAAGCACAAACTCTGCTTGAAATCTGAACCACCAGGAAGTTCCCAAACTAATATCCTTGAGCAGATTTTATTCTTGCCCCAAACTGAAATGGAAGCTATGCCCTCAGGGGAAGTTCTGGGCCTTCATACTTGTGGCTTGCCACAGAACTCTCCTTGGTGTCCCAGCTGCCTAGCACCAAAAATGAAAGCAAACACATTAATAATAAAAAAAAATTCCTGCCAGACTTTGGACCATGGTCACAATAACCCTTATTGAGAACAACGCCAATTTACCCTCAACCGTCTGTGGTGACTACCATTGAAAAAAAATCCCTATGCCTCCCTCAGCCATATCTTAACCAATGTCTTCCTGGGAAGGGTAGAAAGGGTTCCTTTGTACCAGATGAGGAAACAAAAGCCTGGCTTCTCTAAACACTTGTACATGCCAATGGTTTCCAGGAAGAGTTGCTCATTCAGCCATGACAGAGTGTTACCATCAACAGGGTGGCGCTAGGCATGTTCCCCTGCACAGCCACCAACAGCAATTGAGCAAACCATCATTCTTAGACCTGGTGAGTGGTATCCAGCCACCAAAGGGTCTTAGGTATATTTTCATGTGTATTACAGATTTCTAGGGGAGAGGAAGAAGTGATGATGAATTTTATCCTGTTCTACTGCCTTTAGAAGTAAAAGTACATCATTTGAATCCTCATCCTCACGAGGGTAGCTGGTCTGGAATCAGCTCTGCCATGGATCCATTGTGTGGTCTTGGCAAGTTAACTGGAGTTCTCTGAGTCTGTTTCCTCATCTGCAAAATGGAACAGATAATACTGACTTCACAGGATTTTTTTTTAAAGTTAAGTAAAATTTCACATATAAAAAGCATCTAGCACAGTGCTTTATCCACAGTTAGCATTCAACAGAGGGTATTTCTTTGTTTTTCTCTTTTGCATCCTATGGAGGGTAGATGTTATTGGTTTCTTCATTTAGCAAACCTAGCTGGACTTCAGGCATACAGAAATTATTGATATATTGTTTGCTTCCTGCACAGGACCAGTTTTGCTTGATTTAGGAAAAACAATTTCTTAATTTTGATATAGTTTGGATGTCCCCTCCAAATCTCATGTTGAGATGTAATCCCCAGTGATGGAGGTGGAGTCTGGCTGGAGGTGTTGGGTCCTGGGGGTGGATCCCTCATGGCTTGGTTCTGTGTCTGAGATAGTGAGTTGTACTGAGGTCTTTATTTAAAAGTGTGTGGCATCTCCCCCAACTCTACTGCTCCCACTCCCACCAGGTGACATGGCTACTCCCGCCTCACCTTCCACCATGCGTAAAAGAAAGCCCCCTGAGGTCTTCTCAGAAGCTGAGAGATGCCAGGACTATGCTTCCTGTACAGCTTGCAGAACCATGGGCCAATTAAACCTCTTTTCTTTATAAATTATCAAATCTCAGGTATTTCTTTATAACAAGACAGAGATAGACCTAACAGAATTTCCTGGATGTTCTTTTGGGCTAACTTTTGATAATTCTGGAGATAGTCTTAATGTCTTTACATTAGAATTTTAATCAGATACCAGTTGTAGCTCTAAGTAGTTCATAAAAAGCTTGTGCTGATTTCCACTTACTTGGGAACTATAAAGTCCAGACAGCCTATTGTTATAATATAGAGACCTAACCAAAAAGGGGAAGAGGGAAAATTACTGTAAGACTTGTGTTCCTTTGGAAAGGATACCGATGAAACAGTTAGATGTGCTTTCCATCAGCAACCTGTTCATCTGTCTGTCCCTCCACCTACCCACCCATCCAACCCACCCTATTCTAGGCTTTTTTGTATTATTTTTCCAATAGTATTACAAAACTCTTTGGAGGAAGAAGCCTAACAAAGCTATTTGTACTGTAGATAAACCCATGAAATATAAACTGAAAAGCAAACAAAAACTGGCACAGACACCAAATACTAAACTTGCAAAACAAACATACCTATGAAACACAAGCATAGGTTTTTTTTTTTTTTTTTTTTTTTTGAGACGGAGTCTAGCTCTGTCGCCCAGGCTGGAGTGCAGTGGCGCGATCTCGGCTCACTGCAAGCTCCGCCTCCCGGGTTCACGCCATTCTCCTGCCTCAGCCTCCCGAGTAGCTGGGACTACAGGCGCCCGCTACCACGCCCGGCTAATTTTTTGTATTTTTAGCAGAGACGGGGTTTCACCGTGTTAGCCAGGATGGTCTCGATCTCCTGACCTCGTGATCCGCCCGCCTCGGCCTCCCAAAGTGCTGGGATTACAGGCGTGAGCCACCGCGCCCGGCCAAGCATAGGTTTTTAAAAGTTGTTTCCAATGACCTGTAAACAAGGTATCAATTACCTGTCACAAAAAGCAATCGCCTGTTCATCTGAAATATCAGATGAGTTATTCCATGACTTTGTTAATTGCGCTTTCCTGTCATGAAGATGCTCTTGAGTTCTGCTGCCTCTTAACCAAAACACAACCGAACAGTTTATATGGCATGGCAATACCTACTACTTATTGGGGATTTTTGTTTTACATAGAATATCTCATTTAATTCTACCTTGTTGCAGGATAAAATCTATTAATCCTAATTTTAAAAGAGGAAATTTAAATTTAGAGAGATTAAATAACTAGCTAAGGATCATGCAGCTAGTAAGTGACACACAGAAATCAGACTGGTCTGTCTTGACTCCGAAGCCTGTGTGTGTTCTTTCATATGCTACACTATGTGAGTCCTGGGCTGAGATCAGTTGGCCTCGGGTCTCGGCCTACTCTGACTGTGTGACATTGCGTAGATTGCCAGATATTGGGCCTCATAATCCCATTACTGTCCTTCCCCAAAGAGCTCTAAGTACCCATTCATCTCTGATTATGATTATGCCTTTGAATCAAAGTCAAGGGCTTATTAGCGTGCAGGCCATTTCACTCCATGCTGCGTGCTCATTGTCCATGTGGATAGTAAATGTGTCTTTGTCAGTGACACCGGTAAAGGAGTGACATCAATGACATCACTTCAAAGCATCCTTACTATACCTCTTCTCTGGAACAAAGAATTCAAGGAAAGCAAGGAGAAAGCTGTACACAGAACAAAGTAATAACAAAGGTATCTTTTAGATTATATTAAAAATGGTATCAAACCAAGACCTATTTTCTATCATCTGTTTGGTAGTAGTCTGAATCATCTGATGTTTGTAAAGAGAAAGGAACTGATGATATAAAGCATTTTGTATAATTTTATATGGTTCTCTTCCATGACTGATTTTGGAAATTGCTCTATAGTTAGGATTGCTTTTGGCTCTTAAAAAAACCCAAAACTCAACAATAGTGGCTTATAATTTATTTATCATACATCATGCAAGAAGTCTGGAGTGAAGCATTTCCAGACTTATTTTGACGATTCAGTGATGTTAGAACTAAGGTTATGTGTCTGATTTTCTTGGCCTTTTCCATATGGTCAGAAGTTGGCTGCCATAAGCATCATGTTTCCACAACACACTATCTCAAGCAGCAGGGAAGTGTTGGGGGAAAATGAGCATTCTCCTTATGTGCTTTTCACTTCAGGGAGAAAAATTCCTCCTACAAGGCCTGAATAAGACTTTCTCTTACATCTGATTGGATTGGTCAGCTATTACCTCAAGAAGACCAGTCATTGGCCAAGAGGAAATGAGATTTCATTGGCTTGCATCAATCATGATAATTTCCCTTGCCGTCTGAACAAAATTGGGGTTCTGCTAGCCAAGAAGATGGACCATGACTGTTACAGACATTATCATCCCTCTCTCCCTCCATCGTCCCCTGCCTCCCCTCAAGATTGTTTCCAAGAACTCTTACTCCTGGTCTCTGCACGCTAAGCACCTTGGCCTTTGTACATGCTGCTCCCTCTCTCTGGCCCACTCTTCTCCTGTTTCTTCCACTGGCTAACTACTACACATCCTTCAGCTCTCACTCCAACATCACTTCTCAGTGATTCCTTCTCTCCCCAGACAAGGCCAGATTCTTTATGACACATTATCATGGTGCAATGTTAACCTCAGTACACATTTTGCCATTTGTAATTTTAGATGCATTTGTCTGATTATTTGGTTAATGTCTGTCTCTTCCTCCACAAGACTGTATAATCCATTAGTACTGTGTCTGTTTCTTCTGACCAGTGTATCCCCAGTAGCTAGCTTAAATGCCTATCCATTCTTTATTTATTTACAGTGTGCCTACTATATGCCAGATGTTATAGATAATAGAAAAATGGAAAGATTAGTGTTTTTTGAGAGCTCATAATTTGACCAGGGAGATCCAGAGAAAACTAACTTTAATACTCCATTGGTAATCCCTCCTACTTCACTGTTGTACCTCACTTTTTAAATTTAATTTCATTTTTTTATACTTTAAGTTCTAGGGTACATGTGCACAATGTGCAGTTTTGTTACATATGTATGCATGTGCCATGTTGGTGTGCTGCACCTGTTAACTCATCATTTACATTAGGTATTTCTCCTAATGCTATCCCTCCCCCCTCCCCCCACCCCACGACAGGCCCTGGTGTGTGATGTTCCCCACCCTGTGTCCAAGTGTTCTCATTGTTCAATTCTTATGATTACACTCTGGACCTTGGAACTACCCATTCTTGCATGAACTTCGATAACTTTGACTGGGGTGCTCCACTTTCCAACTGCAATCTCCCTTCCTTCTATGCTTTACATTTCTTCACTTCAGCCTCTCCAAGACCTCAAGATTCTGGACCCTTCCTCGTTCTTTCAGTATGTCTGCTGAGATCAGTGTCCATTAGCAGCTGAAACTGCCACTCTCTCAACTGCCTGCAAAAGGAAATAAGCTGGGTTGAACTTTGCACAAGAATAACTACTGATGGGATCAGGGTGAGCACCTTACCCTAGGACTGCCCCTCTATTGGCTGGCTTTTGACCCAGGGAGAGGCCTGACACAAAGAACTTTGCTCAGAAGAGGCAATGGCAGCGAGCCAACCCTTGCTGAAATTTTCTCTTCTCTTTGCTTCCAAGTTACTCTCTCACTTGGTTCTCACTATACTGATCTATTTCTTTGTTTTGTTTGCTGGGTTTTCTACCAGCATGCAATCTTTACTTTTTGGAGTCCCCAGAGTTCCTTCCTTAGATACTGTATTTCCTTACTTTGCAAGTATTTCTCAATGCTGGAAATAGTGTGGGTCCATTGAGGTTGGTGACCGTAAATTTGGCAAGAGTCCTGATGTGTGATTTCCTCCAGTGGCCTTCAGCTGTTCAGGAGCAGGCATGGGGGAGCCAGGGCCTGGGGTTCATTTCAGCTTAGCATTTTTGCTAGGAAAATGCCACAGAAGGAAGGCAGCAAGGGAGTTTAGCATACTTGCTGAAGAATGCTCAAAATGTTGACTCATGGAATCAGAGGGTCATAAGGAGGAAATAACTAAGGAGATAAAGAGATAAAGGAGATAGGAGGAGATTCTTGGGGACGGGCATCCTGGGTAGTGATTCCTGGTGAGATGTGCCGTCAAAGACAGATGGTACAAGCTGACTGAAGGATAGGAAGTAGTGCTTGGAGAGAATATGCTTGATCGATCTTAAAATAGAGAAATTGCAAGGCGCAGGTAGCTTAGCTATGTAGCGTAGAAGGTCATTGGTGACGAGGAGGTCAAGGAACTGAGGGGCTAAAGTGTTTGGCCATCCACATGGTTGTCCAGTTGATGGAGCAAAGTCCTTTTAAAGTTCTCTAAACATTTTAAAAACATGAGAAACGGAATAAAGGTAATTAACTCTACCTGCTTCCCCCAATACACACACATACCAGTGTCTATTTTTGTATTTAGATTCATTTGTTAGAGCAAAAGCAGATGTAGATGCCAAAAGAGGACTTCGAGATCCACAGAAGATTGAAGTCAGAATCTTCCTTATTTAAAGAGAACACCTGGGTCCAGTTTCTGGGGATTAGGGAATGTATACAGGTGATAGAGGATGGCCCAAAGATTTCGGACTGGGAGTCAGCCAATGAGACCACCACTGGGGCAGAGGGAGGGATGATGAGTTCTTCCTCTTTTTTCTTTCCTTTCTTTCCCATTATGGCCCTGAATCTTAGTAGGTCCAACTTGCTTGGCACTGGGCCAAAAGGGTCAGTGTTGGTAAGGAAGGGGTGGCAGTGCAGTCGAAGAAAAAGTGGAGTAGGAAGGAAACCCCCAAATTGATGGTCCTGTGCAGTGGCCTCTTTCCCACCAGCCCATCACATCTGTAGGGTGTGGTGTAACCCTGGAACCCTATGTTTCCTAGAACTCCTGTTGGTCAGTGATAGAGCTTCCCTGCTGCTCTGGATCTAGGAGCAGCCCAATTTTTTTTTTTTTTTTTTGGCACTTCAACTGCTATCATAACAGAAGCAACCCTATTTCATTTCTGGGACCTGGAGAAGAAAGAACATATTCCATATGGATTCTGTATGAATCATGAATTTGAAGAATCAGGTAAAGCCCATGAAATCAGACCACACATCCCACTTAGCATCGTGTTTTATTCTTCTAAAGTTTTTTATTCTTCTGAACTCAACTTCTAAACGTTTATTGTTCCAAGAGATGTATATATTTTTAAAACGTTTTCATTCCTTTCACCTTCTATTTAAGTTGAAGGCAGTTAATAAGAAAGAATATTTCCTTTCAGCATTTATTGGTACCACTTGCATAACAGGCACAGTTGGGAATTTTGAAAAAAGAATTAAACATAGACTTTGCTCTTAGGGACCTTATAAACTAATATGGCAGATAAATCTGTACAGAAATAATGTGTCAGTCAGGGTCCCAGCAGGAAACAGCATGCTCAAAGGATTTATTGAAGAGAGTTATTGCAGGGTCTGTCTGCAGAGGTGGAGGCAGGGTTAAAGGAGCAGCAAGAAATGGTGGTGGGATGGTGGTGTAGCAAGAGTGGGAAGACTTCACCTCCTCTAGGCTTGCAGGGATGAAAGGAGGGAGAAGTATTACCCAATTTTGATGAAAGCTGAAGTCATGAGATAAACCTACACTATAGGGGTAGTGGCCGTAGTCAAGATATATGGTTACTTGTCCAGACCATGGCACAGCATGGAGGGAGCAGGGGGGCTGGGGTGGGGTAGGATGGGAAGAAGCCAGCAGAGGAGATTAACAAGAAGCATTCAGAGGAGCATGTGAAAAACCAGGAGTGTGTGGCGTCTAGCAGTAGAGACAAGGTTTGGGTGGGTGGGGGGCAGCCACCTCACATGCTGCCAAGAGGAAGGGTGAGATGGATTTGGTAGGGTAAGGACAATTGCGGCTTTGGCGAGAACCATTTGGTGAGTGGTGTGGAGCAAAAGTCTGATTGGAGCAGGTTAACTAGAGAAATGGCCCATCTGTTGAGGACCCTCACGGCAACAAATGGTGGAAGAGAGTGGAGAGGGACTCTGGAGGGGCAAGTGGAGATAATCCAGAAGGAGTATAATATGAGGATATTAAGTGGCCAGTGCTGTCAGGGCAAGGCAGAGCAAGAGCATGGGATTCAGAGAAGAGAGCCATTCTCCCAAAGCAGGAAGAGAAAGAGACAGAGGGAGATCTCATGGAGAAGATGGTGTCTTGGCTGGGTCCTACAGGCTGGTGTGGCCAACAGTTTCCATTTAATGCCCCCCACCCCTCCATGTCTCAATTGCCCTGGGTACCCATGTAACTCGTGGACAGCAGACACACTCTTGACCCCAGCAATGGCCCAGTCATGGTTCAGAGGCAGAGGGAGCCTAAGAGGGAAACTGGGTCAAAGGATCCCTCTCTTTCTCTTGGCAGGGCCATGGGGATGGGAGAGCATTTTGCTTCCTTGAGGGAAGCTAGCCTTGCAATGAAGATGACACAGGACAAGGGCAAAACTGAAAGTCACAGAGATACAGAGCAGCAGTCAGGATGACTTGGCAAACTCTGGACCAAACTGTGCTTGAATTCCATACTTCCTCTGCACTTTCTCATTATGGGAAACTAAAAATGTCCTAACTGTTTAAGTCAGTTTTCATTAAATTGTTTTGTGAAATGTAAAACATCTTGATTGAGAGCTATTATGATTTGGACATTAGGTAATTGGTCCAAGGGTGAAGATGAGGGGAGGGAGTTTGGAGGCAGAGAAAATATAAGAAAAAGGAAGGTGATTCAATATAACATAGTATGTACTAGCATAGAGTCAGACTTCCTGGGTCCATTGCTATGTTCCGTGATTTGGAGAAGCTACTCAACCTCTCTATGCCTCAGTTTCCTTGTCTATAAAATGAGAATGATAGTATACTTGATAGAGATGTAATGAGAATTAAATGAACTTATACTTGTAAAGAACTTAGAGCAGTGTTTGACATAGAGAAAACACATTATAAGTGCTTGTCCAATAAATGAAGGGCCTCGTGTCTGTACTTTACAACTGAACTTGTTCATGAGTCCCACCTGTAAAGAGAGGGGCTGGGCTCCTCTCGGAGTGTGAAGACTCTCCAAATACTTTATGTAGTGACAATGTGGGTGTCAGGTAATTCTTTCCATGTTTCATATGAGTAAATAGAGGTTTCAGGAAGATCAAAATCATTTAAGAGAGAATCTGATAATAAACATCATGATGGAGTTAAAGCCCAGGAGACCAAGAATTAGGACCCTGAGTTTATGCTTCTGCTCTGCTTCAACTCACTGAAGACCTCAAGTCTGTCCCCTTTCTTCTTCTTAAGGGTATGGGGGTTGACCAGATGATCTTCAGGTACCTAACAGACCTCATAGTTTCATAATAACACCACTGTAATTGATTCTACAGTTTAGCATTTACCAAGCATTTGGACAGCGTCTTCTGCTCATATAAAAACCTTGTCAGACAGGCAGTATGGATATTATTTTCCCTGTTTTACAACCAAGAAGGGAAGCCAGCTGATGAAAGCTTTTATGTCAGGTATGTTATCCCTGAGGGTAACAGGAGTTGAATCGCACTGGGAAACTCTGGGAGCTGGTGGAAAACACCTGCCTCAGTGTTATTCTATACAGTGGGGAGGGAGCTGGGGTATTTACATACCAACCGTGCCAGTCATCAGAGAACATTAATTTATTGGCATTTCTAGCCTGTCATACATGTAGCAAAGTGGGCTCAAGGGACCAGAGGAATCCTTGGGGCAAAAACACATGGATTCTGGCAGTTGAGAAAAGGCCAGTGCACTGACATGATTAGTATGAGGAGATATGGGCAGCCACCATCAGCATCTGCTACAGTCTTCTTGGGAAGGTGCTCTTGTCATCTCTACTTGCAAATAGATGTGTAAAATGTGATTTTAGTTGAGTACATTGCTATTCTGAACTCAGTTGCCTTACATGGCAAAACAGACTTTGCAAATGAAGCTTAGAATCTTGGGATGGGAAAATGAAACTGGTTCAGGTAGAATGGGGATGCCTGTAACCTCAAGGCAGGCCCGGCATAATCACAAGGGTCCTTACAAGAGGGAGGGGGAAGGCCAGAGGGTGGGGGGAAATGCTATTCTGATGGCTCTGAAGGTAGGAGAAGGGGCCAGGAGCCAAGGAATGTGGGCAGGTTCTAGAAACTGGAAAAGGAAAGGAAAATGTATTCTTTTCTAGAGCCTACAGAAGGAACCAGCTCTGTGGACATCTTGATTTTTTTTTTTTTTTTTTTTGAGACAAGTCTTGCTCTGTCACCCAGGCTGGAGTGCAGTGGTGTGATCTCGGCTCACTGCAACCTCTGCCTCCCAGGTCAAGCAATTCTCATGCCTCAGCCTCCTGAGTAGCTGGGATTACACGTGCTCGCTACCATGCCCAGCTAATTTTTGTATTTTTAGTAGTGACAGGGTTTCATCATGTTGACCAGGCTGGTCTTGAACTTCTGACCTCAGGCGATCCACCCGCCTTGGCCTCCCAAAATGCTGGGATTACAGGCGTGAGTCACTGTGCCCCGTCTTTTTTTTTTTTGAGACAGGGTCTCACTCTATTGTCCAGGCTGGAGTGCTGTGGTATGATCTTGGCTCACTGCAGCCTGAACCTCTGGGGCTCAAGCCATCTTCCCACCTGAGCCTCCCGAGTAACTGGGACTACAGGTGCATGCCACCATGCCTGGCTACTTTTTGTATTTTTTTTAGAAATACAAAAGGTTTCACTATGTTGCCCAGGCTGGTCTTGAACTCCTGAGTTCAAGCTATCCTCCTGCTTTGGCCTCCCAAAATACTGGGATTACAGGTGTGAGCCACTGTACCCAGCCATGCTGACATCTTGATTTTAAACTTCTGACTTCAATAACTCAAAGAGAATCAATTTGTATTGTTTTAAGTCACTAAATTTGTGATAGTCTCTTACAGTAGCAATTGGAAACTAATACAGAGAGAGTGGATATTGGGTGGGTTAATGGAAGAGTCTACCACAGATATCTAGCAGGTATCTTGAACAGCTTGCATAAAACAAACTTTGATTTTCGTCATTCTTACCTCTTGCATCAAAGCTGTTCCCAATCTCAGGAAACAGCCCCATGTCTTCCACCTGCTTAAGCCATAAGCCTTGAGGTCATCCTGGATTTCCAGCCTGTTTTTGTTTTGTTTTGAGATGGAGTCTTGCTCTGTCATCCAGGCTGGAGTGCAGTGGCTCGAGCTTGGCTCACCGCAACCTCCGCCTCCTGGGTTCAAGTGGTTCTCATGCCTCAGCCTTACAAGTAGCTGGGACTACAGGCTTGTGCCACCACACCCAGCTAATGATTTCTAGCCTTTCCTCACATTCCCACCTCAAATTTGTCAGCAAATCCTACTGGCTCTTCCTCAGTAGGTGTATACTTATCCCCAAACTCACTGAGTTGTATATATTATATATGCACAGCTTTTTGCATATCAATCATACCTCAATAAAGTGTTTTTTTTTTTAAAGGCCACGCCCAAATCGGATGCCTTCTCATGACCCATTCCACCTGCCATCATTTCCACCTAGGTCATGACTGCAGCAGCCTCCCACCTCGCTCCCTGCTCCACTCATTCTCCCGCTAATCCATTCTCCAGAGTGTCTTTCACAATTGTACATCAGATCCTGTCACTCCCCTGCTCCAATCCCTCCAGTGGTTTCCCGTTTCATTAGAAGGAATCCAATGTGCTTTCCACAGTTGAAAGCCTGACTGATCTGGCCCTGCCTGCCTTTTGCCCCTGCTTCCAGCACCCTGCTCTGCAATACTTTTTAAAAAATTATTATTTTATTTTATTTTTCCATAAGTTATTGGGGTACAGGAGGTATTTGGTTACATAAGTTCATTAGTGGTGATTTGTGAGATCCTGGTGCATCCGTCAGCTGAGCAGTACACACTGCACCATGTATGTTGTCTTTTATCCCTCATCCCCCTCCCACTCTTCCCCCCAAGTCCCCAAAGTCCACTGTATCATTCTTGTGCCTTTGCGTCCTCATAGCTTAGCTCCCACATATCAGTGAGAACATATGATATTTGGTTTTCCATTCCTGAGTTACTTCACTTAGAATAAGAGTCTCCAATCTAATCCAGGACACTGCAAATGCTGTTAATTCATTCCTTTTTATAGCTGAGTAGTATTCCATCACATATATATATTTCTCACAGTTTCTTTATCCACTTGTTGATTGATGGGGATTTGCGTTGGTTCCACGATTTTGCAGTTGTGAATTGTGCTGCTATAAACATGTGTGCACAAGTATCTTTTTCGAATAATAACTTATTTTCCTCTGGGTAGATACCCAGTAGTGGGATTGCTGGATCAAATGGTAGTTCTACTTTTAGTTCTTTAAAGAATCTCCACACTGTTTTCCATAGCAGCTGTACTAGTTTACATTCCCACCAGCAAACCCTGGCTTTTCTGATGCTTCTCAAAGAGGCCCAGGTTGTAGCTGCCCCAGGGCCTTTGCATTCACTGCTTGCTCCACCAAGAACCAAGCTCTTACACACAGTCACGTGGTCCACTCCCTCACTCCACTCCCGTGTCTGCCCAGCTGTATTCTCCTCAAAGAGACATTTCCCAGCCACTCTGTCTGACATGGACTCCTCTCTCCCACGTCACTGTTTCTGAGCTCCTTCTCCTACTTTATCTTTCTTCATAACACTCCTCTCTCTGTCACTCTCTCTAGAACTGTCTGTCTTCCCCACTAAAAGATAAATCCTACGAGGACTAAGATTGTTTTGTTCAGTGCCAACAACAGTGCTTGGCACATAGTTCAATAAATATTTGTTAATTGAAACACACGCACACACACACATATGGTTATTTATATGATTACTTCCTTTTGGATGTCATGGACAGTTAAGGGTAAGTGGTGACTACCCACGTAGCTGTGGTTTACCTAGAACACGGATTTGTGCATTTTTACAGAGCCACCCACATCTCTTATATCTTTATGCCTGAAAGAGAAATTGGTCTTCAGCTCCCACAAGTCCTGTCAAGCTAGAAGAGAAATTGTGAACCAACAGTAATTTCATTGAAAGTACAAATCCTCCAACACAGTCCCTTTCGATCACTGAAGGATCTTTTTGTGCTCTCAAATGAGAGGGACCATTGTCCCTGTTGAGTATGTGGGACACTGTTAAGTGCTGGTTGATTAATTATAGCAAATTCTTACCTGGCATTCTTACTTAATCAACTATTTCTAGCACATACCCAAATTTCCTGGTTTTTAAAACGATCATGCTCTTTTGCCCTTGGTACTACATTTTTGAAAAAGCTGATAGAATATATCTATTTTTTGCAAATTCTCTCCTGCTTTTTGTTTTGTTTTTTCTTTCCTCTTCCCCCTCTTATAACCAGTCTCATAAAGGGTGTAGATATCCCTTAGGACTCTCCTTATACTCTAAAGTTTCTAAACTGTTCAACTCACCCTTTTGGGACTATTCTACCACTGGTGATAAGATTGGCTGCAAATGGGAATCTCCTGGAAAGGTTTAACAACACTGCTTCCCGGGTGCCAGCCTGAGAGATCCTGATTTAGTTGGTCTGGGGTGCTGCCTGGGCATTGAGATTGGAAACCTCTCCAGGTGACTCTAAGGTGTTGCTAGTGTTGACAGTCATCACATCTAGTCCCTCTCATTAGAGTCTTTAGAACTCCTCTTAAGAATCAACTCCACTAGTTGGACATGGTGACTCATGCCTGTAATCTCAGCACTTTGGGAGGCCAAGGCAGGTGGATCGCCTGAGGTCAGGAGTTCGAGACCAGCCTGACCAACATGGTGAAATCCCGTCTCTACTAAAACTACAAAAATTAGCCGGGCATGGTGGCCCATGCCTGTAATCCCAGCTACTCGGGAGGCTGAGGCAGGAGAATCGTTTGAATCCGGAAGGTGGAGGTTGCAGTGAGCCAAAATCACTCCATTGCACTCCAGCCTGGGCTACAGAGCTGGGCTACTTTATCTAAAACAAAAACAAAAACAAAAACAAAACAAAACAAAACAAAAAAACAAAAACTAAACTCCATAGACTCCTTGAAATTTTCCATACTTCCTAAATTCACAAAGACTTGCCTTTTGCTTGATGACTCAGTTTTCATAAGAACACCCACCAAAGGAAATGTCTCCTTACTTGATTTTAGATTTTTTTGGGAGTTTGCAAAGCCATTTTTGTGTGTTATTTCCCTGGCTCCTCCCAACATCACTGTGAGGTGGGCATTCAGGGTTAAGATGAGGCAATGGAGCTAGAGCAATGGTCTACAGAGTTAGGCTAGGGCTGCCAAACTTAGGAAAACAAAGAAATACAACAAAAAATAACCCTAGCCAGGCATGGTGGTGCACGCCTGTAATCTCAGCTAGTTGGGCAGGCTGAGGCAGGAGAATCGTTTGAACCCGGGAGGTGGAGGTTGCAGTGAGCCGAGATTGTGCCACAGCGCTTCAGCCTGGGCAGCAGAGCTAGACTGCCTCAAAACAAAAAACAACAAAAAACCCACCCACACCGGACACCCATTTAAATTGAAATTTTAGATAACAAATAAGTTTTTAGTATATTTTGTGCAATATTTTGGGATATATATATTAAAAAATGGTTGTTCTAGCTGAAATTCCAATTTAACTGGGCATCTTCTATTTCATATGGCAACTCTACATATGAAATGTGTCCTCTTCTAAAGCTCAGGCCAGCGTCTTATGCCCTTCTCTTTCCTGCCTATGATCTCCAGCAGCTTGACTACATCCGCTTTTGGAAGACGTTCTTCCTCTCCACTGCATGGGTAGCCGTTATCCTCAGAAAGAACCTCTTCTGTATGTCAGCATCATTTGCATGTCCTTTTTTCTTTTCTTCATCCTAATCTCCTTTCTGTGGCCTCAATTATTGATAAGATCAAGCTGGTTTAAAAAACACAACCCAACATTTACTTGACTTTTGCTTGATGTCTTAGTTTTCATAACAACATCCAACAAAGGAAATGTCTCCTTATTTGATTTTAGATTTTTGGGGAGTTTTGCAAAGCCATTTCTGTGTGTTATTTCCCTGGCTCCACCTAACATCCCTGTGAGGTGGGCACAAGACCTGTGGAGGTAGGTATTATTTCCTAGGTACTCACATAGGACTAATTCTATTTGAGGATGAAAGAAGAAAGGTTTGGAGAGATTAAGAGACTCCTCAAGGTCATATAGCTTGGAAGTGCCGAAGTTGGGATTTGAACCTGGGGCTATCTGACACCAGGGCCTTTTTTTTCTTAATTAGCATGCTAGGAAAACAAGAAGATGGTATTGAGGACCTTGTGGCTTAGCCATTCAAGTTTTCCAGACTTGCTCAATTTGGCTTTCTGCAACTCCTGGGGTTTGGAACAATCATTGGATAAACCTTTTCCATTCCATGTGGGTGGCTAGAGAGATAAAAAGTGTTGACAATATAGCAACCCATAAGATGCATGCATATTCTTGGAAACCTTATTTTTAACCCTGAAAAAAAAAGTGTCACCACAAGGCTCTTGAAGAAAGATTTCAGCAGTCATTGCCAGCAAAGTCAACACTAAGTCAACCCAGGGACTTGCTCTTTAAACACATTTGCTGAGGCTAAGGGGCAAATAGTTTATACGATTCTGGGTAGCTGGCCACAAATATGTGTCAAAGAGGCTTTTTTCCAAGTGTTCAGTATCTTTTTTGGTATAAGCTTCTCCTGTGCTTTAGCCCTCTGTAAATATTTGTGCAATTAATGTATGCTGGCAAATGTCTCAAGAGGAAAGCAGGCTACATTATGCCAAGCAAAATTGTAATTAGTAACACAAAAGAAAAAGAATTTGTCTCTTTCATCTCAGTGCTTAAAAACTGTCAGCACTTAAGGCAGCTGGAAGCTTCAGAAAAGATAATTTGCAAAAGCTGATTTTCCTAAGCGGTTGAGAATGGGTCCTATATCCTAATATATTTTTAAAAACCACATTCACTTGAGAATTCTGTGTTCCCTTCCCTACTTAACATTAATCTAGTTAATTACAAAAGGTGCTGTAGAGAAAAGTTCCTTTAAAAATGTCAACCTCAAAATGTTGTTAAGGGGAGCATTTTGCATTGTGGCACCTATGAGGCACTGGAGGAGAGGGAATACATGAGTGGCCCATCTTGTCTAGAAATGATTGCCTAAGTGATGCAATCGAGAGGAAGAGAAAGACGTGTGCCTGCTGACACCAGCTGGAGAAGTCAGTGCACCTGGACCCATTCAGTGAAAGCTGTCTGCTGATCCACCCCTCCCTCACACTTCACAGTCTTCCTCAAACCTGCCTGGCCAACAAGGGCTTGGCATTCCTGTGCAGCCTCTGGAAGTTTCTGGACAAGAATGCTCCAGTACTGAACTCATTTATGCCCTGAATCCTTTGCTATTCAATCTGGGGATAGGATGGCTAGCCAGGTCTTTGAACAGCCAATGCGCTGCTGGCCCCTGGGTGATCTTTTCCAGCTGTTTAATTTGGGCTTTGCTGCCACTCCTGCAGATCTGCAAGGGAGTCTTTTGGTATCAGAATAATCCATGTTGTCTGAGGACCACCTGCCTCAGAATATCTAGGCAGGTTGGTTAAACATGCAGATTCCTGGTCTCCACCCTAGACCTATTGATTTGCAATGAGGATGCAGTGGGACATAGTGATTTCCTTCCTAAACCGATCTTCCAGGAATTCTCAGGCCATCTTCTACCTGCTAACCTTAATTTCCTCTCCACCACCTTCCCTTCAGCCTTTTTTGGAGGCTGGAATGGAAGATGATGAAAACAGTTCCTTTGGAACCTCTCTTGGAATCCCCAGGCAGGATGCACCCCCTCTGTATTCCTGGGTAATGTACACATGACTGTGTTACAGCCACTAAGCCCTAGAGTGATTTGTTCACCTCCTTTGGTATAAGCATCCTTTCTTGGTCATCTTTCTAGCCCCATCCCTAATATGACATCTGGCATCTAGTAGGACTCTGAATGTTTGCTAAATAAAGCAGTCGCTGATCTAATCCCTTCACTTCTGGGAGACCTCAGGTTGAAAGCATAGACTGAAAAGCATGACTAAGGAAGAGACCTGGAGGCAGAAAGAGCAAGTGAGGCATCCAGGGGGGCATCTTCCGTTCTTGCCCCTCCATGAGCCTCATGTCATCGTCATCATCATCATTCATCACCATCATCTTTGATATCTACTACTTGTCGATTACTTTGTAACTGAGCAGCTTAGTTTCAAACTGTTTTAAGAACTTTTTTCCTTTCCTTTTCCACCTTATGCTCCCATGCCTATGCACAGTTATTTACCTAGATTCTTGTTAAGCTCACACCATGCCCACTTATCTGGTCATGTATTTCCTTAGAAGCTTCAGGGGCCGAATCCTGACATGGACGAGGCATCTCTGGAACTCTCCCCCTAGCGGGAGATGACTTCAAGGACGGAGTTCACTCCCAGCGAGACATTAACTGCACAATTGACTGCAATTAATTTGTAAGCTGGTTGGGCCCAAGATGGTGCTGGCCCCTTCGCCAGTTGGAGCAATAATTTAAGATAAGCCATCGGAGTGAAACATGCCACCTGGCACCTCCGAGCCCCTCCCCCTCCCTGTATTCCAAGCCTCTATTCTTAAACCATTGCCCACTCTCCAGAAACTGAAAAGGTGGCAATTTTCAGAAAGGATTCTGACCTTTTCCCCTTGTTGGCATTGGATAATAAAATTCACTCTCCTTTGATCACACCTTGTTCTTGTTATTTTGGCTTCTTTCTGTAAGTGGTGAGCAGCCAGATCCTCTTTCGGTTACAACTTTGTGCCAGGCATTGTACTAAGCATTTCATGTACATTATCTCATTAATTTTCACATTACCATCTTCATATGTAGATGAGGAAACTGAAGGACTGCCTAAGGTTATGTGGGTTATGTGAGTATTAAATGGTTAAATGACAGAGTTAGGATTAGAACTTGGATCAGACTCAGAGCCTAATTTTTAAACATGAATGGTTAAAAGCACCTCTGCTAAAACGTTTGATGCTATACTAATTGAGATCTACTTAAAATAACGGAAGCTAGAACTAGCAACGGAGACCAAACCTATCTCACCATGTACACCTTCCTCTTTCCCAACTCTTTCTCGAATCTTATACTATTTACTTGGGTCAGACACTTAAAGCTCGCGAAATGCTCAGCCTCGTTTATTTGCAGCCATAACCCCATGTGCCTTCCAAATTTAAATTCTTTGACAGTTTGGCTTTAAATGATTACAACAAATATTTGTTAGAAAACTGCAGTGCCATAAATATTCATAGTGCCATAAAAACCAAAAGTTATGCCGAAGCAAACTCATCGTATTTGGCTTTTGTGTTTTCTGATGTTTGTTGCGTACTTTTAGAGAGCCGATCATGCATGAACCTACAAGTTAATGGAGTTTCCATGTCCACCTCAGTACTGTGGTGGTGGCTGGGCTTTCCAAATATGTCCTTGGTGTGTTTGTGTTAATGATTTATGAATCAAAAAGAATTATTTGCCACCTGATCCAAAACAAAGCCCTGAGGTCTATCAAAAAGGTGACCTATGGCTTGAGGGCACACTGTCAAGGAGAAATAATAATTCTCCCAGTGTCCACTGGGCTCTAGGGATAGGACAGGTGGAAAAGAAAGCTCTGAAGCCTCAATGCTCAGCAGTCCTGCCACCAAAAAAAGCATGCAAGAAATGGCTCCTTTAATCCTATTATGTTTATGAAAACATTTTAAAGGCTGCAATTCACATTCACAGACACTTTGAGATCATATAAATAATCCTTTTATGCCACTCAGCAAAGGCTTATTTAACATGGAGCTGGGCAAAGAGTGTAAAAAGTGTACTATGTACTTTAAGGGTATCGTGGAATTTTAAAAGAGGTTAGGAGAGCTTGAAAACCTGTCTTCCATGAAAGCTCCAAAATATTCTTTTATTAATCCTTTGTAGGCATGTACTATCAGCTCCATGTTCAGTGCAGAGGGGAGACCAAAAAAAAATATATATATATATATACATGTGGTCCTTGTCCTCAAAATAGAGCTTCCTAAACTGTAATGTACACATGGACCACTTGGGAATCTGGTTAAAATGCAGATTCACGTTGAGTAGGTCTGGGGCGGGGTTGAGAGTCTGCATTTCTGACAAGCTCCCAGGGGATGCTGATGTGGCCAGTCCAGGCACTCGCTCAATGTTGCAAGGCACTAAAACATTTACAAGCAAACAGTATAAAGTAGCTTTCTGATCTGCATGTCTTCGAAGAATTCTTTAGGATACCTGGGCTGCTGCTATTTGTCCAGTGGCTAATTAACACAGAAGAATTTTTGCTATAAACTGATGACCAACACAGCCTCTTACCTGGCCAGAGGTTTTCTGGAAAAGGGCCTGAAAGATGAAAAGCTGGCAAAAATGGTGTGCTTCGAGGAAGTCAAAGGCAATCAATCCTTGGTCACCAGAGTAGCTGGTAATAAAAGATTTCAGGTGACGCACTGCAAGACTGGGCAAAATAAGGGATTTGTCAGCCAGTGTCTAGGACATTTTGGTGGATGTTGTTTTCTTTCTCACAGAGAGGCCTTGGTTTCCTCGAGGTTTTAAATCATGTAAATTCAGTGACCGCAGGACTTTCAGACCGATTTGTAGCAGTTCATAAACACATTGGGCTGATGACAGCTTGTGGAAATTTGCTCAGAGAAAAAGCCCAGGGCAGAGCCCAAAGCTGTCTGTGAATGTATTAATAGTTAATATATTTAAAAAATACATTTATTTTTTTTTAATTTTTTTATTTTTTGAGATGGAGTCTTGCTTTGTTGCTAGAGTGCAGTGACAAGATCTCAGCTCACTGCAACCTCCGCCTCCCAGGTTCAAGCTATTCTCCTGTCTCAGCCTCCGGAGTAGCTGGGACTACAGGTGCCCACCACTGGTGCCTGGCTAATTTTTGTATTTTTAGTAGCGACAGGGTTTCACCATGTTGGCCAGGCTGGTCTTAAACTCCTGTAAACTCCTGACCTCAAGTGATCTGCCCGCATTGGCCTCCCAAAGTGCTAGGATTACAGGCATGAGCCACCGTGCCTGACCCAATAGCTAAAAATTTAAATAACCTAATGGCACCCTGAGGAAAATGAAAATCCAAACAGAAATCCAGCTTTGAGCTCATAAAGCCAGTGGGGATGCTGTAGTCTGCACTGTCTTCCCATAGGACAAGGGCAGTGCCCTGTCTGATACTCCTGTGAGGAGGAACTGGGGTTCTCAACAACGATGAGAATTGGGAATGTATATTCACCAGGACCGAGTTCTCCTTTAGGGTAACTTGTCCTCAGAATTTCGGAATATAAAAAGTCTGGAAAGTTTAGAATGAAAGTGGTATCACTGAACACATTCCCAAGTTGAACTCGGATTTCTGATCTCAATAAATAAGTGTCTGCCCATGGAAGTATTCAAGGACTAAGACTCTTTATTAAAAGTCTAAGGGATATAAGGTAATATTCATTATCTGTAAGGTATAACTTCCCAGAGAATTCAGGAAAAATTAATCCTGACACTTGGGAGCATTTCTTTCCCTTTAATGAAGGTTACAAGGCAAATAAGTAGATTGTATGGTGTTTACTTCAAATTGCAATGCACTTAGGCCCTTTGATTTCTGTGATAGAGACCTTTATTAGATAGCTTATTTTCCAAAGAACAGCCTGTGAATTCTGGGAATAGTAGTGTAGATGTCTGTTATGATCTCCAATTTTGAACATGTGGCATATTTTAGATGGCAGGAAACCAAGGACAAGTCTAGTAAACACACCCAAAATTAGTTTTCTTATTTGAAAGAAGATACTTTTATGTTACCTGATTTTATTGCCAAAATTAATAAATGGCAGCCCATCACAAACATCTTTCTAAATTGATTAACCCTTTATGTGAAGAGTCCTGGCTTCCCAAGTGATAATTTACTTACTAGTGTACTCACTTCAAAAAAATTATATATTATGTGTTGAGGTCAAGTCAATAGGGTCAAATCTTCTTCTTCTTTTTTTTTTTTTTTTGAGACAGAGTCTCACTCTGTCGCCTAGGCTGGAGTGCAGTGGCTCGATCTCGGCTCACTGCAACCTCCACTTCCTGGGTTCAAGCGATTGTCCTGCCTCAGCCTCCTGAGCAGCTGGGACTACAGGTGCCCACCATCACACCTGGCTAATTTTTTTGTATTTTTAGTAGAAGTGGGGTTTCATCATGTTGGCCAGGCTGGTCTCGAACTCCTGACCTCAAATGATCCACCCACCTCGGCCTCCCAAAGTGCTGGGATTACAGGCATGAGCCACTGCGCCCAGCCAATAGGGTCAATTCTTATCCTGTTTTCTCTTTTCTCATTTCTCCATTGCCATAAATAACTTCAAAAGGAAAGCAAACTGGACTGGTTAGGAATTAAGCAACCACATTTTTAATCAATAAATATGAACATTTGTTTTTTAACCAGTTACTATTAGGCAGAAAAAAACAGTCATTTATCAAGAATTCAAAAGATAACACCATCTTGAAAACAAAGTGCCAAAAATCTTTGCCATAAACTCTTCCTCACTTATAGAACTAAAAGTAACAAATATTTACTCAAAATAAGGCTTGGAATAATCTAAAAAGTTCCAGATATATTTTAAAGCTATAACAGATTTTGCACATAAAGCCAAAACAGATTGTTTTACACATACATAGACTATCTGACAACCCAATGAATAAATGATTGAATGGATAAATTGTTGAGCATTAGTGATTACTTATGTTCACATTATGGGCCAGGCTTACATCCATTTCTTGTTCTTCTCCTGCCTCACTGTCCCTTGCTCTTCCAAGGTCCTTGGTGAGGTGGCTTCCAGATAGGCCTGGGCAGTAAGGTGCTGGTGGAAGATGTGAGGGCAGGATAGGTGAGACCAAGGTATTCTCTTATCTGTCTCAGCTCACTCCATCTCAGTCAGTGGCTTTGTTCTTGTCATGGCTCCATTTTCCACAATCCATTGGTGGTCCTAACTCCCACTAGGCAGCCCCCACCATGGTTCCAGCTCCTCTGGATGATCCCACTACTGGACACAGGAAACCAAACCTCTTCCCATTATCCTCATAGCCCTGGGTGTGGTAACAGCTTCTTGCTGTTTGGCTTCTCTTTTATCATCTATGTAAGTCAATTTCCTGTATTAAACTCCCTCTGTTGAAACACCTAGAATGGTTTCTGTTTTCCAGACTGGATCCTGATGGATACATATCAGAATCATTAAGCTTTTTCTCCTCTAACTCATATGAGAACTTTTGCATGAAAATCTGCCCTAAGCCAATGAAAAATCATTCAAATCACACTCAATACCCACATTCTGCAATAAAGAGCAGTAAATATCCCCTTGGCTGTGTTTTGTCAAACATTGGGATTCTTTTTGCCAAGTGCAAACATGACTCTACCACTGTTACCACCAATTGCAGTGGACACAGCCATGAGCTTTCTCCAGAAGTCACTTCTGTTGCATGTATTAAGTCTATTAACAAGGTAACAGACATACAAAGAGAAAATTAATCTTAAGAGAAAGTTACACAGTCACCAAATGAATAACATTATAAAAAAAGTCTCTGAAAATTCAGAGAACAAAAGACAGCACCAGAAAGTTTCTTCCCTGTTGAATCAATACATTTTCCTGAAATTAAAATCCTGGAGAATTTCTGAATATTTCAAGAGCATAAAAAAATGTGATTCATTAATGAGTGACCCATTGCTTCTCAGCTAGAATGTACCCCTGATATGGCTATTGACTGAAGTAGAGTTCCTTGGTGAGCATGGAGACCACACAGGGGATCTGCTTCTTCTCATGGAAGTGTGGGTCATCAGACTGAGACTCAAAGTGCCTGGCAACTCTGTCATTCACCCTGGTGAGGATCTGCATGATTTCCAGGTCTTTTCCGTGCTCCTCCAGGATGGAGCAGAGGGCTTGCACAAACCAGGAGCCTCTTCCTGGGCTCCTCCACGAGTAATAGCCTTCAACAGGAAAGAAAGGAGACGACCAAATCAGCTAATTCTGACAGCTGCTCCACTCACCAATGAGAATGAGTATATGGCACTTTCACACCTGCTTTTCAGAAACTATTTCACTCTACTCTGCACACAAGTCATTAATGAGAATTATGCTGGTGTGCTCAGAGAGCAAACATCTGAGATTTAACGGCTGGCATGAAGATGCTAGAAAATGCTTTGAGTATTTCAGCATGGAAATCCCATGACAGACAGCATCACTAAGGGCCAGCATTGGTGGATGTTGCCAGGGTACTCTCTTGTGTCAGTTTTGATGGACGTACCCACCTGATAAATATCAGATACGTGGGTGTGAGACAGATCTGCATGTGCAGACTTCCAAAGGAAATGCTGGAGGTCTATTCCATAACTCTGGAACTCCTCACTATCCTTTAGGGGTCAGTGCTACTTCCTAATCCAAGCCTACTAGAGAAGGAATTTGCAGAGAACCTCAAGGAATTCTGAGATGTGTTCCTGCTGCTGGGATACATAGGAGTAGAGTTGGACCTTGCTGAAGAAATCTAGAGGCACAAGGAAGCTGAATGCCCAATTGTCTGAGGGGCAGGGCCAGGAGAGCCTGATGACCCGGGAGGGCAAATCTCATCCTATAACTCCCTAACCTAAAACCGTTCCCTTGCGCCACTTTATCTGAGTAAAGTTCAGGCTGCTTGACATAGCACACAGGTTCCACCATGACAGGGCCACCTGCCTACCTGTCCTGGTTTGACCCTGGCCATGCCCTGTCATATCCCTTGCTATGGACTGAACTATGTCTTCCCAAAATTCATTTATTGAAGCCGCACCCCATAATGTGACTGTGTTTAGAGGCAGGGTCTTTATGGAGGTAATTAAGGTCCAATGAGGTCACTAGGGTAGGGCTCTGATCCAAGAGGATTGGTGTCCTTATAAGAAGAGACACAACAGACCTCACTCAGTCTTGCTCTCAATCTCTGCCATATGAGGCTATAGCAAGAACGTGACCATTTATGAGCTAGAAAGGGAGCCCTCACCAGAAAGCAACTTAGCCGGCACCTTGATCTTGGACTTCCCAGCATCCATAACTTAGAGAAATAAATGTCTGTTGTTTAAGCCACCTTGTCTAAGGTATTTTGCTATAGCAGCCCAAGAAGACTGATATACCCTGAGATCCAGCCCCGAGTTTTACCAAATGCACTGGGCTATCCAGCCCCTCAGCACTCCGTCTGACAAGCCATCCTTCTTTTACCTATGTTGTTTGAAATTTTAGGCTCAGTTATAGCAGCTCCTTTTTTTTTTTTTTTTTTTTTGAGACGGAGTCTTGCTCTGTTGCCCAGGCTGGAGTGCAGTGGTGCGATCTTGGCTCACTGCAAGCTCCGCCTCCCAAGTTCACGCCATTCTCCTGCCTCAGCCTCCCGAGTAGCTGGGATTACAGGCGCCCACCACCATGCCCAGCTATTTTTTTTTTTTTTTGTATTTTTAGTAGAGATGGGGTTTCACTGTGTTAGCCAGGATGGTCTCAATCTCCTGACCTTGAGATCCACCTGCCCTGGCCTCCCAAAGTGCTGGGATTACAGATGTGAGCCACCGTGCCCGGCCCAGCAGCTCCTTTTTAACATAGCTTTTCTCAACTGCCTCCTTGCTCAGAGCAACTACAACTCTACCACTGGGTTTGTTTACACAGACATATGCCCCCATTACACCACCTCCCTCTCAAGAGCAGAAAGACCAAATTATTTTCGATCTTATGCCATCCTTAAAACTTGTGAAGTTATCGCTCTCACAAAATCTCATCTGTAGATCCTGCCAGAGCTGGTTTTCCAAACACATCAACCTATTTACTGTAACCAGTACCCTTGTGCCAAATACTTGACACAACTACTATTACAGCTGGGAAAATTCTAACTTAGTGCTGGTTTGTACCCAAAACAAAGGAAGGACTTTCATTGAACAGATTCAGTCAAATGTAGTGCTTGGTAAATAGTGAGTAGGCTTGCCCATTGCTGGCGTTTTCTGGTATCTGTGTACAGGCTGCCGTGTAAAGGAACCTTGGCTGACTCACAGCTCTACTGTGCACTGAAATCTCTACCTGACCTTAGGCATATCACTTAGATTCATCCAAACTAAAAATTCTTTTATTTTACCTGTAAAATCAGGACAGGAATAACACCTTTCCTAAATACTTACGGTATTATTGTATATGAGAAAAAACACATGAAAGATACTCTATATTGCAAAGTACTACAGAAATGTTTGTCCTTATAACTACTAAAACAATAATAATAATAACAAATGAGAGAATTCAGCTTTCCTGGAGAGAAAAGTGAATGCATTTCTGTGGTAGGCAGAATAATGGTGCCCAAAGATGTCCACGCCCTAACCCTGGAACCTATGAACATGAAACCTTATGTGGAAGAAAGGACTTTGCAGATGTGGTTAAGGGTATCGGACTGACATGGGGAGATGATCCTGGAGCATCCAGGTGGGTTCCATCTAATCACAGGTGTCCTTTCTCAGCTGTGGTCAGAAAGAGAGCACGGTAAACGACAGAAGGGTCAGAGAGATGCAAAGTTGCTGGCTTTGAAGATGAAGGAAGGGGCCACAGCCAAGGAATGCAGGTGGTTCTAACATGCCACGTAAAGGCTGGGAAATGGATTTTCCCTTGAGCCTCCAAAAGGAACGTAGCCCTGCCAACCTATTTTGGAATTCTGACCTCCAGAACTGCAAGATAATACATTTGTGTATTTTAAGCCACTGTGTTTGTAGTAATGTATTACTGCAGCAAGAGGAAACGAATACAGTCCCCAAATCTGTGTTTTGATGATGGAATGGACTGAAGTATGCTTGGCAGACAATGGACATGATACCTGGAACCGTGGAATAGGCGAAGAGGAAGTCAGCTTCCACTGGGATCTTGTATCGAGGATTAGCATCTGTGTCATTGATGGGCCCCGAGTCGGCCTGGATGCCATCATCAAGCTCGGTCCCTCGGCAAGCCTAAATATCAAAGCAGACATCATTCTATGCAGTTGGGAACAGAAATGTACGTGCTGTTCACTGCTGTGTCCTGATACCTAGAACTGTGCCTGGCATACTTAGGAGCTCAATGATAATTTGATGAAAAGATAAATGAATGAATGTGTTTCAAATGACTAAGCAAAGCAAATAAAAGTATTGCAATGTCTTAAAGAAACCTTCATAATTTGTGGCTGGGTGTGGAGGCTCACACCTGTAATCCCAGCACTTTGGGAGCCTGAGGTGGGTGGATCACTTGACGCCAGGAGTTTGAGACCAGCCTGGCCAACATGGCGAAACCCCTCTCTTCTAAAAATACAAAAATTAGCCAGGCGTGGTGGTGCGTGCCTGTAATCCCAGCTACTCAGGAGGCTGAGGCAGGAGTATTGCTTGAACCTGGGAGGTGGAGGTTGCAGTCTTCCGAGATCACGCCGCTGCACTCCAGCCTGGGTGACAGAGCAAGATTCCATCTCAAAGAAAAAAAAAAAGAAACCTTCATAATTTGTGATCCAGTGGAAACACATATGCTAACCATTCAGAGATAGAAAAATAAAACCCTAATTTGAATATGGAAGCAGCATTTGGATTTGTAAAAATGATGCCATCCCCGTCACTCTGTAATCTTTCCCAGAAAAATAAAACCCTAATTTGAATATGGAAGCAGCATTTGGATTTGTAAAAATGATGCCATCCCCGTCACTCTGCAATCTTTCCCATTTTCAAGTGTATTGGCATTGAAAAGAGATTACCTGAATGAAGAAGAGTTTGGGTTTCTCTAAAAGGGTTTTGCATCTATCCCCCCTAAAGTGGGCTGTCAAATCCTTTATTGGTGTGACACCATCTTTCCCATAAATTACATTTTCTTCTCCATGGCTTAAGAGGATGCAGGCGAAGCAGGCGGCATTTGTATGGTCCTCTTCAGAAGCTGCAAGCAAATAATACGAACATTGAAGAATTAAGGTCTAAGTTCTGGGGAGCCTCAGATGCAGCATTTTCAGAGGCAGCCTGGCAGCTGCCTCTGACTATTAGAGGGTTACAAGGGAGGGGAGGGGAGGAGCTGGGGACTGGGCTCCTTTCAAAGGATCAGACTTATCTAAGACGTTAAGAGAGAGGGATAGGTACAGTGTATGGGGGCTGATGTGTGTGGCCCTGCTGTTGGCTAGTTCTGTGACATCAGGAATGTTACTGAACCATTTTGTGCCTTGATTTCCTTATCTGTACATTGAAGATCAATATTAACTCATTAAATGAGTTAATATTTGTAAAACACGCCACATAATAAGCATCATGCAAGTGTTTGTTAAAGAGAATAAAATATTACGCTAAGTGCAATAAGCCAGTCACTAAAGGGCAAGCATCGCATGATTCCACTTTCAGGAGGTACCCTGAGTAGTCAAGATCACAGAATATAGAACGGTGGTTGCCAGGGGCTGGAGGGAAGGGGAAATAGCCAGTTAGTGTTTAATGGAGATAAAGTTTCAGTTACGGAAGATGAAAGAAAGCCTGAGATGGATGGTGGTGATGGTGACACAACCATGTGAAGTCATTCTGATCTATACATTTAAAAATGGTTATGATGGTAATTTTACGTTATGTGTATTTTACCACAATTAAACAAAATTAAAGAAAAATAAATAAAAATACTAGCTTGGCTGTCCATTTAGGATACTGAGGAGAGGAATCATAAACCATGTAGCTAGTTGGCCCAGCTAGAACTCACCAAAGGTTCTATGATACTAACTAACCAGCTATAGGTGAACTAACCATTACTTTTAATGCCAAAAACCGCAATTACTTTTGCACCAACCTATAACTAGCTAATACACATATCCTTTCTTCTTCTCTATGATTAATGAGGGGGGAAGGAATAATATTTAGAATTTCTTGAGCAAATACTATGTGCAGACACTGATCTAGGTACTTTACATGAGTTATTTTTAATTCCTACAAGACTGGAAGTAGGCCTCATTTATCTTTATTTCACTGATTTAAAAAAATGGAATCTCGGAGAGGTCTCATAACCTTCCCCAAAGGTGGTAGAACACGTTGGAGCCTTGGGGCCGTTTTTCAAGCCCAGGACACTGCAAAGTCCAGCTACCTCACCAGTTCCAGGCAGAGTAAGAGTGGCCTCTCCCATTCGAATTACCAAGACACTTTGCATTATCTCCCCAGTGATTCTTGTATTAGTTTTGACAGTAGAGGTACAAGGTGATGGTGATGAAAGCTGGAGTTCTTAGCTTATTTTAAGAGTACACAAATTAGGACAGTTAGAAAATGGGAGTTTTGTCTTCACTGGAACTGACTGCATGTAAAGTCAGAAAAAATAAGTGCTTTACTAGTTTGATAGGACAATAAGCAAGAATTCTCTGATTGTGACATGCTCTGGACTTGGGCAGAATGAATCACCTTTCAAAAGAACAGAAACGGCCGGGCGCAGTGGCTCACGCCTGTAATCCCAGCACTTTGGGAGGCCAAGGCAGGCGGATCATGAGGTCATGAGTTTGAGACCAGCCTGGCCAGCATGGTAATACCCCATCTCTACTAAAAAAAAAAAAAAAAAATTAGCCAGGCATGGTGGCACGCATCTGTAATGCCAGCTACCTGGGAGGCTGAGGCAGGAGAATTGCTTGAACCCGGGAGGTGGAGGTTGCAGTGAGCCGAGATTGCACCACTGCACTCAAGCCTGGGCGACAGAGTGAGACTCCGTCTCAAACAAAACAAAACAAAACAAACAAACAAAAACCAAACAGAAACTACAATTGGGACAAGTTCATATGCCTATCTGGGCCATTATACTTCTCGAAGCACGCTCACAAAATTCCTCTTGGCTCACAGGCTTCCTCACTCCATCCCCAAGAAACAGCAGGAGCTGGTATCATAATCTGCCTTTCAGGAAAGCAAAAAAATCAGGATGATGTGGTTGCCTTGCCTGGGTTGCCTGTTAGAACTTGGGCCAGACCCAGATCTCAGACTCCTGATTTCTAGTCTGGTCTAGGACATAACCTACTAGGGTACAAAAGGTCAGCTTGTAAGAGTCAAGTTGGAGGAAATTAGGAAAAATGCCTAGTTTTAAAAAAAAAAAAAGATGGTGGGGACTTTTTTTGTTTTAGCTGTGAGGTTAAGAAAAATAGCAGTGATTTAGATTGTGTTCCTATCTACTTCCTGTGGGTCTGTGTCTAGTGAATTGATAGGATGTTACTTTCAAACACTTGCCCTAAATGCCAGAATACCTTAGGTGGCATCCATTAGAGAGGGTCGTGTAATAGGAAACGCATTTGTCCTGGAGTTAGAAGACCAGAGCGTGGGTTTCGGTTCTGCCCCTACTAACTGCACCCTTCAGTGTATCTTTCTTCCTCTCTGAAGCTCCACCCCTTCTTTTATTTTATTTTTTATTTTATTATTATTATTTTTTTTTGAGACAGAGTCCTGCTCTGTCACCCAGGCTGCAGTGCAGTGGTGCCATCTTGGCTCACTGCAACCTCTGCCTCCTGGGTTCCCGGGTTCAAGTGATTCTCATGCCTCAGCCTCCCGAGTAGCTGTGATTACAGGTGTGTGTCGCCACACTTAGCTAATTTTTGTATTTTTAAGTAGAGACGGGGTTTCATCATGTTGGCCAGGCTGGTCTCGAACTCCTGGCCTCAAGCAATCCTCCTGCCTTGGCCTCCCAAACTGCTGGGATTACAGGTGTGAGACACCACACGTGGCCCACCCCTATATTTATAAAATGAGCATAATATTCTGTTGCCCAACATTGCAGGGCTTCTGTTAAAGATCTAATGAAATAATTTTGTGAACATGCTATATAAAAAATAACATAGTTCTAAAGTATATGGAATTATTATTCTCTATCTGCCACAAGGGAAAAGTTTACGCTTACACTTCATTCTAGAAAGGATGACACAGATTTGTTACTTCCCAGGAATGAGTCTTTTGAAATTGTGACCATTCTGTATACAAATAATCTATTTCTTTTGCTGGACTTTAAGCTGATTTCATCATTTTACAAAGAGATTGAAGGCTCCTCAAGGAAACCTGCCTACTCCAGGACAGGTATGGACTGGTCAAGAGGGAGGGAGGTTTCTCACACTGAAATTCCTCTGCCCTGCACAGGCATCCTTCTGAGATGGGCCTGGCCATGGTGGGCGGATCGCCTCCCTTGGGTACAGGAAGAAGATAGATGGAGGGGCGGTAAGGGCTCAACTTTTCTTTTTTTGTGACAGGGCCTCACTCTGTCACCCAGGCTGGAGTGCAATGGTGTTATCATGGCTCACTGCACCCTTAACCTCCTAGGCTCAAGCAATCCTTCCACCTCAGCCTCTCAAGTAGCTGGGACTACAGGCACATGCCATCATGCCTGGCTACTTAAAAAAAAAAAAAAATTTCAAGATAGGGTGTTGCCATTTTGCCCAGGCTAGTCTTGCACTCCTGGGTTCAAGTGATCCTCCCACCTTGGCCTCCCAAAGTTCTGGGATTGCAGGCATGAGCCACCACTCCTGGCAGCACTCACCTTTTTTAAGCAGATCTTGCATCTTGGCACAAGAGCAGTCATTATAGACAATCACGTCAAAACCCAGGCTTCGGAAGCACTTGAAGAGCGCCTCGGCATCTTTGTCTGTTCCGTTTCGAACGCCCATACCTGTGGGAATCAAGCAATGAATCCACAGGTGAGCATCCCCTGGCTGAATACTACATGCGGGCGCCAGTGGGCCGGGTGCTAAATGTACTGGTGCCAGCTGCAGCAGAAACACTCCAAGTATATACAATGCCTTCCAAGGCCACAATTTAAATGAACTGAAGCAAACTCAAAGGGGAGGCTAACAGTGCCACCTGCCCGCAACAGGTGAGCCTCCTGGTAACATTCAGCTCCCATCAAAGCCAAGGTTCCCCTGGATTCTTAGCCCTTTGGTCAAAGCCCCGCATCAGCTAATACACGTGGTGGGGCCTTAGACTGAACATTCTTGATTTCCGCATAACCCTTTCCCCTGAATACAGGAACCTTGCCTTCAGAGGGGCTGTCTGCCACAGTAGGTAGGTGCAGCATTTCTCCCATAAATGTCTGATACAAATAGGAGAAGATGAAAGGGAACCGGAAAGATGAGCCCATGCCCACACACCCACCTGTCACTTTATCAAAGTTCTTGTTGTTTATTATGATGCATTTGCCCAGCTTTTCAAAATTCATGTTGTACTGATATGTAGGCACTCGGTCCCGGGTGGTCTTGATGGATCGCATGGTGACATTTTTCTTCTTCTTACTGGTGAAATATAAAGTTCCAGAGTCAGGGGCTGTGGAAGAAGTGTGTATAGTAACGTCTCTTCATTTTACTACTAGTGTGAAAGCGGGGGATGCCTAAGAAAACTGCAGTATCCTTGAAGAAAAGACCTGGCGTGGACAGACGGCTCTGTTTAATTGTCATGTTTAAGTGGAACAGGGTCCCCTGGCAAATTTTATTAGATGCCAGAAAAATGCAAATTAAAATCACCATGTGATACCAGTACACACTTACCAGAATGG
Organism: Homo sapiens; assembly: GCF_000001405.40. Taxonomy (NCBI): domain Eukaryota; kingdom Metazoa; phylum Chordata; class Mammalia; order Primates; family Hominidae; genus Homo; species Homo sapiens. The sequence goes on along the minus strand of NC_000010.11, from coordinate 113,720,771 downwards.
CTACAGCGTAAAAGATGCAAAATGTTCAGCTCCCTGGATTATCAAACATTGCTGGTGGGAACCTACTTTGTACACCCATTGTGGAAAACCAGCAGAATGTACTGAAATGGAATGTATACATAACCTATGCCACAGCAACTCCCCTGGGAAAAGCAAACACGTTCACTAAGATAGGTCCACACGTCACAGCAATACCATTCAGCGATGGCCTCCAGCAGAAAATAATCTGTACGTCCATTCACAGTCAAATGCACACATTGTTGAACGTTCGTCTAATGAAATACTATACGAGAATAAACAAACCACCACAATGTGAAGCAACATGAATAAACCTCACAAATATAACAATGAGTGAAAGAACTGACATACAAAAGGGTATATACAAAGACAAAGTTAAAAAGAACAAAACTAATACCTAGGATCAGAAATCTGGAGATGGTTTTCCCTACGGTGGAGATCAGAGACCAGAGGGACATGGGGTCTTTCTTCAGTGTGAGTCATATTTTGTTTCTTGGTGTGGGTGCTGGTTACATGTGTGTTTCTGTTGGTGAAAATTTATCAGTATGTGCACTTTCTATGTGGATGTTATGTTTTAATAACATTTACATTAAAAGGGGGAAAAAGGAACAGAAGGATTACAACAAAAAAGTAGGCTCTTTCCAATCTCCAGACAACTGGTGGTCCAGTTTGCCAAAAGTCTAGCAGGTAGGCAGTGTGGTGGGGCATGAGGCACCATGGAGCGGGCAGAGGGACACATTTCCAATGAGGGTGGGAAGCTGTCTTGCCAGCCATCTATGCCAACGTGAGCTCCAGGAGGGAGACATTTCTCCGTTCTGAAAATCACTGAATCCCCAATAGGGAGAACAATGCCCAACATATAAGTTGCTGAATAAATATTTGTTATATAAATGAATGAATAGAATTGTATCCACTTCATTTTACAGATACGGAAACTGAGGTCCATGGGGAGACGGGGATTGTCCCAGGTCACCCAGCTAGTGAAGGGTGGGTCCCAGTCTGCAACACTGTCCCCTGGAGTATTCAATAGAGTGATCTGCCCGCCCTTCTCCCATGGCGCCCAGCCAGAGTTAGAAGCAGCAAAATAAAAGTCAAAACCCAGCTTGTTACCTGACAAACATGGGGTCACGGGTACTGCACTTGAGTTGTCATGGACTTTTATGGTTGGAGTTTCTCAGAATCTCTGAAAGGGCATGGCCTTCCCCCTCTCCGCCCCCACTCCTATCTTACTCCAAATTACAGACGAGCTCTGTATGTCTAAGCCGCAGATGCTGTATTGCTGTTCTTCCCCTTGAACATGACTTTATCCTCCACTTTCGGAAGGCCAAATTTCTTCCATGATGCCATTTTACTTTTAAAAGAGAAATATCCGGAATCTGTTTTGCCTTCTCTGGGCTTCTCCACTGTTTTGTATTTTGTCTGGTTTACAGGGTGACGCTGGGTTTTCTTCACATTTCCTTCCACAAAGAAGCAGCACAAAAGAGCGCTGGACTTGCGGCTAGTCGGAGCTCTGCGTCCACCCGCCCGTGTGACCTGATCCGGTGAGTTGTTACCCTTTGCAGAAAACCAACTTCCTCTCATGTGACGCAGTCAGTTGCATGCAGTAGGTGACGCATTTCGTGACTGTCGCAAAATTAGATGGGAGTTGCAGTGGCAGCAGGTACTTCCTGTGATGTATCCCCACCCCCTGCCCCTTGGAGATGTATCAGCAAAGGGAGTTTCTGCACTGTTCAAGGACACACCATTCAGGCAGCAATAGGATTTCCTTATTGCCACCCTGTTAATGACTGCTATTGACAGTGTCCTCTGTACTTTTTAAAATAATGTGTGCACAGTCTTTCGAACACACAAAATCTCTGGTGTTCGATAGGTGCCTCAGAGGTAGGTAGTGGGGGATAATCATGCCCATTTTACAAGTAACAATAATAATTAACATTTGTCAGTGCTTACTAGGGGCCCAGATATTGTTAAAACTCTCATCTGCATGTCCTCACTGAATTCTGATAGCAACTCAAAGAGGGAGGCAGATATCATCGTAACCCCCTTTAAGGATGAGCTGCGGAGGCTTGGGGTGGGCAAGTAACTAGCTCAGGGTTGTGAGGGGGCACAGCAAGTCCAAATCCAAGCAAGTTGGCCATGGATTCAAAGAATTAAAATTGTTAAAAATCTCCATACTGCTCAAAGCAATCTACAGATTCCATGCAATCCCTATCAAAATACCAATGACATTCTTCAGAGATAGAAGAAAAAATTCTAAAATTTATATGAAACCACAAAAGACCCAGAATAACCAAAGCCATCCTGAGCAAAAGGAACAAAACTGGAGAAATCACATTACCTGAGTTCAGATTATACTACAAAGCTATAATAACCAAAACAGCATAGGACTTGCATAAAAACAAGACACACGGACCAATGGAAAAAAAAAGAGAAAATCCAGAAAGAAATCTATGCATTTACAGTAAACTCATTTTCAACAAAGGGGCTAAGAGCATACATTGGGGTAAGGACAATGTCTTCAATAAATGGTGCTGGGAAAACTAGATAGCCATATGCAAAAGAATGAAACTGGACCCCTAACTCTTGCCATATACAAAAATTAAATCAAAATGGATGGAAGATTTAAAGCTAAGACCTGAAACTATGAAAATACTAGAAGAAAATGTTGGGGAAACTCTCCAGGACATTGGTCTGGGCAAAGATTTCTTGAGTGAGACTCAAAAGCAGAGGTGACCAATGCAAAAACAGTACCTAAGTCCAGAAGAAGTATATTTACGTAGCTATTTCCTATTAATACCTGCCACCTATGGGCCAGGAGTTTTATAAAATCACTGCATGTTCTCACAGCCATGCTGCCTTCGTGTAGATAAGAAAATTCAGGTTCAGAGTTTGTATGTGATTCCTGGTGGTCTGACCCCAAAGGGTGTGCTTTTCTCTACTAGACTATTTTTTCTTTGAGCAAACACTGTTTTTGGTACTAAAATTTAGGACAGGACTTACTCATCTTCCAGGTTACTTTTGTGGAGGGTGGAATATAATCTGTGACCTTTCTGAAATTAGGTCTCCTGGTGCAATTAACTCCTCTACCAAGGTAGCTTCAGGATAGGCTTCAACCAGTGCTCTCTGCAACCCTTCAGAAAATGCCAGAATGGGATAAAAGAAAAGAACACTGAATAGGTAAAGTAGAGTTTTTATTTATTTATTTATTTTTGAGATGGAGTCTCTCTCTGTCGCTCAGGCTGGAGTGCAGTGGCGTGATCTCGGCTCACCGCAACCTCCGCCTCCCAGGTTCAAGTGATTCTCATGCCTCGGCCTCCTGAGTAGCTGTGATTACAGGTGTGCACCACCACGCCCAGCTAATTTTTGTATTTTTAGTAGACAGGTTTTCACCATGTTGCCAAGGCTGGTCTTGAACTCATGACCTCAGGTGATCCACCCGCCTCGCCCTCCCAAAGTATTGGGATTACAGGTGTGAGCTACCACATCTGGCCTAAAGTAGGGTTCTTACCATGTCAACTGAATTTCAGAGCAAGCTTCCTGGATCCTGCAGCTAATTTAAGGCTATTCAAAGATCCTAAGACTAGCATGAAGTCTAGCAGGCTGGAAGTCACAGTTTATGCACTAAAATCCTTTCAGAGATAAAAGTCCTACTTCTTTCTTCTGTGGTATGGATCTCTATGATGATATCCAAGTAAAAAACAAGCTGGGATGTTTTAAAAGCTGTCATTAGCTCATCCTCAGTGATGAACAAAACAAAACCAGCAAGCATCCTTTAAGAGAAAAACAGAATTAGATATGTTATGTAAAAAATAAAAGGACTCTGGTTCTATCAGAATAAAATTTGGAAAATTAACTGGTTACATAAAAAGAACACAATAGGGGAAGAAAGAGAAACACTTTAAGAAAACACTGTCCATGGTTATGAAAAGTACCTTACAACTGAATATGAAATGTGGTCCTCACTCCTGGTAAATATCTCAAAAGGGTGATACCTAGCCTGCCCCTAAATTGAACTCCTATTTTTCAAAATGAACTTAATATCTGCTTCCTCCTTCTGGATTTGAGTCCGCCAATATTAATTTCTCCTTCTAAGCAAAAGAGCTTAGCTAGTCTGCCCCTAAAATGAACTCTTATTTTTCAAAATGAACTTGGTATCTGCTTCCTCTTTCTGGATTTGAGTCAGTCAATATTAATTTTTCCTTCTAACCAAAATAGCTTTTTGTTAAACCCACATCTTCCCAGACCACAGATGTGTGTTTGTGAGTGACTATCAATTCAATCTCTTCTTAGGAGGATGAATTCAATTCATCCTCCTAAGAAGAGCTGGCCTTGGGAAAACTCCATCCATAGCTTAACTTTGAGGAAGCAAACCCCGATGATTAAAACATGTAACTGGAGACAGACAAAGAAAAGGTGCAAATGATTGTCTAGAAGGCATCAGGAGGAAAGCACCAGAAAAAAGGGGAGAGGGACTAAAAGTCCACTGCTTATAGATATATTCTGCAAGAATGAGAGTCCAAGAGATTAGGCTTCCACCTAAGCTGTGATGTTTTAAGGCACCTTCTTTCCCCTGGGGATTAAATCCCTTTCATCCCTATTCTCCCTTTGAGGCTACAGTGAGAGCCACCATATTGGTAGAAAGTGATTTGCCATCCTGTCCCCTTGACCTTGCAGCCACCACTGATTGGTCCAGGGGGCACCTGATCCCTAGGCTGGGTCAATCAGCCCTCTTCCCTGGGAATTTGAGAATTGAAATTGAGAAAAAGAGTCATTCTGTCAAGGTGGTTAAAATGAGAGTTGGTGGCCGCCATGTTTTACCATGTGGCTTGAGGAGCCAAGAGGACAGACTGGCAAAGATTGGGCAGAACAAAGCCAATGGATAAGAGAAATGTGGGAATGGAAGAGGAGAGTGGGTAACGTTCACCCAAGATTCCTGTGAGCCTGAGCGTTCCTTTAAAAAGAGAAATCAAGCTGGGCACAGTGGCTCACGTCTGTATTCCCAGCACTTTGGGAGGCTGAGGCGGGCAGATCACCTGAGGTAGGGAATTCAAGACCAGCCTGGCCAACGTGGCGAAACCCCATCTCTACAAAAATTAGCTGGGCGTGGTGGCTTGTGCCTGTAATCCCAAGCTACTCGGGAGGCTGAGGCAGAAGAATCACTTGAATCCGGGAGGCGGAGGTTTGAGTAAGCCGAGATCATGCCATTGCACTCCAGCCTGGGTGACAGAACAAGACTGTCTCAACAACAACAACAACAAAAATCAGATTCCACCATCACCACTTAAAGCCCTCCCAGGGCTCCCTGTGAAACTCCGTTCCAGGGTTTCTGAAGCCTTCAGGGTGTCCCTGCTGGCCTGTCGGCCCCAGTCCTGGTGCAGCTCTCCCCTGCACGGCTCAGACCTGCTTGCGGAGGATCACAGGGCATGGCAGGACCCAGGGCACCCACGATGGCTCCCACCCGGTGGAGCTGGCCACTATCCCTGGGTCTCTTGTCTCTGCACACAACAACCCTAGTTCATTGGGCATCATGCTGCTTGCTCCCTCAGGCCAGGACCCTGGAACGCTCAAGGTACATCATCTTCTGACCTGTTGTCCACCATTGCCTCCTAACTGGCTTCTCTCCAAAGTGAGCTTTTAAATAAAATGGTAAGGCCAGGTGCGGTAGCTCGTGCCTGTAATCCCAACACTTTCCAAGGCCAGTGTGGGCAGATCACTTGAGTCCAGGAGTTCGACAGGGAGAAACTTGGTCTCCACAAAAAATACAAACAAACAAACAAATAAATAAATAATTTTAGCCAGGCGTGGTGGTGCACGCCTATAGTCCCAGCTGCTTGGGAGGCTGAGGTGGGAGGATCACTTGAGCCTGGGAGGCAGAGGCTGCAGTGAGCCGAGATCGCGCCACTGCATTCCAGCCTCGGCAACGGAGACCCTGTATTTAAAAAAAAAAAAATATATAAATCCAGTCAGATTAGTTCCTTGCCCAGAGCCATCCAGTGGTTTTCCCATATGCTGGGAAGGAACTCCAGGGTCCTGACCACAGCCCACAGGGCCTACATGAGTTACTACCCCTATTATATCCACTTTTTCCTTCCCACTCCTGCCTCAGCCTCAGGAGTAGCTGGGATTACACGTGCACGCCACCATAACCGGGCAATTTTTTTTGTATTTTGTTAGTAGAGATGGGGTTTCATCATGTTGGCTAGGTTGGTCTCGAACTCCTGACCTCAGGTAATCTGCCCACCTCGGCCTCCCGAGGTGCTGGGATTACAGGTGTAAGCCACCACGCCGGCCCCTGCTTTAATTTTTAAATTCATCACCTGACCTCAAATTACAGAGCTATGTTGTCTCCTGCTAGAGTGTAAACTCTATGAGGGCAGGACCTGGACTACTTCACTGCAGTTCCCCCAGCTTCTACAACAGTGCCAGACACATAGCAGGTGCTCAACAGTGTTTTGTGAATGAGTGAAGAGCGTTTCGTGCTGAAGAAACACCACAGTCAGAGGCCCTGGGCCACCTCTGTTTAGGTGATCAGCTAAATGGAGCTGCCGTCCTGCCTGGTGACCAGCAGGACATGTCAGGGGCAGGTGAGGGAGGGGCAGGCACACTGGTACCCGCACTTCCATTTTGCCAATTCTTGTTGCAAGGCTGCTGCAGAGACACTCATTAGGTACAGCCTCATTAGGCTCAAAGCTCACATATAGGAAGAGAACAGATTTCTGAGAGGGAGTTAATTTAGGGCAGCCCGAACGCAGGACAACTCTTGCTTGAGTATTTCTTTCAGGTGGGAGACCTAATACTACCTGGAAACATTTTTGGAGTAATAAGTTTTCTTCCCTCATTTCCCCTGACTCTCCCATTTCCAGTGTTGAACCTTCATAGCACACTTCAATTACAAGAGCTATCTGGCAGACATAAGCTTATTCAATTAGTCACTCGCTCCCATAATAACCAGGTTGGATCATAAAGGGAGGGTTCTTTAATCAAAATCACACAGTACAGTAAACAAGAATGAGGAACCTCTTTATGTTCTGATGTGGGACAATCTCCAATAAGTCGTGTTAAGTGCAGAACAAAACCAAATTGCAGAACAATGGCAGCAGTGTGCTACCTTTTGGAAAAAAAAAAGAAGAAAAGAAAATATGTTTAGATTTGCTCGTATCTGCATAAAGAGACACTTGAAGGATGGTGCAGTAGATAAATCCATGGATTCAGGGGCTGGGCTGTGTGGATTTGACTCCCTATTCTACTGCATAGCTGTGTGACTGTGGGCAAATTACTTAACCTCTCTGTGCTTGTGCTTCCTCATTTGTTAAAAGGACAAAATAACAGCATTTGCTCAGAGCCTGTAAACAAGTTAATCTTCACAAAGCATTTAGAACAGTGTGTGTCCTGTTGTAAGTGGTAAATAAACATCATGATTATTACTGTTATTGATACAGGAGATAGAAATTATTTAGGCAGATAGTAAGGGTATAAGAGTCCTCCACAGAATTTCCCTTTTAACAAAAAGCAGGCCCCAAATAATTTCTTTTTTTTTAACAAAGAGCAGTCTGAAAAATCAAGCTGCAGACATAGATAAGCAAGCTGGAAGCTTGCACGGGTGAACACCGGCAGCTATGCCAGTAGAAAAGGGCTACGTAAGGGCCAGGTATGTTTAACATGGAGGCTCCACTCTTCCCTTTTCTTTGCCACCACATGTACAGTAAGGAAACAGGTAACATGGCGCTGGCCAGGTGGAGAACCAGCTGCATAATAAAAGATGAGTGTGGGGTGGCCAGCTTTTTCATGCCCTACGCAAATGACACACCTAGCCCTAAACAGTTTTTGGTGCCCTATGCAAATGACACACCTGGTTCAACCAATCTTTTGCATCCTATGTAAATCAGCCACTGCCTCCTCAAGCTCATCTATGAAACGCCTTGCATTCCACTGCGGAACCAGCAATCCATTTCTCTTGGACCCCTCTCTCTGCAGTAGAGAGAGCTCTTCTCTTTCTTTTGCTTATTAAACTTCCACTCTGAACCTCAGTATTTGTGTGTCTGTGTCTTAGTTTTCCGTGGCCGTGAGACAATGAATCTTGGGTATTTACTCCCGACACTGACGCCGGTTCATTATTATGTCTATCTTTCAGCGTGGTTATCTGTGTTACAGGGAGCTGGGAGCAGACAGTAGGCAAGAGTGGAAGAACTCTGTGTAACTTTTTATTATATGCAAATAAGTTATTTAAAACACTAAACTAATAATTGCCATTTAACAGTTAAAAGTCTCTTGCTTGCTACAAACGGATTTCAAGATCTGGCTTATTTTGAAGATCACTGGATTCATACTTTTTTGTGCTAATTGAGGGGGCTCCCTAGACACCCCGTTTTTCTATTTTTCACTGTGACTTTATCCCTCTGCCTAGCCTTTTAAACTTCTTACTCCACTGTGTCAGCAATAACAACAATAATAAATACAGTTATAATAAACATCATTTTTTGATCATTTACCACTTTACATATATTATCTCATTTAATCTTCAAGAGTTCTGTGAGGTATTAGTTCCATTTCACAGAGAGGGATGAAATCAGCTTGTCCAAAATTACAAAGCTAGAGAGGAATAGAGCCTGGATTCATTCCAAGGTGTAACCCCAAGTCTCCTATTCCAGAGTTTCTCAACTTTGTTAAAATTCGGAATCCTATGCTTTGCTCTAGACCTACAGAATGAGTCTCAGGTCAGGTGTGGGCGTTCTCCTGGGATGATCTCCAATAAGTAGTGTTAAGCACAGAACAAAAGCAACATGCTGATCAATGGCAGCAGCAGAGGGTCTGAGCATCTCGGACCCTCTGAAGCTTGAGGGTCACGATGACAAGCCTGTCCGCCCACTGCATAGGCCCTCTTGGCTCTGACCTTTCATTGCTGTCTCTGATCTTGTTTCAAGCCCCTCGCCTACTTCCAGAGCCCGTGGAAGTGGAGAAGTTGATGGAAGATGTTGGCCCCACATTCCTGCGTGGTGCCGATTCACACTCCTGTGTGGGGCGGAGAACACCAGCTCGCTCTACGGTATCAAACACCTCTCCAGCTGTGCACAGCCTTTTGGCTCCTTGGCTCTTGGCCAGGAGATGGAACCTGACATACCTCAGGAAGCACGGCCTCTGGAAGGTGCCCCTCTGCAGCAGTGAGGGTATGTTTAGGGCCACGGGGGCAATTTACAACTCTCCTTGGAACCTGCAAGGTCTCCCAGCAATGACAGCTGAGCTGAACATTAAACTGAAATTCCTTTAATGCCACCACCAAAATCCTTCCAGGAAATGCCCCAGCAGGCAGTGTCATCCTTAGAGTCTCCTTCCTTTGTAACAAACTGTGTAGAGTCCCCAGGGCAGCCTAGGTGTGAGCAGTAATTCACTCTCAGCACAGTCAGAGGAGACATGCTTTGTGATCTCAGTCCCAGCAGCGAATAAAAGAGTTACTGTCTGCTTGGAAATCAGCTGCTGGAGTCGAGCAGATCATCAGCTAAACAACTGCTATTGGACAGAAGAAAGGGCCTCAAGGGCTCCCAGGAGATTGTGCTAATTAATTAGCCAATGGCACAAAGAAGGCAACAGTCCATAGCTCAGTCCAGCAGGTTCTCCCAGGGGTGGGAGCTGGGGAGGGAAAAAGAAGGAAAATAAAATGCTTTCAAAGGTCCAGATTAGAAACTTCTTCAGCTGGCAATCATCCCCAAAGACATGATTTTCTAAAAGTGGCTGTTGTTGTTTCTCCAGGTTCCTAGGACCTCACTGCAGAAGATGCTGAAGCATGTGAGAACTGCTGTACCCCGCCAAACGGAGGGGCAGGAGGAAAAGGCCACTGAGATTCTTTCAAGTCCAGATCAACGGGTATGAGTCTTTCTTCCGAAGCTGATGAACGACACAAACGGTGGAGGAACCACTTCAGATATTTTTTAAGTCACCATGAAGAAGTATGAATATTTTTATAGGCTTATGCTTTACAAATTGAATTAACAATCATTATCCCACTGATTCTGCAAAGTACAGATGAGAGGCAAAGAAAGACAAGGCAAATAAAACTGGCCAGGGTAGTTTTTCCTCCAGAGTTTGTCGCTTCCCATTCTATCCATCCTCCTCTTTTTCCTCTCTTTGCTAACTGCTGATGCAACTACCTTTACTTTGGCCCCGTTTATATTCGGAAGACTTTTACTAAGATTACTTTGCGAAGAAACATAGGATTCTTGTTTTGGAACCTGCCATTAAGTGCAAAGTCCAAGATAAACCAGAGCAGTGAATTGAAAGTTCTAAATCCGCTTAAAAGCTTCTGTGTTCCACAATTCACTGCAGATTTAAAAAAAGAAACCTGGCTACTAAATCACTATGCTTAGAGCCAGACAAGCAAGATCACAACACACTACAATATCTTGGTAGAATGACTTATTAAGTGCACTTAAGTGTACACTAAAATGCAAAGGAAAGTTAACACAGCAGGTTGAACCCAGTGCTTCCTAACCATCCCATCTCTTTCTTCATGTTGAGCTTCTTCGCCAGTATGGGCAAGTACCACTATCTTCATTTCCAGATGTGTTCAGATAAGCATAAATCTCTGCTAGGAACACAAATAATGCCAGCATCAACTATCAGGAAGGAACCAGAGTGTCCTAACTTCTTAGGTAGAGAGCCATTTCCTGCAACTTCTAATTTCACAGTGTGAGGTCAACTCAGTCATTTTCACTACAACAGTCAAGAGTCAAAAAATTATAACCAAGCTCTCATGATTATTTAGATAAAAAGACATCCTTGAAGAGCCTACAGCAACTTGTATCAGAAAACGTTATAGGATAAAAATATTCTGCCTACTTTACAAAGAAGTGAAAAACCTTAGAAAGAGTACAATGGATTTTTACAATCCACTCCGGGTGCAAGTGTAATTTTCCCCATCACTGGAGTGGATAAATACAGGTTTTATCCTCTTATGGATCCCCTGGGCTACTCAAAATGTGAATTATGCCTTTCTATATTTGGAAAGGAATATAAGCATGCAAGAAGCCCACTGCGATTAATTTTCTAAAGCATCACCATGAATAGGATTCCCAGTAGCTCTATCTGCCTGCAGACATTCATCAGCATGAAAGTAAACACACCACCAGGCTCACATTTCCCCAGAGCTGTTTCATTCGGAACTAGAGCTCTGGTTTTCGTAGCCACTTTGTCTAAATATTTTTGGGATGATTCATTCATGGTCTCAACATCTCAACAGAGGGCATCCCCACAGTCCTAACATATTAAGGCACAGAGCAAGACAGAGAAGAAAAGAAAGAGTGCAGGTAGTAGTACCTAGTGTCTCCATCTGAAAACAGTCCCCTCTGCATCAGAACTAGGCTGTGCTCTGCGACGACAGGAAGTGAGTTTCCTTCTTCTCTGTAATAATAAAAACTCAACATGCTCGGAGCTCAGCAGGGGATAGAAGACTGGCACAGGCTGCCTGGCCCTGAAGGCCTGTGACTGAATCAGCAGTGAACTGCACGCTGGAGTTTTCCACAGGACCATTCAAACTCGGGCTGGGAAGGTCACACTGGCCTCTCCCTTCTCTGCTGACCGGCAGAAATGCCCCGGCTCCCCATTGTAGCATCCCCCAACCCTGGGATGGCTCCTGTGGAAAAAAGCAACTGTCTGTGAGCGTGGGGTCCAAAGGAAAAAAGAAAACAAAATTTCCATAAACATGCAGCCAGGAGCACAATCTTTAAGAGTGAAAAATTGGGAACGACAGGGGAATAGCTAAGCAAGAGACAGAGTATCAACAGAACAAACCATCATACAGTTCAAGTTGATGAGCATCACACATGGTCAACCCACCGAAGTCCCAAATCTACACCAGGCTGCAAAACGGCACTCACATGACGGCAAAACATGTCAAACTATATGTAAGTTAATCAACAAAAACAGGAAGTGAGTGTGTGGTGAATTAAAGAGTTCAAGTTCATTAGGTTATGTTTTTCCTTTAAAGGTACTCAAGTGAATAAAAATAATAGGAGACCACGGAAGCATACCAAAGCCCTTCATTTTTAAATGAGGCATACAAACATTTTTCAATGATCTTGCATAAAGTGAACGATCCAGGAGTTGCTGTATTTCCCCATCTCAACCCTCCAAATGCAACAAGGAAAATGCAAACACATAAAAACCAAACACTTATAAAGTGAACGGCTCAGCAACGCTTTTCTCCATTTCTTGGTTCAGGACCACAGTCTAGAAAGGGTATGAAGCTGATACAATGAGGTTATGACACCTGCTACCCTGCACAAGCCTCTTGATCACCTGCCATCCTCAGGTCTGTGAACAGGAGAGAAAATTCGCTCTATACATTTTTTTCTCTGAAAGTCAGTTGCAAAAATATAAACATGGGGAAGCAAACTCAGTTTAAAAGAGGCTAAGGAGAAGAATAGATCCCCCTCCCCAAAACATACCAACCTCCACATTTCCCTCTTTCCCCTAAAAAAAAAAAACAAAAAAACAAAACCAGTAGGGTCCCTGACAATAAAAATTGACAAATGACTTTAAAACAAATCATCCAGGGGGTAGAAAAGGCTGAATTGTCTTTAAATAGCCTAATAGACTGAATGGAGGATACAATACGTCTGTATTACGGCTGCAGGGTCCAGCATTAGAACAGCTAACATACTTCAGTCCTTAATCACTCCACCCATCTTTTCCCCTTAAAACTGACCATTGGCGGGCAGGGTGGCTCACGCCCATAATCCCAGCACTTTGGGAGGCTGAGGCAGGCAGATTACCTGATGTCAGGAGTTTGAGACCAGTCTAGCCAACATGGTGAAACCCTGTCTCTACTAAAAATACAAAAAAATTAGCCAGGAGTGGTGGCACGCGCCTATAATCCCAGCTACTCGGGAGGCTGAGGCACGAGAATTGCTTGAACCTGGGAGGTGGAGGTTGCAGGGAGGTGAGATCACACCACTGCACTCCAGCCTGGGCAACAGAGTGAGACTCTGTCTCAAAACAAAACAAACAAAATTCTCATCATCACAGATCCTTGAGAGAAAGAAAACCAGCAGCTCAGGGGTTAAACATGCAATGCCACGCTCACATTTCCTGTCTGTGATCACATGTTCATGTGAGAAGCAACTGGTTATGTTTTCATAGTACTTTTCTATTACTAGGCTTAATTTTTCTCTGCTAATAGTGTTCTAGGTTTCTATTACTGTGAAAAGCTGATGATTTACCTTACCTTTTCACTTTAATTTATCCCCTCTAGAAGAGCAATAACTGAAAAGAACTGGAGGTATCCCACACATGCAGAAGCTACAGCTTTGCAGTTTCTAGACCTCTGCCCACGTTTTGGTGTCCTGTGCTTGCTGCTCCTGAAACGTACACTTGGCCCTCTTCACTGGAAAGCCCACTGCTCGCCCTGCTGGGACAGCGTCCCTATGCCATCCGTCCGCCGCTGGAAAGCCCATGGCTCGCCCTGCTGGGACAGCTGTCCCTATGCCATCCCTCCGCCACTGGAAAGCCCACTGCTCGCCCTGCTGGGACAGCTGTCCCTATACCATCCCTCTGCCAAAGTGAAGCAGAGAAGAAGCCGTGTACACGAAGAAAATTTGCTGACCCACTTGGGTGGAAGGAAAAAAGCACTCTGTGGGTGGATTAATGTGGATGAACAGCCTGGTGCCACCAAAGTCGTGGGTGCCACCTGACGCTGGGGGGAAGCACTGGACAAGTTAGGCCTGTGTCTCGGTCCTGGTCCTCTTGGGTGGCTACGTATCACCTCTCTGGTCTTCCTTTCCTTGATCATAATGAAGGGAATTAGGTAAGTTCTCCCAGTGTTAAAATCATGATTCTATGATTTCTTCCTCAGCAGGCACATTCAGGTAATTCAGGAAGCTGACGGTTACTCTGATTCTCATAACAATCCCGTGGGCAGAGATCAATATCTCTATTATGCAGATAAGGAAGCTGAGGCACAGGAAGGTCACGTGACTTGCTATAGTCCCTCAAATAGTAAGTGGGAGGAAGGGCCAGGATCTGAACCCCGGTTGTCTGACTCAACTTTGCTACTTCTATTATTTTACATAGTGTCATCACTGCTTCAAATACAGCATTAAATCTTTATCATTCTCTATGTACAAATTTGGGAGACAGGCATCCAATTTTCTGGAAGCTGAATTTGAATCCTTCCTTTATTGAAAAGTAAACGCCCTGCATAAATTTCAATGTTCATATTTTCTTTAGTGGGCCCAGATCTGGCCCCTTTCAATCAATGGGCATCATGGCACAATTTTTGCTTAACTTGGAATGTATTCTTTGGAATGAATTAAGGTCTGCCTTCTTTGTTCTTGTCTCTAATTCCAAAGCATTGCGTCTTCTAAAACAGTTTTTTAACCCCTCTCCAAATGAAAAAGGATGCCACTTGAATCTTCCTTATAATTATACAAATAACACATTTTTTATAGGGATGTGTTTACATATCTTCACTCACTGGTGAAGAAGCCCAAGATGCCTCCAGGAGAGAGAATTATAACCAAGTGGCATTTATTAACCACCCTCCAGGGGGCAAAGGCTGGAAAACAGAGATGATGCCAAGGGTAAAACCCATGTGATCCGAGCCAGTGCCTGGAAAATAGGGAGTTTAGCAAATGTTGAGAATAGATCTTTTCTCCTGCTCTCTTCCACTGGGAAACCAGAAGGGTAAACAAACTCCTCAGCAGAGACACACGAGACTCCACGGAGGCCCAGGGGTAATCTGAGACTGCGGGAAACCTGTTTTCCCCTTTTTTTCCTTTTCTTGAATTCTGACCTTGAGCAGAGCTCAGAAGGGAGCCTCTGATTTCTCAGGTTCCTAGGAGAGAATATCTTCTAGGCTGCTGGCCAGGGCTTGGTCTTGGACCTACAATGGCTCCTTGTGGCCTATGCTATTAAGACCTAACTCACCCTGTCCAGCAGATTTTGCCCACTTTCCTAGGCAGAAGCCACATCGGTGGCCTTGCCTGACCATCATCTCCACCCTGGCCCTGAGGTTCCACCGGTCCCCTGATACCCCCCCTGCTTTTCCTGACAACTCAAGTTTCAGCTCCTCCTCCAGTCCTTCCTTATCCTTCCCTCCTCAACCTCCCACAGCTCCAAGGCTATGTCCTACAATTCAGCAATTAGTTATTATTTTCTGTAGCTGTGCCTAGGCATTTGGTTAAAACTTTGACTTTATATCCAGGGCAAGGACTATAGGGTTATATTTACATCAAGACAGAACCCTGTTCAAGTGCAAGGAGGACCCTAGACCCTGTTCTATAAACTGTGGTTCATAATGAATATGGACTGGCCCCACAATGATTTCCTCTAAATAACTAAAAATCTGAATGCTTTACAAATTTTAAGATATTTGGATTTTTTTTGTGCTTTTCTGTGTTTTCCAAATGTTCTTCAATAATCAGAAAATTACAAAATCACTAAATATTTTTTTAAAGAACAGGCTGGATTTTTAGTGCCTATGGACTGGAAATAAAACGATGCTGTCCTGCCATCTAGTGGCTGTGAGGCAAAAAAAAAGGCCAAGACAAGTCTAGGGGCTTGAAACTGTTAGTATTTGAAACCTGAGTCCCACCCTGGCTTTTTGGGGAAGGGGATATTTCTTTCTGCAACCCAGGATCCTTCATGTCTCCAGGGGAGGGCAGGTGAGCAGTCTGGTCCTTGATTAGAGTCAGGTCAGAGATGCTACTGCCTCCTCCACTGCCTAACAGTGATTCTGAGCTCCTTAGAGAAGGGAGCTGGAATAGGGTGGGATGGGATGGGAGGGAAGGTTGTAGGGGTGTGGGGGGGGGGCGGAGCACCTTCAGCTACAACGAACATCCAGAGGAGCCAGTGGCACTCCCATGCATCGCACCCCACATCTGTCATTGGGTCACATGGTGCTCCTGAAACTGCAGAGAGGACCTCGGGATACTTACTGTTTATTTTAATGACGTCAACATCAGTCATGCTATGAAAAAGGTAGAGTGGACCAGAATGTAGACCCTCCAGGCTTATTTATCTTTCCAAAGAACTTAAAGCTGAGGGGTGGGGGGGACATACCACAGACCACATCTATTTTTGCAAAATAAAAGGTCTTTTAGGCAGAAGTCTTCCAGCAAGGTACTCAAAAACTTTCCCAGGGGTGCACAGTCTTAAGGGAAGAATAAATGGCCAGGTCCTCAACTGCCACTTGTATTTTTTTCTAAAACTGGTCTGTCAGAGATACCACTTTTCCCTTGCCCATTCTCCCATCTCCCACTGTGTAAAAGAAGGGCAGACTTTCTCACCCACCCTGAACCTCACTTACAGGGTGATGAAACCTCCAGGTCATCCACAAAGAGACAAACAAGATGTATCTGTGAGTCTCCTTGAATCAGGCACTGTGGTGGGCTTCTTACTTATACATGAGTCTGATAAAGGGGAAGTATGTCACTAGTAATGGGGGTACGTGGGACCACACTGGGCTGTTCCAAATTCAAATATAGGCACAACTCAGATATACCGTCGGCTCAGTTTCAGACCACCACAGGAAAGCAAATATTGCAATAAATGGAGTCGCCTGACTTTTTTGGTTTCCCAGTGGGTAGAAAAGTTATGTTCACACTGTACTCCAGTCTGAGTATACGCAACAGCATTATGTCCAAAAAATACATATCTTAATTAAAACATACTTTATTGCTAAAAAATGCTAACAATCATTTGAGCCTTCAGTGGGTTGTAACTGTTGGGCTGGTGGAGGATCTGGCCTCAGCACTGATGCCTGCTGATTAATCTGGTGGTGGCTGCCGAAAATTAGGGTGGCTGTGACAATTTCTTAAAATAAGACAGCAATGAAGTTCGCTGCATCAAATGATTCTTCCTTTTATGAACAATTTCTCTGTAGCATACCATTCTGTTTGATAGCATTTTATTCACAGTACAACTTCATTCAAAATTCAAGTCAACAGAAAGGTGATTGTCCCCTCGCCTGTCACGCAATGCATGTTCCTGGCGAACCTGGCACTAAACCATTCAAAGATGACCTGCTTCTGGGTTGGGGTTTCGTATGTAGCAGAGCAGCTCCCTCACTGCGATCTATTGAAAGTCAGCCCTCAACGAAAGTGTTCGTTAAAAAAAAAAAAAAAAAAAAAAAAGGAAAAAGTTTAAAAGAAAACAAACAAAAAAAGAGTTAAAACACATACAAAATTCATGTCAATCCTCTCAAACTCTGTGGCTGCTTTACCAACTAAGTTTATGTAATATTCTAAATGTATATTTCAAAAATGTATCAGCACATTCACCAGCAGTAGATTCCATCTCAAGAAACCACTTACTTGGCTTATTCATAAGAAGAAACTCCTTATCTGTTCAAGTTTTATCATAAGATTGCAGCAATTCAGCCACATCTTCAGGTCTACTTCTAATTCTAGTTCTCTTGCTATTTCCACCATGATTGGCACACCTGCAGTTACTTCCTCCATTGAAGGAAGTCTTGAACCCATCAAAGTCATCCATGAGGGTTGGAATCAACTTCTTCCAAACTCCTATTAATGTTCAGACATCCTCCCATAAATCGCAAATGTTCTTACTGGCATCTAGAATGGTGCATCCTTTCCAGAAGGTTTTCAATTAACTGCCCAGATCCATCAGCGGTAACACTATAGCTATAATGTTATTCCCAACATTATTTATGGCAACTATAGCCTTATAAAATGTATTTCTGAAATAATATTTCTCAAATAGTAAGACATTATTTCTTAAGTAATAAGACTTGGAAGTTGAAATTACTCCTTGATCTATGAGCTGCAGAATGGATGTTTTAGCAGGCATAAAAACATTAATCTCCTTCTGCATCTTCACCAGAGCTCCTGGGTGACCAGGTGCAATGTCAATGAAAGGAATCTTATTTTAATGAGCAGTAGGTCTCAACAGTGTGCTTAAAATATCCAGTAAACCATGCTATAAACAGGTGTCATCCAGGCTTTGTTCTTCCATTTATAGGGCACAGAAAGAGTATAGATTTAGCATAATTCTTAAGGATTTTCAGACTGGTCAATGAGCATTGGCTTCGGCTTAAAGTCACCAGTCTGCCTAACAAGAGAGTCAAGCATCCTTATAAAGCACTGAAGTCAGGCATTGACTTCTCTTCTCTAGCTAGGACAATCTTAGATGGCATCTTCTTCCTATAGAAGGCTGCTTTGTCTACATTGAGAATCTGTTGTTTAGTGTAGCCACTCTCACCAATGATCTTAGCTAGATCTTCTGGATAATTTGCTGTAGCTTCTACATCAGCACTTGCTGCTTCATGTTGAACTTCTATTTTATGGAGAAGGCTTCTTTCCTTAAACCTCATGGATCAACCATTGCTAGCTTCAAACTTTTCTTTTGCAGCTTTCTCACCTCTCTCAGCCTTCAAAGAACTGCAGAGTTAGGGCCTTGCTCTGGCTTAGGCTTTAGCTTAAGAAAAAGTTGGGGCTGGTTTGATCTTCTATCCAGACCACTCAAACTTTCTCCAAGTCAGCAATAATTAGCAATAATGTTATTATCCGTGTGTTCACTGGAATAGCACTTTTAATTTCCTTCAAGAACTTTTCCTTTGCATTCACAACTTGGCTGTTTGGCACAGGAGGCCTAGCTTTCAGCCTGTCTTGGCTTCAACATGCCTTCACTAAGTTGAATCACTTCTAGCTTTTGATTTAAAGTGACAGACATATCACTCTTCCTTTCAATAGACACCTAGAGGCCATTGTAGGGCTATTAATTGGCCCAATTTCAATATTGCCTCAGGGAATAGGGAGGCCCAAGGAGAAGGAGAGAGACAGGAATGGCCAGTGGGTGGAACAGTCAGAACACACTTAACATTTATCATTTAAGTCTGCTGTCTTATACAGGTGTGCTTTGTGGCACCCCAAAGCAATTACAATAGTAACATCAAAGATCACTCATCACATTTACAGAGATTATCCTGGATTTGAACAACGACAACAAAAAAGATTACTGATCACAGATCATAGTAACAGATATAACACTAATTAAAAAACTTAAAATGTTGTGAGAATTACCAAAATGTAACATAGAGATACAAAGTGAGCATATGCTGTTGGAAAAATGGAGCCAATAGGTTTGCAGGGTTGCCACAAACCTTCCATTTATTAAAAATGCAATATCTGGGCCAGGTGTGGTGGCTCATGCCTGTAATCCCAGCACTTTGGGAGGCCAAGCGGGGGGTGGATCACTTAAGGTCAGGAGTTCAAGACCAGCCTGGGAAACATGGCAAAATCCTGTCTTTACTAAAATACATATAAAAATTAGCTAGGCGTGGTGGCATACGCCTGTAGTCTGGCTACTTGGGAGGCTGAGGCAGGAGAATCGCTTGTACCTGGGAGGCGGAGGCTGCAGTGAGCCAAGATCACACCACTGCACTCCAGCCTGGACAACAGAGTGAGACTCTGTCTCAAAAAAAAAAAAAAAAGAAAGAAAGAAAAGCAGTATCTGCAAAGCACAGTAAAACAAAGTATGCTTGTATATACTGAAAAATGTGTTAAAATATATATATATAATAGAATGAAATGGAAGTGATGATGGTTCTTATTTAATGTCTTTGCCTTTTTCGTTCCCTTATTTCCAAAGATTTTTTATTATTGAGCTGGAGTCCTATGTATTGGTCTGTTCTCAAACTGCTATGAAGATGCTACCTGAGATTGGGTAATTTATAAAGAAAAGAGGTTTAATTGACTCACAGTTCCACATGGCTGGGGAAGCATGGTGGAAGGGGGAGCAGACATGTCTTACATGGCAGCAGGAGAGACAGAGTGTGTGTAGGAGGAACCGTCAAACACATAAAACCATCAGATCTCATGAGAACTCACTATCACCAGAACAGCATGGGGGAACCACCCCCATGATCCAGTCACCTCCCACCGGGTCTCTCCCTCAACACGTAGGGATTATGGTGATTACAATTCAAGACGAGATTTAGGTGGGGACACAGAGCCAAACCATATCAGTCCTGTGAGAACAAAACAAACACTGATTCCAGGAGGTAAACATGGCATGGCTGGGCTTGGTACCCTTTCTTTCTTCCTTTCATCCTTCTTCCCTTCTACCCATCCATCCATTCATCTATCCAAGAATAAAAATTTAGAATTCAGAAACAAGATGACTGTCACAAGGATGCCTAATAACATATTCACTGAACTGAAAAATGGTATCAGACCTTTACTGACAGCAAACAAGTGTGGTATGGCTAACTGGTTTGACAGGGACTGGCTCTGTCCATTAGATTATAGAGCAGACAATTTTCATACATGAATGAGCTGCATTAGCAACTCCAACGTCTTGACAAAAATACATTTTAAAAAGCATATGGTTTAAAAGCATTTTATCAAAAAAAGGATACTGACAAATGTTTATTAATGCTTAATTATCTTTTCTGGAACATTTTGAGTTAAACAGACTGCCTCTAAATAAAAGAAGAGCAAATTTAATTTACAACTGTTTGAGAAGTTTGGGTACAAGTTTTTTGGTGTACTTCCCAGAAACTAAAAAAATTAAATACCTTTAAGGCGGAATGATAATTCCTTTTGTAAGTTAGATAATTGCCAATTCTTCCAACATAATTAAGGAAAGACCTAATCAAGTTGTCATTTTTTGGTCCAGAACTCAGAAGGAATTCAAAGAATTAAGTGACATGACTGTAACAAAACTCCTACCATCTCATGTATTTATTCATGATTTCTCAGTGCATCTTATCTCTAAAAATGAAAAATAGGAAAAAGAGGTAATATCAAATTCTTTCTTATTCCAGCAATAAGTATTATTTGTCCATTTCTTTAGAAACTAACTTATTAAGAGCCCCTTCATTCCATTATAAGTTGAAACTTCAATGCAATTTCTATTTAATAATTATTTTGATGAATGACAATTTAATAATATTAATGATATATTAACATTTATTTTTCAGATCAATTGTGAATTCATTAAAGCTGAAACAGTAACTTAGTCTAGGAGAACTTTCTTTTAATACTCATGATATCTAGAAAACTGTCTTAAAATTTATATGGATACACATATGCATACATGTATATGTTACATAGGTATATGATGTGGTGTGATCAATAAGACTTTCAAGCAACTAAATCTATTACATCAGAAGAAAATGTGGAGGAAAAGAGAATGAAAAAACCAAGTTTGAAGGGAAAAAAGACATAAAAGTTCTAGCTGTTACAGGAGAGCTGTTCATGTATTCTTTTAATGGATAAAGGTGGTTATAAAATCACTATGGATGTAGATTCCACTGGGTACATTTAAAGAAACGACTTTGAAATGTCAGTATTTACAACACACCATTTATTTTAATAATTTCTGGGAAGTACATCAAAAGGCTTTGCTGAGCTGGAGTCCTGTGTATTAGTCTGTTCTTAAACTGACTTACAAAATGATTATTAAATGATTCCCGTTTCTTTCACTTGTAGACAACTTGCTGAAGTCAGATACTCAAAAAGGGTTCGGAAGAGTGAAATATTATTACATTTTTTGCAACTATCTTGACAAAAATGTGTATGTTACCTTAAAATATACACACAGCTTTATATTATTTTGAGCACATATAAGCAAAGGCATTTGAAGACCATTGCTCTAAGGGGCTTTCCTTGGGGAGTAAGTTGGCCTGCACCGATTTCTCATGGTTTTGGAAAGTTCCAGGAGTCAGAACTGTATTTTCTGGTCATTTCATTGGATATTCTTGACTCTATCTGGCAAACAACGGAATCTGGGTCCACAGTGTTGGGGTTCTCCCACTTTTCCAAGTCCTATGTTGGATGATATGGCCCAAGGTCTGCTCTGGGGTGTTGGGAGCCTGGCTGCCCATCCCCACCAGCTCTTCCCCTCCTGAATACTGCCTGGGAGCACTCCCTAACCTCGGCCTTTATCCCTCTCTCTATCTTTCCCAGTAGGACTTGGCTTAGGGAATCCAAAGAAGTGTGATGCGTCTGACTCCTGCTGCCTTCTGTCTCTCAAGAAGTTCCACTCACTGTCCATCCATGATCAAGGTTAAGGGAGGGTTGGGGTTCCTCCATGTCCTTACAGCCCTACTTATATTTTTTATTAAAAAAAAAAACAACTTGTTTTTTTGAGACAGAGTCTCACTCTGTTGCCCAGGCTGGAGTGCAGTGGTGCAATCATGGCCCACTGCAGCCTCGATCTCCTGGGCTCAAGTGATCCTCCTGCCCCAGCTTCCCGAGTAGCCAGACTACCAGCACGCGCCACCACACCCAGCTAATTTTCTTATCTTTTTTTGTAGAGACGGGGCTCTCACTGTGTTGTCCAGTCTGGTCCCAAACTCCTGGGCTCAAGCGATCCTCCCTCCTTGGCCTCTCACAGTGCTGAGATTACAGGTGTAAGCCACTGCACCAAGCTAGCCCGACTTTTAAATGGGAAGCACACAGCAGAATCTTTAAGTGAGTGGTGCTGGCATTGTTTAGTTTCTCATCTTAGCTTTACCATTTACTAACTATCAGCAAAAAGGCAAGCTATTCAACCTCACAGCACCTCAGTTTCCCTACCTGACAAATGGTGATAACAATAAAACTAAATGTGCAATTATGTAGACTAAATGCAATAATACCAAGCAGGCATACAAGAGTTTAATCAATGAAGCTATTATATTATTAAATGCAAAATTTAGAATTTTAAAAGTGAGCTCAAGAAATGGAAAGGTAGGAACTAATGAACAGGATGCAATCTCCCTTCCATCAGTGCAATGCCTCAGGAGACACAGGGTGGGCGTGAGTCACCCTAAAACCTCCTGTCCCTCAGCCCTTGGATTCTGTGTTGTCAAACTTGGTCCCACTGGCAGCAGCAGCCCAGGCTCTGTTCTGAAGGTGCCTGCAAATCACCTCTAATGAGAACAGCCCCTGATACTTAGGAACTGCTACCAGACACTCAGCGGCTGAGCAGGAGACTCCCAGTGGTTGCTTTTGTCCATTCCTGGGCTTGGCCCACAGACAACAGGGTGCACATGAGGACACTAGTGTTGCTACGTACAGCTAGCAAGAACCTGTGCAAACCTCATGCTCAGCATGAACCTCCTTCCCTGAATGTCCCCCTCCCCATGGGTGGGTGGAGATGGCAGAGGCATGGCAGGCTGACGTGGTCCAGGGTCCCTGATTAAGCAAACTTACCTGAAGAGGGACGGTACAAACGAGGACCGGTCTGGCTTAGCATCCACTGAATCTTCATTTGCTGAATCCTCAACCCCCTGCTCTTCAATACAGCCCTGATCATCTGCCATCTGGGAAGAGAGAAAAAAAGCCACAAGGTCAGTGGCATCACTGATACTGTGATATTTTTAAATGACACTCATTAGGTGATACAGTTTTCCATTACGCCTAGGGGTGAGAAGTTTTGCATATTTAAGCTTCAGGGTTACCGCCCCATTAATGCATTCAAATATGTGAATATGCTTACATCCCAGAGACTACATATATGGCAACAAAGAAAACAAAGTCCTTGCCCTCAGGGAGCTTCTAATCCAGTAACCACAATTTTGTTGTATGTTCACTGCATACAAGAAACAGTGGAAGGTCTGTCAAGGTTTACAACAATGAAAATTTCCCCCTAAATTCCTAGCAGGTCACAAAGTGCTCATACGCAATTCAAAAGCAGCGACAACCTGGGGTATTAGGCTCTCTTTCTATGTCAGATGCTTTTACACGGTTCTACACAAAATAGATTTCCATCAAATTACATTCCAGCTTGAGAATTTTCAAGAGATCCCCATTAACTATAAGTACAAATCTAAAGCCATCTCCTTGGATTTTAAGGCCCTTTCTGATCTAGTCTGGGAATCAGCATACTATGGCCCAACACTTGTTTCAGTAAATAGAGTTGTACTAGAAAACAGCCATGTCCATTCATTTATGTATTGCCTATGGCTGTTTCCTCTCTACGAGCAGAGTTGAGTGATGGCCACAAAGCCAAAAATATTTACTACCTGGCCCTTTCCACCCCCACCCTCTGCCTTCATTTCCCGCATAGCCTTCGTATGTGGCTTGTTTATTTGCGCTCTGCTGTTTGGCTCCTATAAGACAATATAAGTTCATTATGGCAGAGGTAGCTGGAACACAGAAGGTGCTTACTAAAATATTTAATTGAATGGAAGGCTGGATGAAACACACACCCTAAGGGGAAAGAATTAGCTAAAGGTGATGTGGCTGGCCCAAGGCAGAGCCAGTATTAGAATCATTTTTTTTTTTTGTCTTTGAGATGGAGTTTTGCTCTTGTTGCCCAGGCTGGAGTGCAATGGTGTGATCTCCGCTCACTGCAGCCTCCGCCTCCCAGGTTCAAGTGATTCTCCTGCCTCAGCCTCCCGAGTAGCTGGGATTACAGGTGCCCACCACCACATCTGGCTAATTTTTTTTTGTATTTTTAGTAGAGACAGGGCCAGGCTGTTGGCCAGGCTGGTCTCAAACTCTGGCCTCCCAAAGTGCTGGGATTACAGGTGTGAGCCACTGCACCTGGCCAGTATTAGAATCACTTCTCCTAAATCAAGTCCCATTTTCTTCCCCATGAAGGGATCAGGGATCAACTTTCAGGAATAAAGAGAAACTTCAGACTCCAATTT
Organism: Homo sapiens; assembly: GCF_000001405.40. Classification (NCBI taxonomy): domain Eukaryota; kingdom Metazoa; phylum Chordata; class Mammalia; order Primates; family Hominidae; genus Homo; species Homo sapiens. Next base: position 113,696,161 of record NC_000010.11, on the reverse strand, counting down.
CTACCTGGTCCCAACTGTTACTAGAAAAGGGTCCTGATGCAGACCCCAAGAGAGGGTTTGGACCTCGCGCAAGAAAGAATTAAGGGTGAGTCCATAGAGTAAAGTGAAAGCAAGTTTATTAATAAGGTAAAGGAATAAAAGAATGGCTACTCCATAGGCAGAGCAGCAGCTTAGGCTGCTGGACTAGGGATACTCATAGTTATTTCTTGATTATATGCTAAAACAAGGGGTGGACTATTCACAAGTTTTCCAAGGAAGGGGTGGGAAATTCCAGGAACTAAGGAAGTTCCCCTTTTTAGACCATATAGCGTAGCTTCCAGACATTGCTATAGCATTTGCAAACTGTCATGGTGCTGGGGGGAGTGTCTTTTAGCATGCTAATGGCTTATAATTAGTGTATAATGAGCAGTGAGGGTGACCAGAGGTCACTCTTGTCACCATCTTGGTTTTGCTGGGTTTTGGCTGGCTTCTTTACTGCAACCTGTTTTATCAACAAGGTCTTTATGACCTCTACCTTCTGCTAACCTCCTACCTCATCCTGTGACTAAGAATGCCTTAACCTCCTGGGAATGCAGCCCAGTAGATCTCAGTCTTATTTTACCCAGCCCCTATTCAATATGGAGTTGCTCCGGTTCAAATGCCTCTGATACAATCCCTGAGCAACTTCACTGAGCAGGCCGCGGTTGTCAGGTGCAGTTCTGTATTCCAGTTAGGGCTCACCCAGGGATGCTGTCATTAAGTTGGAAAACAAGAAGGCATCTACTTTACAGAATATTTTGTGCCGCTGAGCACAAGTAATAACTTTTGGAGGTGGGGAGAAGGAATGCAGTTCAGAAGGAGGTGTCCAAGGAGGCAAAGTGACAACCTAGTGGCCTTGCACTCCGAATGGCATTATGGTGTCACCTTCCAGCTTATCTGAGGGTGAACTGGGAAGAGGGGAGGGAGCTAAGAAGGGAAAGTCCTACTGCCAGGTCTCTACAATGACCATGGGAAGTCAGATGGTCACCTTGTTTCTCAACACATCATGAGCCTCCCTTCATCATCACCAATGTGTTTCTGGTTGGGAGGCAGATTTTTCAGATTAGAACCCAAAGTTTCTCAAAAATGGAGATAACTCACAGAGGAGATAAGCATAAGGCCACACATGCAGAAAATACCTGATAGCCTCTCTTGTCTCCTTTACATAGACTTAGTTACTTTCCAATATAGACTGTTATTAACACAATACACACTCACATATTTTCAAAACTAGTAAGTCAAAGTTTTAAAAAAATCCACCAGACAAAGACACTAACTTTGATATGTGGTGTTAATCAAGTTGGCCCTTTTGCTAAAGTTAATCTTAAAGGCTCAATCTAGGGTATATGATGACAACACAATATAACCACTATTTTTAAAAGAAAGAAGAAATGTCAGTGTGATAGCGGAATAGGAGGTTCCAGTTTTCATTCTTATATAGAAATACTGATTTTGGCAACTACACCTATGGACAAGAATACTTTTGTGAGGCCACAGGAGTCCACTGAGAGGTTTCAGCACACTGGTGGAGCAAAAAATCGAAGAGTGGATGCATCAAAGAGTATAATAAGAGCAGCTCACTTTACCCACATCACCCCTCCCCTAAGGTGGCACAGCTCAGTTCCAAGAGAGGTCCCTCCAGCTCACAATTCTCCCATGGGGGAAGTGAGAGTGAAGTGAGCACCCAGCTTTCCCAGCCCAAAAGGATGTTGTCTAGGAGACCCACTTCTGTTTCATCCCACCCAGAACACTGAGGGGAATAGTACGGCTGAATCGTCTGGGGCAGCCAGGAGCAAGGAGAAGCAGCAGCAGGAGTGCAAATAGTGTATGGTTATCAAAAGCCGGCTATAGATTCTGCTACCCAGCTCATGGATGCTACCCTAAGTCCCTCCCATAAACCCTGCAGGACAACTTGCCTATGTACCCCTTCAACCAGCTGATATGTACCTCAGTGCACAACAGTCTGTACACAACCACAGACAATGCTTGGATCTCAACAGCAGGTAGGGATATTAGCAGCCAGCTCAACTTTGATGGATTGAGAGAAGACATATAACTTTGAACATTTCAGGGTACTACCCTAAGGAATAAGCAGGAGGCTTTTAGCACAAGGTCTGCCTTTGCAGGACTGAGAGAACACATATAATCCCAAAGAGGGAACAAGAGGTGTGGAGCAGGTATATCTAGAGAAAAAGTGTGAGAGATCCCCAGAATCTCTAGCTAAGCTCACTGGCAAAGGTCTTTCTCTCCTAAAGCCAGTCAATAAAGACGGGAAGAGGTGACTGCTTCTTCAAGTGTGAACACACAATGCGAGGCTTCAAAGAACACAAATAATCAAGGAAATATGACACCACCAAAGGAACAAAATAAAGCTCCAGTGGCTGATCCCAAAGAAATGGAGATCTATGAATTACCTGACAAAGAATCCAAAATAATCATCTTAAAAAAGCCCAGTGAGGAACAAGAGAGCAGACAGACAAATAAATGAAATCAGAAAAACAACAAATAAACAAAATGAGAAGTTCAACAAAGAAATAAAAACCAATAAATGAACGAAACAGAAATTATGGAGCTGAAGAATACAATGTCTGAAATAAAAAATTCAATTGAGAGTTTCAACAGTAGACTTGATCAATCAGAAGAAAGAGTCAGTGAACTTGAAAACAGATCATTTGAAATTAATCAGTCAGAGGAACAAAAAGAAAAAGGAATGAAAAAGAGTGAAGAAACCTATGCAATTTATTGGACACCATCAAGTGAACCAATATATGCAGTATCGGTGTCTCAGAAGGAGCAAAGAGAAAAGGGTAGAAAGTTTATTTAAAGAAATTATGACAGAAAACTTCCCAAATCTGGAGAGGGAAAGGAACATCTAGATTCATGAAGCCCAAAGAACCCCAAACAGATTGGGCATAAATAGGTCTTCACTGAGACACATTACAATCACTGGTAAGAGTCAAAACAGATAAGGAGAAAATCTTGAAAGCAGCAAAAGAAAAGCAACTGATTTTTTTCCAAGATGGCAGATTGGAGGCATTGTTAGCATGCCTCTCTCACTTGGGAAGATAAAATAGTGTGTAGAGATTCATGCTGTGTACTTTTTTCCAAGAAGCAACACAGGAACTTAATAGGAAAACTGAAAGAAACCACAGAGCCTTTGAAAGAAGTGGTGGGCTGCAGCCTATACTGTGAACCAGGTAGAAAATTCTAAGTCCCTGGAGTGTGAGGGGGATAAACTGTCTCTGGGACATACATTCCCACTGGAGAACTTGGCAATCCAGGCCACAGGGAAAGGTCTTAACCCTACCCAGCACTGAAGCTGATTTAGTGAGCACTGGGGAATACATGAGAAGGAATAGCATTGGGATGTGCATTGCATGTGCTCTCGGTCTCCAGCAGGGATAGAAGGAAGTCATTCCAGGTCCTACCTCACAGGTGACCTTGTGGACATCTTCCAGCAAACTCAGTAGTCTGTCATAGGTTGAGAGAGGTTCCCAATTGACATTTGTGATATAATCTCGAGTGACGATGAACCCCCTTGGCCAGAACCGAGGGGTGAGTGGGCAGTGGGTTATACTCACGAGCACAAGAGCTGGGTACCTTTGTTTCTCAGGCAGACCAGAAGGGGCGTGGCCTGAAAGCCATGGTATGTCTCAACTGGGAAGGCTTATGGCCTGGGGCAGTTTTGAGTTCTGAGAGCAGAATGCCTGGAACCTAGCTAGCTGCTACTAGTGGAACACTACCGGTGTGAGACCTACCTTGCCAAGTGCATGGGAACTGGGCAGAGCTTACTGTCACCTGCTACTCCCCACTCCCTGTGTGGACTTTCTGTGCAGCACAGGCAGTTGCACTCCTCCCTGGAACATTACCCCTGCGGCAAGAGGACTGCCCTCTTATCCCCACTGGGGCCTCTGCTTGAGCCCACACATGGAGAGCCATAGCATGTACTTACGTGACCCAGCCCCCACCTGGCTTTGCCCCTTTACCCCCTACTCCATAGCTTAACACAAAGGACAGAAACTTTGGGAAGCTCTATGGCCTCACGCATTGTCTGAGACACCAGAGTACCTCACCTGGGTAACATAAGAAGCACAAATCCCACTGCTACCACCGCAGCTGGTGTTCTTTTCCAAGTGCCACTTCCTGCCTGGAGGCCAACCAACACAGTCCATTACAGCATCTGCTGGCAGAATAACATAGCACCCAGGAAGGAGAAAACTTACGCATGACCCCATCTGTCACCACTGCCTGCATTACCCCCAGCTAATCAGTAGGTCCTGAGTCTGTCCACATGACCAGTTCATTCCTACTATAGCTAGTGTGTGAGAAAGCCAACACACTAAGGCTATTTATAAGGAATCTCACAGAGTCTATGTCACTTCCCTGCCACCCCCATCAGAACAGATGCTGGTACCTACTGCTGGAAATTTGAGGGCAGGTCGCATCACTGGACCCCCTGCAGACATTCCCCGGCACTTTCCTGGAGTGTGGCAGCCCCACTGGGTGGCTAGACCCAGAGAAGCAGCAGCATTCACAACAGTCTGGCCCTCAGGGCTCCTACTCCTAGGGGAAGGGGGAGTGCACCACATCAAAGGAGTAACCCATGGGACAAAAGAATCCAGATGGCAAAGCTTGAGTCCCATAGCTTTCTGCTTGTGGGAAGTTTTTTTCAGCAGAGGCACAGGTGCAATGCTGAACTCAGAAGGGAAAGTCTGTGGCTCTACTACAACAGTCAGGCATCCCTGGTGCTTGTGACAGGTCTTGGAGAAGGAGACTTTTCCTCCTCACCCACCACTGCAGCTACAGCTTGGGCTTCTCCCACAAGAGCGTGGCATGGGTGCATCTGTAGACAGCCTTTCTAGAACACTTCAGGGTGACTGCATCCTCATAGGACAAGTGCCCTCAAGGTTCAGGCTTGCATGAGGGGTAATTATAATCCCTCTCTACATGGAACATCAGTATTTCTGCAGCTGGAAAGTGGTGTCTGCCTGGTTTGAATGGACAGAACACTGGGTCAGGAGTGTGAATGGGAGGCAGTTTTTTCTCCTGCTGGCCTGGGATGGGAGCTGGGGTAGCCCCTTCCTTCCCCCTGAAAAGACCTCAGTGTTTTTCAATGACAGCTTCTCCAGCCGCCTACGTCAAGGCTGGGACCTCTGCCCTCCATTAGGTATTGTATTTATCTACCTGTTTTAGGCACACCCAGTTTTTACCCAGGGACAACTCCCATACTGACTTGAAGCCTGAACTGTTCAACCCAGTAATACTGGAGGAATGAATGAATGAATGAATGAACAAATGAATAAATAAATAAGTGCACACCACTGGGGATGAGCTTCAGAGACTTTTGCCATTCCAACCCCACAAGAGACAGTCAACCTGCTCACACACGAAGCACATTGCTACTACATCTGAGAAAACCATCATACAAAGACTCTCTATAACCAAGGAACTTATACAGAGTCTTCACCGCCAAAAGCACCCAGAGCCAAATTAGGTTACAATAAGCTATAATCATTGAAGTCACATCCATAAGGTGGAAAAAAGGAAATTAGAAAGAAACGGTTGAATCAAAAATAAATTCAAAAATAATTAGAAGAAACAGTCTATCCAAATGAGAAGGAACCAGAAAAATAATTCTGGCAATATGACAAAACAGGGTTCTATAACACCCCCAAAAGATCACATTAGCTTTCCAGCAATGGATCCAAACTAAGATGAAATCTTGGAAATACCAAATAAAGAATCCAAATGGTTGATTATTAAGTTACCCAAGGAGATACAAGAAAAAGGTGAAAACCAATATAAAGAAAGTTTTTTAAAAATTCAGGATATGAATGAAAATTTTTCTAAAGAGATAGATACTTTAGAGGAAAAAAAAACAATCAGAACTTCTAGAAATGAAAGACACATTTAGGGAGTTACAAAACAAGTGGAAAGTTTTAACAACAGACTAGACCAAGTAGAATAAAGAATTTCAGAGCTCGAAGACAAGGCTTTTGAATAAACCCAGTCAGACAAAAATAAAGAAAAAATAACTAAAAGAAATGAACAAAGTCTCTAAGAAATATGAGATTATGTAAAATGGCCAAAGCTAAGAATCACTGGTGTTCCTGAGGGAGAAGAAAAAGTAAAAATTTTGGAAAATTTATTTGAGGGAATAATTGAGGAAGACTTCCCTAGCCTTGCCAGAGATTTAGACATCCAAATACAAGAAGGTCAAAGCCCTTCGGGGAGATTCATGGCAAAATGGACATCTCCAAGGCATACAGTCAACAGGCTATTACTAATGTCAACATGAAGGAAAGAATTCTAAGAGCAGTAAGACAGAAGTATCAGATAACCTGCAAAGGAAAAGCTATCAGACTAACAGTAGACTTCTCAGCAGAAACCTTATAAGCCAGAAAGGATTGGGGCCCTATTTTTAGCCTCCTTAAACAGAATAACTCTCAGCCAAAAACGTTGTATACAGCAAAACTAAGTTTCATAAATGAAGGGGATATAGTCTTTCTCAGACAAGCACATGCTGAAGGAATTTGCCACTACCAGATCAGCCCGACAAGAAATGCTAAAAGGAATTCTAAACGCTGAAATAAAAGGTCAATATGCAACAGAATAGAACCTCTCAAAAACACAAAACTCACAGGGCTTATAAAACAATAACACAATAAAAAAAACAAAGTATCCAGGTAACAATCAACATGATGATTGGGTCACACCTCAATATTAATGTTGAATGTACATGGCCTAATGCTCCACTTAAAAGATACAGATTGGCAGAATGGATTAAAAAAAAAATCACAAACCAAATGTCTGCTGTCTTCAAGAAGCTGAGCTAATTAATACAAAGGATTCTTATAGAATCAAGGTAAAGGGGTGGAAAAAGATACTCCACACAAATAGAAACCGAAAGCAAGCAGAAGTTGCTACTCTTATATCAGATAAAACAAACTTTAAAGAAAAACAGTTTACAAACAAAAAGACAAAGAAAGTATGATAAAAGGATTGACCCAACAGGAAGATATTATAACCCTAAATATATATGCACATAACTCTGAAGCTCCTAGATTCATAAAACAATTACCACTAGACCTAAGACAAGAGATAGACAGCAACATAATGATATTGGAGAACTTCAATACTCCACTGACAGCACTAGACAGATCACTGAGGCAGAAAGTCAACACAGAAACACTGAATTTAAACTACACTCCAGAACAAATGGACCTAACGGATAATTATAGAACATTCTACCCAAGAACTGCAGAATATACATTCTTCTCATCAGCATATGGAACATTCTCTAAGACAGACCATGTGATAGGCCACAAAATAAGTCTCAATTAATTTTTAAAAATGAAAATCATATCAAGTATCTTCTCAGACTACACCAGAATCAAACTAGAAATCGACTCCAAAAGAAACCCTCAAAACTATATAAAAACAAGGAAATTAAACAGTCTGCTCCTGACTGATTTTTGGGTTAACAATGAAATCAAGATAGAAATTTGAAAATTCTTCAAAACGAATGATAACAGTGACACACATTATCAAAACCTCTGGGATACAACAGAAGCAGTGCTAAGAGGAAAGTTTGTGGTGCTAAATATCTACATCAAAAAGTCTGAAAGATGACAAATTGACAACCTAAAGTCACACCTCCTGGAACTAGAGAAGCAAGAACAAACCAAACCCAAAGCTAGCAGAAGAAAATAACAAAGATCAAGGCAGAATAAATGAAATTGAAACAAAAAATGCAAAAGATCAATGAAACAAAAAGTTGCTTCCTTGAAAAGATAAACTCAGGGGACCATTAGCTAGATTTACCAATAAAAGAAGAGAGAACATTCAAATAAGCTAAATCAGAAATGAAGATGGAGGGCCAGGCACAGTGGCTCACACCCGTAATCCCAGCACTTTGGGAGGCTGAGGCGGGTGGATCATAGGTCAAGAGATTGAGACCATCCTGGCCAACATGGTGAAACCCTGTCTCTACTAAAAATACAAAAATTAGCTAGGCATGGTGGCACACGGCTGTAGTCCCAGCTCAGGAGGCTGAGGCAGGAGAATCGCTTGAACCCGGGAGGTGGAGGTTGCAGTGAGCCAAGATCGCGCCACTGCACTCCAGCCTGGGTGACAGAGCGGGACTCTGTCTCAAAAAGAAAGAAAAGAAAGAAAGAAAGGAAGGAAGGAAGGAAGGAAGGAAGGAAGGAAGGAAGGAAGGAAGGAAAGAAGGAAGGAAAGAAAGAAAGAAAGGAAAGAAAGAAAGAAAGAAAGAAAGAAAGAAAGAAAGAAAGAAAAGAAAGAAAGGAAAGAAAGAAAGAAAGAAAGAAAGAAAGAAAGAAAGAAAGAGAAATGAAGATGGAGACATTACAATAATGTCTTTGTAGTAACTTGGATGGAGCTGGAGGCCATTATTCTAAGTGAAGTAAGTCAGGAATGGAAAACCAAATATCTATGTTTTCACTTGTAAGTGGAAGCTAAGCTATGAGCATTCAAAGGCATTCAGATTGGTATAATGGATACTGGAGACTCAGAAGAGGGGAGAGTGGGAGGAGGATGTGGGATTTTTAAAAACTACATATTGGGTGCAATGTACACTACTTGGGTTACAGGTGCACTAAAATCTCAGACTTCACCACTACACAATTAATCCATGTAACCAAAATCTACTTGTACTCCAAAAGCTATTGATATATACGTGTGTGTATGTACATGTATATATGTACGTACATATATATGTACGTACATGTATACATGTACATACATATATATGTACGTACATGTATACATGTACATACACACACACACATGCACACACACACACGGAAAAGCACCTCATTACATACAAAGAAATGTCCATAAGACCATCTGGTGGATTTCTCACCAGAAACCTTGCAGGCCTGGAAAGAGTGGGATAATATAATCAAAGTGCTAAAAGAAAGAAACTGCCAACCACAAATATTATATCCAGCAAAGCTGTCCTTCAGAAGAAAAGATAAATACTTTTCTGAGACACATGAAAATGACAGTGTTCATCACTACTAGACCTGCCTTACAAGAAATGCTAAAAGGAATACTTCAGGTTGAAATGAAAGGACATTCTTTAAACTCACTGGTAAAAGTAAGTGTATAGTCAAATCCAGAATATGTGAATAATTTACAGGTGGTCTTTGACTTACAATGGTTTTACTTAAGATCTTTTGTCTTTCCAATGCTGCAAAAGCAAAACACATCATGTAGAAACCATACTTCAAGTAACCATACACCCATCCTGTTTTTACTTTTAGTACAGTATTGATAAATTATATGAGATATTCAACACTTTATTATTAAATAAGCTTTGTATTAGATTCTCATGCCCAGCTGTAGGCTAATGTGATATAAGCATGTTTAAGACAGGCTAGGCTAAGCTCTGAAATTCAATAGATTAGTTGCATTAAAGGCATTTTTAGCTTATGATATTTTCAACTTACATTGGGTTTATAGGGATGTAAACCCATCATAGGTTGAGGAGCATCTGTATTAGCTGTGCATAAATCACTTTGAACTCTACTAAAGTTAAAAGACTAAAGTATTAAAAACAACTCTAGCTTCAATAACCATAGCTATATAGTTGTTAATAGATATACAATATAAAGAAATGTAAACTGTGACATCAATAACATAAAACATGGAAGGAGAGAATAAAACTGCAGAATTTTTGAATGTGCGTGAAGTTAAGTTGTTGCTATGGTCTGAATGTTTACGTACCCCCCAAAATTTACACATTGAAATCTATTCACCAATGTCATAGTATTAGGAGGTGGGGCATTTGGGGTATGATTAGGTCAAAAGGGTAAAGCTCCATAAATGGGATTAGCACTTTTATATAAAGAGAGCTGCCCTGCCCTATCTACCATGTGATAAGATATAATAAATGAACAAGGAAATGAAACTTCGCTATACACTGATGCTGTTAGCACTTTGATCTTCAACATGCCAGCCTCCAGAACTACAAGAAATATATTTCTGTTGTTTATAAGCTACCCAGTTTAGGGTATTTTGTAATAGCATCCCAAATGGACTAAGTTGTTATCAACTTAGAATAGAACGTTATAAGATGTTTTGTGTAAGCCTCATGGTAATAACAAAGCAAAAATCTGTAGTAGATATGCAAAATATATACAGAAAAGAAACAAAGCATATCACTACAAAAAATGATCAAATCACATGGGAGGGAAGCAAGAGAGGAAGAGAGAAACAGATGAACTATAAAACAGTCAGAAAACAATCACAAAATGGCAACAGTGAGCCCTTTACCTATCAATAATTTCTTTAAATGTAAATGGATTAAGTTATCCAATCAAAATACATACAGTGACTAAATAGAGTAAAAACATAAGATCCAACTACATGATATTTACAAGAGACTCACTTTAGATTTAAGGACACACATAGGCTAAAAGTGAAGGGATATAAAAAGATAATCCATATGAATGGTAACCAAAAGAGAGCAGGGGGGGCTATACTTATATCAGACAAAATAGACTAAAGTAAAAAACTTTCGAGATAAAGAAGGTCATTATATTATAACTATAGATATCAATTTACCAAAGACATAACAACTGTAAATATATATGCATCAACATTAGCACACCTAAATATATAAAACAAGTATTAATAGAACTACAGAAAGAAATAGCAATAGATAAGAGTAAGGGACTTCAAAACCTCACTTGCAACTATGGATATTTCATCCAAATGGAAAATCAATTAGGAAACAGTGGATTTGAACAACACTAGTCCAAATGGACCTAACAGACATATATACAACATTTCATCCAACAGCAGCAAAATACACATTCTTCTCAAGTGTACACAACATTCTCCAAGATGGATCATATGCTAGGCTACAAAACAAGTCTTAATTAATTTAGGAGGATTAAAGTCATATCATGTATCTTTTCTGACCACAAATGGTATGAAAGTAGAAATCAGTAACAGGAGAGAAATTAGAGAATTCACAAATATGTGGAAATTAAGCAACACACTGCTCTTCTTTGAGCCAGAACAACAAAACTACAAAACACTGATGAAAGAAATTAGACATAAATAAATGGAAAGATATTCCATGTTCATAGATTGGAAGAATTAATATGTTAAAATGTCCATGCTGCTCAAATTGATCACTGAACAGATTCAATGCAATCCCTATCTAAATTCCAATGGCATTTTCACAGACATATAAAAAAATTATAAAATTCATATGTAGCTACGAAAGACCCTAAATAGCCAAAGCAAACTTGAGCAAGAGCAAAGCTAGAGGCATCACATTTCCTCACTTCAAATTATATTACAAAGCTATAGTAATCAAAACCGTATGATACTGGCATAAAGCAGACACATGGAGCAACGGAACAGAATAGAGAGTCTGGAAATAAACCCACACATTACAGTCAACTAATTTTTGACAAGGGTGCCAAAAATATTCAATATGGAAAGGATAGTCTCTTCAAGAAATGGTGTTGGGAAAATTGGATATCCACATGCAAAAGAATAAAACTAGACTCTTATTTCACACCATACAAAAAAATCAACTCAAAATGGATTAAAGACTTCAACATAAGACCTGAGACCTTAAAACTGCTAGAAGAAAACATAGGGAGAAAGCTCTTTGACATTGGTCTTGACAATGAGTTTTTGCATATGATGCTAATGCACAGGCAACAAAGGCAAAAATAAACAAGTGGGATTACACCAAACTAAAAAGCTCTGCATAGCAAGGAAACAATACAAAAAACGAAAAAGCAACCTATGGAATGGGAGAAAATATTTACAAACCATATATCTGAAAAGGGGTTAATATCCAAAATACACAAGGAACTCACACAACAGAATAGCAAAAAAAAAAAAAAAAAAAAAAAATCTAATTAAAAAAATGGGCAAAGAACCCGAATAGACATTTCTCTAAAGACATACAAATGGGCAACAGGTATATGAAAAGGTGCTCAATGTTCCTAATCATCAGGGAAATGCAAAGCAAAACCACAATAAGATATCATCTCGCAACTGTTAGGATAGCTATTTTATATGTGTGTGTGTGTGTGTGTATACACATACACATATGCATATATAATGTGTATGTGTATGTATATATGTGTGTGTGTATAAAGGTAAGTGTTAGCAAGGATGTGAAAACAAGGGAACTCTTCTATACTGTTGGTGGGAATATAAATTGGTACAGCCATTATGGAAAACTGTCTAGAGGTTTCTCAAAAAATTGAAACTAGAAATCGCATATGATCCAATAATCTCACTTCTGGCTATATATCTAGAGAAACTGAAATCAGGATCTCAAAAAGATACCTGCACTCCCACATTCACTGTAACATTATGGAAACAATCTAAATGTCCATCAATGAATGAATAGATAAAGAATATGTGGTATACACACACAATGGAATATTATTCTGCCATAAAAAAAGAAGGAAATCCTGCCATCTGTGACAAGATGGATGGACCTAAGGAACATTACGCTAAGTGAGATAAGCCAGACACAGAAAGACAATTACTGTATGATCTCACATCTATGTGGAATCTAACAGAGTCAAACTCATACAAGTGGAGAATAGAATGGAGGTTGTCAGAGGTTGGGGGTGGGGGCAGCGAGGAAGAAATGGGGAAGTGATAGTCAAAGGGTACACAGTTTCAGTTGTGCAAGATGAATAAATTCTAGAGATCTCCTATATAGCATAGTGCCCATAGCTAACAATACTATATGGTATACTTACAATTTGCTAAAAGGGTAGATCTTATGGTGAATGTTCTTACCACACAAAAAATACTAGTTTTGGCCAGGCATGGTGGCTCACACCTGTGATCCCAGCACTTTGGGAGGCTGAGGCAGGCGGATCACAAGGTCAAGAGATTGAGACTATCCTGGCCAACATGGTGAAACCCCGTCTCTACTAAAAATACAAAAATTAGCTGGGCATGGTGGTGCATGCCTGTAGTCGCAGCTATTTGGGAGGCTGAGGCAGGGGAATCGCTTGAACCCGGGAGGCAGAAGTTGCAGTTAGCCGAGATTGCGCCACTGCACTCCAGCCTGGTGACACATTGAGACTCCACCTCAAAAAATAGTAGTAATAAAAATAATAGTAATAATAGCATTAAACGGTGTGGGAGGAAACTTTAGGAGGTGGTAGCTTTGTTGAGGTGGTGATGATTTCATGGGTGTATCTATGCTTATCTCCAAACTTGGTAGGTATGCATGCATTAACTATGCCTAGCTTTTTATATTTCAACTATACCTTAATAAAGTGGTTTTGAAAAAGGGGAAGACCCTAAGCAAAATGGCTCCTAAGAAAGCCAAGCCTTTGTTTTGATATTATTGGGACTGCTGAGACTTTTGGAGACTCTTCTTCATTCATTCAATGGATATTTACTAGAAGTTAGGAATTAGGGATATACTTGTGAGCAAATTGACCTGGTCCTGCCATGTTGAGAAACAGACATGAAAAAAAGGATGGCGTCTAGTTTGAAATGCAACTGTGGTGTATGCCTTGAGGGTGAACAATCTGTAGCCATACCAGGGAAACTCAAGAGCCTCACAGAAATTAGGGAAACTCCTCAGGGGAGGAAATGTCTGACCTGAGAACTGAAAAGGGGGAAGCAGAGAGGGTAGGTGGGAGCGATGCAGGCAGAGAGAACTGTGCACTCATTAAACATTTGAAATGTTCCACCAAAGGATGGGTATAGCTTAAACTCATCCTTCTCAGACACTAAGAGAGGGCTTTGGACTTAGCTACTGAGATGTAAAATTCAGGCTGATTTCTGTGGCTCAATGATGGGACGCTTTCTAGAACTTTCCCTCCAAACAGTAGGCCATTAGGTCTTCTGTCTGAAACCTACCGCATCCTTCTGGGTTGATGCTGAACACTGTCTGCAGTGACAGAAAGTGTCTCTTCTAACAATCCAAGTCAGCAGTGGTGGGACTTGGCTCTTTCAAATCTGTAAAGCTAAACAATTAGTTACTTTCTTATTCCTATGAGACTGGGCTTGATTTTTGGAACCTCCAAAGAGCGATCATAGCCCAGGGTGGTAACCAAGTGGGGAATGCCTGATCTCAGACACGTCATTTCAGTCAAACCAAGACCTGGTTTTGACCTCTTATTTCCTCCTTTCATCATCACAGTGCACCAAGAAAATCCAGACCTATCTCAGTTCTGCCAAGCTGTCCGTAGAGGGTACACATGGCATTATTTTCTCATATCTGTCCCCTTTTTAAGGTCCAGGCTGCAAAGAGCAGTCATTTGAGGGAGATTGCTTATCCCACTGTTAAATATGTCTAACTTCTCTTTAAATAAATTAATACATGAGACACTCAAAGCACTAACAATGATAGGCACATAGTAAGTCTTGGTTAGTCACTGTAACTCTTATTCTTACTATTAGCCACCAAGATTGTCACTGTTTGCAGACTGAGACCTCATCTTAATCATTTTTTTAATCATAGAAAAATGTCAGGTACATGGCAGGCACCAAATCCATTTTTCTTTATAAATCTAACTTAAATGTATTTTCAAATCCTTCAGCCCCTTCAATAAACTGCTGTCCAAACAGCAGAACCAAGGAGACCCAAGAGGGTGGTTGAGAACCCTGAGATCTGGGGCTGAATCAGTTCTTCCACATATTAGCCATGGGACCTCAGAAAAAGTGCTCGACCTCTCTAAGCCTCAGTTTCCTCATCTGTAAAATGGGAAAACAACAGTACCTATGTCACAGGTGGTTGGGAGGATGAATGAAACAATGCATGTAAAATGCTAGGTGGCACAATCTAAATAGTCAAGAAATATTCCCATTATCACCACTGCCCACGAGACTAAGATAATATGCAACTGTCAACCTTTGCCGATATTTAAAAACCACATCCATATTTTAAAAAGATTTTGTAGAGACTGAAAAAAAGTTCCTGTAGTGATTATTTCTAAACATGTTGAACAGGAGCCCACATGTTGGGGCAACTGGTACACAGCTGGGTAAGAAGTCACTGCCCAGCTATTGTCTGAACTTTTTACTTTCATGAAGGGGGAAATGGACTGCAGCTGCTTCCCCTGAAAAGTGACATCATACAATTTGTGACTCACTTCTTGCCCAAATAAAAATCTTCCTAAAGGGCACACAGAGAAGACCTGAAAACCTCCCCCTCTTGCCTCTAGCAGCTGGGAGGGGGAAAGGGAGGCTCTGCTGGGCACTCAAGCGCTCCGCTGCGTCACCCAAGGCTCATGGCACTGCTAGACCAGGGCCTTTACTTTGCTATTGCAGAAACTTTAGCTTCTTCAGAGACGTTAAGTAACCTGTCCAAAGCCACACAGTTTACAGGTGGCAGAAGGTGGACTGTGAATCTAGGCAATGGCGGTACCAAGGGTGAAGGTCAGGCCGGCGAGACCCAAAAGGAGGAAATAGCCTGTAAGTTGAGACAACAGGGAGGGCCACGTCAACTAGCCCAGGAGCCCAGAAGTTCAAGAATAAAGATCTGGAAATGATACACCCACAATCACCCACAAGTAATTTTACTGCTCCATAAACCGCAAAGCTGTCACCTGGAGCCTAACACTCCACACGTCTAAATGTCTCCTGCCTGGTTTCCACCTCCTCAAGGTCCCTCTAAGAGCCCTGCAGCAAGGACGCTCAGCTCCAGTGTACTCAGACTTGACAGAGCCACTGCCGCGAAACGCGTACCATAATCAACTCTGTCCATCCCCGCCAACAGTCTGCGGGGATCACCGTGGTTCCCATTTAACAGAGAGAGGGTTGAGGTCCCACCGCCGGCAGGCAAGGGGTGGGGACCGGAACGCAGGCAAAGGAGCCCTCGCTGTTAGCCGCTGTGCCAGATCACGAGCCCTCCTCTCCTAAATCTCGAATAGTACGAGGTGTCCCCTAGCCCCCCGGCTAGGAGGGAAGGGAGGACAAGCTGAGCAAGGCAAGCGATGGAGAGAGCGGAACGGGCCCTCTTCCCAAAGTTTCAGCGCAGGCCGTCGGGGCCACTCAGTCCCACTCAACCAGGCTCCCCTAGACCACGCTGGGGGCGCAGGGGGGAACTAGGAAGCCGGCAGGAAGGAGGGAGGCAAGGCGCGCACGGCCGGCGGGCTGGAGAGGCGCCGGCCGAGGTGGGGGCTGCAGTTACCGTTCCCACGGCGGTAGGGCGGCTGGGACTGGCACAGTCTCTCTCCGTCGCTCCGCAGCAAGGGTCTGGGGCCCCTTTAGCGAAAGCGAAACTAAAAGTCTCGGCGCTGCGGAGGGAGGAGCCGCCCTGGGTAGGGCCGGGCGGGGCTTGCACCGCCCCTGGCTCGGGGTAGTGCGCTCCGCAGGGGTGGAAGAGCCCAAAGCGACCCGTGTCCCCGCACGCATAGTCCCTGGAGGGCGCTCTCTGCAAAGCTGGCCGCGCGCTCTGCCAAGTTGGCCCCTCGCTCTACAAAGTTGAGCCCGCGCGCGGGAGAACGCGCACAGCAAAGTTTGCAGTTTCCCGGGACAGCCGAGCCGCCGCGGGTTGTTCCGGGAAAAAAACAAATCTGCCAAACTGGCCGCGCTCCAAGTGACCCAAAGAGCGCAGATTTCGCGGCGGCGCTCAGTGATGGGGCGCTCGTGTGGTCACCTCCACTTCCCCGCCCCCAGTGTACACCTCGACCTGGGCCTTCACATCAACTCGGAGACCCCTTTCCCATAGCCAGAGGCTCTCCCCTAGCGAAACCTGGATCCCAGCTGGAACTGCTGGCGTCCCCCTGGGGGACTCCACGCCTACATTAGCATGCGTACCCCACAAGGCTGATCCGCTTCGGGCCCGCTGTGGCATCCACTGTGGTCTCCTAGACGTTGCTTTGCGGGGGGCGCCCTCCTGCGCGCGTGGGCGTAGGACGCTCCCTCAGCTTTGAAGGAAGTACCCACCCAGCAGCCCAGCTTGCTGGTGGAGATGCTGCTCCTGGATCTTTCGGGAAATATTTGTTGTGCGCCCCCGTGTGTCAGGGACTGGGTATGCGGCCGGGAGTCAGTCAAACACGGGAGAGACTGAGCACTTCCACGGATTCTAGTTCACCCCAACCCCACAGCATACGCACACACACACACACACACACACACACACACGGACACACGGATTCCAGTTCACCCTGACCCCACAAAACACACACACACACACACGGATTCCAGTTATCCAGTTCACCCTGACCAAACACACACACACACGGATTCCCGTTCACCCTGACCCCACAAAAGACATACACAGGCATTCCAGTTCACCCTGACCCCACAAAAGACATACACAGGCATTCCAGTTCACCCTGACCCCACAACACACACACACACGCATTCCAGTTTACCCTGACCCCACAACACACACACACACGGATTCAAGTTCACCCCGACCCAACACACCCACACACAAACACACAGATTCTAGTTCATGAAACCCACCACACACACGGATTCATACACACACACGCACCTAGTTCACCCTGACCCCACAACACACACACACACACACACACACACACACACACACACACGTCTTTCTTCACCCTGGCTCAGGGAAGCAACTAAACTCAATCACACTGAGGTGTAAAATATCTGAGAAGAAATTGTAGTTTTATTCATATCAGAGACACAGTATTTACTTTTAGGAACCACCAAATCCTTGCGTGAATGGAGTACATGCTTAGTGGTCGGATACCAGGCAAGAACGCCATCTTCTCTTTCTGTTTGCTTGCTTTCCCGTGGGCCTGAGACTTCAGTATTTGTCGCTCAAATCTCTCCAGGTGAGGATGCTTCCTTGGTTTGAAAAAAAAAGACTGACCCCTGGCAAGTGTAAGGGAATAATTATAATTGATTAACTTACGGGAAAATCCTGAATCCCTGAATATTTTTAACCAGCAGTGACACAATTTCTAATGTGGCTGCCCTAGTCTTTTTTTAATACCCATGTTCCCAAAATGTTGGAGGTAAAGTAAGCCATTTAGACGCTAAGATAATTTGCTTTGTAAAGAAATTCAAGGCCAGGCGCGGTGGCTTACGTCTGTAATCTCAGCACTTTGGAAGGCCGAGGCGGGCGTATCACGAGGTCAGAAAATCAAGACCATCCTGGCTAACACGGTGAAACCCTGTCCCTACTGAAAATACAAAAAAATTAGCCAGGCATGGTGGCGGGCGCCTGCAGTCCCAGCTACTCGGGAGGCTGAGGCAGGAGAATGGCGGGAACCCAGGAGGAGGAGCTTGCAGTGAGCCGAGATCGCGCCACTGCACTCCAGCCTGGGCGACAGAGCGAGACTCTGTCTCAAAAACAAAATAAAATAAAATAAAATAAATTCGATTGTGAGTCATCTGAGAAACAAAGAATACTATTAGTAAAGCAATTAAATTACTCTTTGATTTATCTAATTTGTAAATCTAGGATCTTGCAGGTTATTCCTGAAATATAGTGAATCAGTGTTAGAACTAAAAGAGGCTTTTACAACTAATCTCTGTTCATTTTATAAAGAATCTGAGGCTCAGCGAAGTTGCCCCCGTCACAGATTTGCTAGTGGCAGAAGTAGAATCAAATTGCCTTTATTTTATTTTAATTTTTATTATACTTTAAGTTTTAGGGTACATGAGCACAACGTGCAGGTTAGTTACAAATGTATACATGTGCCATGTTGGTGTGCTGCACCCATTAACTCGTTATTTAACATTAGATATATCTCCTAATGCTATCCCTCTCCCCTCCCCCCACCCGCAACAGGCCCCGGTGTGTGATGTTCCCCTTCCTGTGTCCATGTGTTCTCATTGTTCAATTCCCACCTATGAGTGAGAACATGCGGTGTTTGGTTTTTTGCCCTTGCGATAGTTTGCTGACAATGATGGTTTCCAGCTTCATCCATGTCCCTACAAAGGACACGAACTCATCATTTTTTATGGCTGCATAGTATTCCATGGTGTATATGTGCCACATTTTCTTAATCCAGTCTATCATTGTTGGACATTTGGCTTGGTTCCAAGTCTTTGCTATTGTGAATAGTGCCGCAATAAACATACGTGTGCATGTGTCTTTATAGCAGCATGATTTATAATCCTTTGGGTATATACCCAGTAATGGGATGGCTGAGTCAAATGGTATTTCTAGTTCTAGATCCCTGAGGAATCGCCACACTGACTTCCACAATGGTTGAACTAGTTTACAGTCCCACCAACAGTGTAAAAGTGTTCCTATTTCTCCACATCCTCTCCAGCACCTGTTGTTTCCTGACTTTTTAATGATCGCCATTCTAACTGGTGTGAGATGGTATCTCACTGTGGTTTTGATTTGCATTTCTCTGATGGCCAGTGATGGTGAGCATTTTTTCATGTGTCTTTTGGCTGCATAAATGTCTTCTTTTGAGAAGTGTCTGTTCATATCCTTTAGCCACTTTTTGATGGGGTTGTTTTTTTCTTGTAAATTTGTTTGAGTTCTTTGTAGATTCTGGATATTAGCCCTTTGTCAGATGAGTAGATTGCAAACATTTTCTCCCATTCTGTAGGTTGCCTGTTAACTCTGATGGTAGTTTCTTTTGCTCTGCAGAAGTTCTTTAGTTTAATTAGATCCCATTTGTCAATTTTGGCTTTTGTTGCCATTTCTTTTGGTGTTTTAGACACGAAGTCCTAGCCCATGCCTATGTCCTGAATGGTATTGCCTGGGTTTTCTTCTAGGGTTTTTATGGTTTCAGGTCTAACATTTAAGTCTTTAATCTACCTTGAATTAATTTTTATATAAGGTGTAAGGAAGGGATCCAGTTTCAGCTTTCTACATATGGCTAGCCAGTTTTCCCAGCACCATTTATTAAACAGGGAATCCTTTCCCCATTTCTTGTTTTTGTCAGGTTTGTCAAAGATCAGATGGTTGTAGATATGCGGCATTATTTCTGAGGTCTCTGTTCTGTTCCATTGGTCTATATCTCTGTTTTGGTACCAGTACCATGCTGTTTTGGTTACTGTAGCCTTGTAGTATAGTTTGAAGTCAGGTAGCGTGATGCCTTCAGCTTTGTTCTTTTGGCTTAGGATTGACTTGGCAATGCGGGCTCTTTTTTGGTTCCATATGAACTTTAAAGTAGTTTTTTCCAATTCTGTGAAGAAAGTCATTGGTAGCTTGCTGGGGATGGCATTGAATCTATAAATTACCTTGGGCAGTATGGCCATTTTCACAATATTGATTCTTCCTACCCATGAGCATGGAATGTTCTTCCATTTGTTTGTATCCTCTTTTATTTGATTGAGCAGTGGTTGGCAGTTCTCCTTGAAGAGGTCCTTCGCGTCCCTTGTAAGTTGGATTCCTAAGTATTTTATTCTCTTTGAAGCAATTGTGAATGGGAGTTCACTCATGATTTGGCTCTGTGTTTGTCTATTATTGGTGTATAAGAATGCTTGTGATTTTTGCACATTGATTTTGTATCCTGAGACTTTGCTGACATTGCCTATCAGCTTAAGGAGATTTTGGGCTGAGACGATGGGGTTTCCTAGATATACAATCATGTCATCTGCAAACAGGGACAATTTGACTTCCTCTTTTCCTAACTGAATACCCTTTATTTCCTTCTCCTGCCTGATTGCCCTGGCCAGAACTTCCAACACTGTTTTGAATAGGAGTGGTGAGAGAGGGCATCCCTGTCTTGTGCCAGTTTTCAAAGGGAATGCTTCCAGTTTTTGCCCATTCAGTATGATATTGGCTGTGGGTTTGTCATAGATAGCTCTTATAATTTTGAGATACGTCCCATCAATACCTAATTTATTGAGAGTTTTTAGCATGAAGCGTTGTTGAATTTTGTCAAAGGCCTTTTCTGCATCTATTGAAATAATCATGGTTTTTGTCGTTGGTTCTGTTTATATGCTGGATTACATTTATTGATTTGCGTATGTTGAACCAGCCTTGCATCCCAGGGATGAAGCCCACTTGATCATGGTGGATAAGCTTTTTGATGTGATGCTGGATTCAGTTTGCCAGTATTTTATTGAGGATTTTTGCATCAATATTCATCAGAGCTATTGGTCTAAAATTCTCTTTTTTTATGTGTCTCTGCCAGGCTTTGGTATCAGGATGATGCTGACCTCATCAAATGAGTTAGGGAGGATTCCCTCTTTTTCTACTGATTGGAATAGTTTCAGAAGGAATGGTACCAGCTCCTCCTTGTACCTCCGGTAGAATTCGGCTGTGAATCTATCTGGTCCTGGACTTTTTTTTGGTTGGTAAGCTGTTAATTATTGCCTCAATTTCAGAGCCTGTTATTGGTCTATTCAGAGATTCAACTTCTTCCTGGTTTAGTCTTGGGAGGGTGTATGTGTTGAGGAATTTATCCATTTCTTCTAGATTTTCTAATTTATTTGCGTAGAGGTGTTTATAGTATTCTCTGATGGTAGTTTGTATTTCTGTGGGATCGGTGGTGATATCCCCATTATCATTTTTTATTGTGTCTATTTGATTCTTCTCTCTTTTCTTCTTTGTTGGTCTTGCTAGCGGTCTATCAATTTTGTTGATCTTTTCAAAAAACCAGCTCCTGGATTCATTGATTTTTTGAAGGGTTTTTTGTGTCTCTATTTCCTTCAGTTCTGCTCTGATCTTAGTTATTTCTTGCCTTCTGCTAGCTTTTGAATGTGTTTGCTCTTGCTTCTCTAGTTCTTTTAATTGTGATGTTAGGGTGTCAATTTTAGATCTTTCCTGCTTTCTCTTGTGGGCATTTAGTGCTATAAATTTCCCTCTACACACTGCTTTGAATGTGTCCCAGAGATTCCGGTATGTTGTGTCTTTGTTCTCATTGGTTTCAAAGAACATCTTTATTTTTGCCTTCATTTCGTTATGTACCCAGTAGTTGTTCGGGCACAGGTTGTTCAGTTTCCATGTAGTTGAGCAGTTTTGAGTGAGTTCCTTAATCCTGAATTCTAGTTTGATTGCACTGTGGTCTGAGAGACAGTTTGTTGTAATTTCTGTTCTTTTACATTTGCTGAGGAGTGCTTTACTTCCAACTATGTGGTCAATTTTGGAATAAGTGCGGTGTGGTGCTGAGAAGAATGTATATTCTGTTGATTTGGGGTGGAGAATTCTGTAGCTATCTATTAGGTCCGCTTGGTGCAGAGCTGAGTTCAATTCCTGGATATCCTTGTTAACTTTCTGTCTCGTTGATCTGTCTAATATTGACAGTGGGGTGTTAAAGTCTCCCATTATTATTGTATGGGAGTCTAAGTCTCTTTGTAGGTCTCTAAGGACTTGCTTTATGAATCTGGGTGCTCCTGTATTGGGTGCATATATATTTAGGATAGTTAGCTCTTCTTGTTGAATTGATCCCTTTACCATTATGTAATGGCCTTCTTTGTCTCTTTTGATCTTTGTTGGTTTAAAGTCTGTTTTATCAGAGACTAGGATTACAACCCCTGCCTTTTTTTGTTTTCCATTTGCTTGGTAGATCTTCCTCCATCCCTTTATTTTGAGCCTATGTGTGTCTCTGCACGTGAGATGGGTTTCCTGAATACAGCACACTGATGGGTCTTGACTCTTTGTCCAATTTGCCAGTCTGTGTCTTTTAATTGGAGCATTTAGCCCATTTACATTTAAGGTTAATATTGTTATGTGTGAATTTGATCCTGCCATTATGATGTTAGCTGGTTATTTTGCTCGTTAGTTGATGTAGTTTCTTCCTAGCCTCGATGGTCTTTACAATTTGGCATGTTTTTGCAGTGGCTGGTACCAGTTGTTCCTTTCCATGTTTAGTGCTTCCTTCAGGAGCTCTTTTAGGGCAGGCCTGGTGGTGACAGAATCTCTCAGCATTTGCTTGTCGGTAAAGTATTTTATTTCTCCTTCACTTATGAAGCTTAGTTTGGCTGGATGTGAAATTCTGGGTTGAAAATTCTTATCTTTAAGAATGTTGAATATTGGCCCCCACTATCTTCTGGCTTGCAGAGTTTCTGCCGAGAGATCAGCTGTTAGTCTGATGGGCTTCCCTTTGTGGGTAACCTGACCTTTCTCTCTGGCTGCCCTTAACATTTTTTCCTTCATTTCAACTTTGGTGAATCTGACAATTATGTGTCTTGGAGTTGCTCTTCTCAAGGAGTATCTTTGTGGCGTTCTCTGTATTTCCCGAATTTGAATGTTGGCCTGCCTTGCTAGATTGGGGAAGTTCTCCTGGATAATATCCTGCAGAGTGTTTTCCAACTTGGTTCCATTCTCCCCGTCACTTTCAGGTACACCAATCAGACATAGATTTGGTCTTTTCACATAGTCCCATATTTCTTGGAGGCTTTGTTCGTTTCTTTTTATTCTTTTTTCTCTAAACTTCTCTTCTCACTTCATTTCATTCATTTGATCTTCCATCACTGATACCCTTTCTCCAGTTGATCGAATCGGCTCCTGAGGCTTGTGCATTCATCACGTAGTTCTCGTGCTGTGGTTTTCATCTCCATCAGGTCCTTTAAGGACTTCTCTGCATTGGTTATTCCAGTTAGCCATTTGTCAAATTTTTTTTCAAGGTTTTTAACTTCTTTGCCTTGGATTCGAACTTCCTCCTTTAGCTCGAAGTAGTTTGATCATCTGAAGCCTTCTTCTCTCAACTTGTCAAAGTCATTCTCCGTCCAGCTTTGTTCCATTGCTGGTGAGGAGCTGCGTTCCTTTGGAGAAGGAGAGGCACTCTGATTTTTAGAGTTTCCAGTTTTTCTGTTCTGTTTTTTCCCCATCTTTGTGGTTTTATCTACCTTTGGTCTTTGATGATGGTGACATACAGATGGGGTTTTGGTGTGGATGTCCTTTCTGTTTGTTAGTTTTCCTTCTAACAGTCAGGACCCTCAGCTGCATGTCTGTTGGAGTTTGCTGGAGGTCCACTCCAGACCTGTTTGCCTGGGTATCAGCAGCAGAGGCTGCAGAACAGCAGATATTGGTGAGCAGCAAATGTTGCTGCCTGATCGTTCCTCTGGAAGTTTTGTCTCAGAGGAGTACCCGGCCATGTGAGTTGTCAGTCTGCCCCTACTGGGGGGTGCCTCCCAGTTAGGCTACTTGGGGGTCAGGGACCCACTTGAGGAGGCAGTCTGTCCGTTCTCAGATCTCCAGCTGTGTGCTGGGAGAACCACTACTCTCTTCAAAGCTGTCAGACAGGGACATGTAAGTCTGCAGGGGATTCTGCTGTGTTTTATTTGGCTCCTCAGAAGCATGTGATTTTTGCTCTGCTTTTTGCCCCTTAAAGCATGTGACCTACTCCCTGTTCATACACCCCCTCCCCTTTTGAAATCCTTAATAAAAACTTGCTGGTTTTGTGGCTCAGGTGGGCATCACGGTCCTACCAATATATGATGTCACCTCTGGCGGCCCAGCTGTAAAATTCCTCTTTGTACTCTTTCTCTTTATTTCTCAGACCAGCTGACACTTAGGGAAAATAGAAAGAACCTATGTTGAAATATTGGGGGTGGGTTGCCCTCATACTTATTGTGGGCTGGCACAAGAAATTCCAAAGTTACTGCTCTAAGGCTGGATTATCACAGTATCAACAAGAGGGAAATACAGAAGGGAAGAAACCATTGTGAACTTTTCCCTCTGTAATAATTGTACTGACACTTTGGATCCAAATGATGTTTTCTTGTAAAGGTACCTCCTTTGTCTCTCCAGCCTTGGACCATGCCATTGTTTTATGTTTCCTTTCTATATTCACATGATTATAGCATGAACCTTCCCCCTTATTCCAGAAAAGTCCCCCAGCTTCCCCTATTGGGATGGTTTCCAAAGGGGCTCATAGGTGCTCTTGGGCCAGCCCCTCCGAATCTTCCCTCCAGCCCTCCCCTCTGGTTGCTGGTGAATTCCCCATCCACACCCTGCTGGGCATAGCACCCCTGAGGGGTGCCACCAGTGATTGCTTCTCCAATTCTCCACTGGATAGCTCAGGCCAGGCTATGACTTTATACAGGACTCCATGAAGGACATTGCAAGATTAACAGAAATGCCATTCTCACCACCCACAGGCCAAACCCAAACCCTGGCCCCTGCTGAGGTCCCAGCAGACTTTTGCCAGGTGGAGAGAGTAGGAAGCTCAGGGTCCAAGAGGAATTCCCTTCTTCCCTGGAAGAAGGAATTCATGTTGTACATGTTATTGAATGATTGCCTCACAACTTCAAATCCACCCTTTTTGTCTGTTCTGTAGAAATTGAACTGGGCCCTTTAAGTAGTTTTCCCTTGCCTGTGGCCTCATGTTAACCTTGGTGGGTAAAGGGCATTGGAGATTCATTATAAGATGGAAAGAGTTTTGCTTCCTGGTTCTGGCATGTCTGGCGTGCTCCTTCAGAGGGCATGGCTTCTCAGCACCAGGTTCTTGGAATGTACCTGGTAGCCAGAACACACAGCAGCCATCAGCTTCCCCTGGCACCTGCTTCAGGTGGTTTTGTAGAGAGTGCCTCTGTTACCAGTGGAGGGTCTTGACTAGGAGTTGTCCAGGGTCTTGGTGTTTTGAACAAAGAATTGGACAAAATGCATAAACAAAGGAATGAAAGAATGAAGCAATGAAAGAACAGATTTATGAAATGAAAGTATACTCCACAGAGTGGGAGCTGGCTGGAGCAAGTGGCTCAAGAGCACTGGCTACAGAATCTTCTGGGGTCTGAAGTACCCTCTAGAGGTTTCCCATTGGTTACTCAGTTACACCCTATGCACATGAAGACCTAGCCCCCAACCAGTCTGACTGGTTGCAGTAAGGACACAGATACAGAGGGAAGACCATGGGAGGATACAGAGAGAAGTGGCCATCTACAAGCAGAGAGAGGTCTCCGAAGAAATCAACCCTGCTGATATCGTGATCTTGGATTTCTAGCCCCTGGAACTGTGAGAAAATAAATTTCTGTTGTTTAAGCCACCAAGCCTGTGGCACTTTGTTATGGCAGCCCTAGCAAACTAACACATATGTTATTTGCAAGGATATCTGCTATTGCTACAGTTTTCAGAGTTCTCTTTACTTCTTACTAGCCAACCTCTTGATATTCCAACTCGCTGTTATAGTTTATAATTTGTTATACAGTTGAGCCTCCATATCCCCAGGTTCTGGATCTGAGGATTCAACCAACTGCAGATCAAATATACTTAAAAAAAAGCAAAAAATAACAATACAATAATACAAATGATATAAATAAAAAAATACAGGGTAACAGCTACTTACATAGCATTTACATTGTATTAGGTACTTTAAGTAATCTAGAGATGATTTAATGCATATGGGAGATTATATGTAGGTTATATACAAATACTATGCCATTTTATATAAGGAACTTGAGCATGCATGGATTTTGGTATCCTCAGGGGCCCTGGAACCAATACCCCCATGGATACTGAGGGATGCCTGTGTTAATTCAGCTTACTGTATGGTTTCTCTCTCCTGAGTGGACCCAGATGGATACCACTCAAGCCTGCCTCATTTCTGATTCTGTTGCCTTCAGCAGTGTGACTATCCATTTCTTTTTCTTTTTTTTTTTTTTGGAGATGGAGTCTTGCTCTGTCACCCAGGCTGGAGTGCAGTGGCATGATCTCGGCTCACTGCAACCTCTGCCTCCTGGGTTCCCACCATTCTCCTGCCTCGGCCTCCTGAGTAGCTGGGACTACAGGCACCTGCCACCACGCCCGGCTACTTTTTTGTATTTTTAGTAGAGACGGGGTTTCATCGTTTCAGCCAGGATGGTCTCGATCTCGATCTCCTGACCTTGTGATCCGCCCACCTCGGCCTCCCAAAGTGCTGGGATTACAGGCGTGAGCCACCGTGCCCGGCCGACTATCCATTTCTTGATTCAGAGGGGAACTTCCACCCCACCCACAGGGTGTGTCATTGTCTCCTGGCCCAGGAAAAGGTAACCGTAGCAGTTGAATATTATTATTCACACCTGAATAAGATTCTACTGCAATCAAAGCCCAGGCCATATAGGGCTGAACTGATTCCTAATCCTTTCCTCTGCCTTCCTCTCCACTCCCTCTCCCCAAGAGCATCAGACACGGTTGCTCCTGATGCCCTGTGATTGCAAACTACCACCTGCAGGTCACCTGTGGTCTGTTTTTGTACAGCTCACAAGCTAAGAATGGTTTTTACATTTTTAAAGGGTCGTAAAAAAAAGAAGAATAAGAAAAAGATGATGCAACAGAGATTGACTGTATATGGCCTGCAAAGCCTAAAATATTTACAGTCTGATTTTTTACAGAAAAGTTTATGGGTCCCTATCTTACACCAAATGACACAATCCCATCTTCAAAGCAAACAATGACTGTGATGGTTAATATTAGGTGTCAACTTGATTGAATTGATGGATGCCTAGATGGCTGATGAAGCATTGTTCCTGGATGTGTCTGTGAGGGTGCTGCCAGAGGAGACTGACATTTAAGTTGATGGTCTGAGAGAGGAAGACCCACCCTCAATGTGGGTCGGCACCATCCAATGGGCTGCCAGCTTGGCTAGAACAAAGCAGGTGGAAGAAAGTGGATAAGCTTGTCTGCTGAGTCTTCTCCCTCTTTCTCTCTTCCCATGCTTTTCAGCACACTAGGCTTCTTCTCCTCCTGCCCTTGGACATCAGACTCCAGGTTCTTCAGCCTTTGGACTCTGGGACTTGCACCAGTGGCCTCCCAGGGGCTCAGACTGAGGGCTGCACTGTCAGCTTCCCTGGTTTTGGGGCTTTCAGACTTGGACTGAGCCAAACTACTGGCTTTTCCCTTTTTCCAACTTGCGGCCTATCATGGGACTTTGCCTTGTAATTGTGTGAAGCAATTCTCCCTAATAATCTCATATATATATACACATATATGTCCCCCATTGGTTCTGTCCCTCTGAAGAACCCTGACTAATATATAACTTTAAACCAGAGTGGTTTCAAGCCAGATTTAAGTTTGAGGAGATGTAGAATTTCTCTAATTTTCCTGGACAGAGTACAGTTTCTATAAACCAACAGATCACTTGCTCAACCTCTCAGAATGAAGCTTGGGCATTAGGTAACCTCACCAATATTTAGGTTTCCCTAGGGTGGTAAGAGCTCCTTGCCTAATTAAGGTCACCACCATCTAGTGCTCAGGCCTTAATGACTGCCACAGAAGAACTTCAGTCTGAGGTCGCTGACCCCCCCATCAGCCAGGACCCTTGGGACTTTACCCCAGGAGAATACCCCCAATAACTTCTCCCAGGGCACTTGGAAGCCCCCAAGGTTAGGGGTGAGGGTGGTGGGCAAGGGCAGGTCTGACCTGAGAAAGCATGAGAGCTCAAGACAAGGCCCTGCTTCCTGAATTCTCCACCCCAAGTGTGTCGACGCAGCATTGTACAGTGCAGAGGAGTGGACGGATGGAACAGGGTTGACACCATCAGCCTGGAAGAGCAGGACAGTGAGAGTTCACGGTGCATCTCATATAAGTACTTTCCCTTACCCTGTCCACTGCCAGTTTCCTTGAGTGACCCACTCTGGGGGTACCTGGTATCACATCCCCTCCGCTCACCAGTGTTATCTCCATGCATGTCACCAGGCCCTCTTTACACGCCCACAGCAGTGGCCCTCCACTTCCCTGCCTCTGGGCTTTCTTCAAGCTGCCTAAGTCCATTAAGCTTGTGGAGAGAGGTCTCCCCTAAAGGTATAGGGGAGTTAATGACCCTGACAGTTGCCCTCAACCAATGGGGGATGAGAGTTGAGTGGATGTGTCCCAGCCACCATCCTTCAGTGGGACCATTCTGAGGCACATTCTACACAAATCTTCAGAGTGTCCCCAGCAAGATTGTGCTCCAGCTGCCCACAGTGGTATAATATCTAGTTTAGGATATGCTCTTTATTGACTCTTCTCTTTTCCCTGGCTCATTTGCCTTAAACCCTCACTCCTGCCTCATGGGACTACCTCCCAAATAACTTCCCTGTGCCTTGCTGAGGGGGGCAACCTAAATTAAAACAGGAACAAACCCCCAGCATGGGAGGAACACCTTCCGTCTAATCTGAGTGACAGTGACAGAATGAAGGGTCAGCAGCTGTCCCTTGATTTCACATCTCTTATCATTTTTCTGTAGTTTCAAAACCAGTCCATATGCACAGCCCTGGAGGGCCCTGGAAATGGTGCAGAGTTAGAAAGGATTACCTCATATCCTGGATGACTCAATCCAAGTCCAAAAAGACCTCAACCGCCTAAAGCAAGGCGACCACCATCAACAGGATGAAATTGAAAAGAGGTAAATAAGGAGGACTACATTTAACTTTCAAAAGGAAACTACTTGCCCACATACTGAACATAAAAGTCATTAATGTGAAACAAAAAGCTCCCTATGAGTCAAGACTTAAAAAAAGCCAGAGCAATGTGGGGTGGTGTGGGCCGAAGTTCCCAGATCAAGGCTCCACAAGGCTCTGCAAGATCAGGCTCCAGCTCACCACCACCAAGCCCAGGTCCAGGACTCTGCTGAGAGCCCAGTGCATCAGACACCTGGAAGGGCTGCTTTAGATTCACTCAGCCTCACCTTCCGTAGGGCCTTTGCCTACTTGAGCAGGCTCAGCCTCGGTAGTGGCCACTGTCTCTATGAGGGCTCTGGCCATCTTCACGTGGGCACAACTGACAGTGTCTTTGGCCTTCTGCTGCCCTTGGTGTTTTCCTGTTGATACTGAGGTGCGAGATGCCATGGGACTCCCTGTGTACATACACAGCATGGACATTAATGGCCAATGGGGCAAACCTTTCACCAATGGGAGACAGGACCCTTCCTTCCTCTGGTAGATGTTCCTGAGTAGCGGTTGTTTATATGGCCCCTTGGAAGATGGTCAAGCCATTCAATACACTTTATACCAGCTGGTGGCCCCGTTGAGAACAACCCTAATACCAACTGTTCCCTGCCCTGCATTTCCTGCCTTCTAACTCTTGCTCCCTGGATTATACTTTGGAATAAAGTCCTTGCATATAAGCCTTTGACACAGGTTCTGTTTTCTGGAGAACCCAGGCTAAGACTGATGTTATCTGAACCAACTCCTAAGGCCAAAGGAATGTGGTATGCTCACTGACTTGGCTTGGACGGCCTGCTGTAATCCCTGCGTCAAGTGGGAGGGGCTTAGGCCAAGGAGCAGGAGGGGCTGTATATAACATGAGAAGGGTGGTGTGAACCAACCAAGACTCGACTACACAGTGAAGTCTGTGTTTGTCTTGCCCCAGAAATGAGTGTTTACTTCTAGTTCCTTAAACTATCCCATTTCTAGTTCTATGGGGTTGTTTCTCCTAGCAATTTCTGATGTCTAATAAATCAGAAGTGATGGTACAAATCCAGTTTAGCATCTTGCATTTTGTAATTCTTGTGTTCACAAATGTGACCAACCCGTTTTAACGGCTACAGATTGCAATCACAAGCTTAGGCAGAGAAGGAACGTTGCAAGCTTCTTTTTTAAGTGAAATCCTCCTGATTCCTCAGCCCTCCGGACTGGGGTACAGTTCATTTCAGTGATTATTGGAGCTTCCACCCCACCCACTAAGTAAGGCTTGAGAAGCCTGGTGCAGAGCAAAACAACCGGGGAACCCTGCAGGTCTTTGTGCTGTGCCCATTGCTGTTCTCATTTGCAGGCTGGTGGCAGCCCTCCTGCCCAATCACGTTTCAGTGTGGGAGTCTTTGCTGAGCCTGGAGTCCCTGCTTTGAGTCCCCTCCCCATGCTGAGAGAGCCCTAGCCCCATGTGGGAAAACCTGAGACTCCGCCTTCCCCTTATACTCATGTGGACTTGAATGCTACTCTTCTTCATTGGCTTTAGAGCTTCTTCCTACCCCCTGGCTATCTCAGCACAACCCCAAAATACTACTCATCTTACTCCACCCTACCTGGGGACACCAACCTAACCTCAGAACATTTAGGGCCAAGGTCACAAATTGGTAACCTGCTGGCCAAATACTGCCCACGACTCTGTTATATTGTTTTATATACAAAAAGGGGAATTTCATTTGTAAATGCAGACTTCTGGTGTGCTCAGAATATTTGGAAAATATTCCGGAAAAATCAGGATATTTGGCAACCTGGAATGTTGATTGTTTCATGATGACAGTTGGCTGGGACTGAGGAGCAGTTGCCTGCTTCAGATGGGATGAGTGCTCATCTATTTGGAAAAGTTCCTACCATTATCTAGACTTCATACCTGGCCTCTATAGGCATTTTGGTGTGAGTATTAAATTTATTTCATTAATCCAATAAATCTTTATTAAGCACCTTTTATTGGCAGACCTTGTTCTAGGCATGGGGGATATAGAAGTGGCAAAAAGGACCAAAGATCCTGTTTAGACAGAACTCATATTTTGATGGGAGAGACACAATTTTTAAAAATAGAAACATTAACATGTAATATGTCCAGCTGTGATTACCACTATGAAGACCATCAAGCAGGCTAAGAGTAATGGAAGATAATGAGATAGGAGTGGGGACAGGTGAGGTGCCATTTTGTATCAGGTATTTCTATAAGGTGATAAGGTGACATTTCAGCAGAGACTGAAGGCAATGAGAGGCTTCCCAAAGCCAGGAAGAGAGATTCTGTCTTCATATCACCTCTTTTAAGGCCTGTGAGGCAAGGGAACAAGCACAAAGGCCTTCTTGGAACATTCTAGAATAAAATACAGAGGCCAAAACACCAAGAGTTCTCATTAGTTTTTAGTTTTGCGTTCCAGTAGAAGCTAAACACAAACTAACACCTTATTAAGTTTTTAGTTTAACTGTTGTAAACGCTTTGGGTAGGTAAAGTTAAAATTCAAGTGTGATATTTATCCATTTAAAGGAGTGAATCAATCCTATTTTATTTTCTATATTTTTGGGAGCTGGCCTTTCTGCTTTAGTCATAGGACGCATAGAGCAAGCTTTTCTAATTTGATTGTTGGATGACGGTGTGGCATCTTCCTTTAGGTTCTTTTCTTGGGTCATGATCACAGCTAGTGCTAAACCACTCCATGCTGCCTGATCATACACCAGGGTTTGGTTATCCACATAAACATGATGCTGTTGTGAGTTCATTTTTCTATTTAGAGAAGCATGTCAGCTAGAAATACTTCCACCTTATTTCCCAGACACATGCGTGCTGAGTGAGTGGCCAAAATAGCCCCTTGAGTAAGTGGCAGCTTTAAAAACCATCCAACTGCTGACTTCAAACTAGAAGGTCAGCAAAGGAAAGTGGAAGTTGGATTCTGAAAGATCGAGGTGCCCACAGGAATTTTATGGTCGTCGGATTTTGAAGACTTGAACTAGACTGGGGGTTCTCCTTGCATTTCTTGCCTGTTGCCTATCTTTGTCCTCTCTCTTCCGGCTTCGAGATGAATGTGCAGCCCTGTTCTAGGTGTGGGTATGGGGTTTATCCTGCCGAGAAGATCAGCTGTATAGATCAGGTCAGTAGACATTTCTTGGCTTTTGTGAATAATAACAAACACAGGAAATTGACCTTCTCACATATGGACATAGGTAAATATGGAAATTTAATTTTCAGTTAAATTGTTTTGAACCACAAGAAAAAGTTATATTTTCTCACCTTTATTTAGTTCTACACATTTCTATTTCTTCTGTGTTGTCTCAAAAAAAAAAAGTTATCCATTTATTTAACCGTGAGTGTTGTTATAGCTGTGTGTGTGGATTTTAATTTTTTTAAAATCAGCATTTTATCCTCGAAGTTCATTTTTTTACCCTAAAATATATAAGAACCTTGAGTCTGGGGGGAAAAGGGTAATTGCTAAATCTTCTCTATATGATTTCTAGATATGGCATAAAGCCTGTTTTCACTGTGAAGTTTGCAAGATGATGCTGTCTGTTAATAACTTTGTGAGTCACCAGAAAAAGCCGTACTGTCACGCGTAAGTGTTTGATGCCCCCACCACTACCTCTTGAGTTTTATTTGTTTTTCAACAAGGAGCCAACTAAACGTTCAAATCATATAACCCAGGGTTAAATCCAAGAAATATCTTCTCCCAAAGTGTTCCCTTGTATCCTGTCATTAAAGAGACCTAAGGTGGGATTTTATGCAATGGACACAAAACTTCAAATTTCTTCCAAGTAAAAGATCAAATATATCCACTATAACCTCATGTCAAATTATTAAATACTGTGCAGAACAATGTAATGGCCATAAATATGCATATAGAGCTTTGAAGTATTTTCTTTTAAATAATTTCAGAATCCTTTTTTACTTTCTTCAGAAAGTTTTCAAGTGATCATTTCCAGTTAAATTTAGGCTTTCAGTTATATATGTCGATTTTATTTGATTTGCTTTTTTTTCTGTAAGATGCATTGCCTGGAAAATCACGAACTTAATTTTTAAGTTTTACATTTATTGATTTTTTAAAAATAACTGTTATTATTTAAAAATAATTTTAAGAATAGTCCCTCAATCATTTGGATAAAGTACATTTCTAATTTTGATTTATACCTATTTGTTGTAGCCATAACCCTAAGAACAACACTTTCACCAGTGTCTATCACACTCCATTAAATCTAAATGTGAGGACATTTCCAGAGGCCATCAGTGGGGTAAGTTATTTAATTTTCAGTGGGATGGAGGGTATGGAGAATGATTGGTTACTGGGTAGAAACATGCAAATAGATAAAAGGAATATATTCTAGCCAGGCACAGTGGCTCACACCTACAATTCCAACACTTTGGGAGGCCAAAGCGGGCAGATGGTTTGAGCTTGGGAGTTAGAGACTAGCCTGGGCAACATAGTGAGACCCTGTCTTTATTTCTTAAAAAGTTAAATAAATAAAAGAAGGAACATGTTGTAATGTCCTATAGCAGACAGAGTAGGATGACCACAATTAACAACAATGTATCATATATTTCAAAATAGCTAGAATAGAAATGATAAATACTCGAGCCGATAAACACCCTAAATGCCCTGACTTGATCATTACACATTCTAATATGTAACAAAATATTATATGTACTCCATAAATATGTGCAAATATTATATACCGATTAACAATGCTAGGCACATGTTAAGTTTTTAAGTGTCTCTGTCTGCATGTGAACCTGCCCATTTCCTCCACATACACATGTAAAGTGCATTTGAGTAACAAATATGACTGTTTGTTCTCCCACAATATTAGGAGCCAATATACAGGATAATCTAGATTGAATAATTGAGGTCCTTGATTTCAGTATAATCTTTGTGTCTTGACCAGCTCAAGACTGTTTCATAAAATGATGACAGTTTATAGAGTAGGCTCTGCATATACTAGGTGCTTAATACATAAAACAATGCTTACGTAGTTGGAACATATTACAAGGATCTTGACTTTTCCCTGTGACATTCTGGTACACAAAATTAAAACCTTTAGTTTCACACTGTTAAGTCTCTCTGAATTCAGTCATTACTTATGATTATTGGCAGCCTGTTTTCCCCTTGGGGTGGGGATAAGTCAAAGATGTTTTCCTTTGGAAAGGAAGTTTAGTTTAGGACGTGTGGGGTTGAGATGGGGAGGTAAATATGGAGGCCACATTGCCAAATCCAACCTCTTGAAAATCTAATAGTGGAGTTTTGTCAAATAACCAGTTATCGACGGAACTCTTGCACCTATTAAAATGATGAATCATTGAGCTTCTATAACCCATGCCCACAAGAAGTTGCTCTGTGGGATGAAGTTTTAGTGGCTTTCTAAAATTAGAAAATTACCCATGAGGTGAAAGACTCTCTAGTGATCCCTCTTTACCCAAGATTCCCTTCCTAATGTTGCTCCACCTCATACTGACTCCCTTCCCTGCCCAGCTGTCCTCCTCCCAAAAAACTGTGTATGAGATAGAGGTAGTGACCTTGCTGTGTGGCTCTCTACACATGCTGCCAAGATACCTTATTTTCACTAAGTGCTTAGAACTAATTGTGAGTTTATTATTTCTTTTATTTAACAAGCATATATAGCATTTACTGTAGAAGCACTTAATTAATTTAACGTACACCACAACTCAATGAAGTTGATACTACTATTATCCCATTTTACGGTGAGGAAACAGAGGCTCAAATTGTTGCTCAGACATCATTGCTTCCTAGGGATTCACAAGTCTTATGAATTCACAAGTAATCCTAGGTTACTGAGAAGCCTAATTCTTTTAGGACTTTGTTTTCATCTCTTGGTGTCTGAGAGCAGCTACATGAAATTACAATAAATATTGAATCTAGCTCTTACTTAAACAGAGTACTGAACACTCTGCTAAGTTCTTTATATTATCTCATGTGTTCTTGACAAGAACCTTCTGTAATATTATTGTGTTATAGTTGAGGAAACTGAAGCTCAGAGAGGTTAAGTAACCTGCCTAGTTTACCCAGCTGGTTGGGCACAAATCCAGATCTGTTTAACTTTAGGATATTTATTAGTGGCTCTCTTTCATATATATCCAGAGGGTGGCAAACTCTCCAGAAGACAAAAAGCACTTGTTCATGTTTTCAAATATCCATATGTTTCTGCAGTTGTGTAGCGAGGATTTGACACATAAAACATGAGGAGATGTACTTTACCTCAGAATGCTGTTTGCATTTATTACAGTGTCTACAGAAAGATCCATAATGTCTGTATTTTTCCTCTAACTGAGCCACAGCAGGCATGTCTCCACCTTATAATCACACAACAGGTCACACACTATTTTCCTCTTTTTGAGGTGGGAGTGGACTCACTTTATTTTAACTGTGTATGACAGGCCCAACCTGGAGCAAGGCTAGGATTGTTGCTGGTTCTATTTCCAGCCACAGACAGTGATGTGAGCTTCCCAGGAAGCCTGCGTGTGTGTATTTGTTTGCGTCTATGTGACAGCGTATATGTGTGTATATATATGTGTATATATATGTGTGTGTGCATCCGGAGAGTGTGTATATGTGTGTATGTAGGTGTGAATGTGTGTGCACACACATCTATATGTGTGTATGTGATGTGTGTGCATGAGTATGTGTGTGCACATGTTCATGTGTATTGTGTGCATGTATTTGGTGTGTATGTGTTTATGCATATGTATGTATATGTACATGCATGTGGGATATGTATATGCATATGTGGTATGTATATATGTGTATATAGTGAGTGTATATATGTATGTATGGTGTTTATGTATGTATGTATGTATATATGTGTATATGGTGTGTGTGTGTGTGTGTGTGTGTGTGTGTGTGTGTTGTCTACTGAGATCACTTTCTCCTTTTTGCCCACCAGGGACAAAGTAAAACGGACAACCATATCCCTTACAGGGCCCAGCTCTTACAACTGCCCTAGGGTGTGTTATGAATTACCTTTTCACCTCCCTGTGATCTCTGGGAGACTTTGACAATTGAATAAAAAACAAATTCATTGTGAAAGTGCTAAAATCAAAAAAGGAAAGAGATTTTTCAGTGATGGTGATGAAGGAGAAAAGTAGAGATTTTAAGCTGGCATTCAAAGCAGATTTGCAGGTTTTTTGTCTCCTAAATGTCACCCTTTGAAAAATAAATAAATACTTGCAAAGACAGAATTTCCTGTTTGGTAGGTGTGAATGGAATTTTTAGAAAAATAAAACATCTAGGGTTTTCTTCTATTCAGAGAACGAAATTTAGCCCTTCATGCTTCCTTACCCCACTGGTAAGATTTATGGCATTTTTTCCTCTTTCTGTTTCCTTGGTGTAATCCTGAATCTCACGAAAGGTCCCTAGGGGAGGCAAACCCTCCCCAGTGGTAGATTTGCACTGGGGAAGGAGGACAGCAAATATAACTTTCTAGAAGTGGACAGAATATCTATTTTGGTCTTTTGGTCCTGTGTTTCTGATTCCTAAAGTACATTGTTCTCAAGGAGGGCAGTTCCCCCCAACCCCTACCTGGGGGACATTTGTTAATGTCTGGGACATATTGATTGTCGTGACTGGTGTTGATGGGGTATTATTGCATCTGGTGGGTGGAGACCTGGGATGCTCTTAAACATCTTGCTATGCCCGAGCCAGTACTCCACAACAAATAATTAACTGGCCCAAAATATTGGTAGTATTATTTGTAGGTAAAAACAAAAAACGAACAAACAAACAAAGCCCACTTTAAGTTTACGTAATGTTCATTTAATTGTTTCCTAAAAATACAAGGAAAAAGCATGTAAAGATCTCTCAGTGTATATATTTAAAAATATATGCATCAAGTAGCATTAAGCAGTAGCAACCCTGGAAAGTCAATATCAGAATGTGCCCTTGATAGGGAACAAGAATCCTTTGGGTTTAAACTTTTCTCTGAGCTTGTTTTCTTATTATGTTTAAAATTAAGAATTTAAACTTCAGCTTGTAAAAATTTCAGATTTCTTTCTTTCTTTCTTTTTTTTTTTTTTTTTTGAGACAGGGTCTCACTCTGTTGCCCAGGCTGGAGTGCAGTGGTGTGATGTCGGCTCACTGCAACCTCCGCCTCCTGGGTTCAAGTGATTCTCATATCTCAGCCTCCTGAGTAGTTGGGACTACAGGCGTGCACCACCATGCTCAGCTAATTTTTTCTATTTTTAGTAGAGATGGGATTTCACTGTGTTGGCCAGGCTGGTCTCAAACTCCTGACCTCAAGTGATCCACCTGCCTTGGCCTCCCAAATTGCTGGGAGTGCAGGCGTGAGGTACTGCGCCCGGCCAAAATTGCCGATTTCTGGGCCTCACTTCCTACCTAATAAATTTTGATATCTTAGTTTGGACCTAAGACCTTCTGATGTTTTTTCTTTTATAATTAGTCCTTTTTACATTTAAGAAATCTTTGTCTATCTCAAGGTTATGAAGATGTTACTGAGAGGTCAGTTTTCCCCCAATTAATCTATACATTCAAGGCAGTGCCATTCAAAATCCTGGTGTTTTTTTGTGGAAATGGACAGACTGATTCTGAACGAATATAAAAACACAAAGCTTCTAAAATAGCCAAGAAATCTTGAAGAACAAATTTGAAGGACTCACCAGATTTCAAGACTTACTCTATAAAAGCAGACTTACTCTATTAACTCAGCATAGAATTGGCACAAGAAGAGAGAAATAGACCAGTGGACTCCAACACAAGGTCCAGAAATAGGGCTGCACGTATATGGTCACTTGACTTACAAGAAAGGCATCACTGCAATTTAACATAGCAAGAATGATCTTTTCATAAACAGTACTGTAGTAATTAGGTATTTATATAGAAAAAAATGAACCTTGACCCTTATCTATATGTAAAAATTAACTCAAGGTGTATTATAAATCAGGATGTTAAAGGTAAAATTGTGAGGCATAAGAAGAATATCTTCATAAAATTGAGGAGCCAGCATTTTAATAAGCTCCCTGGGTGATGGTTACATGACTAAAATTAAGAACCAGTACTCTAATGCCCAATGTTTTCTGAGGTTACTCTAATTTGTATTGTGTGGTAGGTTTATAAAGACTTTATCTCAGTCACTTTAATTGCACTGCTTCAAAGAGCTTCACACACAGCAGGTGCTCTATATGTGCCACCTGGTTGGAGGTGCAGATTAAACCACAGGGAGACTGACAGCACAGTGTGCCTTGCAGCACAGTGAAGATGCTTTGCAGTTGAGACTTAGCAAAATCCCCCAATTTTAGCTAGGAATTGTTTGTCTATGTTTTTTTCTCTTTTCTGATGGAAACATTACTGACAACATCTTCCTTGAGCAGATCCATGACCAAGAAGATGGTGAACAGTGTAAATCAGTTTTTCACTGGGACATGAAATCCAAGGATAAGGAAGGTGCACCTAACAGGCAGCCACTGGCAAATGAGGTGAGAGAAAAGTGACAAGTGGGTTTGGAAAAAGAAAGAATGACATACTATGTCAATTGAGTGTATTATTATTATTACTTCTAGAGAAAACCAAGTAGGTTTCCTTTCACCCAGTTTGTAATTCCAGCTGTCTATGGAAGACCTCAATCAGCGTGTCCTAATATCACCTGAACTCTATCTTCCCCAGACCAGGTTCATTGTCTTCCCCTTCCAACCACTGTATTTCTATCACCCAGGTTTGAAACCAAGGCTACCCTGTCTTTCTCTGACACTTCACTCAGCTCCACCCTTTTCTCTCCACTCTCCCCGTTCTGATCTACATCATTTTCTGCCTGGACCTTTACGAGGCCTCCCAAGGTGGCTGCTTTCCCTCCTCTAGGCTGGCCTCTCTCCAGCCTGTTGTACTCACATGGGTCAGGAGGCTCCCAGCTTCCTAGGTGTCCCTGACTTACTCTTCCCACCTCCCCTGTCTGTTGACAGACTCATCATTTCAGAATTCCTTAGCCATTTATTTTATTTACACACATAATATACACATAAGAATTTGCATTATTCTTATTATAAAAAAAAATCCAAACAGTACAAAGCTAACCCTTTATCCACCACCTCCAATTCCAGTTTTCTTTGTACAAGTACCCACTCTCGTCAATCTTGTGGATAGCATCCTTCCAGACTTTTCTCTATTGATTTGCAAATAAAACCATATCTTTCTAGAATTTACATTTGGACATGCTACCATTTATTGAAGGATCTTAAATGAGTTATTTAACCATTCTTTACTTCAACTTTCTCATCTGTAAGGTGAACTTCAAAAACACTTCCTAACATAATGATATTGCGATGAACAAAAGATCTTAGAACAGTGGTAGGCACAATAAATATCAGCTAGTATTACTTGTTATTGAAAATTATATATGTATATATGTTATATAAACCCAAAAGTATCTGAGACAGGTCTCAATCCATTTAGAAAGTTTATTTTGCCAAGGTTAAGGACACACCCACGACAGCCTCAGGAGGTCCTGACAACCTGTGCCAGAGGTGGTCAGAGTACAGCTTGCTTTTATACATTTTAGGGAGACATGAGACATCAATCAGTACATGTGAGGTGTACATTGGTTCCATCTGGAAAGGCAGGACACCTCGAAGTGGGGGCTTTCAGGTTATAGGTAGATTTAAAGTTTTCTGATTGGCAATTGATTTAAAGAGTTATTAACTAAAGACCTGAAATCAATAGAAGAAATGTCTGGATTACAATAAGGGGTTGTGGAGACCAAAGTTTTATCATGCAGATGAAGCCTCCAAGCAGCAGGTTTCAGAGAGAATAGATTGTAAATATTTCTTATCAGACTTAGAGTATGTGT
Organism: Homo sapiens; assembly: GCF_000001405.40. NCBI lineage: Eukaryota > Metazoa > Chordata > Mammalia > Primates > Hominidae > Homo > Homo sapiens. The sequence goes on along the minus strand of NC_000010.11, from coordinate 113,656,105 downwards.
TGGTGTTAATGCTGGTCGGTAGGCTTTTCTTGAATTCCGAAAGGGAGGCGGGTATAATGAGACATGTTCGACCTCCCCCTTTCCATCATGGCCTGAACCAGTTTTGCAGGTTAACTTTCGAATGTCCTTGGCTGAGAGGAGGGATCTGTTCAGATAGTTAGGGGGCTTAGAATTTTATTTTTGGTTTACAGTATATTTCTATTAAAATGTATACTTTTTTCATGAAACAATATGCATTGTTGTGAAGTGTGTATTTTTCACTCAACAAATATCTTGGAAATATTTCTACATCAGCATCCTTTTAAGCTATCGTGAATGGGTGTATCATAGGTGCACCATTAAGTATGGATATACAAGGCCAGGTGCCATGGCTCACACCTGTAATCCTAGCACTTTGGGAGGCCAAGGTGGGTGGATCACCTGAGGTCAGGAGTTCGAGACTAGCCTGGCCAACATGGCCCATCTCTACTAAAAATATAAAAATTAGCCAGGCATGGTGGTACATGCCTGTAATCCCAGCTTCTCGGGAGGCTGAGGCAGGAGAATTGCTTGAACCCAGGAGGCGGAGGTTGCAGTGAGCTGAGATAGTGCCACTGCACTCCATCCTAGGTGACAGAGCAAGACTCTGTCTCAAGGGAAAAAAAAAAAAAAAATGGATGTACAATACCATACTATCCTATTGATAGACAGGATTATTCCAAAATTTTTTTTCTATTGCAAATTTGCAAGGAACATTCTTGTTCAAGACCTCTTTTGTATACAAGTGAGTGTTTTTCTAGACTAGATAATGAAAAAACAAAGTTGCTAGATCAAAGGGTATGTCCCTTTTAAATTTTAATGGAGGCTCAAATTGAATTCTAAAATAGCTGTACATTTTATACTCCCAAAGGCAGTGTGTGAGAATGCCTGTTTCCCAACATTCTAACCATCACTTGGTATTGTCAGATAAGTGTTTGGACAATCTGCATCTTGTTTCAATTTAGATGTCCCTGATTGCTAGTCAGGTTGAGTATAATTTCACATATGAATAATCTGTCTTTCTGGATCTCCAAAGGCTGGCTCTATCCAACCTGTCCAACTTGCCCCCCTCCAGCCCACCTGGCTCCCCATCTCTTTCCCTTGTGTCCAATCAAACCCAGCTCCTCATGGTCCTAATTACTGAGCCCATCACTGCCTTCATGCTTTTATTCATGGCAGCCTACATTCCTGGAATTTATTCAACAAATAATTATTGAGTCTATGAGTTGCTACACACTGTTCCAAGCTTTTGGGATGCGTTAGTAAACCAGACATGAAAATCCCTGCCTTCATGGAACGGACCTTCTAAAGTGGATGCCATTCGTTCTCCCTTGGCCTCTACTAATTGCCCTCAGCCCTGGAGGTACAGCTCAAATTCTATCTTCCTGCCCCATATGGGACCCATCTCTTACAGACTGCTTTTTAAAGATTCTTATTGTACTTATCACTCAGACAATACACTTAAACACATAACTGTTTTCTAATTGCTATTTATTTCATGTTAGTTTTATCTCCCAAGGTGGTAGGTCATGAGTATCTTAAAAGAGAAACTTTGCCTTTCCTTTTTTTTTTTTTTTTTTGCTTTTATTGCCATTGTCAGTTGTCAAGCACATAACAGGTAGTAGGTTTTTGACATTTGTCTGAATAATGTTGATTAATCTCAGATTACCTGTCCACAGTGATTTCCCCTCCTCCTCGCCCAATCTTGATGCAATGGTGTGCAAGAAAATGTTGTTACATTCAAAATTTTCCTGTAACATAAGTGGTTCTCAGAAAGTTCAATTATTTAGAATCTTAGGTCATTTTCTAGCCTGAAATAAATGAACATTTCAGTTAGCTGAGACCCAGGATTTACCAATAGGAGTTTATAATGTTTAAGAATATCTTCTTTTGACAATGTATGTAAGTGTTGCTGGGAGTCTGGGGCATGTGTTTGTATCCCTTCATGTGCTTCCTTTGTAGAGAGCCTATTGGACTGGATATGGGGAAGGGAATGCTTGGTGCCCAGGAGCTCTGCCAGACCCCGAAATTGTAAGGATGGTTGAGGCTCGAAAGTCTCTTGGTGAGGTAAGCACCCTAGAAATTGCTTTAGGAATTGGTTTAGCAATTACTTAGCAATTAGTTTGACTGTTCCTTGACTTTTACAATTTCGGTAGACAGAATGATGCTATCATCCCCAAAGATACCCATGTCCTAATCCCTGAAACCAGGAGGGTCAGAGTCAGAGGAAAGGTGATATGGTGACAGAAGCAGAGGCCAAATCCATGTAGGGCAGGAACTAGAAATGTGTGGGCCTCTAGAAGCTGGAAAAGGCAGAGAAACAGATTATGCTCTAGAACCTCCAGAAGGAACCATCTCCAATGGCCCATTTTAAAGTACTGACCTCCAAAATCATAAGAGACCTTAGCAGGCTTTCACATAGGGAAGACAGTTTTAGCCCAGACTGTGGAAATCCTCAATCATTTGCACAGGTTACGCTCTAGGTAACTAGGTCCCTCCTGGTTACCTCTAGGTACACTTACCCTTTGAAGAATCTACTTTGGAAAACACTGTTAGTCCTCATGACTTTTCTTTAGAAAATGGAAAGAAAATGCTAGAAACACAAATGCTAAGGTGATAAGTCTCATTAGGAAAACTAATCATCAGAGATATTCAAAAAGTCAGAAGGAAAGAAAAAGAGACATTTTACTTCCAATACTGTAGTACTCTTGCTAGCAGACGAGTTACAGGAAAGTCACCCATGTATTAATTAATAGCTGTGGTACCTACAGGCCTTAGAGCCAAAGGGCAGCCCTTGAGTTGTGCCAGGTCCCCATATTTTGATATGAACATTGAAGAGGAGCCCCTTTGACATGGGAAATATGAGTTCTTCAGTGCTGATGGTTTTATTCAAATGGTCAATTATAAGCCATTTTTAAATTTATTACAGGTGATTGAAATATTTCCGAAGAACTTTATGAATCTAGTTTCATTGGTTTTATTGCGGTTTTCTTAGTTGTCATTCAATATCATCTCAGTTCTCATGCTGACATTGGTTCTGACCAACAGGAATATACAGAAGACTATGAGCAACCCAGGGGCAAGGGGAGCTTTCCAGCCATGATCACACCTGCTTATCAAAGGGCCAAGAAAGCCAACCAGCTGGCCAGCCAAGTGAGTGCCTGGGTGCTTTTTCACCATTGATTATGCTAATTTTTGTCATTAATGAGCCCCCGTGATTTAGGGAAAAAACAGTAAGAGAGTGCTTTGGGGAAGTAGGTACCATTAGTGTCATATTACAGAGAAAACTGTGTTCTTACTTTTCCCCGTCAAGTATTCTCTGTGCTGTGATTGGACCATGTCTATAAAATACAGAGAAGAATGTATAGTTCACCCAAAGTCTGGACCACATGATTTCTTGAGTTTGCTTTAGCACTGAACACATTATTATTTTACATTTTTATTTTTATTTTATTTATTTATTTTTATTTTTATTTTATTTTTATTTTTATTCTTGGCTCACTGCAACCTCTGCCTCCTGGGTTCAAGTGATTCTCCTGCCTCAGCCTCCCGAGTAGCTGGACTACAGGCACGTGCCACCACACCCAGCTAATTTTTTTGTATTTTTAGTAGTAGAGATGGGGTTTCACCATGTTGGCCAGGATGGTCTTAATCTCTTGACCCTGTGATCCACCCAACTTGGCCTCCCAAAGTGCTGGGATTACTCGGGTGAGCCACCACAGCCAGCCGAAGACACTAATTTTTAACTGGATGTCAGGTTCACCGGAAGAGTAGCAAAGTTTATTTGTTAAAAGCTTAGATTTTGGAGCCAGAATGTTGAAATTTGAATCCTGACTCTATCCCTTAGTGCTATGTGACCATGGACAAATTACTTAATTTCTCTCTTTCTTGGCTTCTCGTTTGTAAAGTGAGGAAAACATTAGTCCTGCCAAATATGATTGTTATGGAGATTAAGCAAGTTAATATTTGTTGGAGTGTGGCAGTCCCTGGCACACTCCTGGACTTAGCACATTGGCATAGATGCTTTTTGAGGAGGAGCCCATGAAACAAGCCACAGAAGACTTGCCACAGGTTTGCATTGAGTGTAGCCTGATGGTGCAGCTTTAGGAGAGCCACAGGGAGAGGTCACTGAGGAGGCTGTGAGGTGGGTGCACCCTTGACTCTACTGTCTTCTCATCAGGTGGAGTATAAGAGAGGGCATGATGAACGCATCTCCAGGTTCTCCACGGTGGTGGATACTCCTGAGCTGCTACGGAGCAAGGCTGGGGCACAGCTTCAAAGTGATGTAAGAAAGGAGGGAGGCCAGTCCATCACTGATGGGCATTTGGGTTGATTCCTCATCTTTGCTCTTGTGAATAGTGCTGCAATGAACATACACGTGCATGTATCTTTATAATAGAATGATAAAAAGGAACAAGATCATGTCCTTTGCAGGGACACAGATGGAGCTGGAGGCCATTATCCTCAGCAGACTAATACAGGAACAGAAAACCAAACACCCCATGTTCTCACTTATAAGTGGGAGCTGAGCAATGAGAACACATGGACACAGGGAGGGGAACAACACACACTGGGGCCCACAGAGGGGAGTTGAGGGGAGGGACAGCATCAGGATAAATAGCTAATGCATGCCGGGCTTAATACCTAGGTGATGGGCTGATACGTACAGCAAACCACCATGGCACACATTTACCTACGTAACAAACCTGCACGTCCTGCACATGTATTCTAGAACTTAAATTAAATTAAATTAATAAAAAAGAGAGAGAAATGAGGAAGGCCAAGATGTAGTGGTTTGCACTTAAGATCCCTCATTCTTTCCTTGCTTGGAGGTGGAGGGAGGGAGAATGTATGAGACATTTTAGTCCTGCATGGGTAACAAGAAGAAATTCCTGAGGTCAAGGATGGTTGGGCTTGATAAGTCAGTTAGCAGAGACCTTGCAAAAACACTTCTTTAAAGAGAAAACTTTAGATTGGATTAGTACCAAATTGGATGTATCTCAGTTATCTGAGAGAAATCTCTCTTGCCACTACAAATTAGAGAACATAATTTCTAAACAACTTTTACCACTTGCCTTTACATAATCCAAATGTTGCACAGCATAATAAGATCAAGAACTTAGTGTTGTTCTGAATGGGACATTGAAGCACAAATCCAGCTTCTGCGTCATACATGGTTTCCTCTTGCTTTAGCCTTAATCTGGGGTTGAGAAGACTCTTGTGTCTCCCAAAAATGGCTGACAACTCCTTGAGGGCTGAGGACTTATTACTCTGCCCAGGCCCAGTGCCTGGCCCACACCAGGTGCTTAGCAAGCATGTGTTGAACTCCACATTGGGTGTCTCCATGTGCCAGGCACTGTGCTGGGTATTGGGAATAAGAAGATGAATAAGATGCACATGGCCCATCAAACTGTAAGCCAATTATGTGCCTTATGAGCTATGACAGGAGATGGGCAGGATGTCATGGAACCCTTAGCAGAGCATCTCACTAAGATCATCTGATAAACATGGGGCATGTGATTCACATGTTTTTTCATTTCAGGTGAGATACACAGAGGACTATGAACAACAAAGAGGGAAAGGCAGTTTCCCTGCGATGATCACACCCGCCTATCAGATAGCCAAAAGAGCCAATGAGCTGGCAAGTGATGTAAGTGTCCTTGACAATGTGGTCATGTTAGGGAGAAAGAGGAATGTGAACCTGGGTCTGAGGAGTCCAACTTCCTGTTGACTTTTGCATTTACCCTGAAGCCAGGGAGTAGTTTTCCTTTATAGTTTTAAGTCAATTTTACCAATGACAATGACCTGGCACTTTTATGTCTGAGACATACCTACTCCCTAGATCCAAGCAGAAAAAGAACATTCCATTAAGACATTCACTTTTACTCTTTTGGCTCCTGTGCATGGGAGTCAAATTCACCGAGTTTGTCCTTTGCCTTAAAACAGGTGAGGTACCATCAACAATATCAAAAAGAAATGAGGGGAATGGCTGGTCCAGCCATTGGAGCTGAGGGCATCTTGACAAGGGAATGTGCAGACCAATATGGCCAGGTATGTGATAAAATGATCTCCTGACCTGCTCTTTTCCATGTTTGGCCCATTCTAGGCTGTGACACAGCTATGACAATTTAATCAGGGGTGGGGCTTTGGTTTATCTTTACCTTTTTTATGAAAGGTAGATTTTCCAAGATAGAAAGTAGTGGACAAACAATTGCACAGGGCTCAACTTGACCCACTTAGGAAAACAGATTGAGGCACTTTCTTTTTTTAAATTAATAAATGACTTATACCAATATGGTGGCTTGGCCAAGAAGAAAGCATTCCTATCTGTCCATTGAAGAACAGTCGCTAGGACTAAGATTGGCTAAGCTTAGCTGGTCTCTATCATAAGCAACATAGAGATCAAAATGCATCTTGAAAAATATTGAGCATTTCACTGAGTAGTGGTGCTCATTTTCTTAGAAAGTGAATTTTTTTTATCTAGGTTGGTAGATAAATCAGTATGCCAGAGAATGCAAACCCTTTTTCCAATTTCACTTCTCAGATGAACTACATCTTGACAGGGAGTAAAAAAAGATTAAGATGACAATCACAAGCTAATTATTATTTGCACATCCCTCTGTCTTTTCTGGTACTAGCCAGGTGTTGTAGGGTAGAAAGGAAGCATTATTGTTCACAGTTGCAAGTGAAGAACATTGGAAGAGCAAGTGTGTGTATTGGAAGAATACATTCCATGGGTTTAAGTGATTTTTATTCATAATTGGACAGTTGTTTGAATTATTTGTCAGTAAGTAGACTCTCTACAACATATATGATTTAGAAAACCACAATGAATTTGTTTCTCTTCTTTAGAAAGACACATTGCCATAGTTAGGCATATGCTCATATGAGTCTTAGGATGTGTGTGAAGGTCGGTTGGGACTCCTTTGAAAATGTCTGCCAGAGCAAAAATGCTTGGTTTTGAATTTAAAAGGCCATTTAATCAAATTCTCTAAGTTAATTAAGTGGTCTTTTAGTGCTTTAAACCAGTGAAAAATGTTTTTACTGGTTTTGTATTTTAAATATATTGTTTGGAAAGCTCAGGACAACTTTTAAAAATCAGCTTAAAAAAAATCTGGCTTCTATATTTGGCAAAAAGTATTTTGTCCTGTATTTGGCCAATCCTATCTACCAGTAGTTATAAGACACATGTATCATTTCATATGTGTACCTAGACATGTCTGTAGGTACAGATGAAATGTAACTTCATAGTATCATAGCTGGTTCTTGATTAGTAGGACGATTTGATTGAAGTTTTCAGTCCTGAAAATAACAAATGCAAGAATCAAAGTGAGTGTTGTTTGATAGCACCTTCAGCAGCTGTTGAGAGGACTCAGTCTAGCATGGCATTTCACTGTTGTGATTTAGCATGACTCGCCAGGGCATGAGGAGGAGGGAGCGAGAGAGAAGCCAGCAGGCAGATAACTATAAATATCTGTAGTGCCTTAAATGCCAACCAATTCATTCTTCTTTTTAACAAGTAACTAGACTTGTTAAAAGGATTATACCATGTAATCAACAGGATTAGGTGTCTTGAAAAAAGATTAACACTTACAACATATATATATATATATATATATAGAGAGAGAGAGAGAGAGAGAGAGAGAGAGAAACTAAAATAAAGTTACAAACACAAAACTATAGAGCAGAATGGACAAAGCCATAGAGCAGATTACCAAAGAATTTGAGAACCTTTTAAAAAAACTTAACCTTTTTTTACTTATTATATTTGGCCAGAACCTTCTGTCAGCCAGGCAAAAAGGAGAACTCGGGCTAAATAGTTTTCATTGTTGGATAACGGGGAGCCTGGACTTTCTAATCTGACCCAACTATTTTATTTTAGAAAATGTGTGTGCCACAGTCAAAGCCCTGGTGCTGGAGCTGGACAGGCCCCTGGCTTGGAGGAGGCCACAGAGAGATGGAGTCGTGAGCCTAATGAGGGCACCATATGGGCTGTTTCAGATTTATGCAAAAAGTGCAGTGAAAACACAGAGGACTCTGCCTGGGGCAGGTCCAGGGGTGAAGGAGGACTCAGGGACTTCCACGAGGAGACTGTCCCTAAGCTGGGTCTTAAAGTACATCTGGCTGCCAGGGAGGGGTTATCCGTCATGTGATGACAGTGTCATGAAAGAGAAGGTTTTCCTTTCTGGGAGTGGATGGATGGTGTGGGGAAGATAAAAGAAAGGATTAAGACAAAGATTATAATCCTTAGTCTGAAATATACATTTAGTCCCATTTCAGATAATCTTATGGTAATTTGAGGTTTTCCTCCCATATTACAAACATTGTTTAATACTCCTTTTCTGGTTACATGACACATACCATTGGGGAAGGCAGTACCACTGGGGGAGACAGTACCACCGGGGGAGACAGCACCACCGGGGGAGGCAGTACCACCGGGGGGAGACAGTACCACTAGGGGAGGAAGTACCACCGGGGGAGACAGTACCACTAGGGGAGGAAGTACCACCAGGGGAGGCAGTACCACTGGGGGAGACAGTACCACCGGGGGAGACAGTACCACCGGGGGAGACAGTACCACTTGGGGAGGCAGTACCACCGGGGGAGACAGTACCACTTGGGGAGGCAGTACCACCGGGGGAGACAGTACCATCGGGGGAGGTCTCTACATAGATCTGCCACTGGGTGTGAGTAAGGTAGTGTTCGAGACCTACTGGAAGACAAAGGACTTCCCTGGTTGTCAGTTAAAAAGTGAATATTTCATAACATATGGGCCTGGGAGAGTGGTAGAGTGTCTGATTTATCTAGTGGAAATAAGGATGATGATCATGATATCAGTTGCCATTATTTGGTGCTGACTATGTGCTGGGCACCAGTAAGTGGGCCTGACTCCAGGGTCTGCCATCTTAAAAGGAATGTTTAAACTACCACATGGACATCAGTGAAATACCCAAGGTGGATGAACCTCTGTGAGAATAGGCTCTATGAGTGACCATTGCTGAACCCCACCCATCTGGGGAGGGAAGCATTACTCACTGAAGTTTTTGATGCACCCGGCAGGGTTACCCGGAGGAGTATGAGGAGCACAGGGGAAAGGGCAGCTTCCCAGCTATGATCACTCCAGCATATCAGAACGCCAAGAAAGCTCACGAACTCGCTAGTGACGTAAGTACCATGTAGGTGTGACCACAGAGCCAGAGGCAGAGAAGTGAGACTTTGAAGGCTGTGCTTACTGAAACCTACACACAGATACATTTATTATAGCTGAGCCAAAGTAGAATGTTAGCCCTCAACTCCCATCCAAATTTATGATGCCTGCTTTGGCCCCATTTGTCTGCTTCCAAGGAGATGGACACGGACAGCCAGCATAGCTCGCTTGAGGCCATTGAAGCAAGTACAGAGGCTGGCCAGCCAGAGTGGGGTGTTAGGAGAGTTTTGCCAAATGGCCCAATTAGAAATTGAGTAATTTAGGGGAAGAGCTGATTAAAATAAGTCATATGATTATCAAATTGGGTGTAACCCGGTGATGAAATGATTTTTATTGGCAGAATGTTAGCCTGCTGGCAGTCCTTGGAAGGCAGGGTATAATTAAACTTGGAAAAGTGACATGCTCACTGCAGATCTTAGCATGCCAACTGGAACTTGGTCTCAACAGAACCTAGCATTCATTTCACGCCCCTTGCCATTTTCTTTTTCTTTCCTTTTCCTTCACTCTCTTTTCTTTCCTTTACCAAAGAACTATTCACCTATTACCCATTGACCCATAACAGCACCATCTTTGCCTGAGGAAGGAAGTTAAAAGACATTACTCTGCCCCTCATTAGCAGGGAAATGATGTTTAAACCAAGGGCAGAATGGGTTTGGACTGACAACTTTTGTTATGATTATTTTAAGACTTTTTTTTCCCACGCAGAATTAGAGTATAAAGTATAAAAAGTGTGAAAAGGGCCAGGAAAATTTTAATAACAAAAAAGGACAAAGTAGTTTATAGATTTAATGAAGAGAAAAGGCCATGTGAATTTTTTTTTCTTTCAGAAAATTGTATTAAGTAAATGTTGACATTAAGCCCAGGATAACTTTGGAGTAATTCCCCTCCCAGAGCATGGAAACATCAACTCCAGCCCCGTTTTGTGTTTTTTTTTTCAGATAAAATACAGGCAGGACTTCAATAAGATGAAAGGCGCTGCACATTATCACTCGCTTCCAGCTCAAGACAACTTGGTTCTCAAACAGGCTCAGAGCGTAAACAAACTCGTGAGTGAGGTGCGTATGGGGGAAGAGTCACACCCATGAGCATCACCTCTTTTATCTCCTATAGTCAGTGAATGAGGTGACCCTATAATAAAAAGCTCTGGTTAAAAGTGTGACACCGGCCAGGTGCGGTGGCTCACGCCTGTGATCCCAGCACTTTGGGAGGCCGAGGCAGGCAGATCACCTGAGGTTGGGAGTTCGAGATCAGCCTGACTAACATGGAGAAACCCCGTCTCTACTAAAAATACAAAATTAGCTGGGTGTGGTGGCGCATGACTGTAATCCCAGCTACTAAGGAGGCTGAGACAGGAGAATTGCTTGAACTCGGGAGGCGGAGGTCGCGGTGAGCCGAGATAGTGCTATTGCACTCCATCCTGGACAACAAAAGCGAAACTCCATCTCAAAACAAACAAACAAACAACAAAAAAGGTGACACCACCTATTCTACCCATTGGTTACTGGTTTCAAAGAACAGATATGCGGTAAAATGCAATTTACAAGACAGCCTAGAATCAAACCAATTACATCTTTCTCTGGTGGTTCAGAAGTTACTTCCTAAATCCTCCCAGGGCTGTCAATATTCAAAAGTGCCAGGCAACAGGCTTCTAGTTGCCAGAAAGAATACTGGAGGATCCATCTTTTTAAACAAATCAAACATCTGAAAGATGTTTCAAATGTCAAACCCCTCTCGTTCTCTTATTACTGAAGTCTGAGTTCTGAGAAGCTGTGTATTCCATGTGAATTTCCCTTACCTTACATGCTGCACTGGCTGCCTGAGGGGTGTGTTTTGTTTGGCTTGCCCACCGTTTAAGACGTTTTTATTGTGAGGACTGTTTGGCAAGGAAATATCCCCTGTAGAACCTCATATCCTTCTCATGCCCTAGTGTGTTCTTCACGGCATTTTCCCTCATTTGCATTTCTTATCTGGACTCTGAAGGCATTTGACTTGGCAGCCTCTGGCAACGGGAACAATTATGGCAATTCAAAGCATTCACATAACAAGTTATCTGCAACTCACAAACAGATATGCAAATATCCAAAAATATTTTCCGTCTCTAACCTCTAAAAGCTGGTCCTTTACCCTAAACTGTTAGTTAACCCGTGATCCTCTAACTTGGGGCTGCTCTGAGTCACCAGCAGTGATATTTTCCCAAGCCTCATCAGGAGCCTCAGATACTTTGAAGTGGTAGATGACTGTTGAGGCTTTGGAATCTGCATTTTAAACAACTGTTCCAGATGATTCTGGTACTCTAGACCAGAGGTCAACACACTACAACCTCAGTGACAAATCCAGCCCACTGCCTGCTTTTTAAATAAGTTTTATTTGAACACATTCATATCACATTTGTTCCTGGATTATCTGTGGCTGCTTTGGAGCTACAAGGGCAGAGTTGAGTATAATAATTGACAAAGAATTTGTAGCCTGCCAAACCTAAAATATTTACTGTCTGGTCATTTATAGAAAAAGTTTGCTGGCCTTTGCTCTCACTCACAGAACACTAGACCTAGATGGGACCTTTTCCATCATTAGGCTATCACTTTGTCATACGCCTGGAAAAGTAAAGTATCTAATTCTGGGTGGTAGAGACTTTTAGGGACAGAACTGGATCCATACCACTGGGAGTGCAGTTCTACCACCCAGGAATAACACTGTTAACATTTTGGCCTTTTTTTTTTTTTTTTTTTTTTGAGAGGGAGTTTCACTCTTGTTGGCCAGGCTGGAGTGCAATGGCGCAGTCTCAGCTCACCGCAACCTCCACCTCCCACGTCAAGCGATTCCCCTTCCTCAGCCTCCTGAGTAGCTGGGATTACAGGCGCCCACCACCATGCCCAGCTAATTTTTTGTATTTTTGGTAGAGACGGGGTGAAACCCCGTCTGCTGGCCAGGCTGGTCTTGAACTCCCATTTTAGCCTCTTTCTATATGAATATACTGTAACTGAAGGGATGAATATAAAAATGTATTTATAGAATTAGAATTAGACATACCCCCACCATATAGTTTTATAAGATATGATAACAAACTGTGGGGTATTTCCTTTGGTAAAGAAGTTGCAAGGGAACCTTCCATTTCTTTACGTCCTTATGTTTAGTCAGTAAGACAAACCAGCCATCTATTGGTGGTAGTTGGCCTTAACTGCCTCATGCTAATTACCTGAGATGACTTGGAGTCTATTTAATAAATGTAGCCTCACATCCTACATCCAGGCACCCGGGAGAGCTCAAATAGCCAACTGATTTTAAATTAGAAGACACTCTGCATCTGAGTGGTCTCATTTATTATACTGCTTGTAAAGTAACTTTCCTCGTTGAATTGCATTGAAGTATACCTATAAAGATGTGCATACATCATAAATGTATAGTGGGAAGGATTTCCTTAAGTGGGACACACCTGTGTGACTAGCAATCAGATCAAGAAACAGAATACGACCAGACATCCTCCTAAGACATTTCCATTACAGGAAATATGATTTATCCCCGTAATGCATTTCCACTCAAGAGTAACTACCTGAGTTGTAAAACCAGTTTTGCCATTTTTTGAGTTATGAAATCTTATATTATTTGTTCTTGAAAGCGACTATATGCTTTTAATTTTCTGAATGAAACCAATTATTTGCTATTTATTATGATTCATTTTTATAAAGGAAAATATGTCCTGCTAACTTAGCATATTCTATGCTTGATATGTTAAAATCTTGGGTTGAAAGTTTTCTAAAAATATCCTAGTCAAGTCCTGGGACATTTTCAAGAGTGACTTCGGATTTGGTTCTATTGTGTGTCTGGTGTTTTGATTTCCAAGGTGGAGTATAAGAAGGATCTGGAAAGTAGTAGAGGTCACAGTATCAACTACTGTGAAACACCTCAATTCAGGAACGTGAGCAAGATCTCAAAATTTACCAGTGATGTGAGTTGTTAACGCTAAGCTTTTGTTTGGGCACTGTTGGTGAGCTTAGTCTTTAGGTCTCCTAAGAGGGACAGTCTATGGGAATGGATCTATGTGTCTTGGAGAAGCATGGCCTTTTAGGCATAAATGCCTGGGTTTTGGTTAAGGTTGCCTGCTGGGATTGGTCCTCATAGTGTTCAATTCTGTCACATCCCCAATCTTGACCCTGAGTCCTCTGGGCGGGACCTGTCCTCTCCGTCCCCTTGCTTCCCTTGTGTGCAGCACAGTGCCCAGCTCATAGTGATGAATGCTGGTGAGGGGGCCTGGCTGAGCATGTGACGTCCCCTCTCAATGTGACTTTGTGCTTCTGAGTTAATATGACCTCATTTCACCCTCAGAGTCACCTGGAGAGCCAGATGTTATTTCCCTATCTTACAGATGAACAGATATGTACTAGAGGGGCATTCGCAAATTTGGAGATTCTCAGAGCAGGTCTGAAGATGTATCCTCATGGACATCAAAGACCTATACTAGATAGTATGCTTTACTTTTGCTTAGTTGCACATAATAGTAGAATTTAAAATTGCAAGGGACTGTGTAAGGCACAGTGAGGAATTTATTTTGCATAAATGTAGTGGCTTAAGAGCCAACATACCTTATGTCCCAGTTATTAATAGCAAAGTGGCCAATTTTGGGCAGTTGTTTAAGCTCCCTGAGCCACTCTGCCCAACTCTAAAATGGGGATGATAATAGTTCCTTCCCCCTCATAGAGTACTTGTGAAGATTAACTCAGATAAGTAGAATCATATCTGATATATAGTCATAAGTAGTATTCTGTTTAAACACTAGCAGTACCGAGAAATGCAATGGCCTCCCAGGTTAGGTGATTTTAATACCCCAAATTTCCTATTTATGACCTCTTGTCATCCTGTTTTGGTCTTCTCTTTATTTGATAAGTGGCATTTGACACATAACATAATTATTTCACATAGTCGCACTAGTGACCAACTTTTACATCACAGAATTTGGCAAAGCTCAGGTTTTGTCCTTCATATATTTAGAAATGGAGGTAATGGCATGCAGTGATTTGTACCAGCCTCAGCATGGGGCTTTGCATGTGACGTCCGCATAGTCAGTGCCTGCCACTGTCTCATGGTAAATTTTCACATTGGAAAAATCTGGTAAATTTAAAACTAAAAATGTAAAAACAAACACAGAAAGTCAAGTCTGTTTTGTGCTGTCTATGCTCATCTGATCCCATGTTTCCTTGTCTTCCTGTCTTACTCCAACTTCTTGTGATGGGTTGAAATTTACGTTATTAAAAAAAAGTTTGCCTTATTTTTTATTCTGTGATACGTTGACTATTTAAATGGGTTATATTTAATCATTTATGCCTTGGATTTAATGCATTAAGATGAGTAGTTTATCTTCAACTACTTGTGAAGGGAATGCTTTGGTTGAAAACTTTGCGTTTCCATGTAGAATAAATATAAAGAAAACTACCAGAACCACATGAGAGGCCGCTATGAAGGAGTTGGTATGGACAGACGCACTCTGCATGCTATGAAAGTTGGCAGCCTGGCAAGCAACGTGAGTCCTTTTATGCCAGGGTCTGTTGGGATGGAGTGGGGCAGGGCATGAAGAATTCAGCCAATTCTTTTTAAATTCCCCTTAAAAAAAAATCTGTCTTCTATTTTAAAGACTGTGTAAAGACTGACCCAAAAGAGTTTCTAAATGTTAGCGGATACAACCAAGGCTAGGTAAGATCCCTGAAAATTTTCAAAGGCTTCAATTTGTTTATATTAGCTTTCTCTAATTTGAAGAGTACTTCAGTCTATTATAATGAATCCAGTGTGGTTAACACTTTCAATTTCTGAGAGAAAAAGAGAAATGAATAATTATGATTCTTATTCCAAATTCCCCAGGGTTCCAAAGCTTTTGTGATTTATTGAGAGTTGGTTGGTTGGTAAGCTGGTTTGTTCCTTCATTCATTTTTTTGATCATTGTATTCATTGAAAACCTACTGTGGCCTGGCACTGGTCAGGGTAGTGGGATAACAGAGTAGATCAAGTCCTTGTTTTCCCCTGTAGCATATACTCTATTAATCTCTCTTTAGCTTCGTCAATCCAGTTTATAGATTTACAAATACCAGATTGTAAATCCTGGAGGTAAAGGACACTTAAAGGAAACTGATTTCATTATTAAAACATACAAATGTCGGATTTTCTCTGCTTAAGAATGTCAATTTGATCTTTAGAAAAAAAATTAAATACTCTGAAGACTCTTCACCTTTCCATCTATTTTCTTGGGGTTAGCCAAGGAGCTCTTCCATTGCCTATCCATGTGAAAATGCTTCTTTTCAACAAAAATGACAAGCAGCTTCATAATTAATATGAAATATAAAGTAAATGTGCTACAGATGGAAGTTAACTAATTTTGGACTAATTAAGAGGAATTCAGATTCATTAAAGACAAAAGTGTGAACATAATTTAATTTTCCTTGAAGGTGATGAAACTGAATTCGTTTCTGGGTATTTAAAAAATATTTCTTATGGCATTCAAACAAAGCCAAAAGAAAGTAGAAATTGATTTCTCCATTCTTCTTCTTTTCTTCCTGTTTTAGGTTGCCTACAAAGCTGATTATAAACATGATATTGTCGACTACAACTACCCAGCCACTCTCACGCCTTCCTATCAAACAGCTATGAAACTGGTGCCCTTGAAAGATGTAAGTTCTTTTCCAACAGCTCTTTCTGCTTTGTCACTTGTCGCTTCCTTCCTGAGGAGTGATTTGTAGGTAGCAAGATGGAAAGAAACATGATACAACAGTTCATAAGAGGTTGAAGGGATTGAGGAAAGGGAAATCCTTTTCTATTTTCCACTAGGAAGTTCATTTATGCATGTTTGCACACCCTTAGATTTTCAATGTGAACTAGGGACAACTCTAGTTTTGTCTTGAAAATAACCTGAGGTTC
This sequence comes from Homo sapiens, assembly GCF_000001405.40. Taxonomy (NCBI): domain Eukaryota; kingdom Metazoa; phylum Chordata; class Mammalia; order Primates; family Hominidae; genus Homo; species Homo sapiens. The sequence continues at coordinate 113,639,979 of NC_000010.11, read as the reverse complement.
AGTTTTTCCTCTTAGAATTCAGTGAGCTTTGCCTGCTGGGCACATTTCAAATGCTTGTTCCTTAGCAAGGATGATTTGTTTTCTTTCTTTAAAAAAAGGTTTGTTATGTAGTATGTTAAGAGTTGAAGGAAGTAAAATAAAATGTCTACATACAAGTTGAGAGGAAGTGGTACTATTGACTCCATTTTTTCTCAGGAGCACATGGAAAAGTATATGTATCCCTTAATTATTACAGCAGCGATTTTATTTATGGTTTGGCTTGTTCCAAGCAAAATGTGTGCAATCAATTAAATTTCTTGTTTCCTGATTACAAGAATTTTACTACATGTTTATTATAGAAAATTTAGAAAATACGGAAAAGTGCAAAGAAAAAGATAAAAGTCACCTACTAGCTTAAAAAGTACTTAAGGTGGCTTAGAAGAAAGGTTGTATTGTGGTTGCCAGAGAAGGTTATCTCCAATCAATCAATAATTTAACAAATAATTCAGCGTATATTTATGAAAGTCAAGTGCTACTTTCCTTTGCTTTCCTTTGGGATCAGTACAACTTTAGAAATTGATTGAGGTTTTGCTACTGGTAGATAAGTCTCTGAATCTGTCTCTCTCTCTCTTGCTCAGAGTTGGGGCAGTAGGATTCAGTTGGTTATCTCCAGTGTCCAACCCAGTGCCCAGACATCAGAGGACAATCATTGGCAAATGATATTTATTGAATGAAAGGGGCTTTCCAAATGTGTAATAAAACAGGAGGAAGGAAGCTGAGGAATTGATCAGGGGCCTAAACTTTGCTTCTCTTTTTCTCAGGAAGTTTGGTTGGATTGACTTACTCATTTCACAAAGTTAAACTTGACCACTACCAAAGCTACATTTTTTTTTTTTTTTTTTTTTTTTTGCTATATACATTACCTGGGAAACTTGCAGATCAAAGGCACCTTATTAAAATTTGAATATGTGCTTTTGCAGTAGGATTCTATAAATCATGCCTAATAAGTAGCACAAAGAGTGCAAGATGTACTTCCATTATGACATGACTTGCTACTACATTTATCTAGATAAGACTCTGAGTCAAACCAGGCACCTGGAAGCCCACCCGGGGAAGTCTGATACAGACTTAAACCAGACTGAATTAGAAATATTAATTGAGTTTAGAGGTGGGTTCACTGGCAGCCCATGAGCCACATTTGCACTACGGAAGTGCTTTGTTTGGCTACACAGTGGGTTTTGTTGTTGTTGTTGTTGTTTTAATTGAACCAACATGTGGAAGTTCTGATTTTAGACAAAAACTAATACGCTCACCTTTTCTTGAAAACCCTGAGACATTCTGCCCTAGTTCCTGCAAGGCAGCAATTGGCTGGGACTGGGTGGTGACTGCTCTCTGTTGCTGTACCTCCTTTAGCTTACCTTCCTGGTTCTGATGTGAATTTGAGTTTATCACCCATAATGTAGGGATTTTAATAATCAGGAAGTTTGGGGAATCCATTTACAAGAACAATTGTGGTCTCTCTGTCTGGTAATCTTAAAGGTGGTGAAATAGCCATGAAATTAAATAAGCAAGCATGGGTTCTTAATTTGAGAGCATTCCCTTTAGATAGATTTTATAAACACTAATAGAATTAAAATGAGACTCTATCTTTAGCAAAAAGAAAAAAAAACCTTCAAAATGTAGACTGAAGCAATGGCCAAGCATTTGTGGTGTTGCAAAGATGTGGTTAATCATGGAGACTTTTAATTATGTCCCACAGAGTAAAGTAATTGTGCTCAGTAACATACTTAATGCAGAATTATCAGGAAGAAATATGCCATTTAAAAATATAGTATTTGTGACATTTTATCATGCATAATTCTGAATTCTAATAGACTCTATTATGAGATAATAATTTTGCCTCCTGAATTAATACATTAGGAAGTCACTGTACTTTAATCTAATTAATAGTTGACATTGAAATGACTTTATATTTCCTAATTTTCTCTACACACCCCATGTCCAAAACTCAGAACATGCAAAAACTTTTCTCCTTGAATCATTAACTAAAAAGCACAAAATGATTTTTTTTTTTTTTTGAGACAGAGTTTCACTCTTGTTGCTCAAGCTGGAGTGTAATGGTGCGATCTCGGCTCATAGCAACCTCTGCCTCCCGGGTTCAAGCAATTCTCCTGCCTCAGCCTCCCGAGTAGCTGGGATTACAGGCATGCGCCACCACGCTCCCTAATTTTGTATTTTTAGTAGAGATGGTGTTTCTCCCTGTTGGTCAGGCTGGTCTCAAACTCCTGACCTCAGGTGATCCGCCTGCCTCGGCCTCCCAAAGTGCTGGGATTACAGGCGTGAGCCACCACACCCAGCCTAATGATGTTTTTTAATCTCCAAATCCAACAAAACACTCCACGGCCCATTGTCAGGAGCACTTCGTTATTTCTAGGTCCTGTTCTAGAAGTTCACTTGTAAGTCATTTGTTTGTTTCTAGAATGCATTTCCCTGTCTAAACAATGCTAACTCTGGCTAAGGGGAACCCCTTGCCCATCTGTAATATAACAAATAATCGCTCTAAGCACACTAGCTTTGGCAAACCAGGTTTATAGAGTATAGGTATAGAGCCACCTTGCGAGGCAGACTCCTGGGATTTGAATCATAGCTCTGATACTTACTGCCTGGATGACCTGGAGCAAGCCACTTTCGGTCTCTGTGCCTCAGTTTCCACATTGTAAGGTAGGGATAATAATAGTGCCTAACCATAGGGTGGTGGGAAGGATTAAATGAGTTACATGCATGATGTACTTGGAATGGTGCTGGGTGCATAGTAAGTACCATGTGTTAGTCATAATTATGATGAGCTGGTGTTAGGACAGGCAAAAATGAAATGAATACAAGACCCAGACTCAGGGAAGACATGGAGTATACAAGTTAGTAGCCAGTGGGCCAAAGTGGCTATTAGACCTATTTCTCTTGGGTCACTGGATTTTTTTTTTTTTTTTTTTTTTTGAGATGAAGTCTTGCTCTGTCACCCAGGCTGGAGAGCAGTGGCATGATCGTGGCTCACTGCATCCTCCACCTCCCACATTTAAGCGATTCTCCTGCCTCAGCCTCCCGAGTATCTCGGGTTACAGGCGCGAGCCACCACGCCCGGCTAATTTTTGTATTTTTAGTAGAGACAAGGTTTCACTATGTTGGTGAGGCTGGTCTTGAACTCCCTACCTCGTGATCCTCCTGCCTCGGCCTCCCAAAGTGCTGGGATTACAGGCATGAGCCACTGCCCCTGGCCCGGGTCACTGGATTTTTAAAATATTGAGCTATTTGTTAGCATTTAAAAATTGCAAGATTTTGCATCATAATATGGATTTCTGGTTTCTTTGGAATAACTGGAAAATCTGGCTTCTGTACGCCCTATTTGTTGCATCACAACAATCTCCTAGAGCTGGGCAGCAGCTGCCTCTCTTTGCCATAGTCCTCTCGACTCCTTACTTCCCCAACAGTAAGGCCAAGCATTGGACTTGTACCCAGCTAGTGGTCTATCTGGCTCCCAGAGACATTTGTGACTTTTGGGTTGCAAAGACTCCTTGAGGTGGGCTGTCATCTCAGGGAGGTGGCCATAGGAGTTAGCAGCAGATAGGAGGAAGACAGAAGAGCAAAGACATCAGGCTGTAGTCTAGACAGACAGGAAATGATAGAACAGTACAAGAGTGGCCAAGGTGTGGGCCCTTGGGGAGGGCAGAGCCAGCTGCCAGAGGAGGCTGGCCAAGGCCATAGGTGAGGTCCAGGCAGAGATGTCAGTAGATAGTGGTGACACAGAAAAGGGGTGTTGTTCTTAGGCAAAACCCAGGCCTGAAGAAGTTGCCACACTGTGTGGGATTCTGGGTGGGGCCTTTGGCCTTGGGCAAGAAAAGAGAGACATGAAGTCTGTGAATGAGGTGTTCAGTGGTGATCCTGTCGCTTTGAGCCAAGCCGGGGGAGCTCAGCTGGCAACAGGCCCAATCTGGAGCCCGTGGGCACAGAGATTCAGATGTCCAGAAGCACTGGGTCAATTTGGGATCCTGGGAGTGAGGACCCATCTGAGATATCTATGTGGGCAGGGAATGTCTGAGTTTGCTCACTCTGCAGAGTAGGAACCCCACGACAGTTTGTTCAAGAAATAAATGGATGGGCAAGTGGATGAATGAAAGGAACCAGGTGAGCATAAGGGAAGGAGAGCAGGGTTAGAGATGAGTTTACTTCTTCCTCTTTTACCTGGATTTCAGATAACCTTGGTTAAATTCTAAAAGAGGGCCAGGTGTGGTGGCTCACGCCTGTAATCCCAGCACTTTAGGAGGCTGAGGTGGGAGGATCCCTTGAGGCCAAGGGTTCCAGACCAGCCTGGCCAACACGGGGAAACCCTGTCTCTACTAAAAATACAAAAATTAGCCAGGCATAGTGGTGCACGCCTGTAGTTCCAGCTACCAGGGAGGCTGAGGCGCGAGAATCACCTGAACCCAGGAGGAGGAGGTTGCAGTGAGCTGAGATCGTGCCACTGCATTCCCACCTAGGTGACATAGTGAGACTCTGTCTCTAAATAACAAATAAATCAAAATAAACTGTGAAAGAGGTTATCTGCTATCCACAACCTCTCCCTCTTTTCTTTATCCTAGCTTTACTTCTACCTGCATAGGTTTCTGGGGCTTTCACTCAGCTCACCTTAGTGCCTCACGCCTTATCGCCTACTATCCAGCCTCAAACCTGTTCCTTTACTTCACTGCCCAAGTTCCCATTCCCTCTGCAGTGGATCTTGGTCAGGTGTGTTTGGAGAAAAATAAGATGATTGGATGCATATGATGCATATATTCTTGTGTGCAAATGGCTAATAATTCTTAATATTCGAAAGGGCAATTTGTATTTTCAAAGGGGAAAATTCCTAGTCCTTGATGTCTTGAGGTGGGAACCAGGCAGTCAATGCATCCAGCTGCACTGACGATTCTGCCTCCTCCTCTTTTGAACCTGCATCTTCTACGAAAGTGCTAAGCTTAGGGCAATTTCCTTGGGGACTCTGGCAAGGTGGAAGTGAGGGCCAGGCAGGGGCTGGTGTACGGGGTGGGGACATGTTAGGGCCACCTACAAGGAGTCGCTGATGCTCCATTGTCTCCCACTTGAAGATGCATGTATAACTTGGTTGGACTTTTTGTTTCTCTTTCATTTTACTTTTTTTAACACCTCTTTTTTGGTGAAGTATAAGACGTATATAGGAAAGTATACTATGTGTGGATATACTGCTTTAATTATTTATAAAATGACCTCAGGCATATATTTTCATTGGGAATGAGCCCTAGGCACAGAATTGTTGGGACACAGGATATGTGTATGTGCCCAAATGCCGTACTGTTTTCCAAAGTGGTTGTACCAATCTGCACTTCTGCTAGCACCGTTGTGAGAGTTTTCATAAGTCCTCATCCTTTGCCAACACTTTGTGTTACCAGCAGTTTTAACTTCGGCTCTTCAGGTGGTGTGCAGGGGTATCTTGTGGTTTTGGTATGCCTTTCTCTCATTAATAGTGTGGCTGAGCATCTTTCTGTATGTTCACTGGCCAGTTAATTCACCTCTTTTATGAGTTGCCTGTTAGATGTCTCACTCTCCAATGTACTGTTTTTCTATCTATGGGCTTGGAGTGTCTGTCAGTATCCAGTTGGAATATTGGACTCTTTTTCTACGTAGCCATTTGAGAATTGCCACTTTATTGGGCTTGGGAGAGGGAGCTAAGCAAATCTTTGAGAAAAGAGCAAATGACATCTTTTTGTGCCTGTTTTTACCTAGGCCAATTATAGGCAGAGCATCGACAAGTTGAAGTACAGCTCGGTGACTGACACCCCACAGATTGTTCAAGCCAAAATCAATGCCCAGCAGCTGAGTCATGTAAGTAACTGTCCCTGCCCAGCTGGATGTAGGGGTCTTGAAATTGCTGCTTTGAGGCCTCTGGACATCTGACCTCCAAGGATTTGACTTTCATAAATTGTGACACATGTCTTATTACAGCCAGAAAATGACCCCCACTTCTTTTAAACTTTTTATTATGGAAAATTTTGAATACATGCAAAAGTAGAGAGTATAGCATAATGAATCCCCATGTACCTGTCACCCATCTTCAACAGCCATCAACTCATGGCCACCCTGCTTCATCTATATGCCTGTCCAATTCTCCTCTTCCATATTATTTTGAAGCCAATTTCAAGTATTGTATAATGTAATCTGTAAATATTTCAGTATGAATCTCTAAAAGGTAAAAAAGAAAAAACATGTTTATATAATTTTAACATATCACATCAAAAATCTAACAATAATTCTTAGTTTCACCAATCATCCAAAGTTCAAGTTTAATTTCTGGTCAAGACTGCTTCTCGGATGATGCCGTATTCATCCAACAGGAGTCACATATCTGGTTGGCTGTCTTTTGTGTGTGTGATTTAAGATGGATTTTTGTCATTGTGGGCAGGCATTTGATAATTACCCTGCCTATAACAAGATATTCAGCACTGCAGCAAATGTTTTTTAAAAAGTTCAATATTCTCAAGTGCGTGTAAGGGGAGTTGGTGAAGCAGTCACAGGGAATTCTTTTGCAAACTCACAACTTCAAGTGTGCCTTTGAGTTTCTTTAGTTTTCATTTGACACCTTCAGTTCATTAATTTAAAACATTCACAAAAAGTACAGGCTGCCTTGTAAAATGCCTTTTCTGGAAACTCCTTCTCAACTATGGGTCTAAGGGGGAAAGAGCTATGGGTCCCTAAAGTTCTCTTTCTGCCCATATAAAAACCCTACAGATTTATTTTAAATCCAACAGGTGAATTACCGTGCTGACTATGAGAAAAATAAGTTGAATTACACATTGCCCCAGGATGTTCCTCAGCTGGTGAAGGCCAAAACCAATGCCAAACTCTTCAGTGAGGTAAGAGAGCAATGTGGGGAGACGGTGGAGGGGGTTATAGAGCGATGTGAAAACAAAGATAACAGGATGGTCCAGCAAGTGGGAAGTGTCTGTCCCTGAGAAAGGCTCATCAGAGGCATCCATCAAGTTGTAACTTTGAATTTTGCTATGTCATGGCACGTTGTAGTTTACTAGTGATAAATTGGTCATAGCCATTTATTCCCATTATATGAGCATGTGTACAATCTATGTGTGAACACACACACACACCCCCCTACATGCTCATCCTCATCACCCTAGTGAACTGGTGATTTGCTGTGTGGAGGAAATTTAAGTTTTAAGAAGATCAATCTGCATCATCAGATTCTCCCTGGAGTCACAAGTGGGCTATGAATTGGCTTCTAACTCTAGATGGAATTTTGGGGGCAGGAGAAGAAAATGAAAGGAACTAACATTGTTTAAATGCCTGTTCTATCCTGAGGCAGGCACTGTGTATGTGGAATTATCATAAGTCCTAGAAGGTATTGTAGGGACACAGTTGGTGGCATGGGCTTTGGTGTCAGAGAGACCTAGGTTCAGAAGCTGGCATTGCCATTTTTTAAATTTATGTAACCGTAGGTGAGCTCTTTAATTTCTCTGAGCCTCACAGGCCTAATGTGAAGATTTGTGGTTAATGAGTAGAAATCATTTAGGAAAAGGCCAATAAACAGTAGTTATTGCCAGGGCAATGTCAATACCCCACACTTATGTTATGCTTCACCAGTTTAAGATCTCTTTACATATATTCTATCCAATTTATTCTCACAGCAATCCTGAGAAAGAGAATATGATACACTCTTTGCAAATAGGAGATTGAGGCCCCAAGAGGTTATTGGCCAAGGTCACATGATCAGAAAACAACAGAGCAAGGAGCAACACATGGGGCTTCTCTTTGTCCTATTCCATTACCACTGGCCTGCACAGCTCTACAGCGAAGGAATCAATTAACTGTGTTAATAATTACTGTTATCATTTTGATAACAACAGCCGAGCCTCTGGTCTGTAAATAGAGGAAAAATCCAACTTTGCTTTGAAAAAATCTTTGACGTTTGGCAGGAATATGGGTAGCAACTCCTATTCACTTGTGGTTTTGTTTGTCAGGTTAAGTATAAAGAAGGCTGGGAGAAGACAAAGGGGAAAGGATTTGAGATGAAGCTGGATGCCATGTCTCTGCTGGCCGCCAAAGCCTCTGGGGAGCTTGCTAGCAATGTACGTTTCCTCTCATTAACTCAGGAATGCATAAGAAATGGTTCCAATAAAATGTCAGTGGTCCTGCTGAAAAAAATAATGACTCTTAACATTGTAAACATCGCAATACTTTAATCTTCTTCTGGATTTGTGAAAGACTGGGAGGTGTTTTTTCAGAATTGTTCCCCTTGCACTTGTTAAAACCAGAGCCCCTTAGACGGCAAAGTTTCTCTCTCACTCACAGTAGACCTTCTTCTTTCTCTCAAGATTAAATATAAAGAAGAATATGAAAAGACAAAAGGCAAAGCCATGGGAACAGCCGACTCTAGGCTTCTGCACTCCCTGCAGATTGCTAAGATGAGCAGTGAGGTAAACTCTTTTCTAACCCCCAACCTCTCACTTACAGTTGTGTTATTTTAAAAGTTTTCCCTGGGCCTACTTCACCTGGGACTGTAACCTTTTTATTGACTTCTACCTGCAACTCCTTTCTTTCCTGGCTTGCATAAGAAGTTTGTTTGGTTTATTTGTTTTGCCAAAGCATACTATTTTTTTTTAAATAGATAAGGAGTGTGGCCCTAAGGGTGACAGCATCTGCTGATCAAGGTACAAAGGTGTTCAATTGCATTTATTCATGTCACAAATGTTTGCCAAGTGACTACTATGGGCAAGACACTGGTCGAGACCCTGGGGCTATAAGAATGAACAGCGCATAATAAGTTTCTCCCTCATGGACCAAAAGCGTCCTGCTTATTGTGGTGCTGTCCTGGTCCTGTGGTTACAACACTTATGGTATTCAAATATTTAGCAAGCTGGGGCCTCCCAGGCTCCAGCCAATCGGAATGACGATGCTTGTAAACAACTGTAATAGCTGGAGAGGAACCTTGGTAAATGTCATTTACCAAGAGGCTTTGGGAAAGGAGAGTTCTGCTAGAAGAGACAGACCCAGTTTCTAATCAAGTCTTCCCTGCTGATGCTGAATAGGGAAAAAGACACAAAAGATTGCCTGCTCCAAGCTGTGAGGCCAACTTATGCTGCTCTGATGGTACAGTTGGATGTAATTATCCAATGAGTCATTAAATAGCCATAGCTTGAATACAAAAGAGGGTTGGCATCTGGGTCGCCATTTTGGATGTGTCTACAGAACAAGCCGAATGAAGTGCATAGTCATAAGGCATAAAGAGGCATTGAGAATTTGGCTTCAGTTTAGACAGAACACATTGGTGTTTCATATTTGCAGTTGGAGCAGCTGGGGGTCAAAAAGACTGTGTCTTTCCCAAAGCCATGTGGTAGTCAGCAGTAGTGGTAGAGGGGTAGCAAATTAGAGCCTAGAACTCTTATTACCTGGCACCACACTCCTTCTACTATAGCATACTATCTTCTCCCATCAGCACTACCATCGTCACCACTATCACCATCACCTTCACCATCACCATGGTCATTGCCACCACACCATAATTACCATCACCATTGTCATCACCATCATCAATCACCATCATTGCTGCCATCATCACCATCATCACTACCATCACCACCACCACTATCACTATCATCATCATCACCACCGAACCACCATTGTTATTGTCATGCGAATATTTATCAAGTATTTGCTATGTGACAGTCCCTGTACTAAGCATGTTTCAGCTATTATTCATTTACTTATCACAACAGTCTCCCAGAGGGAAACAAGTCCTTAGAGAGGTGACATAACTTTCCAGAGGTCACCCTGCTGTTAGAGGGCAGATCAGGTTTGAACTCAGGCTTGTCTGGCTCTGCAGCCCAAGCTTCTTTATTCTATCTCTTAAAGCATCTATGAGAATTGGGAATAGAGTTTTCTCCTGGAGCAGCCGGGTGAAAAGGTTTAGCATTGGCAAGAGACAGTCCTCCCAGAAACAAAGTAGTATGGAACCTCAGCTCCCTCATGATGCTGCCTTTCAGAGCCAGGACTTGGGCCTTTCTGACAGAAGGGTGGCAGTGCCCAGAGTGCCGATTCTCCTGCTCCCGAAAGCCCGGAAATCTTTCCTGCATTTTCACATCACTCCTGCAAAGGGTGGGCTTCAACTAACAAAACGGGCCTTGTTTTGGTATATTCAAGGTTGAATATAAGAAAGGCTTTGAAGAGAGTAAGACCCGGTTTCACCTGCCCATGGATATGGTAAACATCAGGCATGCTAAGAAGGCCCAAACTCTCGCCAGTGACCTGGACTACAGGAAGAAACTGCATGAATACACTGTGCTGCCTGAAGATATGAAGACTCAGTGGGCCAAGAAGGCCTATGGGCTCCAGAGCGAGGTGAGCCCACACATTATCAGTTCTCTTCATGCATCTCTTGCAGTTGGACATGCTTTCAGAGTGATTTCAAACCTGTGCACGAGTCTATTACATAACTTGGAAGACTAGGAAGAACTGCAGGAAATGTACCAGGGGGCCAGAAAGGGCAGATGGGGAGGTAGAGATATAGTTGACACAATGGAGACTGGAGGGCTCACAGCTAATGCTAAAGTCAAGATGTGTTGGTGATGGGGATGAGCCAAGGAGAAGAAAATGTTTAAAATGGTAAATAAATCTTGGAAATTTAGCAGGTTGGCAAAAAAAAGGCCCTTGGTCAACAAATATGAGAAACACTCTTTTTGCTAAGGTTGCGGTGTCTCAGCAGTAAGGTAGAGCATGCTACTCTTGTTACAAGGTGGGCCCGGTGGCTGTACCTCCCAAGTGGAGATCTGCCTGACCATAAAGGAGCAGGGAGCAGTTCTTCTAGGAAGGCAAATGCAGGATCAAGATCTTCTTAACTCTCCCATCAACTTTGTCCTGTCTCTATCCATGCGCCCAATGAGAGCTTTGTGGTTTTTCTTTTGTAGCTGCAGTACAAGGCTGACCTGGCATGGATGAAGGGAGTTGGGTGGCTGACAGAGGGGAGTCTCAACTTGGAACAAGCCAAGAAGGCTGGACAGCTGGTCAGCGAGGTAACCTGCACTGGGGCCTCTGGCCTCCAGTAGTCCTCAGCCCCTGACACATGCAGGGTGATCTTTGCCTCTAATTCCCTTTCTCTATCCTCAGATTTATTTTGGCTGTGATTCAAAGTGGGAGTACTTCATTTCACACCTGTAGCACATTCTCAGCTAACTTTCCACACCCTTAAACTTACTGAGATGGTGTCATTAAAGAAGCCTACTGATTTACTTTAAGTAGCAGTTACATCCAAAGAATAATTTGGTTTAGAAAGGTGTAATATACAGCACCTGGGAAAACAGCACTTCTTAGGTGAGCAGCTTGTGATTCCTTTTGAATCAGAAAGTCCAGTATTTGGAGGATACTGTTTTCATTATGCCTGTGCCTTAAATTCACTGCAGATTTCAGAAAAGTCACTTAACCTTCCTGATCCTCTTTCCCTCGTATAAAAATGAAGAGGTTGGCCTGTAATCCCACTACTTTAGGAGGCCTAGGTGGGCAGATCACGAGGTCAGGAGATCGAGACCATCCTGGCTAACACGGTGAAACCCCGTCTCTACTAAAAGCACAAAAAAATCAGCCAGGTGTGGTGGCACGTGCCTGTAATCCCAGCTACTCAGGAGGCTGAGGCAGGAGAATTGCTTGAACCTGGGAGGCAGAGGTTGCAGTGAACCGAGATCGTGCCACTGCTCTCCAGCCTGGGCGACAGATCGATACTCTGTCTCAGAAAGAATAAATAAAATAAAATAAAAATGAAGAGGTTGGATCAGATACTCTCCCAGGTCCCTGCAGCTCTAAGCCTTTGCCTCTCTTTACACCATAGAAAGCTGGCTCTGGCAGCAGGCAGAGGAGGACGTTTGAAGGACATTTCGTTTGGAAGTGTCACTATTTCAGGAACTTTGTTTGGAATCTTCCAAGAGGATTCTTGTTTCAGGGCCAAGAAGGCTGAGTCGGCATATCTCTTGCAAATTATAATAATGGTGATAATAATAGCTGCCATTTAAGGGCTGATAATCATTATTGAATCATCACTTTGGGCGTATTATATACATACTGTCATGTATAGGTTGCCACAGTCTTCTGTGATTAGATGGTATGATTAGCCTATTAATATTCCCATTTTACAGATAAAGAAAGTGAGATTTAAGTTACACTTTAAGTAAGTAGAAGAGCTGGGATCTGTACCCAGTGTGTTTGATCTGGTGCCCCAGCTCTTGACCATGAGACAGTATTGTATCTCAAAAGCTTATCTTGTAATTTACTCTTATATTTCCACTGTACTCACCCTCCTCTGAGACAGAGACATATTTAGGATTAGAATATAGAATGAGGTGGAGAGAAAAGCATAACCCTTTAGGGCTTTCATTATCTAGCTTCTTGGAGACCAACTAAAGTCCAGGTGGAGCAATCAGAGCCCCGTCTGTCTTGGACAGGGGTGTAGCAGAGGGGAGAGAATGCAGCCAGTTGGTCCTTGAGATTCAGGAATGTCAGTTTCTATCTCATTTCCTGTATTACCTACTAATTTTTAAGCTCCTCCAAGGCCAGGAGGATATTACTTCCTTCACCTTTTTTATGTTCCTTCTGTGCTCTGTACGGAGTAGTTTCTTGGCTGCTCAGCAAGTACTTGTGATTTGACCAATGCATAGTCTGGGTTAACTAGGAATTTCCAACAATGGCGGGGTAATGTGACTCCCTTCAGTTATGTGGTGAAGGAGTTTTCCCATTCAACACAGTGGAACTAGGGAGGAAAATTAGAAGACTGTTTGGAATGTTTTCTCTAGAACTTTTTTCCCCTAAAGGCAGAAAATTTGGAGTTTCCAGTGTTCCAATCACTGTGTTGGGTTCAGTTGGTTGCTATAACCCTCTTGCTGATGGCATGGGGAGTTTTGCCAGAACCAGGCTGTGAGCTCATCTCTGATCTCCCTGCCATGTGAAGCTTTTGCTTCCACACGCCGTTTTCAGTGGCCATCTTTCCCAGCAGCTTTGGCAGTTTCAATGGAAAAGCCAGAGGAGCTAATCTTCAGGAAAGACAAGAAGTCCCGGAGGGGGGACAGAATTAGCACATTGAAAATTTGCCAATTAATTTGTGGCTGTGAGATGGGGACACTAGGAGGACAAGACCTCAGTGATCTGGAAAATCAGAAACTGTGAAGGCGAATCTCACCTGACCGCAGGCTTCTGTCTGTGGCTCTGTGTCTCCTTCCTTAAATCTGCTGCTTTCTGGACAATTGTGATAACACCATGACAATGGCTATGTCCTAACACTGTCCCAGGGACCTGACTCACAGGTAAAACATGGTGATGAAGCCTCTGCTCCCCACTAGACTGAAGTAGCTTCTACTGTTGTCCCCATTGTACACTCCAAGCAAGGGTGGCTCAGGTTGGATTGAGTGATGTGCCGGAGGTAATGAAGCTGGAAGGATGTACAGGCAAGATTTGAACCTCAGTCTTCATCATTGTAAAGTCCAAGTTTCCTCCACCTCACCTTCCTATGTCAGGTCTATATTTATAAAATGTATACCTCCCCAGGGCACACGGTGAAATACAGGGTTACTGAGGAAGAAAATTACATTTCCCATTCAGTAATAGCAACTAAATCAAGTTCACTGGAACAGGCTGTCTCAGGGCTGTGTGGTTCTGTTCAAGCTGCAGGAACAACTAGAACATTCCTCCCAAGGAAATGCTTGGACCACAGAAAGAATGTGTGTGTGTGTGGGGGCACATGAGTAGGGTGGTAGGGGCAACCCAATCCTAATGCTGTGGGGTCCCTTTCCTTTGGAAACAGAAAAACTACCGGCAGAGGGTCGATGAGCTGAAGTTCACCAGCGTGACCGACAGCTCCCAGATGGAGCACGCCAAGAAGAGCCAGGAGCTACAGAGCGGGGTGAGTCCTGGGCTGCCCTTTCTCCACCAAGCTGCTGTGTCATGGGCCTGGGGGACCTCCAGGGACAACAGCAGGTGCCGCCCAGGCACAATCCAGAAACCAAAGAGCCTTCCCTCTAAATAGGCTGGACCCAGCTTTCCCCAGGCTTCCAGGCTGTTTCTGGAACTGGACACCAGGCCCCTTGCTTCATCCACCACCATCTCCCCCGATTTTATTAGGGATAGATGCAGGGCTGACTTTATTCCTTTTCAGCTTCCATATTCTCTAGTTCCTTTTTTCTTCTGACTCCTATCTCTCATCAAAGACTCTAATTCTGGAGCCAGGAGAGAATTATCTTGGGGGAAGAAAACATTTGCGTTTGGGGTGTGTGCAGGTCACACCCACATAAGCGTATTTATGGGGCCAGAACAAAGAAGCACCACACACATTATTTACAGATTAGTTCTCTACACCAAGGAGGACCATAGTTGCTGCAATCTGTCCAGGACTTTCCTAGCTTTCCTTCCTAAAGGTCCAGGTAAGATATACCTGCCAGAAAGGATACTATCAACATAACTCAGAGTCAGCAGAAAGCCACTGTCAGGAAACTCAAGTTGGGGGTGGAGAGGAAGCAAAGAGAGAAAGAGAAGAGTGATAAGTTTGCCATGGAGGAGATGTCCACGCATGCTCACTTCCTGGTGTCAGTACCCATGAATGGATTAAGGTTGATTATGGAGGGGCAGGAGGCAGAGCATGCTTCTTATTTTTCCCACCTGGGGAGTCTGTACTAATCTGAACCCCCTGGTGGGGTATTTTTTTGGCCACAGACAGTGTAAATAGCAACAGCTTGCAGAGGTTGATACCATCCCAAAGGAAAGGTGTGAAAAGAGAAATCTTGGAGGGGTTTTCAGGTTGGCTCCCTGCTGCATTTTTCTCCCAGCTCCTCCCCACTGCTTCTCCTTCTCTCATCATCTCCTTGACTGTATCCTGCCACTCAGAGTCTGATCTGGTGGGTTTTGTAATGGACTTTCTGTGCAAGTCAGAGAAGTGCCAACCAGACAGAGACACCATGAGGGATGCCACCCTGCCCACCTCGCCCTTGCCACCTGCTCCTGACTCAGTGCTCTTTCCCAACAGGTGGCCTACAAGGCAGGAAATGAGCAGTCTGTCCATCAGTATACCATCAGCAAAGACGAGCCTCTCTTCCTGCAGGCCCGAGCCAATGCTGCAAATCTCAGCGAGGTACAGAGAGAATGAGTGGGCAGCAAGAACTCTGCTCCCCTTTGTGTATAGCCACCTGGTAAACCAAGCCCACCAGCCATGGCATAGTGTCTGTATCAACTGAGGTTACATACATCTGGTTGTTGTAAAAACAGCTCACCCAGCAGATCTGGCTCCTGATCAGTGTTTTAGGGGGAGAGGAGGACAGCTTTCATAGGAATGAGCTAGTGGAGGACTTGAGCTGCTGATTGTATCCTGGGGTTGGAGGTAGGGGTTATTCTAGGTGCCAGAGTTGAAACAGCATAATCGTGTTAGAGGGGAGTAAGAGCTCAGACATTTGCTCCAAATGGTCTGGGTTTGATCCTCGGTTGCCACTTACTAGGTGTGTGACCTTGGGCAAATTCTTTGTTTCCAGGTGTCCCATTGGTAAAATGATACCAATATTAGTCCCGTCCTTACTGGGTTGTCATGAGGTTTCAGTGAGTCTCTATACATCAAGCACTCAGAGGCAAGTGCACAGTGGTAGCTGTTAGTCATGAAAGCATCCATAGTTCCAACTTCCCCTTCTCTGTATCTTCTGGGGAAAGTGTTTTCTTGGCTCTCCCTGCTTAGCTCCCAGGTCTTTGGGTTCCTCATCTGAGAAATAGATGGGGAGGAGAATTGGGAGGAGAAACAGAGGTTAAATTGATTCACATGCAGAAAGGGAAAGGAGGCTTCCAGAAGAAAGATCTCGACATTTGGAGATAGGAGCAGGAGAGAGAACAGGAGGCGCAAGGAAAAGACCCAGGTGGACTAGAGAGGCTGGGGGAAGGCGGGAGGAAAGAGAAAGAGGTGCAGCTGGAGCCGCTGCTGGCAGGGTGGGGTGCGTGGACAGAGATGGAGAATAGACTTTTCAGAAATGTCGCTGTGTTGTGCGATGTTATCCTGCCTTTGGCATGTTTTTGAGACTTCCACGAAAACTCCTAGTATTTGTTAAGGCTTCTGGAGTTTAATTTCTGCTTTTTTTGATTGAAGCCCTATGTGTTAAAAGGCCTTAAGGCAGGAAGAAGGCCTGGCTGTATTCAGACTACATGATTTCTGTGGCTCTCAGAGAAGGACGTAATAATCAGTATTGCTTTCCTAGAATCGTCATTAGAATCTAGAGAAATGCTCTCACGTGAGAACCCTCTCACATGAAAACCCACTCACCTTCTCTCCTAAATCCCCTTAGAAACTGTATAAGAGCAGCTGGGAAAACCAGAAAGCAAAAGGGTTTGAGCTGCGTCTTGATTCCTTGACCTTCCTGGCAGCCAAAGCCAAGAGGGACCTGGCTAGCGAGGTGAGTCTGTCCCCACCTTGTACAAGAGACCGCAGAATCCTGCCTTTTTATACCGGGGAGATTCTCTGAGTGTCTGGGCAGGTTCTTAATCTCTCTGAATCTCAGGATTCTTATCTGTAAAATGGAGATGATAGCAATCACCTTGCAATGAGATAATCACATCTGTGCCTATCTATTTAATAACTGCTTGCCACACACTGATTTTCAGTAAGTGATGACTTATTATTTGTAGTAGTAGCAAGAGTAAGAATCCAAATTTCTCGCTTTACAGATAAATTGATGCCCAGAGACATTCCATGACTTTCTAAAGACGTTGTGGTCTGTTAATGGTTAATACAGGCTCTGGTGTTAGATAGACCTTGTATAAAATCCCACCTCTATCATCCATTAGCATTGTTACTTCAGGCAGATTGTTTAAACTTTAAAAATCTCAGTTAACTTGCTGGTAAATTGGTAATTGCAAAATAATGACAACGAAATGGAATGAACTGACGTACATGAAGTGTTGTACAGCCTAATGCAATCTGTTAGGAGTTGGATGTGAGAGAAGAAGCTTGAGCAAGGATGTATGTCAAACTCTGCTTCCTTTATCGAGAAAGTCTTGCTTCAAAAAAAGATCAGGTGAACCAAAAACAACTGGCTTGGTGATGTGGTTGGTTTACATTCTGACATAAGCTCTTTATCTTGTTCTTAGTTGGTAACATTTTACAAATCGGCACTGGTCTGTGGATGCACTTGAGTTACACAGGCTTGTCCTGTGCTTGGTTTATACCAAGTGTTCGATAAGTGGTGGCAGATATTGATACTGTTGTTGTTGTCAGAGCTGAGAGTAGAACCGGAATCTACCACTGGCCAGAGCAATGATAATGTTGAAAATCATGCCCCACACTGGTGCCTTCTGACAGTTTTCACAGCTTTTTCATATTTATTCTTGCTTCTGGTCCTTGTTACTCTCGACCTAGTGTTATTTTTCAAACAATGTGCTCCTTTTTGCCCCTCATACTCCCCCAAATATGTATGTACTCCAGTTATCTTTTAATTTCAGTTCCTTTCATGAGCAGCAATTGTACTTTGGCTATTCTGTATGCTTCTCATTTCACGGCTACTTTTATTTATAACCCTGAGTTTTCTGGCAGCTGAGGTGAAAAGGGAAATAATAGGTAATACTATTTTCTTTCACTGATGAAAGAAAATGTATCGGATGCTCAAAAAGGCAAACTTTCATATGATTCTAATTCTAATAGGATTCTGTCCAATGGCTTTGTTTCAGCTCCCATGCATGGAGTCTGAAGCCTAACAATTCCTTTAGGAGGTTCTAATGTATCCCTGCTCTATTCCTCTTATTTAGGTGAAGTACAAGGAGGATTATGAGAGATCCAGAGGGAAGCTCATTGGGGCAAAAGATGTACAGGGAGATTCGCAAATGAGCCACTCACTGCAAATGTCCAAGCTGCAGAGTGAGCTGGAGTACAAGAAGGGATTCGAGGACACCAAATCCCAATGCCACGTCTCCCTGGACATGGTCCACCTCGTGCATGCCCGCAAAGCTCAGCATTTAGCCACAGACGTAGGCTACAAGACAGCGGAACATCACTTTACGGCTTTGCCCACAGACATGAAGGTGGAATGGGCCAAGAAGGCTTATGGCTTACAGAGTGATGTAAGCTCTGTGTGAGTGTGTGCACTTGTGTGTGTATGTGTGTGTTGTGTGTGTGCTAGTGCAAGTGTTTCCCTAAGCCATTCAGTGCAACAATTTATGCTATGGGACACCTGTTTCTGGATCCCTAAGTGGCAACACTTTACTTTGCTAGTGGTTTAACTTTTATTCAAACTAGACCGATTTTAGGTTCTGTACTAACACACAGAAGAAATCATAGAGTTACTTTTTCCTTCTTGGAATTCTGGACTACATATGTTTTCCAGGTTTCTTTTTATTGCCAGGGGGGAGGTATCTTTGTGTCATTCCTAGTGGTGGCCTGCTAGGGGAGAGCATCGCTGATAACTCACCCCGACTTTGATAGTCCCCATTTTTGGAATGGGTGGGTTGCTAATTTTCAATAACCCTTTCCCTGTCCTCCTTATCCTCCCCTCCCAGTTCTACTTTCTGTCTTCAGGTAACTCTTGCACAAGAATGGGGGTGAACTGAAAAGGCAGGTCAGCTGCAGCCAGACTGTCACACAGGAAGGTTGTGTGTGTGTGTGTGTGTGTGTGTGTAGACACACCCTTCCTGGTAGAGCTGTTTCATGATAGATGGTGATATACTAGTTTTAGAGAAGTGTCCATTTAAATGACTTTCCATTAAAACTACTCATTCAATGGCAACTAAAGAAATGAGAAGAAATACACCCTGCCCCCCCACTGAGGTGGCTAGGAAGGAATCAGCACTGTGGGAAGCCTCCGCTGCCTTGTGAAATTCCCTCAAATAGCGCCCGCCTGGGTTCTGTTGTGAATTCTCATTTTCTTGTCCCCCGTGTGTCATTTTAAACAAGAAAACTGGTAATGCAGACAATGAGGACGTGCTTCTTTCCGAGTAGACTCGTCCGTAATGAGGGGCAAGCTTGGTTTGGCCCCTCCTGCGTCACCCCCAATAGTGTTGGATGGGGCCTAAAGCCACTGTCCCAAGGGATGGCTCCAATTAAAGGGGGAATTAATTGACTTTTGGGAGCCCTACCTGTGACTTTGCAGAAATGCATAAGACAAAAGTGGCATCTAATTTGACTCAGCTGGCACCAAGGCTGTGTTGGGAGCCGCTAATAGCCCTTTAAATGTCTGTGCACCAACAATGGCCTGCTTTTTTTTTTTTTCTTTCTCCTTTGTCAGAACCAATACAGGGCAGATGTGAAGTGGATGAAAGGCATGGGCTGGGTCGCCACCGGGTCATTAAATGTGGAGCAGGCGAAGAAGGCAGGAGAACTCATTAGCGAGGTGAGATTTCCTGACAGCCTGTAACAGGCCTGGCTGCATTAGGCGTGCGGCGTCTCTGTATAAAATTAAAATAATTTCCACTCAAAAGGCAAAGAAAAAGGCAAAGCCACATGAAAGGCCTCAAAACCCAGACTAGGGCTGGTAATTAGAGGGAAACCACGTACGAAACACACACCAGTAGGGGCCCTGGCAAAAACAAAGTGGGTGACAAATGATATTATGAATAATAATGACAATCAAACAGAGCTCAATTGCTACCCACCAACTTACCTTTTTAATGAAGCAACACAGGAGAGATGATGAAAAGATACATTTATGGCACCCAAAAAGCTCTTTGGTGACTTTAGGCACATTTTCTTCCTCTCCCTTTCTGCTACAGAGTCAACAGTTTTTGAATATTCACGTGGTGGCCACCATGTGACATGGTTCTTTTTTGAGGGAGAGTCTCACTTCAGTTTACTCAGTTCTGCCTACTTATAGCCACCTTGGCTGGACCCTACAGCACCACTGCTTGCGAAAAGAGTCGTTTCTTCGTATTTCAGGACAGTGTCAATGAGCAGCTCTTTCTGAGTTTTTCAACTTCGGCACTACTGACGTTTTGATTTTTCTTTGTCGTGGGGTTATCCTGTGCCCCGCAGGATGTTTAGCAGGACGTCCTACAAGGATGTCAGTAGTGCCCTCTGTGACAACCAAAAATGGATCGAGACATTGCCGAAAGCCCCCCAGGAAGCAGAATTGTCCCTGGTGGAGAGGCACAGGACAAGGCTCCCAGGAGGCTGGACACCATCAGACCACTCACACCCGTGCTCTTTATGTTTGCTTGCAGGGAGACTTGATCAGAAGACAAGTGACCATTTGCCTAGTTGTCTTCAGAGTAGGCCTGGTCTTTCTGGACTTTTCTGGGTGGGGAGGGGACCATAATGGCCATAGTCCCACAGGTTGTTAGCTTTGGCAATGAGCCTCCTGGATTTTTTTTTTTTTTTTGAGGAGTCTTTCTTTCTGAACCTATAGTTAAAATAGAAAGACACCCTTGTTGGTTTTTCAAACACACCTGTCCAGCATTAGTATTTTCCCATGGAACGGCATTCTCACTACCTGGCACAATGCAGAGTTGACTTCAAAAAGTGGCCTTATGCTGATCAGCCTGATTTTTAGGGACCTTGGTCAACACTCAAGGCTCAGAAGACCCTGGGAACTCCATGGGGATAGCACTGCTATAATTTGTTCATTCTAGTTCAGGAGAGGCCCTCTGGGAGGATAAATGTGAAGAACTCACAGGAATAAACATTTAGGTTTGAGGATTCATGATCCCAAACTCTCAATATTGGGCTCACTCATAAAAGGAAATGAAGACTAAAGACCATATTTGCATAATTTAGACTTCAGGGTGATTTCCTTCGTGTGTCTTAATCTGGCAGCCAAGGGATCTTCAGGGGACCATGTATCCCACAGTTGTTAGTTAGCCACCTCATTTTGCATACTTTCTCAACAAATTTGCTTATCCTCTTTGATGGGCTTGTCTCATACTAGTCCTCAAAGTTTAGTAAGTAAGGCAAGGCATCTTTCAGCAACTTTCCCCCCCATCTCATTTTAGGCTGTCACATTTACAAGTTACTGTCGAATTGGGCCACCTTCTTTTATTTTACTTATTTATTTTTGAGATGGAGTCTTGTTCTGTTAACCAGGCTGGAGTGCAGTGGAGTGATCTTGGCTTACTGCAACCTCCGCCTCCTGGGTTCAAGCGATTCTCCTACCTCAGCCTCTTGAGTAGCTGAGATGACAGGCACCCACCACCACACCCAGCTAATTCTTGTATTTTTAGTAGAGACGGGGTTTCACCATGTTGCCCAGGCTGGTCTCAAACTCCTGATTTCAGGTGATTCGCCCTCCTCAGCCTCCCAAAGTGCTGGGCTACAGGCGTGAGCCACTGCACTCGGCCTGGGCCACCTTCTTAATTCCAGAGAGAATGCCCGGCACTGTTGAAAGAGCCACAAATGCACACGCACACCTACGATCCAAAGCAGAGGTCAGAAAGCCTTTTCTGTGAAGGACCAGATAGTAAATAGTTTTGGCTTTGTAGGTCATATTGCCTCTGTCACAACTAGCTGGAAAATGGCCATAGGCAGCACGTAAGTGAATGAGCATGGCCATGTTCCAATAAAACTTTATTTACAGAAACAGGTGGTGAGCTAGATTTAGCTGGCTATTGATTTGTGTTGTCTTAAGACAACCCAGTGTACAAAAATCCAACCAGATAAAGAAGAGTGTGTTTAAGACAATTATTCTGCTTTGGAAAGCATAAACTCTATGATCTCATTGAAGTAATTATGGTTTCTGTCTCCTAAAAATGTACCTTGATTTTTAAAAAAGAAATTAATTTAAACAGATTTTCAGAATACTTCAAAATTGGGTATCTAGGTCTTTGCCAGCATTTTTGTGATTTTTTTTTTTTTTTGCTTCAGTGTCTTTCAAACTGTGTGATGACTCCTTTGAATAATAGCACCCTTTTTCCTGTTATTGTAATATTTTAAAGAATTATTTCCTGTGTTAACTGAACTAGGCTCTAATGTGACTGGACGGCATACGCTCGCGGGCTGCTGAATGTGAGGGTTTTGACTGCAATAATGTCTGTCAGTGTTTTTTTGTGGAAGGAAAATAGAAAGCTTAAATGGATAAATGTAACTCTGAATGCTCTTTCTTGCTTAGAAGACCCAAACTAAGATATGTAAACAACTGCGACAAAGTATTTGAAGCCTATAAAAAGAATCCTTTTCTAAGTGTGTATCCTACAGTATTTTACTAGTATAACCTAATTTTGAGATGTTTTCTTTGCACCAGGTAGAAATACTTTAATGTTAATTGACATGAGGTTATTCTTAAATTGAAACAAATATTAACCTGAAGGCACCTAGGATATAAAGATGGAGGAAGCAGAATAATAATTGTGTTCACAAATTCACTCTAATCTCAAGCAACCTATGATTTTCTCTTTCAAATGGCATGAAAGAGCAGCACAAAATTCACAGCTTTGATCTTTTTCTGCTCAACAGAAGAAGTACCGTCAGCATCCAGATGCTTTGAAGTTTACCAGTATTAAAGACACTCCGGAGATGGTCCAGGCCAGAATTAGTTATACCCAAGCAGTGGATGTAAGTGATAATGTATATACATTATGACTCTAAGAGTGGGCTCTTCTTTCAACACTGCGATTGAAGCGGAGGGGTTCTTGGGTTTGCTCCTTCTGTTGTCCTAAGGATGAAGGCGCTCCCTGTCCTTTGCAGAGGCTCCCTTAGCGGGGGGTGCTTCCTCATTAGGATGCAAATGGGGGTGTTACTGCACTTAGAATGCCAAGTGGGGCTCCACCACCCCACTGCCCCAAGATGCTCTCCCTCCTTCCCATTTGCATGTCTCACCGATTCATTCGTGGTGAGGCTGTTTTCTCCTCTCCTTTTGCCTGAAAGTGTTGTTTTCAGAACTGGGTGAAATTCTTGGTAATTGGAATCCTGACGCTGTGCTTAGAGCTCTTTAGGACCCAAGGGCAGCAATTGTTGCTCTATGAATTTCCCAGAGACTTTGAACATGATTTGGGTCTGATTTATATACATCAGACTAACTTTCAAGCCATTTCCCATACTCCTTTATGATGCAAAACCAAGATTTGACCCTTTTCCCTCTGTGGGAAAGGTTGGCTGGGGTGCAGGGTTGCAGGGTCGGCTGGAGACTAAAGTGAACGATGAGGTGCTGAAAAAAAACACTTTGTGATGTAGATTAACCCTGTTTGGCTGATTCTGCTAAGAGATACCCATGGATCTTTGTGCAGGGCAAACCTGGCTTTTAAATACCTTCAAACCATTCAACTTTCCATGGGGAAAATTTACAAACCTTGGGGGCATAGCTTTCAAAATTCTCTTCCTTGTTTCCCAATTGAGCAAATGATTCTGGTTGCGCTTTATTTGACAGGCATTCTGAAACAGCCTGAGTGCCTGTCAGAATCTGGGATGGGATGATTTACAAGCTTATGGATTTAGGAATTTATAACTTCTTCATAATCAGCCCATCAGAATCAAACTGAATTCTGAGAAACACAGATGGTCAAACAAGAACTTTTGTATGAAGAAAAACAATACCTGTTTCTTCCTTATCCTAGCCAACTCTAGGGGGCACTGCTGTGATACGTAGAAACTTGGATACATCTGATAAGATTTGGGATGGAAAAACCCTGTTTGGAAACTTTCTCTGGTGGCTGATGCCAACTGCATGTGTCATTATTAACTATCAGGGTATCCGAAGCTTGGGTCAGAGTTCTGGGTAAATAGAGTCCCAGATCCACCCAGGAGACATGTCTTAGGGGAAGAATATTTGAGACGGGGGAACGGAGGAGGATTGAGATAGGGAGGAGAAAACCTCACCTGTACAAGAGCCATCTTCTTTCTCGCCTTCTGTATCTTGATGCCATCTCATAGCTGATAGTTAATCACCAAATTATTACTAGGTGTTAAGTAAACCTCGTTTTCTCATTTGACACCCATCTCAGCAGTTTACTATGAGTGGGGCGTTCACTGAGGGGAATGCTTCAGCTTGTCATGTTCTGAGCTAGGAAGCAGAGCTTGGAAATGACATGCGTGTCACCGTGCTAGCTGTAAAATCTGGGTGGAGGCAGGGTGCCCGAAATCATGTCTCTATGAGGAGGTGGCAGCTGCAGCAGCTTGGACTCTTGAAGCGTAACCTGGCTGATGGCTGCATGGAATGGGGTCTAGGTTTCATGCAAAACCTCCTTCCATCCACAGAGATTATACAGGGAACAAGGAGAAAACATAAAGCATCATTACACACCGACTGCTGACCTCCCTGAAGTCCTGCTGGCCAAGCTGAATGCCATGAATATCAGTGAGGTGAGGCTGACCCAAGGGGCACGAGTTTTAATGACGGGAGAGCGGGGCTGGTCATGGGCAGGCACACAATGCCCTGTGCTCAGAAGCCCCTGAGCTGGTTTCATGTTCTGCCATCACCACCTTGAAATATGTGATATTTTTGAACAAGGGGCCCCACATTTTCATCTGCACTAGGCCCTGCACATTATGTAGCTGGTCCTGCAGAAGAGTCCAGCTCATTTGAAAGAATGATCTGGGGACATTCTCTGCCTAGTTCAAAGAGCATTGGTTTGGAGGAGCTGGAAAGTGGGAACATCAGAATATAGCTGAGTATATCCAGTGGCTATACCAAGGGAAGACTTGGGGCTTAACTCCTCCTCTCCAAAATCTGTCAGCTCCCCTGCCCACCATTTCTGTTCTTTGGTAGATACATCTGACTTTTCTCTATCTGACATAAAGCACTATGCATATGCAATCTCATGCCTTCTTCCAATCAAATTGCTGCTTAGAAAAACTGTGTCTGTTTGACTCTAAAGCCTTTGCTTCCTCTCCCCTCTATGCCTCAACCCATCCCCCCCAACCCCATCCCCTGCCTACCTCCAAAGAGGTGGGCACGAGGCAGGATCCAACTCACGTGGGTTTAGCTAAGCCACCATGATCTCTAACTCCAACTGGCCAGGGGAGGGAGGGGACCCACCACAAACCAGATTGCCAATTTGGTAAGCCAGAGTTTAGGAAACCACCAGGTCACTTAAAGGTCTTTCCTTGTGCACATCTTCCCGACAGACGCGTTATAAGGAATCCTGGAGCAAACTTCGAGATGGTGGCTATAAACTGAGGTTGGATGCCCTTCCATTCCAAGCAGCAAAGGCTTCTGGTGAAATCATAAGTGATGTGAGCATTCACCCCCATTCTTGTGACAATGTTCAACACTAACCCGTTTTCACTCCTTTTGCCCGTAACTCCTGCCTTCTTTTGCCTGTGGATAATTCCCTGTCCTCTCCGAACTGACTGTGTCAGGGCAATCAGATAATGACCAGTGAGAAAGAACATATCTTGCAACAAAAAATTCCCCAGCCTGGGATACAAAGCCAAATGCTGGACTGTAAACATAGACCCTGGGCAGATGAAATGCACCCTCCACCGAGGTGTTCATAAAGAGAGTCCATGTGAAGAGATGGCTAACAATGCACCCACCTTCCTCCAGTGCGGGGCCGCCCACGTGCTAATGCATCCTGCCATTTCACAGCCGAGCCCTTTAGTCATTGGGAGTCTTGCATATGAAAGAATAGCCCTTTTGACGACTCCCGCGCATTTTCTTTTAACTCACCCAGCTACTGTCAAAAGAACAAAACATTTTCACCCAATGCCCACCTCTTCCATTCTGTGTCCCTTATCCCTGAGCTGTTCCTCTCTCCCGCTCTCTTTCCCTTTAGTACAAATACAAAGAGGCATTTGAGAAAATGAAAGGACAGATGCTTGGTTCCCGGAGCTTGGAAGATGATATCAGCCTTGCACATTCAGTGTATGCGACCTCACTGCAGAGTGATGTAAGTGGGGGGAGAGGCATCAGCGGCTGCAGGGCCCCCACCTGACAACGCTCACTGCATGGCAACCTAACCTCATTTGTCCTTCTGGACATGGGTATTGGTTCTGTTGCTAACTTGCTACGTGACATTGTTAAATCACTTGTCCCCTCTGGGCTACACCTTCCTCCTCTGTAAAAATGAGGTGCCGGACTGGTTGACCCCTTAGTTCCCTTCTGGGCTGGGCATTCTATAATTTTCACCAGTGGACATGGGCCACTGGTCTGGATTTGACCCTGGGCTGGATTTGGCCTCCAGGGGTCTTTCATTTCGTCTGCAGAGTGGATTAATTGCAAATTTTTAAAAATGGAAAATTTTATATAAAAGTGTTAAGCTTCTGGCCAGAAGCTGGACCTGGATTCCTTAAGGCTACAGTTGGTTGTAGTGGCTTCCTGACCAACAGCTCCATTTAGAAGGGATCCATGCAGTGGGCCAGGCAGCCACCCTCCTCTTCACTTCCTGCTTTACTTCTTTATGCTACCTGCCTGGCCCCTGTAGGCGTCTGAGTTTGCAATGACCCTGTCATTGTTGGTTGTGACCCTCTGGAGGCTGGCAAATGTGTGTAGGTGCTGTCTCCTTGCACATATGTGAGTTGGCTAACATTGGTGATGAAATCTGTATCCAGCATGTTACAGAGGCTAAACGCTTTTATATACAGTGTCTCAGTTAACTGTCAGACTATCTCTAGGAACTCCATCTTGTTATTCTTCCTTATTTTCTCATAGGGAAGTAGAAACTCTGAGTGATTCAGTCTCTTGTCCAAGGTCAGCTACATAGGGGCAGAGCCAGGCCGTGGAGCCAGCTCTACCTCTCATGGTCTTTCCACAGCTTCACGTGTTCTCTGCCATTTTGTATTCTGCCCCAGTTTCCCCATTCATAACTTTTTTTTTTTCCTTTCCATCTTGAGTTGCTGACCTAAGAATATGAGGTTGGATATGAACTGTCCTTGGCATTATGCTAGGGTGAGGACAGAATGAATGGAAGTGGGGATAGGAGGTCAGGGAGGGGTGGCCAGAGCAATGAAAGACAATGGAAGGACAAAGGAGGATGAGGAAGAGGTGGTGATTCTGCATCTGATTATTCCCAGAGTTTCCCAGACCTTTAAACACAGCTCCTCCAAGGACTATAGTCGAATCTATGGTCTGGAATGGGTCTTCCCCTCCCTCTCCCAGGGTGTGTTTTGGGTTTTGGGGAATGCCTATCCCTGAGGCTTGACTCTCCAAGCATCCTCCCCACTGCTCCTGGCTCCCACGTTGGCTAGGAAAATCATTGAATGCTTTGAAGAAACTCTTCCTAAGCTAGTGTGAGAGGAGAATCCCTCGTGTCTGAACTTGAGTGGGCGATGGGAAAAAATATGGTGGGCAGGGAGCGATGCATCTTCTTGCCTCTGAAAAATAGAAAGATCTAAAGATTTGAGCAAGGGAATCACTGACATTATTTACTGTTCCTTGGACTTTTGTATGTTCCTCAAATGAGGGAACCATGGGCCTTCTTCATCCAGATCAATGACCTCCAGGAGCTGGGGGTGGTAAGTGTCAGGGCCTAGAGACAAGCCCTGGTTATTAGGCCAGTCTCTGCAAGAAAGGAGCACTGGCCCTGCCAAGAACTTCCCCTGGGCTTACCTCCAGACAACTGCATTGCAGTTGCCCTCCCTGATGGTCCTGTTGCAAATAGTGGCTTTGAAATAGCTGCTGTTGCTCTGTCTGCCCCTCTAGGTGAATTACAAGAAAGGCTTTGAACACTCAAAGGCGCAGTTCCATCTGCCGTTGGACATGGCCGCCCTGGTGCATGCCAAGAAGGCTCAGACCCTGGCCAGCAATCAGGACTACAAACATCCACTGCCCCAGTACACTTCCTTGGCAGAAGACCTGAGGCTGAGCTGTGCCAAGAAAGCTCACAAATTGCAGAGTGAGGTAAGGAGACCTGGCCTCTTTCTCAGGGCCCCTTCTTCTCTTAGGACCTCAGGGTGGTGACCTCCAGGCTCCTGTTGGCTCAGTGAAATCTCTGGAAGTGAGAAATCCTAAACCCAAGTCTTATTTTGAAACCCAGTCTGAGAGTTCCTGCACATCCCTTAAGCACAGTTACACAAATCTAATCATAACCACAATTTATTATTTTTTGCTGCACTCTAAGCATTGTTTTATGCATTATCTCACAATCAGCCCATATCATTAGTTTATTCTCATTTTACAGAGAAATTACAGTGAAATGCAGAGAAGTTAAATATCTTGTCCAAGATCACACAGCTATAGTTAGAAAGAGAGGGCTGGGATTTGAACTTGAGGTTTGAATGACAAAGATGCCCTCAAGGTTCATGGTTGTGCATGTTTAAGATTTGCCAATGATATTGCCTCTGGCCTCAAGTCTCAGGAAGGATTCCTCTTGGTGCTTCATGCGTTCCTGTGCCACCCGCCTTCTGAGGAGGGCTAAGATCTGTTGGGAGAGGCTGCTCAGAACCTGTCAGGACTGACGCACTTCAGGGAGTGGAGAGGGAAATCAGGGCCCTGGAGACCCTCCTTGGGTCCCTTTGAGGAGTCTTTGTACTCCTCTGACATGCATTTCTCACTCGTGATCCCGATTTCTGAAGCAGACAGGCCCAGGAGGGTCAGGAAGCATTGGAGACTTCCTCACTCCCAAGGAGAGCCAGAGTGTTCTTCCCAACAGGCATCCACATCCTGTTCACTACTCACCTTATTTCCCAGCTTGCTAGGTTTCCATGCTATGAGATTTGCAGGTAATGGGCCCGCTTAGGAAAAGAAAACTCCGCACAAAACCTCTTTCCTGGTTTGGCAGTGCCTGCGATCTGAGCGGCACTCAGATCTGGGTGTCTGTCGTCTGTTTGGATTTTACGCCTGTGTACAGCGTTTACTGAATGACATAAACTGTCAGGAACCTGAGAGCAGCTGTAGGAACGAGGGAGCTGCCACGCTCATCTCGGGGGCCCGTTTGTCACTTGAGCGGAGCCCTCACTTGCCCTGCCTCTGGTTGTGATAGCGATTGGAAGGCAGGACGCCCAGGGGGCGCCTCACTGGCTGAAGGGGAGTGAATGTGGGAACTCTTTAAACTGTCAGCCCGAATCATTCAGGTACACAGACTGGCCCCCACCCACACGAACTCAGGCAGGCCTTTGCCAGATTCTTTTGGATTTATTTATTAGTTCTTTCTTAACCCATGATTAATTAATGCCACCCGCTGCTGCTGAGTTTTGTTTTAGAAGACCTGTTAGACCATTTCCACATTTGCCCCAAGACAACTGACTTTCTAACCACAATCCGCTTCAGTGTTTATTTTTTGATAGCCCACATTAAAATAAAAATCTGTCTCGCTTCTGTGGAACAGCTACTCTGAGACAAGTGACAGCAGAATTATTTTCTTCTGACCTACATTGCTTCCCCCCTAGTGAGCATTTACCAAGAAGTGTTTGTGCGTTGGCTGAGTTTAATATATCCGGAGGGACGGGTTCAGCCTTGAGTTCTAATTATGACGCTGTCAGATGCTGTGTCATGAGACCTCTGGTTTTGCTTTGCTTCCCTGTTCTGAGAGCTTGGCTTTTCTGATTCTTTGTATTTATTATTTCTTCTAGAATTTGTACCGGTCAGACCTGAACTTTATGCGAGGTGTTGCATGTGTCATTCCAGGCACGTTAGAGATTGAAGGGAGGAAGAAAGCATCGGAACTCATCAGTGAGGTAACTACAGATGCTGGTGTTGAGTGTCCAGGACATTTCCACAGCAGAGGATAATCAGTTTGTTTCTTTCCTTTTTCTTTCTTCCTTTTTTTTTTTTTTTTTTTAATTTGAGATGGAGTCTCGCTCTGTCACCCAGGCTGGAGTAGAGTGGCACGATCTCTGCTCACTGCAACCTCCGTCTCCTGGGTTCAAGCGATTCTCCTGCCTCAGCCTCCTAGGTAGCTGAGATTACAGGTGAGTGCCACCATGCCTGGCTAATTTTTATATTTTTAGTAGAGATGGGGTTTCACCATGTTGGCCAGGCTGGTCTCGAACTCCTGACCTCAAGTGATCCACCTGTTGTGGCCTCCCAAAGTTTTGGGATTACAGGCGTGAGCCACTGCGCCCAGCCAATCAGTTTGTTTCTTACCACTAAAGCCAGTTGGATGTTAAACTCTTAGCAGCAGTGACTCACTCCGTAACCCCCTGGGCTGGACTTTTTTTTTTTTTTTTCTTACTGGATTCTCCATTCAGACTGCATGCCATTTAAGACAGCTTTGAGGATATGGAGTCAGTTCCTCTATTAACATATAAGGATTATTCACTGGCCCATGCGATATTCTCTCTGTGTCCCTTTGAAGAGTGGCCCTGTGGTACAATGCAAACAAAGCAGCCTTTGAAGACCAACAGAGAGAGATTGACATTCCAGGCCAGCACTGATTTGCTGTGTGACCTCAAGCCAGTGACCTACACCTCTCTGAGCCTCCACTTCTTAATTAGTCAAATGGGTATACTCAGACCCCTCTCTTTTAATTTTTGTGAGGATTAGCACTAATCTAAGCACTGTGCTTTTCTGGCAGCTGTATATGAAATGGTTACTATAAGCTTGAAATGGTGATAATTTCTTGGTAAAAATAAAGAAGTCTTAGAATTCTAAGCTTTCTGATTTCCTGGGGAATCTTGCTCACCCCTGGGAGGGTGACAGGACTTTAATTCATGGTAGATGCAGGGACAAGAGGGGATAATGGAAGGTACTGGAAGTAATAGGTGTTCAGCAGTCAGCCTGAGTGCTCAGATAAGCTTATGTTTTGCCTGCTAGGGGAGTTTAGATTTAACCTCATGCTTTGCTTTTCCAGAGAAATCTCTAAAGCAAGTGGTCTCTGTACCTCATGGTGCATCAGAACCTTAAAAAACCTTAAGAAATGCAGAGGCCTGGGCCCCACTGACTAATTTACTGAATCCCAGTCTCTCAGGGTGGGGTGTAGGCACACCTATTTTAAAGTTTTATTTATTTTTATTTTAGTTTATTTATTTATTTATTTGAGACAGTCTCACTCTATCACCCAGGCTGGAGTGCAATGGTGCGATCTCAGCCCACTGCAACCTCCGCCTCCCAGGTTCAAGCGATTCTCCTGCCTCAGCCTCCCAAGTAGCTGGAATTACAGATGTGCACCACCATGCTCAGCTAATTTTTGTATTTTTTAGTAGAGACAGGGTTTCGCCATGTTGGCCTGGATGGTCTCGAACTCCTGACCTTAGGGGATCCCACCGCCTTGGCCTCCTAAAGTGCTGGGATTACAGGCATGAGCCACTATGCCTGGCATGTCTGTTTTTTTAAAGCTGCAGTTTGTGATATGCCATCAAGGTAGAGGAGCACTGGTTCTCTGTCCAGCAAAGATCTGGAACAAACCACAAATTTAAATAGTCATGTTCACATTCATGGCAAAGGACTAAATCTCCCTTTTCCATTTAGAAGGTTCTGATTCAGTCCATCCTATCCTCCTCTCTGCTTCCTCATCCCAGTGAGTTTTGGGGTCACAAAGGCAGGTGACAATCTGGATTCTGGAGTGATAGACTTGCAGCCTTTGCAAAACGAGGCTTTATGGCTAATACTTAAAGAACTGGTTCTGCTTCTGGTTTTTATCCCTTACGGAGTCGTCTTCTTCCCTTCTTGTGTGTGAATTCAGAGTAAATATCGGCAGCATCCCCACTCATTCAAGTACACAGCTGTGACAGACACTCCCAACCTCCTTCATGCGAAATTCAGCAACCAGATAACGAATGAGGTAAAATCTCCTGATGGCTTTGGAATGGTCTTTTTAAAAACTGCTCGATTGTTAAAAATACACGTGAATGTGTTTGGGGTGAGAAAGAGCATGGGTGTTTATGTGGAGGTTTGGAAAGAAAAGAATGTCATTATATGGAACCTAAACATTTTCCAGAGGAAATGAAAGCCCAGTTGGGAATCTGGGATTGTCTGTAGTCTTGCTTTCCAAGTGCAATCCCAGACCAGCTACATTAGCATTGCCTGGGAGCATACTGGCAAGGCACAACCTCAGATCTACTGACTCCAAATGGTCATTTGACAGGATCATAAGATGATTCTTTGGCACATGAAGATCTGAGAAGTACTGGTCTGTAATTCATTTGTTCTATCTAGGCAAATATTGGCTAACCAATTTTACATTGTCAATCTGATGTGGGAGGATTTGTGGTTATCCAAGGACAGTTAAATTGTAAGATGTTTGTCAGGCTTCTCAATTATCTACCTTCTCCTCTTCTCACTCACCATTTACCCAATTTACACTTTCATGTATCCAGCAGAGGGCAGGTGCAAGGGAAGGAATCTCATTCTGTAAAATTATCATTCCAGCCTCATTGATTCTACTTCTTCTTAGTGGCTCTCTTACAGGTTCAAAATAGGTGAGCTTGGCAGAGAATTACATTTTGAACCACCTTTAGGTTTTAAGATTCTCCTTCTGACTCTAACTTATAGAAGTCAGCTGAGATTTGGTTATTTACCCTATTAGTTCCTACTTGCTTCAACTGAAAAGCAAGAAATTGCAGCTTGGGCTTAAGGATGGAATTCATGATCTTTTAGAGTGATAGTATCACTTTTAAATTCCTATTTCATCTTTTCTGCTTACTTTATGAGCTTTGTGCTGTGGGATAACAGTGCCTTCTCTGATGGCCTCTGGCGTTAGCCAACTCAGCAACCATAGACCCATTTCTTTTTTTCTTTTTCTTTTCTTTCTTTCTTTTCTTTTTTTTTTTTTTTTTTTTTTTTTTTTTTTTTTTTTGACGGAGTTTCGCTCTTTCACCCAGGCTGGAGTGCAGTGGTGCTATCTCAGCTCACTGGAACCTCCGCCTTCCAGGTTCAAGCAATTTTCCTGTCTCAGCCTCCTGAGTACCTGGGGTTACAGGCGCCTGCCACCATGCCCGGCTAATTTTTTTTTGTTTTTTGTTTTGTTTTGTTTTTGTTTGTTTGTTTGTTTGTTTGAGACAGAGTCACGCTCTGTCGCCCAGGCTGGAGTGCAGTGGCGCGATCTTTGCTCACTGCAACCTCTGCCTCCTGGGTTCAAGCAATTCTCCTGCCTCGGACTCCCAAGTAGCTGGGATTACAGACGCCCGCCACCATGTCAGGCTAATTTAGTATTTTAGTAGAGATGGGGTTTCTCCATCTTGGTCAGGCTGGTCTCGAACTCCTGACCTTAGATGATCCATCCACCTCAGCCTCCTACAGTGCTGGGATTACAGGCATGAACCACCACGCCTGGCCCTAAGTTTTGTATTTTTAGTAGAGACGAGGTTTCACCATGTTGGCCAGGCTGGTCTCGAACTCCTGACCTGGTGATCCACTGGCCTCATCCACTCAAAGTGCTGAGATTATAGGCATCAGCCACCACGCCTGGCTCATAGACCCATTTCTAATCATAAGAATGGATGTTTTTGTACAAGATGAGGCCATCCAGGGCAGCATTGGTGTGATTCACCTGTGGAAAGGATCCTGGGGCTTTAGTAAAGGGTACAGGCCTGGGTTTGGAGATGTCCCTTCCACCTCCCTTCTCCTAAATTTCCCAGGTCTTTGTATGATCTTTATGCTCTGTCCTCAAGGACAAAGTCTACGATATAAGGAACCTCAGGAGTATTCTTAAATTTATTTTTCTTTCCCTGGCCTATTATTCAGCAAAGCACATTGCCATTCCTTACATATTCCTTTTACATCACTCGATTTGACTCCTGAATGATTGTCTTTATTGAAATAAACATCTTCCCCAAGACTGGAGATGTATCCATGACACAATGAACGGTTTTTTGCTATTGTGTTTCCTCAACTATCGTTGAGGGACTTCCAGCACTGCAGAAATGCACAGCACTTATCTCTTGCATTATTATTATTATATTTTTTTGGCCTAGCGCCTCTATAAAGCAGCTGGAGAGGATGCAAGACACGAGTATACAATGACCCTGGGTCTGCCCGAGTTCATCCGAGCAAAAACGAATGCAGCCAACCTGAGTGACGTAAGCCCTTTTGTTACTTAAGTTCAAGCATGCTCCAAAGCCATGTATGTCTACATCTGTGAAGTAACCCAACACTGACCTTTCTGGCCTTCACAGAAGCTTTTTAAAATGTGTAGCTTAGATGCTCATGTTAAATACACCTTCTCACAAATATGAGTCCATGAGTGTACCCAGGGTGTGTACTAATGAGATTTGCTGCACAAAACAGAAATTGATTCTGGAACACTGTGCTATAAATGAAAGGGGTGGCCTTTGCTCGTTGATTCATGTAATTTTTTAAAAAAGATTTACATGTGTTCCCACTTTAGGCAAGATACAAAGAGTCCTGGCGTAATCTTCGTGCTCAAGGCTACAAGCTGACAATAGAAGCGCTCCCCTTCCAGGCTGCCCGGGCCTCTGGAGATATAGCCAGTGATGTGAGTTGAATGATATGACCTTCCATCTTGCCTAATTTCTGTTAACTTCATGTAAAACAATGTCTACGGCTGATTTTCCTGAATTAAAGCAAATCTATAACCATGTGAGACAGGATGTCACCTGCAGAATATATTAGTTATGAATGAGATTCTTTGAGGGGGGAAAAGAAAGGCTCTATTAATCAGAAGCTAAATTCAGGCAAAGGTCTCTAGCAGGAAGGAGATGATGATTTATTTCTAATTGCAACGTCTAGGCGACGGTCCCCTTGTAATGCATGACTGCCTGTCTTCTAACTCCACCCAGATTTAGAACGAGAACTCTCAATAGAAATTGCAATACAGCCGGAACACATCTCCCTCTTGGCTCTCTGTAGTTTCACGCATTGGTGTTAGGATTTGATGGCTGTGTTTCAGCCACTCTGTTGATAACGTCCATAGCTTTGGGACATGAAGGTGACTTTCTCTTTCCCACAAACAAATCACAGAAAAATGTGGACTTCAAATAAATGGATCCTGTCTTTTGGGTTTAATGTTTTGCCAAGTGCGAACGGATAAAGCACAAGTTTCTCTTTCACCCTTTTTGATAAATTCCTTTTGGCCATAGGACATGTAAGGGGAGTGAAGCCCTTCCTTTAGTTCTGAGGATCTGATTTTAATTAGATAGGAAGAATGGAGCGATGTTTTAATTGTTCATCCCCCAGGGAGGAAGGCACACTCTCAGGCCAGCCCCACTGTGGTTTTTCTTATAATCATCACCTCCTAGTGTAAGAACAAGTGATTTTTCTAGAGTCTGCAATGAAAACGCACAGATAGAATTTGACCGGCCAGCCCTTTCTTGCAGTTTCTCTACAGACATGACTTTGTGAAGGAGCGAGGGAAACTCATAGGGCCCCAGAGTGTAAGAGACGACCCCCGGATCCAGCACTGCCGGCGCATGGGCCAGCTGCAGAGCGAGCTTCAGTACAGGAGGGGGGCGACCAGCAGCCAAGCCCAGTTCCATCTGCCCATGGACATGGTGCACCTGGTCCATGCCAAGAATGCCCAGGCTCTGGCCAGCGACCACGACTACAGGACACAGTATCACAAGTTCACAGCACTGCCCGAGGACCTGAAGATGGCCTGGGCCAAGAAAGCCCATGCCCTGCAGAGTGAGGTAGGGGTGGCCTTGTGGAATGCAAACCAGCCCCCAGCCTTTCTCCTTTCACCAAACCCGGGTGTCAATCTCTGCTTCTTCCTTAGTCTTTTGGGCTCTCCTGCCCCTATCTGCCTTCCCCAAACAATGATTTGCTGGGTCTATGTCATTTAGGTTGGAATCATTCATTGAATCATTCAACTAATCTTTATTGAGGGCTAGCACAGTGGCTCACACCTGTAATCCCAACACTTTGGGAGGCTGAGCCAGGCGGATCACGAGGTCAGGAGTTTGAGACTAGCCTGACCAACATGGCGAAACCCCGTCTCTATTAAAAATACAAAAATTAGCCAGGCATGGTGGCATGCACCTGTAGTCCCAGCTATTTGGGAGGCTGAGGCAGGAGAATCGCTTGAACCCGAGAGGCAGAGGTTGCTGTGAGCTGAGATCGCGCCACTGCACTCCAGCCTGGGTGACAGCACAAGACTTCATCTCAGAAAAAAAACAGTCTTTATTGACCACCTTCTGTATACTAGCCACCATTCTAAGCCCTGAGAGTGCAGCAGTTAACAAAAGAGTCAAAAAATTCCTGTGCTCAGGAAACTCCTGTTATACTAGAGGGAGATAAGCCATGGTGAATACATGAAATATGTAATATGTCAATGGTTGTACATGCTATGGAGACATATAGAGCAGGGAAGTGGGGCAGGAGGTGTGAGTGTGCGTGTGTGTGTGTGCGTGCACGTACACGTGTGCCATTTAAAATAGGGCATTAGGGTAGTTCTCATTGAAAAGTTGATATTTGAGCAAGAGCCTTAAGGAAAAGACAGAAGGGGATAGGGAACTCCAGGCAAACTGAATAGCAAGTTCAAAGGCCAAGGACTTGAGTAGGAGCAGCCTTGACCTGTTTGAGGCTGAAGTGAAGGAGCAGCCTTGGCCTGTTTGAGGCCGAGTGAGTGGGGATGGAATCACAGGGTCTGAGCAGGGCCTAGGCTCTGCGGAGTAAGGACGAGGGTGGTGATGTGATAAGACTGTAACCACCGCCGACTCTCACTGACTGCTCGCCTTTGCTTTTAAACTTGCGAAAGCAGTCTGACGTGGGGGCAGCTGTTACTCCTGTTTTAGGGATGAGGTCATGTGGGAAGTGCCTAGGGAGGGTGGGCTCCAGAACCCATTCTTAACCATCCTGCTCTCTTGGGGGGAGCTCAGAGCAGGGAGCCATGCCCCTCACAGCACAGGCATAGACCCTGAGGCTACCTCAGGGAGGTCCTTCCCTGAGCAGGGGCACCAAGCAGGCTGGTGGAGAGCACTGGCCCCTCCCACATCATGGTGCAAGATTCTGGAGTCAGACTTCTGAGATTCCAACCATAGCTCCCCCACTACTGGCTGGGTGACCTTGGACAAGTTCATGTCCTCTCCAAGCCGCAGGCATGGTAACGATGGCATGGAACATGACGATAATGACAATGGGACTGCGTTGCAGTGTGGCAGGCACTGCGTCTCACATCCTCTCTCTAGGCCCACAGCATCCCTAGGAAGAAGGTGCTCTCATTTTAGAACATAACCAGCCATCTGTGTCAGGGTTTCTCAACGTCTGCACCTTTGACATTTTTGCAGGCTAATTGTTTGTTTTAGGGGCCTGTCCCGTGCATTTCAGGATATTTAGTAACATCCGTGGTCTTTATCCTCTAGGTGTCCATAGCACCCCACCACCCAGTGTGACAACAAATGCCCCTAAATCTTGCCAAACAAATGTCCCTGAGAGACGAAGTTATCCCCCGTTGAGAATCTGGTTCTCAGTGGAGAACTGGTCTATATGAAACAGCATGATACCTGATCCATGGAAACACTAGAATAAGTAGTAGCTGTTTGAGTACGTTCCTTGCGCCAAGCCCCTCAATTCTGGTTGCCTTCAGGGCAATGACTACTGCTAGATTAATTGTCGATAGCAACAAGTGGGGTATTCTAAACACATAATCAATTATTATTAATTGCAGTAATGATTTTGTTAATTTAATTATCATTGCATTATTAATCACAGTTTGCTGGAACTGCAATATCATGTCATTCACCATCAAGCAGAGTGTAGAGTAGGGTGCCTTCATCTGGGTCCCACATAGGGGATTTAGTTACTAAAGTGCCAGCCCAAGTTCCACTTACAAAGTCCTTCCATTTGCTAAGCAATCCTGAGGGCCCCCAAAACAGCTCATAGCATGACTCTCTGGTGCCCAACCAGGGACCCTCTTGTCAATGGCCTATTTCTTGGGAGAACAGAAACCTTCTGGGACAGAACAGGCACCTGAGGAAGGTAGAGAGGCCACCTGGGAGAGGTATGGGAGGTGGAGCTGGAAGTCAGAGGATGTGTGTGGGAAGCCCAGCTCTGTCACTGTGTGTCCATGAGCAGTCACTTCCCTTTCTAGGCCTCCATCTCTCCATCAGAAAAGCAAAAAGGGGCCGGGTGTGGTGGCTCACACTTGTAATTCCAGCACTTTGGGAGGCCAGGGTAAATGAATTGCTTGAGTTCAGAAGTTCGAGACTAGCCTGGGCAACATGATGAAACCCTGTCTCTACAAAAAATTAGCTGGGTGTGGTGGTGCACACCTGTAGTCCCAGCTACTTGGGAGGCTGAGGTGGGAGGATGGCTTGAGCCCAGGAGGCAGAGGTTGCAGTGAGCCATGATTGTGCTACTGCACTTCAGCCTGGGTGACAGAAAACCAGAGACCCTGTCTCAAAAAAATAAAAAGAAAGTAAAAGAAAAGCAAAGAGGTTCGATTTGATCCACCATCTTAGACTTTGGGATTCTTGGGAAAATGGCTTTTAAATGGTGGGATCCACATAATGTCAAATTTTTTTTACTAACTGAGGAAGAAGGAAAAAAACAAACACTACCTTAAGCTACCATGTATGTCACTGTTATTTCTGAAAAGAAAGGACATTTTCACACTAAAAAAAGAAAGCAGAGAGAACATAATCTAAAATGGAGAATCCCTCCCATGAAATTGTAGTTGGCAATCTTATGCTGACATTTTAAAGGCAGGATATGTATTACATTTTTAAATGCTAAGAAGTGACTGCTTAAATTTTAAATGACCATATTATGCTGTACGCATTCCTTTTAAGCTGCAAATTGGTTAATGAGAGAGTCTGGATTCGAAGAAGCTGTGAACAGGAGTCCCTGAAATGTTCAGCTGGTTCTGAGGCTTCAGCTTGATAGCAGCCATTATCAAAACTCCCATTTCACGTGTTTCTATTATGCAAAAAAGGAAACAAGTGCTAAATAGGCATTACGTCAAGGGAGCAGCCCCAGCCTTCAGCTGCTTCTCCTGACTTTGCCCTCCCCAGGCCAGAGAGAAAGCTCTGGGTAGGGCCAGAGGGGACCCAGAGATGCTGAGGTTCTCGTGGCTATGGTTCATTCCCATGTCTTGCCCAGTTCGGACCAGCCCGGCCCAGTCTTGCTTGACTCAGAAATTCACCTGAGATGCATGCCTGGTCCAGGCAAGCTGCATCATGGGCAGGTGCTGATTCCATCATCTCTTCCGTGCTTCTCAAGTCGGCTGTTGCCTGCTCCCTCCGTGGTCTCAGACCAGGCTGCTGGGAGTCCGGAAAGGCACATGCAGGAAATGTCACGGAGACAGTCCCAGCCTCTCTGCATACAGCTGTGTGACCTAAGGTAGACTCCTTAAGCTCTCGGGACTCAGTTTTTCCCTCAGAAATAACAACAACAGCACTAACTAAAATGTATGGAATGCTTACCCTGGGCTAGGCATTGGCATAAGTATTTTGTGTAAACTATCTCATTTAATATCTAGGTGGGTACCAGTATGACTCCTCTCTTTACAGGATGCGGCGATAAGGCACCAGTAATCTAAGTAGCTTGCCCAAGGCCACAGCTGGTAGGGAAATGACTTGCTCAAGACTGTACAGCTAGTACAAGGCACAGTGAGGCTTCTAGCTCTTGCCTCTTAACTCCTGGTTCAGTCTCTTTGGCTTCCCCAGGTGGCTGGATTCTGAACCCAGGTGCTCTGTGTCTGTCCTCTTAACCACTACCTGGTGTGGCTTACCCACAGTATGGCAGCTGGTGGCTCTGCTGAGAGTCTGAACAATCATTTGAAAACCAAAATTGTTCTGTGAATGGGAATAACTGTTCCTTAGGCTGGGCATGGTGGCTCACACCTGTAATCCCACATTTTGGGAAGCTGAGACAGGAAGATTACTTGAGCCCAGGAGTTAGAGAACAGCTTGGGCAACATAGGGAGACTCCATCTCTACAAAAATAGAAAATAAAAAAAAATGAGGCAGTTGTGGTGGTGCACACCTGTGGTCCCAGCTACTCTGAGAGGCTGAGGTGGGAGGATCACTTGAGCCTGGGAGATCAAGACTGCAGTGAACCATGATCACACCACTGCACTCCAGCCTGGGTAACAAGAGAGACCCCATCTCCAGAGAGAGAGAGAGAGAGAGAGAGAGAGAGAGAATATAACCCCTTCTTTGCAGGATGGTGTGAGGACTGAATGAAATAATGGGTCTAAAACAAACCCCACTCTACACAAGGTCTTGATTGTAATGTTTCTTATTAATATGACAAAGATATACTTTACCCCAGGCACTTGCTGGGCACAATGGTTTACATCATTCCTTCTGCATTAGAACTCAGGGACTGAAAGCTGCAGCTTGAGCATTTGCAACACAGTGCTCCAAAATGGGGGTGCCGGGTAACCCCATGTGTGAATCCGAAGAGGTCTTCTAGACCTTAGTATGTAAGAGGGGAAAAAAAGTGAGGCTGCCATTTGGGGAAGCCAGATTCAGCTGTGCAGCTTTGAAAGGTCTCTCATTATCTTATAATCCTTCTTCGAAACCATCTTTGGGTAGCAGATTCTTCTTGACTCCCCTCCCCTGGCCCCCTCTTTTATCATGAAGTCTGGGGCAAGTGTGTTGTTTTTAGGGTCTGCGTGAATAGTCAAAGCTGGGCTGGGAGCTGAGATATCAATAGACAATCCATTTATAAGAGAGTTGGAGGCATAGTCAGATCTTTGGGGAACCTGCATCTTGCTTTCTGACTTACCTGGGATCGTACTGTTCAGCTCAACAAAAGGCAAGTTGAAAGAGCGCTCCCCACTTCATCTCGCTTATGAAAGGAGCAAGGCCCGGCTGTGAAGAGGCCCTGTAGGATTATTCTCTCCAACTTAGAAATTTATCCAATTTTCTCTGTTCTTTATCAGAGTGCAAGGCAAAAGCTTTGCCGGTGTAGACTGAAAGATCGTGGTATAAAAAGCAATCTTACTGACATGGGGTTTTGAAACCTGCTCCTGAGCCTGAGTGATGTCTCCCTTCACCAGTTGGAAGGCACAGTCGAATTTGCACAGGGGCATTAACCAGCAGACAGTAGATCAGAAACGGACCCTCTTTGAGGCCAGCTGTGAGGAACGCTGTGAATCCTGAAATGAAAGAGAACTAAAAAGGCTGAGAGGCTGATTTCTGGAGTGATATTTTGCGTTACAGCAGAGCTTATATCTAAATTAGAGAAATGCCATCAACTTCGTTTAGATCCAAATTTTAGATTTTCTTAGAGAGGCTTTTTCCACCTTTAAAAAATGCCTAATTTCCATAAAGAGAAGAAGAGAAGCATTCAGGCGACTTTCTCGTTGTAGGTAATGGTGGGCAGATCAAGGAATAGTAATGAGATTCAACATTTGGGAAGGCTACCAGTCAGACCCACTGTCTTAAAGCACCATTTATTATTTTCTCCCAGGACTGATGCCATAGCCTAAACTTCTGAGCTCTTAAAATGAGGAAAGAAAATAAGGCTTAGCCTATTTTTGGAATATAAACAAATCATAATGAGTAACAGTGGGAGGAGGTGGTAAACTGAGGCATGAAGCGGTTAAAATGGTTTACTCACTATTAGCTGGTGGCATCCAAATTTGTTTCCGTTTTTAAAGTCATGCTATAATTGACTTCTTTCCCCCTCCACTACCACTATCACAAGAACAAAAAATCTAACTTAAAGAGTGGCTCTTAGCCCTGACTACTAGCAGGTGTTTTTATGAGAACAGAGGGGTTGTTATGAACTTCGAGTATCACAGAGAGAAACTGAGTCACATTTTGGTTAAAGTGATTTGCTCCCAGTCATAGCAGGTTGAACCCAAGAGTTCAAAGCCTGAACAGTGTGCAGAATGTTTCTATTTAGGCAGGCGGGTAATGGCCTCAATGGCAGAATGAAACAAAATAATCCCAGCTGGTGCTTAGATATGAGCATATATCTCAGCTCTTTCTTTATGCGATCGTCCACATAGGTTGTTACTCTCGCTTTAAATCCTGCCAATTCACTGGTGGGACCTTCTTGTATCTCGTATGTGATGCATTAATTAATTCCTGGCAGAATGTACAAATTCAAACAGTTTGACTTGACGACATGCAGAATGTACTCCCAGTGAAGATGTTGAAATGTTGTGATGAAGCATTATTATAAATGCTATTACAAATCAAGGATCTTCTTGAAATGCTGTACTAGTCTTAAGCACTCTCCTGATAAAGCCCATGATTTTTTTCCCTGCAGTTGCGCTACAAGTCAGACCTGATCGGCATGAAGGGCATAGGATGGCTGGCGCTGAGATCCC
This sequence comes from Homo sapiens, assembly GCF_000001405.40. NCBI lineage: Eukaryota > Metazoa > Chordata > Mammalia > Primates > Hominidae > Homo > Homo sapiens. Next base: position 113,598,012 of record NC_000010.11, on the reverse strand, counting down.
CACAGATGGAGAGTGCAAAGAAGGCTGGAGAACTCATCAGCGAGGTACCATCAACCTGTCCCCACCACAAGTGACAAGGGCAAGCTAGCATTTCCTTTTGAAGAGGGAATCTGTTTATGGAGTGGAGAACCCAAAGGACCTCATGGCCACTGGACTCCCAGTATTTTTGGAGGGCCATGTGCAACCAAATCCCAAGACAGAATGAGGTTTCCCTCCAAATGAATTCACTGCTGAGGAACTGAAGGCATGATTTATTAGAAAGTTCTCAACAAATACATTTTGTACAATCGTTATCTAAACTGGCCCATTCTTTGTATGGAGAGGAGGAGGAATTTGCCACCCATCTACTGAGTTGACTCTGTGTCCAGAGGTTTTCTGATTTCTGATAGTGTTAAAATTTGCACAGGAATAGTTACATTAACTGAACTCCTTACCATACTAACAGCCTGGGGATCCCTGCCCTGGAATTCCCTCGAAGGTGACACTGCCTTCTTCAGTTTCTTAATAACAGAATGTATTTGGACAGGATCCAAGCAGGGCCACATTGATGCTGAATACTGCCCTTTACTGAATTCCTTTATTGTGGGGAGCCGTAGTATTTTGTGGCCTCTCTCTTCAAGAGAGTAAATACCTGTAAAATGTTCCATATCACAGAAGCAGCTGAATCTTTTTATACTCTTGATTGTTAGGTACCTACCAAGAAGAAAGGCTTGTTTTCCAACAATATGATTGGCATGTTAGGTACTGAGAAGGTGGAGTGAAGCTGCACCCTGAAAGATGCATGATGTTGGACTGTGTTTCATGAGAATCTTTGTCTTTATCTTATAGACCAAGTACCGTAAAAAACCAGACAGTATCAAGTTCACCACAGTGGTTGACTCCCCAGACCTGGTTCATGCCAAGAACAGCTATATGCACTGCAATGAGGTGGGTCCTTTCTTGTCATTCATCCCGGGCATGCAGTGTAGCACTGCTGCTCAGTGGTCCGGGTCTAAGAACACAGGCTCTGGACAGATGGGGGTGCAAACCTTCTTTCTACTACCTGGATGATCTGGACAGATGGGTGTGTAAATCTTTCTATGACCTGGATGGTCTTGGGCCAGTTGCTGAATCCCTTCTAACCTTGGTCCCTTTATTTGAAGGAGGTTGGGGTTTCGGGGAGGATAATAATAGCAACCATTTCATAAGATTAAATGAATTAAATGAGGATTAAATAAAGGCTCAGAAAGTTTTAGCAAGTACATAGAACACAGTAAGTTCTCAATAAGTGCTCCTTATCATGGTTTGATTCATAATCACAATGACAAGAATACCAAGTATTATTGATGATCCCTTGCCAAAGGCTAGGTCAGATACATGTTGCTTGTTGATAGATGGCAGTGGAATTAAAAGCTTAATATAACCCAGTTAAGAAAAAAATAGGAACAGCTGTATTTAAAGCTTCTTCCTGATTTTACTCTCTGTATAATTTAGCCCTATTTCCTCATTCCTGTCTTTATTTCAAGGAATAGGAAGTTAATGTTTTTCCCCTGAAATTAAGGGATTCAGTTCTACATGCACAGTGACAGAGCTGCTCCATTTCACAGACAGCCCGACTACTGTACCGACTGGTTCATATTTGTAAAGCCTCAGTTAAATTTGGGAATTGATCGGAATATTACAGTTTCACCTCTAAAAGTACATAAGACTCAAACACTTCCTAAAATTGTTTGTAATTCTTAAATCACTGCTTTAAAAATAGAAACCAGATAAATCTTTGAGTTTTAAAATTGTGTCTTCCTGTGATCCAGGTGGGCTATGAAAATACTAATTTCTTGAACATGTATTAAGATGTTTTATAACAAAAAGAACTTATTAACTATGCATATTATAATTATCACCATTAATGTTAAACAACAAAGGCATTGAGGCTGTATCTTGTTACTAGTAAAAAGCATGTCCAATGCTCAATTGCAAAGATTCTCTGAAATATCTACACATCTTCTACTGTGTAAAACACCCAGGTATGGCCAACCATGATGTTGGTTTGTGGCTTATTTGGAGCAGATCTTGAAGAATATTTTTAACAGTCTATTTAAAACCAGCTGCCCCATCTGACCCTGGCTATAAAGGCATCTTCCATCAAATTGTGGGTTCTGGAGGGACACTGTCCATGGGCAGGACTGGGTTCTGTTCTATGCGGTGGGCACTCAGGTGGGAGGGGCAGGAAAGGGAGTCAGTTGCTATTCCCCTGTGGTTTCAGCCCACACAGTTCTCTATTTACCATGAGCCCATCTTATCTACAGCGCATGTATAGATCTGGAGATGCAGAATCCCTGCACAGATACACCCTGATCCCCGACCATCCCGATTTCACCCGAGCTCGCCTCAATGCGCTGCATCTGAGTGACGTAAGTGAACTGGTGGTTCATGGAACGTGTGCCCACTTTTGTAAAATGATCTGTGCCCAATGTGGATTTCGTTTTTTTAAAAAAAAAAGTTCTAGGAAGGAGGACTTGGAACAGAAAGGACACTGAACTGAGAAACTGTTTGTGTGACTTTCAGTCACTTTCCTCAGTGGTCCTCGTTTTTGTTTTTTTTATCTGCAAAATGGTAATGGGCTGAGCTAAACTGAGATTCTTTCCAGCTCTAAAATTCTGACTTGGGTATGGCTCCAAAGATCTCAGTGATGTGCTGGGTAACCATGAGGGGAGTGGTCCCCTGGCCCTAGTGGGTGTAGACACCTGCTCTTTTTGTTTCCTGGACCCCTCTCTGTAGTCATTCAGAGTAGTGTCACTGGAGATAGAGTGGCTCTATCTCACCCCACAGTTTGGAAAGATGCTGCAATGGTAGCCCATCCCGTCCAAATGCAGCTCGCTCCTTTGTGCATGGGACTGTGGCCTCCAACACTTTCGTTTCCCTTGGACATGTGCCCTTTGCGTGCATAACCAAGCTACTGTTTCCTAAACCCAGGCTTGTTGTTAGCAGGGGTTGGAGGCCCCTGGTTGTAATAGAATAGGCGGCCGCTCGGCCAGCAAAGCTGTGATCCTTGGATAACAGGTAGAGAGACGGCAGAATCAAAAGACACTGTCAGATCAGAATAACACAGGCTGAGTGTGTTGGCCTGGGGCAGCGTAGGGCCTCCCAGAGTCCGGCCATTCTTCCCTCCCTGGCCTGGCCATTGTGTCCTGGGGCTCCGTGCAGATCAACAGCTGCTACCGTTCACCCCAGAGGTGGCTGCCTTGCAGGGATTGGCGAGAGGCGCCTTCTAGTTAGCGTGTGTATTAGTTTGTTGCGTTTGTAAAGCCCTGTGGGATCCCATGCAGTGAATGCGATGGTGCTTTGTAAATATGAGTTATTATGACCATTTGATGCTTTTGAGGGATGTGCAGGGGATAATTTTAGAACAGCAGCTCTGGTGGGCTGACCTCCATCTGGGGAAGCAGGACCTCCCCCTCAGCAGAGCCTGCACAAAACATCTATCTCATTAATGCTTCAAGGATGGGGGAAGGCAAGGCCTCCATTTGAGGAACGATTGGAGACCCATCGCTGTAGAAAGTGGGATAAAGCTGCCAGTGCATTTGGGGCCCGGCTTGAGGAGGAGAGCCACCCCAGGCTGGTGATGGAAGCATCTTCCCTCTCACAAGGGATGCCGGTCTGCAGAGTCCTGGAGCTGAAATTAGCCACCAGGGTATGCGGATATGGATAACTCATGAACCTCTTTTGAAAGAGCACTTCTTCGGGGGCGTGTAGAATACGCACAATTGGATCAAGTGCTCTGTGAGGAAGATGTGGAGGGAAAGTGACCTTCCTGGGCAAAGAAAGCCATTGAGATGTGTAAGGCAGCCGAAATAACTAAAAATCAAATGACTCTAATGTGTGAGGATGAGGACAAAACTGTGCCCACTGTGATAAAGAAGAGGAACGCCCAGGGTTCCAAATCAAAGCGCCTACGGAATCTAAAGACTCCCAGTGGCAAGGCAAAAACCTCAACAGAATAAAAAACTCAGGGAGGAAGTGATCACAACCAAGCAAATAGTACACAGGGAGAAGTCGCCCAGAGAAAGGGGCCTGCACACTCGGGAGACCCCCGATCTGGGCCATGCTTTCTAGTTGACCCTGAGTTACAGAGACTCAGAAGCTGGGGTGCATTGGACACCAAAGTGGGGTGACATTGGACTTCGATGTTGCATCAAGTTTGGTGTCAATAACCAGCCCAGATCTGGTGCGGGCATTCTTATTAGGAAGGCATGGTGTGCCCCTTAGAGAGAGTGATCAGGGTTTTGACTCTATTTGCTACTCTAACCTTTGTGGGGCCACCCAAACAGAAAGCAGAATGCTACAGAGGATCATCAGTCTGTCATAATCTGAACATTCCTACATGTCTTTCAGTCCTAACTGCTAAACTCAATGATGACCCAGTAAATCTAATCATTTTGGCTCTGTGATTCATCAGTTAGGTGATTATCCCAGGAACGAACGGTTCTGCATTTCCAGGGCCTAGAACACAGTAGACGTTTGGCTCAGGGTTTACGGCATCGGGTGTTGGAGTCAGAGGCGAGGATGGAGGTGAAGGTGGTGTGATCTGCAGTACAGAGAAATGATGAGATCCGCCATGCTTGGCCCAAGCACTTTGTGGTCCTCTCTAGTTCCAGGCCCAGTTGTGGGATGGGGTGGGGCACTTTGCTTTTCATCTGCCACTCCTCCTTTGCTTAATCCCCCCAATCCCCCGTAGAACAGAGTGCCAGCCTTGACCTCCATTTCCAGGAGACAAAAGGACGGTTCTTAAGGGCCCCCTGACCTGCTGTAGCTCGTGGAACGAGTGAGCAACCGACACGGTCTGGGGCTGTCACTTTGTCATCTGTTGGTGATGCGCCTCTCCTGCTGTCTCCCTTCTCTGTGGCTGAATAAAGAACAGCCCTCCACTGGGATCTCCAGATGCCTCCTTTTATAGAGCCATTCCCTTATCTTGAAAAAAAAATATTAGCTACATGAAGGCACAGAAGATTTTGATGCCTCTATCGGTGATGTGGGTCTACCTGAGGACTAAGAGGATATGATTACAGACTCCCAGAGGGCGTGTGAGAACAACTTGAAAAGGGAAAAAATGAAAGAGGAAGATATGAAACACATGGGTCAGGTACTCGGTCAGGTGCTTGACAATAAATTTAATTCAGGTGAAGGCTCTTCCCTTCGTGCAGGCACCAGGGGTGTATATGAGATGCAGCATGCCTCATAGTGATGGTGCAAGGCATGGCATCAAAGCCAGGCTGAGGCCCCTCCGGATGTCAGTGGAGCTAACAAACACATGAGTGCCAAGGCCCAAGGAACAGCACTTTCAGCATGTAGGAAGAAACTGGATTCTGGAAGCTTGAATTCTGGCACCTAGAAGCTGCAAACCCGAAGCACTGAAAGTGAATGCAAAGACAGGAAGGAGTGGGGTGGAGGCTTCTGATACCAAGTGGGTGTCGCAAATGAGCCATACCCGAAGATCACAAGCCCCACAGGAGCAGGGCCTAATGGGTGGGCGGGTTGGGGGCTTAGAGCTGAAGCCTTTTACGGCCAACCCCACCAATCCCAGTGCTAGGGAGTCGCCAAGGTGGACATGGAGCTATAGGCTGTGCCGTCCTAGGAACCAACAAAGGTTAAGAACCACTCCTGCTGAGTACCAGCAACATGGAAGACAGTGGAGTGACTGCCTGCTTACTCATGCTTTTGTTTTTCCAATCTAGAAAGTCTACAGAAACTCCTGGGAGCAGACCCGGGCTGGCAGTTATGACTTCAGGCTGGATGCCATCCCCTTCCAGACTGCCCGGGCATCTAGGGAGATCGCCAGTGATGTAAGACCCCCATGTTCTCTCCTGCGGTCACTGATGAGTTTTTCTCTGGTTTTCCCAGTTCTGTTGAAAGGCAAACCACCAGGACCTGTCAAGATTATCTCTCTCTCTGCACCAAAACTGAACATGTACTGTATTTTAAATGAAAGAAAAAAAAAAGGGCTTTACTTTCTAGCATCTTAGGCAGAAATTGTGGTCAAGGAGGGCTGTATTTCCATTCTCTTTTTAGAGAGGCACTCTTAAAAGATGATGGATGAGTACCAAGAGGTTCATGAATATGAGCTTGGGTTGTTGATTTGCAATAAAAGGACTTCTTTTAGCTGAAGTTCAGTGTGGTAGAGTAGAAAGAGATAGGGCTTTTGCCCTAGATGGACAAGTTCAAATCCTGGCTCAGTCACTTAGGAAATTTGGCTGTTTGTCTTGGGCAAGTTGCTCAAATTCTCTGAACTTGATTTTCTACATCTATGAAATAGGGATCTTATCTCCCAGATTAATGTAGGAATGAAAACAAAATCGTATATGGTGTCAGGAACATAGCAGGTATTCTGCAAGAGAGGGCACCATTGACTAGACAAGTGTCCACAGTGCTAGACGGAGGCGCACCTGGGAACAGTTTCCTGCTGGTCCACAATTGGATAAGTACAGAAATTAAGAGCATGGGATTTTTGAAATATTTTTTAGCAATTAGACGTTGTAACATCCAAGCATGTGATCACTGGACTCATCTCATTGAAAAGGGTGAAGGCCAGGTTGGGTGTTACCAAATACAAGTGGTACTGCTACATACTAGCCACATGCAATAGGACCATACATGGGTCTTTGATGCATTGGAAATGTAAAAAGCAAATCAAAATGGGACTGGCCCTTCACTGTAGATGGTTTGAGGAGCACTGGACTAGGTCCCTAAAAGCTGGAAAGAATCAAAGGCAGAGTGGCCTATGTGAGAATGGGCACATTTATCTTCCTGTTGGAGTATTAATTACAATAGTGACAATACCAGTAGCCACCACTCAGTGGGCCAGAGCTGATGCCAGACATGAAGCTCAGTCCTTATCTGGTTGAATCCTCGCAACCTCCTATGGGGTGTAGATCATTCTCCAATTTTATCAGATGGGGAAACTGAGGCTCATGGAGAAACTCAGTAACAGGCCCATGACCACACAGATAGGTCTATTTGAATCCAAAGCCTGTGCCTCTAACCCACTCTTGAGCCTCCTGCTGAGAATGCCCTGGGATGGCCCCATATGTGAGGCTGGTCCTGGGGGAGGTAGGCACCCATGATCTGCCTCTGCTCCTCTGACTTGCAGTTCCGGTACAAAGAGGCTTTCCTGCGGGACCGAGGCCTGCAGATCGGGTACCGCAGTGTCGACGATGACCCAAGGATGAAGCATTTCCTCAACGTTGGCAGGCTCCAGAGTGACAATGAGTACAAGAAGGACTTTGCCAAGAGTCGGTCCCAGTTTCACAGCAGCACAGACCAGCCCGGCCTCCTTCAGGCCAAGAGGAGCCAGCAGCTGGCCAGTGATGTGCACTACAGGCAGCCCCTGCCCCAGCCCACCTGCGACCCGGAGCAGCTGGGCCTCAGGCATGCTCAGAAGGCCCACCAGCTGCAGAGTGATGTGAGCCACCTCCACCCACTCCCTTGAGGCCCTTCCCCTGGTGCCTCTTCCTAAGAGATGGCCATAATGCCACGTTCCATTGTTAGCTTCTGGGGGAGCTGGGCTGAGAGAGAATCCAAGACACCTAACACTTTAGTGCCAGAAAGAATAACAATAATAACCACCACTTCTCGAGTGTCTCCTGTGGGCCAGGCTCTGTGTCAAATGCTTTCCAAGCCTCCTGCCATTGGCACTTATGCCAACCCCAGGGCTGCTTCATTTTACAGATGAGGAACTTGAGGCTCAGAGAGGTTCAGTGACTTACTCAAGATCCCATAACAAATAAGTGGCAGACCTGGGATACCAACCCCTTTTGGTTTGCTGTGAGGGCCCAAGCTCTCGATGGCTATGCTAAACTGTTTCCAAGGGATCTTAGCTATTAACCCAGCCTTTGCACTTTCTCTGGGAAGAAACTGAAGCCCAGAGAAGGGAAGTGGCTTCCCTAAGGCCACAGAGTGTGTGGAGCAGGTGTCACTACCCCACCCACTCCCAACTGTAACTTTTGTCACTTGAATGGGAAGATGCAAGAGACAGCAACATGCCGGCTGGACTCACAGCACATTGCGGCCCCTGTGCCAGGGAGATGCTGCTTATGATAAATTTGTTCCCCTTGTTCTGGCTTTACTGATGACAGACAACATAGTCTCATACTGTGGCTGCCTTTTTAATCTTCTTTACTTAATGGTCAAACCGCTCCAAACCCTGCTGACATATTCCTCTTGCTTCCCTCTTACCCTCAAGGTCAAGTATAAATCAGACTTGAACCTGACCAGAGGTGTTGGCTGGACCCCTCCTGGCTCCTACAAAGTGGAAATGGCTCGGCGGGCTGCGGAACTGGCCAACGCAAGGGGCCTGGGTCTCCAGGGAGCTTACGTGAGTAGCAAGCTGCAAAGCCACCCCTGGCTTGCAAGGCCATGGGGAAAGACAAACTCATTGTTTCTTTTCAAAGTTTATTTTTGGCCAAAGGTCAGCTAGCTCTAAAGAAGTGTGAAACGCAGCTCAAACAAGGCGCCTAATTTCATGGGTCTGAGATGACCAGGCAGATGACACGCAGGTTAAACTTCCTGCAGGGCTTTCTCTGAAGTCACAGCCATTAGTTCTGCAGAGGCAAACCTACCGGGGCTACATCAATCCCGGGCCAGGGCAGCCCAGGCTGTGCTGACTGCTTGCTCGTTACATTCGCAGAAAGGGTCAGGGACTCGCTGGATATGACAGTCTGCATTTTGAACCCTACTTTGTTCAGAAGAAAGAAGCCAGGTCTAAATGAGAGATTGGCTTTGCTTTCTCATTCCTGCCTTGAAGGCCCTTTTTCTTGGGGAGGGTAGAAGAGGGGAAAAGGAAAGGGAGGGTGAGCCTGTTAAATGCTCCCTGTGCTTCTTAGCGTGTCCTGTGGGAACCGGGGCCGGGAGTGGGGGTGGGGGAGCTTCATTTTAACTTGGGGTATGTTTGATTTCAGCAGCGGGGGGCAGAAGCAGTGGAGGCTGGAGATCATCAGAGTGGGGAGGTGAACCCAGATGCCACTGAGATTCTGCACGTCAAAAAGAAGAAGGCCCTGCTGTTGTGAGCCATGTCCACCCTGATTCCTGAGAGGCCAGAGAGGAAGTTTGTTCACCAGAGACAGGCTTCAGATGGCTTTGATTTCGGCAAGCTGGAATGGCCCACCAGCCCATCCCAGATCTTCCTTTATTAAAATAATAACTCTGAAAGCAGATGGAGAATGTTGTATTTGTGGTCCTCTCTGATACCTAGACGTGGATGGCTGATTCTGTTGAGTGCCTCGAGTGTCTGGGCTGAGGAATAAAGATGTGATGGTGGTTCCCGCTGATGCTGGGGATTCTGGAGTCTGCATTTGCAGGATGCCTGTGGTGGAGGCAGTCTCTGTGAACACTGATTTTCTAGAAGGTACAATTGGGTAAGGAAAGCAAACATACTATGTTGTGTTGATTCCATCATTCCTTGGGTTACCAAGGGAGGCAGAAGAAGCCTGGTGATATTGTGCAAATGCTGGTCTGGGAAGGCCCAGGCTGGGTGGCAGTTGTCTCTGCTTAGAGTAGGGATAGTCTACTGTGTGGTCCCCTGGAGGCTCTGGAGGTGTCCATTGTTGGCCATGAGGCCTCCCGGTGTCAGGGTGCCAAGGAGAGTGGGCTCTGAGGTCCAGAAGACAGTACCTTAGAAGCCACTTTCACTTTTGATGGTGGCTTTGATCCAATTCAGGAATTTGGTAACTTGGGTGTAGACCCCTGGCCTCTTCCCACACTCCAGGCCCCAGCTCACTATCCCATAGACGTAGTAGGTGCCGTCCTTCTCACAGGTCAGGGGGCCTCCAGAGTCACCCTAAGGGAAACAGAGGCATAAGCTCATCCTCGTGAACCAGAGACATCTGGAGATGCCCCCACCTCTCTCCAGGGGGTGTCAGGGAGGGATGGGGTGGAGTCCCTTGCCAGCCTCCGTGGGCTTCTCTGGAAAGCAGTGACAAGGCTCTCCCCACATCTCACATGATACAAGACTCTAAGGGAGAGAAGATAACAGTGTCCTCCGTCCCTGAGTCCACGCGGGCTTAACAGAGGAGCCGCACAGCTGCACTTCCCAACTCTCAGTGATGCAGATGTTATGACTGTGAGTTCTCGGGGGCCCTCAGCACACATAGGGGAGGAGGTTGGGGACTCCAAGGCAGCGTGGCCTAGGTGCTCAGCATGGTCTATGGGGTTAGATCTCCTGGGTTTTAAGCCAGGCCCTACCACCTGCCAGGCATGTGACCTTAGGCCTCAGTTTCTCACACTGTAAACCATAGATAGCAATAGATCCCCATCCCCCAGGGTTCTTGTGAAGATTGTTTGTAAAGTATATAGAACAGTGCCTGGTTCATATTAAACCCTCACGGAAGGTGGCGAGGATGATGATGGTGAGGAGAAGAAGACATTGAGGGTGATAGCTCTCAAAAACTTAATACTGCTTAAACACTACAACTGACAGGTTTTTAAAAAATGAATTCTCTATTTTAAACTTAGCCACGACCTTGTGATCTTATAGATAGATTTCCATTTTATAGTTTAGGCATCTGAGATTGAAGAATTGCTTTCATCACTGATAAAAGCCATACAGTAAGAGACAGAAACAGGTTTCAATTCACAACTATTTGTTTCCAAAGCCTGCAAGTGAAAGCCTTCAATTATCTAGGGAATTGAATGAGGTTTTTTTTTGTTTGTTTGTTTTTGTTTTTTTGAGACAGGGTCTCGCTTTGTTGCCCAGGCTGGAGTGCAGTGGCACCCTCTTGGCTCACTGCAACCTCCGTTTCCCACGTCCAAGCGATTCTCCTGCCTCAGCCCCAGTAGCTGGGACTACAGGCATGTGCCACCATGTCCACCTAATTTTTGTATTTTTCTTTTAGTAGAGACAGGGTTTCACCATGTTGGCTAGGCTGATCTTGAACTCCTGACCTCAGGTGATCTGCCCGCCTCAGCCTCCCAAAGTGCTGGGATTACAGGCTTGAGCCACCACGCATGCCCAGCCTGAATGAGCTGTTTTCTTAACCATCTTCTGGGAAGGAGTTTAGGGCAAATTGCACCCATCTGCCCCTCCTCTGAGTAGGTGAACATCCTTGGCTCACTGGGAAGAGACAGATAGTCACAGGAGAGCCACAAACCCTGGAGAGAGGAACCTTGATGTCCCATCCCAAAGTGAGTTCAAGGCCAGCAAATCATTGTGGGTTCCTTTGTACGGGGAGGCTCCCTGAAGGAGTTGGGATTTGAATGTTGGCATGCTGTTTTCCAGGACATTTAGAAGGCTTATGGGGACAACAGTCAGAAAATTCTAAATGGAGGTGTTCCTGGGATTCTAGAAAGGACCCTGTGTGATGTGATCCCTACAGATAAAGGGACTATGGGGAATGGGCTTTGACTTGGGGCAGGGCCTGAAGTCACTTTAGCATTGGTTGATGGAGCCACCACCTTCTCTCTCTGCAACAGTGTCTCTGAGTCACAAGCCTCAGCAACTTGGAGTTCTGAAAGGCCCTAGGCTACAGATATACTTAGTTTTCTAGGGCTAAAACACCCCCCCCCCCCCCACACACACACACACGCACACATGAGTCCTAATCATGAGTTAATATTACTGTGAAATCTCTAGCTCTAGGCCTTCTTCTTTCTCCTTCTAGCCACTGGTCTTCTGGACAGTTCCCTGTTTACTGGGATTCTCAGAAAGGCTGCCCTACACTGAGGCCACAAGCCCCTTTGGTGTCCTGCAGACTGTATTGTTCAAATCCCAGCCCTGCCACTGGCCACCCAATTGCTATAGGCCAAGATAACTTCTCTAAGCATCTGTAAAATGGTGATCATGACATCACCTTCACCAGTGTGTTGTGAGAGTTAAATTAGACAGTGCAGGCAATGTGACCTCTGTGGTCATTATGCTGAGTCATCCTGGGTTGATGCGGATGCAGATGCACCAGAGGGCCAGGGGGCAGACACAGCTCACCTGTGTCTTAGCTTTACCACAGGTGGACCTCTGAACCTAGCTCCCAGCCCAGGGCTCTAAGGGTCCTCTGCCTAGTGAAACATCCTGCTAGCCTCTCCTACCACAAGCACCACTTGGAGTCTCTGACCTGGCAGGTGTCTTGCCCAGGTTTCTGAAGATTTCCTGCACAGATCATACTGTCATCAATCATGTGGTCATAGAGTTGGCGGGAGTTGCACAAAGTGTTGGCAATCAGCTTGACTTTGGCATCCAGGAGCTGGCGGGACCCTTTTCCTGTGGGGAAGGTGCAGAGAAAAGAGTCACTACTGTGGGGACCAGGGTGGCACCAACCCCACCAGAAACCAGATTGTCAGGGAGAAGCCCACCAACTCTTAGCTCAGAAGGGAAGGGTTTTTCCAGGATATGGGCAGAAAAGCCTCATCTTTAGCCTTCACCATGCCAGTGCAGACCTGCAATCCTGTGCTGGTCATGATACATGGACCAGATAGTATATTCCCTCCTCTCTTTCCCCAGGTAGGCCATGAGGTTCAGGAGGAAATAGATGCTCTCTTAACCATTTTAAAATTCCCAAGGCCTAACAAAAGGGCTGGCACAATTCTTAGTGAATGAATGGATGGATGGATGGATGAAGTGCCCTGCGCAGTAGGCTACCTGCTTCCTAGAGCAGGCATTTTCCCCTGTAAAGATAATGACATCAATCAAAACATGTTTTGAACATAAAGTCTTAGAGAACATAAAGGCTTTGAACATAAAGTCTTAGAAGCCTGTTTATGAAAAGCAAAATAATTCTAACCTGAGGCTCCAAAAGATTCCCAACTGAGACATCACCATGCTGACCAGACCATATTGAGCAGAATAGAGGTTGACAAGTTCAGATGGACTACAATGAAAATGGCTGTAAAATGAGTTTACTGGCTGACCCTAAATCCAATTAGCCAGACATCTTTCTCAAAAGACTCAAAGTTGTATATTACATTTCACTTTGTTCAGATATGTGGAATTTCTGCAGACTTATTTATCGTGATTCTCGCTATTCATTATTAAGGACAGGATTTGCGAAGGAAGAGAAATATATTTTGAGTATTTGGAAAAGACATGAAATACCTTTCTGAATTTTTTTTGTAGTAGTGGGTATAATGTTGCCAGTACTATGAGGAAAGTAATCCTTTGGTTACTTTTAAAAATTAGACCAAATCCTAAAGACAAATCAACAGCTGGATTTAACACAATTTTATAGAATGTCTACTGTGTGGAGAACCCCGAGCAAAGTACTGTGAGACAGACAGAGATGAATGGGACCTGACCCCCATCTTCTAAGGGCTGACTTAATGAATGTCTCTGTAGAATTCTATCATCCCCTGTGATCATGCTTGCAAACCCGGGAAGTAAGTATGATTATTGAGAAACTAAAACTCAGTTGTTCAAGTGACAAAGTCAAGAATTGAATACCAGTCTGTCTGACTCAAAAATCCATGATCTTTCCTCTTTCCAATCTAACTAGGAAGGGAGCAAGAGCTCCATAAATGCAGGGTCAATGCTTGGTAAAATTCAAGTATTTAGGGGTAGGGCCAGGGACAGATATGGAGATCAGAGAAACTCAGGGAAGGCTCCCTGCAGGTGGAGGAATTTAACCAGAGCTTGATCAATGAGGTGGATGCTTTCTTTGGTTGATGCATTTTGAATATGACACTCATTTCAACTTCAAAAGGGCAGTTGAGTTTGGCCTTTCTTCTCTGGTTGATGTAGTTCACCTAAGTCATGGGAGAGTGCATGGCCGACTCACCTGTTTCTGTAACACCCCAGCCAGAGATGTGGCACTCACTCCCAGAGGGAAAGGACCCATCAGGCAAGCACACAGTCTTCACGTATTTGGATTCTAGAGCACAGTGACCATCCACTGGCTTTAACTTGAGCAATGCTAGGTGGAGAGAGAGGTAGAAAATGGATGCGATGTCACCTCTTTGTCAGAGAAGCACCAGCTCCAACTTGCTCATGAAGGTGGCCACAGCAAAGCCCCACCTGCCCCCACCATGCCTGAAAATCTTCTTCCGTGGTCATTTCATATTTTGAACTTCCACCCAGGAAGGAGTAACACTTCAGGGCGAGAGTCATGTCAAGAAATGACAATTGACTTTGAAATCATTTCTAATCCATTTTTTAAGAAACAGGCCATTAGAGGGGAAAAAAGCTATTGAGGAAGGAGAGAGAGGTGGGGGGGTGTCTCATGAAAAGGGAAACGGGATACAGAACTGAGCAGCTGGTAGCTAGGAACGTCATTGCATTTGCACTGGAGCACCTGCCAGGGGCTAGGGGCCAGGCATGCCTGCAAGCACATTGTGTCTCCTGACACATAGGAAGCTGAGAGTTGTGCATCAGTGTTTCCATTTCATAGAAGAGAAAAGAGGGCTCAGGAGGTGAGCTGTCTCCTGGTGATAAAGTTGGGAAGCTGGGATTCCAGGCCAAGCCTATTCCATAGCACAATGTTCCTAGCATTGCTTCCCCTCAGTTTAAGAGCATATGCCCATTTATCTACATTTGCACATACCCTCAAAAACTAAAAATCCCTGGAATACATTCCCTACCGCACAGGGTCCACAGGGACCAAAAACAATCAAGAGCACCTTCTAGAACCAAACTTCAGCTTTCTGGTCATAGAGAAATCCACCCAGGACAAGACCCTCAGGAAAGCCATGAAAGAGGAACTTGCCAATATCATTGTGGGGAATCTCATCTCTTTCATTGTAGTGGCTGTACTTGAATATCTTCTCCACCCTAAAGCTCTGCTCATGAAATTCTTCTTTCTTCAGGTCCTGGTCCCCTAGCACCACCTTTAGATGTCTGGTTTTTATGCTGCAAGGGAAAATGAGATGGTCAGGAAGGCACTGTTTCTGCTCAGCTGTGTGGCCTTTGGCAAATCTGACCTTCTGCAGACTCAGCCTCCTCATTTGTAACCCTCGTCTCACTCACAGAACTCTGCTGTGGTAGGGTCCAAATAAGATTATGTAAGGGAAGTGCTTTATTAACAGAAGCAAGCTCCAAATATAAGCTATAACTTTTACCCACTTCTCATGGGAGACCTCCCATTCTCCCTAGGCCTTCCAAAGAAACAGCCATTGCCATCTTGAACCAATCTTCTAAAATCCATTGGCAGGTGCTAATGTTTGCCTGCTTGACCTCTCTTGAGGAGCACCTCCTAGAATCCCAGAGAAATCATTTACTATAAGGTGAACTGGAAGACCTTCATGGCCACCTCCAAAACCCAGACTTTGTTGGACCAGCCTTGACCATGAGCACAGGGAGCTCAGAAGAGGGGGTGACTCTTCAGCTCCCCAGAAGTTACTTGCTTCTCTAAGGCACACAGGAGGCATGGATGAAGACACCTGACTCAGAAGGGTCATTGGTGATGGTATCAGACAAAGGAGCATGCTTTCCTCTATTCAGGGCAGGACAAAAGAAGTCAAAGAAGCAGATAGAATGGGGTTTCCATCTTACTTGTCCACTTAACTTTCCATACAACTTCAGGCAAGGTAAAGGAAGAATCCCGGGATTCAAGATCCTCACTTACAAAAAGGGAATAACAATAAACTCTTTTCCTCCACAAATATTTACTCAGCACTTGCTATGTACAAAGGCCTGCTCAAGACACTGGAGATCCTACAGTTAATAAAACAGATAAAAATCCCTGACCTTCCTCAGCTTGTCTTCCAGCAGACAGCTTTAAGGATTAAATGTCATATAATAAATGCAGTGCCCATGGTAAACATTCCAGACATGGTAGCTATTTTCCCTCTGGCTTTCAGGAGCCCTTCTTTTGCCCTTGAACAGATCAGACCCCCTAATCCTGACAGAGCTACAAAGATGCTGCTCAGAGGGGAAGGGGAGAGCACCCCCAGCCACTCAAGCCACCCTGGTCCCTGCTCCCAGCGGCACCTACTCGGTGCAGTGGGCAGCAGTGAGCACCCAGCAGGGGTGGATCAGCGCCCCACCACAGAAGTGGCCCTGGGGCATGGAGATGGTCAGAGGCAGCGAGGACTGGAGGGACGCCTGCCATGGGTGCTTGCCCGCCGTGCTCTTAAAGCCTCCATAGATTCTCTTGATCTTCCTCTCTGCTATCTCAGTCTTTCCACAGGAGTCAAACCCCGGAAGCTTGGTTGATGGCTCAGTGGGGCTTTCCTCTGGGTAGGCAACGTCTGTGGGACACAAGAAAGATAAATTGTGCTATTCAGCCTCCCTCCAGTTCCTCAGCAGGGCTCAGGCAGAGGTATGACTCTGAGCCCAACAGCTGAGCAGGGGTCCAGAGCTGAGAGACTGCACTGGTGCAGACAGGGTGGGCATGCAGTAGGTGCACAGTTGATATTTGTTGAATACATTGCGTAACATAAAGCAAGTCTATAGAATTAACAATGTAGTTTTTTCTTGTCCATTTCAAAGTATGTGACTCCTAAGATTGACATGTACACACACACATTATGTTTATGTAAATATACAAATCCCTCACTGGGTATGTACTTCACCTTGACAAAGCCCCCACAATTATAAATGTGCATCATCAATGCACCTTTCATTATTAGTGCACACTTACAATTGTGGAGGCTTTTTCAGGGTAGAGGGGAGGATATTCAGATGAACTAGAATAGGTGAGATAAGACATTTGCACAGATGACTGTGACACAAAAGGAGAGAGCAGTAAATGTTGTATAGGTGGTGCCTTGTCCTGTTCCTTAGGGTTTGTAAGGAGGCAGAGATAACATTTTACTTGAGAAATCAAGGAGGACTTCCTGGAGGAGGGGATATTTGAGTTGGTTCTCAAAGAATAGTTGTATATGGACAAGAACAGATATGGGATGGTATGTTATAGACAGAAGTAACCATAAGATCAAAGGCACATATGTGAAACTGCTCAGGGAAGGAATCCCACTGGTCAGGGTGGAAGGGCACATCATTCTAGATGTGGGCACAGAGCGGGGCCAGGACAGATGGCCAGGAAGACTGTGAGGCTGGAATTTGAATGCTTTGCATCCTAAGAGGCTATGGGAGCCCAGCCAGTTTGATCACCATTGCACACCCAGTGCCCAGCATAGTGGCTGGCAAACAGCAAGAGATGGGTAAATATCTGTTGAGGGCACTGATTTGGAGTCAGAAACCATGAGTTTAGAGTTGGACTACCTGACCTAAACCCACAAAGGTATCCAGACCTGCTTGGCATCCTGGTGGGTGCAGACAGTTGGGCAGTTGGGCTGGCACTGGGATGGGAATTGGTAAAGCAGGTGTGGAGGAAGAACAGGGTGAGGGAGGGACCAGGTGCCAGGGACATCTCCCTACAAATCTCCATCCCCCCCACCCCCTGGGCTTCTGAACAGCCATGGCCTTTACCCTGGGCTGAGCAGGCTGAGACATCACAGTATTCCCATTTCACCTTGTCATTGGTAACTTTAATAAAGCACCAGGGCTTTTCGTCCGCATCTGGGTTTCTAAAATACAAAACAAAACAACTCAGAGTCAAGGCTTGATGAACACACTGGATCTTATTAAAGAACCTTTGGATAAGAAGGTGCTAGACTCTTGTGCTCCCCCTGGGACCACATTTCTTTGAATCCTCCATCAGGTTACAAAACCTTAGAACAGAAGGGTGTTTATAGTATTTTTTCTGGCAAAATCTTTTCTTCTAGAGGAAAATCTCAAGGACAAGAAAGCGGTCCCAAGTCTCATGCCAGATCCACAGGACATACCAAATTATTTGTAGGAAAAGAAATGAGATCCCTGATGAAGACCTTTCTATATCAGGAGAGTAAAATCATCACATAAACATGGTGAGAGTTGGGTTCCTCTGCCTGAGGCTTTGAATTCTATGCATGGGAATCCTCTGAGAAAGGCTGCCAAGAGGCCCCCCCTCCCCCCGCCCCCGAAGACAGCTCCACAAAGGGAACAGCTCAAGGTGAGTGCAAGTGGAAAGTACTAGTGTTTTGTGAAAAAAAAAAATCTTCATGGCCGGGTGCAGTGGCTCATGCCTGTAATCCCAGCACTTTGGGAGGCCAAGGCAGGTGGATCATGAGGTCAAGAGTTCGAGACCAGGCTGGCCAAGATGGTGAAACCCATCTCTACTAAAAATACAAAAATTAGCCGGGTGTGGTGGTGCGCACCTGTAATCCCAGCTACTTGGAAGGCTGAGGCAGGAGAATTGCTTGAACCTGAGAGGCAGAGGTTGCAGTGAGCTGAGATGGTGCCACTGCACTCTAGCCTGGGTGACAGAGTGAGACTCCATCTCAAAAAAACAAAAACAAAAACAAACAAACAAAAAAAAAAAACAAGAAAAAATCCTCATTTATGAAGCCAGTTCAAAGCCATACAAAGACCCCCTCACCTGCAACTCATCTGACTCATTGGCCTTGGCCAGACAAAGGGTAGTGGCAGGAAGCCAACAGAGTGGCCTGGAGGCAGCAGAAAAGGAAGAAGGAAACTAGATCACCACCAGGGAGGGTGGTGGCATTAGCCTCACATGGGAAAGCCTGAACATCCTTGGGCCAGAGACCATCACCTTCAACAGACCTTCCACTTGCTCTTCTCCATCTCTGCCTAGAAGTTACGTGGGCTCATGTGATTATTTCTGACCAACAAAGTATGTGTGGGAAGAGGATGTGTCCCTTCTAGGTTGAGGTAGAGAAAAACTCATGCTTCATTTCCCAGTCTCTTCTTGCTGATCCTGAATATTTGAGTAAGCCTGTGGAGCTGAATCCCCTGCCATCATCACCACCAACCCACATGACACATGGAACATTAGTAAGAAATAGACATTTTTTCTTTTTTTTTTTTCTTTTTTTGAGACAGGGTCTCACTCTGTCACCCAGGCTGGAGTGCAGTGGCTCACTACAGCCTCGACCTCCTGGGTTCAGATGATCCTCCCATCTCAGCCTCCTGATTAGCTGGGGCTACAGGTGCTGACCACCACATTCAGCTATTTTTTTTTTTTTTTTGGTAGAGACGGGGTTTTGCCATTTTGCTCAGGCTGGCCTCAAACTCCTGGGCTCAAGCAATCTGCCTGCATCAGCCTCTGAAAGTGCTAGGATTACAGGCATGAACCACAGCAACCAGCCCAGAAATAGACTTTGATGTATTTGAGCCACTGACATTTGGCAGTTGTTTACTACAGCAGCATAACATTGCCTTGCTGAGTAAGAAAATCTTCCTAGAAAGGAGGCTGATGAATTTCAATGATCTGTTTTAAAATAAGTGACCAAAATCAACTGAGCATAAATAAGGTAAATGTTACCTGCAGAAATTGTGTTCCCCAATCCCATGGGTTTCAGCATCCTCCATAAACATGTTGTAATTCTCCTGCAAGAGGAGGTGGGAGTTCCAGTAAAGGCACGCATGCTGGTTGACTGTCCTATTCATTTTCCCTCGGTAAGAGTAGCCATCGCCAACATAGCAGTCATCAGAACCTCCGAGAGAGCAGGTAGCAATGTGAGAACCAACAGCCATTGGCATGCCACTCCCAAAAAGGGCTTGGTGGGTATGTGACATGGTGAGAGAACTGGACCTGCATATTTATCGCCCTGAGATTTCACCACGAATTTCAGAAAAAAAAGTGTTGAATGTCCCACATTTAATCCTGCTTAAAACATGAAATATAGTGGTTGTAGGGTGTGGGAGCTTAGTTCTTTAATTCTGGCTCACACAAGAACTGATGGAAGGTGGGCTAGGGCCTAGGGATGCCCAAGTGGTTTGACTTGCCTGCACTACACCCCAGTTTATTACTTTCTTTACAGGAAGCCAGACACGCCCTATCCCTTTAGGTGAGAAGGCTGAGGCAATAGTCGAGTTTGGGAAACTTGATTTGAACCACATTCTGGCAACAAAACCCAGAGAGGAAAGGGTTCCAGAGGCCTCACTTGTGGCCCTGATGGTGGCAGAGACCCATACCTATTTCACAGAATTTCCCCTTGAACTGGTCGGGACAGGCACAGGTGAACTTGGATCTCCGCTTATGCCGGGAGCAGGTAGCCCCATTCTGGCAGGGGTTTGGCCTGCATACAGGAACCACTGTGAACACAGGAATGGGGCCAGGAAGGCTCTTCAGAAGGAGTTGCAGCCCATGTCTGAGATGACAAGGAGACATTGGTGGCATTCTACTGGTGTCCATCCTTTCGCGAAAGATGGGTCACCAGATGGGAAAGACAGATCCACTGACACTCTAGTAAGTGTACACAGAAGCCTTAAGAACATAAGCAAATGTGGATGAAGCAATCTGGCTGGAGGCCATGCCTAAGTGCATAAGTAGATGGGTCAGTCAGTAAGGAAACAAAGAAGCATGGACGGAGCAGGAGTGGTGGGCCCTGTCTGAGCTAGGTAGAGCTCTGCCTGCTGATACCCATGTGGCCATGAGCAAATGAGTTAATCTGTCTACATTTCAGGTTCTTCATCTGTAAAGCTCCTCCTTGAGGTGTCTTTGGAGAAAGCAAAAGAGAACGTAAATTTCCTGAGACAATGCCTGCCTCACAGCAGGGACTCGATATGTATTCATTCCCCTACTTGGTCCCTCTCAGGAATAGATCAGGGTCTACTTCCTGGAAGAAGTGAGTTTCAAGATGATTCTTTTTGGGTGGGAAGGGACACAGACCAGTCAATTCCCACTGGGTGGAGTCAATCCAGGGATAATGAATCTTTAGAAAGCCTAGGGAAAAGGACCATCTTGGGTGCCTGCCACAAAAACATCAGATGCATCTGGCCTTCCATGCAGAAGGGTGCAGGTACAAGATAGGGCACAGAAAGTCTAGCGTCGAAGGGGCCTCCACCACTTACCTTGGGAGCAGCTGGGACCTGTGTAAGGGTGTTTACAGACACAGCGGTAGTAGGGAGGACTCTGGGTAATGAGACATTGGCCCCGGCCACATGGGTTGTCCTTGCACGTATTTTGCACTGTAGGAGATCCATAACATAAGACATTATTTGGGGCACATTTTCCTTAGAGGGATACATGTATAAAACAATGTTTGAGGGTGGGGTGACTGACAGTGTCTGTAGCCTTGTCCGTGGTCCTGAAACACTGGGCTATGCCAGGACAAGGCTTCTGTCTAATTTTTGGGTCATGGAGGATTGTCTCCCACATTGCTTCCCATGCCCATAGTCTTAATTTTTATATCTTAATAAAAAAACTTTGATAATTGTTACACCTTCACCAAACAGAGCTGCAATTTTAGTCTCTCCATTTTCTAGCTAACTTCAGAATGCATTTACAGTTTTGTCACTTTTCTGAGAAGTTGAGGAGTGAGCCCAGACACTGTGTTTATACTCGATATTCTCAACCATCCTGAAAAATTTACTGAAGAAATTGCAGGATTGAAAATGAAAAGAATAAGTGAAGAGGGCACCGAGGGAAGAAGTCAACCACAAAGCTGTACATATACCTAAGGCCCCACTTCCCTCCACGAAGTAAGATGGTTGCTAGAGCAGCCCGAATACAGCTTTTCTCTAGGGGTAAAATTAGCCCCTAGGAGTCCTATTCCTGATGCTTTATTCCACTGCCTCATGTTATGCCCACAAGAGTTCACTGGCAGCAGACACAGTGAGTATGGTAGAATGAATGAGCATGGGCCAGAAGTCAGGCACGAGGGCTCTAATTTCTGCTCTACATCTAGCTAGCTGTGTGACCTTGATCAAATGCCCCCACTCTCTGGGTTCCCTTTCTCTAACTGGGTTGGGTCTCATGTGCCCTGAGATCCTCCCTGCTCTCCCATTTGAGGACAACATGGCTCTGTTGCAGTTAGACTAAACTCTAAGCACAAAGTCCTGAGTTTGGGATATATCTTGGTTAGAGTCCAGCCCTTATCCCCTCTCAGCCTCAATCTTCCCATCTGGAGAATGGATGTACTAGTTCCATCTCACAGTGCAGGGGTGAGGATCCAGTGAGAGGCTGCCTGGGACCCTGCAGAGGAATACACTATGCATGATACAGTATTGCAGTTATAATCCTTTCCATGGCATTGCGCAGTGCTTTCTCACACAGAAAGGACTGCCTCTTGTTTAACTCAGAGGGAAGAGTGGACTAGTGATGACGGACTCACCTTTCTGACACTTATTCCCAGAGAAAGGAGCCAGGCAGCTGCATGTGAAGGTGCTCCCATGGACGAGGCAGTCCCCACCGTGTTCACAGGGGTTGGGCTGGCATGGATCTAAGACACACAGGAAGAAGGCAATGTTGGTAAGGAAAGGCAGGTGAGAAGCGCCCCCCTCCAAATTTTTCATCAAATTTCAGTCTCCTGCCCCAAATGAGAGAGTAACTACTGAGCCAGAAACTGGGGAAAGGAGGAAAACATATGTTGTCCCTAAACAGCAAGGAAAACTGCAGTCACCTGACCAGAGAGAGGGATTCAGGTTAGTGAGAGGAGAGGCGAGAAGGAACCACGACTGTCTCCCCTCGGCCTGGCTTTGGACGGGGCCTTTCTCATTGAGAAACTCCCCTTTTCCCTCATCAGTGTTTTTCTCCTCCCAGTCTTGCTGGGAGTGCCACAGGGTCTGTCTCTGATGCTGAAGGTATTTCACAAGCCTGAAGACCTCCCCTACTTCCAGTGCCCAGGGGTGGAGGTCAGGAGTGGGGAAAGAAAACCCACCCCTAATGAAACGCAAGCTTTCTGAACATCAGGAGAGAAGACCAAAGGCAAGAGGGTGACAGAAGAATTGGCGGCAAGGAGGAAATGACCCAGTGGCCTTCATCTTTCTTCAACTACTTGTTCAGTTAGATTTTGTCATATTTCATCTGTGCCTGTGGCTTTTCATGGTTGTCTGAATGGATCTTCCCTTGGGGAATTCTTTATCCTTCTGTTCACACACATTGTTCTTTGGTTCAGGAACTAGGATCCCTGGGCCCTGCTCTTGTTTTGATGGTCCCTTCTGATGTTCCCCCATGCCCTGTATCTTGGCCCTGCCTTCCAGGCCACTTTGCACAGTTACACAGCTTTTATTCCAGCTGCTAAGTGCTTTCCATTCCTTCTCCTGGTTTAGTCACATGGCATTGCTTGGACCCAGCTTCTTCTTTTCTGTCCCACTGCTTGGGTTAAGAAGCCACAAAAACAAAAACAAGTGTGGTAGGAGCACATGTGTATGAATACACACACACACATATGCACACATACACACACACAATCTAACAATTGTGGAAAGCTTCTAAAGAGTGAAGGGAGAAAGAAAAAGTGGAAGGGAAGGAAAAGTTCTGGCAAAGGCATGAGGGAAGGAAAGTCCCAAAGCTGAATGTGTACATGCTACAGTCTGGTACTCAAGGCTGACATGGACTTCCTGCATCCTTAGGGTCTGACCTGTAATCTAAGCTATGGGAGTGATTTTGAATACAGCTGCTATTCACAGCATCAGGAAACCTGGACAATGCTGCATTAACTTGCTGCATGACCTTGGCCAAGTCAGCTCCTCTCTTAGCCTCACTTACCTCATCTGTCATTTGAGGGTAGGGGAGATGGTCTCTAAGAACTTCCCCAGTCCTCATAGCATATGAATCTAACAGAAAAAAAAGCCAGTCCAAATAATTTCTTCCATAGCTATTTCACAATACTGGCCAGAGAGGCGGAGAGAGAGGCCCTTGCATGTGGTCCCACATACACTCCGCTCTGACCTTCTCCCAGGAGAGTCCCTGAAAGAGATTTGGTACCTACCAGCTTGGTCCTCAGTGTAGTACCAGTCAGGATTCTCAGCGTGGGTAAGTGTGCTACTGGTGTTCTCTTCCTGATTATAATCCTCGTAGCTGTAATCATACTGGTCAGGGGTCCAGTCTGCAGGGATGGTAACAGGACAGAAGAAATCCTAATCATTACACTCAAATAGGCCAGCATTTTATTTAGTTGGACACCTTTTCCCCAAAGAATTCAAAGTCCTGCAGGAGGAATCATGTGTCTCTCCAGCTCTGCACAGTGAGGGGAGTGGAAAGGAGGGCTCAGGCTTTGCATCTTTTCACTTGGGGGACGCTATGACCCGGCAAGGTAGTGTTGACATTTAGCAGGGTCATGAGCACCTGATTGGAAGTGAAGAGATGAAGCGAAGTCCAGCTTTCTACTCCCTTGAACTTAGGAAAGCCAACTGTATTATCAAGTCTTGATTTTCTCATCTTTGAACAGCAGGAAGAGGATTGGGACCTAGCACGTCTACAGGGTCCTACATGGGGTCTGCCCGGGGTCAGATCACACTATACTTGAGTGCCTGGTTGCCTCATCCTGTGGATAATATTTCTTGATGGGACTTCATTAGTCACCAAGCTGAATGAAATCAAAGAAAACTCATCATTTTTCTTTTGGTCATGGTCAAGCATTATCTACAGAGTCATTTTAACAGATAACATTTTTTGAGCCTTTATTATGTACCATGCCCTGTGCTAAGCACTTTACATGCACCATCTAACTTCATCTTCATAAAAATCTAGGAGGTGTATTGTTCACTCTAAGTTGAGAAACCTGAGGCTGACAGAGATTGAGTAACTTGGCCAAGGACACATAGTTACTAAAGGGCAGGATATGAACTATGGCAGTTTGTCTCCGTACAACCCCTAAATCTCACTAGCTCAACTGTAGCACTCAACTGTTTCAACTGGGGTCTTACATTGCCTTGGGTACTCCCACACTTACCCTTGGGAAAATGTGTCCCACCATCCCCATTGACTATCCAGCCTGCTCATTAGGAATTTCCCAAGGATAACCTTATAAAAGTTCATGGATCTTGCCTACAGTTGTAAACCTCACACTAGACTGGTCATTGGGAAAAAAAACAGGTATGTGTAAGGTTGGCTGGACTCAAGCTCTTTGCTCTCTGGGGCCTTGGCGGGGAGATCCTGGTAGCTCTGTGGCTGGTAGGTCTGTGGAAGTTTGGGATTTGAAGAAAGTCAGGTTGACTTTGCTCTCTCCAGCCGGCTGGAGTATGGCAAGTCGGCAAGTTGAAGCTGCAAGGAAGCTGTCCAGAGATGCATATGATAATGAGGCGCGAGCAAATGCAGATAGCTGACTTGAAAAGGCACTCCTACGGAGCCAGCTGATGGCTTGGAGGATGGCACTTTACCTAAGCCTGATTATCAACCACATTATCTTACTCGTCTCTCAGTCATTCTGTTAGAGTCTTTATCTCTCTGGCTTTTGAAAAATCGACTTTTGCACAATGGCTGTTTTATATTTCCCATTAAAATGGAACTAGCTTTTTATTTCTTTTTTGAATACGCCAACTCTGGTTTCTTGCCAAAGTTTCACCTCATTTATCACAGTGTCAAGTCAAGACTCCCTTGGCTTGCTCATTATTTCTCCCGAAGTGCTTTTCCCCACTATGAAAATGCTCCCAGGGGAGGCCACCTTTTTAGGGCTGAGGATCCAGGTTGAAGATAAGGCCATTGTCTTCCTGGAGCAAATAAAGTTTTCCTCCATCTAGCGTGATAAAGCAGAGAAAGAGAGGGAGAAAATGAGGAAAAAAATGTTTTTCTGAGTTTGACATGAAAGATTTCAAACTGACATTTAGGAGAGACAATGGGGTTTGATAAGGAGCTGATTGCATTGCTTAGTTATTTCTTGTTCTTTGAAGAATTTATTTTTGTTTTTCCAACAGATGTTTATAGATAAATGCCCTTCAGGTTGCTTCTGTAATTTCTCCCATCTCTCCCACAGGTTGGCAGTCAGACCAGCTAATCTTGGCAAGGCCATTAAGAATTACTTCTTTTGCAGATATTTAGAAATGGGGAAGATTCTGATGTAGATGGTATGGTGTGACTTTTCCAGGTGACGAGGGATGAATGAAATGTCTGTTAGAGGATTTTGACTTGAATCCAGACCTATTAACAAGGTCTGCTTACCTCTCAGTGAAGCCAAAGAAGAAATAAAATACATAGGCTTTGAATCATATTGCTGCTAAGAAAGGCTTCCTATTCTCTAGGGCCCATGGGCCTCAGTCAAGATGGATAGAACGAGCAGAGCTCAGTGGCCCCAGGTAGCCAGGGTGGAAGAAGCCATCCAGCTGGTGGCTGTGCAAGGAAAGTCACAAAGATCCTTTCCATTTGGGATGGGCTGCCATGTGATTTGAAGGTGCTTTACAGGAGTATCATCTGGGAGGGTTTCTCCACTTCTAGGATTAAACCTTATTTTGTCTTTCCCATTATGTTGGCACTTAATCCTATTGTCTGCATATGTAACTTGTCTTGTGAACCTACAATGGACCAAGTGTTATGCCAGGTTCAGGATGGCATTGGGAATGGTGCAGAGTTATACAAATAAGAGTAGGATGTGGCCTTGTCCTCAAGGAAGCCTCCAGCCAAGGTTGGGTGGGGGATGAAAGCCAGCTAAGGAAGGAGATTAAAGAGTAGTGAAGAGGTGAGGGAGCTAGAAGTGACCAAGTCTAGGCCTGGCGCCCTCAAGTTCCACAGTGAAACTCTGCTTCAGTATGAGCCAATCTGATGACAAAAATAGCCCTTGATTCTCCACCCCTCCCTGCACCCACACCCTTTGCAATGTGACTTTTCAGTTTCTCCCACCAAGAGATGGAGTCAGTTTCCCTGCCCCTTGGTTCTGGGTTGGCCTTAGGACATGCTTTGGCCAATAGCATGTGTGATG
The DNA here is from genome assembly GCF_000001405.40 of Homo sapiens. Classification (NCBI taxonomy): domain Eukaryota; kingdom Metazoa; phylum Chordata; class Mammalia; order Primates; family Hominidae; genus Homo; species Homo sapiens. The sequence goes on along the minus strand of NC_000010.11, from coordinate 113,571,483 downwards.
GAAGGACGGTGTGCCAGCTCAGAGCCTGGGCCTTAAGAAGTCTTGTTCTCTCTCGACTCTGTATCTCTCCCACTCCTGGACCCACATGACTGCCATGTGAACAGTTTGGCCTATTCTGCAAGAGCAAATGAGAACATGTGGACAACGGCTGGCCTAGTGGTCCTAGCTGAGGCCTCAGACATATAAGAAAGCCCAGCCAATATTCAGCAAGATAAGAGGCCAGCCAATCTGCCAGCTTCTGCAGACACATGAGCAAGCCCAGTCAAGATCAACTGAGCCCGATGCAGCCCAGAAGAACTGCCCAGCTGAACCCAGCCAAAATTGTCAACCCAAAGAATTGTGACCTAAATACATGGTCAGTGGTTTAAGCTACTAAGTTTGGGGTAGCGTATTATGCAATAATAACAAACCGACACACAGGGCTTGATTGATATTAGATTGCTAATGGGATAAGAATTTTAGTTTCAAGAGCATTCCTCTGTGGCCCAGTTGGCTGGAGAGTTTTAAGTGTCATAGCTAGACCTCAGATGGCACCTCTCTTGGGTATTTGGTCTATCTTATTTGTTTCCTCCAACTTGATAGTTAGTTTCTTAAAAGGAAGGGCCATTTCCATTCCTCTTTTAACCCCAGAGTGCCCAGCACAAAGCCCTACCTGTAGTTAATGTATGTGATTGACGGATTTATTTTTCCCTTAGTGGCTAAGCCTTTCTGCTTTCTGATTGGCCTGCATGCAGCTTTGCTGGCTAAAAAAATGGTGTCTGCTTAAAGCAGAGCAAATAGGGAATTTCAGTAAGAAACTGTGTAAGAAATGGGTCAAATGTACTTGGCAAAGAAAATACCTGATGAGCTCTGTAGCGATCTAGAAACTCGTCCACATATTTTCCTGGGTAGAGAGGCACAGTAGCCTGCCATAAATTTTGGTTCCACTGGTAGATTGTAGAAAAACAGTTCAGGTTTAAACATAGATTATTTGTGACTTTCTCTAGGCTATAGAAAAGGGAGGAGCTTTGGGAAAGAAAGGGGCAGCTGTTCAAGAATTTTCTATCAGGAATAAAAAGAAATTCTTGTGAGTTTGTCTAGTTTTCAGTCTGTTTCTAGAAATTATCAGGAAGAATCATGAGAGTATCCTGAGTTAAGCCAAATTATCCTAATAATAGGTTATAATGTGTTGAGTATTTTCTATGTATCAGACACTAAACTAAATAAATGTGGTTGCCCACAATCTTACTTCACCTTAAAGCAACCCTATAGCATAGGTATTATTATTCCTATTTTGCAGATAAGGAAAAATGAAGGCCAAATGAGATGACATCATAACCCAGGTCTACCTAACTCCAAGTTTTATTTGCCTTTTTACGATCCTGGAATCTCTTATAGGTTTGGGTTTCATGAAAGTCCTTGGGTTTTAGCTTTCAGGAAGTAGCATGCATTGGGAAACCTTCTTAAGCACATGCTCCAGGTCCCTTGACCAGGATTAACTCAGTCCATGTTTGGGGTCTCTCAGAAAATGCTCAGAGTTCCTGCGATGGGAGCTTTGCAGCTGCTCTGGTTAAGGAGCTTGCCAGATGTGTGGAACAGAATCAAAATCCCCGGAATGTCGTCCCTGTTGGTGTCATCCATCACTGTGGCACAGACGGCTCCTCTGAGGGCCTCCTCCAAACCCCAGCCCTGTCGGCCTGCATTTGACACTTCCAATCTGGCTGGCGGGGCAAGCCCAGCAGACACTCTCGCTGGCAGGCAGTAGGACAGCTGATGGATGGGCTCAGCCTGCATTGCTGGGCAGAGCCAAGCCAGCTTTGAAGAGGCATTTCCACAGGCCTGCTGGCTGTCGTGGCACCTGCTTTGGGGAGATTGGCAGAGTCTGTGCTGTTTGCTGGCTACCTCCTCCACCACCCACTGGGGACTGTGGAATGCGCACCTTCTGCTCCAGCAAGGCCCTCACCGTGCGCTGTCTCCAGCAAGATCAACCAAAGAAGCAACTTGCCCACGGGCACGAGCACGGGGTCTCTTTCGCCATGCTGTTGTCTAGAGCCAGCAGGGAGCTGACAAATACCATCAAAGCACAACCCCTGTGAGAGGTTAAGTCGGACACTGAACAGGGATGTTTTTAAACTGAATCTACTCTTTGCAAAAAGGCCCAATCTCTACAACTCAGCCCACTCCCTGGAGGCTATGACACCTCGAGATGGACTCTGGATCCCAGGAGAAGTCTGCTTCAGGGTCCCTTCATTTATATACCAAACTGTCTGAAGGTAGTTTCTTGAGGGTTAAATTAAATACTCTTCACTCCCTATAAGAGGTTTTTCAGCCTGTGCTTAAAAAGCCTCCAGTGATGGGAAACTCATTACCTCCTGAGAGCCCAGTGGCCCATTCAGATTTTTGAACAACTCTGATAGTGAGAAAGTTCTTCCTGTTTGCAGATCAAATCTGACCCTGTAGCTCCCAGTCTGTTTGATTAAAGCTATAAATCTATGGGCACATTGGCTAACTCCACTCCCTTTCCATGGTCTCTGTTCAGTAGGGCCACTGCTTACAGTTGCTCAAGTTGTTCACTGCACAATTCCAGGGTGTCATGAACTCACTGTAGATGTCTCTTACAACTTTCTGGCAGCTGGCAGTAAAGTCAAGGGCCCTTGAGTCTTCCGCACTTCTTTTTCTTCCACTGTGTCACCCCATAGCTCCCACAGCCCTGTATCTCTGAAAATCAGACCCAGGGATCCCCTTCAGCGGTGCCTGAGCAATTTGGGCTTAAGGCTGGGGAAGAGGCCACCCTTCCAGCCCCTTGGTCTTGGCTCCTCCCTGGACTCCACGTGTGGGTGGTGGTGTGTTCATCAGCTAGGGGATAACTCTCTGAAATACGCGCCTTCAGAGGAACTGAACTATGTGTCGTTGAATATCCTTCGTGTTGGGGAAAGACACGGATTTTCTCAAAACCCCACACACCATGCCAATATATATTTCTCTTCAACTCCACAAATATCCTCTGAGCACCTGGGACAGAATGAAGACCTGGCCTCATCTTTCTGCCCATCCAGGGTTTGCTGCTGGACAATATTGACTGTCAAACTGACTTTGGCCCAGTTACTGCCATCTTTGTGCCAAATAAATCCTTGATTCAAGGTTCAGATGTGGCCACAGTCTCCATGTGTTGTCTGCCTGGCTATGGCGCTCTGTGGGTGACCAGCATAGATCTCTACCAGTGGGGTTGTTGGCCTCTGGCCAGATGGAGTGGCGAGCAGAATTTTCTCCACTGCGGCTCAGAGCTGCAAAGGGAGACTCGAACCCAGAGCCAAAGGACTAGGAGTGCATGATGTGGAAGGGGTGGCCCTGCTTAGCTTGCGCACGCTGTGGGCACAAGGCCGAGGACACAGGAAAGGGAGACAATAAGAGAGCGAGTCTGTGAGACAGAGAGCCCTTGTGAAGATACAGGACCCACCTGGTGGTAGACGCGTCGAGCCTGAGGAAGCAAACCATTTGGGCAGAGAAGACAACAGCAGAGGTGCTGGTGTGAGGGTATCACCAGGGCAGGTCAGCCCGGAGGCCGCCCTCGCACAAAAAGAGGTGGAGCGGCCTGCCTGGAGCCATGCATTTTTCATCTCGCCCTCACTTTGCCTCAGCCTTTCACCTCATCTCAGCCTCCAATTCGCTGTGTGGCCAGGAGTAAATTGCTTCCCCTCTAGGCCTCAGTTCTTTATAAAATCAAGGGTTTTAAGTACGTAGGCAGTATTTCCCTTGGGATCCTGAGCCTGGGCTCATCAGTGTCCACAGGAAACTCAAAATTGTGTAAAGCATTGTGGGTGCACAAATTTTGAGGGCAAGTTCTCAAAGGTGCCTGTGACAACCTGGAACCAGTTGAACCCTGAGGTCCCTCCAACACTTCCATACTTAGGCCTCCTTTTCACCAGCCCAGAACCAGCCTGGGATTGGTGGGAAGCCCCAGGGAGATCAGCACACTTACCTGGGTCCAGGCTTTCCAATAAAGACATCAGGGAGAACTGAAAAACAAAACAACACAGCAGATCAGCGTTGAGATGGAGCTCTGCCGGGCGTGCTCCTTAGCTGTCAGCCAGAGGAGATCGTATGGGGTGCAGGTGCACTGCGTGCTTTCTGATGGTTGTGGCTGGGCTAGAGGTTGAAGGGAGGGGCAATGGGGTCTATTTGAAGATACACCCCCTCCACCACCACCACCTGTGCGCGCTGAGTACTGAAGCATTGTCCTTCTCCACAGCAGGGGTTCGTGTCAGTTGTCTGCACCTGTCCTTGCTTTGGAACACGGCTGCCCAGGTACTGGTGTGCTCGTCAGGTGCAGTGAGTTTCATCTACTCCCTGCCTGATCACACATTGCTGCATTTCATACTTATAACAGCCCTATGAAGAGGCTTGCATCAGCCTTGTTTACAGATGAGAAAATTTGGACTCGGAGGTCACATAGCTGTGATAGGATTCGGAATTCATGCTGAAATCTAGGTGATTTCTTCAGGTGACAGTTCCTGGGGATTGGGGATGGACAGATGCTTAAAACCCTTCAGTGGCTTCTCGTTGTTCTTAGAATAAAATGCAAACACCTGCCATGACCTACAAATCTCCTCCCATACTCCTCCCTCCCATTGCCCCTTTACTAAGCTTCAGCCACACCTGGCTTCAAAATGGCGCAAGATAAATTCCTCCCACCTCAGGGCCTTGGCAATTATTGTTGCCTCTGCCTGGAAGCCCCCCTCTATGACCTTCGCTAGGTCTCAGTTTAAGTGTCATCTTCCCTGAAATATCCCATCAATATGACATTTCCCTATCCCCACTGTTTTGTCACTGCACCCGCTTATTCCCTCCATAATCCTTACTGCAGTGCATAGATTTACATTTGTTTATTTGCATGTCACCTGTCTCTCACATCAGACTCTGTCCTCCAGAAAGGCAGGGATTTTGTCTGTTTTGTCATTGATGTATTACCCAATACCTAGCATAGAGCTTGGCACATGGCATTCCTCAAAAAGATTTGCTGAATAAATAAATAATGACATAAATATTTCCTTTAATATGCAGTACTCAACCTGAAAAAGAAAGTATTACTCATTTAATAACTGGAGTATGCTCTCTTCCACTTTAATCAGGGGTCAGCAAATAAGGGCCCTTGGGCCAAGCCTAGCAGTTTTGTTTTTGTAAATAAAGTTTTATTGGAAAACAACCATGCCTGTTTGTTTATGGCTGCTTTTGTAGAGAGAAAGTATAACCCCAAACATTTACTATCTGACATTTTACAAAGTTTGCTGAACCCTGATTTAAAGAAATGCGAGTTCTACCACTAGACAGCTTTCCCTTTGGGTCTTGGCCGCCAGAAAGCTGAGATCAATGAGATACATCAAGCTAGGCAGTTTGGTATATTTGCTGCTTCTACCCTCTGCAGAATTTCTAATTTTCTGTTTTACTGTAGGCTTCCTTACATGATTTTGGGAATTAGGTAGATGATAAATTAGGAAAGAAAAATAAAAAGAAATAATGCATCCTGATATGATGTACTGAGGATGTAAAATATCAACAGATAGTACTCTTGGCAAAAATAGTTACCCTGAATTTACTCATGAGGAACATGACAGATCCAAATTGTGAGATTCAAATTGCAGGGCATTCTACAAAACACCTAGCCTAGCCTCCAGAAAAACATCAACACCATAAAAGACAAAAAAAGATGGGAGGACTGTATTTTTAGTAAAGGACATGGCAACGAAATGCAGTGTGTGACTCTTAATTGGATCCTGGATTTAAAAACAATGGCAAAAAGGACATTGAGTGCTGTGGTTTGGGCTGACTTGGATATTTGTCCTCTCCAAACCTCGTGCTGAAATTTGATCCCCAATGTTGGAGGTGGGGCCTCAATGTTGGGGCATAGGGGTGGATCCATTACAAATGGATTAGTACTCACCCTCAGGGTAAGCAAGGTTTCACTCTATTAGTTCCTAGGAGAGCTGGTTGTTAAAAAGAGCCTGGCACTTCCATCCCTCCCTCTTGCTTCCCCTCTTGCCATGTGATCTCTGTACATTGGCTCCCCTTTCCCTTTTGCCATGAGTGGAGGCAGCTTGAGGCCCTTGCCAAAAGCAGCTGCCCAATCCTGGACTTTCCAGTCCTCAGAAATCCAAGCCAAATAAACCTCTTTTTTAAAAAAAATACATCACCCAGCCTCAGGTATTCCTTTGTAGCAACACAAAATGGACTAAGATACTGAAACAAGTGGGAAATTTGAATATAGACATATTAGACAATATTATTGTGTCAATGTTGACTTTCTTGAGAGTAAACAATGGTATTGTAGTTCTGTAGGAAAATGTACTTATTCTTAAGAGACGCTGGCTGGGCGTGGTGGCTCACGCCTGTAATCCCAGCACTTTGGGAGGCCGAGGTGGGTGGATCACAAGGTCAGGAGATCAAGACCATCCTGGCTAACAGTGAAACCCCGTCTCCACTAAAAGTACAAAAAATTAGCTGGATGTGGCAGCGGGGGCCTGTAGTCCTAGCTACTCGGGAGGCTGAGGCAGGAGAATGGGGTGAGCCCAGGAGGCAGAGCTTGCAGCGAGCCAAGATTGTGCCACTGCACTCCAGCCTGGGCTACAGAGCGAGACTCCATCTAAGAAAAAAACAAAAGAGAGAGATGCGTGGTGAGGTAGAGTGATGTCTACAATTTACTTGCAAATGATTCAGCAAACAAACAAACAAAACAACTATACACACAGGAGAATGAGAGACACAGCAACCATAACGACATGTTAACAATTGTGGCATCTATCTGGATGAAGAATATTCATTGCATTATTCTTCCCACTTTTCTGTAGGTTTAAAAAATTACAAAATAACATGTTGGTGAGGGGAAAGGAATGCAAAAAAAGGAAGAGAGGTCATTTGTTATCGGGGACTGTGCCTCTGTCTAATGACTTCCTGGCTAACCACCTCCCCCACACCCTGTTTCTGCAGGCAGTGAGATGGGACAGGTGTTCTGTTTGGGGCTGAGGGTGGGGGTTGGCAGTGGGGAGGCCTGGCAGAGGAAGGGCAGCTTAGGCCTTAGGGGTGCTCCTGGGCTTAGGGTGAAGGATTGCCAGAAATGGGTACCTCTGGGGTTGAGTGCCAGAGAGGTGCCATGAGGGGACCCTAATATGGTTTGGCTGTGTCCCTACCCAAATCTCATCTTGAATTGTAGCTCCCATAATTCCCATGTGTCATAGGAGGGACCATGTGGGAGGTAATTGAATCATGGGGGTGTGTTTTTCCTGTGCTGTTCTCATGATAGTGATTAAGTCTCAGGAGATCTGATGGTTTTATAATGCGCAGTTCCCCTGCATACACTGTTTTGCCTGCCACCATGTAAGACGTGTCTTTCACCTTCTGCCATGATTGTGAGGCCTCCCCAGCCATGTGGAACTGTGAGTCTATTAAACCTCTTTTTCTTTATAAATTACCCAGTCTTGGGTATGTCTTTATTAGCAGCATGAGAATGGACTAATACACTAAGACTTCAAGGACAAAGGTTACCCCTTCTTCAATCTCGCCCTCATCACCCCCAGTCATCTGGGCCTTGGTCCTGGTCTTTGCTCCCTGCCTTGCCTTTCTCAGGGCAGGGCCTGTCTGTCTAGACCTGTCTCCACCCAGTCCTTTGGAGATTCCCTACGAATTCTTCTCTTTGAGCCGAACAGGGTGGGCCATGTCCTAAGAAGTGGGCAGAAGACTTTGAGGGACATCCTTCCTCGGGGTCCAGCAAGGAAGGGCCCTCCAGGACCTGCACCTGGGCCAGCATTGCGCATCCTGGCTCCAGCTGGAGCCTGAGGGACAGCCGGGTGCCATGCTGCCTACAGCCAGCAGGTGGCAGACGTGCCCTTCCTAGGAGCTGGCGCTCGGAGGGAAACCAAACAAAAAGAAAGCCGAGACTTCCTGGGCTGGGCTCTCGGGGAGCCTGAAGCCGATGTGCAGCTTGGGCTGCCTGTCAGGGGGTCGCCGGAATCTGAAGCAAGTCACTCATTTTGTGACTCACAGTGTCCACCCACAGAGAGGGGCCGTGGTGCAATGTGGAAACTGGTAGTCCGAACACCTGGCTGGATATTTAGGGACCGTATGGGAAAGTCCAGGCTGATAGTCAATTACTTATGCCTATATCCGGATCCCTGAAACTAACCTGGATGATGGTAGGTGGGAAGGGTGGACACAGTATTTGCCTCCTTTCATTCCATCATTCCATTATCTCTTCTCCCAGAGACAAGAAAATGATAGAAGAACCCTTACTCCTGAGACTTGCACATTCAAAGAGAAAGATCGATGGAAGAGTAGGAGGAAGAGATAACTAGGGAGAAAACTGTTATCTCAGTTCACATTCCTTTAGAGCTGACAATGTGCCATCAACTGTGTTAAATATTTTACGGACATTTTGTCTTGTTTGTTGCACACAATACTTCATAATTTAGGTATTATGATTATATCCAATTTAGAGGTGACAAAACTGAGGTTTTCAGATATTAAGTTGTCTAAAATAACTTAACTAGGAAATGCTGGAGCCAGAACAGGAGACTGTCAGTCTCACATCAGAGTCCTTGCTCTTAGTCACCATTGTGAGGGACCAGGAAGCTGCCACGTGTACACAGTAATAAAGCAAGGATGGAGGAGAAAGAAACAGAAAAGCTCATTAACCTTGAGAGGCAGGTGTTGAGCTAGGTTCAAAATCAGGGGCACTGTTCTTGGAATGCTTTATAAAAAGGCTTATCTGTGGGCCGGGCGCAGTGGCTTACGCCTGTAATCCCAACACTTTGGGAGGCCGAGGTGGGCAGATCACTTGAGGCCAGGAGTTGGAGACCAGCTTGGCCAACATGGCAAAACCCCATCTCTACTAAAAATACAAAAATTAGCCAGGCGTGAGGGCAGGAGCCTGTAGTCCCAGCTACTCGGGTGGCTGAGGCACAAGAATCGCTTGAACCTGAGAAGTGGAGGCTGCAGTGAGCAGAGATCGTGCCACTGCACTCCAGCTTGGGTGAAAGAATGAGACTCTGTCTTAAAAAAAAAAAAAAAAAAAAAGCTTATCCAATCTGGCCTAGGCCTGGCAGGCCACAGAGAGGGCCTACTTGGCCCCAGTGACAGCTGGAGAAAGTACAAAAGTCAGATTGAGCCTTGGCCAGCCTACTGCGGTAAACACATCTTAACAAACATCTTCACTCAGATCAAAAGGCACGTAAGCCACTGCCCACTTCTCCCACCACATCCATTCCTAGTTTCAACAGGGCTAAAATAGCACATGGTCCCAGCTGACCCGTCTTCTCTTAAAGGGTGGACGCTGCTGCTTCTGCACATGGTAAGGTAGCTGCTTTGTAGTATATTTAGCAAGACCATTCTAGATCCAACGACTGTTTATTCTACTCCGCACTTGGGCTTTCTCAATGGATCCCTGGCTCAGGACACTGACTTCAAGGTTAGGAGCAGGCCCTTAGCAATGTTAAACTCCCTAAGCCACCAGAGTCTCAAAGTCTGGTGTCCTCCCAGGTTAAGGTTGGTTAGTGAGGAAGGCAGGGAGAAAAGGATCCCGAGTCTCTGAGTCTTACTGATTTACAGTGTAATCTCCTTGTGGGTGGGGTGCACATACATCAAGTCTATTTTGTCCTATATTTAATCCAGTGATTATTTCAACTAAGATTCTTCCTCTGCCTTCCAGAATTCCAAAACTTCTGGAAGACAAAACAAAAAGCCTAACAGTCTGAGTTGATGTGTTCCAGAAATTCGTTGGTAGAAAATGTTCTCAGAGGGATTAGGAGGCAGTGATGGGGGAGATAGGGCCAGATTTGTCTTTTGGGGACAGAGGCTCAGCTCCGAATGAACTAAGAGCAGAGAAATCTTCTGCTTGCTGGATAAAAGGTTGGGACTCTAATCACACCATCTCTTCTTCCTTGCATGTTCTACCCTATGCCTGGTGGTAGGCCACATGTTGCCAACCACCAGGGAGGTGCGTTACTCCCAAGGGCAGCTGGGGAGGAGAGACCTCTGTACCATGGCCATGGTTGAGGCTGCAACCTCTGGACTGGAAGGTGGACAGGGACAAGTGTGCACAGTTCAGCAGGGCCAGTCCCCTTGCTGGGCAAAGAGCTCAAGGCCAGAGCGAGTAGTGGAGGTGGCAGAGGGCAGTGGCTGCCAGTGCCCAGGCCAAATCCTCCCTCATGTTGTTCTTCTCTGGCTCCTGCTACAAAGATAAGCGATGTCATTTCAGCCTGAGTTGAAATCATCACTGGATTAAAGATAGGACAAAATAGACTAGACGTATACACTCCCCACCCCCAAGAAGATTACACTGTAAATCAGTAGGATTCAGAGACACGGGCTCCTTCTCTCTCTGCCCCTCCTTGACTTTCTGTCTAACCAACTTTATCCTAGAAGACACTAAGATGAGCAGTTGTGCCAAGCCACTCAGTCCTTTTATTTGAAAATTGTGGTAACATATACAGAACATCACATTTATCGTTTTGACCATTTGTAAGTGTACCTTTCAGTGATACTAATTACATTCACAATGCTGTGTACCCATCACCACTCTCTAATCCCCAAACTTTTTCGTCATCCCCAGCATGGACTGTACTCGTTGAACAGAAACGCCTCCTTCTTATTCTCCCTCAGCCCTGCTAATCTCTAGCCTACTTTCTGTCTCTGTGCATTTGGCAATTCTAAGTATCTCATGGAAGCGGAATCCTACAATATTTGTCCTTCTGGGACTGCCTTTATTTCACTGTGCATCGTGTTTCCAAGGTCTTCTAGGTAGCATGTATCAAACTTTCCTTCCTTTTTACAGCTAAATAGTATTCCATTGTCTCTATCTAATCACATGTTGTTTATGCATTCATCTCTTGATGGACATGGGTCATTTACACCTTTTGGCTATTGTGAATAATACTGCTATGAACATTGGTGTACAGATTTCTGTTCAAGTCTCTGCTTTCAGTTCTTTCAGATATGTACTTAGATGTGGAATTGCTGGGTCCTAGGGTAGTTCTACGATTAACTTTGTCAGGGACCGCCATACTGTTTTCCACAGTGGCTGCACCATTTTACATACCTACCAGCGAGGCCTGAGGGTTCCAATTACTCCACATTCTCACCCACACTTGTTATTCCCCATTCTCGAAAATGATAGCCATCCTAATAGGTATGAAGTGAGCCATCCTAATAGGTGTGAAGTGGTGCAACTCCATCCCTTCGTAGGCACAGGAATCTTGCCCTTCTGGCTTTTGCACACATTGCTCAATGCCGTCTCAAGACTGGCAGGTTCACTGCAGCTTTGCTTTCACCTGAAGCTCAGGGGAAGGGGGCAAAACTCTCAAGGGAGAATGTGGAAGCCAAAGGTGAAGGTGCTGGCCAGCAGTGCCTGTGGGTGGTTTCCTTCCTGGACACCTGGGTGAAGCTGTTCACCAGACCACAGTGATGAGCCAGGAGCCACTGTAGAGAGGAACTGGCTCAGACCCTTCATCTGCAGAGGAGGAAGATGAGGCCCAGCATGGTGAAGTGGCTTGTGTAAGGACATGGACACATTGGGGCAGGGGAGGGACTCAGGCTCAAGTCTCCTGGCTCTGACGCCGATCACCTATGCCTGGCTCAGAGGGATTCTGTGCAGCTTCCCTGCTCTAAAGCCCAGAGCTGGCCACTCAGACCCTACCCAGCTAAGGGCTGAGCTGCAGCTTCGTGTGACAGTGGCAGGCAGAGATGGGACAGGGGCAATGGGCAGAAAGAGAAGAGTCCCATTTGTTACATCCGGAGAATTTCCATTTTAAAGACATTGGTTCTTAAACCTCAATGTGCATAAGAATTGTCTGGGGAACTTGATAAAAATACAGATCCCTGGGGCCCACCCGCAGAGGTTTGGCGTCCATGGGTCTGAGGTGGGCTGGGAACACAACACACATCTTCCTCCAGTGCCCAGGCGACTCTGCCCTTGGCCACGCTTTGGTTATACCAAGCTCTCTTGGGTGTGAAGCTTCTGGCTGAGGAGACTCAGGGCCTATCTTTGCTCCTGTGCAATTTGTTGAGTCTCTCTGTGCCTCAGTTTCCCCAATTATAAAAGTAAGAATTCCCTTTCCCAATTCCAATGTTTTATTCAAGGAACTTTGGCTGCTCAGGAAGAATATGGCATTTGCAATGATTACTCCGCAGGTGAGACTTGGTGAGAAATATCTGTACAAATGGCTCATCCCAGGGACTTGGTGCAAACAGATGGTGGTGGAGGGGAGCTTTGAAGGTTAGGGAGTGAGGCCATCCAAGACAAGGAGACTGGGTAAAAATTCTGCATATGATAATGCTCTTGGAAGCCCTTTTAAAAGGCAAGCGAAGGCTGGGCACGGTGGCTCACGCCGGTAATCCCAGCACTTTGGGAGGCCAGGGCGGGTGGATCACTTAAGGTCAGGAGTTTGACACCAGCCTGGCCAGGATGGTGAAACCCTGTCTCTGCTAAGAATACAAAAATTAGCTGGGCGTGGTGGCAGTTGCCTGTAATCCCAGCTACTCAGGAGGCTGAGTCAGGAGAATCGCTTTAACCTGGCAGGCAGAGGTTGCATTGAGCCAAGATTGCGCCATTGCACTCCAGCCTGGGCAACAGAGCGAGACTCCGTCTAAGAAAAAAAAAAAATTAAGACAAGCAAGTGGACAAAACCAAAGCACAGCTGAGCGTGGGGCCGCCTCATAAGCACAAGCCCCCATGTTTCCCTTTTTGGTCAGTCAGCCCCAGCAAATAGCCCAGGGCTTCAGGAAGGTAACTCCCCCGCTAGGCATCAGCACCACCTCTGCTGAAGCTGTGCTCACTCCTGCGCTTTCCGTGGCATCAGATGTGAGCCACTGCGGGTATCTGAGTTGATTGAGATGGTGCCTAGCCAGGATGTGAAGTAACAGCATTAGAATAAAACAGAAAACACAGCGTGAGAAAGTCTTTCTTTTCTCAGGTTGACTGTCAAGCCTTCCAATCCCACCAGGGGGAAGGACTGGCGGGTGCTGGTGTCTCTATCCTCTGCCTCCTGCTGATCTTTCCTCTAAGGAGGATAAAGCCGCTTCAGGCTCAGACCTTTAGCATGTCAACAGCAGCCAGCTAGAATTCAATGACATCACTTCGCTTTCTTTGTAGTAATGACAATTTCCTTTAGAACTAAATCAATTTAGGTAGAGAAAAGGTGAGTCTTTAACAAAAGTATTAAGAAACTAATTTGGGCTTTGGCAGAATTTCTGAAGATGGCTTCATTCATGACTGAAGTTTTGAAAACACTGAACGAACTGGTTTGCTAGCCGGCAAGACTCGATCCTTGTGGTGTCGGAAAGCAAAGGGAAAGCAAAGCTTCGGGGCTATTGAGGGAACGTCCAGATGGGAGCGACTTTGTCTCCTGCTGGAAGCTGGAGTCTCAGGCTGCTGCCCATTTTGACACCTTTGATACCACACAAAACGGTCTTGTTTGTCTTTGGGCAGTGCCAGGCATGATGATCTCAACCACAGTGCTTGTGAGCATAGAACTAGGCGTTGGGCAGACCTTGAATCCCAGAGCTGTAACCTCCCAGAGGTGCCATCTTGAGTAGATGATTTAACTGCTCTATGCTTAGTTTCTTGTCTGTAAAATGAGAATGACATTGGTCCCTAACTCATAGGGTTTGAGAGAAGCTTAAATGAGATAATAAACATAAAGCATGCCACATCTGGCAAATGTAAAGACTTCATACGTGGTTGCTGCTACTATTAATTATTACGATTACTCTTACTACTCCTATTATTAATAGCCACTGTTGTCAGTGAGTTTGTTCTGTTTTCTCAGAGTGCCGGAAGAGCCGACTAAGGAGAACTTACTCAGCATCAACTTTTCCTGGAACTTGTTTGCGGGTCACAGGCATGGCGCACCAACCCCCTCCCCGCCAACCATTTTTCCTGGGATCGTTGCCAAGTCCTAAGCCAGGAAACCTTGTTATATTAATTATGAAGAAAAAGCATGTTTTATTTAAAATCCCGGCTGCCAAATATTCTGCCATGCTGTTTCTCTGTGACAGCAGAATTGCTCTTGCATTTAGGAAACTCTAATGAATTTAAAATATAAATATACCCGTGCCTGTATACACATGTGATTTCCTGCGACCTGATTTCCCTAAATACCAGTGTACACCGCTAAAGGTAATGAGTTGGATTTGTGCTTCAGATCAGTTAAAAAAAAATCTATGAGAATTTGCAGTGAAAATCAGTCCCTCCCCTTTCCCTAAGACCGTGTAGATGGCAGTAAGAGGGAGGAATGCCTCTTCAGTCTCTCCTAGGCCCGAAAGAGACTGGCATTCTGGAGGCTTTGAAAAGAGTGGCTCCCATCTTCCTGTCCAAGACCTTGTTTGGTCCTGGAGCCCATGCAGGTGTGGATGCTTGAATTAATCGGATGCTGAGCCTGGTCACTTGCCCATCCCAAACTTGGTCCGATAAGTCAATATCCACAGCATTTCTGAGCAATAACCAGAGAAGTGCAGTAAGGCAGAACCAGGCAGACAATGCACATTGGTCAAGAGGAAGAGTTCTAGATAGTATGGGGGCCAGGCATGATGCTTCACACCTGTCATCTCAGCACTTTGAGAGGCCAAGGCTAGAGGATCACTTAAGGTCAGGAGTTCAACACCAGCTTTGTGCAAAATAGCAAAAACCAGTCTCTACAAAAAAAAAAAAAAAAAAAAGAATAAAAGAATCAAAGAAAGAGAGAGGAGCAGGATCTGGGAAACTCAAGCTTCTTTTTTCTTTCTTTCTTTTTTTTTTTAAACTTTTTTTGAGATGGAGTCTTGCTCTGTTGCCAAGGCAGGATGCAATGGCACCTTCTCTGCTCATTGCAATCTCTACCTCCTGGGTTCAAGTGACGCTTCTGCCTCAGCCTCCCAAGTAGCTGAGACTACAGACATGTACCACCACACCCGCTTAATTTAAAAAAAATTTTTTTTGATAGAGACAGAGTCTTGCTATGTTGCTAGTCTCAAACTCCTGGCCTCAAGCAATCCTCCCACCTTGGACTCCCAAAGTGCTGGGATTACAGGCATGAGCTACCATGCCTGGCCTCAAACTTCATCTAATAACAGCAGCGGTGGCTACCCCTCTCCATGGTGCCAGCCAAGAATGTGAACCCAATGCTACTCAAATGTCTGATTTTCAAGAAAAGCTGGGAATCTGTATCTTTAATGGGAAATGTTCTGTGTTCCGATTTTCAAATGTGGCCAAGCAATTAAAATAAAACTAAAATACTCTTGGAGTCAATCTTCTATCCACCAAGTTAAACTTGAGCTGTGAGCAGAGTGTATTTCAAGCTGCCAATTTGCAACTTCTGACCTATGCAAACTGTTTTGTGGCTCTATCCCTGGGAAGATTCTAGAGTTCTAGGGTTTTAAAAGCCCAGAAATGTAAACATTGTTTTAATTGAAAGCACCTCCTTTGCAGGGGAGAGGAGAAGCCTTTGTCTTTCTTCTTTCTAGGGATGGGCTGAGATAAGCAGGCAAGCTTGACAAACATTGTCCTCTGGTTTCTGGGCTTGGAGAGGCCAAATTCCATTATGGCTGAGCCCAGCTGGGCCCCAAATCACTCTAAGAATCCTAGCAAGAAGAGATTTCTAAGACAGTCCACGCCTTATTTACAGTTAAGCAGGCCTCCTGTGATGAATGTGGAGTCAGACAGACCTGGCCCCAATCCTGGCCAGAAAGTCATTTTAACATCTCTGGGTTTGTATCTCATCCATAAAACAGGGATAATGATATGAGGTTGTGCTGGACAGGTGCTCAAAAATGATATGTTAGGAAAACCAAACCTCGAGTAGAACAGCAAGGCACAATGAATGATGCCCTGGAGTTCACAGCAATGATTTTTGACCCATATCTCTTGGGCTAGTGGATATCAGAATAAAAATCTCCATGACAGATGATCCCAAAGAACAGTCCTCATTTGCTACATGATCTGAATTCATGGGAGAGTACCTGGGTGTCTTTCCAATGAATAGTGACCACAGATCCTATAGCTGCCTTTCTTTGGAGTTTCAGAGACACGTGGAGTCCATTACACTCCACCCAGCAAACATGTGCCTGGTCTAAGAGGCCTTTCCCTACAGGAAAAGCCATGTCCCTGAAGCTGTACGAACCAAAGAAATCTCATCCTCACCCAGGGCCCCAGACAGGAGACTGGCTACACGGAAACCAGTCTGTAATCCAGAGCTCAGCTCTGCCACTCATCAGCTGTATGACTTGGGACAGGCCCAGTTTTCCAGCTTCGTTTCTGTAAAATGGGAGCATAGTAGGAATTACTTCTTGGGGTCCTTCCAGAGATGAACCAATTCATGGAAAGTTCAGGGGCTAGCACTCAGGACTTCTCATTAAATGGTAGCAGTTAGTTATGACTTTTAGCTGTGTGGGGCTGGAGAGGCCACCCAGCCCAGCTGGCTATGTGGCTTCTTTACCCCCATGACGCCCCAAACTCTCCAAAGCATCTGAACGACTTGGCCACTTTCCCCTGATGTCTGTATGCCAGCCTGTGGAACACAAGCCGCCTTCCCGACCACCTGTCTGGCACACATCTGGGGTAAGAAAGCATTCCAAAGCCCCGAATCCTCTCTTTGGAATTGACTAAGCTCATTGCCTGAAGGCTAACTCTCATATTTTCTCTTTTATCCATTATTGACTTATAATTTCATTGCTAACCCTAAAAATTCAATGGGGTTTGCAAAAAAGGGATTTTTCGGGACCATTATCCTTTTGTGAACTTCAAACATACCGTGTCAACGTTTCTCCTTGCCCGCAAAGTTTAGGATCTAATTCTTTCCGACTGGTATGTTCTCTGGGCCCCGCGTGGGCCTCCGATGATTTCTCCTGCCTTTCTCTAGACCTGTGGTATTTCTGCTGTGTCTCGGCCTCAGACACCAACAAGCCATCAAATGATGTAGGGGCTTGACAACAATTTGTAATTACAACCACCACACACACACAAGTCATGATTTGAAAAGAAAACCCTTTCAGAAGTGAGTCACTTGGCAACTTAATACAGAGCTAAGATAGGTGTCTGAGCACAGTTGACGGAAAAGAAAGGAGAAGCTATTGTTTTAAAAACATGCTAATCAGAAAACTGTAACTTAATCTGCTTCATTCAGGAAACGCTCTATGGAGTGAAATGGGGAACAAAATGCAAAGGTACTTAATAAGACAGAGAGGTTATGACTGTTATTTTAGTTCTTATCCTCTGCCCACTTTCTACCACCCCTCCCGAACAAGGCGGAGCATTCTCTGATTTTTATGGAGAAGTTGTGTTCATTCTTGACATTTTAAGGGAGTAGAGCTCACATTTATTTGCAAGCCACATACATGACCTCGTTTACTTGTGGCCCTCCCCAAATCTATGAGAGGTTAGCACTTGATTTGCAGAAGACAACACTGAGGCTCAGAGAGATTATGTTCCTTGCCCAACATTCCACAGCTAGAATGTGGCAAAGCTGAGATTCGAACCCTGGCTCCAAAGCCCACATTCATGCCTCAGACCACAACCAGCACGGAACTCCAAGGAGACTCTATTTCTGTGCAAGGTCCTCTTTCCATGCCCACAGAGATCCATCTGACACTCTTGGACCATGGCACACAGAAGGAACTAACATCTTGACAAGTCATCTGCTCCGGAAGGTCCTGAGTCCCCCGTTCAAGACTCTCTGATGGGACTTCCCTTCCCTGCGCACTGCAACCTCCCTTGGGCCCCTGCTCACCTTCTCTGCCTCATCTGCTGCTGTCACAGGGAAAAGGAGACAAAGTACTAAACACAAAGCTTCTCCCCAAATCCAAACTATTTATGCAGACCCACTGCCAGGATCTTTTGCAGTCAGCAGGCTTCCCCTCTAAGGCCATAGCACATTGCTTCTTACCCTAGTGTCAGCCACAAATCGCTGGAAAACTGTGTGTGTCAGCACCAATAGATAGGTATATTTTCCTGGGGAGAGAGTTTATAGCTTTCCATGGCTTCTCAAAGGGGTCTATGAGATCCATGACAGATTACAATCCATGCCCTGGGGCACATTTTCTTGCCCCAGTCTCCTTTGCTGGAATGCATTCATGGAGGCTCCGCTCCAAGATGGCTCAAGTCAGACACCTGTTCCCATGGGAGTGGCTGCTCAAAAGAAACCAAGCCACAGGCCTGCATTGGTTCTTGTAGTTAGAACATCTCCAACTTGGCAACTCCAGCCTTTCACTCTAAAGTTTCTCATCACTCCCAGCCTAGCTTGGTCCTCCTAGTAAACTTCGGAGTCTCTCAACTACAAATATTAGAAAAGAACACTTACCCCACAGGCTGTCTTTCCCACCAGAGCCATTAACAGCAGAACATGGAGATCAGACATCCTGGCAAACATCTTTGCAGTTTAAGGACTTGTGTTTTCCTCTCAATAAAATTTCTTTTGTTGTCTATGCCTTTAGGGGGGAAAAATGTCAGTCTCCAAGGATTCAGGAACAAATGAAGAGGATGCAAATTATTAACTAGGCATCAAATACTGTTTAATGTTTAATGTTTTGCAAACTAACTATCTTGATTAAACAAATGGCAACTTTGGGGCTGGGCTGAGTCATGAAGTGGTTTCTCTTCTGGGGAGAAACTCTCCAAAGAAAGTAGCTGACATAGCCCCCTGGCTCCACGGTGCACATGACAGCTGCTGGGTGTTCCGAGCAGGAAGCCTGACAGCGTGACTAGCATCCCAGCCTCAGGATAAAAGATCAGGTGAAGCCTGTGCCACAGGCCTCTGCCAGTGCTGATTTGTACAGAATGTTAATAGACTTCTGGTTCATCAAATCTCAAACAGAATTAAGGCATGGATGGGCTCCTAATAACATCACACTTTATATTCATGAGACATAAATTAAAGGATGCAAAACTGCTATTGACAAACATTGATTCTGGGCCCTTTGAAGTGTTGCCCACAGTTGCTTGTTGGCTTCAAAAGTTTTGTTTTAAACCTCATTAGGTAAGACTTTTACTTTTTAATTATTTTTTCCCCTTTTGCTGGAGTCTTTCTTTGATCAAGCGGAGGAAAAAAAACATGGTGTTCATATTTCAGGACAATTGTTTCCTATGTTCCTTATTTAGCTATGCTGGTTGCAGGTAGAGTTCTGTCAAGCAGCAATTACCTATTAAGTGTGGGTTCTTGTGGACACAATTGATCTCTTTAATAGGCATGATCTTAATCTCCTGTAAACAACTGACTGCCCACAGAAATCTATGCCTGGGTTCCAGGAATCCTCCTGACTTGAGTCATAAATCCAGGTTTTGAAATGCTGCTGCCAGCGGAGGCATGTGCTCACCTGTGCCCCCCTGCCCAGCCCTGCCCCTACCTGCCATCCCTGTTTGGCACGTGGACTGCATCAGTGGCTGCATCTACTTCTGAAAGCCAAGTTGCTAGCCGGGGAGGGCCCCACAGATCCCAGCCCAAAAGAATGCCCCAGTCACCAGATGAGCCTTGAAGGACTAGCCAAGTCCTGGTCC
Organism: Homo sapiens; assembly: GCF_000001405.40. Classification (NCBI taxonomy): domain Eukaryota; kingdom Metazoa; phylum Chordata; class Mammalia; order Primates; family Hominidae; genus Homo; species Homo sapiens. Next base: position 113,551,997 of record NC_000010.11, on the reverse strand, counting down.
TGCCATTTTACCTCCTAAATGACTTCCACATTATTTTCTTTTATCCACATATTTTTGTCTCCATCCTATTTTAGGCAGCCATCAACTCCCCCCACCCCGCCTCCTATACCATCAACATCCACCTGATCACCATAATACAAGCCCATGTTAGTAGTCCCTTTTTCTTTTTATTATTATTATTATTATTATTTTGAGACAGAGTCTCACTCTGTCATCCAGGCTGAAGTGCAGTGGCGTGATCTTGGCTCACTGCAACCTCTGCCTCCTGGATTCAAGTGATTCTCCTGCCTCAGCCTCCTGAATAGCTGGGAATACAGGTGTATGCCACCATGGCTGGCTAATTTTTGTATTTTTAGTAGAGACGGCATTTCGCCATCTTGGCCAGGCTGGTCTCAAACTCCTGACCTCAGGTGATCCACCCGCCTCAGGCTCCCAAAGTGCTAGGATTATAGGCATAAGCCACTGCGCCTGGCTGTAGTCCCTTTTCCTAGAAAGTTCTTCTCTAGCCCTACTCTGTCCTTCCCCTAATCCTTATGACAACCATAAATTTGTTAACTGGAACCCTGCTCACTCCTGAGCAAGTTAATTTAGTTAACTCTCCTAGTTAATGCATCTTTCATCTCTTAGCCCAAACATTACTTCCTCAGAAGCCCTGCATGCATTTCTTCTTTACAGCATTTATGAGGTTGTAATGTCACAGCCGTATTGCTATTTCATTAATATTTGTTTCCCATTGTCCCCATTAGACTGAAAACTCAGGAGAGCAGGCACTCTGTTTCAATCACCATTGAATCCTTGGCATAGATGCCCAGCACTGGATAGACGCTCAATAAGTTTATGTTGGATGAAATGAACAAATGAATGACCACTTTATCCATGTGACAGTTGGACATGTTATCACCAGGATGCCTTAGATAGCATAGCCAACTCAATGTGAAAGGAAAAACTGGATGTGGAAAACTAAAAGTATTTGTGAAATTTTAAGCACACTTCAACTTATTCATGAACACTCCATTAATATTCATCAAATACTTACAGAAGCTCTGCTGTGAGCCAGGCATTGGTGATGTGGGGATGAAGGAGGCAGATGTGAACTGGTTGAGGAGGAGATGGGCAGACAGTGAAAAAGTAAACAGTTAATTTTCGTTAGTGGTTTCTATGAAAAAGAGTGAAACAAGGCGATGGAATAGCAATCCTCATGGGCGGGACGATGGGAGGTGGTTACCATGACATGGTGGCCACGGTGACATGGTGGCTAAACAGGACATCGGTGCAGTGCTGAGGATTTTGTTGGTGGTTACTTGATCCCAGAGCAAGGGCCAAGGAGGCAGCACACATGAGGACTTTGCTGGAGTCTTCACAGTGTTTGTACAGACGGTAAAAAACAAAAACGGAAATGTTCAGACAAGTCAAACCATGAAATCACTCATGTGACTCAGGCGTCTCTTTTCCCCTCCACTGCCTCGCATGAATTACTGACCTTCTGACTTTGTGGAGAGATTCCCAGAAAACAAGCCAGAAGCTTTTCTTCCTGTGTCAACAGGAAGTGACCTGGTGAGTTTGCTGTTCATCTTTGTAATGAGATTAATTTCCCTGACATGTAATCTTCTCTTTATTTCAAACAAAAAGGGAACACTTTTGCTCTTTTTGTAATAACTGCAGGCCTTCCACATATTGTCTCTTATTTCCCTAAAGTGTTGTTATCATGACAAAGTGAAATTAAATAAATTTCTACAGTTAGTCCTAAAGGAGAACATTCTCTAAAATATACTTAATCCTTTTAATTTAGAAGGAAAAAGAGGCTGGCTAATCACGTAATACGTCTTTAGCTGGGGAGCTGGAACTAACCTACCTGGGATCTCTGGTTTTTAAATCCAAACACAAAGGCTTTAGTGCTCATCCAGATGGGGGTTTCAGATGTTATCAAGTTAATCTGGTCTCTCTGTTCCCTGGGTGACATTTTCTCACGTGTTGGGTTACGTACCGCTGGAGGGAGTCCCTGCCCTGCATGGGAGGCCTTGGGAGTCTGGTTTCTCTAGTTGGCTGATTCTTTACCAAAAGGAAAGGCTTCTTCACAAGGCCCTTGCCAGACACCCACCCTTTGATGTTCTAGGCAAGGGATCGGTTTTTGTTTTTGTTTTTGTTTTAAGAGACAGGATCTTACTCTGTTGCCCAGGCTGGAGTCCAGTGGTACGATTGTGGCTCACTGAAACCTCAACCTCCCAGGCTCAAGTGATCCTCCTGCCTCAGCCTCCTAAGTAGTTGGGACTACAGACACTTGCCACCATGCCCAGTTAATTTTTAAATTTTTTGTAGAGACGGGGGTCTCACTCTGTTGCCCAGGCAGGTCTTGAACTCCTGAGGTCAAGTGATCCTCCTGCCTTAGCCGCCCAAAGCCCTGGGATCGCAGGTGTGAGCCACCATGACCAACTGAGGGATTGTTTTTATGCAGCAATCACCTGTTGGGCCTGAACAAACGTGTTTCACGTTTGTTTTCCTCAAGTACCTTGAGGCTTCTTCCTGCTAAGCCTTCAGGAAGGGGAGGCAGCCTAGAGAAGCACCTAAAAGCAGCAGCTTGGACTCAGAACAGACCTGGGGTTGAGCCCCAGCTCTGCCACCTCCCCACTGTGTGACCTCAGGCCAGTCATTTATCCTTTCTGGGCCTCCGTTTCCTCATCTATAAAATAGGGATAATGTAGCTCTTTCTTCGTGGCGTTACTGAGAGGTGTATATGGGAGCATAAAGGTAAGGTGCCTAGTGCCACAGTGGGCATAGAACAGACCTTTGCACAACACCCTGGCTTTGAAATCAGTGAAGTCTTTCCATGGGATGAGACTTGCTGAGCCCCTCAGAGATGAAAGGGCCTGGTTCTCGGTAAGTCTAGTCTCCAACCCAGGGAAGGAATGACCACCTTCTGGGGATGAACCCTTGTCTAATTTGATCTCTTTAGGATGGGATCAATGTACACTTTCTGAAAGGGCCAGAGAGTAATTTTCTGCTGCAACTGCTCAATCCTGCAGTGGTAGCACAAAAGCAGCCCCAAGTGACACTTATGCTAATGGACATGATTATGTTCCTATAAAACTGTATTTACTAAAAGAGGGCCTTGGTTTGCAGACACCGCTTTGGGAGAAAGTGATGCAGCCAAAGCATTGCACAGCTAGAGGGGATACTGGAAAACAATGGAGGCACACAGAGACATGGGAGGGGCCCCTGGGCTGTTGCCACAATGCTGCCCTCAAAGCATTTACCCAGAAATTATGCACACACACCACATCTGGAAATCATCAGACTTTTTTGCGGGGTGAGGAACTAAAGATCATTCAGTCATTCATTCCACAAGTGTTTACTGAGCACCTACTATGTGCCCAGCAGTGCTCTAGGGAGTAAAGAAGACAGGTTGGGTTCCAGCCTTGTGGAGTTACATTTTCACAATGAAATTGCTCAGTCACGTGGCTGGTCTTCAGATAAATTCCTAAAATCTTCATTGATCAGAGAAGACATCCTGCAGGGAAGTCCCTGCTTTTTCTTGTGGTCTCATAGCCCCCCTGCCTGTTCCATTAACTTCCACTTTTGGGAGGAAGGAGCAATGGAAATGCCTTGTTAACTGGGCATGAGCCCTTCCCAGCTCTGCTGCAAGGCCCCAAGCTCAGTTCAGTATGTTCATATCCACTGGAAATTCATTGGTACTGCACGTCCCATTCTCTGACCTGGAAGGCACTAGGATGCCCCCACATTTGTGAAAGGAATGCATTTTTGAGCATACGTATTGAAGAGCTTCTGTGTTTCAAGTGGTTTTCCAATCCTGAGCTCCTACAAGGCTTTATAACTACTCTGTAAGGTAATTTGGCCCATTTTGCAGTTAAAGAAAGTGAGGCTCAGAGAGGTTAGATATAATAAATTGCCCAAGGGCACATAGCTTAAAACAGGGCCAGGATTTGAAGTCTTCTGACTTCAAGCCAACTGCTTTTGCCACTCTACTGCATGGACTCCAGGGCCTGGAGTAGGGCTACCTGAGCACTTATTGAAGAAAACAATATATTGAAAAGCTAAGACTTCCCATTGCCTGGCCAGTTTTCATTTTCTCTTCTTCCTTACTATATTACTCTTTAGCTGTGGCAATGGGCCCAGTGTTTATTAAAGAAATGATGCCTTTCCAGTGCCCCTCCAGCAACTGCAGCCACTACCATCTTAGGTTGGGTTTGCTGGGAAATAGAGCCACTGAGATTGTGTGCAGAAAGTTTGACAGGGGCGTAGTCTTGGGTTCCGTACACATGGGGGAGGGAGGAAAGCAGGACTGGGCAGAAGAAGAAGGGGTTGCAATGCAGTTGCAACAGAGGCCCATCCACAGAAAGTTCTGGATCTAGGATGGCCTCAGTGTTGTCCTGTGATGACCCAAGAGGACTGGACCTTTGTACTGGGATGGTCCTACCATTGGATAGGAGCTGCCCTCCTGGAAGAGGTGTGACTTTGGGCAATTCTCTTTGGTTAAGAACAGTCCTCAGAAAATAACTGGATGAAATTATTCTATATACTATATAACCAAATTATATTATAATAATAATTTGGTTAAGGGTAATCCTCAGCTGAGAGCCCTCTGCAGCTTACACCTGGCAGCTGAAAGAAAGGGTTCCTCGTTTGTGAAGAGGGGACCTGTGGGCACACACAGCACCCACTCCAACTATTAGCTGGAAATTCATTCCACATCCCTTAGCCCAAGTACCCAAATCAGGAAACCTGAATGGCTCAGCCAGATGTTGGGTGAACATCACAATCTATATTTAGTCTCCTCAGAGATGGCTGGGGCCACAAACATGGCTAGGCTGATCCACGGGGCAGACAGGCAAGGATGTGTAGTTGGATTAATCAATATCAAGGAGAAAACCAGAATGCTATTGTGGAAACCATCAGCTCTACACAGTCATTAATCTGAGCTACAAATTTGTAGCTAATCTTCTTGTTGGCCAAAGAAAAAAGAAAAATTTGATCATTTGGCATGATTTACATTATCATGTAAGTGAATTTTATAGGAAAAATAACATTTTATCCCCCCATGGTCAATTCCAGGTCAGTTTTCATTTTTACAAAAACCTTATGAGGTAGTGAGCACAGGTTGGAGTTGGTTAAGCAGGAGAAGGAAGCCCCTAGGACATAGTGACAATCGTGAATTCCATGTGGCCCCTCAGCACGGCCAGACGAAGCGTGCCTGTCTATGAGGCTGAGCATGAGTCTGGATGAACCCGCGATACTGATTCTCTTCTTTTTGCAGAAGCAGGTGTTGAGTGTCCAGCACACAGTCGGTGCTCAAGCAGTGCCAGCTGGGAAGCAGGAGGAATGAACAGCCACTTCCTCTGCTCCCTTAGACAAGGGCTCTAGTACACACACAGCTTTTCAAGTCAGAAACCTGAGAAATCGTGGGCTCTTCTTTTCCTCCCCCTTCCCAAATCCAAATTATTGGCATGTTTCTACCTCCAAAATGCATTTCAAATCCTTCCGGCACCTTCCACTTCTGTTACCTCCAACCTAGTCCAAGCCCATGCCATCTCCTGCCTCACCTGCTGATGTAGTCTGCTCCTGGCTCTGTCTGTTTCCGCTTCTGCCTCTTGTTAAATCCATCCTCCCATCTAGTTGCATTTATCTTATAAAAACGTCATCAGAGGCCAGGTGCAGTGGCTCACGCCTTTAATCCCAGCACTTTGGGAGGCCGAGGCGGGCAGATAGCCTGAGGTTGGGAGTTTGAGACCAGTCTGACCAACATGGAAAAACTCCGTCTCTACTAAAAATACAAAATTAGCCGGGCGTGGTGGCACATGCCTGTAATCCCAGCTACTAGGGAGGCTGAGGCAGGAGAATCACTTGAACACGGGAGATGGAGGTTGCGGTGAGCCAGGATTGTGCCACTGCACTCCAGCCTGGGCAACAAGAGCAAAACTCTGTCAAAACAAAAACAAAAACAAAAACAAAACAAAAAAGAAACCTCATCAGATTATATCACACCCCTGCTTAAAACTCTTCAAGATCTGGCCAGGCGCAGTCCTTTACACCTGTAATCCCAGCACTTTTGGAGGCTGAGGCGGGCAGATCACGAGGTCAGGAGATCGAGACCATCCTGGCTAACATGGTGAAACCCCATCTCTACTAAAAATACAAAAAATTAGCCGGGCATGGTGACGGGCACCTGTAGTCCTAGCTACTTGAGAGGCTGAGGCAGGAGAATGGCATGAACCCAGGAGGCGGAGCTTGCAGTGAGCCGAGATTGTGCCACTGCACTCCAGCCTGGGTGACAGAGCGAGACTCCATCTCAAAAAAAAAGAAAAAAATCTCTTCAAGACCTTTCCTTTGCACTTTGTTTTTTTGTTTGTTTTGAGATGGAATTTTGCTCTTGTTGCCCAGGCTGGAGTGCAACGGCATGATCTCGGCTGACTGCAACCTCTGCCTCCCAGATTCAAGCGATTCTTGTGCCTCAGCCTCTCGAGAAGCTAGGACTACAGGTGCGTGCCACCACACCTGGCTAATTTTTGTATTTTTAGTAGAGATAGGGTTTCACCATGTTGGCCAGGCTGGTCTCAAACTCTTGACCTCAGGTGATCCCCCAACCTCAGCCTCCCAAAGTGCTGGGATTACAGGCGTGAGCCACCATGCCCAGCCTCCTTTGCACTTTGAATAAAATCCCCATTTCTTATGGAGACCCTGCTTGATCTGACCTCTGTTTACTTTTCCAGCCTCATTTTGTGCCCTCATCACTCACGTGCTGTTCTTCATAAGGCCAGGGACCATGTCAGTCATGTCCATTGCCCGATTTTTATGTCCTCACTCAGGACCTGGTGCAGAGTAAGCATCAGTAGCTGCGATTACAGGCATGTGCCACCACGCCCGGCTAATTTTGTATTTTTAGTAGAGATGGGGTTCTTCCCATGTTGGTCAGGCTGGTCTCAAACTCCCGACCTCAGGTGATCCACCTGCCTTGGCCTCCCAAAGTGCTGGGATTACAGGCATGAGCCACCGCACCTGGCCTCTGATGAGGTTTTTATAAGATAAATGCAACTAGATGGGAGGATGGATTTAATAAGAGGCAGAAGCAGAAACAGACAGAGCCAGGAGGGGGCTACCTCAGCAGGTGAGGCAGGAGATGGCATGGGCTTGGACTAAGTCAGGGGCAGCATTGGGGAAGAACAGTGGGCAACCATGTTTGATCAAAAGATAGTAGGCCCAGCACTTTGGAAGGCTGAGGCGGGAGGATAGCTTGAGGCCAGGAATTTGAGACCAGCCTGGGCAACATAGCCAGACCCCATCTCTATGTCAAAATATTAAAAATTAGCTAAGTGTGGTGGTGCACATCTGTAGTCCTAGCTGCTTATAAAACTCCTAGCTGTCCCAAGCAGGACAAGGTGAGGCAAGAAGATTGCTTGAGCCCAGGAGTTGGAGGTTACAGTAAGCTATGATCATGTTACTACATTCCAGCCTGGGTGACAGAGTCAGACTCTGTCTCTTAGGAAAAATAAATGAATGAAGACAGACAGAAATCCCTCTCTTGGCTACAGCTCATGGCCAAGCCATGGACTCCAAATTCAGAGGTGCCTCCCTATTTCCATAAGGATCCCTAGCTTTAAGTCATTGGTGGTTCGGACTCCTGTGATCTACGAAGTTTGGAAAGATAAGAGCCATTGATGCAGTACGACTTGCAGCCTCCAAATGTGGCACAGCCCAGTGTGAATTAAACACCTCAGAATCATTGATCTGCCCATTTGTACTTCCTTCCTTTCTTTAATCTTTCAGTGGGGCTTCAATCTTCCCTCTCACATTTTAAATTTCCTCTGTTCAGTGATTGTCTATGGAGGAGAGTTTATCACACTCGTGCATCTCTCCCATCCCATAATCAGCTCTGTGGAAACACAAGTCAGCCTCCTTGGATCTCCAGCCTCACAAACAGCACCTGGGCCATGTGATGCTTCTTGTTCTAAGTGCATCATTGATTTATTAAACATTTTTGCATAAAATTCTGCATGCATTTTGCATGTTGGAAAGCTACCCCCTTCCCTTCTGTGTAATAGAAAACCTGAAAGAGAGCAGGGATCTTGAGATTTGGGTGTCCCTTTCTGTCTCGATTTGTTGACTTTCTGAATAGAGTATGCTGTGATAGTTTCAAAAGCCTTTTTACTTTTGAGGAAGGCAGACCTCTGAGCACCTCTCTAAAATGTACTTCTAGACACTTCCTGGCATTGCCACCTTCCCTAAGCACATTTGTATGCTAGCTCTGTAGTGTGCTAGCAAGAGCCTGGGTTGGCATCAGACAGAGTCAGCAGAAAAGCCATTTACTAGCTGTGTGATCTTAGGCAAGTCACTTAACCTCTCTGAGCCTGTCTTGAATAAGTTTCGTGTGATGATATATTTCTGATGATATATTTTTGAGATGACATATGTGAAAATGCCTGGCACACAGTAGGTTCTGGATCCATATTCATTTATCTTCCTCTCTTTTCCTATTGCATTGCTTGATTTATTTCAAATTTATTATGAGAACCATGTATTTTCCTCCAAATTGGCATGATAATCGAAAGAGCAAATTTTCATAAAAGGAGTTAAACAAAAGTGGAAACAACACCACACACAGAGCTGTGTGGTTCCTCTCCCTGAGTCATGCATTTATTCACTCATTTTAGAAGAATTGATTGAGTGCTGGGTAATACAGAATCCTAAGATGCATAATATACTTCTGTCTCTGTTGGCGAAAGCCCAAATAGGCAACTCTGCAGACACTTAGGCAACCAGGCCCTGGCCAAGGCCAACTCCTACCCATGAAGGATGCAAGAGAATTGGAGGTAGGCACGTGGGAAGCATGATAAGTGTGAAATGGGTTCCATCAGTCATGACAGGCTAGCTCTCAGCTGCTACCCATCCTCTACCACACAGTCCAATCTCAGGCCATTCAGTGGAACCAATCTCCATTTTGGTGATTATTACCTATTACCAACAGGTATTTATTTATTGTGTTCCCAGTATCCAGTTTGGCTCTGTGGATAGAGAGGGGAGAACAGACCTCAGCCATGGTCATCTTCTCCATGCCTCAGTTTCCTCACCTGTGACATGAAGATAAAAATTGTACATACCTTATGGGATTGTTGTGACAATGACATGGGTTAGGATGTGTAAAGTTCAAAGTGCTTGGAACCATGCCATCACCTAGGGAGTGCTCTGAGAGCATTTGTTAAACGATCCACCTTCTGGAGTATCCATGGCAGGGGCTTCAAATATTGCTATTTAAATGTGCATCCATGGTACAGTTCATTAGCATAAAGAATGTTAAAAAATGCATTTCATTGACGAAGTGAGCAATACTCAAGATAGATGGTTAAGGCCGGCTGCGGTGGCTCATGTCTGTAATCCCAGCACTTTGGGAGGCCGAAGTGGGCAGATCACTTCAGGTCAGGAGTTCAAGACCAGCCTGGCCAACATGGCAAAACCCCATCTCTACTAAAAATACGAAAATTAGCCAGGTGTGGTGGCGGGTGCCTGCAATCCCAGCTCCTTCGGAGGCTGAGGCAAGAGAATCGCTGGAAACTGGGAGGCGGAGATTGCAGTGAGCCGAGATCGTGCCACTGCTCTCCAGCCTGGGCGACAGAGCAGGACTCCATCTCAAAAAAAAAAAAAAAAAAAAAGATAGGAGGTTGGCTAAAATGACTGAACAGACACTTTTGCCCTGGAATGTACAAGATAAAAGAATCTGGCAAAGCTGGCTGCCTGACACTTTCAGAGGAAATTTCTAGGTCTAGACCTCCATTTGGTCTTTCTTCTGACTTCTGGTCCAACCAGAAGGCCAGCTGACCCTGCTGTTGAGCTATGACTGCAAAATGATTCTTTCCTGCAAAATGTGTGTCAGAGTGCTGCAGAGGCAGAGTGGGACTTACTGGGACCCACATGTGGGTGATTTTCTGCCTCTTTGTACATGTGGCAGAACGACTTTCATTGTAAAACCACCAGGTAGCAAGGTTGATAGGGGGAGATGTATAGCTCCCACCTTCCTCTAATTATCAGAGACCCCTATTATTTCCAAAAAGAGCCTGACAGCTGTTGAATGGGCAAATTGGCTTAGGTCAGTTCACAACAGCTGAAGTGTTTAGAACAGTTCCTGCCACATAGCATAGCTCTCCCATGTTCAGCCACTACTACCCAGTAGCATAATTAGAGAATGGTCAAGTGTTAGATCACATGGAACAGATGACATTTGAGAAGCCCCAGAATTTGCAAAGAGCAAGGTCAGGAGAGTGTAGCCAGAGTTAAACTTGGCCTCCAGGGACTGGGATTTAGTGCCAGTTCCCTTCTGTATCAGCTTTGCATTCCTGGGCAAATCAGAAACGCCCCTAAGCCTCAGTTTTCTCAACTGTAAAATGTAGTTCATTTGATCCATTTTTGCCAATGTAGTAATTAAGGAGCTGGAATGCTTCCTAAACATAATGCCTGGCCCAAATGTAGGCGTTTCTTATTTCCTTGCCCCTACGGATCTCCCTCTTTCTCAATGTTGATTATTGATCCCTGTGCTGTCACAGTGCTTCGTGTTGAGCAGCCATCCCTGCGATTGTTTGCACAGTCAGTTTGTGCAGTGCTTATCAGTTGGCCTGGAGACAGGTGATTTTGCCCTGAATAGTCCCCTTTCTCCAGAGTTCATTTTCTCCTCCAACCCGCCCAGTCTGCAGGATGTCAATCTTCCAGCTCTCAGGCCTGGCTCACCCCCAGGCAGGGATCTCTGCAGAGGACATCTGCGGGACACCTGTTTGGGCACCCACAACATATCCCTTGCATCTGTCCTCTCAGCACTCTCTCACTGCCCTGCCTGTGGCTCAGGGTCTCAACATCTCTGCCTGGACCTTTGCAGTAGCCTCCAATTTCTCAGCCCTGCCCTCAAACCCAGTCTTCATGGTGCCAGAGGAGTCATCTTCTAAAATACCAATCTGGTTGTGTCACTTATCTGCCTAAAACTCATCCTCCATGCCTCATTGCCTATGGGACTAAGTCCAGACTGATTAGGGTGACACAGAATGCCCTGCCAATCTGGCTCCTGGCAACTTTTGCTTCTTCTTCTCTCCACCCAGCTTTATTCCTCACCATCTCCGCTCCCCTGATACATATCCTAAACTCTAGCCTTGTCTGATACCTTCATTTATTTGCACTCTAGAAGAGTCTTCTTCCACCTCTGGTCCTTGGAGAGCTCTACTCTTTTCTCTTTAAAAACACAGCTTGAGGCATGGCGCTGTGGCTCACAACTGTAATCCCAGCACTTTGGAAGACTGAGGCAAGTGGATCTCTTGAGGTCAGGAGTTCGAGACCAGCCTGGCCAACATGGTGAAACCCTGTCTCTACTAAAAATATAAAAATTAGCTGGGCGTGGTGGTGCATGCCTGTAATCCTAGCTACTTGGGAGGCTGAGGCAGGAGAATCACTTGAACCAAGGAGGCAGAAGTTGTAGTGAGCCGAGAATGTGCCACTGCAGTCCAGCCTGGGCAACAGAGTGAAACCATGTCTCACAAAAACCAAAACAAGACACAGCTTGAGGGGCCCCTGTGTGAAGCTTTCTTCCCCTAGAATCAGAGTCAGCTCTCTACTCTGAGGACTCCTCTGGGATCTTGTGAATTTATGGTCTTGAGACCCTGGTGTGTCACTTCTGAGGACACTTTGAGGCCTTGACTGTGGTTCTCTCATCTTTGGATGCCCAGCACATGTGGCATACAGTAGGTGCTCAATCATTGCTGAATGAAATGGATGTGTTGATATCACCTTAGGGGTGTGTGTGATAACAGGGATCTCAGAGGGGCATTTAGAAGAATAAAAACGGAAGGAGAAGGAGGGGCGTGGGGAGGCAGCCTTAGAAGCCAGGAGATGACGGGCCCACAGATCCAGTTTATCTTTCACCTCTTTAGCCTCGGGGCTAAGTCAATAGAAAAGGCAATGACAGCACATAAGTAAGGGACACATTTGTCAATAGGCTCCTGGGAATTGATTCTTGCAGAAACAGAGGCCTCCCTGGGCTGTCAATACTCTGGTTCCTGCGGGTTGTGGCTCCAGTCTGACTCATCCCCTGGCTCCCACTCAGATCTTTGCTGCGAGCTCATCTCAAGGGCTGGTGATCACAGGCAGGAACGATGGAGCTGGAGAAGAGAAGAAGAGAAGAGAAGAGAAGAGAAGAGAAGAGAAAAGAAGGAGAGATTCCAAGTATGAGAAAGACTAGACTTTGGAGGTAGAGAAAGGAGTTCACGAGCCAAGGACATAGGTGGCCTCTAGAAGCCAACAGCCAGCAAGAAAATAGGGATCAGAGACACAGCCCTGCTGACACGTGTGTCTGACTTACAGAACTATAAAAGAACAAATATGTGTTGCTTAAGCCACTAAGTATGATCATTTGTTATGGTAGAAATAAAGAACAACTAATAGGCTAAAATTAGTTGCTAAAGGAGAAATAGGGAAAACAGGCAAGGGTAACAACATGAGCAAAGGCTTGGAGGTAGGAGGGAAGTGCATGTTTAAAGAATGGAGAGGAAACTCCTCCTCCACACGGAGGTCTCATGAGGAAGCAGAGTGGGAGGGAACTTGGGGAGGGCAGGTCTGGGGCTCTGTGTGGTGCCAGGGGAGCTGGTGGCAAGTGGCAAGGACAGAAACAAGACAGTAGGTGAATGAGACTGGGACCCGCAAATGCAGATGCCTACAGGGCAGGTCATCTGAAATGAGTAGAACGAGGGAGGCAGAGGAACACAGCCTGAGAACTGGGACAAATGACAATTAACTGGAAGGTTGGGGGATCACTAGGGAGTGGTGGAGACTACAGCTAGCTGGGGATCTCAGGCCTGAGGTAAGGAGGCAGTCCCATCCAGTGTCAGCATCTTTGCCCTGCAGGAATGTGAGCCTCATGTGGCCAGACAGCTCATTTTTCTTTCTTTCTCTCTTTTTCTCTTCCTTCTTTCCTTTCTCTCTTTCTTTTCTTTCTTTCTTTCTATCTTTCTTTCTTTCCTTGTTTCTTTCTCTTTCTTTCTTTCTTTCTTTCTTTCTTTCTTTCTTTTCTTTCCTTCTTTCTTTCTTTCTCTTTCCTTCCTTCTTTCTCTCTTTTCTTTTCTTTTCTTTTCTTTTCTGGCAGAGCCTCACACTGTTGCCCAGGCTGGAGTGTGATGGTGTGATCTTGGCTCACCTCAACCTCTGCTTCCTGGGTTGAAGCAATTCTCTTGCCTCAGCCTTCTTGAGTAGCTGGGATTACAGGCACCTGCCACCATGCCGAGCTAATTTTTTGTATTTTTAGTAGAGATGGGGTTTCACTATGTTGGCCAGGCTGGTCTCAAACTCCTGACCTCAGGTGATCCACCCGCCTTGGCCTCCCAAAGTGCTGGGATTACAGGCATGAGCCACCGTGCCCGGCCTGACAATTCACTTTTCAAAAGAAGCCAGAAATTCAAAATGCTCCTGATACCCAAAAGTTGATAACAATTCATTGATGTTTAACCTGTGTGGGGCAACATGGTGTCTGTCACCTGAAGCACATCTGCAGGCCAGCTTCTGACCTGTGTTTTCTGCTCCCAGCTTTCTCTCTTCCTGGTTTCTGGATTCCAGGCTGATTCTCCCTTTGGACTGGGTAAGCCCCCAGGGTGATTACACAATTCAGGAGTGGGAGGCTTGAGGGGTGCAGAGTCTGGACTTCCCACTAGCAAGGGCCCCAGTGATTCATTATTAAAATAAGAGATGAGATCATCCTTCCTCTTCCCAACCCCTCTCCCCAAGCATCCCCCAAAGAAAAGGAAAAGAAAAAAGAAAAACGCTTTCTGGCATGCTTGCTCTTAACTTTTGGGGCCAAATGGTGACAGTCAGGGGTGCAGGTGCCAGGTAAGGATGACTGGGCTGCCATTCTCAAAACATGCTTAAGGCTTGCATGGCCTCGGATAAAGCAGTCCCTCTGACCCTTAGTTTCCTTACCATATAGGGTTTTGGTGAGCATCACATGGGGTAGACCATGCAATATGCTTTGCTGTTGTTTCTTGATGTGTTGTATTTATGAACATGCAACCTAGACTGCATGCCCCCAAAGTGAAGCATGCATATGCATGCATTACTTATTAAAAGTAATGCAAAAACCGCAATTACTTTTGCACCGTCCTAATAAATACCTGCCGACTTCCCCTTAGACCCTGGACTTTGGTGCTGAGGAAAAACAGGCCTGGGTGGGGGCTTGCTGCCTGGGTTGAGGGAGGGCAGGGACAGGACAGGCAGCCACAGTCCTCCCTCCTGGCCCTGCCCAGACTTACCTGGAGCCTTTGGGAGGGGTGACAGAAAGGGAGGGCAACAGTTTGGATTTCTTGTCGGCAACTAATTTATGCTGCATTTTAATCTGAACTGAATTAAATATTCTTCTTCCCCAAAGCTATCATCTATCCAACTCTCTACCAACTCTCTATCTATTGTAATTAATTCTTTTTACCTTTTGCTTTTGGGATTTTTTTTTTTTTTTGAGACGGAGTCTCACTCTGCTGCCCAGGCTGGAGTGCAATGGGGCAATCTCAGCTCTCTGCAACCTCTGCCTCCTGTGTTAAAGTGATTCTCCTGCATCAGCCTCCCAAGTAGCTGGGTGCTCACCACCACGCCCAGCTAATTCTTGTCATTTTAGTAGAGGCGGAGTTTCACCTTATTAGCCAGGCTGGTCTTGAACTCCTGACCTCAAGTGATCTGCCCACCTCAGCCTCCCAAAGTACTGGGATTATCGGTGTGAGCCACCACTCCTGGCCTTCTTTTTACCTTTTCTATGTTACTAGGCTGAGTGTCGCTGGGGAAGCAAGTCTAAGTGCTAAAGCCTATATATAAGAAAAATTCAAGTGGGAGCAGCTACCCTGGGGTATTTGTCTCAGAGTTTGCCCTCCTGAAGGAGCAGATCTGAGTTACTGAGAGTATAGTCACCTTCAGCCACTTCACAATGTGGCAACACCACAGTGTCATTTTTCTTTTTCAACTTTTATTTTAGATTCGGGTGTACATGTGCAGGTTTGTTACACGGGTATATTGTGTGATGCTGAGATTTGGGGTACAAATGATCCCGTCACCCAGGTACCAAGCATAGTACCCAACATGCAACCTAGACTGCATCCCCCCATTTTCAACCCTTGCTCCTCTCATTCCCTCCCACTTCTAGCAGTTCCCAGTGTCTATTGATCCTGTCTTTATGTCCATGAGTACCCATTGTTTAACTCTGAGACTGCAGTTTGACCAAAAGTCTCACTTGAGCTAACTTTCAGGGCCAAATGGGGTCAGTCAGGAGCGCAGGTGCTGGGTAAAACTGGCTGGACTGCCACTCTGGAAACGGGCTTAAAGGCTCATGTGGCCCCTGATAAAGGATAAAGCAGTCGCTCTGAGCCTTAGTTTCCCTACTTTACAGGGTTTTGGTGAAGATCATATAGGGTAGACCCCCCTCCCCCTCCCTTTTTTTTTGAGACAGAGTCTCGCTCTGTTGCCCAGGCTGGAGTGCAGTGGCATGATCTGTGCTCACTGCAAACTCCGCCTCCTGGGCTCAAGTAATTCTCCTGCCTCAGCCTCTCGAGTAGCTGGGTTTATAGGTGTGCACCACGATGCCTGGCTAATTTTTGTACTTTTAGAAGAGACAGGGTTTCACTGTGTTGGCCAGGCTGGTTTTGAACTCCTGACCCCAAATGATCCACCTGCCTCAGCTTCCCAAAGTGCTGGGATTACAGGTGTGAGCCACCATGCCTGGCCTTGATGTGTTATATCTATGAACGTGCAACCTAGACTGCATCCCCACAAAGTGAAACATGCACACTGTTACAGCAAACTAAATATGGCTTGAGAAGGACTCCGTACTTCTATATTTGAGTCCTTGCGGATGAACTGTAACCTAGTTTAATAGTCAGACAAAATTGAAAACCTAACTTAATCATATGCACCCCTAGCAATAGCTGAGTGTTGGCCAATCCCAACAGCCATACTTCAACCACTCATAGACTGCTGAGTGTTCAAACTGCGTTCAAATAAGGCAAACGCTGAGCTGTAACCAATCTTGCTATTTTGTAGCTCACTTCTGATTCCTGTATGTCACTTTACCTTTTTTGTCTATAAATTTATTCTGACTATGAGCCACCCCCGGAGCTTCTGTGAATCTGTGATTCTGGGGTCTGCCGATTCGCGATTCATTCATTGTTCAATTAAACTCCTTTAAATTTAATTCGGCTGAGGTTTATCTTTTATCAACATGCACGCACACTGTATGTGACGTCTGCTTGTTCCTGGATCCACTCCCCATTCCTGCCTGTTCCTCTGCTGCCTTACTTTGCACTGGAAGGAGCTATTAGGTTGGTGCAAAAGTAATTGTGGTTTTTGTCATTGAAAGTAATGGCAAAAGATTAGACTCTATACTCAAAGGAATATAAATCATTCTACTATAAAGACACATGCACATGTATGTTTATTGGAGCACTGTTTACAATAGCAAAGACTTGGAACCAACCCAAATGCCCATCAATGATAGACTGGATAAAGAAAATGTGGCACATATACACCATGGAATACTATGCAGCCATAAAAAAGAATGAGTTCAGATTCTTTGCAGGACATGGATGAAGCTGGAAGCCATCATTCTCAGCAAACTAACACAGGAACAGAAAGCCAAACACCACATATTTTCACTCATAATTGGGAGTTGAACAATAAGAATACATGGACACAGGGAGCGGATCATCACACACCAGGGCCTGTTGGTGAGTGAGGGACAAGGGGAGGGAGAGCATTAGGACAAATACCTAATGCATGTGGGGCTTAAAACCTAGATGACAGGTTGATAGGTGCAGTAAACCACCATGGCACGTGTAGCAGACCTGCACGTTCTACACCTGTATCCCAGAACTTAAAAAAAAAAAGATCAGGCTCTCTTTCTGGCTTCCAGATGGGTTTGGCCACTGAAGGGCGCTAATGAAAGACTGGTGGACAGAAGGAAGTGCAAAGTTAGGGGATCCTTCCCCTTCCCTTTGCTTCCTGTGGCATCTCTGGAAACTTCTATGTTTCCATGATCTCAGCTTCCCGAGAATCTGGTGGAATTTTACTGGTTGCTATGACAGGGAACTTCCTTGAATATGTCCACGTGCTAAGTGCTTCACATGCCTCTTAATATTTTTTAATCCCCTTAATAGCCCTATGAAGAAGATGCTACAATCCATATCCCCATTTTACAGATGGGGACACTGAGTCTCAGAGAGGTTAACTTGCCCGCTGCTGTCCCACTGCCAGTCAACAGTGTAGCCAGATGGTGAACTGAAGCAGTGTGACTCCAGAGCCCATGCTCATTTTACTCACCGAGGCTGTCTGTGTTACAGGTAGTCTGTGCAGCCAGCTCAGGCCTCGCTGTAATCAGCAAACCACATCCCTAACCACCAGGCTGAGCCACCCCCAAAGGCTGTGGCAGTTAAAGTTTTAACAGACACAACTAGCTGGGCCAGAGAAAGACTCTGCAGCTTTGATGGGAGACAGGATCCCATCCGGGCAGTTCCAGGAGATGGCTTTGCTTTGAATAGATAACTCAATATAAAGGAGAAGAGAAAATGGAGGGGTGGAGAGAAGGGAGAGGTAGGGAGGGGGCGTGGAGAGAAAGTCCCCTGTTTCACAGAGCCCAGCCCCGAGGAGACACTCTCTGATGACCAGGGGGAAGGCTTTGAAAAGTGGAGGGGCAGCACCTCAAACCCTGCTCCCTGAAAGTGGGGGTGGATCCCGGCAGAAATCACATGAGGACCCCTGCTGTGGAGCCGGGAGACCGGAAAAGAGTTCAGGTGATAAAAAAAAAAAAAAGATGTTAATAGAGTAATAGAGGACTGAAATGCATCTGTCTGTAATTCCAGTCTTCTAATTCCACTTTTGAAATCCTGGAGAGAGAGCGTTGGCAAGCTGCTGCATCCTCCAGCCCAGCCAGGCTCTGCTCATCCCAAGATGCTGCTCGAAGCCGGGCACATCTTTTGTTGGTTTATGATGGGAAAGTCGCCATGTTAAATGTGGCCAAGCAAGCATCTGGGTTTGAGTGACTCTCTCCCTCCGTCTCCCAGGTCCCTGAACTCTTTGCTGGCCACAGATGATAACATCTGGAGAGGACCCCTCTTCCCACAAAAATGGGTTCACAAAAAAGGAACCCCAGCCGGGTGTGATGACTCATGCCTGTAATCCCAGCACTTTGGGAGGCTAAGGTGGGCGGATCACTTGAGGCCAGCAGTTCGAGACCAGCCTGGCCAACATGGCGAAACCCTGTCTCTACTAAAAATTAGTGGTGGCGCACACTTGCCATCCCAACTACCTGGGAGGCTGAGGCATGAGAATTGCTTGAATCCAGGAGGCGGAGAGATTGCAGTGAGTCAAGATGGTGCCACTGCAATCCAGCCAGTGAGACTCAAATGAAAAAAAAAAAAAAGGAACCCCAAGGATGCCTCCAGTCCATTCTCCAGAAAGAACATTTTTAAGCACAAAAATTGGTCCTGTCTCTCCCCTGCTGGAATTCTTTGGTGACTTCCTATTCTGCTTAAAAAAAAAATTTCAAACTCCTTACTAAGCCAACTAGGCCCTGTGTGATCTTGCCCTTGCCTTCTGGAAACCTCACCTTGGACCACTCTCCCCTTCGTCTACCAAGCTTCAGCTGATCAGCCCCCTCTCCATTCCTTAAACACACCCCACTCCCCATCTCTACCACGGGCCTTTGCACACCCAGCTTCCTCTTCTTGTGCCTCCCTTCCAGCTGCTCCCTGGAAGCCTGGCTCCTTTGCATTCTCCAGCCTCAGCTTACGCGCCTGGTGGCATTTCTCTTCAGAGATGAGGTCTATTCTTTTCTGTCTCAACATCCTTTTTAGTAATCCCCCATTACGTGGTTAATTTATGTATTGCGTGTCCCTTTCCCTGGCCTTGCAGGATTCAGGGAACGTCAGGCTTGTCTGACTTGCACAAGCCCCTCCCTCAGTGCTCAGTGCCTAAGCACAAGGTGGGTGCTCAGTGGATGTTTGATGATTCCATGACTGGCTGAAGGAGGACAGGGAGCAGGAAGCAGAGCTGGAAGCTGCTGCAAGAGGAGTGGGACCTGCCAGAGGTGACCATTCCTGGAGGGGCAGGGACGCAGAGTCAGTAGCCAGGGGTTGGCTGGCAGAGAGGGGACTAGGCAAGAGGCAGCCTCTGCAGATCTGCTTCCAGGGTGCCCAGCCTTTCTGTTGGCATCTTACCCTCCACTGGCAAACCCTGTGTGTGGTTAGATTGGGTGGATGTGGGCTCTGATGCCTTCGTTTTATTTGGGTTGGTTGGGCCAGGGATACCAGCTTCTTACGCATTTCGCTCTTTCCTTCTTTTTGCACATCTATGCAACAGCAATAAAGCTGTGAGTGGTTATTCCCCATCCCACCATAATTTTTCGACTATTCTGAGATCATGTCAGGAAAGCATGACAAGAGACATGATGAGGCCAGGCGTGGTGGCTCACTCTTATAATCCCAGCCCTTTGGGAGGCCAAGGCAGGTGGATTGTCTGAGCTCAGGAGTTCGAGACCAACCTGGGCAACACAGTGAAACCCAGTCTCTACTAAAATACAAAAATTAGCCTGGCATGGCAGCATGCGCCTGTAATCCCTGCTACTCGGGAGGCTGAGACAGGAGAATTGCTTGAACCCAGGAGGCAGAGGTTACAGTGAGCCGAGATGGCACCACTGCATTCCAGCCTGGGTGACAGAGCGAGACTCCATCTCAAAAAAAAAAAAAAAAAAAGAGATATGATGAAACACAGAAAAGACACTACAGCATGCACATACAGACATATAAATGTGTGCAAATCATACATGTTCAAAATAATACACATTATTATTTAATATGTATGCTTTATTTACACAAAGGTGACCAGTAGAAGAATTAAGAACTGATTTAGCTATCTTGGGAAGAAGGATGAAAGAGAGGCAGGTGAGTTTTTGGTGAGCTGAGTCTTCATTTATCCCGGTAGAAGGTCAGTAGATAAAGTGCATAGTTGATAAAGCAAGAAGTGGTGGTAGAAACACATTATTTGGAGATATGGAGGTGATCACCAGAACTAAAAATAGAAACAATTTTAACATTTAAAAAGCAGTTGCCTCTGGGTTTGAGAGGGGAGGATTATTTTTCATTATGAGCCAGTTAGTGCTACTTATTTTTGAAATTATGTGTACATATAACTTTGGTACAAAATTTACATTTAAAAAGGATGCAATTCTGTGGTTTTGATAAATTTTAAAAATATTTTATATTTTCTAAAATAGTAATATATGTATTTTGTTTTCTCCAAAAGATAGGACAAGTGAAACTGCAGCAGGAGGATGGAAACAGGTTAGAAGGAAGAAATGCCACTTAAAAATCTGGAAAACAGGCCGGATACAGTGGCTTATGCCTGTAATCCCAGCATTTTGGGAGGCCGAGGCAGGTGGATCACGAGGTCAGGAGATTGAGACCAGCTGGGCCAACACGGTGAAACCCTGTCTTTACTAAAAATACAAAACTTAGCTGGGCGTGGTCCCAGCTACTCAGGAGGCTGAGGCAGGAGAATAGCTGGAACCTGGGAGGCAGAGGTTGCAGTGAGGAGAGATAGCACCACTGCACTTCAGCCTGGCGACAGAACAAGACTCTGTCGCAAAAAAAAAAAAAAAAAAAAAAAAAAATCTGGAAAACAGGTCAGATACAGTGGCTTACACCTAAAATTCCAAAACTTTGGGAGGCCAAGGTGGGTGGATCACTTGAGCCCAAGAGTTTGAGACCAGCCCGGGCAACACAGTGAGCCCTCATCTCTCTCTCTCTATGTAAAAAAAATCTGGAAAAAAAGTTAAGACTGTGCAACTGTGCATGCTGTGCCTCTCCCAGGCTTTTCGGGCTAGTTGCATGGACTGTTGCTTTTTCTGGCATGTTCTCTCCAGTTCCACTCCATTCTGTGTTTCTAGGAATAACTCAGATCCTGGACAGCCATGTAACCCCAACATCTTTCTTCACCATACAATTGTGGGTAGAGAGAATTAATTACAGAGAAACCCACATTGCCCTGAGCAGTGTCAGTAAACAGTACATGAAAATCAAAAGGTCCCTGAGATGTCCAAATCCCTTCAGCAGAGTGTCCTTCCTCGCAGAGCCGAGGGCAGTGCAGATGGGGAGCTCAGGGTCTTCCTGGGGCACCTTCTCCATGTAGCCCCATATTGTCACCTTCCTGCAGTCTCGCTGAGTCCTGCAGACATCGCTGCCATTTCCCTGCGTTCTTGCTTGGCTCCTGGACTGTCTGAATTCTACGTGGCATTCCTCGAAGCTTTAGACAGAAAGGAGAACGAGCGACTCCAGTTTCTCCTTTAGCCGGGAGCCATCTCCCCCTCCCCTACTGCTCTTTCCCTCTTCTCCCGCGGGTCACTCACACTGCTCTGGGAGCTCCGCTTCTCTGACAGCCCCTCCCTGCAGGGCCCTTCCTGGGCACTGGGTTGTGCCACATCCCTGCTCCTGGCTGCTGGGCCTTGCAAGGCCATGTCTGCAGACACTGTAATTCGGTCTTTACAGGTATGACTATAAAATCATATGACTGTTAATTTCATTTTTTGACATAGGGTCTTACTTTGTCACCCCACTGGAGTGCAGTGGCGCAATCTCTGCTCACTGTAGTCTCGACGTCCTGGGGTCAAGTGCTATGCCTGCCTCAGCCCTCTGAGTAGCTGGGACTACAAGCATGCACCACCCTGCCTGGCTAAGTTTTGTATTTTTTTGTAGAGACGGGGTCTTACCACGTTACCCAGGCTGGTCTTGAACTTCTGAGCTCAAGTGATCCACCTCGCAAAGTGCTAGGATTACAGGTGTGAGCCACCACACCTGGCCTGACTTATTTTAAGTCATCAACACCTCCAATGTCCCCTTGGAAGCTCTCAGGCCCTTTGGAAAACTCAGAAATTCCAGTCATGCTGCCATGAATCCTGTGGGGATCCACTTTCAGATCCCATGTCCCAGTAGCTCCTTGGTGCCAGTCTTCAGCCTTCAAGCACAAACATGAGTCCTTTGGGGGCTACAGCCTGCTTCTCTCAAAAAGGCCACAGGTTGGAAACCAGGCATGCTCAAGAAAGGGGGTTACCTTGCTCGTGTGGGTGTGACAGTCCTCTGTGAGTGTCCTTGCCTGAGACTGGAAGCAAAGCTGGCCTTCCCAGCACTTGGTCTTTGCATAACCCAATGTGTGTGCTTTCTATGGTGTGAGCCCGGGCAGGTCAGTGGTCCCAAGGCTCGGTGGGGAAGACGCCATGATGCTTTGACAAAACATGGAGTCATCACCCATGTGGCCTCTGCTCCTTTCCTTTTCCCTCTCCTGTTTCCCTGACTGTCCTTAAGGAAACTCTCACTCTCTATTTGTCCTCCGCGGTCTTGTCTTTCTGTCCTTTGGCGGCAGGGAAAGGACGCAGTCGGCATTTCCACAAACAGCTCAATGCCCAGGCTTTGCCAAGGGGCTTTCTCTTATCTCTCGGCTCTCCTTTCTCAGAACGATGTTCAGGGCCGGTTTCAATTTGGGGATTAATCTAACCAAAGTACAGAATCTACTTCTCTGCATGGAGAATGCGCTCCAGTCTTGTTTATCTGTCCTCCTCTTAACCCCTCCCTGTTGCACCCTAATCTTTGGAGCTTAAAAAGGCTTAAAATGCTTCTTAGGCATGGGATAGTTCTAATACAGCAACTATTGATGAGCTAAACAGAAATGACTTCGAAACTTAGTGTGTGAACTTTCCAACGTGACCGTGTCGCTGCACGTCAAGCAAAAGGGGAAGGAAAGAGTCGTCCTGTTGTCTCATTTTGTCAGATATTTTCTTCCTGGGAAAAGGGTGATCATCAGGATGTTCAAATCTGGAACCTTGACTCTGCCTTTGAGGCAGTGATGCAGAGCCAGTCCCCTCCCTTCACTCGCTCAGCTGATAAGATGGTGACAATCAGCACAGTGGCCTCACCCCAGCACAGCCTAAGCCCAGGGACTCTGAGCTTACCCTTACAGAGGAGTCATTTCCTTCCACATCACCCACTGTTTCCACTGATACACAGCAAAATGTCATAATATAATGTAAACATCAGGTATTATTATTATTGGAGCAGAATCATTTTTTTTCAAGACAGGGTCTCTGTTGCCCAGGCCAGAGTTCAGCGGGGTGATTACAGCTCAATGCAATCTCGACCTCCCAGGCTCAAGTGACCCTCCTGTCTCAGCCTCCTGAGTAGCCGGGACTACAGGCACACACCACCATATCCAACTAACTTTTTTGATTTTTAGTAGAGATGGGGTCTCACTCTGTTGCCCAGGCTAGTCTTGAACTCCTGAGCTCAAGCAATCCTTCTGCCTCAGCCTCCCTAAGTGTTGGGATTACAGATATGAGCCACCGCATTTGGCCCCAAGTTGCCCCTTGCAGTTTGAAAACTGCTTTCACATGCATTATTTCATTTGCTGCTCAGCACAACCCGGTCAGGTAGGTACAAAGATTCCCATTTGCCAGATGAGGAAACTGAGGCTCATAGAGGGGAAATGATTTTCCCAAGGGATCTAGTTACCAAGCTATTGTGTTAGGATTTGACCCCAAGGTTTTGAATCCTCAGCCCCCCTGTGACCCACTCCCAGTCCAGCTGCTTCTGGTAGTGATGGACAAAGTTGCAAGGTCCATGGTGATGGTGGGCAACTGTGGGCAGGGTGCAAGCACTTGGCAGTATCAAGAAAAGTAACCTCCATGATTCATTCTCAAATCAAATCAGTTGCAGGCTCCATTCAATAGGATGGGAAGGGAAAGGACCCAAAAGGTATCTGAGTTGAAATGCTCATGTGAAGAACATCTACCTTGTGAGTTGGGGAATTGGAATCCAGTGACATTCAAATCATGTTGGGTATGTTAAGCTTACCATGCACATGGGAAGGGGGCTGGAGAATGAAGGACAAGGCTAGATGATTGAGAGAGTGTGGATCCTTCTTGGGGAAACAGAGCTTGGGCATCTCTTGATAATTCTATGCCTTTCCCCTCACTCTGCATTTAGACAGGCTGAGCTGGACAAAGAAGGAGAATCTATGAAATGCTATCTTGTCCTGGTAGCCTTCATCAAAGCTGATTTCAGAGAGAAGATGCAGAAACACAAGTTTTGAGGTTGGAAACTTTTGAGGCTGACATTAGCTTCTGAAACTATTGCTTGCATTGTTGAGGAAACAGTAAATATCCCATGCTTTCTTTTGAAATGTTTGTATATTGTACTTATGTGGAAAGACAAAATTGGCATGAGGTGAAAAGAAAGGAATTTAGTAATCAGAAGAGAGGCCAGGACATATTTATGGAAATCTGTGGATATTTTTTCCCGAGTTTTGGAGGAACGAGGCCCCAGGCTGTCTCCTCTAAATCACCCGAGGAACATGTGATATCTACTCTGGGACTCCTGGAATACCCAGTGGTGTCCTAATGAAATAATAATGAGCACATTCCCCCCTCCTCAGCATTTCTAGAGGGAAGACTTACCGTTACCCCAGACAGGGATTAGACCTAATAAATTACACTTCAGGATGCAGGATACACACACAACATCAGGGCTGCGTACACACATGGATGGCCCTGAGCACAGAAAATCCATCATCCTCAGCTTAGACACACAGCAGGCGCCAAGCAGCAGGAAGTGGCCTGGAATATGTCCCAGTGAAGTAGTTCGTGGAGTAGAGAAGGAAATGCCAGCAGTAATGTGGAGGATATTTACCTCTGGGGGATTCCGTGGCCAGAGAGACTTGGGCACTGCATCTGTGAAGCGCTGCCATCTTCCTAAGAGCCTTTTGCCCATCCTTGGGTCTACACAAGGGCTTCTCAATCTTGACACTGTTGACACTTTAGGCCAAACAATTCTTCCACCAGGGCCCAACTCTGTATGGGACTAAGAGCTTGGCTTGGGGTCTAACTGATCTGTGTTCAAATTCCTGCTGTGGGTCCTGCTGAAAGAGTCACACACACACTGGCTGTTAGATCTTTGGTAAGTTGCTTACTTCTCTAAGTCTCAGTTTTCACATGGAGGAAATGGAGACAACAGTGGTCCTTTCCTGGCAGAGTTGCTGGGAGGAAACCATGAGATGATGCCTACAAAATGCTTAGCACGTCCCAGGTGCAATAATAGTGACCCTTGGTTATATATCAAGGTGTGAGACACAGGGCTGATCCGCAGCGAACTTTGAGTCTCATTTCATTAGAGACTAGCAGAAGTCAAAAATAGAACCATTTGGAAATCTTCAATGTCAAAGAGGGGCTAGAAGGCCTCAGAGGAGAGGAGGAAGCACTGGGTGGCAGGTGGTGCTCACTACAGAGGTGGGACGGAGGAAGCTGCAGGAACAATTGGCTCATAATCATCTCCACTTACACTGCACTTGATCTACAAAACTCTTCCTCATCTGTTGCCTCATTTGATCCTTACAGCACAATAGGGCAGACCCCAAGAGACCCCTTTCTTTTCCCTATGACCAGGAAAAAGAGGCTCCCAGATTCTAAGCCAGTTTTTCTAACTCCAAATTCACTCCAGTTTTCAAAGAATTAGAGTATGGTTAAAAAAAAAAAAAAGTACTTAATACTGTTATGATAATAGCTACCATTTGTTGCAGGCTGCAATGTACCAGGTGCTATGCCAAAAGCCTTGAAGACATCACTGCATTTCACTGTCTGCAGAGCCCTACTAGGGAGGCCCTCTTATCATCTACTCTTTGCAGTTAGGGAAGTGGAAGCTCAGAAATATTAAGACACTTGCTCAAGGGGGCAAAGCTGGGATTTGAATCAAGATGGATCTGTCTTCAAATCTGAATGTCTGAGCTCTGATATTCTGCCTGCCCCTCCAAAGAGAAGCATCTCAGAGCTCCCTGTCCCCTTTCTCCCCATGGCCCAGTGCTGCTTGTATAGGTTGGGTGATGGTGGGGAACAGAGAGAGGAATGAGTTTCTTTATGCCTTCAACTCGGACAAGCCCCACCAACTCCAAGGCTCCCTCAGGATGAACCAAGAAGCAGGTGTTAGCCGAGTGTAGGGTCCAGGGTCAGTGAGCACCCCATTCAGTGGGGAACCCCGAGGGGTGCCTGCTGCCACCTACCTCCTCCTAGCCCTAAATAAGGTCACTTTGCTAATGTGTCTTCCCAGGGGGGTCAGAAGTGAAAGCTCCCATGGGTCTCTGAGCTTCCAAACAGCGACTTGGGCTGTGTGATCCTCTAGCCGGGTGCCTGGGTCTCTCTAACTAAGAGCAGGCTCCTTGGGGAGCATGTCCATTTGGACTTTGCACCCCCAGCTCGCGGCAGTGTTCTAGGCCCAGAGAAAGCTCCCAGTGAATGTTCTTGGAATAAATGAGTGAATCCCTGAATAAGTGAATGTTGGTCTTTTATTTCATAGCATTCCTGGTCTCACTTGTGCTCAGGATCCAGGGATAGAACAGCATCAGAAGTCCCTGTGCACCATCCTCCAAAGGCCTGTGTGACCTGAGATACCTCTTCATAGTACTCTTTATACTAGTGCTACCTGAGATTCATCCTGAGACGCTAAGACGCGTCATCGTACCTTCATGCCAATGGCTTCAAGAGACCACTGTGCAAATCTCATGTCCCCTCCCCTGGCATGAACCCTTCAAGCTCCTACTCCTGGAGCAGGGGATCCTGGGAGCAGAAGTCCCTTCCTGCCACTCCAGCCTTGCCCTCCCACTCTCAGGGTCTTCTTTAGAGTGGATGGGGAGGTGGGGACAAGTTGGCACGTCCCTCGGTTACACTTTCAACAAGGAGAGCCGCTCACCTCCACTGGGGCCATCCCCAGCTCCTCATCAGTTGGGAGGAGAATGATGTCACAGGGATGTTTTTACCTTTCCTATTAAGATGTTTGGGGATGAGAAGAATATCTGAGTAAATATAGGAATCAGAGAAATTCTCTCCGTATCCTATTTATTCCCAGGAAGGGGACAAGGAGATGAAAGGACAGGAGCCCTGAGAAGAGTCAGTGGCTTCCTGAGGATGACTCATCTCTGGGAACAGCTAAGGGAACAGCTCTTTATCTGGGCTCAGGCTCTGGGAACTCAGGACTTAACGGGCAACTCCTTTACCAGCAGAGCCTCTCTTCAGAAGCTCAGGATCCCCACGACAGCCCTTCCCCTTCAAGTCTGAAGCCCAGCCCTGGCACAGGGCTACAGCACAGTAGTTAAGAGTGCAGGCTCTGCAATCAGTCTCCCTGGGTTCAAATGTTGCATCTGCCCCTTAGTAACTGTGAAAGCTGAGGCAAGCTATTTAACATCTCTGAGCATCAGTCACCCATCTGTACAATGGGGATGGTTATTCCCTGATAGGTCTTAGTGAGGATGGAGTAAAGTTGGAACATACCTAGAACAGTTCCTGGCACATAGTAATTGCTCAGTAAATGTTAGGTATTATTATATAGCACACTTAACCCTTCCGCAATACATTGTCTTTCTAGCCTAAACTGGAACCTTCCAGAACCTTCCAGATTTTTAATTTTACCACTGATGCTGGCCATCAGTGGTAAACATTCTCCAAAGATCTCCTCAAAAATAGGCCTGAGGCAAGAAGACCTTCTCTGTTTACTGGCCATGGCTTAGAGATGTCTCCTTTGGTTTGGTAGAGCATCCCCACCTACAGGTCAAGGGGCCCATAGCACAGGTCCACGTGACCCCTCAGGAATGCCTGCATCATGTAAACCGGTAGAAATGGCAAAGACGCAGGAGACCAGACAATGGAACCCTCCAGCCCCTCCCAGAAGAACACACTGATGGACCATGGCCAGCTGCTGTTAATCTATGGATTCCTGAAGCCTCTCCTACTTTGTCCCTTACTGGAGGACTTAGACAAAAGAAATGCACCCTGTTGGTTCATATCAGGTTAGATTTTCTCTGTGTCCCTCAGAGGACTTCCCAGAAATCATGTCAGTGATGAAAATATGCACTGTCTGTTTAAAATCTTTAAAATGTTAGGTATTGGATAGAAGACAATTCTCATGCACTCAATGCTTGTTATGTGTCCAGTACTAGACTAGACTTTTATATGCATTATTTCATTTGGTTACCACCACAGCCCTGTGAATTAGGTACTCTATTATCTCCACTTTATGGATGAAGGAACCAAGGTTCAGAGAGGTTAAGTATCTTGCCCAAGGTCACACAGCAAGGAAGTAGTGGAGCTGAGGTTCAAATCTAGGTCTGTTTGACCTTAGAGTCCAAGTGACTTTATTACCCATTAGGAAATGGAGTCTTCTAATAAAGGAATTGTCCCTCTGACCTCCCTTCTGATTGTTCGGGTATTTCAGTGAAATATGTACTTTCTTTCTTAGCAACAGGGACATTAGGACTCCTGTGCATGAGACTTACTGTTCCCTGTTACCAAAAAAAATTTTTCCTACTCATTTTAGGTGTTATTGTGAAAAGGATACTTGACCCAGATATGCAGTGTCTTTTGGAATAACCATATCGCAGTGAATGCCTCTTAATTAAGCCATGACCTTCGCCCAGTTCGTCTTTTTCCTGAATGTGCTCTTTCTTTTCCTACCCAAACTGCTTTGAGTAAAAGCGAGGCTGGGCCCAGAAAGCATGAACTATTTTTCTCTCTTTTCTTTCTAATATCTGTAGCTCTAGCTCTGGCTCCAGTCTCCCATTTACAGCTGCCCACAGGAAATTGCATAGATGTCCCAAAGGCTCTCCAAATCCACATGCCTGAAACAAAGCACATTCTCTCCTCGGTGCCCAACCACACTTCCTGGTGGAGGTGCTGTTATTCTCCCAGCCTGTGGAGGTCAAGGTCGGAGAAACCATTTGGATGGCACCACTTTCTTCATTCTTAATGTGCCAGGAGTCAGCGCGTCCACCAAGCTTTCCTTTCCAGCATCCCTCAGCAGCTTGTCCTGAGTTCCAGCCCTCCTACTCAGTCCCTTTGCAATCCACCTGGCACTGGCTGCCAGAGATATCTTGCCCCCATAGGACCGTTACCACGGTTTCTTGCCCAGCAGCCTTTGGCGATTCCCTGTTGCCTACTGCTTTAAGTCAGCCTGAAGTCAAGGGGCTCCATAACCCAGCCTGTCTTTAATTTCCTTCCTTTTCCTATCAGATCTCTCACTCATAATTCAACTTCCTTTACTGCCTCCAGCTAAAATGCTCTCCTCCTTCCTCTATACATCTTTAATCTACCCATGTGCCAAGAGCTGGAAAGGTAAATTAGATTGTATGCCATTTTCCCATTCTGCTTAACTGTTATAACTGCCTGGAGCTGTATTATGAGAATAATTCTGAAATTATATTCATGATCTATGTGAAAGAGATCTGTAATCGATTAGTGATGTCTGCCATGCGTAAGGCGGGAAAGAGCGAAGCAAACAGACTCTGGCTAGAGCCAACTGATAGCAGCCTGCCTCCTCCATGCAGCCTGGGACAATGGCAGCCCTATGGATCACCTTGCCCATGACCAATTTATCATATTAATAATAAACACAGGATTGCAATGGGCTCTGAGAAGAAAAATACCTGAGATATCTGCCTTTAAAAAAGCCATGGTGGTGCTGGGCTCGGTGGTTTATGCCTGTAATTCTAGCACTTTGGGAGGCTGAGGCAGGTGGATCGCTTGAGGCCAGGAGTTCAAAACCAGCCTGGTCAACATGGCAAAACCCTGGCTCTACTAAAAATACAAAAATCAGCTGGGCATGATGGCACATGCCTGTAGTCCCAGCTACTTGAGAGGCTGAGACAGGAGAATTGCTTGAACCCAGGAGGTGGAGGCTGTAGTGAGCCGAGATCGCACCACTGCACTCCAGCCTGGGTGACAGAGCAAAACGCTGTCTCAAAACAAAACGAAACAAAACAAAACAAAAAACGAAAAACAAACAAACAAAAAAACAAACCATGTTGAAGAGTCTATTTACCCAGGTTTTTATCACATCTCACCCGGTTCTCTCTCTGCATCAGACAATTAAAAACCTTACTTGTAACAATAATGGCTAGCTTTTATGAGAACTTACTCTGTGCTGGCACCATGCTAAGGCTTGACACATGTCATCTCAGTTAATCATTATAGTTTTGCGAAGGAGGAAGGGGGTACACCTAAAAGGCCATCTTGCAGATGAGGAAACGACATTCAGAGCAACGAAGTGACTCCTTCGAGGTCACCTAGGCAATCAGTGGTGGGGCCAGGATACACATCCAGGGCCATTTGATTCCAAACCTTGGCTACTAGATGAATGGGTATTTTTGTTTATTAGTGTATGGTATTGTTCACTTTTGATGAAGGTGTTAGAAATAGACAGCAAAGTCTCTGAGTGCATAAATTTGTCACACACTTTGTTATATTTTTCCCTTCCACACCCAAGTACCTAACACAGGCCTAAGTCAGAGTTGATGGAGTCTCTAATGCTCTTTTTGCGGCTGCTCAGGCCCTATCAATTGCTGCTTATTATTTATTTTAACATATTTTCAAGGCCCGAGAAGGAGGATCACATTACATACAGTCTATGGGGAACTGGGCTCAAAATGACTCAGGGATCCCAAAAAGATTGTGCTCCAACAGGTAAAAATATCCCCCTGTGGCCTCATTGAAATTGCCAGCTTTTCCAGATGCAGCAGCAACTTTTGGCCACAAGAGGACAGTAAAGACAAGGCTACCAGGACCAAGTCCGACCAGCCTCTCCATCCAGGCTTCACAAGCGAGCAGAGACCTTGGCAGCAATTACTGTTTCTTTTATTATGACCACTGTCATACAATCTTCAGATGAAATGCACTTCAACAGGCTGATGCAAAGATCTAATGACTTCCCTGCAACTTCCAGCATAAACGAAGCTAAAATGGCCA
Organism: Homo sapiens; assembly: GCF_000001405.40. Classification (NCBI taxonomy): domain Eukaryota; kingdom Metazoa; phylum Chordata; class Mammalia; order Primates; family Hominidae; genus Homo; species Homo sapiens. The sequence continues at coordinate 113,521,174 of NC_000010.11, read as the reverse complement.
TTTATGCATGCATGCATTTGTTCCACCTGCATTTATTGAGCACCTACTGTATTACAAGCACTGTACTATCTAGGGGAGATGATGGGCAAGTACACTGAGAGACCTAGTACAGGTTTCCAAGAGGCATCGGAAGCACCAGAGGAGGCACTGTGCTCTAAGAGAGTCAGGAGGGCATCTCTGAGGAGGTGACATTTGCACAGGGTCTTGGAGAAGGTCTGGGAGCTCACTAAATAGAGATGGCAGGGGCCAGTGCGGGGGCTGGGGCAGGAATCCCAGACAAAGGGAGGAGGGAATGGCAGCCAGAGACATCACTGGAGCGGATATGAATCTTTGTACTGCTTGCTGTGGGCTGGAATTTGAAATTTGATGGCTATTTTTGGAATGAGATTCCTGAAACGCTCCCCTGTCTTCTTCGGTCAGGTTTATAACCATCCATGGGAGTGGAGCTCTAGGCTCTGACTAAAAGGGAGCAATGGGGACCTCCTTTTCTAGAAAGTTCTTGTGATGATAGCCTTCCTGAGCAGATTTGTGGGAGTTTCCAGCCAGACCATTCAGGATCTTCCTCTGGAGCAAGCCCAAAGGGGCCTGTGCAAGGCTGGGTAGGAACATGAGGGGCCCTCCCAGCCCCCTCCTGCACTGGGCTGGAGGCGGGCTGAGGGCCCAGCTCTGTCTTCAGAAAAGCAGCCACAGTCCCCGAGCAGGTGGGTTTCCAGCCCTGCTTTTTCTCCCTGAGCTCTTTTCCCCAAATGGCCCTTTCCCCTTTTCTGCTGCTTAAGCCTTGCCCAGATTCTATGGCAAACAACAGCTATCCTGCCAGTTGACCTGAGTCACTGGGTATAGGAAGGGGCCAGAGCTCACATGGCCATTCAAATCTAGGCTTTGTCTGCATCTTGGCTCTGTGAACTTGGACTTGACATTTAACCTCTCTGGGTCTCTGTTGGCTTGTGGTGAGGTTGACAGAATACAGAGGTAACTGTCTGTATACTTGGGTCCCAAGTGAGGGCCTAAGTTATGGACTCCAACTTGCATGAGTGTCTTGGGGGCACATTAGGTATGTCGGGGCGCTGGGAGCACCTGGGCAAAGGGCTACAACTTAACCTCCCAAGGACCCCATGGGGGAAGTTGAGTGCCCTCCATCCCTCAGTAGGAAATCCCAGTGTGTGAACAACACCTAGACACTATTGGGCAAGGCTGTCACTGCTGTTTCCTCTGGTGCTGCCCCTTAACCCACAAAAGCTGGGAGTTGAGAGGCCTGAAATGAACGAAGGAGGAAGTGCCATGCGGGAGCCGGCCCCTGGGGGCGTTAAAGGTACCCTCACGGCCCCTCTCAGCCACCTCTTCACAGAAGGGACCATTCTCAAAGGGAGCCAGAGCCTGGGCATGCTGGGCCGGTAGAGGGTTTGCCCGGATCGCAGTCAGGGCTGCACCTCCGGCCAGGAGGCTGAGAGGGAGGACATCCACCCAGCAACTGGGGAGCAAAGTGGACAGGGGTGGCCGAGCCCCAGGAGGGGAGAGTGTCAGAGATGTGTGACAACTGAGAGAAGGCCCTGCTGGGTCCATTCATCCTCATCATCTTCTTCATCATCATCATCATCCTCAGGATAAGATATAAGAACAACAATAAAATAGTAACTTCGATTAACAAGCACCTACCATGCCCCGGACATTTTCCACACACAAAATCTTCACAGCAGTACTTCCAGGTAGGTGGCGTCATTGTTCCCATCTTACAGATGAAAACACCGAGGCTCAGAGAGTCTAGGCAACTTGCCAGCTTGCTTTTAGCAGCAAGAATCAGGATTCAAACCCGGACGTACCAAACTTCAATCTTTGGCCTCTTTCCAGTTCCACACTGCCTCCCTGAAAGAATTAGTCACTCTTGATCCAAAAGATTCCCATTATTTTTTTCTTTGATAATGTGGTTACTCTGAGTTAAAGTGACTCTAACTCAGAGGCAGATTCTGAAAACTAACAGATGCTTAAGAGCTAAGCAGTGACAAAAACAGAATCTTGTGTGCAGGAAACAGAGACCAGCCCTGTGCTGCCGGTGTCCCATCACCGCACTTCCCATTCAGTAGCCCAGCAGGCTGGGCCAGATTTGCAAGCCCCCCGTCCCTCCTCATGCTTGCCTGGAGAGTGGACATTCCCTTCCCTGCAAGGATGGGACCTCCAGCTCTAGTCCCACTGAAAGCCAGTGACTGAGAGCCAGATACACCTTGTTTCAAGTCCAAATAGTGGCTGTGTGGCCTTAGGCAGGTTTCCTAACCTCTCCAGGCCTCATATGTAAGATAGGGTATAGCCCGACTTGCAGAAATCTAAGGTGCCACAGGTGATAAAATGCACTATTATTTTAAATACCACTGGAAAAAGTAAAAAAAAAAATGCTGTGAATTAAACTAGGATTTAACGCTGACATGCCACGAATTGTAAGAGACATCCAAATGTTGGTGATATCAAAATATGAAGTGGAGTCTTGTTTTAGAATTGATAACAAAGCATAATGTTCCCCACACTCAGCCTCAGCACAGGGCCTGGCTCAGAGCCATTGAGGGCCAGGGTGGGGTTTTGTTATCTGCATCATCTCTTGTTTATAGGGTCCTTATCAGAATTCCCTCTGCCCCTGGGGGCATCTTCCCAAGCACACGCTCTCTCTGCACTCCCTGAGCTCTCAGGAGCAATTTTTCTCTGGGCAAGAACTTGGACCCAAGTCCCTTCAGAAATGGAGAGAAGAAAGTAACTTTAAAAGTTCTCAGGGAAGATTTGATTTTTCTGTCTCTTTTCTCCGTGAGCATGTCAGACTCCTACCTGGTTCTTTGAAAGTTAGAACATTAGTTGGGTCAGCGGGGGAGCCAAGTAAACTACAGAACTTCTGCAGTTCAGCAAAAGTTTTCTTTCTGCCTAGGCGTGATTGAGCTTGCTTGCTCTTCTATCCCTAGCTCTCTCGGCCACTCGCTTTCTGAATAGTGAAGCTTTTTTACCTTCTTGAAAGGCAGTCACGAGCTGTCTGAAGAGGCAGAAGTCAAATTTGGTGGTTCCCCAACTCTCTGCAGCCCCACAGAGCCACCAGCAAGGGCCCACAAACCCCTGTTAGCTGGTAATTGGTGATTCATTGAGGAGCCAGCAGTCATCCATCACCGTGCAGAACAGCAGCCCAGCCAGAGCAGGGAGGGCCACCATGCCCAGCCCCGCACACCCACCTAATTCCTCCATAGCTTTGACCTCCTGGTCCTGGACCACTCACTTCCCCTTGGCTAGAAATTAGGAAAGAGAGGGCATCAACAATCACAGATGCTTCTGGTTTTGAGCAGGAGCTGATGTGGACTCTGCCATCCCCTACTCTCAGCCACCCACACTCCCTCCCATGGGTGAATGGACCCAACTCACCATCTTACCACCTGCTGCCTGCATGCAGTGTTCACCTGGGCCTCACCTGCAAATACTTCTTCCCTGCGTGTACCCATGTGCAACTCAGAGTCATGGCAAGGCCCACCCGCCTCTATTACGACCATTTGACTCCTTTATTCTCTGAACCACCTGCAAGCCAGTGTTTCTTACGTATGTGTGCATTTGGACAGAGCGCCTTCGCTGCTCCTTCAAAACATTTACTGTCTGACAGATGCAGAATGTTCTGGAGACACCAGTAACAGCTCCCAATCCATGGTGGGAGTCCCAGGCAGGGGAGTCCATAAGTGTTTCATTTTAGTAAAAGTGAACCATATTTTTGCCTTTTGTTTGCCCAGAGATATTCCTTTTTGAGGAGACAAGGAGAAAGAACTAGGTTTAGATCAAGGGAGAGAGGAAGGCAAGTCCCCATGTCGATGGGTGGGGAACCCAGCTGGGCACTGGAGACTCAGCCACAGCAGCCGGCTGGTGAGTCCAGGGAGAACGACTGGCAGGGGCTGGGCCAAAGCCTGGAGTGGCTAAACTCAGATTCAAAAAAGATTTGAGTATTGGCCCAAAAGAGATGGAGTAAATCTTGAAACAGTTGCTGAAAATTAGAAGACAGCGAGATATAGCAAATAATGGACACATTCAATCTCAGTTTCCTGATCTGTTGACTGGGCATGAATGATAATACAGGTTCAAAATTCCTTCCTGTCATTCTGAAATCCAAAAAGTTCTGAAAACAGAAAAGGCCTTCTTCTTTTTTTTTTTTTTTTTTTTTTTCAAAAGTTTGGCACTAAAACTCATTTATTGGTGAAGTCTGACCTGAATTGATATAATGCAAATTAGAATTATTTGTCACACCAAATGTAAATATTTATAGTTTTCATGCAAAATACGAATGTGTTTGATCCAAGGATGCTACCGCAGACCCTATGGGTGGCTGGTGGTGTTACATAATGTATGGTCCATGCCCCGTATTGTTCCTTTTCTAAAATCTGAAGGGGATAAAGGTCAATTTTTAATGTTTATTTTTATTTCAATAGTTTTTGGGGTACACGTGGCTTTTGGTTATATGGATACGTTCTTTAGTGGTGATTTCTGAGATTCTAGTACCCCCATTACCTGAGTAGTGTACACTGTACCCAATATGCAGTCTTTTATCCCTCACACTTCTCAACACCCCCCACCTGAGTCCCCAAAGTCTATTATATCATTCTTATGCCAAAAGATCAATTTTATTATTTTATTTAGAGAGATGGGATTTCGTCAGGTTGCCCAGGCTAGTCTCAAACTCCTGAGCTCAAGTGATCCGCTGGCCTTGGCCTCCCAAAGTACTGGGATTGCAGGTGGGAGCTACCACACCCAGCCTAGAAGGTCAATTTTAAAACACATGAGGCCCCAAGCATTTTTGGATAAGGGCCTAGGACCTGCAATACCTTCCCCAAAAGATCATTCTGAAAATCAAACGACATAACACATGTAGAGCATAGCACGGGACTTGGCACCTAGTAATCCTATGCGCAGATTCTACCTCCAAATTGTGTTCCTGCCAGGTTTGGGCCCCTGACAAAAAACACAGCTGGGCACTAATTTAAAGAGGGACCTCTTCTGTCAGGGACAAAAAGGGACTTCTCCTAACACCAGGAGAAACTCCAAGATGTCCCCATCTTACACCCCCAAACCATATTTCTCCCAGTGAATCAAAATATACACCCTCAATGGCTCCCAGTTTGCCTATTAAAATAAAAGTCAGTTTCTAGAAAGAACGTTGTATTATACACAGCTTTCTTCCCCAGCTGCTTAGGTTGCAATACTCCCTGTTGGTTATGAAGTTGAAAATACATTCACATCTGTCCTTGATCTGGTAAGTCAAGAACATAAAAACTCCGCAGCACAAAGGCATTCTTCCGTACCCCTTCCAAAAGGGCAGTTCCCATCAACTGCGTGGGTTAGTAACAGCTTCTTTACATATGTTTTTGATGCCGAAACTGTAACATTTGACTTTTTTTCTGCTGCTCCAAAGTGTTATCCAAATAAATAAGAATTAGATGATGTTTGTTTAAACTTAGATACATGACCTAAGATTCTTGTTTTTCTTCTGACTTCAGCATAAGGCTTAGCTACTTAATCCCTACACTTTAAAGCATGCGATCTATTTATTTATTTTTATCAAATTCATTTATGCTGTGAATCGCCTCTTCTTTGGCAAATATACAAGCGAGGATGTTATGTATTCTCAGCAAGGTGGAATGAAATCTACATTGAAGTCTTATGACTAAGTGTGGACCACTTTACTTCCTTATCTGGAGCAGTGTATATTCTTTTTGTAACTCCTAACCCTGGCCACCTGACTTCCAGCCACCGGCCAGAGGAGGAATAGGTGTTGAGAGACCAAGAAATTTGAATAGCCTGACCCCAAAGGACTTTCCAGGCATGGAACTTCCACTTTTAAAACCGGAAATTGCTGGGCAGACTGGAACAAAGTAGTTATCCTAGCATGGGCGTGAGCATGGGGTGCATCAAAGCAACCCATCCGAATGACTGGATCGGAATGCAGGGACCACGTCTGATGGTCCAACCTTAACTCCCAAGAGTTTGGCTTATCACATGGTCATGAAACCAGAGGCAGGGAGGGAAGGGAGAGAAAGGAGGCTAGAGAGTGTGAGGACTGGCAGGAACCAGGGGGCCCAGCTTCACCTCAGCAGGTACCAGCCACCAGGGACCAGGGATTGGAAACATCTCTGGAGAGGTTGGTGAGAGCAAGGAGTGACATAAGGAGGAGAAGCCCATTGGACGTGCCTGTCCCATCATGCCAGGGTGAAACAGAGCCCCGCCACAACAAACAAACAGCTACCACAACAATGACAGGCTAGGCTGTTGCAGGGAGAAGGGCTGAAGATGGGCTGAGAAAAACCCAGAATTAACTGAGATCACATTCTGAAAAGACCAAATATTTGCCCCAAAGAATTAACCTTAAAGAGATTCTTTTAAATTCAATTTAAATTAAGAATGTCAAGTATGAGTTTTTTGCTGTTGTTGTTTGTTGTTGTTTTTTTTTTTTTTTTTTTTTTTATTCCCCTGCAGTGGAGGGACAAGGTAAGTTGACATTAGTTACAGGAAAAAAGTTACATTCTGAGACACATTGGAGTCTCAGAGTATAAGTGTGGACAGCCTTCTCCCACTGGGGATTATGATTATTACAGCTTCCATTGCTTTTAGGGTAAAGTCCAAATCTGTACCTCAAGACCCCAGATGGAGGCTGGGTGTGGTGGCTCAGGTCTGTAATTCCAGCACTTTGGGAGGCTGAGGTGGGTGGATCACCTGAGGTCAGGAGTTCGAGACCAGCCTGGCCAACATGGCGAAACCCCATCTCTACTAAAAATACAAAAATTAGCCGGGCGTGATGGCACATGCTTGTACTCCCAGCTACTCGGAAGGCTGAGGCAGGAGAATTGCTTGAACCTGGGAAGTGAAGGTTGCAGTGAGCCAAGATCATGCCACTGTACTCCAGCCCGGGAACCACAGCAAGACTCCAACTCAAAAAAAAAAAAAAAAAAAAAAAAGACCCTGGATGGCACGGGCCTGCTCTGTTCCTTTTTAACTCCCACCTTGTACCATTGCCTCCCTTCCCTCTCAGTGCCCAGTGCACTGGCCTGCTTTCCATGGCCCTCTCTCACGTTTACTCCTGTCCCATGGCCTTTGCATATCTCCTGGTCCTTCCTCCTGAACGCTCCCCTTACTTCTTCTCTTGAATAAGTCTTATTTCCCTTTCTTAATCTACATTAAATGTTTTTGTTTGTTTGTTTTTTTGAGACAGAGTCTTTTTTGTCACCCAGGCTGGAGTGCAGTGGCGTGATCTTGGCTCACTGCAACCTCCGCCTCCTGGGTTCAAGCAACTCTCCTGCCTGAGCCTCCCAAGTAGCTGGGATTACAGGCATGCACCACCACACCTGGCTAATTCTTGTATTTTTAATAGAGATGGGGTTTCACCATGTTGGCTAGGCTGGTCTTGAACTCCTGACCTCGGGTCATCCACCCACCTCAGCTTTCCAAAGTGCTGGGATTACAGGCGTGAGCCGCCGTGCCTGGCCAAGTGTTTATTTTTTTTTTTTCTTTAAGGATACAATTCATGACCTCTGAGTTTAGATCATAAGCTTCTGTTATTACCTAGATTCAATGGTAATTCATCATTTGTGAATGCTTTTGAATTTCTGACTCAACCACTAGATTGTAAGTCTCTTAAGAGTAAAAACCAAGTCTGTTTTGTTTAGTGCTGTATTTTCATTGTGTAGGCAGTGCCTAGCACATCTTACATTTGTGGAAGGAGAGAAGGAAGTGGGGGAGGGAGGATGGGGGAAGGAAGAGAGAGGAGGGCAGAAAGTCTGAAAGGCAGAAGGAAGGGTGTAATATTTTACTGTTATGTAGAAGCAGAAGATTTTGTTAAGAATTTCCATTCATCCTAAGTATTGTGACCTCCTTAGGGCAAAGGACCTTCTCTTATACTTCTATATTTTGTCACTGCTATCAGTTGGGGCAAACAATAGACTAACCAAAACCAAGCTGGGCAATAAAATGCTTTGGTAAATAAGGGGTTTGGAAAGTTCTGACACTTTCTTCAGAATCTAGAAAACCATATGCATGCCCAAGGCTAGTCATATGCTCAGGAAAGACCTGAGGAGGGCCTAAGTTCTTACCTCTGGCTGACCTTCAGATGGGGCATAAGTAGGGAATAAAGGCTGAGGTAGAGTTGTCAGCTGCCTGGCTGAGTGCTGAGGGTATCCTCCAACATACACACAAAGCTCATTTTCAAAGACCAGAAGATTTATTTTGTTTATTCATTTGTTTGTTTCAGACATTTCTCTCTCTCTCTCTTTTGAGATAAGGCTCACTCTTTTGCTCAGGCTTGACTGCAGTGGAGCAATCATAGCTCACTGCAGCCTCAACTTCCAGGCTCAAGTGATTCCGTCACCTCAGCCTCCTGCATAGCTGGGACTACAGGCGTGTGCCCCCATTCCTGGCTATTTTGGGTTTTGCTTGTTTGTTTGTTTGTTTGTTTTGTAGAGACAGGGTCTCACTATGTTGCCCAGGCTGGTCTTGAACTCCCGGACCCAAGCAATCTTCCCACCGTGGCCTCCAAAGTGTTGAGATTACAGGCATAAACCACTCCACCTGGCCTGTTCCAGACATTTAAGAAAACCTCTGCTCAATCACTAGCTGACTACTAAGCTAATAGAACAGAGACTTCAGTAGTCAGAAATGACAGAAAATGCAGACTTTACAAAATTACTTCAGAGACATCATTAAACAAACAAGTAGTACACCAAGCAGCAATTTAAAAAAAAAAAAAAAAAAAACAAAATAAAAAACACCTCTGGAAGGGAGGGGAATCTGATTTCCAGAGTTGCCACACTGTAATGTCCAGTTTTCAACAACAAAAGCAAAAATTGTGAGGCATGCAAAGAAACAAGAAAGTATGGCCCATACACAGGAAGAAGAGCAATCAGTAGTTCCTGAGGACACCTAAATGTTGGACTTACTGGACCAAGACTTTAAATCAACTATTGTAAACATGCTCAAAGAGCTAAAGGAAATCATGTACAGAAAACACACACGCACACACACACACACACACACACACACACACACACACACACAAACATCAGAATGACATATTACCAAAGAGAGAATGTCAGTAAGGGATAGAAATTTTAGAAAGGAGCCAGATAGAAATTCTGGAGTTTAAAAGTACAATAATCAAGATGAAAAATTCACTAGATGCACTCAAAAGCATATGTGAGCAGACAAAAGAAAGAATCAACAAATTTAAAAATAGGGTAATTAAGACAATCCAGCCTGAGGTACAGAAAGGAAAAAAGAAGACGAAGAAAAGTGAACCACCTAAGAAAACTGTGGAACACCATCAAGAAAACTAACATATGCATAATGGGAATCCCAGGAGAGAAGAGAGAGACAGATAGAAGGAATATTTAAAGAAATAATGACTGAGAATTTCCCAATTTTGATGATAATATTAATCTACACACCAAGAAGTTCAACAAACTCCAGATAGGATAAATTCAAAGAGATCCACTCTGAGACAGAGTATAATCAAATTGTATAATCAAAGATGAGAATATTGAAAGCAACAAGAGAGAAGCAACTCACCATGTGCAATTGTTAATAAGATTAACAGCTAATTTTTTTGTCAGAAACAATGGAGGCCAGAAGGCAGTGGGAAGATACATGTAAAATACTGAAAGAGGAAAAAAAAAAAACTATCCCAAGAATTCTATATCTGGCAAAACTATGCTCCAAAAATGAAGGAGAAATTAACATATTCCCACATAAACAAAAATGAAAAGAATTAGTCACTACTAGATCTTCCCTAGAAGAAATACTAAATAGAGCCTGTTGAGCTGAAATGTCTTTCAGATAATAACTCAAATCCATTCAATGAAATAAAGAAAACTGTTAGAGGTAACTTCATAGGTAAATATAAAACATATTAATAGTATCAATCTATTTTTGGTTTGTAACTCCTCTTTTTCCTATATAATTTAAAAAAAAAAACAATTGCACAAAATAACAGCTACGAACCTATGTTGATAGGCACACAATGTACAAAGATGTAATTTGTGACAATAGCAACATAAAAAAGGAGCAGACCAATATAGAATCAAAGACTTTGAATACTGTTGAAGCTAAGTTGGTATAAATCTGAACCAGAGTGTTATAAATTAAGATGTTAATTATAAAATCCATGGCAACCACTAAGAAAAAATATATACCAAAAGATATACCAAAAGAAACAAAGCAGTATCCTGGAAAATATCTACTTAACACAAAAGAAGGCAGTGATGATACAACTGAGGAACAAAAGAGATATAAGACATAGAGAACAAATAGCAAAATGAAAGCCTTTCTGTAACAATAACTTTGAAAGAAAATTGGTTTAAGTCTCCATTTAGAAGACAAGGTTTGGTAGAACTATATGCTGTTTATGAGATATTTACTTTACATTAAAAGAAGCAAATAGGTTGAAAGTGGGAAGACAGAAAAAGATATTATAGAAAACGGTAACCAAAAGAGAACTGGAATAGCTACGCTAATATCAGATAAAATAGACTTTAAGGCAAAAATTGTTGTAAGAGACAAAGAAGGAGATTATATAATGATAAAAGGGTCAATCTTATGAGAAGATTGTAACAGTTATAAATAATATACATCTAACAGAGCCCCAAAATATAGAAAGCAAAAACTGACAGAATAGAGGGAAGAAATGTACAGTTCAATGAACTAGAAATACAAGGGAACTTCCTCAACCTTAAGGGCATGTATGGAAATCCATAGTTAACAATATAGTCAGTGGTGAAAGACTAAAAGCTTCCTCCCAAATCAGAAACTAGATAAGAATGCCTGCTCTCAGTACTTCCATCTAACATGGTACTGGAAGTTCTAGCCAGGGCAATTAGGCAAGAAAAAGGAATAAAAGCCATGCAGATTGTAAAAGAAGGCATAAAATTTCCTCTATTTGAAAATTACATGATCTTAATATGTAGAAAACCCCAAAGAAGCCATGCAAAAAATAAACTATTAGAGCTAACAAACAAGTTTAGCAAAGTTGCAGAATATGTATTAAAAATGATATATAGATATAAAATATATGATATATATATATATGTTGGTACAAAAGTAATTGTGGTTTTGGACTGTGAATTTTAAATGATTATAACTAGGCTCAAACACATCTTCATTAATCAAAATAGGAACCATTACACATTTTTGCCAATGAGAAATGTTTGTTTATTCCCGCAGCATAAAGATTTGTGCTTTGGGATTAAACGAACTCTTGGAAAGCATTTTCTGCATCCTGCTGGTTGTGCAAGCATTTTCCCGCAAAAAGTTGTCAAAATGCTTGAAGAAGTAGTAGTCAGTTGGTGAGAGGTCAGGTGAATATGGCAGATGAGGCAAAACTTCATAGCCCAGTTCATTCAACTTTTGAACGTTGGTTGTGCAACGTGTGGTCAGGCATTGTTGTGGAGAATAATTGGGCCCTTTCTGTGGACCAATGCTGGCTTGCAGGCATTGCAGTTTTCAATGCATCTCATTGATTTGCCGAGCGTACTTCTCAGATGTAATGGTTTTGCCAGGATTCAGAAAGCTGTAGTAGATGAGACCAGCAGCAGACCACCAAACAGTGACCACGACCTTTTTTTTTGGTGCAATTTGGCTTTGGGAAGTGCTTTGGAGCTTCTTCTCAGTTCAAACACTGAGCTGGTCATTGCCAGTTGTTGTATATAATCCACTTTTCTTTTACTTTTTTTTTTTTTTTTGAGATGGAGTCTTGCTCTGTCTCCCAGGCTGGAGTGCAGTGGTGCGATTTCGACTCACTGCAAACTCCACTTCCCGAATTCAAGTGAATCTCTTGCCTCAGCCACCTGAGTAGCTGGAATTACAAGTGTGCACCACCACACCTGGCTCATTTTTGTATTTTTAGTAGAGATGGGGTTTCACCACGTTGGCCAGGCTGGTCTTGAACTCCTGACCTCAGGTGATCTGCCCCCCTCAGCCTCCAAAAGTGCTGGGATTATAGGCATGAGCCACAGCGCCCGGCCTAAAATCCACTTTTCATTGCACATCACAATCCGATCAAGAAATGGTTCTTTGTTGTTGCATGGAATAAGAGAAGATGACACTCCAAAATGACAATTTTTAAAATTTTCACTCAGCTCACGAGGCATCCACTTATCAAGCTTTTTCTCCTTTCCAATTTGCTTCAAATGCCCAGCAACCGTAGAATGGTTGATGTTGAGTTCTTCAGCAATCTCTCATGTAGTTGTAAGAGGATCAGCTTCGAAGATTACCCTCAATTGGTCGTTGTCAACTTCTAATGACTGGCCACTACACTTCTCATCTTCAAGGTTCTCCTCTCCTTTGCAAAACTTCTTGAACCACTACTGCACGGTACATTTGTTAGCAGTTCCTGGGCCGAATGCGTCATTGATGTTGTGAGTTGTCTCTGCTGCTTTAAGACCCATTTTGAACTCAAATAAGATCACTCAGATTTGTTTTTTGTCTAATATCATTTCCATAGTCTAAAATAAATATAAAATAAATAGCAAGTAATAAGTCATTAGCAAAAACATAAAGTGAGAAATGTGCATTAAAATGATGTATAACATAATCACATTTATTTAAGAATAGTATTCCAGTATCAAAGGGCAAATTTCAACAATGGAAAAACCACAATTACTTTTGCACTGATATACAAAATCAGTAGTATTTCTATACTCTAGCAATGAACAATCTGGAAATAAAATTAAGAAAATAATTCCATTTACAATAATATCAAAAAGAATGAGATACTTAGGAATAAATTTAATTAAGGAAACCTAAGACTTGTACACTAAAACTATAAAGCATTGTTTAAAGAAATTAAAAATGCCTAAATAAATGGAAAGACATCCTGTTTTCATAGATTGGAAGACAATATTGTTAACATGGAAATACTACTCAAACCAATCTACAGATTTAATGCAATGCCCATTTTCTTAGTTCATCTGAGCTGCTATAACAAAATACCATAAACTGGGTCACTAATAAACAACAGAAATTTATTTCTCACAATTCTGGAGACTGGGAAGTCCAAAATCAAGGCACATTCAATGTCTGGTGAGGGCTCACTTTCTGGCTCATAGATGGAGCCTTCTTGCGGTGTCCTCAGTGGAAAGGAAGAGCTAGCTCTGGGAGTTATCTTTTTTAAGAGCACTAATACCAGTCATGAGGACAGAGGCTTCATGGCCTAATCAGCTCCCAAAGGCTCCATCTCTGACTACCATCATTTGGAGGTTAGAATTTCAATAAATGAACTGCAGGGGAGGTGGGGTAGAGGGTGGATGAAGGAGAGGACAGAAACATTCAGATCATAGCACCTATCAAAATTCCAGTGAGATTTTTTTCTTTGCAGAAATAAACAAGCTGATCTTAAAATTTATGTGGAATTTTAAGGGACACAAAATAGCTAAAACAATACTGGGAGGAAAACCTCGTATTTTCTGATTTCAAAACTTACTACAGAGCTATAGTCATGAAAACAGTGAGGTATGGGTGTAATGCTAGCCCCATGGATAAATGGGATGGGATTGAGAGTCCAGAATTATACCCATACATCTCTGGTGAATTGATTTTCAACAAAGGTGCCAAGACTATTCAATGGGGAAGAATAGTCTTTTCAACAAATGGGCTTGGGTACAGTGGCTCACATCTGTAATCTCAGCACTTTGGGAGGCCAAAGTGGGAGGACTGCTTGAGCCCAGGAGGTTGAGGCTGCAGTGTCACACCACTACCTTCCAGCCTAGGCAACAGAGCAAGACCTTGTTTCAAAGAAAACAAAGCAAAACAAATCAAAGACAAATGGCACTGAGGCAAATGAATATCCACATGAAAAAGAATTAATTTGTAGTAACTCAAAATGGATCAAAGACCTACATATAAAAGTTAAAATTATAAAACTCTCAGAAGAAAACATAGGTATAAAACCTCATGACCTTGGATTTCTTAAATGTGACATCAGAAGTACAAGTCACAAAAGAAAAAAATAGAAAATTGGATGAACTTCATCAAAATTAAAAACTTCCATGCACCAAAAGAAAATATTAAGAAAGTGAAAAAACAAAAAACAGAATGAGACAAAACACTGGCAAATCATATATTGGATTTAATATCCAGAATATAAAAAGATCCCCTAAAACTCAATTAGAAAAAGACAACCCAATTTAAAATTCAGCAAATGACTAGAATTGACATCTCTCCAAAGAAAATATGCAAATGTCCATATTGCACTTGAGAACAACGTTCAACATCATTAGACATAGGGAAAGGCCAATCAAAACTACAATGAGATACCACTTCACACCCACTAGGATGGCTAAAATTTAAAAAGGGAAATAACAAGTGTTGGTGAGGATGTGAAGCAATTGGAACCTTCATACATTGTTGTTAGGATTGTAAGATAATGCAACTGCTGCAGAAAATAGCTTGGCTGTTCCTCAAAAAAATTAAACATAGCATTGCTATACAACCCAGCAATTACATTCCTAGATTCCCAAGATCATTGAAAACATATGTTCAAACAAAAACTTGTACACAAGGGCTCATAGCAGCCTCCATTTTAATAGCCCCCAAAGTGGAAACAACCCATATGCCCATCAACTGATGAATGACTCAACCTGATCCGATATGTCCATACAATAGATTCTTCAGCCCTAAAAAGGACAGACACAGATGCTTCTCGACTTATGGTAGAGCTACCTCCTGATAAACTCATCATAAATGAAAATATCTTAAGTCCAAAAGGCATTTAATATACCTAACCTACAGAATATTACAGCTTAGCCTACCTTACCTTGATGTACAGTTTCTACTGAATGCATATCACTTTCCCACCATTGTAAAGTGAAAAATCATACGCCAAATTATTGTAAGTTGAGTAGATGTGACATCATGGATAAACTTTGGAAACATTATGCTAATTGTAAAAAGCCAGACACAAAAGGTCACATATTACATGATTCCATTTATATGCAATGTCCAGAATAGGCAAGCCTATAAAGGACAGGGAAATTAGTGGCTGCCAAGGGCTGGGTTGGGTGTGGGGAAATAGGATGTGACTGCTTAATGGATTTGGGTTTCTTTTTGGAATGATGAAAATGTTCTGCAATTACGTAGTGGTAATGGATGTACAGCATTGTGAATGTACTAAAAACAACAGAATTGTACATTTTAAAATGGGTAAAATGATGAATTTACTGTTACGTGAATTTTATCTGAAAAAAATATTTACCTATTTATTGATCAAATCTGTACAGTGTTCCTACTGTCCTGGTAACAGTTAATGTATTAAGAGCTTAATAGGACAAGTATCCCTAAAAGAACCTTTATCCGTTAGGAATGCTTACGGCTGCATGTAAAAGAAATCCAACCAATAATGTCATAGCCATAAGGACATTTACTACAGGTTGAGTATCCCTAATCCAAAAGTCCAAAATCCAAAATTCTAAAAAAAATTTGAAACTTTTTGAGCTCTGACTTGATACTCAAAGAAAATGCTTATTGGAGCATTTTGCACTTTAGATTTTAGGATTAGGGGATACTCAATCAATAAGTATAATGCAAATACTTCAAAATCTGAAAATGTTCAAAAAGAACATTTCTGGTCCCAAGGATTTTGGGTAAGGGATACTCAACCTCTATTTACTTTACAAGCAATCTGAAGGTAAGTGATCTTAGAACTGGTCTGAAAGCATGATACTGTCATCAAATAGCAACTTAGTTTTTTGTATTCATGCTTATTACCTTAGAGTTAAAAGATTAAGAGGGTCATCCACACAAAGAGGGGAAGTTGATCACTTTGCTTTCTTCATGGTAAAGTCTCATGGAAGACTCTTCTCTTCTTTTGAGGCCCAAGGTTTTGTAATAATGGAAGACCTGGCCTTCTTCTGGTGTGGAAGTTAAGATTAATTCTCCCATCACTTTCTGTGTGACTTTGACCTGGTTATTTCCCTTCTCTAGATGCTGGTTATCACCCTCTCCCAAAGAAAAGATGGTGTTGGACTACAAGGTCTCCGAGGCCACTTTGAGCTATACAGTTATTACTTCTTTAACTTTTGTTTCAAAGGTAATAAGAATAAACCTCATTAAAGGCTTCTGGCTCATTCTATATGGAAGTACCCCTGGTTATTCTTTTGGAAACAGACTCACCTTGTGTGGCAGAAACCTCTGCAAGTTCTTCCTGCTTTCCACTTCTACTGAGCTTTTCAGCTTCTGGGAACTCTGCATTGGGCTAACCAATGACCCAGAATGGAGCCCCTAATCATTTCTTCTACTCATCCTCACACTTATCAATGTTTGTAAATGCTTTATTTTTTAATACCTCATTGCCTGTATTCTCCCACTAGATTGTAAGCTTCTTAAGGGCTGGGGGCTATTTAAGGGCTGGGGGCCATTCCCACCAGAGGCTGCATCCTCAGCCCTGACACATACACACGTAGTAGGCACTTACCAAATAGTCACCAATGGATAAGTGAGTGAATAGTGCTAAATGTAGCTATTGGCAGCCAAGTTGCACAAGGCCAGATGACTCAAAGTTCAGGACCACATGCAAGGTGTGTGAGGTCAGCCAGGCACTGATGCTGGAGAGCTCCACTGGCCCTCAGCGGGATGATACCTCTGAAATGGGGAACACTCATTTGCATTAGGAGCTCAGGACCCTCTGGGAAGGATGGTATTAGAACCTTACACATTGCTCCCTGAGATTCGAAGACCTGGCCAAAGTTCTCCAGCAAGAAAGAAAGCAAGGGGCTCTGTAAAAGAATTTCTTGGTCGTAGAGATCAGAAAAGGGAATGTCATCCTGAGCTCATGACCCAGGCTCATCCCAAGGTCCCAGGAGTTTTGCTGGGGTAGGGAGACTGGCCCAGCATGGTGTGTGCTGATGGCTGGTACCCTGGCTTTTGTCATGCTTTGAGGATGAATTGGCAATTCATGATAGTGAATTAAAAGAACAAACATGAGGTCCTTGGTGGAACACGCCGAGATCCTGGCAGGGATCTTGAACACAGCAGTTTTCTGTGGAGGACCAGCAGGGACACCCCATGGCAGTGGCCACAACAACAACTCAGCATACCACTCAGCCACCGCAATTCTCTGTTTATTCAGCATTTAGAGGAAGGATTAAAAATGCTCACTTCTTCATTTAAATGCTAAGGATTCAGGAATGAGGAAGCCGTCAAGATGGACATTCTGCTAGTAGCAAGTGGATGGTGTTCAAATAATGAACTGAAAAAAATAGAAGAGATGATACCATATCTATGCCTATGCCCTAAGCTGGAGAAGCATACCATTACACAAATCATACATGTATTCCTAAATAATATAGCAAGAACAATTAAAAACAGGTCAAAAAAGGAAGGCAATGAAAACTAAAGCTAGAAGACTTCTCTGTGACTGGAGAGAGCGGTTAACTCACAAATTTGGGGCTGTGGCACTCTCGCCATGTGCTAGAGGTGGGAAAGACATTTGTCTCTAAGTTCCTGAGAGTTGATGTGAAGTGGCAAAGACTACAGGTGTCCATAAGGTGCATCCATACCTATTGGTTGGATATTACACCTGAAATCACTTTCTCCCATGAATCCTCATGCAGTAGTCACTGGGTTACATCAAGGACAAAGCCCCAGTGACATATTTACAATACCAAGTGACAAAATGATACAGCTACTTTATCTTCAGCTACAGCATCCTCAGTGAATGTTGATGGCCCACCTGCCCCAAGTGCAGTTCAGTAAAACAACCAGGAAAAACCAAGGTCCATGCTTTTCCGATGATCCAAGGCATTTCCTTAACCCAAGCACAGATTGCGTGCGTATGTGTGTGTGTGTGTGTGTAAATGAAGGAATGAATGAATGAAGGGACCATGCATCCTTTGGAGCTCAGCTGGCCTTTTGGTAGCTGGAAAGGAGCCAGGGGCTGTAGATGATACTTTTTGTCAGAAACTCAGAGGGAAGCTTCTGGTACCCAGTGGTTCAGAGCACCAACTCAGAAGCAGACTGCCTGAGTCTAAATCCGGCTCCCTGACTCACCAGCTGTGTGATCTTGGGGGGCTTAACGTTTCTGTATCTGCTCTCTCATGAGTAAGATGAATTCAATAATGGTACCTCTTATACAGGGCTATTGCAAATGAGGTACGGCACATGACATGCTCATCATGCACCCAGCACTTAGTAGACACTCAACCGATGTTAGTATTATTGCCGGATGGAGCCAGAAAATGGAAGGGTCACGTGTGTTACAATGTTCAGCCATGGAGAAGGTTGGCATTGTCCTCCAGCAGAAGCAGATGAGATTCTGGGGTCTTATTTTAGAAGTGAGCACCACTCTGTGTCTGTGTAAAAGTGCCCAAGAGAATCTTCTAAAATCTGAAAGGAAGTCATGATCCCAATTTATCTTCCAGCAAATCTGTCCCACTCCCTCCCTCCCTTACAGAGTTCCTGCTGCTCGGTGGCAAGGACAACCCAAAGCCTTGTTGTTCGAACAAGATGAGGATTAAATAAGAAAATAGTCACATGATGGAAGCTTTTATTCTGATGAAGCCTTTTTTTCTTTATCCAGGAAAACTTAGATCATTAATTAGAGAGTGTTTGAGTTCACCAAAGTAGTCAATAATTTAGAGACTTGCTTTTGAAATATAGGACAAAAGGCAAGCAAAGCCAATCTATCTCAGTAATGACAGCTGAAAAGTCAAAATGTATCAGTCATTATCTCAATCATCTCCTGCATAATCTATGCTTTACCTTTCTTTGTTTGCCTTGTACCTTCCAGTTACTCCAGTTAGTCTTAGGTAATGCCTTTTTCTTTATCTAACATTGGTAACTGTATCAAAAGTGCATTTGACAGAGATACCTTTGGTACCTGTCCCTTTCAAGGCTAGTCACTTGGAAGAAAAGGGTGGAGAGATGTATAGTGAAATCTTGGACAGTCTTGACCACTAGAAAGCTCTTAATGAGTGCATTAGTCAGCTATTACTGCAACAATGCTGAGTAACAAACAATACAAAATCTCAACAACAAATGTGCTTTTTTCACTCATGGTTTTGTGGGTTGGCTGGGGCAGTTCTGCTTCAAGCTGTGCACTAGATTCAGGTCTCCTCTTTGGGGCTTTCATTCTTGATTTGATGGCTCTTCAGGCTCTTCTCATGTTGGGTGTTAGAACCTCAAGAAGGGAAGGTAGAAAAAAAAATTGCTTCTTCTGAAGGCCTAGGGTCAGAGCTGGCACACTGTCACTTCTGTCCCTATTATATGGCCAAAGCAAGTCCCACAGCCAAGTATAACATCAATGGTATGGGAACTCATAGTGAACAATGAAAGAGCAGGAGGAGAGAAAGTATTGTGAGTAACACAATCTATCCCAGTGAGCCTGAGTTGGAAGCCCAGAGTGTGGCTGGGGGGTACTGCTACTATTCACTGCAAAGGGGAAGACAGGAACTGAGGCTGCCTATTTTAGTCTATTTCTGTTGAACAACATAACAATATCCCTTTTCCTTCTCTGACAACTTAGACTAGTAGAATCTAGTGAAATGATCGATATTCTGGCAAAAAGTCTGGATACCACTTTCTGCTAAAATAGATCAAAAGTGAGAAGGACCCACACAAGGCAACTTTGAAGGTTCTACTCAGCCAGCTGCTAGAGGGCAAGGTCTCTGTCATCCACATCTACTTTTAGTTTATAATCACATCCTTTCAGTACGATACGTGGGCCATATTCGTGTTTCAGTTATAGCAAAGAAAGGGCTGGTCCCCTTAAATATCCCCCAAGAGCACATGTCTTCAGAAGCTGCCTTAGAATGTGGTCTGAGAAGAGTTCCAGCTAAACTGGTATGTGTGGGGATTTTTGTTCAAATTCAGTTAAATAAACTTTTTTTTTTTTTTTGAGACAGAGTTTCACTCTTGTTGCCCAGGCAGGAGTGCAATGGAGCGGTCTTGGCTCACTGCAACCTCCGCCTCATGGGTTCAAGCAATTCTGCCTCAACCTTCCGAGTACCTGGGATTATAAGTGCCTGCCACCACGCCTGGCTAATTTTTGTATTTTTTAGTAGAGATGGGGTTTCACCATGTCGGCCAGGCTGGTCATGAACTCCTGACCTCAGGTGATCTGCCTGCCTCAGCCTCCCAAAGTGCTGGGATTACAGAAGTGAGCCACCACGCCTGGCCCAAACTTTTTTTTTTTTTTTTTTTTTTGACACCAGCTACAGACCAAGCACTGTGCTGAGTTCTGGTACTGTTGCATGAACAAAACAAAGTCTTCTCTCTCATGAAGCTTCATTTAGTGGAGAAGGTAGACAATAAACACATAAACAAGTGAACAGAATGGGAACAGAATGTTTACATAGTGATAAACACTTTGCAGAAAAATCTCTAGGGGGTCGGGAGGAGGGAGTGAGGCCTTGGGGAGAGGAGGCTGTTGCATTTTGTACAGGATGCTCAGGGACAGCTTGACAATGAACATGCCTTTGAGCAGAGACCTGAAGGAAGTGAGTGGGGAGCTATGAAGCTCTCTGGGGGATGAGTGTTCCAGGTAGTGAGAAGAGTAAGTGGGAAGGTCTTGGGGCAGGAGCAAGGCTTGTGTGCAGAACAGCAAGAAGGCCAGTGGCTGGATCAGAGTGAACAGATGGTAGAACCGTAGGAATCAAGGCCAGTGAAGTGGCAGGGTTGGACCAAATGAGGCCTGTGGACAAGTCTAAGAACATTGAACTTGGGCTCCTGGACTCACTGGCTCAGCGATTGAACCAAATGAACTTGTCTGCCACAAAATTGTTTTCTTCCTGGATGTAAAACATCTAGGTGTGCAGAGAGTCTATTGGAGATTAGGCCTGGGGGTGTCCTGGTCCATGTGGCCAGATGCTCCAATGAGCAGCGCGGTACTAAGCTACCACAGCCCTGCCTAATTGGGTCATTCCAAAATCATGAAGAAGCAAGCCAGCTGCTGGAAAGAAATCAATGGAAAGTCCACACAGGTGTGTGGAACACTGGCATCAGCTCTCCTCTGGAAATAGCAAGTCTCAATTCTCCCTTAGCTGTATGGCTTCCTTCTGCTCCCTATGCTCAGAACCCCTCCTTCCAGGAAGTTCCTTCTGGAACTCATGTGGCCTTCGTTGCCTCTCTGTGCACAAGCTCCCTCTTCTGCGTGCTCTCCTACAGTCATCCTGGCCTTGCTGAACACTCGTGGTTGATAAATTCTAGGGGGAAGAGCTACAGGCTAAAGATCAGCCTCACGGTCTGGGGCATAGCTGCTCATGAATCATTCAGAAGGAAGAAAAGCCTTACTAAGGGCCTTTGTATCTGGGCGTAGGTTGGGGCTATTTCTTGGCTTCAATGTACATATTTAGGGTCTAGAAAGAAGGGCTGTATTTGGCTTTCACACTTGAGAATTCCCTTTATTGGGAGTCACTGTGTCATCAGAACATTCTTAGTATCCATCCAGGACGAGATGATGACTGCTCTCAACTGAGTCCACGGCAGTCCACACAGGGTTAATCCAAATTTGCCTCTTCTCTCCTCATCGGTAAAAAGCTGGAAGCATTTCTGTTTCATTTCTCTTTCCTCTGTTTAACCGTTTTCTTAAGTTGCTCATTTTTCAAGAAGTAATTCTTTTGTCCTTTTAGAAAGATTAAGTCGTTTTCGTCTCATTGTATTTACCAAAATCCTTATCACCAAGGGCTTTGTAAGTGAGGCCTGCTATACCTTAGCTTCCAGGTATAATTAGTGCCCATTATAATCATCCAACTGACCAATCATGGGAGGCTCCCAAGAGGACCAGGACTGGGAGAGAGACTATTAACAAAATCATACTTCATAGAGTCTTATCTTGCCAGGGGTAAAAAAAAGCCATCCGTCTGGCATTGCACAATCCAGCACTATACAGGTACTCCAGCCCTCCTTGAGGTGCAACTCTCACCAAAGGGTGCAGCAAACAAGCTTCAAAAGGAAAAAAACCACACACAGGAAATGCCTGCACTGCAACGTTTATGAACATTGCCAAAGAGAAGTTGCCAAGTGCTGTAAGTGGACAAATGCACCTCCCAGAACAGAAAACAGAAAAGGATGGAAAGAGGAAGAAGGACCGGCTCTTTTGCATCTCTTTGCCATTGCAGCTGTGAACAGAGGCGGCTGTTTTTCCCTCTCCTAAAGGTTTTCCTTAAAACTGCCACAAAAAAAGCATTGCCAGCAAGTTAATGAGTCCCATCCCATCCGTTTCTCCTATCCCCTCCCAAAGAGGCATAACAGGCCTGTTTACATAGGTCGGCATCTGAAGGTAATTAAAAATGTAATCCTATATTTGCAGCAGGCTCTCTCTCATCTAGAGCAAATTCCCACCACCCAATAATGCTCCTGCTCTACCTCTGTGGTGCACTTTAAGCTTCTTTTTTTCCCTCCCCTCACTTATGCATTGGGTTTAGATCCTCATGGCAATCTGCCCCAACTGGGTGTGGAGAAAAGAAATCAGTTTCCCCATTGAACAGATGAGGAAACTGAGGTGCAGACAGATTCCATGCCACACCCAAGTTCAACAGCTCTCTTTGTTCCAGTGAAGCCATGTTTTTGTTGTTGTCGTTGTTTTGCTTTGTTTTTTGGTTTCTGTGAAGATTTATTTCTACTGTATCATGAAGATGGTAAGAAATGGTTTATTCCGGTGCATCAATGGCTTTGGTCAACTCAGTTTCCATACGTGCCATCCTAGGTGGCAAAATGTTCAAAAAATAAATTGAGGCCGGGCGCGGTGGCTCACGCCTGTAATCCCAGCTCTTTGGGAGGCCGAGGCGGGTGGATCATGAGGTCAGGAGATCGAGACCATCCTGGCTAACAAGGTGAAACCCCGTCTCTACTAAAAATACAAAAAATTAGCCGGGCGCAGTGGCGGGCGCCTGTAGTCCCAGCTACTCGGGAGGCTGAGGCAGGAGAATGGCGTGAACCCGGGAAGCGGAGCTTGCAGTGAGCCGAGATTGCGCCACTGCAGTCCGCAGTCCGGCCTGGGCGACAGAGCGAGACTCCGTCTCAAAAAAAAAAAAAAATAAAAAATAAAAAATAAATAAATAAATAAATTGAATGGAAAATATCACTGAATAGGATTTTATATAGAATTTTATGCAGAATTTTGGACTTAGAAGTTGACTTGAAGGATGTGTAGATTGTCAAAGAGAATCAGAACTGGACAGTAATTCAAGTGGTAAAAATGAATTTTATTCAGAACCCTGTTGGGGTAGGGGAAAAGAGACCTCAGCATGGAATGAGAGCCATACCGAATACAACAGCAACAGAGCCAGTGGAGATTGATAGTCAGGGAGTAGGTTTGTGGGGTGGAGGTGTGGAGTCAGTGGATGGAAAATTGCTAAGGGGATTCATCCAATGTTGGGAGAGATTCTTGCTAAATGGACTAAGAGGATTCTTGCTGAAGCCAGCCTATGATGAACAGATATCAAGGGTGGGAGATTTTCTCTAAACCAACTCAGCAGGGTTTTCTCTAAAACTGGGATGTGCAGGCCCAGCAAGGACTGGGGCTGAGGTGGATGCATATTTGAGCAGAGGGCGAGGAGCCTGGCTGAAATGTGGTCAAGGACTTTGTCACGACCACTCCTCACCTCCTGGACAGAAGCCCAGAAGGGGCAGCTTCCGCCAAGCCCATCACACCAGAGAAGTGGTAGTACAGAGCTGGGAGCAAGGGCCCCCGACTCCCAGAAGAGGGGTTCAGTTGTCTTCTTATGGATTCAGAAGTTATTTCCAAATCCTAATCCTGTAATACCCTTGCCTACTCATTGTCGGGGGTCAGCATTGCGAAAGCACATGTGATTGAGTGAGAGTTCTGGTTGGGTTCTGAATGAAGTTAGTATGTTAAAACCAGACGAATGCATGCTGGAATACTCCACCAGCAGGCAGCAGAACGTGGGAGACAGAGCACTCTATAAGGAATCAAATTGCCTCTTTTCTGATCTAAGCTCTGTTAATGGTGTCCGACTCCACCTCAGGGAAGGGGTTGGAGGCCCCGGGTCTGGTCCCCTATCTGCTGCTAACTGGATGTCTGATTCCAATTTCTCTGACTTTTAGTTTTCTCATCTATGAAATGGGGGGAAAAATTAATTCTGAAGGGCCCTTTGGCCTTGAGAAACCTTTAGTTCTAGAGTATACACGTAGCACTGTCTCTCCCCACCCCAGCAACTGGGAGATCATCTTGTAATTAGCGAATAATTTAGGAGTGCAAGTCAAATTTTCACTGAACTTCCAAAGGAGCTTCGATTTTACTTACATTGTACTTGAGTTCAGGAAGTACCAGTGGGGGCGGGGAGGGAGGGGAAGTTAGGAATCTTTAGTTCCATGGCTGTTTTTGTTCCATTTTAATGGTACTTGTTCTCTAGGATTGGATCTGTCTGTGTGCACATTTAAGTTCCCTTAACAAAACATCTCCTGTTCCTTTAGACCAGGGGGCTTTTTCTTCCAGCAAATCCAGGAGCAACCCCCTTCTTATGGTGGAGGTGACAACCAGGTGACAATGCGGCGTCTGGGAGAGTTTTCAGTCCAACTCATCACTGTTCAGACAAGGGGGTCAATGGCAGCTTTAAGATCTCAGCTTGCCACGACCTCCCCAGCTAGTGACCCAGAAAACAGAAAAGAGAGAAGCACACGGAAAGGAGTGGTCAGCAGTTTTCTGACTGCTTTTCCTTCCCCTAAACCCATTAGAGAAGTTCAATCGCAGGTCTGTAGGGAAGACACCTCCATTGCAGACGCCCTGCCAGCTCAGGGGCCTGGCGGAGGTACGGCAGGAGAGCATCTTCTCCCACCTCCGAAAACAAGAGGAAACCAAAGCTGGCCTCCCCCACGCCAGCTTCTTCAGGCTGCGTTTGCACATCGCCTCCCCCGCCCCCGCCCCAACACACAATATTGAATAAATATGCCTGGCCCTGGCCCATGTGGGAATGCTGGAGAGCTACGATTGTTATTTCCAGGAATGCACAGACACCAGCAAAAATTCATTTCCCAAACGCATGGCTATTTTGAGAACCAAATCTCCTGCTCTGTAGCAATCAAATTGGGGGCTTTTCAAGTGTTGCTTTGCAATAGAAACCTGTTCTGCCTTCAGCTGCCTTTTACCTACAAGAATTCAATAAGAGAGAGAGAGGCCATTAGAGTTTCCTCTCCTCATCTCTGCTTTGGCACGACGTACATCCCTCGCCAACTTTCCTGACTCTACATCTTAGTAAATCCTTCCTGACAATAGTTAGTGACAAGCGTGTCAGAAACAACAAACTCCGTCATCTATATGGCTTATCAATAATTTAGTCTTTTCCCCCTCGTGAGAGCCTGTGTGTTTTGCAATAATGAAATATATGATTTTAAAAATAAATAATAGGCTGTTGTCAGCTCGATTGTAGCTGCAAGTTATGAACGTGATTGATTGATTGAACATTTGACTTCATCCGCTCGAGCAGGATCAAAGGGAGACTCTTCCACCCGCCTAAGGCCACTAGCAATTTATTTAGAGACTGTGTTCGTATCCCAGCAGGTAGCAATATTGGACTGAGGTACACAGAAAATCAGCTCTTTGAGGTTTTTTCCAAGTCCAAGGGAAGCAACAAATGAGATTTTTTTTTAGTTCATTAAATCATTAACCACTTAATCACTAAAAACAAGACATTATAAGTGGTCCCCTTAGCTGGGTTACCTAGGAAAGAGAAGGACGCTGCTCTGCCGAGATCTGGCATTGGGAGGTGGGCCCTTTTTAAACAATGTGACAGTCTCTAAGTTTTTATTTATATGCCACTGCATTTTTTTCTTCATCTTAACTAATCAGTGTGGCAACAGCCACACTGACATCTGAAAGTGACAGGTGTCTGAATAGCAATGAGGTGTCTATACAACAGCCAATGTGGGAGAAGGAAAAAACAAAGGTATGGAGGAAATGTTTGGAAAACAAATATTGCAACTGCCAAGCTGGTTGAATGGAGAAAGCAAAAGAGAGAGAGAGAGAGAGACAGAGAAAAGAAAATGGGGTTTAGAAAAGAGCTGGTTGGTGCAGAATGCAACCCCCCAAATTCAGCCACAGCAAAGCTCCTCCTTTGTTTTGGTGTCCAGCTGGCACAGGAGAAACTGCCCCTTCTTTCTCAAGAAGGGTCTCACGGTCAAGTGAAAATGTCTGTCTCTCACACGACAGTTTCCCTGAGCTTCTAAAAACCCAGCAAACCAGAGCTCTCCCCAAGAGCGAGGGAGCTGTCTGGCATTCCAATGAGCAGGCTGGTGAGGAGCCAGAGCCTGGTCCTAACCAGGGTGCTGGGAATAAAAGAGACAGGATGTGAGGCCCGAGGACATCCACCCACAGAGGGACAGCCCATCTTAACAAGAACAGGTTACGGTCTTAGTTGTTCCAGCAGGGGAATGGAAGAAAGGAAACGAGTCTTCCCTTTCTAGCTCCCCTAGTCCTGCGCTGTCTGACCTCAGGCAAGGCAATTTAATAATCATCCCAACGCTTTTGACTTCATAGGGCCTTTCATCCACAGATCTCAAAGCACTTCACAAATACCAATTCATTAACCTTCGCAACCCACCCTGGGGGACAAGGGGTGGGCATGTTTCCCTTGTGGTGGAAACACTCTGCTGGAGGCACGGGAAATGCAGTTCTCCCTTCAAGGTCACTTGAAAGTTGACCAGGGAACTCAAGAGTGAGATCCAGAGGAGCTGGTATCAAAACCGGGTGCTGCTGACGACTGGCATCTCAGTTTACCTTCCTTTATGTCGTTGGGCTAGGCCTGCACCTCCAACTCTGCTCACATAAAGCAAAGGAGCCACGAGTTCAGAAAGGGCAGAAAAAACATTGCTTACTGCTGGGTATATGCAAACTACGTTCACATACCACATCTCATTTACTCCCCACCACAATCCTGAGAAGGTCAATAAACCCCATTTTACAAGGCAGGAGATTGAGGCTAAGGGATGGTGAAGAATTTACCCAAGATTGCCTAACTCACAAGCAGTGGAGTTGACAATCTGTGATCCAAAAAAAGTAATGATAATAATGTGTAAATATTTATAGCCACTCCCTCAACACACCCCTAAGAAGAATCTGTTTTCATTTTTGGACCTTTCTGGGTCTATGATCGACTCACGAATTGAGCCTATGAGTCGTAACAGGAAATGTTAAGTCCAGGCAGGCCAGAAAGTCCGGCTTGATTTGCAGAGGAGAAGGTGGAGAGTTATTTACTGGGACAAAAGAGTAGTCGGGAAAAGGCAGGAAGAGGTGGAGAAGTTTAGAATAACAGCTTGGAATGGGTTTAGGGAGAGGTTTAAGGGGGTGGGTTTGGCATAGAGGAGAAGAGAGGCTTGGGAAGCAGCCGAGGGTGTGCACTATATCTCAGAAGAAGGGGAAAAGAATTGTAAATTTTGCTTTGCATTATGATGGGACTGCAATACAGATTCCAACTGCTTCTGGGTTGCTAATGGATGCCAGGCTGATGCTTCCTTAAGTGCAAAGATAGTCCAAAAGTTAGTCTGGGGTTCTATGGGTTGCACATCTGATTGGAGTCACTACCCTCCTCATGCCATGTGGCCTCTCATCCCTGTGGTCACAGTTGAACTGAACACTTCCACTCCTGTGCACTCATGATATTGAGAACATGCTTTGATTGCATGCTGTTCACATGCCCTTCTCACTGTTTTGTGACTGAAGGATCCTTCATGCAAATAGCTTTGGTGAGCTTGGTGGGACAGACAGCAGAATTGACTCTGCCATGTAGGCGAACTCATACACACGCCAAGAGGCAACAGATACTTGCAATATGTATGAGTCAGAGTAGATTCATTGCAATAACAAATAACTCCAAAAGTCAATGCCTTCACATGATGAAAGACTATTTCTCAGTCATGTGATGTCTCGTGTTGATGTCTCTGGCCAGGAGTTCTCTTATGTGGGTCACTCCTGTGCCATGACTTAAGGACCAGTCTTTTGCCATCATTTTCCCTCATCCCATGCGGCCTGGGAGTGCTGCACAGCCACTTGTAAGAGTGGTGGAAAGACAGAGTGTGAAGGGGTGGAGAAGACAGAGCCAGGGCTGGAAATGACATAGATCTTCCCTCTGCCAATCACGTGGTCCACGGAACAGTGATGGCGGCTGGGATGCATTGTCTAGCTGTGCATCCTAGAAGGAAAAAGAAGTCAAGTTTGGTAAACATGAAGCCGTCTCTGCCACATAAGCTCCTCCACCACAACATGGGGTGCTCCCACATCAGCCCAACCTAGAACTCTGCTGGAGTTGTTCCTGCAGGCAGCCAAGCATCCAGTTTGTGGGTGTGGTGTGATTCCCTTCCCCCAAAAAATGGATGTATGAGTAAGCTAGAATTTTCAAGAGTGGGGAAGAGCTTGGGGAAGTTTTAGAAAGGATGCACGGACTCAGGACAATTGGGAGGCATCTGACATTTTCCATTTTCTGGTTGGAGGAAGGGCACGTCTAAGTTAACAACTGACTTTAAGCTGACCTTGACCAAGGCATCCTTCTCTTCATTCTGTAAACAACAAAAACAAAAGAAAAAATCTCCATCACATGTAATGTGCAAAAACTGGATAGATAAGGATTTTGTGTACCTGGACACAAAAGGTAAGTGCTCAACCGTCTATTTTCCATGTCCATCCAGCAAAGATTGACCAGGCTTTCTTGGAATGTCCAGGCAACCTTAGGAAAAAGGGTAATTTGTCTCTCATTTCTGGAAAAACAGGCTCAGTCCTTTTTCTGTGTGCAGCCATGGCTTTAGCGGTAAAGCTGTTAGGAAACTTCATTCCTATGTCTCCCTGGAGAAACTGTGATTTCTAGGTCACTATGACAATCCCCAAACATGCAGCTTTATTTTGGAACACAACAGTGCATACTCTTCATAGATTGCAAGGGTTTAATGATGACAAAAACCTGTTTATAGCACAGTCTATTTCTTTCATTTTCCTTGAAAATACCAAACTGGTTGTTACAGAGACCCAAGGCTGAAATATTCCAAAGCAACGTTTCACTCATCCTTCCTCCCAGATTCTTTTCTCTGCTGCAGTCAATTCCCCCTTTTTCCATTTGTAGAGACAAAAGGGAACATTCTATAACCACTGGCCTCTGTCCAGGAACACAGGAGAAAATGAAGCAAGGCAAACAACAGAGAAAAGTGAACAACAAAAGAACAAACTCAAACGAAACTGCTTAACAATCCTACAGTGCAGACCTGGCAGGTAAGTGCTTTGACTTCTTTTCCTCCTCTTCCTGAGGGTCTAGTTCAGGGTCTAGATTCTTTGAGTATAATCAGAGATTAGTAAAAGAGCTCTGAAAACCCCCATATGGAAATTACTTGCCAATCTATATGTGTCCCGAATCTTTAAGGAATCCATCTGGTTTAACTTAGTAATTCTGCTTCTGAGACTCTATCCAACGTTAATAATATTTAGCTGGGGGTCCCCTGAAGTAGAGCCTGAGACAAAGGTTTGGTGCAAGCAGTTTCTTTGGGAGGTGATCCCAGGAAGCATGATGAGGGAATGGAGAATGTGGAAAGCAAGGATGAGAGGAAAGCCAATATATGGACACGCTAATGAGTTGGACACTGTGACTAGTTGGGGCTTCCATCTTTCTAGAACCACTTGACAGACTGTGTAGAACACACCTTACAGTTGTCACCCTGAGAAGCAAGGAAGCTGGAATGTTTACCCAGTAACTCCCACTCCCATTGGCTGAGGGTTGCTCAGGGACATTAACATGAGCACATTCAGGCTATTCCACATGTCCATAGACCAAGTATGCTTCAACCGACAGAGAACAAACTCAGACAGGTGACACAGGAAGCCAGCAGACTGCCCATGGACTGTCTGCAGGTGCCCCTCAGAAAGGTTGAGGGAAAACAGCTAGATGCTGACAGTATCTGCTCTAGGTAATAATCTCAACATAGAAAAAGAAAATAAGCACAACAAAATTTAAGCATTGCCTAACACAGCAAACAATTGGAGGCACTTTCATGTCTGCATTGGAAGCCAGGTTACATAAATTCTGGTATATCCACTTCATGACCTACTCTTCATTTTTATTTTGTTCAACAACATTTACTGTGTGCCAAGGTCTGTACTAGGTCCTCGTGTCACTATGATGAGTAAGAGCTGACCCCGTCCTTGCCTTCAAGAGTATATGGTGTCATTTGTTAATGTGGAGTTTGAAAAGAAACATGGGCATATGCCTAGGTTGTACCACAATACCTTGGAATCAGGATTGTACATACAGTGTGACTGTAATCCTGTTTTTTAAAATGCATAGAAAAAAGACTGGAGGGAAATACATCAAATTGTTAATAGTGATTCTCTTTGGATCATGGGAGTTTCTTTGCTTCTTGCATTTCTATTTTTGCCAAATTTTCTATAATAAGAATATATTCTTCTCATAGAGGAGGAAATAATAAACTTTGTTTGAAAATAAGAGAAAAAGAAGACACCTGCCAAGTAGAAGGGAACTCAAAGCTGGCCCTTCTCACCTCCTCCCTATGCCCAACTTTTATGTGCATCTAACATTTCTGGTTCCCTGCTGAACTTGGAACCAGCATCTAATGCAAAGTAATTTGGGGCACTTCTTAGGCATGAGTGGGGCCTGGAGGTAGCAGGCATCTCATGATTAAATGTGAAATTCTTAGAGCACCACAAAGAGAACAAGAAATAACTATTCCTTTTATTTTTCTTAAATTAATTCACAGAAATATAAAGCCCACAGTCATGTCCTCCAGACTGGCTCTTCTGTCTGCTGATTAGCTTTGATACCATCTTCAATAGTTAGCCAGTGACTCCAGTGTCAGCAAATTTCCTTCTTCTATTAGAGACTCACCATTCCACCAGAGGAGGGACCTCTGCATTGGGGAATTTACTTGCCAATCATCTCTCAAGTAGATCCTGGAGACTTGGGGATGAAAGATGTTACCTAAATACAAAGTGTTCTCATCAAATGCTTTTATAATGTAAAATTAGCTAGGCTCAAAGGAGCAGGAATATGACTACATTTAATGTAATTGTATTTATTGGCTTAGTTATAATTGGCAAAGTTCATCCTGAAATATTTTCCATGAAGTTAAGAGAGTTAAATATCTTGGAAACCCTCTCCTTAGACTCCCCTATGCCCCTGGATTCTAAATTATTTCTGATAGATGGAAACATTTTAGTTCCTTTGCCTTTCATTAATCCAATATTTGATGATAGGCCCATACTTCAGGGTTGCCCAACTCCGGGGGACCCTGTTCACAGGGCTGTCCCATGGAATTGTGCAACACAGGGTTCTGTATGGATCCAAAAGTGACTTTTTAAAACAATTCTGTATGATGTTCTCAATTTTTGATATGGCTATTGGAATTTAATTCTGATTAAATATGCTCAAGCTATAGGGTCATCTACAGTTGAGGATCATAGTGATCAACACTTCAAAGTGTGCTAGACATTACTAGTTGCTTGGGATATCAACAGGTATTTTGTAAAAGAAAAGATTCATGACGTCAGCCTTGGCAAATAATTTATGGCTAAGTCCTCAAAAGCAATTGCAACAAAACCAAAAATTGACAAGTGGGACCTAATTAAACTAAAGAGCTTCTGCACAGCAAAAGAAACTATCAACAGAGTAAACAGACAACCCACAGAATGGGAGGGAACGTTCTCAAACTATGCATCCAACAAAGGTCTAACATCCAGAATCTATAAATAAACAATTCAACAAGCAAAAAATAATCCCATTAAAAAGTGGGCAAAGGACATAAACAGACTCTCCTCAAAAGAAGACACACAAGTGGGCAACAGACATTTGAAAAAATCCTCAGCATCACTGATCATCAGTGAAAGGCAAATCAAAACCACAATGGCATATACTGTCTCATACCCATCAGAATGGCTATTATTTAAAAGTCAAAAAATAACAGCTACTGGCAAGGCTTCGAAGAAAAGGGAACACTTACACACTGTGCGTGGGAATGTAAATTAGTTTAGCCGCTGTGGAAAGCAGTTCGGAGATTTCTCAAAGAACTCAGAACTACTATTTAACCTAGCATCCTATTACTGGGTTTATATCCAAAGGATAATACATTGTTCTATCAAAAAGACACTTGAACTTGAATGTTCATTGCAGTATTATTCACAATAGCAAAGACATGTAATTGACCCAGGTGCTGATCAATGGTGGACTAGATAAAGAAAATCTGGTACATACACACCACGAAATACTACACAACCATAAAAAAGAATGAAATCATGTCCTTTGCAGCAATATAGATGCAGCTGGAAGCCATTATTCTAAGCAAATTAATGCAGAAACAGAAAATCAAATACCACATGTTCTCACAAGTGGGAGCTAAACATTGGGTACACATGGACATAAAGATGGGAACACAGACATTGGGGGTTACTAGAGGGTGAGGGTTGAAAAACTACATATTGGGTACTATGCCCAGTACCTGGGTGACAGGATCATTTGTACCTCAAACCTCAGCACCATGCAGTATACCTGTGTAACAAACCTGCACATGTATCCCCTGAAAAGTTGAAATTATAAAAAAGTAGAAAAACTCCATAATTAAAATTAAAACTCAATTTAGGAGATAGTGATTGAGTAAAGTTAAGCAGCTCTTCCTATTGCAAGACTCTTTCTGGTCTTAAGTATGCCAATATCTTTAAGAATTTCCAAGGGGGAAGCAGAATATGCAATGTTCACACATTGTTGAACACAGAAGTGCCACCCTCACTGTCTTTGTTGTCCCTTGTCAGGATATCTTATAGAGCCAGCAGTCTGTGGTAAGTGCACACTACTGTGCTATTATTGAAGTACCTGAGGCATCCCATCTAGGCCAGTGGTTCTCAAACTTCAGCATGCATCAGTGCCACCTGGAGAACTTATTAAAACACAATTCCTGAGCCTATCCTGAGAGATTCTGATTCAGTAGGTCCAGGGTGGGGCCCCAAAATTTACTTATTTCTAATAAGTTCATAGGTGCTGCTGCTGCTGCTAGTGCAGAGACTATACTTTGAGAAGCAGGGGCGTAGCAGGATTTAGTGATTCCCCAGAAAGAATAATGACCTGGAGGGAAAGGAGTGGTTTTCTAGTCACAAGGCCTGTTCTTTTGGAATAATGAATGCACTATTTCCCCACCAAAGCATCATGGTGACAGGATACTTGATTTTTAAAGGCCAGGGTTGAGGGCTTAAAGGAGAAGACGAGATCTGACCTGGGAGCACAATTAACTGGGTAGTGACAGAAGCTATGGTAGAAGCTGGGTAGTTACAGAAGCTATGGGAGTCTGTTTAGCACAGGAGTTGGGAGGACTAGCTTTGTTGTCAGGCAAATCGTCTCTCAAGCTTCAATTTCCCCATCTGTCTTATGGGTATCATACCTGCTGTATTAGTCCATTCTTGCACTGCTGTAAATAAATACATGAAACTGGGTAATTTATAAAGAAAAGAGGTTTAATTGGCTCATGGTTCCACAGGCTGTACAGGAGGCTGGGGAGGCTTCAGGAAACTTACAATCATGGCAGAAGGCAAAGGGGAAGCTGGCACGTCTTATATGGCTGGAGCAGGAGGAAGAGAGCAAACAAGGACATGCTACACACTTTTAAACAACCAGATCTCTTGAGAACTCACTCATGAACATGAGAACAGTCCCAAGGGAGAAATCTGCCCCAATAATCCAATCACCTCCCACTAGTCCCCTTCTCTCACAATAGGGATTACAATTCAACATGAGATTTGGGTGGGGACACAAATCCAAACCATATCACCCGCTATGATTGTGGGAGGATCAATCAAATCAGCCAGCAGGTGGGAAGCACTTAGCACAGTGTTATGTGGCAGGCACTTAATAAATGCTTGCTGGAACTAAGGCAAGAATTAGGTACAGGAAGTGAGACATCAAGGCCAGACAACAAACCTGTTTTGCTGAGCATTTTGTCCAAGTGCTCTTAAAATACTTTTGTCTGGGATTGGTTTCTTTGTGCAGGACTGGGATTAGAACTAAGAGGCCCCTCCATGGGGAACTGCAGGCTCCAGGAGCCAGGCTGCCATCTCAGAAACCACCGGGTCTTTTGACTCTCCCAAAGCTATCTATAGCCCACAATGACACACAGTAGGTGCTCACTAAGTATCTGTTGAAGCATCAATGCACTTAACAGAGGGATGTGAACAACCTGACTCCCAGGAGCTACTGAACAGTAAAACACTGAGGTTTGCTTTAGTCAGACAAGCTTTGTCTTCTCGGAACAAACAAAAAAACAATAAAAATAAATCAGACAAGGCTTTGTTTCTGAAAGACACTGAACAAATACACTTGAGGTATTATCTCAAGAAAAATCAATGTCTTTCCCATCCACCGGTGTACGTGCCTTTGGCATTGACTTGGAAACACTGAAACCCTCCTGGCCCAGTGCTCTCTTGAGTCCACAGGCTGAGAATACCAGTTCCAGCATTCCCAGCTGGCCAAGCCGATGAGAACTCATTTCCTTCTTGGAGTGCAGAGCCATCACTGCAGGTACTAACATGCCTTCGTGCTCTCTGCCTTCTGGCTAACAAAGCAAGCAGACAAAGAAAAGAGGAGGCAATGCAGGCAACTGTGGGGCTAGGAGTTTTGAAGAGTGGAGTTTGGGAACTATTACAGAGAGGTTAAGTGGAGGAGGCTGGCCTAGAACTAAGAAGATACTTGGCTGGGCCACGGAATCACCTGGGGACTATTAATTTATTTATTTGTGAGATAGGGTTTCGCTGTGTCGCCCAGGCTAGAGCGTAGTGATACGACCATAGCTCACTGCAGCCTGTAACTCCTGGGTTCAAATGATCCTCCCACTTCAGCTTCCCAAGTAGCTAGGACTATACAGTCCTGGGGCATTTTAAATAATGACAGTTTCCTAGGTCCTACCCAAGACCAGATTCTCCATCTTAAAATGCTCTTTAGGAGATTCTATGATGAAAAAAAAAATGCAGAAATCAAGTTCTGCTTAGACACCATTACTCTGAGTGACCTCCAACTTTTTGCAGCTTACCAAGGGGGTCTCAGGCTGGAGATAACTTCTCCCCAAGTGTTCCCCTGGGAGGACTTAGCTGACAATATTGAAAAGGAGAGATTTTTTTTTAAGAACATACAGAGGTGTCTAAAATAGTTGAACTCATGGAAGCAAAGAATAGAATTGTGGTTGCCAGGCACTAGGGGGAGAGAGGAAAAGAGTTGGTATTTAACAAGAATAAAATTTCAGTTATGCAAGATGAATAAGTTCTAAAGATATGCTCTACAACACTGTGCCTAGAGATAACAATACTATATTGTACACTTAAATATCTGTTAAGAATGTAGATCTCATGTAAAGCGTTCTTACCACAATAAAATGTTTTAAAAATGAATGGAAGAATAAAAAAGAACATAGAGCATGGAAAAGAAGAGCTGGAAAATTCTCAGTGGTGTGTCTCATGGTTGCAGCCATGTGTCTGTAAATATATCTTGGAAAGAATTCATCCTCAGAAATAATTACACAGAATGACTAATATAGAAGATAAATGTTTCATTATAACTGTTTAATAGAGCCTCAAAATTCCTCCTTTTGGTACTTTGGCTCCTAGGAAGAAAAAGTGGATGAGGAAGACCCTTTGGACATCGTCAAAAGAGGCATTGTTAGCAAATGACGGGGGGCCAGTCCTGAAAGCCTGTGAGGCTGTGAGCAACTCTCCCACCTGCTCTTCTCTGTCTGTCCTACTCCTCATGACAATGACTCTTATCCTGGAGGGCCTGCAGTAGCGTTTGACACACGTACCTCATTTAATTCTCACAAGAGTTCTATGAAACAGGCTAGGATTTGGCAAACCATTGTCAGCTACCTGTTTTTGTAAATATAGTTTTATTGGAACATAACCACCACAATTTATTTACATATTGTCTATAGCTGCTTTTACTCTACAATGGCAGAGTTGAGTAGTTGTGACAAAAGCTCTAGGCCCTGAAAAGTGCAAAATATTTATTTTACTATGTGGCCCTTTACAGCAAAGGTGTGTTGACCCCTCAGATAAATGGGACATTGCTCCCACTTTACATATGAGGCACAGAAAAGCTAAGCGCATTGACTGAGATCATTTGGGTTATAAATTATAGTGTCAGAGATGTCTCGGACCCAGAGACAACTGTTCCCTATGCTTTTCTCCTCCCTACCTTATAGCATCTCCTACTCTTTCACATTCATTTGTTCCTACTAAATGTGTCAGCCAAAAAGAACACATTCATTTGCACTGAACAAGACGTCTCAGGTTGACCATCACACAGAAGTCAACAGGAGGTTCTGGAGACTTGCAGAAAGTGATCATCCAGCATATCCTCTCCTCTCCTCTCCTAGCCCCTAAGGACTGATTCGTAGTCTGCCCAGAGTTTATAAGAGAGACAGTCATCCAACATGAATAGAGATGGCCTGAGCAGGCATGGGCTCTTTGAAATTCGGAGAGATCAGCTCAAAGATACACTGGGAAGAACCAGGTTGCCCCAAGCAAAAGGCAACAACTGCCCTTGGTTGAGCAAGATTCCTTGGGAAGCTTATTGGAGGCCCCACCTCTAAGGACAGGCCCACATTTGCCTTGTCTGCCATTCTTCCCTTACTGATGTATTCTGACCCTGTCTTGGCTTGATTTATCTTTGATGTCTTTGATGTTGCTCATGACCATGCTGCCTTCTTCCTGGGAGTTCCCATCTGGTCCTGGTTTCTGCTTCTCTTGCCTTAGCTCATACTCAAACCCTGTGGGTAACAGCCCACGTGCAACAGTGGTCTGCAGCTCCTGAGGGCTGTTGAAAAGATTGCTTCATTCAATGCCATAAAAATATCCAAGAATACAGCAATTGTTATAGAAATTATGGTAAATCTGCACAATGAAATATTATGCAGCCACTAAAACGGACATCAATTCAGATTTCTAAATGACACAATGTAGCAGAGACAGGGCCAGGTTCATGGGTGTGGGTCCTACACAGTCATACAGGGCTCCACACTTACAAGGGCCCTACACTTGGTTTAATGCTCCATGGCTGCCACCTTGAAATTCTGAATAGTTTTATAACAAGAGTCCTCCACATTTACATTTCACATTGAGCCTATAAATTGTTAGCTAGTCCTGAGCAGAGATGACTCTGAGTGCCCATTTTCTCCTGTCTTTTAGTAATAGAACCTCCTCCCTTTGCTTCATACATACACCCTGACTAGTGTTTCCACGCTGGAATTCCTTCCCAGTATTTCTTGAGAATTTTTTATGTTTCTCCAAATCTCGAAAGAAAAATCAGTCAAGAAATTGGGAAAAAGTATTGTAATTATCCTGCAGGAATCAAGGCTTAATGATCAACATAAAGACATCACTGGTTTGAATCCATCAATGTCAAATGAAAAGCAAGAGCAGGAAAGGCTGGCAGGTGGAAGAGCATATAGCACATAGGAGAGCACATAGGTCAAGAGCTGATCAGTCAATCTTGCTTGTAGCCATTGTCCTGTTCTAAGTGTGTGTTCTTGGCCCTGACTGATGCTAATGGCAAGTCATTCTTGGAAATAAAATAAGCAGTATTAGGTTTATATGTATGTATACTTTATTCAAATCCTGCTAGTGATGTTCTAGGAAATAACAAATTTGGGAAGCAAAATACGCCCTTAATTGGCAATTTCAATGTGTGATTCTGTGTAGTGCTTTAACCTTGCTAGGAGATCTGAATGTCACATTCTTTGAATATTACCCAAAAATGTTCACTGGTATTTTCTAATGTTTGATTTTTTTTTTATCTCAGGCTATAGTTGTTTATAAATTTGCTAAATGTAATATTTCTTATTTATTAAACCAATTTCTTTTAGATATCCACAGTAATGACTAAAGAGTATAAAAATTGCTGGAAGTCTTTTATTTTCTTCTTGTTACTTAGTTTTCATTTTGTAATTATAAACTTAACTCTGCGATCCAGCTAGACATGGAAGAGGATAAGGAAAATATGGAACCCAAAGGACTGTGCAAAGATTATAGGATGCTGTGAGCAAATGGGGTGGAAGCATGCTTTCCTGAGCTATAGAAGGAACGATCTGGTGGTTCAGATAAAACAATCAAATTTATTAGAGTTGTCCACAGTCAGCAGCTGTGATCTTCTTGCTGGTCTTACCATTCCTGGACCCAGAGCGTTCCAGGGCTTCCACAATACTCATGCCATCTTTCACCTTGCCAAAGACCACATGCTGTCATCCATCCTCTGTCTTGGCAGTACAGAAGAAAAACTGGGAACCATTTGTGGTGGGTCCAGCATTTGCCGTGGACAAGACGCCAGGAGCTGTATGCTTAGGATGAAGTTCTCATCATCAAATTCCTTGCTGTAGAGGGACTTGCCACCAGTGCCATTATGGTGTGTGAAGTCACCACCCTGACACACACCCCGGAATAATTCTGTAAAAGCAGGGACATTTATCACCAAATACTTTCTCTCCAGTGTTCAGAGCACAAAAATTTTCTTCCATCTTTAGAACTTTGTCTGCAAATAGCTTGAAGGAGATGCAGCCCAAGGACTCACTATCAATTGCAATGTTGAAGAACACAGTGGGGTTGGCCATGGCTGGTGGCAGGGAGTTCTGGGCAGCAGCGATGTCTGCAAATGGAAGTCTTTTCAGAATAACACGAGTTTATCTTTATAACAAACCTATACATGTATCCCTGAACCTAAAATAAAAGTTTTTTTTTTAAAAGGATAACTTATTATTTCAGAAATTTCTAAGAATTCCCAGGAATTCCAACTTCTCATTTGTATATCCTGATGAATATCCACTGGGTATTTGGAAATGCCAATTTCTGACATATGATTGCTTAGCTAGAGACTGCATTTCCAGCCTCCTTTGCAGGTAACTATAGCCAGGTTCTAAGTTTTGGCCAATGAGATGTTAGCAGAAGTGAAATGTGTGCCTTCTGGATTTTATTTTTATGAGAAATTTGCCTGTCTTCTATTCTTTTTCCCTCTTCTCTCTGGCTCGGAAATGATGAAAAGTACAGGACTCACTGGGACCAAAATTCAGAAATTACATGTTAAGGAAGAGAGGGCTGCTCCTCTAGCCTGTTCTCCTTATGACCTTGTGGAACGGAATTGCCTACCTGCCCTGGACTATCCTAAGATTGTCGTATGGAGAGAAATACATTCTATTTTATTTAAACCTCTGTGTTTTGTGGCCTCTTTGTTACAGCAGCTTAGCCTATACTAACACAAATGGGAACATACTATCCTAAAATGCTACTTGACAAAGCATACACGATTTCATATCCAGTAGAGCATCAGTCACTGAAAAAAAAAAACAACACAAAGAAAATGTCTAGGAGAAAATATGTCAAAGTACAACAAAAGGTAAGGGAGAAGCCAAGTTGGACGCTGTTCCAGAAAGAAACTAAATGCTATTACCTACATAACCAAGAAGCAAACTGAGCACTGCTTATGTTCTGGGCAAAGGGCTAGAACAGGGAGTAATAATGACATTTTCCTATTGGTATGGAGTTTATAGTGAAACTGGAAAGGAAGATGTTTGTAAAACTTACTAGTATGGATGACATAAATAATTCATTCTCCTTTCAGTAGGCCTTTCTCCAGGGACTGGAATATTGGTGAGGTTTGGGGTTTAGGATAATTTCACCTCCTTCAAGGATTGATAATTTCCAGCACACCCAGTAGAAGCTGGTGGTTTCAGCAGGGGGGGATCCACCCCTTCAGCAAGTTTGTCAAGAGGAACAACAGGCAGAAGCAGCCCACGGGCTCCCATTTCACCATCCTGCCTCTCCTCTTCAGAAACCTCAATCCAGCTTCCCTAGCCCTCGGAAAAGAAAACTGGAAAATATCCCAACCCCGTTAAACTCTTTGTGTCAAGGGAGCCCTTCTTATCTGAGAACACCTGGCTAGCTGTTAGGTTGCCATCTTGGGAAAATTGATAGCGTCTATTTCGTTATGGTTTGGGAGAAAAGCAAAGAAAGCTGAACAAACATATGAGTGGAAATTTGGCACTCATTTTACACAGTAGCTTTCATTTTTGTAGACTTTTTAAAAAGTGAGAAACTCTAGTGTTTTGTTTAGCAGAAGTCATTAAGTATTCTGCAAGAGCTGGTTTGAGTCAGCAAGAGGTGGTAAATTTGCTGTTGAGTAATGCTCCATGTTTACCAAAGACTTTATCCATCTATTTGTCCATCTACCTGCCGGCTAACACAGCCAGTTCTGCCTGCCCCTGCAGGGCATTTCTGTCCACATACCTGTCAGACTCCATTTTTCACCAGAGGCTTCATTACACAAAATAGAGGATGAGTGTTCTTAGAGGCACTTTAAACAGCTGAAAATAATGAAGGAGAAGTCCATGCAATTAACCAAGCCCTTGGCAGGAGGA
The DNA here is from genome assembly GCF_000001405.40 of Homo sapiens. Classification (NCBI taxonomy): domain Eukaryota; kingdom Metazoa; phylum Chordata; class Mammalia; order Primates; family Hominidae; genus Homo; species Homo sapiens. The sequence continues at coordinate 113,480,824 of NC_000010.11, read as the reverse complement.
TTTGAATAGTCAAGGAACTAATTAAGTGCCCCAGGCTCCGATGCCTTATATTTGCCACATTATCAGGTCACAATAAAGAATGTCCCAAACCTGTGCATCTCAGAGGACAGGAGTGAAACAAGTGTTGTGTTGCTGAATACCTTTCCTTCTCCTTCTCCATAAAGAAGACCCAATCTTGCAAAGCAGAGCCTGCAGTTTTTTACCCACGATTTATTCTTCCCTTCTTCCTAACAGAAGCAAGATTTTACTCAGATTGAGAATGTGCCCAGACAAGAGAATATATTTCCTAATATCCCTCGAAATTAGAAGTGGCCAATGAAATGTTGGTGGAGGTCAATGGAGCCTTCTAGAAAGGCTGTCTTTCTCCCCATTCTCCTTCTTCCTACCTAAAACATGGATGTAATCAATGGAGTTCCAGTAGTTATCTTGTTACCGTCAGGCAATCTTGGGGTTGGAATTCATGAGTTTAAGACCAAAGAGCAGAAAGATAAAAGAAGGCTGGGTCCCTGATGGACGTGAAGATGCCATACTGCCATAGATTCTTAACCTCCAGACACTGTTATATGGTAGAAAAATAAACCTCTAATTATTTATTGCAACTGTTAATTCAGATGTCTGTTACTAGCACCAAGTTTAATTTTAACAGATACAACATACACTCAATTTCCTCCTCTCCCACAAGTCCTTCCAAAAGCCCCTAAAAATTCAATTATTGACTGAAGCAGTCATTGATCCACAAACATTTACTTAACTCCCACTAAAGGCCCAGCTCTGTGATTCACATGGGGCATGGGAAAGATGAATACACATGATCCCTGACCCTGGGTGCACATTTCCCAATTAGAATGACTTGCTGTCACTCACTGAAGTTTGAGTTTCTTCTAGAGCTGGCTCCCCAAAGAGGAATTGTGTAAGTGGCTAGAGAGAGAACCCGCCTGTCCATCTTGGTCTCTCCCACGGTCCCCGGTACAATGCCTCCCCCCTTAGGTGCTCAATGTCTATGGGAAGGGGTATATAAAAGCTGAGCCTTCAGCCCAGCTCAGCTTGTTTAAGCAGCTGCCAACATCTGACAGTCACTACATAGTCACCTAGCCCCAACTTCGTAGTCACTGATGGTCCCCAGTCATATGCTTCAGAGTTCAGCCTCCCCGTTCCACCCTCCCAACCGTCTCCAGATAAGACACAGAGGAAGACGTGGCTTCTCTCCGTTCTGACCTTCTGTCCATCTGGGCCTTGCTTCAGGCATGGCTGCATCAGCTTAGTCAGACCCCAGCACCCTCAGGCAGTGAGCACTTTCAGTGTCCCATGGCTTGGCCACAGGTATTTAGGCTGAAAAAATCACCCTGAGGCCAGGCTCAGTGGCTCATGTCTATAATCCCAGCACTTTGGGAGGCTGAGGAGGGCAGATTGCTTCAGCCCAGGAGTTTGAGACCAGCCTGGGCAACATGGTGAAACTCTGTCTTTACAAAAAACGCAAAAATTAGCCAGGCTTAGTAGCAGGCACCTGCAGTCCCAGCTACTCAGGAGGCTGAGGTGGGGGGATTGTTTGAGCCTGGGAGGTTGAGGCTGCAGTGAGCTGAGATCGTGCCATTACACTCCAGCCTGGGTGACAGAGTGAGACCGTGTCTTATTAAACAACAACAACAACAAAACTCACCTGAATTGCCCAGGCTGTGGCCCATTCTATCAAATAGCCTAGAGTGGGGCTAATCTCCAAAGGTCCAAGTTTTCATCAGAGAGGAGAGGAGCCACTGGTCCTCTCATGGCAGTGACTCTCATGGCACATCCCTGAGGGTCACTTTTAGCAGTGGAATTGTGGGCCAAATATGCCATTTGTCTCCCTCGGGCTCTCCACTGTGCCAGTCCCCAAGCCAGTCATGACCAAGGTGGGCTGTCTGTCAGATTCTTACTCCAGCCAGCTGGCAAGGAGGGTACCCATTCTGCTGTCCCAGCCCAGGATATGCTGGAGGGCAGCATGGGTTTAAATGCCAGCTCTATCCCTTTCCACCTCTCGGGCTTTGGTCAAATTACTTAATCATGTTAAGCGTCAGTTTTCCTGCCTGTAAAATGGGTATATGAGATATCACTTTTATGGAGTTGTTGTAAGGATTAAAGGAGTCAATATGTAAATGGTAACTGTCATCATCCGTGTTATTAAAGCCCGGCATCACCTGTTGTTATAACTGTCTCAGAAACTGGTGAATATTAAACCTACTGAAAGCTCTGATTTTGATAAAGAATCCCAGCTGGATTTGGGGAGAGGGGTAATTTTGATAGTGACCTTTTTCACATATTTTCCTAAACTCTCTATTTTATGTCCCATTTTTCTGTCTAGTGATATTATTTGTCTGTTAGATCACAAGGAAACAACCAAATTCCAATCCAAACTCTCATTCTAACACCTTTTCTTGGAAGCATCTTTATCTCTTACCATCCAACTGGGTCAACTTGCTGATGTTTTTTCTCTTCTGAAGTTCACAGTAGAAGCTTAAGTTACCTGCCCCTTTTCTCTCCAGGACGTTCCCATCCACACACATGTGTGAGGTGTGAGGAGACAGGCAGAAACACAAAGATGCATGTGGGAATAAATGTGTAAATGTATTTAGACTTTATTTGGGGGAAACTGGGCTTTCAGCGCTATCCAAGTTCAACAGAAATGGCTGTGCAGACCAAACAGTGGTTAGTCATTGACACCAAAAACCGCTTGCAGCCCAAATTAGACACAACAAATCTGGGAAAGAATTTTTAAAAATCCAAATCTTGCAAACTACTCCTCACCCCAGAATACTTTAGGTATCAGAGGAAAGGAAATATGTATTCCAGGAGGAGGTGGGTGGGGGCAGAGAGAACCCCTCGGGCTCTAGCAGGTGAAAAAATGCATTTGCTTTATTTGGGACAGAAAAGCTGGGAGGGCTTGTGAGTCAGGGCCCTCAGTCTTGCCTCCTCTCTATCCCCACTATGAAAAGTTGTCACAGCTGAGGGTTTGGACACCCTTATACCAATGCTATGGATAACAAAGTGGAAAAACTCAGGGATTGTCTATGAGCCCAGCCAAGGCTGAGCGTGCAGAGACCTGCAAGAGCGGGATAGGAACATCTGGAAGTGGAGTGGGCAGTCTAAGACCAAAGGCCTTTGGGACTGTGGTGGACCAGAGATTGCAGGCCCAGCAGGAGAAGATTCAACCTCCCCCAACCCCCTACCACTTAGGGGGCTCTATCTATGCAACCCAGGCTGGTGGTTCCTATGAGAAATGTCGGCCTGTGTGGCCAGATCTTCAGATGTCTTAAGAAATGCTATAAAGCCCCTGATTCAAAAAATGTTGGAAACTGATTCAACACACTGTACAACAGTGTGTACAGGCTGAAGCAAACAAATCTGTTGACTGGATCCGGCTTGCAGGGCAGCCTGCTTCTAAATTGTGGGTAGGGGCAGACTTTTATCTTACCTCTGAAGCTGGGAGTTTCAGGGGGTAGGTTGAGAGCTGACACGTATACACATTAACTCTTCTGCCCAGATCTTCCTACTGCTAAATTAATCTAGCCTAAGAACTCCTTTGCAGCATTGAGAAAAGCACAGCTCAAAAATCAAAGTACAAACCCAGAGAAAAACTTTCCAGGTAGCAACCTCAAAGATTGAGCTTTACTTTTATTTTTTATGTATTTTGTAATGCCCCAGAACAGTTGGTCTTGTTAAAATCAAGTTGTATAATAGTCACCAACCCTTCTGTATCTCCTGACCCCACAGGACAGGCTTGGAAAGGGCAGGAGAAATGAGGGTGGTATGTGATACACCCAGAAGGCTGAGGGGGCCCGGTCAGGAGCCAAATTTACTTCTCTCCTCCCCCAGCTCTTAGTTTGAGTCCTGTATCCCCAAGCCACCTCGAGAATTTGGACCATCCAGACAATGGCTCGGCTGGACTCTTTGAAGAGCAAGGTTTGGAGGGAAAGGCAATGTGTGTGGGTGGGAAGAGTGAGGTCAGAGGCTGCCCCACTGGCAAGGTTAAGGGGAACCCCTGCCCCCAGCCGAAGGCACGATGGCACCTCTAAGTTCTTCACATTGACCAAACATGGACTGTCCATGGGAACAGATGTAAAGGCCAAGGTGCTTTGAGGTGAGGACCAGCACCAGAAGATACACACTGCACACAAATCTCCAATTCCAGGCAAGGGATATAGCAGCACAACCAGGACTTCTAAAGATTGGCATCCTTCTCCTCTTCCCTGCACAGTCTACCTTCACCGTTGCAGCATTCTGGGGAAAGGGAAGAAGAGGAAGGCAAAAAAGCAACAGAACGATAAGACAAAAGGCCAGGTACAGCTCTCAAGCCTGTGATTAAGCCCTCAAAGGCTGGCTGCTAATCACCACGGGGGGAGAAGTTCTCTCACCCACACCCGCCTTGCTTTTCTGTGCAGACACAAACGTCCCTCTCTCCCCAGAAGCACGCTCCAACCTTTCACTTTGTTCCCTAGAGCTCAGACACTGGGGCTGCTCCGAAAGATCTAGGAGCTTGCAAAGCACTGTGGGTACTGGCATGCAAATGAGGAGCACAACCAAGCGTGTCCCACATTGCTTCAGAGGACCTGAATTTTTTATGGCTTGTATGTGCTTTTTGATGTTTTCATTGTCTCCCAGCATAACTGATAAGCATTCCGATTCTGACAACTAGAAGTTGTATTTTTTTGGGTTTTTTTTTTCTTTTTCTTTTTCTTTTCCTGGAGCTGGTCTTCTCTGTCTTTTTTTTTTTTTTTAAAGTTCCAAGGAAAAAACCCAAAAAACAAAAAACAAAAAAATCTACCATAACAAACCGAGGTTACCTTAAGAAGTGAAATATTTTAAGCAATTCAACCGCAGATGCAACCAGGAAACGAAAACATGTTGATTCTCTTAAATTCCTTGGAGTAAAACAACCAGCATGCCCACCTCACTTGAAGGGACAATTTCCAAAAGAAGGACTAAGGGGGAGATGGGGATTTTTTTTTATTATTAATTCGATGGTGGTTTGTGGTGAAGAGCCTATTTCTATTAGGAAATATGCCTTTCCCATCTGTTTGCACTTGCTCTTAATTAGCTTGGGGACGCTCCTTTGGAAAAAGTGAGAGCCTTATTGGACCCGTCCTCTGTACACATGCTCCAAGGACTAAGTCAGTGAACTTTTAAGGGAACCATTTTTATTTTACAGCTATTTGCCCTTCAAGGATTCAGAATGCATCACCCATGCCAAATACCTCAGGTTCAGTGGTATTTCTGGTTTGGCTGCAGGGAGGAATTGCTGGACAAATCACAGGAAAGTCATTCCTGAGAGAATCCTGCCAATGTCTGCCCTCCCAGCCCTCTCCCTCTGGTGGCTAAGATCATTCGGATAACAGGCCGGAGTGAAGAGGGCCTGTCTGGACCTGGACTCAGGACCTTCCAAGCATTCCCATTTCATTCCAGCCTTAACTGCACAAAAACAGTGCAAATCATGTAAACATGAACACAACCACAATATCTATAAAAATCCTAATAAACCTTGCATTTTTCTCACCATTCTTCTCATCCCAGGTCTTGCAACACATCATTCCAGCCTCTGTGTCCCTACTTGATCCAAGCCCAGCATCATTCCTTCCCTTCAGCACCATTCCTGTGCCTCCATTGGCCTCAGACCACTCATCAAATAAAGGACAGACTCCCAGCTCCTCAGCGTCCCCACTCTCCACACTGCATGGCCTGGACAATGGAAACCCAGTTGCTCTTTCACACCTTTCCTTGAAACTTCCTCTTCCCACCTCCCTCCACCACTGCTGAAATTTCTCTATAGCCTGGTGGTGCCTCCAGGTTCTGAAGCCAGAGCTGCTGAGTGGTGTCATCAAGGTCAGAACTGCTCTTCTGATAATTTCTCTCTCCATCCCCAGCTCCTAGCAGCTTGCCTGGCACACAGTCAATGTTGCAAGGCATTTCTGAATGAAAGAATGCGGCACTTCATTGTTTGCTAAACAGTTGCAGACACTTTGCATCTGCACCAGAGGCCTAAGAGGTATTATCATTTCCACTTCCCAGATGGTAAAATTGAGGCTCTGAGAGTGTAAAAGACTTGTCCAAAGTCCCCAGCTATTAAGTAGCAACCTCAGCCCAGTGATCTCCCAGTGACGTGCTGCTTCCCCAGCAGAGAGAACTCCTAGCCCTTTTCCATTTTCAAACCACTTCCACAAACAATGTTTCTGTGACCTCCACAAAGACCCCATAAGATAGATATTAATAGTAACCCTGTTTTACAAATGCAGGATCAAGCAGCAGAAATCTCTGCATTCCATTGCAGTTCTGTTCTCTTTTTCCAGAACGTTCCTTGGGAGACCACAGCTGCAGTGATTGAAGAGGAGTCTGATTCTCCCGTAGCATAAACTACTGGGGATGGGAGAGGGGTCAGTTAGGAACTTGAAGTAGCCATATTACCCTTTACAACGACAAAAGTCTTAAGCTGGGCAAGGTGGCTCACATCTGTAATCCCAGCACTTTGGGAGGCCAAGGTGGGTGGATCACTTGAGCTCAGGAGTTCGAGGCCTCCCTGGGCAACATAGTGAAACCCTGTCTCTACCAAAAATACACACACACAAAAATTAGCCGGGTGTGGTGGTGTGCACCTGTAGTCTCAGCTACTTGCGGGGCTGAGCTGGGAGGACTGCTTGAGCCCTGGAGGTCAAGGCTGCAGTAAGCTGTGTTACTGTCACTGCACTCCAGCCTGGAACACAGAGTAAAACCCTGTTCCAAAAGAAAAAAGTCTCTAGTCTCTAGGGGTTTAATTCACCAAACCACTCTCAAGACCACAGGAATTTAAGATCTTTCTAAATATACCCAAATGAGTCTCCGGAAGTAGAGTAGGTAGTCAGAATCCAGCTCCCTAAAGCACATAAATACAGTTGAAATAGCAGTAAAATATTTCCACCCATCTTTTTATTAAAGATTGAATGTGCTGTAAAGAGAAATGTTGGCAGCCACCTTCTTAATAATGCTATTTATACTTAACGCATTGGGGTATAAATGGAAGCACAGTAGGCTCACGTACCAGATCTTGGTTTATTTGCTTTAAACCTCAGACAGAGCCAGACAGTCCTGATTTCATACTGACAACAAAAATAAAGAGGGCGCAAGTGTTCTCATCTCCCCTTTGGTTCCCAGATCTGGTGCCCTTTGACATATTCAGTTTTCTCCCAAATGGAGGCATCTGAGAGGTCTCCTGTTGGAGGAGAGGGACATCAAATAAGCTCAGCTTTCCAAATCGTATCAAGGAAGAGAATTTCTTGAAGAAGTCTTTGGTGGTGGCTGTAGTAGGGCTCTAGAAAACTCAACTGGACAAATTAGGGTGGACACAAAAAGAAACGATACTCCTAACTTCACATAAAAGTTGTCCAAACTTCCCCCTCTGAACCCCTCCCCAGCCCCTCACATTGTTTAGATTTTAGGCTCTTGAAGAACATGTATTTCTTTTGACATCTAATAATGTCTGTTGACATGCAACATCCCTACTAGGGCTTTTTTTTTTTTTTATTAAATGATGTAAGTTCTGTAACTGATACCAGTTGTCATCAAACATCATAAAAGCTAATCATGCCTCAAGTCATCAATATTTATTGTCCCTGGTCAGGGAGAGGCTGTTTTCAGTTTGGGGCAGATGGGTTTAATTTTTAAGTGGAATAGTTAAAGCAGATGCACCTAATATAAAATATCAGACGAGTGAGGATCTGCCAACATGGTACAATTGAGATGTTCAGGCAGCTGAAAAGAAGATGTAGAAAGAGAAGGAGAGAAGAGGTTCACAGAGAAGAGAAGTATAGAAGGAAAAAGGTGAGAAAAGGAGTGCATGCTTATCGAATGTGTAGCATCCACATAGAATAAAATGTTTCCCTGTTGAAAGCTATCAAAATGGCTTGAGTAGATGGAGAAACACCATTTTTCTAGCAGACTGAGCATGGTTTAAAAAAAAAAGTGAGATAGAGGAGGCAGAAGAGAATGAAAGCAGCATGAAAGAAAATGTGAAAGAGGCCAGGCCCAGTGGCTCATGCCTATAATCCCAGCATTTTGGCAGGCCTAGGCGGATGATCATCTGAGGCCAGTAGTCTGGGCTCAAGACCAGCCTGGCCAACAGGATGAAACCCTGTCTCCACTAAAAATGCAAAAACTAGCCTAGCGTGGTGGCATGTGCCTGTAATCTCAACTACTTGGGAGGCTGAGGCAGGAGAATTGCTTGAGCCTGGGAGGTGGAGGTTGTGGTGAACTGAGATAGCACCACTGCACTCCAGTTTGGGCGACTGAGTGAGACCCTGTCTCAAAAAAAAAAGTTGAGGAGGCAATGAAAAGGAGGAGAGATTTATGCAGAGAGATGGTGAAAGAGTGAGGGAGTGGAAAGGTGAGATCGGGAGAGTCAAGTGGGTCTGACACCCCAGTGCCAGCAGGGGCCACAGAGCCTGGCAGAGGACAGGCCAGCATCCTGGGGGCTTGGTAGGCTTTGCTCAGGCCAGTCCCAAGCAGGACCAGTCAGGGTGGGTGAGATTTGTCTGTGGCAGCCTCAACTGCCCTATCTGTGTCCCCTTCCTCCTTAGATGTCCCCATCTTACTTGGCAGGTGTTATAGTTGGGATGTTTATCCCCTCCAAATCTCATGTTGAAATGTGATCCCCAATGGTGGAGGTAGAACCTGGCAGGAGGTGTTTGGGTCTTGGGGGTAGGTCCCTCATGAATGGCTTGGTGCCATCCTGTGAACGCTAATGAGTTCATGTGAGATCTGGTTGTTTAAAAGAGTGTGACACCTCCACTCTCTCTCTCTCTCGCTCCGTCTCTTGCCATGTGACACGCCTGCCCCCTCTTTGCCTTCTACCATGAGCTTCCTGAGGCCTCTCCAAAAGCTGAGCAGATGCTGGCACCATGCTTGTAGAGCCTGCAGAACTGTGAGCCAAATAAACCTCTTTTAATAAATTACTCAGCCTCAGCCTCAGGTATTCCTTTATAGCAACACAAAATGGACTAACACAGCAGGGTTCTGGAGGGCTCTACAATCTTCTCACACTCTCCTCTCAGGAAAGCTCCAGGCATCACATTCACACTGAGGTGTAAATAGCTGATAAGGCTTAATGAGATACTGTCAGGGCTGAAGTTTTTCCTCTTTGACTTTAGTTCTAATGACAAATTCTGAGACATCTGTCAGCCAGGTGGGGAAATTTTTAGGGGATGTGAAGATGGTAGCCAGAGTCTCCCATGGACAAACCCATTCCGCCTCTTGAATGTTCTGTTGGGGCACACTTTACAGAGCTGAAATTCTTTATGGAGTAATAGATTGGAGAAGTGTGACTACACCTTGGACCTAGATGGCTTAGGGCAAACGTGGGGCCCTGAGGCCTCTGCTTGGTACCCCCAGACCTGGGCTGCTGGGTAGAGGAGACTAGAAAGTGAGAGATCTAGGGGACAAAGGATGAGAAGCCTTGTCCTTTGTCCTTGGGGTTCAATGGGACTCTTGCAGAGACCAGAGTCTGGGAGGGGCCAGGAACAGACTCACTGCTCTGCAGTGTCCCCGAACGCCCAAATTCTGCCCACGCTGGCTTTTGTGTTGACGTCAAAGTCAGAGGGAAGAAAGGAAGAGGGAAGGAAAAACCTTAACAAAGAATGTTTCCAAAAAAGCTCCTGGTGAAAAATAAATAGGTCAAACCTCAAAGCAGCCCAGCAAACTCCTCCTAATGATCCAACCCGCTACTTGGATTTTGAAATTACAGGCCGTCATATTTATGTAACCTGGCCTCTGAGGTGGATAGGGGCAGGGCCACTCCCACAGCATGGATGAGGATTCTGAGGCAGGAATGGCCCCTACAGAGGGTCCCAAGGCATGTTGGAAGTACCAGAAGAGTCAGAACTGAGGATCTCATATCTGCCTGCTTCTTTCCCTCCTTGGAAGACTGAGAAGCAGGGCGTGGGTGTTCATGTTCCCAACGTCCCATGACCCTTCTGTATTTCCCCCATTGTGTGCATTCCTAAGTGGAAAGCTAGTGCATGCTACACCCTCCTCTTGAATGTCCCCAGATCTCCTCCGGATGAGCCCCAGGATCTGAATGCCACCATGGTCTCTCTTGTTGGCCTACATCCAGGCAGCCCTGGAGATTACCTGGTAGTTCATGTACAGCTCCACCTTGCTTTACTTGAAACAGTTCTGTGCCACTCTTGCCCAAGGGGCCAGCTAGCAATCCTGAGCTCACTGATGGTAGCATGGCTGTAGACCCTTGTCTATCTCCAAAGGACATGGGGTCCTTGTATTTTTGGAGAATTGTGCATAGTGCTGGCTGCTAGGAAGGCTCCTGCTTCCCCACATCCTCCCTGACACCTGATCTTTTTTTTCTAACTTTTCTAATGTTTCCCAATGTCATCTCATTGCTATTTTAATTACTGATGAAGTTAATCAGTTCTTCATAAACTCATTAGCCATCTAGTTTCCTCTTCCAGCAAATGCTCATTTCCCTCCATTAGATTTCCTGTCTTTGTCTTGTTAATTTGCAGTATCTTATATTCTAGGGCCTATTCCTTTGTTAGGTTAGACAGCGTTCATTACCTCCTCCCCATCTGCAGCAACACGTTCGTTAACCACGGCTCTAGTGGCCACGTTTGAACAGATATATTTAATTTTGATGTAGTCAAGTTCACCAATTTTTGTCATGTGATTTATGCTTTTGGTGTCTTATTAAAGAAATCCTTATCACCCTTAGGTCAAAAAGATAGTCTTTTTTACATTCTTCTATTGAATTCATAACATTTTCTTTCACATTTCGGTCTTTCCTGAGTCATTTTTGAATGTGGTTTGAATTAGAGCTACAACTTTATTCAGCTTCATCCCGTGAGCCGGTTACCCCAACAGCACTACTAAATAATTCATTTTTTTTTTTTCCTCCACTGAATACTGGTGCCTCCTTACCACAGACTATGAATCTCTTTCAGAGTTCTTTTCTTTATCCCAGTTGTCTATTTGTCTGTTCCTGCACTAGTATCCCACTATCTTTATTACCACCTTTGTAATGTCTAGATATGGAACACGGCAAAGTTTTCTTTCTTTGCTCTTTTATTTTTCAAAATTATCTTAGCTGTTTATATAGCTTTATTTTTCTAAAGATCCAGAAAGATGAAATTTTATTAGAATTGAGTACAATTTAAAGAATTAATGTAGGGGGAACTGACATCTCAACATGTACATAAACATGTACTGAGTTTGGCCGGGCGCGGTGGCTCATGCCTGTAATCCCAGCACTCTGGGAAACCGAGGTGGGTGGATCACCTGAGGTCAGGAGTTCGAGACCAGCCTGACCAACGTGGTGAAACCCCGTTTCTACTAAACACAAAAAATTAGCCGGGCGTGGTGGCTCATACCTATAATTCCAGCTACTTGGAAGGCTAAGGCAGGAGAATCGCTTGAACCTGGGAGGCAGAGGTTGCAGTGAGCTGAGATTGTGTCATTGCACTCTAGCCTGGGCAACAAGAGCAAAACTCCATCTCAGAAAAAATAAAATAAAATAAAATAAAATGAAATAAAATAAAATAGAATAAAATAAAACCATGTACTGGGGTTCTACTTATTTAGGTCTTATTTTATCCGGATTTTTCTCTGTAAAGATCTTGTATATTTTTAGGTTAATTTCTAGATACTCCTGAGGTGGGGATGGGGGTGGGCTATTAGGAATTATAACTTGAGTTCTATTATATTTTTCTAGTAGGTTATTGCTAATATAGTGGAAACTCTCCCTTTTTTTTTTTTTTACTTTTTTGAACATCATCTTTATCAAAACAAAAATTTATAAAAAGTAAGATATACTCATTTTAATTGTAGGATTTAATGAGTTTTGATAAACATATATACCTACATGATCACCACTACAATAAAAATACAGAACATTTCCATCACCCCAAAATATACCCTTATGCCCCTTTGTAGTCAATTCTATTCCTTCCACGCACCCAAGGAATCCCCGATTTACTTTCTGTCACTATAGATTAGAATTGCCTTTTCTAGAATTTTATTTTCTAATTTTTCTTTGGTAGTATGTGGAAATACAATTCATTACTGTATATTGACCTTGTATTACAAAATATTGTTAAATTGGTACATTAATTTCAGTTGCTCGTTTAGAGAATTCTCAGGATTTTTTATATAATTATGTCATTTCCAAACAGTCTCACTGCTTCCTTTCCAATCTGTAGGCCTCTTATTTTAAACATTTCTTGTCTTATTGCACTGCCTAGGACCACCATTACAGTACTGAACAGACATGGTGAGAGATGTTTACCTTCGTTTGTTTTCAATCTTAAGGAAGAAGTTTTAATCTCTCACTATTAATATGATGTTAGCGGTAGGTTTCTTCGTAGAAGAACTTTATCACTTTTAAAAAGTTCCTATTTCTAGTCTGTTGATATTCATTATCATGAATGAGTATTAAATTTTATCAAATGCCTTTTCTATATCTACTGAGATAATCATATGAGATTTCTACTTTATCCTAAGATGAACTATGTTTATTGATTTTTTTTTTTTTTTTTTTTTTTGAGATGGAGTCTTGCTCTGTCTCCCAGGCTGGAGTGCAGTGGCATGATCTTGACTAACTGCAACCTCTGCCTCTTGGGTTCAAGCAATTCTCCTGCCTCAGCCTCCCAAGCAGCTGGGATTATAGGCACATACCACCACGCCAAGCTAATTTTGTATTTTTAGTAGAAATAGAGTTTCACCATGATGTTTTATTGATTTTTGAATATTAAACTATCTTGAATTCCTGGAATAAATCACACTTGGAAACAGTATATTTATCCATTTTACACATTGTTAAAATAGAATTACTAACATTTTGTTAAGCACTTTTGCACTGTGTTTGGGGAGGATATTGGTGCATGATTTTCTTTTTTTTCCTTTGAGATGGAGTTTCACTCTTGTTGCCTAGGCTGGAGTGCAATGGCACGATCTTGGCTCACTGCAATCTCCGCCTCTCGGGTTTAAGCGATTCTTCTGCCTTACCCTCTCGAGTAGCTGGGATTACAGACATGTGCCACCACGCCCAGCTAATTTTGCATTTTCAGTAGAGACGGCGTTTCTCCATTTTAGTCAGGCTGGTCTTGAACTCCTGACCTCAGGTGATCAGCCCGCCACAGCCTCCCAAAGTGCTGGAATTACAGGCGTAAGCCACTGCACCCGGTGATTTTCTTTTCTTATAATGTCTTTGCTTTGTTTTCATACTCAGGTAATGCCAGTCTCACCGCATGAACTGGAAAGTGTTCTCTCTTACTCTCTTTTCTGAAAGAATTTATTTAAGATTGAAGTTGTTTCTTCCTTAAATATTTGTTAGACTTCACCTGTGAAACCGTCTAAGCTGGGATTTTTCTTTGTGGGAAGATTTTTAATGACAAACTTATTTTAAAAATTGATTTAAGGCAACTTGTGCTTCTTATTTCTTCTTGAGTTTATTTTTTTCATAATTTGGGTCTTTTAGGTAATTTTTTCATTTTATATAGGTTGTTAAGTTAAATTAGCATAATGTTGCTCATAATATTCCCTTATTATCCTTTTTAATGTCAGTAGTATCTATGATAGTGTCTCCTTGTCCATTTCTAATACTAGTTATTCCTGTCTTCTCTCTTTTTCCTTCACCAGTCTGGTTAAAGTCTTATCAGTTTTATTGATATTTTCAAGAAAACAGTTTTGATTTTATTGATTTTTTTCTGTTTTTGTCTATTTCATGAGTTTCCATTTTTATTTTTATTATTTTCTTTCTTCTACAAAATTTAAGTTTACTCGTACTTCCTGTCCTAGTTTCTTATAATGGAAGTTTAGATCACTGATTTTAGAAATTTATTCTTTTCTAACAGGAGCACTTAAGGTTACAAATCTCCCTCTAAACACTGCTTTAGCTGCATTCTATAAATTTTAGCTTGTTCTGTTTACATTTTCATAAAGTTAAAAATATTTCCTTATTTGCCTTGAAACAAGAAATAATTGGGTTCAGTCTGACAATCTTTGCTTTTTAATTGCAGTGTTTACATAATTTACATTTAATATAATTGACAATGATTGAGTTTAAATATACCACTTTGTAATTTCTTTTCTTTTTCTCCCATTTATTATTTATTTCTTTTTTCTCTTTTCCTGCCTTCTTTCAGACCAATCAAGTATTATTTCACACTACATTTTATCTCTACTAATAGCTTATTAACTATAACTCTTTGTTTTATTCTTTTGTGGTTACTCTAGAGTTTACTATATACACATTTAACCTGTTGCCATCTGTCTTCGAACAATATTATCCCACTTTGCATATAAAAACCTTACAAGAGTGTACTTCAATTTCTCCAATCCCATCCTGTGCACTATTTTCGTAATACATTCTACTTCTACATGTTATAAATTGCTTGATAAATAATTATTAGTTTGATTTTAAAAGTCAATTATCTTGGCCGGGTGCGGTGGTTCACACCTATAATCCCAGCACTTTGGAAGGCCAAGGTAGGTGGATTGCTTGAGCTCAGGAGTTTGAGACCAGCCTGGGCAACATGGCAAAACCCTGCCTCCACCAGAAATAAAAAATTTAGCTGAGTGTGGTGGTGCATGCCTGTAGTCCCAGCTACTTGGGAGGCTGACACAGGAGGATTGCATGAGCCTGGGAGGTTGAGGCTGCAGTGAACTGAGATAGTGCCATTGCACTCCAGTCTGGGTGACAGAGTGAGACCCCCTCTCAAAAAAAAAAAATAAAAAAAGTCAATTATCTTGTAAATAAGTTTTTTAAATTAGACAAATTATTTTACACTTACTCATATATTTACTATTTCTGGTACTCTTCTTTTTTTAAATGTAGATACAAGTTTCTGGAAGTGCAGATCTGTAGGCAATTTATTCTTTCAACTTGCATTTGTCTAAAACAGTCTTACTTTTACATTAATTTTGCCGAACATAGAATTTTATGTTTTATTATCTTTTGGGTTCCATATATTCTGAGGAGAAATCTGCAGCTATTCTTTGTTCCTCTACACATAAGCATTCTCAAATTAGGTAATATTGCCCTAAGGGACAGGGAAATTGGTTCTTGGGGAGGGGACAAAACAATTACCTTTTAGTGTACAAAACACAGATAAACATACAGTATATAAATAGATACACAATATAACCATGGTATTAACATTTCATGGAAAGGTACAATTAGGGGTCAAATGTATTTTTAAAGGCTCCTGGGGGCCAGGTGCCGTGGCTCACGCCTGTAATCCCAACACTTTGGGGGGCCGAGGCAGGCAGATCACGTGGTCAGGAGATGGAGACCATCCTGGCTAACATGGTGAAATCCCATCTCTACTAAAAATACAAAAAATTAGCCGAGCATGGTGGCGGGCGCCTGTAGTCCCAGCTACTTGGGAGACTGAGGCAGGAGAATCGCTTGAACCCAGGAGGTGGAGGTTGCAGTGAGCTGAGATCATGCCACTGCACTCCAGCCTGGATGACAGAGTGAGACTCCATCTAAAAAAAAAATAAAAAATAAAATAAAATCTCCTGGGGAGAGGGCAATAAACAAAAAAAATGATTGGGAAATATAATCCTTATATAATTTGGGGTTTTTTGGCTGTTTTAAATATTTTATCTTTATCATTGTTTTTCAGCAATTTGATTATGATGTACCTTGTTGTAGTTTTCACTGTAACTATCCTGCTTATAAACCTTTTACTTTCTTGGATCTCTGAGTTTTACCAAAAATTGTATCATTTTGGCTATTGTTTTTTCAAACACTTTTTATGTCCTCCTCACTCTCAGACTCCTCTTTCTAAAACTACAATCTTGTGTATGTTGGATTCTTTGATGTTGTCCCAAAAGATCAGAACCATTGGATATTAAGCTATTTGATAGTGTCCTACAGAAGTTATATTCATTTTTAATTAGTCTTTTTTCCCTGTGCTTCATTTTGAATAATTTCTATTGCTATGTCTTCATAGCAAAAGAATTTTTGCTGTTTTTAATTTACTGTTAATCTCACCCAGTATTCTTTTTTCATTTATATACCGTATTATTTAATCTCTAGATATTCCTTTGGGTTTAAAAAATATATATCTTTCATTTTTCTCATCATTGTGTTTATATCTTCCTTTAAATTCTTGAGCTGCTTTAAAGCCCCTGATTGCTAATTCCATCAACTCTGTCATTTTCATGTTTGTTTCTTTTGACTTTTATTTTCCTTCTCAGCTATGGGTTATATTTTTCTGCTTTTTGACATTTTAACTAATTTTTATTGAATGCTGGACATTGAGAATTTTATATTGTTAGGCGCTGGATTTTGTTGTTTTTCTTCCAGAAAGTTGGGTTTGTTCTGGGAAACAAGCAGTTTAGGTACTTACAGATCAGCTTGGTTCTTTTGAGGCTTGTGTTTAAGCTTTTGTTGGAGTAGGGTTAGAGTAAACTCTCCTCTGGGCTAGTCTAGTTTTCTTGTTAAGGTCTGACTCTTTTAGCTACTCTACTGAAAATTTCCGGTGTTCACCGACTCTCTTCTTTAGCTGGTGAGAACTCAAGTGTCTCCACACCATATATGAACTCCAGAAATTGATTGCCTTACAGGTCCCCAACATTCTTTGCCTGGATTCATGGAGTTTTATTTTACATGTGCACATTTTAGTAGTCAGCAGAAACTCATGGAATTATTTCTTTATGTACCTCCCTCCTCTTGGGTTCTCTGCCCCCACAAATCCCAGTCTCCTCAGTCTCATCAAACTCTGATCTGTTTCCCACTCAGCGAGGCAGCCTTGTGCTGGTTGGGGTCCCCCTCCCTGTGGTCTGTTCCAGAATGCTCCTCCAGGCAGAAGGCCAGGGACTATGGAACTTACCTCATTTGTTTGTCTTTTTTCAGAGATCACAGTCCTGTGCTGCCTGTTATTCGATGCCTGAAAACAGCTGTTTCAAATACTTTATCCTGTTTTCTAGATGTTTATCATAGCACAGTAAGTCCAGTCCCAGTTACTTCAACATGACCATACGTGGAAGTCAGAGATGACTTTTTTCATTAAGGTATATAAATTACTCTTGCATCCAACAATCTTGTCAAATTTGTAATTCTTTTGAGTTTTTCTATTGATTCTGTTGGGTTCACTGTGGAAATGTGCATTATCACCTGCGAATAAGGGTAGTTTTTCTTCTTATTCTTTCAATTTCTGTTTTTTTCCTTTTTTTATGTTGTAGCATTAAACAGGATACTTGGTACTATTTAGTAAAATGACAGCATGTATCTTTATCTTGTTGGCAATCTTAATGGAACATATTTGAATTTTTTTCATTAAGTTTAACTTTTGTCCAAGTTCTGGCACCAAACATTTATCAAGTTAAGGAAAGATTTTTTAAATTACTTTTTTTCTGAATTAACAAAAATCATAATTAGGTGTCAGATTTTATTAAAAACATATTCTGGATCTATTGAGATAACCATATAATTATTCTTAGGACATTTTCTTCAGTACATTAATCTAGTGAGTTACATTAAGAGCTTTTCTGAGGTTAAGCCATCTTTATACTGTGAAATATACTCTACTTTGTCATTATTATTTTAGTTACATGATTGGATCTTGTTGGCTAATGTTTCTCTAGGATATTGTATTTTTCTGTTCTTATCTACTTTTTCAATCGAGGCATATTTCTGTCATAAAATATATTAGACAGCTTTTCCTCTTTCTGCTTTCTGACACAGCTTGTGTAAGGTAGGAATTATCTCTTACTTAACAATTTAATAGAGCTTACATCTAAAACTGATACTGGGACCTAGAATGGAGAGTTATTTGATCACTGTGCCTATTACTTTATTAGTTATTTTTATTAAATGCTTCTATTTTTCTTATTCCAATTTTGGCTTTTTAATTTTTCTGGCATTTTATTTGTTTTGCCTAAGTTTTCAAATATTTTGGTATATAGTTGTTCATATAGTCTCTAGTCTCTTACTGCATCTAGACATTTTTGTTTTCCTTATGTATCTATTTATTTATATATTCTCTCCCTTTTTAAAAAATCAATCTTTCGTGAGAGATCTTTACGGTGAAAGAATTGCTTGGTATCTTGAGTGGGAGGGTGAATACATGAATCTAAATGTAATAAAACTGCATAGAACCAAGCATAACACACAAATGTGTACAAGTAAAACTGGGAAATTCTGAATAAAATAAGTGTATTGTATCAATGTCAATGTCCTTGTTAAGATATTGCACTGCAGTTTTGCAAAATGTTAGCATTGGGGAAAAGTGGGTAGAATGCATAGGATCTCTCTGTATTATTTCTTACAATTAATTGCCTGTGAATCTGCAATTCTCTCAATCAAAATTTTAATTAAAAAATCAAGTTTGCCGGAAGTTTGCTGCTTCTTTTTAATCTTTTCAAAATAGCAGCTTATGGTCTTGTTAGTCCCGTCTTTTGTTTTATTGTTCTCTGTTTCATTGGTTTCTATCCTTATTTTCATTATTTCTTTCAATTTTTTTTTTGCAATTTTAAACAGTTTAGATTTGAAAGCTTAGATATTTGTTTTTAGTAATTTTAGTTTTTTGCAAATGTACTTAAAGACATAATGTGTCTTCTTTCATCCACTGCGAAAATTTTGATATATAGTGTTTTCATTTTCTCTTAGCTTTAAGTATTTTAGAACTACCTTTATGATTTCCTCTTTGACACAAGAATTATTAAATAGTATACATTTTAGATACCTAACAGACATAATTTTTAAAAACTAATAATTTGATATTGGTTTCTCATTTTCCCCAACATGATTAAGACATTAATCTTAATTCTTTAGAATTTATTGAGGCTTCGTTTATGGCAAATCTATGCCAATTTTTTGTATGTTTCATGTGTGCTCAAAAATGATGTATGTTCTGTGTTAAATGCAAAGTTTTATAAACACCCACTAATTATGTTGCACATGTTTCTGGGCCTTTGTTTTTATTCATTTGCATGGTTTTTATTTTCGGTCCAACCTGGAAATCTCTGTTTTGTTTTGATCAGTGAATTTAACCTATTTAATATGACTGTTACGTTCAGCTAATTTCTGTCACTTTATGCATTTCCATTTCCCACACTATGTCAAATCCTTTAGAAGCAGAACCTGAGGTGAGCATCCTTGTTTAAGTGATTTATTGGAGAAGAGCTCTCAGGAGAGGGAAAACAGGGAATCCGGACAGGGCAGGATAAACCACAGAGTATGATTTTAGCTGGAGATGCTTCCATTCTCAGGGGAGCTGGTGCCCCACCCTGCTAGGCTAGAGTCACCTGATGGTCTCCTGCTGCTCCCAGAGAAGAAAAAGAAAGGAGCCAACTTCCCTGGCCAATGTGAGAAAGAGGAAAGAACAAAATGAAAAAGCACTTCCAGACCTTGGGGCCTGACCTCTTCCACTTAGGTGCCCCCATTCCTCAGGCTGGGGGCCCAGCCTTCTGTGTCCTCAGGGCTCCTCACAGTCTGCAAAGGCATGTTCAGTTCCATTCACCTTCCTCTTGCCTCCATGGCATCTGCAGGGCTGGGTCAGGGGAGGAACCAGCAGCCTCTGTCTGTTTGACATCTTGTCAGAAACAAGATGTTCTGCTCTTTCTGTTTTCCCCCTCTTTTGTTCCAGATTGTATTTGTCCATTTTTTACGCTGCTAATAAAGATATACCCGAGACTGGGTAATGTATAAAGGAAAGAGGTTTAATTGACTCACAGTTCAGCATGGCTTGGGAGGCCTCAGAAAACTTAACAATCATGGTGGAAAAGGAAGCAAACACATCCTCTTTCACATGGCATCAGGAAGGAGAAGACTGAGCAAAAGGGGGAAAAGCCCCTTAAAAAACCATGAGGTCTTGTAAGAACTACTCATTATCACAAGAACAACATGAAGGTAACTGCCCCCATGATTCAATTACCTCCCACCAGATTCCTCCCATACATGTGGGGATTATGGGAACTACAATTCAAGATGAGATTTGGGTGGGGACACAGCCAAACCCTATCAAGATTCTTCCAAGGACACAGGTTCAGCTTTGGTAGGTGAATTTGGAGGCTAGCTTGAGTGACAGCCTGCACTTGGAGGAGCCTCATTTTTTCCAAAATTGGTCCCTTCTGCCTTTCCCAGCAGGTTCTTCTGTGCCTCAAATAGACTTCTCCTGGGGATCCACAGTCCTTGGATGGGTCCCCACATGCCTGTCTCCCTGGGTAAAGGCTGTTCAGATGTAAGCTAAGAATTCCCCACCCATTGGATCACATACACTTGCCAAAATGTTTGAAGTGGCTGATAGAGGAAAAAAAAAAGAAAAGAAAAGACAATGAAAAAAGAAGGAAATAGATCATATAAAGTTAGAAAAAAAAAACCACAAAGCAAGAGTGATAAGTCAAATACACGAAGAGATAAAAGAATTCTTTCAACAAAGATTGTTGGACTTGAATCCCAACTTTACCTGACAGCCAGGGTAAACTAGGTGGGTGCTGGGTCGCATTCTTCAACTGTAGATTATCACTGAATGTTAATCTGGTAATAATCCAGTGTTTGTTGATGGAAAATTGACAAACATTTCTCATTTTAAAAATCCCTGTTTTTCAAAGGCCTATGTATCTTTAGCCAATTTGGTTAAACTCTTCTTCTTTTATCTGGATTTTCTTCAAACTCTTCAAAAGAATAATCACTAGTGTTCTTCTTGAATTCTCTTCCTGCTGACAAAATGGCCAATTGATGATTTGTTCAAGCACCTGCTATGCTCCAAAAGTGTTCAGAGCTGTAGGGGGTGCTGTCAACATCTCAGAGAGGTACACTGAGGGTTCCAGCAGAGATTCCCGGCTCAGCAGGCTTTGGTTTGTCTCCCAGCTCTGCCTCTGAAAAGCTGTGGAATCTTACTCAAGCTCTGGGCCTCCAGGTCCTCATGCAGAAAATGTGAGTAAGAAGAATGCCCACTTCATAGGGTTGCTGTAAGAATTCAATAAGGTGAAGAATACAGAGCATGCAGCGAGGGGAAGGCGAGTTAAATATCATCATCATCATCCCAGCAGGAGCTGCCATTGACTGGCTCTTATTAGCGCTGGGCCCCGTGCTAAGAGCCTCTCGTTTGGTTCCTCATTTAGGCCTCCCAGGGGCCCTGGGAGCAGGCAAGCATTTTAATAATGAGAAAACTACATTATGGCTCTTACCACGAGAGGAGTCTGCAGGTAACCTCTCTCCTCCTTCAAAACAAGCGGAAGCTGACATCCAGAGAGAGGAGAGCTTGCTGTGATTTCTCAGGGCACAACCAGCCCTGTTCTCAGCACCTGGAACATCTGGAACATCTCTGCTTCATCTTCCTGCCTCCATTTTATTATTGGGTTAAAAAAATAAAATAAGAAGACGTACCTTCACTGTCCTTTTAACAATAGGAGGCCTTTGCTTTTCTGGGTAGGAGGTGTAGTATTGGGCTCAAATGATATGTTTGTGGTTGTGTGTGTGTTGTCTCCTCCTGGAACAATTTATTTCATACCTTGAAGCCTTGTGCTGGGTTTTTTTTTTTTTGTTATAAATGATCCCCATTTCATAAGGAGCCTCAAGCAACAATTAGTCCTGCATGTAATTTCTGAATCAAATGGTGGGTTTGGGTGAGAACCGTGCTGAGCAGTTTGGAAGCAGATGTAGCCCGAGGTGAAGTCACTCCCTGTGTTTGAAGGGAATCCGGGAGGGCATGGAGGGAAGGAGGGCAGGTGCACAGCCTGGTGTATGGCCCAGGGCTCTAAATTGGGAGCCCTCAAAGATGTGCCTGACTAATTCCCTGGAACCTGTTCATATGTTACCTTAACGTGGCACAAGGGACTTTGTAGGTGTGCTTAAGGTTAAGGACCATAACATGGTGAGATTACCCTGGATTATCTGGTGATCACACTCTAATCACACGAGTCCTTAAAAGGGGAGACCCTTTCCTGACTGCAGTTAGAGAGAGATGTGACCACAGAAGAGCTGTCCAAGAGAAGCAACATAGTTGGTTTTGAAGATGGAAGAAGGAAGCCATGAGCCAAGGAATGCGGGTGGCTGCTAGAAGATTGAGAAGGCAAGGGAATGGTTTTTAGCCGGCAGCCTCTGGAAGGAACACAGCCCTGCTGGCATCCTGACTAGCCCAGTGAGACCCGGGTCTGGCTCTTGGAAGATACGAAATGTATGTTGTGTTCAGCCACTAAGTCAGTGGTAATTTGTTACAGCCACGTAGGAAATGAACACAGCCTGGCCCCAGCTCTGCCTTTGATTAGCCCTAACACTTTGGCCGTGGCATTGAACTCTCTGTGAGCTTTGGTGCCTTAATCAATAAAACGGGGACGTATTCCTGTTTTATCACCCAAAACGCTCTAAGCCTCGCCAGCCCATGGGGACTGGTAAAGTCAGTTTAACAACAACATACAAACGTGTGCCACTGTCCTGGACCTGAGTCAGTGGGCACCTGGCAAGCCTCTTCCCTCTGTCCCAGAAGACAGAGGACCTACCTCCCAAGCACTCTGAGGAAGTAAGTCATTTCCTTTCTCTTTCTGGGTTTCATTTCTTCTCATTTGTAACCTGAAAGTGTTGAACTAGATGATTTCTAAGATTCCTTCAATCACTAAAGATATTTCACATACAATTGTATCTTTCTTTCATTTTCTGAAGACATTTTAGGACTTTACCCCAATGCAGGGCCATTGTGGTAAGTGTCAGTTTTCTCTGTACAAGGCTGTCATTGTAGACTATGGACTCTTGAGTGAATCTAAACTCAGACTGTGGCAGAGCCCTGAATTTGTCTTAAAATGTGTAAATAAATTTTTAGTTTGTAAAAAGGTGAAATAAAAATAGCTCTACCCACCTTTCTGATGAACATCCGGAGATGGAAACTATTGCTTGAACATGTACAATTGGTGCCAGGCATGAAAGCGTAGTGGGGTGGGGATGAAGTGGGAAACCAGGAACGCAGAGGAGTCATCCTTCTCCAACCTCAACAAGTGGAAAGTTCACCTGCTCTTCCATTTCCTCAGGTTAGTGTGAAAAGACACACAGAGGTCTATGTGGACCTATTGTATAAAAGTTGCATGCGACTCTTTCTTTTCCCTCCTTTCTGAGTGTAGGCTCAGCCTTCCAGGACGATGTCACCATGTCAAGAGAAAAGTGAAGACCAGAGAAGAAACGTGACTGGTTCAAAATCACATCTTCTTCTCTGATAGCCAGTCATTCATCTAAATCATGACCATTGTATCAGTCAGAATGGGCTAAGCTATGCTATAGTAACAAACAGCCCCCAAACACAGTGACTTAAAATAACATGATTTATCTCTTTGCCCATCCTCCAAGTTCATCATGGTTGGCAGGGGGTTCTGTTCATCGTAATCACGGAGGGGCCTAGAGTGGCAGAGCAGCTATCATTTCAAACAATATAGTCACTGTATCAGAGAGAATGAGAGGGCTTTGGAGGGTCTAGTGCTCTGGCCCAAAAGTGACACAGGTCACGTCTGCCCACACGCATTGGTCAGAACTAACCACAAGGCTACACAGGGACAACAAAGGAAATACAAGCCTAGCATGGATGGCAAAGAGCTGAGAAATTCGGCAAACAGCATACAGCCTATACATTGGTCCTTTGGGCCCCACCACCCTTCACGCTACCTCCTCTACAAAGCCTTTCCTCATCCCCATAGACTGCATTCTTGAAAGTTCTATTTGTGATGTTCTCACCTGGGAGATGGGGAAAGAGGAAGCATGAATTGTGTTGTTGAACTGCAAGAGCTATAAGCGGGAAGCATATGTCCCAAGTATGTGCTGAGCTGCAGAGGCCGCTTGCTTAACTGGTGTGCCAGGAGCTGGCTGTGTTTAGTTAGTTCTCACCAATGATTGTGGGCAGAAGTGACCTGTGCACTTTCAGTCCTTTGGCTTTTTGCTTTGGAGAAATAGGGTCCCAGCAGGCATGGGACTGTGGTCCGGGAGAGGTCACTAATACCGCATCCAGCATCTGCTGTAACCCTCCTGGGACTGAACCCCTCGACCAGAAGAGCACCCTGCCTTGGGACCCAGGATGGATGCTGGGATGGCAGACTGTGCGAGTTTCTACTTCCTTCTTTGTTATCTATCTCTTTCCTTTATTAAAAATGTGTGGTAATAAAGGCTCAATTTGATTTTCTCATGTGGATGGGCTAGGAAGTCTTGGGAGAAACTGTCCCCTCTGCCCTTATTTTTTTCTGGCTAACTCAGGTGCTACCTGCAACAGTTTCAACCCCACCTCCAAGGTGGAAGAGCCATCTCTTGCCTCTGCCTTCCCTTCTGAGTCCTGGTATAGATTTCTTTCATGACATGCCTCAGTCTCCACTTGTGTTCAGTAAGTTGCCTGCATACTTGCACTTCTCCATGGGCTGAGACTATTTCAAGGACAGGATGACATCCTCTAACTCTACCCCAGAGGGAGCCCAGTGCCTAGCAGAAACTGTTCCCAGCCTGGATTCTCACATAATATTTGTTGACTAAATATTATCAGTGTCAGAGTGGGAAAGTGTAAGGCCCAGTGTTGATAGTTTTTAAAAGCCCCCTAGGTGATTTGAATGAGGAGCCAGGATGAAGAAACACTGTCATAGTCCAATACCCTCATTTCAAATGAGACAGGAGAATGGGGTGTGGGGGCAGGGAACCTAAGGCTGATTTGCACTGACTTCCTGGAACTGAATTGAAAGGAAAACCCCAACTTTCCATGTTCAAGTAACAAAACGATCAGAGGCTACTCCCTTTGCACTCCCTGCTTTCTATGTCATAGATGAAAAAATGGAAAGTCC
The DNA here is from genome assembly GCF_000001405.40 of Homo sapiens. Classification (NCBI taxonomy): domain Eukaryota; kingdom Metazoa; phylum Chordata; class Mammalia; order Primates; family Hominidae; genus Homo; species Homo sapiens. The sequence continues at coordinate 113,456,071 of NC_000010.11, read as the reverse complement.
TGTTGCGGGCCTAGTCTTCATTTGCATACAGGTGAAACTTTGTAACTTCACTTCAGTCTCTGGTCCCCTCCCACAATCAATCAGACATTTGCATAGGATGTAACTTTGTAATTTCATTTGCGTTGGATGTAACTTCACCTTCCATGACCAATCAGACTGGTCACGGGCCACCACTTCATTTACACAGGGTGTAAATCAAGTAGCCAATGAGAATCCTCTAGAGGGTATTAAAACCCCAGAAAGTTCTGTAACCAGCACTCTTGAGCCACTTGCTGAAGCCCGCTCCCACTCTGTAGAGTACACTCTGTGGAGTGTACTTTCCTTTGAATAAATCTGCTTTGGTGCTTCATTCTTTCGTTTGTGCATTTTGTCCAATTCTTTGTTCAAAACAACAAGAACCTGGACATCCTCCACCAGTAACACAAAGATGGGGAAACAGACTCAGGATGGGGAACGGACATTTGCCAGGGCTTCACAGCTGGGGAATAATAAGGTAGTTGCTTAAACCTCAGCCTGCCTTCACCTCTGCTCCCTAGTAACTGTATATATGCCACAATTGGAACTCCATTTCTGCACCTCTGACACCTAGCACTGGGCAAGGGTGCTGAATAAAATAGGTACGGGATAAATTAATCCTGCTTCCAAATCTACACAACATTTGATTTAATTTTTATTTAACAATTATAATGCACCAACACTATATAAATATTTTACAAATATCACTGAATCCTTAAAACTATCCTTTGTGGTAATTACAACTTATTTCCCTCATTCTATAGTTGAAAACATGGAGGCACAGAGAGGTTAAGCAACTTCACCAGGGTCACAAAGCTACCAAGTGGTGGAATGGGGACTCAAACTCAGGTTAGCTAACCCGAGGGTCCAAGTGCACAATAACTACACTCTGTTGTGTCTTGTTGCACCAGCGGGGAGGGCCCCTTACCACTGTGATTCCAACAGCTCAACTCAGTAACTCTGTGCTCAGCAGGCTCCTGTAGGGCCCATCTTTTTGTTGTTGTTGTTGTTGTTGTTGTTGTTGTTGTAGCACCTTAGACTTTGTGCCCAGTTTCCTTTTCTGTCAAAACTTACCTGCCCTGTGCCCCACCCACTTCCCTCAGGGACTTGTTGTCTACAGACCAGATAACTTCCGGAGAGCTGGGAGGTGCCAAAGGTAATGATTTTCAGTGTTGACAGTTTTACCTCAGGCTGGCCCAAAGCAGATAACACACCTGGGGTAGCAGTGAGTGGGTGGTATAGGCGGCTTAGCATGTGGCAATGCAAATGCACACAGTCTGTGTGTGCTTATTTGGAGCAACATCTTCTAGGAATCAACTTCAAGATCAGCCGGAAGGTGCCTTGCTCCGGCCTGCAGGCGCCACAAGATGGCAGCATTTCTGAACATTCCAGATGGGCCCGGGGCCGCGCATCAGGGTGTCGGGGGGCCTTGGCCCTGTGTCAGGCGCACATCCTCCCTTAGGTTAGGAGGATTAAGAGTCCCGACCCCAGGATGCTCTCGTCTTCAGCCAGAGACAGAGAGAAGGGATCCAGAGCAGAAGGGCCGGGTCTGCCTGGTGCACATTCAGCTGTTTCAACAAAATCAGTCTTGAACCCAAGTGCCTGTTGGCCGGTGGCCAGGTTGGAAGTTGGGCTGGATTGTCTTTGTTTATCTGAGAAATGAAGGCTTTGGGGCCAGACGTTGTGTGGGGGCCAAGGAACTTTGTGGTGCTTTAGAAAGTTCGTCCCTGCCAGCCTCAGTCTGTGTGCCCCAGAGGACTTCATCGATGGGGCATGGCCGGGCACCAATGCCAGCATTCAGGCTCCCACCCCACTGCCACCCCGCACATATGCTCCCATCATTTGGTGTGAAATAAAGGACAGCTTTTTTTTTTTTTTTTTTTGCCGTGAAAACTCTTCCTGGTATCTGACTTACACACCTCATTCATTCATTCGTTTTTCAATAAAGATTTATTCAGCACCTTCTATGAGCCTAGTGTTCTGCCAGGTCCTGGGGACACAAGAATGACTATTCTGCTGTCAGGGAGCTTGCATCTAATGGGAGGGGGTAGAATTAATCAAGATTAATCAAGAAGTGCTGTGTAGGGTTCTCACTTATAAGTGGGAGCTAAACATTGAGTACCCCTGGATGTAAAGATGACAATAATAGACACTGGGGACTAGAGGAGCAGGGACGGAAGGGACCAAGGGCTGAAAAAGTAACTACTGGGTACTATCCTCATTACCTGGGTAATGGGATCAATCGTACCCCACACCTCAGCATCGTGCAAAATACCCATGTAAAAAACCTGCACATGTACCTCCTGAGTCTAAAATAAAAGTTGAAATTATTTTCTTTTAAAGTGCTATGTAGGAAAAGTGTAGGGTGTTATGGAGGAGACTCTAAAAGATTCGTCACTTATTAGCTGTTGACCTTGGTGTGTGGTCTCTGAGTTTTGCAAGAGGATTAAAGAATTAATACATGTGAGAATGTGTGGCATATTGCGGATTCCAAATGAGTGCTGCCTGCTATTTTCGTTACTGTTATGCACCCACAGTGCCAGGGGGTACTAGTCACATGGACTACGCATGCAACTGATGTGGCAGCCTTGACTTAACCTCTCAGAGTCTCACGTCCTCATCTGTAAAAAGGAATAATATTATCGGTATCACCACAGGACTGTGGTGGGCATTAATGAAGTATGGAAACAGTGTTAAGTATTTAGCTGAGTACCTGGTGTCTGCTATGATTATTGGATCTAGATGCCACAATGATCAAAGCTAAATATACAGGCTTGAACCCGCATTTGGAGTCATAATTAAAGCCCCAGGCTGCCTTTCAAGATGTGTGTTTGGCTAAATGATGGCCAATTTTCATCTAATAACTCCTTCCTCTTTCTACTACCCGAAGGAGTTGTTCAGAGAGTTAACTCAACTGAGTATCAGTGCTATCAGATGCTATCTAAGACCATTCAAGATACAGTCAGTGCCCATCTCGATATAGCAGGAAAAGGACTTGTCCAACCATCTGGTGAGTCAAGTCAGCAGAGAGTCAGCTGAGGGAGGAAGGAAACGAGGCCACTGCCTTGGCTGAGTGTCTTCTATGGTGGGGCTATGGGTCCTGATATACGTCACCTCGTGTAACCCTCATGGCAGCCCTGAGACAGAGGCCCTTGTATTAGCATCCCCATTTTACAGATGAGGAAATGAAGGCCAAAGGCCACACAGCAAATATGTGATGGAACTGGGCTTAAACCCAGGTCAGTCTGACTCCAAAGCCTGAAGTCTCCTCACAGCACAAAGCTGTGTTAACTGGTTTGATGAAATCGACTAGAATGTTACTACTTAGCTTGTCCCCAAGCCAAAAAAAAAAAAAAAAAAAAAAAAGGCACGTAAATGTTTGTTGAATTGGGCCAATGCCCAATTCAGTCCAAATGGGCCATCTGTCAGCTCCGTGTGTGAACAAACTAGGATGCTAGAAAACTATGAAATGGCTATTCTACCAGCTTTTATGATGCTGTTTGCTTCTGACCAGCCCATGCTCAACTTCCCCTAGGTGAGCTGACTTGGGTGGGTGGATTGCTAATCTGTGGGACAGGGGGTCCCTGAGGGCTTGGACCCCATTCCAGCACTGTTCCCAGCTCATCTGAGCTTGAGGAAGGTCTCATTGTCTCAAGCCAATCAGGGGTGAAGTTAACCCCAGTGAGACCCCTGAGGGAAGGCCCTTTTTAGGTCACAGGAGAGGGAAATACTAATGTCTCCAAAGAGCTTTCTCTACTCAAGCAGGACAACAGTAACATCCACCAACCCTGCTGAGCTGAAGAAGGTGGGGTCTCAGCTCAGCTCCGCATGCAAGGTGCTCCTGCGCTCTTCTTGCCACCTTGGTTTTTAGGACATCCTGGCAGAGCATTGGTTGAAGTGGTTCTCTAATAAAGAAAAAAATATATTGCCAGAATATTTGAGGTTGGAGGGTTTGGGTCAATGGGGTATCAAGTATGACTCAAACAGCTAACTTATTTTCCCCTCAAGACATGTTCGGTAACTTGTAGTGGACATCTGATGTTTCTGCCGGCCCAGCATCCATTCCCACCTCTTCTCATAATAGCATCCTGAGTTTTCCTTTGGGGGCCACCCCTTCCTTACTCTCCGTTTTCTGGTCTGAATTAGTCCAACTCCATTCACCATCTCTGGGGATGGGCATGTGACACCCATCCTCTGAAACAGTCACTCCTCCAGGGTGTGAAGCCCAGGGAAGATCCATACATGGACTTCACACCCTGGAGAAGTGATTGTTTCAGAGGTGGGTATGTATCTTCAGCCAGACCCAGAGAAAATCAATCCTGAGGTTTTGCTGGAACTGGTGGACAATGTACTTTCTGTGGAGGCAGCTAAACTGTTTGCCCCTCAGCCTGGAAGTGCTGGTGGCCAAGTTGCCCCCACATGGGGAGAGCCACCTGAGACTGAAGCCAGCCCAGAGGAAAGCAGGCAGAAGAGAAGGTAGGACAGAGAATCCCGGTGACATCTTCTAAGTCTGACTATATGGACTTTCCCAATTATGTGAGTTAATATATTTCTTTTGGTGTGTATACAAGTTTGAGTTGAGTTTCTGTCTCTTAGACCTAAAAGCATCCTGTGTAATGTAGAAGCATTCCCAAAATAGATCAGTAAATTGGGTGCTGAGATTACAATGAAAATTTTATTGGAAATTTATTTGACACGTAATATCAATCACGATTGTTTTACGCTGTAGATGTAAGAGAAATCATGCTATGAGAAATTTAAGATGTAAGAGAAACCATGCACTGCCTGCTGATCAGAGTCCATCTTCTACCCAAACACCAAGGCAACCACCTAATTGGTCATCCTGTATGTCCTCTTCTAACCCACTCTCCACCCAACCACCAGAACAGCCTGCCTAGACCTCAAATGTGACCCCATCATTCTACGGCACTGTGCAGAGAGCCAGGACTCCAAAGGGTCTAGTTGGTTAAACCTAAGCTCCATGGCATGGCAGGCCAGTGTGCTCTGCAGGAATAGCCCCATCACACACTCTCAAACCTCTTTGTTCATCCCTTCCCACTTGATAGGTTGTGTTCTGGCACTACCAAAGTGCCTGCAGTTATCACTCCCATGTATCCCAGGAAACATCTCTCTCTCCTTTTGTTTTTGCTGAGCTCTCTGCCATTCTTCTTTGCCTCATTAACTCAAGCTCCTGAACGTGTTCTGAGGAACACTGGTTCTGCAAGATGCTGAAGCTTTTGTTCTATGAAATAAAGGGGTTCCATGGTCAGAAAAAGTTTTCAGAAGTGCAGAGTTAGAAAAAGTTACATGGGCTTTTTATTGCAGGACTTCTTGGAGCCTTTATTATGTTAACGTGCACTGTGGCTCCCTAAGACCAAATCTCATTTGATCACAGACTCCTATTTGCCTCAAATACTTGTAACTCTCTGTTGTATCTGGGAACATAGTAGAGGAAAGCTGTCCCAGGCAATGACTCACTTTATGACCTGAAACAAGCAAGTTAATTTGTTCATTCAAAGAACATTTATGAGTACCTAATTTGTGTCAAACTGAAAAGTAATGGGGAGATAAAGAGGAATGAAACAGAGTCCCTTCCGTGAAAGAGATCGGCTTTTCCTGACTGTACTTTCTCCAATTGTCACACTTGTTCTAGTTCTCAACAACCTTAGAAGGCAAACACAATATATCTGTAGCCTTTATAGGAAACGAATTAGGTAAAAACATATTAGATAAAACCTGCAGAGAAGTTTCCGGAGGGCTTTCAAGTTGACATCATTTGTATGGTCTAAATTACAGTGACAACGCCCTTACTCACTGGGAGAATGTGGCTAAACCTGCCATCTCGAGGTGGAGGGTGATCTTTAAGAACGCTCCATAAATGCTTGTTGGTCTTTTCCTACCTTGCACCTTGCCTAATTCTCATTTTTCCTTACAAAGTCCGTCTTTGTCATGGGAGACCCCCTTTTATTTTTAATCTTTTCATTTTTGTGCCTTCCTTGGACTAAAGACAATTTTGCACCTTTCCTGTTCAACCCCGTCCACCCAAACTTTAAACACCTTTCCAAAAATATTCAATCACCTTTTCTGCCTACTGTTTTTTGATTCAGTTGGACATTACTAGAAGCAACTGGACTTTACTCGGGTTTCTAAAAACTAGGTTTCTAAGTATAATGGGCTATTGTTTCAACGGAAAGAGGAAGATGGAAGGAGAGTACAGTGTCTGATCCAGTCTGGCAGCCTTCCTGTAAGAGTTTTAACTTTCCATGATTAGAGCAGCAAGGTCCATAAATACATGAGTTTTCAAGACAAAGTGTGAGAGAGCACAGGATCTCGGGCTCTGTGAGGCTCTGGGCACAAGCAGGGCCACATCTGAGCACAGATGACCATGTACTACACCTTGATGGGGAGGGAACCTTCCCACACCGCTGCACAGAACCCAGAGACGTCCTAGCATCTGAGGATTGGGAACTGTGGGCACATCTGGTGTCAGAACCCTTGGACTGGACAAGACTATTTATTCTCATGTGGCCACTGTAAGGTTTCTTCAAGAGCATTTTTGAGGTATGAATAAGTGGAAACCAGAAGAGAGAAGAAAGAGGGCTTGAGGATCACAGCTGACAAACTGGACTGTGGCCACTGGATTATCTGCTCCATGAGTGTAGGGGTCCTGCCAGCTGTGTCTGCCATTAGATTCAATCACCTAGTACAGCATCTGGCACTTGGGATACATTTCACGAATGCATGGGCATGAAGTAATACCAAACATGCAAGGATTCTTCAGGGGCTTGCATAATCGCATGGTAATTTCTTTAAGAGGGGCTCGTTTCCAGCAGTCAAGATAATGAGGTCTTGTGCTTTCTAATGTTGCCCTTAAAAGTAATCATGACCAAGTTTGTATCCTGGGATGGTGATAGCTGGGAGAGTTGGGATATATAGACTTTCTTGGACATGGCAAGAATGTATCTAGCCTGTTTAAATGAGCAGTGAATGAATTGAATTGCATGCCAGTGTGTTTTTGGGAAGGGAAAAAAACCTCATTTTTCAAAGAGTCCATTAAAACAGCTGGTGCTGATGTTGCAGCTTAAGAAAGATGAGGCACATTGCCTGCTCATTTGACTCAGCCACTATTTACAGGTTGGCTTTTTGTGTGGATAGGTGATGGTCTTTCTCCAACTCACACATTACCTTCCCCAAAATGCTTATGGCTGAAAAATTTAAGGTTGAAGAATTTAAGATCTTAGAAAAACAGAGTTTGTAGCAGAGGTACAAGCAAACCTATGAAAGCCTTTAAAAACAAATTTAAAAGAAAATATGCCCAAAACACATATCTGAAAAGGATTGGTATCTAGAGTATATTTTTTGAAAAGAACTCTCAAATCCCAACAAAAAATAAACCATACAATCTAAGTAGAAAATGGACAAAAGAAATAGACGTTTCAGCAAAGAGGATATACAGATGGCAAACAAACACATGAAAAAATGTTCAATATCTTTAACCATTAGAAGAATGCAAATTAAATCACAATGAGAAATCACTAACATTTACCAGAATGGCTAAAATTAAAAGTGGGGACAATACTAAATGCTGGAGAGGATGTGGGGAACTGGATCATTCATTCATTGCTGGTGGGAATCTGGATCATTCATTCATTGCTGGTGGGAATGTCTACTCTGGAAAACTATTTGGCAGTTTCTTATAAAACTAACCATGTGGCCAGGCACCATGGCTCACATCTTTAATCTCAGCACTTTGGGAGGCTGAGGCAGGCAGATCACTTGAGGCCAGGAGTTCAAGACCAGCCTGGCCATCATTGTGAAACTCTGTCTCTGCTAAAAATACAAAATAATTAGCTGGGCATGGTGGCATGTGTCTGTAGTCCTAGCTACTTGGGAGGCTGAGGCACAAGAATCACTTGAACCCGGGAGGTGGAGGTTGCAGCGAGCCGAGACTGCACCACTGCACTCCAGCCTGGGTGACACAGCGAGATTCTGTCTCAAAAACGAACAAACAAACAAAACTAACCATGCAAGTGCCATATGACCCAGCTATTATGCTCTGGGGCATTTACTCCACAGAAACGAAAACTTGTGTTCACAGAGAAAACTGTGCATGAATGATCATAGTAGCTTTATTTAGAACACCCCAAACCTAGAAGCAACCCAGATACCCTTCAGTGGGTGAATGGTTAAACAAACCGTGGTCCATCCATACCATGGTGTGCTACTCACCTAAGAAAAGGAACTGTTGCTACACAAAACAACCTGGATGAATCTCTAGAGAATTACACCAAGTGAAAAAAGCCAATCCCAAAGGTTACATATTACATGAATTCACTTGCATAACATTCTTGAAATGACAAAGTTATAGACATGGAGAACAGATTAGAGGTTGCCAGAGGTCTGGGATAGGAGGTGAGGTGGGGGTGAGAGGGAGGTGAGGGTAGCTATAAAAGGGCAAGAGTAGGAATCTTTACCTTTGTGGGAGGGAATTGTTTTGTATCTTGTTGTTGTTTTGCTTGTTTGTTTTGTGTCTTGAGTGTGGTGGTAGATACAGGACCTACACACGTGATAAAATTGTACAGAACTAAACATGCACATGTTATCACAGAGTGGGAGTGCCAGCATCTAGCATCAGAGCCTAGACCATGGAAGTGCAGCACTTAGCCAAAAGCAACATGATATTGCCCTGGACTTGACTGGGATCCTGCTTGGTTGTGTGGAAAGCTGGGGCAGAAGAAGGAAGGCAGATGTGAGACCCCCAGTATATCTCTTGCCTTGGATGGCTAACAAAGCAGCCAGTTTCAACTTTAAGTTTCAGAGAAACTTTTCATTTGGAAACACTCAGGCTGAAATCCTGGAGAAGTGGGTTGTGGTTATGAAGAAGGTACCTCAGAGTGAATCTATATACATAATGATTTTTATTTTTCCCAAGGAGAAGAATGGTGGGGGAGAAATAATTGAACCAAGCTAGAGACAATCCGGGGACTAAGAGACTGAATATACAAACAGAAAATGTTCAGACCATGTATAAAAATAGAACTTTGACCCACAACCTGCAGCAACCTCCTATCTACAACAAACAACCCAGGAAGCCAGTCTGCTGTAAGTCGGATTTATGGGAAGCCAGTTTGCTCTCTCTAGTGACAATCCAGGAAGCTAAACAGCAACCCCTGTAACAATCTGCCTCAAATAGATGGGACTTGATTAATAACTGACACTTCCCTAATTTTTGTCTCCACTTCCAACTTAAGGACCAACCAGAGAAAGCCAAATATGCACCCCAACCAATCAGATAGGATGCCCCCTTTCTAGTTATCCCACACACAGCTCCCCAAAACCAACAGCCTCAAATCTGCACACACCTGAGGCTTCCCTTTTCTCTCTATAAAGCTTTCCCACTCCCCTGGCCTGCCCTTGAGTCTTTGCAAAGGGTGGTGGCTGACTCCCTTGCTATAGCAAGCTCTGAATAAATAGGCTTTGCTTCCCTCACTTGGTTGGTCTTTGTTTATTTCATGCACCTTTCTAGATATTTGTAGAATAAACAATTTCAACCAACTAATGGAATCACCTACTTTCCTGACACATCAGTCAGTGACTGGGTGACTGTCAGCTGCTCCTTCCTTCACATGGCTCTATCCCAGGGCTGTTCCATGATGGTTTCACTGAGGTCTAGAGAGGCCTGAGAGTCAGCATCAGGACCCACTTGGGGGCACAAATGGCATTTGTGGTTAGTGTCCATTATGCTTGCTTGATGCCTTTGCCCGATCTAGTGGTGCCCACCCTGGACTGGTTGTTAAATGATTTGGATATACTGTCCTTCCCACCAGCCCCCGAGCTAAATTGTTGCCATCCTCCTGGCCCAGTTCAACACCATGCTTCTTACTGAAAATTACCATGGAGGATGAATAGTTGTGGGTTGGCTTCTAATCTCAGCACTCACTAGAAGGGCAAGGCACACCCTCGCCCTGGTCCTGTCTCTGCTGCTGTAATATAAGGATTGGATTAAATAATTTTTCTTCCATCCATATCTCACCCTGCCCATCTCTTCCCAGCCCTCATGCATGTTGGGCCTTACAGAAGTCTCAGTCTCAATGGGCTCACCCTTTGGAGAAGGAGGGTGAATTGAGCAAGTGGCATTTCCACTGCCCGGCTGAGCAGAGGCAAATCCAAGGCAGAATCAAGTTCCTGTTTTTCTGCTGTTCCAAATGGTACCATTTAGGCACCACCAACCCTGAGGCTGCCACGCCCTTCGTTATAATTCACAGCTCACAGACTTGATTCCCCTGAGAACACGTTTTTAAAATTGAATGAATCCAGAGTTCACATATGTTGCCTGAATGCGACATTGTGTAATACCTTTTTCCCCCTAACCGTCCAGCCCCCGATTCCCTTAAGAAACTCATTCTCATTGAGTGGCATTAAAAAACAAAACAAAACAAAATCCTCACTCCCACCTAGAGGCCTAGGTCCTGGGGAGCCAGCGCGGAGGAGAGGTTGTCTCCTCTAAAGTTCAGAAATAAAAATGACTTTCTCCTTTCAGCTGCTGTTCCCTGATGTGACTCTGTGATCAGTATCAAATGCTCGGTAGCAAGGATTTCTGTAGAGCCTTCTCAGCTAAAATAGATTTAACCTGCCCGTTGCTCTTTGTCAGAGAACAATGCGTGTAACAATAAGGAGCTGCTATATTGTTCATGCATGAATAGTCCCGATTCCAGATATTTGCTGTTGGGCCCTGTAGATTACCTGCAAAGAACGTCTGGCTCCCTCTGTTGAGAAAGGTTAGGCTACAGGCAAGCACTCCAGGCTGTTTCATGGTAATGAATCAATAGGGGAATGCAATTAATGAAGTCCTATTTCAAAATGGTAGGGAGTCACCTTTTGAAATGGGGTCTGTCTTCTCCAGCCTAATTGCACAGCCCAGGGTGTCTCCAGTTTGAATGGGTCAACTCCACCTGTGAGCAGGGGTTAGGGGCTGGCAGGAGGAGGCAGAGGATGGCAAGCCAGGTTGCTTTGGAGGCTTACTTGGGCAAGCTCTGGAGGAAATGAAACCCATATGGGTGTTATTAACATGTGGCTTGGAACCAGGCAAGCAACAGAGGCACACTGGAAGGGCAAGAGTGTCTTCTGAGTTTCCCATCCTGTTTTTCAGCTGGACAAAATCTTGGTCATCAGGACTCCCACTATGTGGCTACAGATTGAGTATTTGAGAACCCATGACTAGTGCACCGTGGTGTAGGCAGAGAAAAACCCAAGCTTCAGGTCTGGTCTGTCTGAACTCCAACTATTAACCAGCAGTGTGACCTTAGGCAAATGATTTAACCTCACTAGGCACCCCTTGTCTCATCTGGCAGACATGAATATCATCACCGCTTCCCCGCAGGGTTCTTACAAGGAAATATGTTTCCCCAGTAGGAACTCAATCCATGGATGCGGCACACGTTGCTAGTTGGCCTATAGCTGTCCTTCCCTTCTTCCTTACCAAGAGAATCCCAGTTTTGTTCATGACCACAATGTATTCATCCAAGAATAACCCAATTTCTAGCATCCTTTGTAGTTGGGATAGCCACATGACATAGTTCTGGTCAATGAAAATGGGTATTTGCTGGGTAAGTCTTCCTGGAAAGCTGTTATTTCCTCGATTTTGTTTTTAAAGCAGATTTCACAAAGGTCTTTTCTTTTTCTAAGCCCTCTTCTTCCTTCCTGGAATGCAATCATGATACCTGGAAGCATAAGAACTGCCATCTTGCAACCACAGAGAGAAATCCCGTACATGCTAAGGCCAGTGGGAAAGAAGGACAGAGGGAGCTGGAGGTATTATGAAGTCATGGAGCAGCTGTACCAGTCCCAGTCCTGCCTGCCTGCCTTGAGACCTCGTCAGGTGAGAACAATAAATTCCCATGTGTTTAAGTGAGTTGTTCTTGAGCTTTCTGTTACATGCAGCCAAGCACAACCTCTAAATGATGCTTGGTGCTTATATTTCCTCAGGCCAGCAAACCAGGCCCTTGGAAACTTCCTTGGGGACTGACTAAGGCAAAGGGGAGGAAGACACTGGGAGACATATTACCAGGGCTCTGGCATTTTAGGACCTCACCACCTTTCCCTTTATCTGTCAACCTATGCACCTGAGCTTTTTTTTATTTACACAGGATTCCTGGCTTATTAGTAAATTGAGGCTTCTGGGAAAGTGGAGTTAAATTAAGAGAGATCAGAGGCAAAGATAGTCAAGGCACTATATAAATACCTGTCTGCATCATATAAGATAGTGGAATTAATCAACTCCAAGAACAAAGGCAGTGCCTGAATGAAGAAACCGCCTGGTGGAGCTGACTACAGCAACCCTGCCAAGTGCAGGAAGTAAATATGGGAACCAACAGGCCAAATATAACAATGATAATAAAATTTAAAAAGCTTCTTCCCTTATAAAGAAGGCTTTGCTGAATTCTCATTCCCTGGAGAAATAGCCAAGAGTGTTGGGCTTTTCCAAAGGGACTTCAGCGGAAACTTGGGAGCAGTATAGACACATCTTCACAAAGGTTTGGATGGGGCCCCTTGACCCAATAGGAGAGCTAGGAGGGGGCTTTCTATTGACCTTTGAAGGTCAAGCTCCTGACCCCACAGCTCTGGGCAGTGTGGCTCAGAGGCTGCCTCTCTAGGAGGATCCTGGAGTAAAAGTGAGTCACAAATGAGCTAATCACCATTAATGTGTCAGCTGAAACTGCCAGTCTGACATCCCTCCTAATGGCTGACAAATGTCAGGGTGACTTGTGTGCTTTTTTTGTTAATTAAATTGGTTAATTAGGTCCCAGAGGCCTAGCTGCTAATTATGAGCTGCAGCCGAATATGAGCTAAAAAAAAAAAAAAAAAAAAAAAGATGCAAGGAAGTTGAAACAAAAGAGAAAACACACACACACACTTACACACACACACACACAAACACACATCCCCAACTCCTTTGTGTTCTTTACAGTCTGTACTGTTACCTTCTCTTAATTTCTGACCTGCCACATGTTACTACCTTCTTGATGTGTTCAAAAAAAAAAAAAAAAAGGAAGGTAAGAAAAACTCCAATTCTGCCTTTTTCCACAAGAAGCATCTGCTCCATCAGTACCTTGTTCATTAATTTTCTGCCAATTAGCAAGGGAAAAAAAGGTAGATGGGGAGGGGGAGAAAAAAGTCCAGATTTGCAGCCTAATGCGTTACCTTGTGAAGATCATGTTTTCAAAATGACACGTTCCCTCCCTTTTGGAGAAAGAGGCGGTAACAGTCAGCCAGACCCTGCTCTGACTTGTTGGTGGAAAAGTTGATGAAAACTTTTCCCAGAATTTCATAGAACAGGCCCCAGTCACAAGTATGAAATCACAGGGCAGTCTACCCTGTGCCACTGAGGAAGAATCTGCCTTAAAGGTAAATAAAGGCACTTCCAGCTCATGGAGGAATCTAGCAAGTTAGAGCTGCAAGTGAGTGTCCCCAAGAAGTACCTTCCAACACTCAACCACACACCACTGGGAGCGTCTTCCCCCAGTTCTCACTTCCAGTTAGAGGAGAACATTGAGGAAGTTGTATCTTCCAGCTTCATACCTCTGGGTCACACCCGTTCTGAGAGCTGGCAAGCCCCAAATAAACTGGCTGATGTTCTTTGGCTGGGGGAGAGGGAGGAGGGATGGGAAGGGGCAAGGAGGGAAACTGAGGTAGTGGAGAGAGAAAGGGGAGGAACTCAAAGGGCCTTTGAGGCAGAATCATATTCTTTTCAGCTCCTGAGTTTCCAGCAGTGACATTTAGACTCTTTAGGGTTTAGCTGTTCCAGCTTCAGCTCTCCTTCCGCTCAGAGCCCTGAGCTAGAAGAGTCTGGGCCTTTGAAAATATGTGGCTAGAAGCTCAGGGACTGCAAGAATATGCATGACCCAGACACTACTTGGAGCAGTCTTCCCCTGATGCATTTAGGTGAACTTGACTTCTTCTCCCAGTTCCACAGTTTTCCCTCCCAGCTTAGCCTTGGAGTCCAGAGCCCACCTCCTGGCTTCTGGTTCCCAGCTTCCACCTCACCCAGTCCTGCACATCTGCTTCTGGGGATGCGAGCTGTCTTTGGCCCCTTCACTGTTCCCAAGGCCTGCACTCAATGGTTCTACCTTTCCCGAAGCCTTGAGGAGTTATGGGCAGGAGCCACAACCCACACAGAGCCTTCTGCCTCCCTCATGGCCCTGCCTTCCAAGCTCCAGCACCTTCATCACCACCTTCTATGATCACTCCAAATTTAGACTGCCTCGCCCAACTTCTGGCCAGAAGTCACTGAGACAAGTGCCTGGCAAGCTCAAGGCTAAAAGCAAAGCTGCAGGTTTAATAACAATTCTACTTGAGTCTCTTTGTGTTCATTAGCAGTGGCGTGTGTGTATGTGTGCACGCGCACATGTGTGTGCACATGCATGCATGTGTGTGCGCCCCAGCTGTCATTAATAGCAGTGTCTGCTTGGGGTCATTCTGAGCAAAGCACCTTTGAAGTAATTTTCAGGAGAACATGGTAAAAATCTGTGGGACAGTTGGTGAGGTTGATTATGCCGTGCCAGGGAAGACAAGACAGGCAGACAGTGCCCCACAGTGGGCAAAAGCGTGGCTCTGTCTCCTGATGACCAGGGTCCAAGTCTTGTCTGGCCACTCACTTGTTGCACAACCTTAGATCAGTTACTTCAACATCTGTGAAACTCGTGTTTTAATCTGTGACATCCCTCTAATAACAGTAGCTGCCTCCTAGGTGGTTGCTGGGAGCAAATGAGACGAGGCCTGTGAGTGGTCAGCACAGAGCCTGGTATGCACCGAGTACTCGGGAACCATTAGCTACTGTACGTCCTTTGCCCGCTTGCTCATTCATTTAAAAGCTAACGTCCACAGGAGCATCAGTTACACCAGGAACTTGGCATCAGTGTTGTGGGTGCCTTGCTTATATTTAACTTATTCTCAAGAGTTTCTTTTTCTTTTTTTCATATTTAGTAGAATGGCATATGCTGTTTCTCTAAGAAACTGTAGTATTTATGACTCTTAAACCCAAAGACAGCTGGACACGGTGGCTCACGCCTGTAATCCACTTTGGGAGGCCGAGGCGGTTGGATCACCTGAGGTCAGGAGTTCGAGAACAGCCTGGCCAACACAGTGAAATCCCGTCTCTACTAAAAAATACAAAAATTAGCTGGGTGTGGTGGCAGGTGCCTGTAATTCCAGCTACTCGGGAGGCTGATGCAAGAGAATCTCTTGAACCTGGGAGATGGAGGTTGCAGTGAGCCGAGCTCGTGCCACTGGACTCCAGCCTGGGCGACAGAGCGAGACTCCATCTCAAAAATAAATAAATAAATAAATAAAATAAAATAAAATAAAGAGACACCAACATTCTCTTTGGATTTATGATGGGTACTGCTCTGCCCCCCGGGGTCTCATGTGAGACCCAAAGGAGAGGTGAGGGGTGGAAGAAAAGGGATTCTCATACTCTATAAGAAGTCAAACTGTTCACCCCATCACACCATTCATATTGTCTAGTGCTTTCTACAGAATCCCTTGTAGGAAGGAGCTGCCTCCTGCTCTCTGAGGGAGGAGAGGCTATTTAAGTCCCAGTCCTCAGAACAGGGAGCCCAGGGTCTCTTTGGGTGTCCCCATTCCTTTTCGGTAGAGAAACCTCACAATTTCCATTTTCTTTTGTTGCATCATCCACTGAAAGGGAAGATAATTTGACTGCGCCAAAAGGTAGGGTGGCCAACTGTCCTAGCTTGCCCAGGACTGAGGGGACTTCCAGGACATGGACTTTCAGTGCACAAGGGCAGAAACTCCCAGACAAGTCTGGATGAGTTGGTCACCCTTCTGGAAGGCAGATTTTTAGCTATTGGTTTACGAGAGTCAGTGCAGTTGGGGGAGGTGCTAATTCCAAGCCACCCAGCAATTTAATAAACTCAGTGAAAACCTGAGGCATCTCAGAATATCAGCAAACTGTAAATGGATAAATGTGGCTTGGGGGCTTCTGACTGCAGAAATCACAGAAACACATAATTTCCCAGTTGCACAGTACATGGGCTGTGGGTCTCACCCCCTTGGAAGTTGGAGTCCTATATGGGAACTTTTGAGAATGAAGTCCTGAATCGACTAAGCTGCTCCCCACAAATACTTTCTGGAATACAGAGAGGGAGAGGAAGAGATGTTTAAGAGTCAACAAGACAAAAACAAAAAACTCAGAGGGGCCTTGTGGAAACTGCCCAGCAGAGGCAACTCCTGAGGGAAGTCGACCTGGTGCCAGGGCGCAGAAAGCTTGCTCTTCTCAACTGGGGTAGATCTTTCAATCCTGACTTGAAATGAAGGGGCTAAGCATGCTTCCTTCAGATTTATAAAGAATGCTGCAAGAAGAAACGAAGGATCTGTCTCTCCACAAGAGGAAAGAAAGACAACAAAAATTAGGGGAAGAGAACTAACATGCATTGAGTGCATAAAATATGCCTCCCCATCTATTTTACAATATTTCCATTTAATTCTATATTTGACTGCTGAGGGGACCAGGGCTGAGAAAGGAAAGTAACCTCTCCAAGGTCACTTGGCTAAGTGAACAGACCTTGGAATTGTAATCATAATGATGATAATTCAATAAAAATAGCCCTAATAATGGAGAAACAGTTAAAATGTATTAAGTGTTTCTTAGGTCCAGGCACTAAGATACATTCTTTGATGTTTAATCCATCTAATCCTCAAACAGCCTTCCAAGTTTGTACCATAATTAAGCCCATTTAACATGCAGGTAAATTGAGGATTAGAGAGAACATGCAAACTACTAAAGGATAGCCAGCCAGTAACTACAAGAACTGGGGTTTAAACCTATGTCTGGCTTCATAGACCATGCACTTCCCATTGCACAACACACTTGATCCTTCTCAGTTTATAAAAACACTTTTGCATATGTTACCACATTTAACCATTGAAACTGATATTTTCTAGATTTAAACAGTGAGGCCAAGAGAGGATATGACTTGCTCCAAATCTTATAGCTTGTTAGTGTAGGAGCCTTGCAGAAAACTGACTCCAAGTCTAGCACCCTAGGAGAACCATGGCCCTATGTGTCCACTGGAAAAAAATATATATATTCTTCCAAAATGGTGGCTTTGTCCTCTTGCCCAACTGGAAGCTTCTTAAGTAACTGGATCAACCCCTAGGGATCCGTGAGTGACTCAGAATGGGAAAAAGATGCTTATTATACAGGGCAAAGAAATGTGAGTCAGATACCCAGCCCACAGCCACCTCCTCCCCCTGACCATGCAGAAAGGCCTGGATCTTGCCTGTATGTGGAATATTGACCTGGTAGTATTGATGCACCCCCTGCAGGGCTGCCTTTCCTTATCGATAACCAATGATGGCACCTAAAGTTCAAACACTGCTGGGCAGCTTTCATGTTTGTAAACAGTATTGATGTGCATAAGTCAGGGCCCATCAGACTGCAGGATTAAACAAGGATGGAGGCAGAACATTTGGGAGATTCAATCCGGAAGCAGCTAATTAAAATCAGGGCTGGGAATGAAGCTGTAAATGGTGGCCAATTAATGTAAATGCCTTCCAATCCTGGACACCCCAGTACCCCAACTTAGGCTTTCTTGTGCTTGTGGCCAGTGAGGCTGCCTCCTTCCCTTTAGGACATGACTGGGTCTAATACTGTCTTTGGTTACCGCTGGCAAAGCCGCCTAGGCTCCAAAAAAGACGCACTGTTTGAGAAGACTGGGTGGTCTATGAAAGAATACACATATTTGACTTCACCACTTTGACCTAAGATAGTCTGATGCAAATTAGACAACAAATGCTCAAACTTTTAAAGAAAAACAAAACCCTAAATATATCATTAACAGGAAATGTGGGAAATAGCAACACTCCTTCGTGGACTCCAAGAGGGTCCATTTCGAAAACAAGATTAGGCTCAAGGAGGGAGGAAGGCACAAGGCTAACTCTTGTCTTCATTACTTGTTAATTTAAAAAATGTTCTTACATTTTGATGGCTCATCATCAAGAGGTCCATGTTGAAAATCCCCCTGGCTCAAAATGGACCTGTCCAAAGATTCCACTTCCCTTGTAGGGTGACCTAGGCATGTGAGCATTCAACCAGTCGCAGTTGGGCTGAAGAACCCTCTTGCCCAATTGCCTACTCAGGAAAATATCTTAAAAGCTGCAATAATAGGGAGGTAATTCATGCTTTTATTGGAGCCACACTTTCTACTTTTCATCATCTTTAGTGTGGCTTTATTAAAAGCCAATAAAAATAATGGCCAACATTTATACAGCACTTTCTGTGTGCCAGGCACGACTTTAAGCACTCTGCATGCATTAGCTCATTTAATTTTCATAAAAACCCCAAGAGAAGGAACTGAGGCACAGACTATATTATTGCCACAGTGGCTTTGTTTTTCAAGAAATTTTGGAGGTAAGATGAACAATACCAGTCCCATTGTTGAGGTGAAGAACCGAAGCCTAGAGGGGTAAAATGATTTGCTCACGGTAAAGAGGTGGTCACCCGGCAGAGAGCCCTCTTCAGGTCATATAGATGCCCTACTTTTGAAGAGGTGGGATGGCCAGTGCTTTCTCCCCCAGGTGCCATTTACCATTACCATTTCTACCCATAGTGAGCCATGGCTCAGCATTCTTTCAGAAGCCTTTTTATTGGACTCAGGAGAGGATGAGATGGCTCCCAACATCATGCTGTCATGAAGAACAGTGAGATCAAGTACTTGAAAAAGAAAAATCTGTAACAATTCATTGGGCTATTCTTCTGGTTAGAGGAGTTTTTCCTCAAGACAGACTCTAAGGCTGCTCATTTCCTAGCTGATCCCAACAAAGGTGCCCTCCACTGGCTTAAGCAGCAAGAGAGCTGCATGGGGCAAATGCATCTAGGATTCTAGGAGCAGGGGAGCCAGTGAGCATGTCAGTGAGTGGTATCACGTTCCTTATTTTAGGTTAACTCCAGGACTGGAATACTTAACTCGTGGTTTTTCAAGATTAATCATAAGTTACAACAAGCTACTCTCCCTTGGGGTATCTCATTTGCATCATTTTCTCTCCCAGAGGGTTGAAGGAAGAAAAAATGTCCACCACACAGCTTTGGAAATTAGCTGCTTGTCACTCACTCGCTTGGAATCGGATTTGGATCTCATGTCCTTTGTTCCAGAGCTCTGGACTGGCTCCCCACTAAGCCAGAGATGCAGAGCTGAAAAAGACACTGCTGCCAAGGCACTTAGGGTGAGGAAAGCCAGTTGTGGGCAGCTCTGGGGTAACATGAGCCCCTGGCTTCTGAGTGCCATCATTTATCTACAGGTCCCCAGGTACCTTCAAACCCAGGCGTTTAGCTCTCCATATGCATTTGAGGATCAGGAGTGAGTCAGTGTGGACATGAAAGATCGTGGTTATACCGTGTGGAAGGGAGCTTTATGTGAGCTGTTCAGGGTCCCTGGCGGTCCAGGATGGCGGCAGCCGACAGGAAATTGACCTGGCTGGAAGGCTGTTGACTGCCTGGCAGAAGGGCAACCCATAGTCCAATTTTATATGATACAAACTGGCAGAGTGAACCCAGACTGGATGGAATCAGTGACTACAAGAATTGGATCTGGGGAGTGGGCTATGTTACCATGCTTCTCCAAACATGAGGCCCACACTGTCTGAAGGGAGACCCTAGCCAGAAGCTAAGGCTGGGAGGTCATCAAGGCTCAAGGCACTAGGCTAATATTCAGTGCCCCAAATCCAGAGTGGTGGGAAAACTTGAATGGAAACCCAGGAAGGACTTGGGATAGATGGGATGACCACAGTGCAGTCAGGTCAAGGCTGGGGTCCCGTGTGGCAGGTCTAAGGCAATACAATTCATGGCAGATGCACCTTCTGGCCGGTCAGACACAGCAGTATTCTTTCTGCCTGACTTGGGCTGACTGTCTCAGGAATGAGGCTGATGCCCAGATCTGGGAGAAATGAATCCATTTGGGTGCCTCCAGCCATGCCAAGATGGAGTGAGTCACTTCTTTGGGGGTGGAGGGATGGGTGATGAAGGTGTCACTGCTCAGTGATGAGAGTGTCAGAAGTTTGACCAACATAATAGCTTCTTCAGGAAGCAATATGCTCAACTGTGTAGCCAGAGGGAGATTGATTTACTCCACAAAACTAACCACTCTAGAAAAACTATTCATTACTTTATTATTTATTGTCCCAACTTGGTGATTTCCCTTGCTCAACCAGACTTGGTCCTGATTAAATTTTGACCATTTACGAACCCCACATCCACCAGAGAATCCTTCCTCAGAAACTTGTAATAGTTCCAGACTGTTGAAAAATCAAGGTATTTAATGTCAGCCTATTAATGAAGAACAAGCTCTCCCATGATCTAGCTTTATAATCTACCTTCGCCCAGCCTCTCCAGCCCTACACAAGAGCTGTGTCAATGTCCTCAAACACACAAGGTGGGGGCCCACCTTGGAGCTTGCTGATGCTCCTTCCTTGCCTGGAATGCATCTTCCTTTCCTGCTTCACTTTTTATTTACCAAATTTCTTCTCATCCTGACCTAAAGCCTAGCCCATTTATTACTACCTCCATGGCCTGAAGAAATTGAGAGGTGTATTAGTTTGCTAGGCCTGCAATAACAAAATGCCACAAGGTGTGTGACTTAAATGACAGAAATGAATACTTCTGGAAGCTCAGTCTGAAGCCAAGGTTTTGGCAAGGTCAGTTCCTTCCGAAGGCTGAGAGGGAAGGATCCATTCCGGGCCCCTCTTCTTGGCTTGTAAGTGGCTGTCTTCACATTCATATGCATTCTCTCTGTATGTGATACATGTATCTCTGTGTCCAAATTTTCCATTTTTTTTTTATAAGCACACCAGTCATGTTGGGTTAAGGTCCATCCTGATAACCTCACTTCAACTTGATTACCTCTGTAAATATCCTATCTCCAAACAAGGTCATATTCTGAGATACTTGGTATTAGGATTTCAGTATATGAATTGGTGGGGGGAGGCACAATTCAACTTATAACAATAGGCATACATGGTTAAAACTAAAAGGAGCATTATAAATCATTTAGCCCAATCCACTTGTTACACATGTGGGAAAACTGAGGCTTGGAGAAGCCAAGGGGTTAGCCTAGCAGCACACAGTCGATGGGCAGAAACAAAACTCAAACTTGAGTCTCTTGACTGTGGCATCTGGGTTGTTTGCATCATATCATCCTATGTCCCTTCGAACTCCTGTTGGTTTCTTTTCCATTATTTTCTCCATGGAGAAACTGAGGTGGGGGGAATCCTGGCCTTTATAGTAGGTTACCTGGCCTTCATAAAGACTGTAGAAATTTAGCTGAGACAATTAAAGCTTTCTGACTCTACCGCACAATAATTCTCTAGCTTCAAAATTCCTCTGAAATGGCTTCCAAAGCTGGCAGGACTTTCTACTCATTAATCATCATTTATCCAACATATGTGTATCAAGAGCCCCCACTGCATTCCAGATAGAGTGAGGTGAGGGCCTCCAAGTTCCATGAGATTCGTTAGCCTAGAACATTTTCTTCCATCCCTTATCATGTGTCCACATGGAGATTAAAGATTAACAGGATGGTAGCTCTACCCTGTGGTGACCAGACAGAGAACATTCTTTGAACAATGGAAAGGCAGAATTCAAACGGTTCCATTTACTATTCCCACTCACAGTTGAAGAAATTGAGGCACCAAGATGTTAAATAATTTGTCCACCATCACATTGGAATTCAGATGGGAAGAAAGGAGAAGAGAAATTATTAGCATGTTTGCATATTAAGGTTCTGACATCATTGACCACTATGTGGCTTCAGTCCATGGTCAGAATCATTTGATTTTGTGCTCATAAAGAGCAAATCGGGCTTTATGAAGGAGAGGGATGTGCACTAAAATATGAAGCAGAGGTCACTATTATTTGGCCACTTGAACTACCTTCTAAGAGAGCAAATGTCTCATGGAGGGAGAGCACAGGGTACAGGTCTTGTGAGTGGAGGGTATGTTTCAGCAAACGTACTGTATCAGTTAGGATAGGAGAGGTTTTGCTGTGGTAGCAAACAAGCCCATAATCTAAATGGCTTACAATGACAAAGCTTTACTTCTTGCTTATGCTACACATCCCCTGGGGGCCAACTGTAACTCCATTCCACATTGTCCTCACTGTGGGGCCCAGTTGACAAAGCAGCCTCTATCTGGAACTTTGCCAACTTTCTGGCCAAAGGAAAAACACATGGCAAATTACACATAGCTCTTAGAGCTTTTTCTTTCACAGAGCTCACATTTCACTGACCAATGAAGTTATATGGCCAAATCTGATGTCAACAGGCACTGAATACGGGTGACCAGAAGTCCAATCTACCCTCATAAATATATGCAACTATGACATAGCTCTCAGTGAACCCGTTTTATGTGAGCTGGGGCTGTCACTTGAGTTCTCTGGGCCTCAGTCTCCTCATTTAGCTAGCGGTAATCATAATACTTACCCTACCTTCCTTACAGGGCCATTGTGAAAATGAAACATGACAGTCGATATGGAAAATCATTGGCAAATGATTCCTAAAGCACCCCAGAAACAAAACGCATAAATCTACCATATTTGGGATGGAAAGTGAATTGCAGTTCATGTCAACAAAGACAGGTGGCCAATGACAAAACAGGTCCTGGAGGGTATTGTCTAAGTGCTTTCCATAACCACAGGGCCCAGAATTGCCCCAAAGCTTCTGGAAAGGAGGGAAGGCTGGTATGGTTAGTAGGGTCAGCCAGGAAGAGCCCTCAGCTGTAGCCTGGACAGCTGGGAGGAGGACTGGAAAGGGATGATTTGGCTTGCTGGCATGGGAGCCCACCAATCACAATGGACTCTTCCCTTTAACCAGCTTCCATTTGTCCACACACCCTCCTGGTTGGTGCAGGTCCAGACATTAGTCTACATTAAAGGAAAATAAATAGAACAGTATTGCTATCTGCAATACTGTAGCTGAGGAAACTGAGGCTCAGAGATATTAAGCAACATGTTCAAGGCTATATCATAAGGAAACACTTACAGAGGCTTTCTTTTAATCTTTTAAGCCTTTACATACTTTACTATTTAATCCTTGCACCTACTAAATGAGATGGGTTCCTTTTACTATTCCCATTCACAGATGAAGAAATTGAGGCACCAAGAGGTTAAATAATTTGTCCACCATCACACAACTCATAAATTGCCAGTCACGGGAGATCCCCGAGGTTGGGCATCCCAAGATGCACATTCTAGCATCTCTAAAATTGGGATTATCTTTTAACTGATGGCATATCATGGTTGAAAAGTCAACATTTTTTTATTAGTGGTATATAAAATAATAGGGCATCTTAAAATTGCTGACATCTCACCTAGAATCAATAAAATATGAGACATGACTTCTTCTCACCTTCCCACCTCCCTTTGTCAACTTTTGATTTTAAAATGACCCTTCCTCCTGGATAGACGGGAAGGAAGACACAGCTATGATCCTGTTATCTTTCCTTCCTCATCCTTCCAGCTCTCTGGGTCAAAGTGCAGAAGGAGAAACTGACAAAAAGTGGTCAGTTGAAGCACAAGGCAGCAGGAGTGGCTGTTTACTGGTCCTGCATGAGATGGGGTGTTTGGGAACCAACCCAGCCTGTGTTTCTGTGGGGTCAGAGCCCTGGCCAAAGGTCCCTGCACATGGCGCCCATTTTGGCTCCTTAGTGCCGAGAGCAAACCCATTCTCTCTTATGCAGAGATGGAGCCAGGAAACTCAAATAAGAACTCGGGCAACTGCAGAAGGCACATCTAAGGTGCTAGAGTTACTGAACAAGACACGAATCTGTGTCCATTTCTTGGGGGGTAAATACTACCACATGTGCCTGAAGCTCTCACATCATTTAGCCTGTGCTGACATGAATCCCCTTGGAAGAGTTAGCATTTGGTTAGGTAAACGTTTCCCCTCTCCCGCCCCTCCTAACCTCCCCCGTTCTCCATCAATATCTTGCAGATGTTGGAACAATACGTTGACTGACTCCTTTCCCACACTGGGATGCCGGCCTGGGGAAGAATGTGGCTGAGCGCTCTGGCCGCCTTCGACCCTCAGCTACGAGGGGCCTCCTACATTCTCTCGCTTGTGTATCAAGTCGTTAGCTGCTCGCTGCCAAGTATTAAGTGCTTGTTCCACAAACCTGGTGTAGATTATCACTTCGCTGTATAGATGTATCTAATAGAATTAAATTGTTGGCTCCTGACCAGTAACAGATGTGCTACATATAATGCAATAATAATGAGATTGAAACCACCATGTAATATTAAGGGAAAAGTGGAGGGCGACTTGCATTTCTCTAGTTTGGAAGCAAACTTGGAGAAAAAGGAAACTAGAAAGGAAGGATAGCCATTTATTTGCACTGAGTGAGTGCTGTCTGTGTGCTTCAGATAACCCCAAGGATGCCTTTCGCAGCCCCATGTGCACCCGTGACACAAGTACAAGGCAAATAGGGTAGGAATAGGGATATGTTTGTGCTGGAGGTGGATTAATCCAGCTCAGTGACCACCTGCCTCCCCAACCTTGTGCTGCCCACCTTTGGGGGGCTATAATGACTTCAGAATGGGATAAATTCTTGCAGGCTGCTCCAGGTGAGGGGTGAGCAGTGAAACCCATGCTCAGGGGGCCGACACATGAACAGGAAGAAGACAAAAGTATAGATGAGGACAAATGGAAATCTGACTGCTGCTGGGCAGGCCCCAGTGTTCCCAGGTGTAGATTCCAGTGCTCTCTCTTGATGGTTATGTAGTTCTGGGACTTTTCTCAGAATTAGGATGAGCGGACATCTGCTTCTCAAAAGTCTGCAACTCTGCTTCCTGGAAGTGCTCAACAGGAGACTCAGAAGGGATTATTCCAACAGTGAAAGGGGTAGCCTGGAGATCAAAGAGCAGGCTCAGCCATAGGAGTGATGCAAGTAGACGCTTGAAAAAGTGTATGCCTATTTCTGCCAACCCTCTTGCACAATTGAGCTTCTATATGACTTTGCTGAATGTGAATCCAGAGCTTGGGCTTTTCTGGGTGCTTTGACCTGCTGCTCTTCCTTCTGCCCTGTCTTTTCTTCCCCTGTTATCCTCCTTTTCTCTTCTCTCCAATACAGTGACCCTATCAGTTTGTTATTGCTGAGTAACAAACAGCCCCAAAACTTCATGTATGGTTTTTTTTTGTTTTTCATCACAAATCTATGGGTCAGTTCTGTGAACTAAGGCCAGCCTTGACTGATCTTATCTGGGTTTGCTCATGTGTCTATAGTCAGCTGACAGATTTGTGGGACACTGGCTTGTCTAGGACGGTCTTGGCTCTTTGTGGTTCTTACAACCCTCCAGTAGGCTAGCCGGGGTATGTTCTTATGGCATTATGGGAATCATGATGGAGATCAAGCCCGATTATGTGAGAGAGTTGGTAGAAATAGGTATGCACTTTTTCAAGCCTCTACATGCATCACATTTGCTGTCATCCTATGGGCAAGCAGTCTCATGGCTAAGTTAGAATCAGGGTGAGAAGGATGATACAGCTACAGGGCAAAGGGCCTAGGTTAAAGGAGAGCATGAGTTAGGGCTGTTGAAACAATCAATCTACTGCAGTATTCTTGGAATTTTCTTGAGGTTTCCAAGTACACCCATTAGGAACAGTCAATGGGACAGGTCAGTGACATGTCCTGAAACCCAAGTCCTTCTTCAATCCATCCAAAGAAATGGTCAAGAAGCTGTCAAGTCAGTTTCTGGTTTTCTCTACCTGGACTTCTGTTTGCTAGCTTGCCATATGCTGACAATTTGGGATTATTTGCTTCTCTTCTCCCCATCCCTCCTCCCCCTCAACCCATATGCATACATACACAAAATAGATCTTAGTTCAATTTCTGGGGACCCTTTCCACCACAGTCTCCAGTCCCCAAAGGAATAGGTATGACAGAGAAAGTCTGGGTGCGAGGCATGGAACACAGTCCTAGAGGGATTGGGTGGCAAGAGATGAAGGACAAAGGAGCAAAACAGACATGATGCTGAGAGAAAGATAAATAAGGCAGGGAGGCTCTCAGGTACTGCGCCCAGAGGTACAACTGAGGTCAAGACAAGATGGGGGTAAACAGGCACATCCAATCAGGGGAACAAAGTCAAGGGTTGCATAGTCAAGTCCTCTGTAGAGCACCAGAAGGATCAGACTAGAAAAGCAAAAGGAAATTTGCTTAGCACATAATAATTGCTCAATGAATATTTGTGGACTGACTGACTAGGAAACTATCCTAAGAAACCAACAGAACCTCAAACACAAACTTGGGAAAAAGGAGAGACATTGAAGCATTATTTGTAGTAGTAGATAGAAACACACCAAATGCTCAACAATAGGGAAAGATTAAATAATTTATGGTACATCTATATAATGGCATATGATATGGTTATTCAAAATGATGTTTTAAATTAAATTTTTATGACTGGAGAAGCAGTTCACCATGTAATATGAAGTGAAAAAGCAGGCTACAAAACTGTATGCAATATCATTGCAAGTAGGCATAAAATAAGTGTGGTTTTAACAGTGGTTTATGGAAGATTTTTGTATCTTTACACTTTCTATATTTTCCAGGTTTTCCATAATGAGACTATACTTCCTTTATGACTATAAAAATATCTAAAGTTCTAAAATGAATGTGAATCTTGATTTTGAAATGGGGACCAAGATGTTAACTTCTTAAGTTATATCAAGTACCCCTTATATATTCTCCTGTAATTTGATTGGTAGCATTTACCACAAATTACGAACAGTTAGTGGTCTCTCATCTCTCTCTCCAACAGAATGTAGACCACAGGAGAGTGAGGATTTTGCCTGTCTTGTTCATTGATATGTTTTCAGTACTCACCACAGCCTTATAGACAGCAGGCCCTTAGGAAATGTTTGTTGAATGAATGAATGACAAAAGCAACTCAAAGAAAATTCCCTTTCCTTTCTACTGAATCGACTGAGACCTGCTGTAGCGTCAGTATTAGGAGCACCTTGACTGGTCCACAGGGAGAAGTGTTAGGAGCTGAGCAACCTTGGTTTGTAAATACTCACTGCCTCCAAGGGCTATAGATTGTCTAATGGGGGCTCAGCATGGTACCAAGTGCTATGGGTCTCAGGAAGGAAGAACTCACCCAGCAAGGTATAATTGCAGAATAGAGCGCTCATCGGGTCAAAGAAGGGAACTCAAACATAACGCCCAAAGAAAGGCACAGTTACACATGCCCCCTGCTTCCTCCTTGAGATGCATGCACTGTTCTTGAGTTCTTGAAGAACTCACAGATGTGTTCTTGGTCTCCTTCGCCACTTCCTCCCCTCCCATCCTCTTCAGGCAAATGATGCCCATTCCAGGCCCTGCTCTGCTCTGTCTTCCACCCCATGGAACAGGTGATTTCATCTTGTCCAGTTCTTTGTCTACAGGTCCAGACAGTAAGGAACTCTATTCTGCAGCCCTGGTTGTGTCACTTCTTTCCCAGGCACATCAAGATAACCTTTATTTTAGTCTCTTTCTTCTTGTTTCTTTTCTTTTCCTCTCTGTCCTATTTCTCCTAGAAAGTCTCTAACACCACTAGGAAGCAAATGTTAATGACAGGAAAGGAAAAAGAGAGATATCAGCAAAATGAGCCATAAGAAGCACATCCACTGTTTAACGTCCCTGAAAGTGCCCCGAGATTTGTTTCAGATGCTTCTGTCCATTCTTTAATTAAATCTGCCTTTCCTCACCCACCAATGCTTGAGATAAGAAAAACAAGTATTTTGGCCAGAAGTCTTGTTGGTCTCTTTAGTTTCATTATAAGTGAATTTTCCACTATTTTTAAAGAAGTACATATGTACAGCATTTCACTTTGTAATAATAATGGCTACCATTAATTGAATTCTTACTAATGCCCAGGAGGTGTGCTAAGGACTGAGTCTACCTAAATTATTTAATTACCTCAACAACCCATGGGCTAGTGCTATTATTATTAACATTTTACAGATGCAGAAACTGATGCTCAAAGAGAGCTGGCAACTTGCCCACAGTCATCCAATTAAGTTCTTCTTAGATCTGGAAGAATAACTACCACTTATAGGATTGTTTCTATGAGAAAAATATATATTCCTGTTCCAGATGACCAATACACATACACAGATGCACGCGTGCACAAACACACACACACACACATGCGCAAGGAACACAAACTGCTTCTGTTTCTTAGAGGAAAGAAGAGTCAATATGCATGACACTTTTGTCACCATAGCAGATATCAGTTAGGGTGGCTTTGCAGCTTATGATTAATTTATCCCCCTCTTCTGGTGATCTATCAATAGATCTGTCTCTGGATGAATGCGAGTTCCTGTCCTCTCCCAGCCACAATGATTGGTCCACAAGCTGAACCTATAATCCAAGCTGGGCCAACCATTGTCCTCCCCAAGGATTTTAGAATTTGAAACTGGGAGGAAGTGTTACTCTGTCTCATGTCTTCTCACTGAATGGCTGTGAATATAGAGTTGCTGAAGGCTGCAGAAGGAGGAGACAGCCTATTTATAGGCAGAGAGAAGGAGGCCAGAAAGAGAGAAGCAGAAACTAGAGGTGACAGAGAGGGAAGGAGGAGAGAATGAGACTGAATCCAGTTGTCTCCAACCTCTTCTTTCAGTTTTGTGAGCTGTGTCTTCAACTGCTTCCTTTTTTTTTTTTTTTTTTTTTTTTTTTCCGGAGTCTTGCTCTGTCTCCCAGGCTGGAGTGCAATGGTGCAATCTCGGCTCACTGTAACCTCCGCCCTCCTCCTCCTGGGTTCAAGCAATTCTCCTGCCTCAGCCTCCTGAGTAGCTGGGATTACAGGTGCCTGCCACCATGCCCAGCTAATTTTTGTATTTTTTAGTAGAGAGGGGTTTTGCTATGTTGGCCAGGCTGGTCTTGAACTCCTGACCTCAGGTGATCTGCCCACCTCGGCCTCCCAAAGTGCTGGGATTACAGGTGTGAGCCACCACGCCCGGCCCAACTGCTTCCTTCTTTTCATCACTGAGGAAACTGAGCTGGGGATAGTGAAAAGACCTGCCCAAGATTATGCATTAAACTAAAGGCAGAGCCCAGCCTGGAGCAAAGTCCCTGGCCCCAGCACATTGCTCTTAAGGACAACCATAGGCCTGGGAAATCGAGGGCAGGGACAAACTGAGGGTTGAGAAGGGAGAAGCACTCTGTGCTTCCTGCAGCATTTAGTCTCCGTCCTCCACACTCAGCTCCTGCCCCAGCTCCCTGCCTGCTGCCTGGATGGCTCCGCAGAAGCCCAGTCCATGCCTCATTAACTGGATCCACCTGTGGGCACTTTATTTAATTATCTCAATTGGAATGGACTCAAGATGCTGGAGTTAATGTCCTTCCGTTTTCTGAGAGCTAATTATCACCTGTAGCTTGGCCCCAGGCACGTACAGAAGGGGTCACCAGTGGCACTGTAAATGCATTGGCTGAGTCAAATGCATTCCCTCTTATTTTGGCCGGCAAGGTGAGTTAAACATGACAGGGGGTCAGCAAGCATCTGGGCCAGTCACTCGCCTCCAGACATCAGATCCTGGTGCCCTGGGTCGTAACACTTCCATCACCAGGCTGAGCATAACCAAGTGCCCAGAATCCTGGGCCTGGAAAACAACAATAGCTGCCTCTTTGGCCTCCCAGCTGTAAGCACCAGCTCTCGCAATAGTGCTAAGGGTTTTTCTACCTGCACTTCTGCCTGGGAAGGGTTTGTTGGCTCAGAGAGGTTAAGTAACTTGCCTGGAGTTACACTGGTAGACAGCTAAGCTAAGATTTAAACTTCCAACTGGCTGATGTTGTAGTTCAGATATTTTTCTGCCTCATGTCAAAAAAAAATATTATACCCCGTTTGCCTCATGGCGGGTAAATGATTACCTACTATGTGCCAAGCCCTGTGATCAGGGAAAGGAACTGAAAGATGAAATTCAAAGGTGTACAAGACACAGTCCTTTACTTCAAGGAGCGTGCATAAGCTCTTTATGGTGTTGAGATAGTTATACTCTCCTGACACCGTAATAGTAGGGTGGCATGAAAAGCGTGTAGAATGTGGAGCCAAAAGGCATGGGTTTGCCCTCTAGCTCCACGCTCCCTCACTGTGTCATCTTCCAGAAATCGCGTCACTTTTCCAACCTCAGACCCGCATCATGGAGCATGGAACGTGGAACTCATTTCATCTGCCCTGTTTCACAGGGTCTCCAGAAGCTCCGGTCAGATAACAAAAATGAAAACACTGTTTACACATGCACGCCTTTGTTTGTTGTAGAAACTATTATTATTGGATGGACTCCAAGATCCACTTTACTCCTCAAGAGGCTCAACTGTAGCATAACTCACAAGTGAGAGGTGTCAGGCCAGCAATGGGAACAGGGTCCCTGTTCAGGAATGCCTTCTCCTGCCTTCCATGGGTCCAGTGGGAAGCAGAAAGAGCCCCTCTGTGCCTTTAAAATGACCTGCTGGCTAAATAAATAATAAACAGAAATCATCATTTACTTACAGACACTCCAGAACTGGAATGTAAGTTGATTTCCTTCCCTCTTTGCCTGGAAGATTGTTTGAGGGGAAACTTTTGGTCTTGTTACACAACAGTAGCATGCGCCATATTTCTGTTTCTTTCTTCATTTGTCATTTATGAGGAGGGTATTTTGGGGTTGCCCTATGGGCAAGAAATAGGCTTGCCTTCACTAGACCAATTTGCCAGTTCACCTAATAGACACTGAACTACAGGCACCAGTGCCTGCTTTTCTGAGAAACCACTTTGTCATAAACACCTACAAAGGTTACTCAGTGTTAATCCACCCACACCGAGGGTGACCAGCTAGTCCCAGTTTGTCAGGGACATTCTTGGCTTTAGCAGAAGCTCTGCTCCCTCAGGACCAGGCAGACTGGGACAGATGATCACGCTGCCCACACCTCACCTCCCCGCTGTGTCAGGAGAGCACAGTGGGACTGAGCCTAGGATCTGGTGTCCCACATGGGCCTCATCCCTTTTCTGTTATGTAGGACAAGTTGCTTAACTTCTCTGGGCCTCAGTTTCTTCACTCGTAAATGGAGACAAGAGCAGAACCTATTTCATCGATCACTGTGATGATCAAGTGAACATATATGGAAAATACTCTATCCAGGGCAGTCACCTGGGACCCAAAAGTCCTTAGTTATTGTTATTGCCTGGCCTGGCCACAAGGAGCTTATGCTCAAGTTGAGGAGACAGACAAATGCCTTAAAAGGTGGTTTAGTTCCTTCTTCCTCTTCCCTTTGCATTTCTCTTTCAGGTTTTACCTCCCTCCTAACTCCCTGTTCCCCAACTCTGTCCCGCCGCTTCTTGTTCCCTCGTCCAAGGATGCAGGATGCTGTTTCTTTCACAGCGCATTATTCATTTCTTGGCAGGGAACGCTGTGCTCATAAGAATTAACATTTGGATTTTATTTACTGGCTTGCAAAGTGCCAGGATTGCATGGGGGACTCAGTTGCACAAACTCTCTTCATGGGAAATCAATGACAAATGGAGAAAAGGGGAGTCTTGAGGATCAAACAGCAAACCCTTCGCAATCCTTGTTTGAAAACTCAGTCCTGGCTGATTTATTGCCTTCCCTGGAGTGGTATGGGGGAGGGACATGGTCTCTCTCCGGAGTCTCCTCGCTGACCACCACACCGAACAGTTAGACCCATTCCCAGTCTTACATGAGATTAGTCACAGGATATTTCATTTTAAGTCCAGTGGAATGTTTTCCTAAATCAGACAAGACTCTTTCAGTGTTTATGGCTGTTTTTTTGGAATTCTCTTTGGCTCCGGGAGGGATTTGAAAATTAACTACATTTCCTTTTGGTGACCTGGGGCCAAGCTGGAGGAAGATGAGGCCCTAGGTTTGGGCCAGCAGCAACTTGTCAGGCTTATTCCAAGAAGTCTCTTCCATTGGCCAGCCTTCCCCAGCACCTGCAGCCCACCATGGCGGCCAGGCCAGGCCAGGCATCCCATCCCCACAAGTCTTTGTTCCACGAACTGGCCGGCCCGTACTCCATGGGAAATTGGAGATGCAACACAAACATTTTGCAAAATTAAAAAAGTGGGGGGAGCCCGAGCCATTTGGAAGAGAAGTGGAAGGCTCACACGGGGCTTTTTTACATATCAGAGCTTTCTTTTTGCCTGTGTGGTAGATGAAAATACGGAATTCTTACACAAGTAATGTGGTCAGAGGCTGCAGAATTTGTCTAATACAGTGGATTGTTGTTTCACTTGTCCTTAACATAGATGAAGAGATGAAAAGAGAGACAATCATAGAGAAATGATGGAGAGATGAGGTAATGGCCAAACAAGCACAGTCAACTGCCTGACAACTAATACTCTTTGTTCTCCAAAGCAATATCTTCCCTGGAGATTGATGAAATCCTAAAGGTGTGTTTTTCCCATTTTATAATTTCAAGTGAGTTCTATTTTACTTGCACATTTCTGCCTCTTTCCTTATACACTTATTATCTGTGGACCATAACCCACTGCAAATGAGTAGCAAGACAGCTAGTGGCACAGACTCTAGCCAAACCAACTGAATTTGAATCTAGCTTCAGCCACCTACTTGTTGTGTGTCTTTGGACAAGTTAGTGTCTCAGTATAAAATGTAGATAATGGTAGGACCTGCCTCACAGAGTTGTTGAGAAGATTAAATGAAGAATGTAAATGGCTCAGACGAGTCCCTGATGCATAGCAAGGTCTAGAAAAGTGCTTGCTATGATTAAATCTGACTAAATCCAAAAGGTTGATATCACCACAAGTTGTTTCTAGAAAGACTCTATTCACACAAGAATGAGTGTTCCTCAGAGCATGTTGTAGGCAGTCAGGTGAGCAGAAGTTGGGCTATGTTTCCTCTGGGGGTGTCCAAAGCCCTGATGAAGGCAGCTGGAGGTATAACCATTTACAAACTCCCTGGTTCTGTTTTATCAATTGTGTCCATGAGGATGTGCTAAACTACAAATAATAGAAAACTCTATTCACACTGGCTTAAACACTAAGGAATGTATCATATACCCCAAGTGCAGAAAGTCCAGAGGTATCTGGGATTACAGTTGTCTCTGGAGGATCAACTAGATCACCAGGGACCCATGTTTCTCCCATATCTCACTCTGGCATCCATGGAGTAGGTGTCCTCCTAAGGCAGCTTCCCTCGTGATTGTAATAGGGCTGGTAACAGTCAGAGTGAGGTGTCTTGTTATGTCTGTCAAGAGATAGCATAGAATGATACTCTCTGAAAGCCCTTTATTGACAAGAAGGACAGACTTTCTCAAAAGCCTCCAGGCAACCTCTTCCCATATTGCATTGCACTGTCTTCAATTGAATAACATTCCTGAACCTACCATTGAGTAGAAGGATGAGATTACCCCTAGACTGTGGTCAAATCACAAAACAGCACTGTTATGACTCAATAGAAAAGGAACAGACCAACATTGGTGGGCGGGGAGAGGGTAGTCCACTTGACTGTTCACCACTCTGCAGATTCCATGCCCCCTACCTTAGGTGGTGAGTAATGTTGAGGGTTTTTTGACTTTTCAGGAGCTCCGGAAAGTCCCATGATATTGGTTAATTCTGTATAACATTCTGCATAATTGAATTTCTAGGAATGGAGTTCTGAAGACAAGATTTTTCAAAAATACATAATGGCAAACATTAGGCCCACTGTGTGTCCTCTCCATATCAAAGCTCTCAGCTTTGACTTAAATATTGTATTAGATTAGACAGAATATTTCAACACCCTCCCCCAATTCTTCCTCCACACGGCCAGTGAGAACAGGGATTACTTCTGCCTACTTCACCATTGTATTCCACGCTGCCTGGCCAATAGTAACTTAATCAATATTTATTGAATGCATGAAAACTCCCTGCCACTGCTCTCTATCAAAAAAACACTATGGGCTTAGACCCTTTTATCAACTTATATTCATGCCCTTTGTTCCTCTTTCCTTAAATGTTTTCTTTCTCTGCTCCCTTAGATGCCTCAGAGGTCTTGAAGTTAATCACTTCTTCTAAGAATAAAATAGCTTTCATTTGTTTATTGAGCACTTATTATTTGTCTTGCCCAGTGCTAAGCACTTCACAGATATTACCTTATTTAATATTCACAAAATCCTATAAGATAGGTTTACAGGTGAAGAAAATGCCTTAACGAAGGCCATAATATCTATAAACAGAAACAGACTACAGACTCAAGCCCAGATCTGAAAGGAGCCCAGGCCTGGCCTCCTAATCACTCCCTGTGCCTTCCTAGACTTTCACAGCCCACAGAACACTCTTCCGGGCTGTTCTCTTGGTCTGTGCTCTCCTGTTGTTTTCTGATGTCCATGTGTGAGTCTCACTTCCCCAACACCGTGTTATGCTCTGAAGGTGAGGTGGGCTAGGGGCTGTGTCTTGAAACTGCTGGGTTCCCAACGCTCACCCTAGCAGAGATCCCTGTCTTGAATAGATGCCATTTGAATTGAACTGCATCCAGGGCCCTGGCCTCTGGATGGCCCAACCACAGCCAATGTGTGCAGACTGTGAGGCTTCCCCAGCCCAGCCTGTATGTATGTGTTCTGTGTCTTGGCCAAGCCAGCTTGCAGCAGGCAGTCTTAGCCAGGCACCCTAGAGCAAAGCGCAGTTTCCATCTGAACAAAGCATAAAGTCTGCCATGGATCCCAGGCTGACTGGCTCGACCTGGTTCTCTTCTACGTGAGCAAGCTTGGTGACCTTGGCTCCCTGGATCTGCTGTAGGCCTCTGTGGCTCATCCTTCCACTGAAGTATTTGTCTATGTGTGCATAGCTCTTCCAGGCTGGAGGGAGCACTAGGGAACTGGACTCTTCCTCCTCCATTAAAAGAACTGTGTGAGAACTCTTGACCTCTCCCTGAAGGCACAAGGATGGAACAATTTACAGCTGCTTGTTATGGGTTGTGTCTCTTGGGGCGTGAGTTATGAGCTTTCGGCTGGGCCACACATACATGCACAATCTGTTCAGCACAATTCTGGTCACTTCTTCCCAGAGCTCAGCCAAATTTAGGGCAAATGTGTGGCCACTGGCCTATTGGACCAACCATTGAAGAAGCTGGTAGAGCTATGGGCTGGTTTAGTCTCCTGGAAACCAAAAGCAATTGCTGACATCTGGAAGCCGTGGGGTGCATTCCAAGTGCCGGGTCATTAGCCACAGTCATGGGAGAGAAAAGCTCTGATAGTTAGGGAAGGGGCAGAAAGAAAGCCACTTCTCTTATTGCCATTTCTCAAGACTCAAAAGGCTGAAATCCCTCTCCCACCCAAGCAGGGTCCCTAACTGGGTAAATAAAATTCTATGGTTGAGATTGTGAAGCTTTATCTCGCTCTGTCTAGTGGATCTTTAAGCCATTTGTTTCCACCTTCTCTGCTTGTTGTTCTCTCTGATCTCATCCCTTACCCTTTCCCCCATTTCTATGTGGGCAGAAAGACTAGGGGAGCAACATTCCATTCTCTTCTTGGCTCAGTACGCAGTTTTGTCCTTCCTATACTTGATCTCTAAGCCTCAGGGAAAAATAAAGATTGGGAGACTCAGGACACAAAGGAATAAAATTTCCTGATTTCCTAAGGAAGTCAGGGAAGCACCCATATGTAGTTTTTATATAAGATTAAAAGACAACACAATGTGTTCTCTCATCACCTATGCTCAATACAAAACAGATTGAGAAGACAGAAAGATTTGACAAGTCAAAAACCAAACAAACAAAAAATAGTTTGGATAAATCCAAGCAGCTGAGTGAACACAATAAATGTGAATGGATCAAATCCATCATATTAAAGGATAAAGACTTCCAGACTGAATTTTTAAAATATCCCAAAATGACTTTATGGTACTTCAAAGAGATAGATGAAGGAAAATGACACAAGGAGGTTAAAAATAAAGGAATGATAAAAACTATCAGATTCAGAAAAAGGGAAAGTAAAGTGAGGAACAGGGAGAATTGCTACTAGGTGTGTCTTCTTTCTCCAAGAAACAATATATTTAGAAACAATATGTTGCTTGACTTTATCCTCAAAGTAATCTTGAGGAAAAGCATTTAGAAAACATGTCCAGGGAAGACTCCACACTAAACTTCTCCTCCATTCAGTCCCCACCCTCTCCAATTTTAGAAATAGGTGAAGCACAGAAGTCTCTTGGGCATCTCTGCTCCATTTTTCCATTCTCTATAAATGAAAGCAAAGTTGTTAAATTAAAAACAAGTTCAGAATTCTCCATGTGCTTATCCTCACTACCACCCTAGGAAATGGCTTCAGGCAGGCAAGTTTGGATAATCCCCAGGCAAAGAGATGATGTATAGACCACAGAGCCAATTTTGTTATTGGGCCAATTGGGCTGCCCATTTAGCATCCAAGTGAAACCAGAACAAGGGAAAATGGTGGCAACCAACAGAGGAACAGATGGACAAATGTGTGGACTACACTGCATGCACATAGTCCACGGATGGGCCTCAGCCCTTAATATTTTATGTACATTATGAATCTATGAGCTTCCCCCTCACAACACGGCTTATAGCTTTCAGTAAATTTTCAAACGGATTCATGACTCCAAAGGGTTTTGAAACCATTGACTGGTTGGTGAAATAATTTCAAAACTGAAATGAGAGTCAGTACCCTGCATCCTGCAAAGACTCACAAGTCAAGGCTTAGGCTTCTACTGCCATTTACAGAGCAGAGATGTTTCTGAAGTTGGTAAAACTAAGCATAGAACTCAGACCTTAATATCTCTGGGTGAAAGGTGGGTATGGTATTGGGGTTGAGGAGGGTGGAGGCTTGTGTAGGCATCATGGTAAACCAAGAGTGAAATTACCTTCTCTCTGGTTCTCTCTCCCAATCACTCCACAATCCATTTCATATGGAAAAGCATTTTCCAGAGTGACCCATTTAACAAATCCCATAGACTTTACCTTGAAAAAAATGGGCTTATTGGTAGAATAAATTTGAGAAATGCTGTATAAGTTACCCTCCCCCAATGAAGAGTCACATGGTACATTTTTATAATAAAGGTTGTGACAAATGCTGCAATAAAGAAACCCATTTAATTTAACTTAATTTAACATAGTGTTTCTAAAAGTTATTTGAGCAGACTTTTCTCCCCCCGCCCCCCAGAACTTCTTTCTGCATGCTGCTAAACCAGAGTTCTAGTGCACATGCTCTGGGGAATGCAAAGAAAGTCAAAAGTCTAACGTACTTCCTGGCATTCAAAGCCTCCTTCTGGCTCTTCTCTGCCTCTCCCTTTCCATGAGCCATTACCCCTCCAGCCAAACTTGGTGCCCACCCTAAGCCCATCACACCTTGCCCTTCGCCACCTCTTACTTCCACAGGCATCATACACTCTCCCCATCAGCACCCTTCCCAGTCTTCCTGGTGTTCCAAATCTTATCCATCATTGGTCCTAGCCCATATTCCTTCTTTCTTTCACAAAGACTTTCCAGCAATGAGCAGATGAAAAATAAAAGCATGACTTGGGGGTAGGGACACAGATATAGCAAGGAGAGTAACCCTCTGTGGTCACCCCCTGCCATCTCCCAGGTCCTTTTGGACAAATTGTGTTCTTAGGTGTGGACATCTAGTTCTCATCTTAGTTCAATAATGACTGCAGCTCTGTCATCTCTATGCATTTCCAAGCTGGGGGTAACAGGATAATGGAGGAAAAGAAAAGCAAATTTAAGAAATGGATGAGTATTAAGTGCAGAGTCAAGATATACTTGACTCAATCCTGACTTCTCTTGACAGAGATTTGCCTTTACCTTCAGAGTGAGGCTCTTCTAGACCCAATCCTGCCATTTTACACCAGCTCCTATGATGAATCCACAGTCTGAAGTGTAGTCTTTATGAAGGTTAGACCATAGGGGAGGGAGGTCTTGGTGACATGCTGAACTCCAGTGAACCTTAGATAGTCAACCAAAGAGGCATGGAACACTAAGTGAGGTCCTGGCACCCCAAAAACTTCCCTAGAATGCCAGCCCACCTCAGAATGACTTCTTTGTGCAGCATAGAGATCTCTGGTTAGTCAGGTCTCCAAGTTCAGACGGTAGAGCCCTTAGCTGCAGAAACTACAGCCACCTCTTCCTCCATGGCCCTCAGACACAATATTTTGTTTCTTAAACTTAGATTAAGGGGTGGGCATGAACCCATCCTTGGGTCTGTGGAAGCTCTTTGCCTTGAGAAGACCCAGGCAGTAGAAATTACTCCTCAAGGTAGTAGCATAGCAATAAAAGGTGGCAAGAGGAGTGATGTACATCCCGGTTCATGCCCTTCCTCCATCGCTTCTGGGCTGTGCAGCCTTAGGTAGGTTACTTAGCCTCTCTGAGCCCTAGCTGTTTTATTCATGAAATGAGGACAGTAAGCACATTCATATCATAGGTCTGTTATAAGGATTAAATAAAACACAAACCCTCTTAAAAAGTGCCTGGCTCACGTAGACACTTGTGAGTAGTAACTGTCATTATCATTATGACCATTATTACCATACAATACTCTGGATTGGGAATCAGAATGCCTGAGTTCTAGGCCCAGATCTACAACTAATGTTCTTCCTGGCCTTGGAACACACTGGGCCTCAGTTTTCCCATCTGTAAAGGGAGAGTTCTGTACGCCCTCAGAAGAGAGTCAAGAGGCTCGAATGAGATAAGAAGTATTAAAGTGCTTTGTACAATGAAGACTCTAAGAGAATTGTATGTACCATTAGGGATGAGCATACAGTCTGGGTCACCAGCTATTCTTTACTCATTCTTTTCTTTTTTTTTTTGTTTTCAGACGGAGTGTCACTCTGTTGCCACGCTGGAGTGCAGTGGCGCAATCTCGGCTCACTGCAACCTCACCTCCCAGGTTCAAGTGATTCTCCTGCCTCAGCCTCCCGAGTAGCTGGGACCACAGGTGCCCACCACCACGCCCGGCTAATTTTTTGTATTTTTAGTGGAGATGGGGTTTCACCATGTTGGCCAGGATGGTCTCAATCTCTTGACCTTGTGATCCACCCACCTCAGCCTCGCAAAGTGCTGGGATTACAGGTGTGAGCCACCGCGCCTGGCCTCTTTACTCATTCTTAACTTTGCACATGGTTCCTCTTTCTCTCTCCTAGCTCCTCCTTCTTGCTGAGATTCTGGACTCAGATGGCTCACCCTGGTGTCTGATGTGGCTGCCAGGAGTTCCTTTGCTGTGGCCAGCCCTTTAGGATTCTCTGCAGACTGGAGAGAAGACAAAGAATATTCCATCTTCCAGAATCTCAGAGGGCTTCCTTGATTTCATCAATTTCATGTTGTCTGGCTGGACACCACAGTCTTCAGAATAACTAGAAAACTGGAGCTTCTGAGCAAGGCTTACATAAGGAAGCCAAAAATGCTCCCTGTGGCAAGATTTATTACTATCATCATTATGATTATCACTATTGTTGCTATTATTAGCAAATATTATCAAGAGCATGATGATGGTGAGCATTTACTGAGAGCCATGCAGAGGCCAGCACCTTGGGAGGCCGAGGCAGGTGGATCATTTGAGGTCAAGAGTTCAAGACCAGCCTGGCCAACATGGTGAAACCCTATCTCTACTAAAAATACAAAAATTAGCTGGGCATGGTTGCACTCGCCTGTAATCCCAGCTACCTGGGAGGCTGAGACAGGAGAATCACTTGATCTTGGGAGGTGGAGGTTGCTGTGAGCCGAGATCGTGCCACTGCACTCCAGCCTGGGTGACAGAGTAAGACTCTGTCTTAAAAAAAAAAAAAAAAAATCCATGCAGTATGCTGAGAGCAGGTCACACATTCACACATTCACTCCTCACCACAGCCTTACGAAAGAGGTACTAGCATTGCTCCCATTTTACAGATGGTGAAACTGAAGCTCAGACTGCTCCCAGCCCCATAACAACTCACACTGCAAGGTGGCAGTGAAGGGTCTGTGGTCGGGAAAGGAGAAACAGTCCCCTCTGAATTGATCATTTTCCTCTGGAAGTTGTTGGGCTAGGGAGCATGTCTCCTGGCTTCCCCTGGTGAGCTCCTTTGTGCCTGGATATGCAGCCCATGAGCATGGAATGATCCAGGCTGAGCTGG
Source organism: Homo sapiens (assembly GCF_000001405.40). Lineage (NCBI taxonomy): Eukaryota > Metazoa > Chordata > Mammalia > Primates > Hominidae > Homo > Homo sapiens. The sequence goes on along the minus strand of NC_000010.11, from coordinate 113,415,972 downwards.
TAATCTTGGCACCATGGCATCACTTCGATCCTCAACCTCATGTTTATCATTAGAAGATGGTCAACATGGCATCACTTTTCATCACTTTCTGCTTAGGACAGGAGGTTGAGCTAATCATACTCTTCAGCTCATGGTACATTATCATCACTGGTGGAATGATTCAGTCGTTCGTTTGTTTTATTTCTTCTTTGTATTTCTATAGCCCATTTCCATTCCTCTCCTCCCATAGGCAGCTCTTCTAATGCATTTAAGGTGATCTTTTTGTTTCATAAATATTGCTGCTTCACGTGTGTGTACTTTTCATAGTGTCTTATCCTGTGTATTTTATTTTTATTTATTTTGTTTTTACTAAGCTCAGGATCATGTTCTGAAGATCTATCCATGTTGGGGCATGTATCTATACACTGAGTTTATCACACTCCAACAACTGAGCAGCTTTCTAAGGGAAGGGTGAAGCCAATAAGACAAAGAGCATGCAGATTGTGTCACAGATGAGTCAATACGGGAGTCTGAGAGGAGGAAGGGGAAAGTTCCAAGTGGAACAGCAGCATATTCAGATGCTTTCTCCCTGCCCAGCCTACGCACTCACCAAGAAGTCCAGAACAGACTCCCAGTTCCTGCAGACACCACATTCAGTAATATCAGCCTGAAACGGGGGAAGGAAAGAAGCAAGAGGTGGAGGTCAGAGCACAGTGGGTCCTGACCTAAGTCTCTTCTGCTCTGACAAACCCACGTCTTCTAGGATGTCTGCAGTGGCTCAGCCTCACACAACTTCACCCAGGTTATACTGCTGATGTGGTCATGAGTGCATGTATGGCTCTGGGGATTCAGGCTGCTCCTCTATCAAGTCATAGGAGAGTTCTCCATGTGTCCTGGGCATAGAAATTTGACCCGAGGTGGCTGCCAAAGCTGGGGGCTGGGGGGTTGCTGGTCTTCGAAGGGGACCCAGTTTTTTGGCAGCCTTTTCTGTCCTCTGTACATCTACACAGAACCAGAGAAATGGGCTGACTTTTTAATAAATCCAAATCAGTTTCATTTTTTAAAATTGAAATTTCACAGGTCATCAGCCTACCCCATGGCCCACTGCCCTTGGAGAGGATGGAAAAATAATTGGAATCATATGAGCCAGTTTGATCAGAAAAGTGAATGTGGTTTGGAGTGAAGGCCTGGATTCCCTGTCCTTGGTGACTAACTTGACCTCACCTTCCCCAAGCCTAAACCCTGTAGAGATGAAGCTGCCTTCCTGCCTGGGGAAATTAGCTCAACTTAAGAGGCAAGAGGTCACCTACTTCCCCAGAGGCCAAGATTGTTCACCACCAGAACAAACAGTTGAAAAGTGAAAAATTCAGCTACACAATGGAGTGTTTCCAAACCTTTGATGGATGGCTGTCCCCACCCTCCAGCTCACTGAAGTGATTATTTGTTTGAGTGGGCTGTAGACACAGTTGTAGACAACACAACTTTATCAGTGTCGCCAATGGTCAGAGTTTGCTGGGAGAAACTATTATATTTCAAGCTTGCAAATGGCTCTAAAAACCATGACGTGGGAAAGGGGTGGGGAAATGCATCCATATATCTTCATTAAGGTTTCTTATTATGCATCTCTGAATATTTTCTGGGAGATCTGATACATAGCTTCTAATTTAGCAGAGACTGTATCAAATCAGGTTGAGTGACAGGAACAATTAGTTTGCTTCTCTTATTCAACAACAAATTAAGACAAACTCCCAGAAATCTATTCTTTGACTAGTTCCTACACTCTCTTCTTGGTCATCATAAGTAATATGCAAAGAACTATGCACCAGTAGTTAATGAAGGGACACGGTTCTCCCTTAATGGTGCATTTTCCATCCGGAAATGAAGAATCAATTCGTGAAAATGGCCATACTGCCCAAGGGAATTTATAGATTCAATGCCATCCCCACCAAGCTACCAATGACTTTCTTCGCAGAATTGGAAAAAACTACTTTAAAGTTCATATGGAACTAAAAAAGAGCCCACATTGCCAAGACAATCCTAAGCCAAAAGAACAAAGCTGGAGGCATCATGCTACCTGACTTCAAACTATACTACAAGGCTACAGTAACCAAAACAGCATGGTACTGGTACCAAAACAGAGATATAGACCAATGGAACAGAGCAGAGCCCTCAGAAATAATACCACACATCTACAACCATCTGATCTTTGACAAACCTGACAAAAACAAGAAATGGGGAAAGGATTCCCTGTTTAATAAATGGTGCTGGGAAAACTGGCTAGCCATATGTAGAAAGCTGAAACTGGATCCCTTCCTTACACCTTACACAAAAATTAATTCAAGATTGATTAAAGACTTAAATGTTAGACCTAAATCTATAAAAACCCTAGAAGAAAACCTAGGCAATACCATTCAGGACATAGGCATGGGCAAGGACTTCATGTCTAAAACACCAAAAGCAATGGCAACAATAGCCAAAATTGACAAATGGGATCTAATTAAAGTAAAGAGCTTCTGCACAGCAAAAGAAACTACCATCAGAGTGAACAGGCAACCTATAGAATGGGGGAAAATTTTTGCAATCTACTCATCTGACAAAGGGCTAATATCCAGAATCTACAAAGAACTCAAACAAATTTACTAGAAAAAAATCAAACAACCCCATCAAAAAGTGGGCGAAGGATACGAACAGACACTTCTCAAAAGAAGACATTTATGCAGCCAACAGACACATGAAAAAATGCTCATCATCACTGACCATCAGAGAAATGCAAATCAAAACCACAATGAGATACCATCTCACACTAGTTAGAATGGCAATCATTAAAAAGTCAGGAAACGACAGGTGCTGGAGAGGACGTAGAGAAATAGGAACACTTTTACACTGTTGGTGGGACTGTAAACTAGTTCAACCATTGTGGAAGACAGTATGGCGATTTCTCAAGGATCTAGAACTAGAAATACCATTTGATCCAACTATCCCATTACTGGGTATATACCCAAAGGATTATAAATCATGCTGCTATAAAGACACATGCACATGTATGTTCATTGAGGCACTATTCACAATAGCAAAGACTTGAAACCAACCCAAATGTCCATCAGTGATAGACTGGATTAAGAAAATGTGGCACATATACACCATGGAATACTATGCAGCCATAAAAAATGATGAGTTCACATCCTTTGTAGGGACATAGATGAAGTTGGAAACCATCACTCTCAGCAAACTATCACAAAGACAAAAAACCAAACACCGCATGTTCTCACTTATAGGTGGGAACTGAACAATGAGAACACTTGGACACAGGAAGGGGAACATCACACACTGGGGCCTGTTGTGCGGTGGGGGGAGGGGGGAGAGATAGCATTAGGAGATATACCTAATGTAAATGAAGAGTTAATGGGTGCAGCACACCAACATGGCACATGTATACATATGTAACAAGCCTGCACGTTGTGCACATGTACCCTAGAACTTAAAGTACAGTAATAATAAAAAAAAGATCTCATTTAACAAAGGCAGTATTTGGATATCAAAAAAAAAAAAAGTTGTGCTTTGGAATTGGAAGAGTCCTTTCACTTGAGCAGTCTTTTCTAAGTTGTGAAACATTTTCTTTTATGACTAAGCCATTCACTAATCCCCTCAATTCCCTAAACCTAGGAACATGTCCACATTTTCCACAGGGCTTGAATGGCAATCTCCCTCCACTGACAAGAAAAGATTCTCCTATGAGACTTTGTAACTGGTCACACGAAAACAATCGTCCTTCAAAACAAAGAAATCAAGACAAATGTCTTTTTTTAATTTTTTAATTATACATTGACAAATTATGGTCATATATATTGAGTACAAAGTGATGTTATGATTTATGAATATAATCTGGAAAAATTCAATAAACTAATAGATCCATCATCTCAAATACTTATCTTTTTTTGTACTAAGAACATTTGAAATTTACTCTCTTAGTGATTTTGAAATGTACAATACATTATTATATTCATCATACTTTGCAATATATCTCAAAGGGAAAAAAGCTTATTTCTCCTTTCTAATTAAGGCTTTGTACTCTTTGAACATCATCTCCCAATTCTCCCCACCCACCCCCAGCCTCTGGTAACCATCTTTCCACTCTCTGCTTCTTCGAGTTCATTTTTTTTTTTTAAGATTACACATACAAGTGAGAACATGCAGCATTTGTCTTTCTGTGTCCTGTTTACTTCATTTAGCATAATGTCCTCCAGTCCCATCTGATATGGTTTGGCTCTGTGCCTCCACCCAAACCTCACCTTGAATTGTAATAACCCTCGTGTGTCAAGGGTGGGACCAGATGGAGATAATTGAATCCCCCATGCTGTTCTCATGATAGTGAGTGAGTTCTCATGAGATCTGATGGTTTGATAAGCGGGCTTTTCCCCCTTAGCTCTGCACTTCTCCTTCCTGCCATCATGTGAAAAAGGACGTGTTTGCTTCCCCTTCCACCGTGATTGTAAGTTTCCTGAGGCCTCCCAAGCCATGCAGAACTGTGAGTCAATTAAGCCTCTTTCCTTTATAAATTACCCAGTCTTGGGCATGTGTTTATTAGCAGCGTGAGAACGGACTAACACACCATCCATGTTGTCCCATCCCACTTACAGGTATTTAACCAGAATATTTGAAATCAGCATGTCGAAGAGATGTTTGCCCTCCCATTTTCATTGCGGCACTATCCACAGTAGCCAAGTTATGGAATCAGCCTAGACAAGTGTCTTCCACGAGTACCTTGTAAGTCTAAAATCTCCCAGTTCCAAAACTTAAGAGTAGGGAATTGGTGAAAAGCCTCAGAATTGCCTCCAGCTGCCTGAGCTCTCCTGATAACCTATTTTGACCCCTGCAAACCAATCCCTCAGCCATATCAAATGCAGACCAGTAATGACCTCTAACAACGTGGAACTTAACAGCCCAGTGTTTCCGAGCCAGGAGTGGCTTAAGCCAGATGTGCATGCAAAATAGAGCTGGTAAAATACTGAATAATACCTCTTGTTAAACATGTTTTTCCAAGACCTCCAGCTATCTATTGCTCTTTTTTTTTTTTTAGGCTTAGTGAGGTGAACTACCTTTCCCCCACAGACCTCCCTGCAAATTGCTTTTCAATAATCCTAACACAACCTGCTGGCAGCTGTATTCTACATAACAATGCAACTCACCTGCAATTATAACTCTCGCTTTGATGTAAGACCAATTTAAAGATAGAGAATCTGGTCTAATTAAGGCAGCTCAAGCTCAGGCTGATAAGGGCCACCTTCATTACAGCTCAAGTGAGCTGAAAGCAGCCCTAAAGAGTCAGGAATCGGCTGGGAATATTTTCAAGGCATTTCAAAGCCCAGTGCATTGTAAAACAGGATTTTGGTCTCTGCATCTACTTCTATGGACTCACTAGCAGAGTTGTTTCTTCCCTTGGTCTACCCATGCAAAACATTTTCTCAGCATTTGAAAGACACAATGACAAAAAGAGGTACTGTTCTGGAAGATGCTTACCCTGCGTCAATCCAATGATGTCAAGTCATCTCTACATAAAACACTCCAGTGGCGTCCTGTTGCTCTTAGAATAAAACCTCATCTCCTTTTGTCCTGGCCCACAAGGCTTTGCACAGCCTGGGCCCCATCTCCAGGTACAGTCTTATCTCATTGCCTGCTCCCCTTGGTTACAGGATTCAGCCACTACATGGAACTATGCCTGGGCTCATGGTACTGGTATTTATGGTTCCGTCTGCCTAGAATCTTGTTCTCTGCATAGTTGGCTCCTTCGCATTGTCTCAGACCCAATGTCACCTCCTAGGAGAGCTCTTCCCTAACCACTCCATTTACAGCAGACACACTCTTCTTTCATGTCATCCTGTTTCATTTTTTGTGTGTGATCTCTTTTGTTCACATTTTAAATTTTGGATAGTTTCCTGGTACCTAGCAGAGCACCTAGTAAGCACTCAATATAAAATTGTAGAAGGAGTAAATTGACAAAAGACAAATGGCCTCTCGTTAATGCACCGATACAATATGCAAGGGTTTGCTGGGGGTGAGGGGACTCAGATGCCTCTTGCCATGCTAAGATTCCTCCTCCAAGGACAGAAATGAGTGTCCCGAGCCTCTGCTTGGACACCTCTGGTGACATGTTGCCCTGTTGGCCACGAGAGCCCATTTTCCACAAAGCTGATTTGAATCTCCATGAAAAAACTCCAGGGTAGACATTACTCAAAAGCATTCATTGCAATGCTGACTTCCCTGCACCGTCCCTTCCTGACAACGAGCAGGATGCAAGCAGTTCATTTTGGCTTCTGGCCCCCTTCACATAAAGGGCTTCCTGGCCAGATTTAGTGTAATATTAATGAATATGAGGCTAGTGATAAGATTCAACACTTACTGACTCCATGCCATGTGCCACATCCCAACAGGGATGCTTCTGCAAAGCCGCTGGCATACAATTAATTTGCAGGCATGAGGCTGTTGGGTGCCCTTCCCCACCAGCCATGGGCACACTAATGAACTAAGTCTGTGCCTCAGCTTTGGCCTTGACCACAGCAGTGCTGGCCCAGCCAGAGCAGAGGCCATGATTACCAAGGGCCAGCTGGGCCCAAGCTCGGCCGGGAAGCCTCCGCACAGTGTGGCTGCCCTGCCGGCGCGCTGTGTAAATGATTTCACACTTCAGTGGCCGAATCAATTGGGTGTTTCTCTGCTTAAGAATTGCCTGGATAAAATGTTTCCTTCCCTATAGTCAGGGCATGTTCTTGGCCCTTCAGGGGGCCTTTGAAAAGGGCTGGTTTTGTATTTAAGAGTAAAGCGTCGCTATCAGGAATGTTTAATATATTCTTCAGCAATTGAGAGGCGACACTCGCCTCGGAACCCCCTGACAGAGATGCCTCTGAAGGGATTTGGAAGCATCCTGGGAGGGAGAAATGTCATGTTGCCGGCTCTTGGCTGAGGACAGGCAACTCCAGGATGGGGAGTGATGTCAGAGGTGGGGAGGTTGGGGAGATGTTCAGAAGAAAAGGAGGGCAGAGCAGGTGGGGATACAGCCCCACATGGAGCTCATGGGGACGCCCCTGGAAAAGGAAGCCAAGCCGGTGGCGTCTGGGTAGTCAGCTGTGCCAAGGGCCTGTGGGGTGAATTTGGTCAGTGCTGGGGAGAGGGATGGTGCTTCTTGTATTCTCCTTTGGCATGTGAGTACCCTCAGAATTCTCATCTGCCTTAGAAAACCGACTGCATGACCTGACACAAGGACATGCTATGAACCCCAGGGTGAGGCAAGAATTTCTATATCATGGGCATAGGCTTGGTTAGACTTCTGTTTGGGGGCAGTGGTGGGAAGGAGGTGGCTCATCGTTTTTATCCAGCGCATACATTGGAGGTGGGGGCAGGGAGGCTGGATGGAACCCTGGGTTCACAGGGCAGAACAAGTTCTGCCCTGGAGCATCTTCGTGCTCCTCCATGGGAAGGGGCCAAGGGGGCCGTTTCTGTAAGGTTGCTGCCTTGTGGTGAGGGCAGGGGGCAGGTGAAGGAGGGAGAGATCTGGAGAAATCTCTTATGGGAACTTCCATCTTGAAACTTCCTGATCTGAGTTCCTCCAGGGAACTGAGAGGCTAATCTACCTGTATGTAGGTGGAAAAATCAGTTCAGGCAACTAACCGGTCAATTAATGGGGAAAGTCCAGGCCCTAGTTCAAAATACTTGTTTTCCTGAAGAATCTAATCTATTCAGTCAAAGTGATTGATTATCTTTGCTGAGTGGACCATGGATAGCAGCATCCTAGTCCTACGTGAGTCTGTTTCCACAAGTTTCCCCCCAGCTGTTGTCTGCAGGAGAAGCAAGTATTTCTCCCCTATTCAAAGCAACAGCAGCTACCTTTTTTTTAAGAGTAAAATATACAAAAGAGAGGGATAAAGCTGGTCAGGGTGCCAGCACCCACCTCTGCTCCTCAGATTCTCTCAAGGCCAGGAAAGAAGCTTCTGGAAGCTCAGCACAGTTGACTCTGATGACAGGTCTCACACAGCAATCTAAACCTAAAATAACATCTCTCATCTTATGGTCAATCATTGAATTGACTGTAATCGTTATTAAGAGGAAAACAGCGATTTCATATTTCAATAGAGTTTTCTAAGAAGAAAACAAAACTTAGAAGTGTGAAAATATGGTAAAATCTAATGAAAAGGCAAAGATTTCAACTACTCACAATGAATTTTCCACATGATCCACTCAGGCACATGGATGAAAAATGAACATTGAATAATATACAGATGAATAATTACAGGCAAATGAATAAGAGGGGAAGGTAAACACATCCCTACCCCAAAAAAGATGCTGGACACTGTGTTGTCATCAGGAAGGAGTTGGACTTATCCCTACAAATTAAACAAATGAGGCAACTATCTGTGTGGCCAAATCCCACCTCTCCAATATTCAGACAATTAGAGCTGCAAAGTGCATTTCCCTAAATAGGGTAGTGGGCTTGGTTCTAGAGGCTTCTTGTAGCGTCGTAATCTGCCAGCACTGTCTGACTCCCAGGTAGCACCGCTAGGCAGAATCATCAGCCAGGATCCCTCCCCTGCAGTCCCCAGGCAGGGAGGGGGTTGGAGAGGAGGCGGCCTCAGACAGTATTGACATTGTCTTTGGTGCATCAGAAAACCTCTTCAAGATTCTAATGCCTTCTCCCCAAAGATCGTTAACTAAGTCTTCAGGTATATTCAATATTTCAACTTAGGAGAGAGAACGCCAAGTCGATGCCATTGTCCCAGCATCTTTTCATATGGAAGCCTTTCAAATACATAACCACATTATAAACGATCCCACCCCAGCCAGGGGGCCTCTCCACAGCACGAAGAACGGAGCCCATAAAGTCTGTTTGACATTCAAAACCTGCTTTGACCACCCACAGACTGCACAGGTCTCAATCTGCCTCGGGGAGCGCATGCAGTGCTGAGAGGGGTGCAGAGCACAGCTTTTGTTAGAGCCCCGTGGCATCTTCCAGAGAAGGGGGCCCACTCCCAGAGAGCCCACAGCACTCATGCCAAAGACTGAGACAGAGAGGCTGGAGGCCTGGTGTCATGGAGCCCCCAGCCCCACACTGCACAGAAGCACTACTGTGTTTGGTGACACTGAGGACTAGCCGTTCACTGAGGATTTGAGAACACCCGCCAGCCACCTGTCCTATCTGCCACGGTGTGACTACTGCTCTGCCCTGAGTTATGCACCCTGGCTGGTGCACAAGTCTGAGCCTCAGTTTCTCCATCTGTCAGATACATTTAGATGAAATGGTTTCTAGGATGATGCAAGCATTCCCCTTCTAGGAGATTGTACCAGTTTCCTAGAGCTACAGTGACAAATTACCACAAATTAGGTGGTTTGAAACAGCAGCATTGTACCCTCTCCCAATTCTGGGAGCTAGATGTCTGCAGCCATGATGTGGGTAGGGCACATTCCCCCTGAAGGCTTTTGGGAAGGATCTTCCCTTGCTACTTCTGGGATTCCCGTGGTTGCCAGAAATCCTTGGCCTTCCCGGGCTCATAGACGCATCACTCCGATCTCTGCCTGTTATCTTCACATGTCTGTCTTCCCTGTGTGTCTCTGTCTTTGTCCAAATTTTCCTCTTCTTATAAAGACAACAGCCATTTGATTAGTGCCACCCCAATCCAGTATGCCCTCATCTTAACTTGATTTTATCTGCAAAGACCCTGTGTCCAAATAAGGTCACATTCAGAAGTGTCAAGTGTTAAGACTTGACATCTATTTTGGGAGGATTTGATTCAACCTAGTACAGAGACTGTACATTTTCCTTCTATTACACTGAACTGAGAATTTGGCATTTGTGTTGGCTTCAAGGTGATCACAGGGAATGTTAAGCACATGTGCTTTGTCTTGTAGGCTAAGGAAGAAGTTAAGCCACCTCTGCAGAGACTGACGATATCTGTGTCCAATATCCTGGAGGTTGACTTTGGACAAAACTTCCCCTCGCCACCGTTCTGAAATCTTCAGCCCTCTCCTTTACCAGATGATGGAGTAGAGGGGCTGAGAAGTGGCTGGAGTTTGCACAGCTGTGATGGGAGAGGCAGCAACACCTAGTGACTCAGGGAAATCTGCTTTCAAATCCTGGCTTTGACTTCCTCCTAGTAGCCATGTTCACTTGAGCACATCCCTTCATCCTATAAAACTGGGGATGATGAAGACAACATAGTACTTGCTTCACAGGGTTATACTGAAGATTAAATAAGTTCACAAATAATAAATGTGATTATTGTTCTGCCTGGGACTCAGGGCTGGATAAAGTTCAGTCATGGTCATTGGTAGACCTCTGTTTGTCTGAGAGGGCACCTTGTTGGATTTGGGAGTGTGGGCAAGTAGATTACTGCAAGGTTGCAAAGTTGAATTTAATGTTATGAATTTAATGTTATGACCCAAAGACATGTCTAAGAGATTGTGCAAGTTCTGCTACCAATAAGAATGATATTAAATGAGCACCTACCATGTGTCAAGCTAGTGATATGTGCTTTACATTCCACATCTTGTACACAATTAACCTAAAAGGTGGGGCCTATTTTTATGCCAACTGCACAGATGAGGCAACTGAAGCCTATAGTACTTCAGTGTCTTGCTCAGGTCACACAGCTGACTTTGTAGCCCTAGGCTTCCAACCCAGGTAAAACTAACAACCTCTAAGTTCTCCTGGCCTAGATACCCACCCTAGCATCCTCTGATGGGGAAGAACTGGGGCTGGAATGGAAAAATCTTGCCTTAAGCCTTGGAAGGCAAGCCAACCATGCAGGTAGAAAGCACAGAATCCCAGGGCCGGGCACGGTGGCTCATGCTTGTAATCCCAGCACTTTGGGAGGCTGAGGCAGGCCGATCATGAGGTCAAGAGATTGAGACCATCCTGGCCAACATGGTGAAACCCCGTCTCTACTAAAAATACAAAAATTAGCTGGGCGTGGTGGTGCATGCCTGTAGTCCCAGCTACTCAGGAGGCTGAGGCAGAAGAATCGCTTGAACCTGGGAGGCGGAGGTTGCACTGAGCCAAGATCGTGCCACTGCACTCCAGCCTGGTGACAGAGTGAGACCCTGTCTCAAAAAAAAAAAAAAAAAAAAAAAAAAAGAAAAAAAAAGAAAGAAAGAAAGTGCAGAATTCCTGGCAGGGCCCAGGCTGACATGTACACCTGAAGCAGAAAGACTAGCCCAGGGCCTTGGCTAGCTCTGCTCACAACTGGAAGCAACTTGCTCTCCAGCCCCAGGTTCATAAGCACCACTCCCCATTTCCTCTTTTCCACTCATTCAGCCAGAGAGGAGCCACACCACTCCCAGATCCTCCTCACATTGCAGCTTAGGAGTTCCTGGCAGCAAATACAAACACACGGCTCATGCCTGTAATCCCAGCACTTTGGGAGGCTGAGGCGGGTGGATCACTTGAGGTCAGGAGCTCGAGACCAGCCTGGCCAACATGGTGAAACCCCATGTCTACTAAAAATACAAAATGAGCCGGGCGTGGTGGCGGGTGCCTGTAATCCCAGCTACTCGGGAGACTGAGGCAGGAGAATCACTTGAACTCGGGAGGCAGAGGTTGCAGTGAGCCAAGATTGCACCATTGCACTCCAGCCTGGGCAACCAGAGCAAAACTCTGTCTCAAAAAAAACCAAACAAACACACACAAATGAGAGTGACAGCTCCCATCCTGGAAACTAGATTCCCCTTCACCCTTTCTCAGGCAGAAAGATGCAGGGGAATAAGCTAAGCTCCCAGGGTCACAGTCGGCCATTGGGTAATTCCAAGCCTCATGCCTCGCTTCTCCCAGCTCCCAGCTCCCAGCTCTGTGCATGAGCTTTGGCACAGTTGAGGCTAACGGCCAATCAGAGTCTGGCCTGTCAATGTCACTGGGAGATCATTTTTCACACTGTGACAGCCACAGAGCCAAAGTAGGTAGAAGGTGTGGGGGAGGGGGCCACCAGGCTTCAGCCTCACTCCCAACCCAGTGACACCATCACTGCTGGCTGCCGTCCTCCCTGGCCCACCATGCTTGCACATCCTGTTCCTTCCTACCTGGCTAAAGGCTTTGACTTAAGCCCACTCTAATGTTCAGGGTTTTGAGAAGCAGGAGGTTCATTATCAGGGCAGTAGGGATAAACACCTAGGCCATCAAGAGATTGGGATCCCACCCAAGATGTTGACTATTTTCCTACTGATGGGGGAAGTTACCAATTAATCATTCCTAGGCATCAGTTTCCTCATCTGTTAAATGGTTATAATACCATCCTCATGTATGAGAAGTGAAAGAATGTCCCCAAAGCACTCAGCTTGGAGCCTGCCACATGCAATAGATGTTGCTTACATCATCATCATCATCATCAGAGGAATGCTCATGAATTTGGAAAGGGCGCTTAGCCACAATTTTGGGCAGGGGAGTGGAAAACAGGGCTGGTCCATTGATTCATAGGAGAAGGATGGTAACCCTGACTTTCACTTTCCTGGTCTGGGCTTTGTGGAAATGGGGAGGAAGTGGCAGAACAACTATATGAGAAAGGAAGTCAGGGAAGATGGGTGTTAGGAAAAAAGAGAAACCGAACTTCTCCAAGGCCTGGCTAGTGCCAGAGTCTGGGCTAGAAACACAAGATACTTCATTTAGTCTTCCCCAGAGCCCAGCCAGGCAGGTAAGGTTTCTGTCATTTTGCAGAAGAGGAAACTGAAGGTTAGTGATCATAAGAGACATGCCCCAAGTCCCTTGGCTGGTTAGGAGATTATGCTGAGACCTGAACCCAGCTCTGGCTGACCTTGTCAATGTGAACAGCAATTTCACACCACCGGTGGAGAGAAAAGCTACCTCCTAGACATAAACATCAACGAAGGCCAAAGCTGGAAAGTGCCTTCATCCATAAGTCCAGTACACCTTTTGTAGATTAAGGAAACCAGGCTCAGAGAGGTTAAGTAACTTGTCGAAAGGCACACAGTGAACTGGTGATGGGATAAGAACCAGAGCCCAGAGCTACAACTTTGTGCCAGGTCACTTCAGAATGGTCTCAGAATGCTCACAGCTCAGAAATACATACCTGTATTTGAAAGGAAAAGAGACATTTTGAATGTGCAGAAGGAAAGTTCCAGGAGTCTCTTGGTGAGGAGTTTGGGTGAGTGCCTGTCCTTTCCTGCTCCTTTTTCATCTCACACCAGGGGGCTCGCCCTCCTGCAGAGCCCCTTCCTCCCTCTGCCGTCTGAGGATTTCACAGCTGACTCTGACAATGAATATGATTTCCTCATCTCAGTCTTACTGAGGAGAAAGGATCAAACACTGCACTTTCAGGATTCGTGAACTATTGTTGAAAGGGTAATAGACCCCTGAACATGTAATTTTTCAGGAAACTTTTGGGTCTTGAAAATATACATTGTGTCAAGAGCCTGCATCATTTGAAAGAACATTCTTGCCAATCTTGAAAGGATTTTTGTAGCTGTTGTTGAGAGCTGTGCCCAACAAAAGGGGCTGGGTTAAATGTTTCTTATTAAGCTAACCTAGGATCATAGCTGTTTAGGTGCGTTCGACTTGAATCATTCTTATCACAGTGACAACAATATTATTCACAACAGTAACTATTTATTGAATGTTTATCTCTGTGTCTGGTACTGTGCTGAACATGTTACATGAGTTCATCTCACTCTCACATACACCCTCCACACACACCCCTGCCAAGTAGGTAGTGTAGTTAATATTGCCATTTTACAAGTGAGAAAATTGAGGATCAGGGAGGTCAAGTCACTTGCCCAAGGACACACAGATGTTTAGAAGCCAGGTTTTAAACCTGGGACATGCGCCTCCAAGCCTTCATCATGAAGCCATTGATTAAAGAGACATCAGATGAAGACACACCCACCTGTCTTCCTATGTCTCGCCAGCCATTCCTTTCAAACAGGTATGCCCAATTCCTCACTCTTACCTGTGAGCTTGGGCCTATTACAAGGCCTTCATATATCCAGTCAACAAACCTCCCCACATACTGACTGTTATGGTCTAAACATGTATGCCCCTACCAAAATTCTATGTTGAAACCTAATCTCCAATGTGGTATTAAGATGGGGGGGGGGGGCCTCTCAATGAGCCCAGATGAATGGGATTAGTGCCCTTATAAAAGAGGCCTGAGGGCACTCCTTCACCTCTCACCCTTTCACCACCTGAGGATGCAGCAAGAAGGCCCATCTAGGAGAAGGAGGGCCCTTAACAGATTCTGAATCTGCCAGCACCTTGATCTTGGACTTCCCAGCCCCCAGAACTGTGAGCAATATATTTCTGTTGTTTTTCAATTACCCACTCTAAGGTATTTTGCTTTAGCAGCCCAGACAGACAAAGACACAGATTGTCTAACTAGGAGACAGGTGCTATCCTGTGCTCTGGAGATCAAAGGGTGAAGAAGGTGATGTTCTGCTTTCAAGGTCCCATTGTCTACCGGGTGAGGCAGGCCATAAACGGGGACATGAGGCCCCCAGTGATAACAGAACAAAGGGTGGAGGGGATAGAGCTAGGAGCAGCCAAACCTGCAAAGAATGTGGCACTGAAGCTCAATCTCTAGGAAATTTCAAGGATGAAGGGGAGCTTGCTTGACACAGAGGAGGCCCAGGGGCCATTTTATGCTGAAGGCACAGCATGGACGACAGCACAGAGGCATGAAAGGGCCGGGCAGGCCCGAGATCAGTGAGAAGAACGGCCTGGATTCCAGGCGTCGTCCTGACCTTGCTGGAGCATTCGGCGCTCGCTGCCCTGACGGCTGTCCTGAATTCTCACTTCCTTCTGTATGTTCCTAATCCCCTTCTTTGATTCCTGGGGCTCTCTATTTCTGCTGGATTTGGCTGTGTTTGTCTGCTTGGCTGTTGCCCACTCACCAAGTTTCTGATTCACAGCATCTCTTGACTTTTATACTAACAGGTCCTAAATTTTTGGAGGGCCAAAATGGTTTCTAAATTTAGGACCCCTTAGGATCCCTGCTTCCCAGCACTGTGCTGGGAAACGAAATAGGTGCTTTAAAAATCGTGGTGGTGAGGAAATTCTATCCTGGTTTCTGTTTGTTCCTCTGAGGATGGTGCCCACAAGTCCAGGGCACACTCTGGGCCACTCACCAGGTGGAGGGCTTCAGACCCCTGCCTCCTGAGCCAGGTGCTGGGAGGGCACTTCCCCCTGCCCTCCCTCTTCTGCCCTGGCCTCCTATCCTTGGCCTTCCAGGTACCTGTCCCTGAGTCTAGCCTCCTGAGCCAAGTTTTCTGGATGGGAAGGGAAGGTCACTGTAACCATCCAATGTCCATGGTAGGCTTTGGGGAGGGGGTCCAGAACCCCTTGACATACGCCATGTTTTGGCGTGAGTGCATCTGTGTGTTTTTAGGGAAGTAATTCAACATAGGGTTTAAAGAATCAGGCTCAGAAGCAAGGGTACCCAGGTTCAACCCTGACTTTACTACTTAGTAAGTGGTATGGGTTGATTGTGTCCTCCAAAAAGATATGGTGAAGTCCTAGCCCCCAATACCACAGAATGTGACCTTATTTGCAAATTGGGTCCTTGCAGATGTAATTAGTTAAAATGAGGTCATTAGGGTGGGATCCCTAGCCCAACATGACTGGCGTCCTTTTAAAAAAAGAGGAAGAAGAGACACAGACAGACATAGAGAAAGATGTGAGCATAGAGGCAGAGACTGGAGTTATTCAGCTGCAAGCCAAAGACTGCCAAGCATGGCCAGCAACACCAGCAGCCAGAAGAAAGGCATGGCACAGACTCTACCTTAAGAGAGTACGGCCCTGCCCACACTTTGAGCTCTAGTTCAGATCCAGCCCCCAGAACCATGAAAGAATACATTTCTGTTGTTCAGGGCACCAGCTATGCTTCCTTATGGCAACCCTAGGAAACGAATGCACAAAGTATAGCTGTGGCTGAGTTACTTAACTTTCTATGCCTCAGTATTTGCATTTGGCGAGAATAAATAGTATCTGCCTTTGAGGCTTGTTCAGAGGTTAGATAATCCATGGAAACATTCAGCATAAGGCCTGGCACAGGGTCAGTACTCCATAAAAGTTGCCGTCATTCCTACTTACATGTTCATTTTTGTAGGAAAAGGGACCATGGATTTTATTTGATTCTCAAATAGATCACGTCCCAAAAAGAGAGTTAAGAAGCACAGTCCTGGGTCTTTCTATCTACAGGAGACTGCGGCAAGAGATGGGCAAAAGGCCACCCCTGCCAACCAGAGCCTTGTGGAACTCCACCCTCCTCCAGGGCTCTCAATCCTGTGATTGTGTGCAAGGTCCTGCTCTGCCACAGAGGAAAGATGCTGGAATTCTCTGAGCACCTCCTCTGCACTGGAGTTGCAGGAGGTACTCATGATTCACAAATATGGCCTCATTGCATACTTATAACCATTCCAAGAGGCAAGAAAAATCATCTCCATTGTATAGATGAAGAAATCAAGTGATCAGTCCCTCTTGCTCCCTCCTGCTAGAGATATCCGTCACCCACCTTGCCTGGGACATATCTCAGAGGACCATGAAACTTCACAGATTTGACCAAGTGGGTGGATAGACGTGGGGATCCCAAAACCAGAAAATCATGGGGACAAGTCCTCAACAAACGTCACAGCTTGGCCACAGAGAAGTGCTAACTTAGTGTTAAACAGGAAGTCAAAATTGTTTAGGAGACAAAAGTGGAATGAAATCATCCTCTGGCTTTTCATGTGATAATGGAAAATTACATCACAATCCACCGAGTTACAGACTGTTACTCCTGATTCTCCCTGTGCCTGCAGACTTCTCCATGTCCACCCCCAACCAGATGATGCTAATGAATGGGTATGTTCTCTGCTAGGAGAGGGCAGACACCATGTCGCCCAGGGCATTTCCTTTTTGGCTTCTGCTGCTAAAAATGTCCAGCCCAGGTCATTGCCCAAATCCAAAAATCTACTTAGCCAAGTCCCTCAAAGCAATGACTCTTCTTTCCACTTCCATGAGATAGCTCAGTTCCCTTTATTTGGCCAAGCATTGTCCTTTAATGCATGAACTTCCTCAAGCCACCCAGGAAAAAGCTGGAAAGCAAACCCCAAATGCACAGTTACAATGCAACGGGCCATTAGCTTAAAGTTTCCAAGACATTGGCAGGAAGATGACTTTTCCCAGATGGCAGAGCCACATCTGGAGGAGTCTGAGGAGTGCAGGAAGCATGGAGGCATCTTGGCCAAGTGGTGATTTCTTCACCCCAAGCCATGGCTAGGTGTGTGTGCCAACATCTGCCACCTACTTATGTTTGGAGCTAGGTAGGAATGGCTGATTCTATCTTTAAATTGGTTCAATCCTTTTGACTAATTTTGTGGGTTTGTTCAATCCCCCAAAAGTCAAAAGCCTTTTTCAACTTTTTATTAAAAACAACTTTTCTCTCAAATGTGTTAATTAACTGAGTGAGTGCAAATGACCAAACCGGTTGGGTATACTTGTATATACAACCAAAGCCACACATGTATATCAGGATGGAGAAATGATTGAATTTTTTTACCTACTGGTAAGAAATTACCACCTGTCTTGATCCTGGGAGGGAAGAAGGGATATAAATATGAATCATCCAAACTGAGTTTCTGCCTGGGGGGAGTTCACAATCTGCATGCCTCTCCTTGTCCCTTTTCCTGCCCCACCTGTGTTGATTTGGACCCAATCTTGGCCAGCATAGGGTCTGAATTCTGATCTTCTGGGCCACCTTTCCTAGAAAAGAGAATCTTGAGAAGAGATGTTGCAGGAGATAGCATTTCTACTCCATTCCAGATGTATCCTTCCTAGGTTATTTCAACATTTCCTTCCCAGATATGAGACGAGATGCCATATGTGAGCACAGAACTCCGTCTGCATCTGGCAAGCATGCTGACATTAGTTTCTTCCTCGGTGGTAGTAAAAAGACAAGTTGCGGAGACCTCAGCCAGCTCCCCCAGATACCCTGGGAGTCCTGGAGCAGCTTAACACAACTGGGCCAAGTGGCAAACAGAGAGAAAAGCAAGCAATGCCCGGCAGATTCCAACACCTCTATGTAATGATCACCAAAGCTCTCAGACACCCAACTTAGCACAGAGCCATATTCTCTCACCTGGATATTTTTTAAAAGAAGCAAAATTCCTTGGAAGCTTTTGGACCCTTTTCTAAGCATAACTCAGCAGTGCCTCCCAACTCAAGTTTGGGGTTATGAATCTTTCTTTATCATCATAGCCTACCAAGTCATTGCCTCACACTCTAGTCTGGTCACCAATTCAGGAAGTGGGCCCCCCAATAGCCTTCTCGTACACTTGGAACTTAAATACTGTAAAAGGCAACAGCATTTACAGCAAACTTGAGTGGCCCAAAATATGCAGTTCCATTCACCTGATCTCCCAACTCCGATGGACTCAGCAGCCTTGCCAGAAAGCACAGGCTCCCACTAATTCACTACCGACCTGCCAACAGCGTGCTGCCAATCTCCGGGATACAAGAGGGCTCAAGCATTCATCATCCCCCAGTGGGATGTTTCACTCTCCCCTGACTTTGTTCTGGATGTTTGGAAATAGAGCGATGTTGATGACTTCTTTAGAAGAAAGTGCCACAGCCACTTCCTCACAGTCCCATGGCCAGCCTCCCAAAATGCACCACATAAATATTTATTATAGCGCAACAGGGGTCAGCCTGAGTTCATTAGTTTTTCTGATTATCCCCGGCATTTGATGTGAGAAGGAAATACTGTAAATATTTACTGAGTACTCTGATCGGAGAGTCTGACTTTGGCTCCAAACGGCTCACCCACATCTCTCCCACAGGCGAGACAGGCACCAGCCCACGTGCACTGAGGGAAAACCCACAGGGAGATGGTGGAGTTGCAGCTGCAAGCCAGGACGGCCGCTCTGAGAAGGAACAGGAGGTGCCCTGAGCTCTGAGTTTCTATAATGGAAGCACCTTTAATTATTCATAAACACAAGGGTTTAACATTATTTATAGTATTAAAGTTAATCATTTATTTAGCACAGTTTCTCCAAACGAGCTCAAGATAACCTTTATAATGCTCATTTAGCAGCAACTTATAATAATTAGTACTTGTTCCTTTTCTGTCTGCCCAGCTAGACCATAGACATCCCAAAGGGAGGGCCAGTATCTGACTGGTTGTCTGCTTTATTTCGTGTTTAGAACAGTCTTTTACATAGTAGGTGCTTAATATGTATTGGTAGATGAAATACGTCAATTAAGACCTTGGCTTTTCATTTGACTTCCAAAAAGGCACTTAGAAAATCAAAAAAAGATACTATTTCAAGGCTTCCTTCAGTTCAGGTAGGTTCAGCTCCCAAATTTGGATCACCTTACGTGTCTTTCTCTGGGGTCGTCTAAAGAGCCCTGTACAGAGTTAGGAGGCCTGGTACTCTTTCCACCACTGACCAGCCATGTGAGTCAGGCCTAATAACCTTAAAAATGAAACACAAACCCACCGCTCTAGTAATATCATTGCATTTTTAAACAGGTCTTAGAAATGGAAAAGTCTGGACTTGAAGGGCCAGCATTGACTTAGACAGGCACTGACTTAGGTCACTGATCAAGAATTTTTCATGTGGGATCCTTGGATCCCCTAGAGATTCATGCTTCTAGGGCTATGAAACACCTGAAATTGTATGCACAGATGCAAACAATGCAAATGTCACTTACATCTGGTAAGAGAGATTGCATAGCCTTAACTAGACTCTCTAAGGACCCCATAATAAAAATAAAGTTAAGAATCGGTCTCTCTGTTTCTCTAAGAGTTGGGATGGTGGTGGGACAGATTAACTCTGGCCTACTTGGCACATAAATCCATGGTGAACATGCGCACCCTCTCCTAGCACTGGACACCCCTTCCATCTTCTATCCCTGCCTGAGGTTTGCTCCCACCCTGGTCTATTAGCCCATCCTCCCTTCTGTATCCTATGCCCCCAAAGTGACCAGTGGCTCCACTGGCCAGGACTGAGGACCTGTGGATTGATGCATCACTGTGGGCCTTTCCAGCCCTACATTCAAGCCCATGTCTGGCCTTTTCCTTCTCATCTTTGAGTGCACAATGCTGTACAAATGTACATTTTACATTTGCTACATTCTAAAGCAATAGTCTTTTCTATTCGAACCTGCCTGTGATGCTGGCTTTGTGGAATGTTTTTGAGAGAAAGAGTGCCGGTGTCTCTCTAGGACTATGAGGGTAGTGAGTGCAGGCCTGATTGCCCTGTTCTGTGTAGAGCAGAGCATCTGCATGAGTAGTATCAAGGCTTGGGTCCTATAGCCCATATTCCAGCCAGGAATTAGTAGGGGGAGATCAGTTGGCTGCATTACTAGCAGTTTCTAGTGGCTGTGTGTCAGCATCCATTTGGTGAAAGTGCTATTTGTCTTGACTCTTCTGCCTGCCATTTAATCATTAGAGCACCTGCCCTTCGAGTTCAGACTTTTCCATTTCTGAGACCATTTAAAAATGCAATGATATTATTAGAGGAGGTGAGGTAGGGGATTTGTGTTGCTTTTTTAAGGTTATTAGCTAACATCTTAAGTTGTCACGCTAGCAAAACCAAGGAGAGTCAGCTACTTGAAAGTGGGTGAATAATTTTATTTCTGTGGGCTCTTGTTTCCTCAGCTCCACAATGAAGTGGTTGGGTTACAGTAAGCAAATAGACTTCAACTCCAGTGTAACTCTGGGTGCCTAGCCCCACACTTCTCAAACTGTATTGTGTATAGAGATCCTCCAGGATCTTCTTCAATGCAGATTGTATTAGTCCATTTTCACGCTGCTGATAAAGACATACCCAAGACTGGGTAATTTAGAAAGAAAGAGAGGTTTAATGGACTGGACTCACAGTTCAATGTGGCAGGGGAGGCCTCACAATCATGGTGGAAGGTGAAAGGCACATCTTACATGGTGGCAGACAAGAGAGAATGAGAGAGCCTATGTAGGGAAACTCCCCTTTATAAAACCATCAGATCTCATGAGGCTTATTCACTACCAGGAGAACAACACAGGAAAGATGTGCCCCCATGATTCAATTGCCTCCCACTGGGTCCCTCCCACAACATGTGGGGATTATGGGAGCTACAATTCAAAATGAGATTTGGGAGGGGACACAGCCAAATCATATCACAGATTATAATTCAATAGTCCTGGAGCAGGGTTTGTGATTCCAAACATGTCTATCAAACTCTCAGATGATGCCAGTGCTGCTGGTCCATGGAGCACATACGTAGCAAGGTTCTAAACCACTGTATCAGGAGAACGTTGAGGCTAGTCTGGACCCATGAGGAAAAAGTAGCAGGACTGATGAGAAGGAAGAGGCGGAAGGTGAATTTTTAATACTCAGACTAGATGTTTCTAAAGGAAGCACCTTTGAAGTCTAACACTGTCATTCTCAAAATGGGTCCCCTGATTAGCAGCAACAGCATCACCTGGGAACTTGTTAGAGCTGCATAGTCTTGGACCCTGTCACCCCAGAACCTACTGAATCAGAAGTGGGCTTCTGCGATCTGGAGTTTAACATGCCTTCCAGGTGATTCCAGCGCATGTTCAAGTTTGAGAAGCATTCATCAACATACGAGTCTTCTACAGAGTGAATGACTGTCAGCTCAGGTCAGGAATATGCACAGCTTCAGCAAGCGAGACAGGGGTGTTGTCCCAAGGGAGAAAAGAGGTCTAGATAATACAACCTGATGGAGGCCAAAAATACCCCTCCCTATTTACTTCGTATTCAACTATGGAGCTCTGATAAAAATCATTAAATATTAAGAGGGCACTTCAAGCTTCTTTGGTACCCCTCAATTAAGTTTATTTTCCAACCCACAGAATGTAACACAGTAGCATGATCTACTTGTCATTCCCACAGCCTTGGGAATTGCACCTAGTGAGTTTCAGACAAAATTCCATTTTGTTCATAGCTGGCACGTGAGCTGAGTCTCCAGCTTGACCAACTGTTTCTTCCTAATTGGACTGTTTCCATATGCCTAGACATTTTAAATAGCAGTCTCCAGAAATAGTCGGGTGCTGAAAACTTGGGTTCAAATAGAGTCCTGGCCCAAGAAAAATTAATGATAGGCCAACCACCTGTACCTTCTTAAAAATGGTAGAAAAATAATCGATACATCAAAAAGTAGGAAAGGGCTCTCTCCTTGTACCCCATCTCCACTACTCTGGGAAAAATACTAAAAATCAAGAAAAACAACACTCGGGTGTGAAACAGATTATGAATCAGCTGGAGGCAAAGAAGTTGCAGTTCTATCCAATTACACAAATTTAATTGGGTGTTAAAAAAAATCCTAGGTCACAACAGTACTTTCTTGGCCAGACAGAGGTCTGTACTGAGAGTGAGTAGCACCTCTATTTGTTAGGAATTGTGATTTCGGGCTGGGGAGGGAAAGCATCACACATTGCTTAGAGTACCCCAAGATGGGCGCCATTTTGACTTTGAGGAATCTGAAGCCTGGTTTGGATGGTAAAGACTTCAAAGTTCTTCTCTGGGACTTAAGAAGGCACGGTCTGAAGCAAGTCCCTCCAAATTCTTTTAGACCATGGGCTACTAGGGAAAGTCCTATATTCAGTCTCTCCCACTCACTTCTTGTAAATCTCAAATCAACATCCAAATATGTAAAAAACTGCACACAACTAGAATGTCTAACTGTGAGAGAAAGGTTGAGAGACTTACGCTACATGGATAACATGGTGACCAGTGAGGCCAGCATAAACATTCATGAAGAATTTCTAATGGCAGGGAGAAATGCCTGTGATCGAGTGTTTAAAAATGTAGGGTACACGATTGTGGTATGGTGTGTTCTCATCAATGTCCAAAAGGACATAGAAAAGTAGCCCGAATTCATAAGTGATTTCCATTCAACGATGGATTGACAGGCAATGGTATTTTCTCTATCTTGTTTTATTGCATTTTATAAAATGCCACAACTTCATGTATTATTAATGTATTATTAATTTCTTTTTTTTTTTTTTTTGAGACAGAGCTTCACTCTTATTGCCCAAGCTGGAGTGCAATGGCATGATCTCGGCTCACTGCAACCTCTACCTCCCAGGTTCAAGTGATTCTCCTGCCTCAGCCTCCCGAATAGCTGGGATTACAGGCACCCACCACCACGCCCAGCTAATTTTTGTATTTTCAATAGAGACAGGGCTTTACCCTGCTGGCCAGGCTAGTCTGTAACTCATGACCTCAGGTGATCCACCTGTCTTGACCTCCCAAAGTGCTAGAATTACGGGCATGAGCCACCGTGCCTGGCCTATTATTTTTTACACAGAAACAATAAGTTTAATTTAAACAAATTTGCTCCTAGTTAGATGTGCCACTTTAATTTGACTGGTCTGTCCTCTGTACCTGGCTCACACTTTTTTCTTTCAAACCCTCTTCTCCAAGCCATTCCTTCACCTGGCATAGTCTCCTTGCTCCTCTCTGCCTATAAAAACTTTCTCCATCCTTCAGCCTATTGGGTCCCCTATTCTTCCATGGAAGCCAATGGGACCATTCCAGTTGTACAGCATCCCCTCTTCTGAACTCCTGTACCACTGTTTCACCTACACCATTTGGGAAGCCTTGGAATGTGAGAATATTTTACTATCAGCATGTCATGGGGCCCAGGCATCAGTACTTTTTAAAACTCCCTAGGTGATTCTGGTATGTAGCCAGGATTGAGAATCACTCTAATCAAGTCAAAAGTCACCTCCTATCTATACAGTAACCATCTGTCCCAGATTTTCTGTGCCAATTCTAATTCGAATGTCTGTCATCGATCCCACATAAACCATAGAAGCTTCACAGAAATCCCAACGTTCCAGTGCTTAACTGTCATTATTATTATTATTATAACCATATTAACCATGTCTCTGAGATGCACTTGGATACCAGACCCACATTACAGTTTTTTGATTGGTTCAGATATATTTGTTTTGAGTTCCACAGGGATTTAGAAAAAAAAAAAAAAAGACACCAAATTAAATTTGTGTTTCAGATGAACAATAAATACTTTTTAAGGATGCATATAGCCCAAATATTGCATGGGAGATACTTATCCTAAAAGTTTATTCAATGTTTACATGAAATGCAAATTTTAACTGGGCATCAGTATTTTATCTGGCAACACTTGGTTCAGAAGAAGGATTTCTGTACTTGAGAGCTTTTACTTTTTTACAGTGGAGCCCTCATATAGGACAGGCTGCACCCTCAAAGTGGCTGAGTTACTGACTACAGAATAGACTAACTCTAGAATCGGCAGGGGAAAAGGCCCAGCTTTCTAGGTTCTGTCCCTGAGGGGGCTTGTTAGTAAAATTTTACTTGCAGAAATACAGATAAGGCCAAAATATAAGTATTATTTCCAGGTTGCATCTAGAACTTGAAACTCAATAGTCTATGTGGGCAGTGACTCAAAGTGCAGGGTTCTGGAGTGAGATTGTTCTAGATGCCGCTCTCAAGCTGCCAATGTATGATTTGGGGCAAGCTAACTAACTTCCATAAGCCTTAATTTTTCTCCTGTGTAGAATGGGAATACTAATGTGTTTATACCTAATTGATTGGTCTGAAAATTAAATGAGATCATGTTTACAAAGTTCTTTGCATAGTGCTTGGTGCATTATTACTATTATTAATATATAAGCAATTTTTTCATATTCAGCCAACAAGAAAACAATGTATACCAGGGGGTTTGCTGCTGCTCCACCCAACTACCCTCTGGTCCTTATCTGACCACTTCTGATATAAGCAGACAGCAATGCCTGGGAAGGGGGCAGGAGAGAAGCCTGCTGCAGGAAAAGAGGGTGAGATTCTTTAGAATTCCAAACCGAAGACTGCTTAAATAAGGCGTATCCTGGATGGGTTGGTGGAATTTTATGCAAATAAAAACCAAGTGGCTGGCCTTTGTGAAAAGATGTTATGCACCTGTGTGTGGTCCTGGAGCAAGTCCAAGTAGAAATGAGTGGCCAGAGTCATCACACACACTGGGGTCTTTGATCGGCCCCGACTGCTGGAACTAAAGGCCAATGCAACTCCTGTGCATTACTTCTTCAAATTCCTACAAGTCAAAAACCAGGTTTCACTTCTCAGCAATTGTTTCTACCCTGGGACAATTCAGGATCACCTCTTTTGATGCTACCCAGAGCCACCCCTTCTGGAATAGCAAGACACTAGCCAGACTTTGGTTTTTCAAAAACAAGTCTGAAAAATATTACCTGGGACAGCCCCCCAAAAATGCCAGCCTGCCTGCTCCCTGGTAGTCCTCAAAGAGACACATCAGCCGCCAGTCACTGTCAACTTTCTGCCCAGACTGTGACAAGCCACCATGTGGGGAGGAGAAGGAGGCCATGCAGCTATACCAGGTGTTGGGCACACTGTTCCCACACAGATCCCAAGAGGGGACTGAAAACGGAGCCCAAAGGGGAAAGTGGGCATGAGGGAGTCAGGGGCCCTAGCAGCAGGTGGCTTCAGGTCATTCCTCCAAGTTCATCTTCTGCTCCGAGAATGTTGGATTATTGGGAGCTCTCGAGACATGTTTAAGGGAAGGGGGTGGAGAGTAGGAAGTCCTAGCCCCATCAGTACACAGGCAAATCACCTGACCTTTCTGAGTCCCGGTATCCTCCTGTGAAATAGGGATAACACCTTCTTTGCTCCTCTTACAGTGGCTGAGAGGGTCACAGAAGTTCACAAATGTGAAAGTGCTTGGCAGACTATAAAGCACTGAAGATATTCTGAGTTTTGCTACTATTATGTCTGTTTGTTCACTAGAAGAAAGCATCTATGCAGATATTGAAACAGCCAAAGCGAGGAAGAACTCCATGATCTCCCCTCGCCTCACAGACTTAAGCCAGGAAGGCAGTCCAGGAATCCACAATAAACAACTGCAGCTGGCCTGTTCTGTTTCTCGCACAGTGGACCTGAGTTCTTTTCTAGAATCTGTTCTGCAGCAGGGAAGGTAAAGCTGGTAAGCCGTGGAGGGACCCAGCCAGTGGCTTGTAGGTGGTCAAGCTAAGGAAAGCCGTGGGCTGGTGATGCCCTATGAGTTAGGAGTAGAAAGCCATCCTATTTGCTAAATGCAACTCAGAAACAGGGTAGACCCTCTTCATCTCTGCACCGGCTGTCCACCCAAGTGAGGTGACAACACACTGCAAAGGCAGGGGGCTGGTCCTGTGGTTTCCCATCTGGTCTTGTTTGCCTTTTGGAGTTTGGCTTCTTTGACAGACACATGGAGAACAGCCTTGTCATCTTGAATCAGACAGTCGGCCCCCATGCACGTGAATATGTGTGAGATTTCACGTGTTTGCTAGAGGAAAGAGGCCATGGAGAGGGAGAGAAGGCACATTTACATTCTCTGCCAGTGTTTGGTTTTTTAAAGAAAAAAAAATAGACATTTCACAAGGCATGCTATAAACCAAGGTCAGTTTTCCCCTTGCATAGTGTTGAAACTCGAATAACCCAAAGCAGCAGGTGGGGAGACCCACCTGATTCATTCAAGAGGATTTTCTTTGCTTATTTACTCTGCCTACTAACATCTCACAACAAGTCCTTCCTCACCGTGATTTCGGGGAAGGACGGTATTTGTATGCTATTTTTAAAATCTATTCTGAGTAATACAGTCTATAACCCACATGCCAAGAACCAAAAAATGAAGTGTCTTGAAAGCACTGAGGTGAGTATTTTAAAATATGGTTATTTTTACTTTTCTGTGTTATTTGACTGTTCACAGGAGGCACGAATCGCTTCACAAAGACAATAAAATAATTGTAAAAAAAGAAAGCAGTCATCATAAAGACTGCCATGGACACAAAGCTACATCACTAATGACCATGCAGCTGGAGACGGGAATGAGAAAGAGACCGGGAGTGGACGGTGTGGTTAGAAGGACAGCCATTACTCTCACACCTGTAATCCCAGCACTTTGGGAGGCCGAGGTGGGTGGATCACGAGGTCAGGAGATTGAGACCATCCTGGCTAACACGGTGAAACCCCGTCTCTACTAAAAATATTTTAAAAAGTTAGTCAGGTGTGGTGGCGGGCCCCTGTAGTCCCAGCTACTCGGGAGGCTGAGGCAGGAGAATGGTGTGAACCCAGGAGGAGGAGCTTGCAGTGAGCCGAAATCGTGCCACTGCACTCCAGCCTGGGTGACAGAGCAAGACTCTGTCTCAAAAAAAAAAAAAAAAAAAGAAGGACAGCCATTACTCTCCAGCCACCCCTTTTTTGACATGGGAGATTCCTGTCGTTTAGAATTGTTCTACTCAAGGGTTCCTACCAATCTTAGCCATCTTGAGAAGTGCCACTGTGAAATTAGCTAAGAGGCATTCTTTCTTTCTTTTCTATTTATTTATTTATTTATTTATTTATTTATTTATTTTTTGGAGACAGAGTCTTGCTGTCATCCAGGCTGGAGTCCAGTGGCATAATCTCGGCTCACTGCAACCTCTGCCTCCCGGGTTCAAGCATCCAAGCAATTCTCATGCCTCAGCCTCCCAAGAAGCTGGGATTACAGGCATGTGCCACCATGCCTGACTAATTTTTGTATTTTTAGTAGAGACGGGCTCTCACCATGTTGGCCAGGCTGGTCTTGAACTCCCGGCCACCTAAGAGGCATTCATAAAAATGGAACAGTGTGCTGGAGTTGACCAAAAACTTCCATTTAGTAGCTCCAATTACCCTGTGGGATGGCAATTATCATCCTCATTTATAAGGGTTGAGACTGACATTCTGAGAAATGAGAATATTTTAGCTCCTATAGCTAAGAGGGAATACAGCTAGGTCTTCTGATTCCATATCCCATCCCGCAGTCTTAAACTTAGGCAGGTGCCAAAACTGCTTTGTAGTTAAGCCTGCAGGCTCTCATGCCAGTTGGCCTGGGTGGAAGTCCTAGCTCCGACCCTCACTTGTTTTGCTGACCGTGAGTAAGATACTTCAATTCTCTGACTCTCAGTTCCCTCATCTGTAAACTGGGAATGACAATAGCAGGGCCCAGTTCACAAGGTTGTCAGGGAACTTGAATAAAATGATACATATAGAGAGAGCACTTAGCCCGATGAAGGGCCCTCACCAACATCAGCTCTCATCACTAACTCTTCCCCTTTCACCCTATCCTGCTCATCATAAAGAAGACCAACATCTGTGCTCCAGGGTTTGTGTGTGTGTGTGTGTGTGTGTGTGTGTGTGTGTGTGTGTGTGTGTGTGTAATTAAAGCGATCCCTAAACTTGAGAATTATTGAGCATAAATGCATTCAAACTATTCATATTTTCCATACTATTAAGATTTCCTGGCATATCAATCTTCTTTGTGGCAGAAATCAATAGTCACTGTACTTACTGAAAAAGGTCTCTCCAGACCAAAACCCCTGTGTCCCAGGGCTGGGAAATTGGCTCCTAGGAAATAAACTCTGGCCTGCAAACTTTTCCAGACTTTCCCCAAATCCCCAGTTGAGTAAAATAATGAGTCAGGCCCTCTAGGACATTGTCATACACCTTTTGGGGCAGAATAAAACACTTTAAAATAATTCCACAACTGAGGAAAAGGTATAAAGAAAACATCTGGGAGGGAGGAAGGGAAGTAATGGTTATCCCCAAAAGGGTAGGATGTCTGTAGGGGCAAGGATGGTGACTTTTAGTGCTTATACATTTCAGTAATGTTTGAATTTCTTACTACAGCTATGTATTATTTTACAATGAGAAATTTTAAACTGACCCCATTCCTAGGCTGGTGGGGATGGGGTGAGGAGGGTAACCAGTAGAAACTGCCCCCAGACCTTTCTTAACAGAGAAACTCTTAACTTTTCCTACAGGAAGCCCTTCCGGGTGCAATTCCTTATCTCAACCTCTGCAACAGTGCCTACCAATGTTATAGCACTTCATTCATTCAGCCTTTCATTTGTTCATCCACTCAACAGCTATACTTTGAACAAGGCCCTGTGGGAGGCCCTGCGAGGCAAAGACAAGACAAGCGAGTTGCCTGTCACACGGAGCATGGGCTGGCAAGGAGATCCATAGTAAACCTCCAGTCCTGCACTCACCCTTAATGGCATGTGCTTGGATAGAGATGAGACAAGGCCCAGAGGGGCACATGCTGGAGAAACTGAACCCCAGCCCAGAGGTCTGGGAAGGCGTCTCTGGGCAAGAGACCTTACAGCTGGGAACTGAAAGATGAGAAGCAGCACTGACCAGGTGAAAGGGGTGGCAAGACCAGGAGTGTCTGGGCTGAGCACCCAGGCAGGCACTGAGATGAGAAGAAACAGAGCTCACCAAGGAAAATTGAGGGAACTCAGCCTGCTGGAGAAAGGTCCAAGGAGAGATCAAAGAAGCAGGAAGGGCCAGATCACCTGATGCTTTGCAGAATGTGGGATTTTAAACTTTACCCTAAGAACAGTTCGAAGCCACTGAGATAGGTATCCCTGAGGACTCCATTTGTTCTCCACTGTTTTTGTTCACTTCCACTCTGACACACAAGCTCCTAGCTCCATGCCTGGCAATTAACAAGAGCCTAAAAATAATCAGCTGGATGGCTGAACCCAGTCACCCCAGGGAGGGAGAACCTGCAAGCAAAGACCATGACCGCACATCCGACATCTCACCTCTCTCCCTCCTTTTGTCTCCCCTGATCCAGGCCTGCAAGCTGAGAAGTGTACAATCCTCACAACAAGGAGTGATTGGCAATCAGGTGCAGAACTAAGCTATTTCTTTCACCACCACAGTCCTTCCAAAATGTTCCCAACTGGCATCAGATATTCTCATCCTGACCAGTGAGACAACCCAATGAAAACTGGTGACTCAGAAAGGGTAAGCATTTGTCAAAGGCTGTACAGCAAATCCCCGGGTGCTTGGCGAGTCATGTCTTGGCCAGTTGTCAAGGGCAGTGTCCCCTATGTCATTCCTCAAATACATATTTCTAGGCTTAATTATATGAATTTACATTTCTTTGGCTCAAAAAAAGTAGGTATAGGGGCATTTTCAATGCTGCACACAACTGAAAGTAGATTGAAACCATCCCGACCTCAAACAGAATGTCAAAGCAGTTGGGTTTCTGAGCAGCAACAGAATACTTTTTATAGAATGGGAAGTCAATTGAGAAATCATAAAAAATTAGAGTTGGGAAGGACCTCTGCGCTCACGAGGGTCAGGTCCCAGGGGCTGCTGTAGAATTGTTCCCTGTGGTGAAGGGTCTAATGTTTTGTCCACTCAAGTTTTAAATATCTCAACCAATAGCTCACCCCTGGGGACACCTCTCCACAGGGCAATAGATCTTGCTGTCAGGGCTTTTTTCCTGCTATTCAATCTCACTTTTCCTTTCCTCCACTTCATCCCATTTGTCTTTGGCAGTAATTTAGACAAGAGTGTGCTGACGTTTGAAAACGAAAAGCCCTGTCTTTGCCTTCAACCTCGTTTTTCCAGACCCTTCTACCTACGGAAACTTCAAGATCTGGCAGGGAGAGAGGGAGGGAATGAGGAAGAGAGGCAAACAAACAGACTGGCGTGGGTTCTGGAAGAAGCTATCAAAGGGCCAGCCCCCAAGGCCTTGAACCCACAGGTGTACAGGAAGAGAGGGCACTGCTGCTCCGGAATGTGCAGATTATAGAGGACCTGACTCTCAAAGGCAGAAAGTCACCGAGTTTTCTAGGCAGTCCAGAGCTCAGCCACCTCTTGCTATGACACATTAGACAGAAGGTGGCAGCATAGCACCAGGCTCTGTGTGCTCAGTGGCCCTGTCCATCGCAGCACACCCCAACTGTTCGGCTTCCAAACTCCACGAGCAACAAAACCCAACCGGCTGGAACGCCGGGCTTAGGCCAAGAGTGAGCTGCAAATCAAGGCCCTGGCCAGTTTTTTAAGTCAAATCCCAAACAGTTAGGATTGTGTGAGCACAGTCCATTTTCTCCCCAAGAACATCTTGCAGCCAGAATGGAATCCAAAAAAATAACTGCAGTCCTGAACAGCGGTGTTTGTCCAAGCTGATCTAAACACATAAACTTACCGTCTCGTCTGGTGTTTTGTGCACAAATTTTTGTGTTTAAAGACATCTGGGGTTAATGCTTTTTTTTTTTCTTTATTCTTTCTAGCCCTTGGCTATTTATTTCTGAATTTGTCTCTGGTTTTCCTGTTTCCCTTTGCTTATTTTTTACTTATTTGGTAGTGTTTGCATGTGGTTCTTCTGAAAGCAAGGATCCACAGGCTACGCATTTCTCACTTGGAGCTGAAGTCCTGCTGGGGAACCAATTATATGTCCTACCCACCAGGGAGAGTGTGATATTTTTTATTACTTTCTAATTTCAGGTCTTGAAATGGCTTCAGTGATCAGAACATTCTTCTGCTTAAGAACCTAAAGGGGCCAGTGAAAGGATGCTTTTGATTTGTATTTCATTTAGAATGGTCCATACTCAACCAAGTGTACTCCAAGGATTTCCATGGGGCCTCAGAGGCTTGAAGTGGGGAAAAGCAAGACAAAGACAAC
This sequence comes from Homo sapiens, assembly GCF_000001405.40. Lineage (NCBI taxonomy): Eukaryota > Metazoa > Chordata > Mammalia > Primates > Hominidae > Homo > Homo sapiens. The sequence continues at coordinate 113,384,552 of NC_000010.11, read as the reverse complement.
AACAAAACTTTCTCGCTGCTTGCCTTATCATACTGGGAAAATGCCGGCTACTTGGGGAAAGTCTTTCTTTGAGAAGTTGGTGAACTGAGAAAAAAATGGATAGAATTAGAACAAAACAATTTCACTGGATTCTAAGTCTATTTAAACTACAGTAGTAAATCAAAACCATACCTCTTTCTCATTACTCATGGCCCGATAGTAGAGCCTCCTAAATGCTTATTAAAGCAAAAGCAAGAAGTGTTTCATTTCTAAATACATTCACAGGAATCCCCAACAAGGTGGTTGCTTCTTTCTAACTGTTGTTTGTTTTATGCTTGTTTCTCTTCTTGAAAGAGTTATCATGAAACGGAAAGGCTTAAAAGGGGGGTGGGGGTGGGGGTGAGGGTCCAAATAGGCTCTAATGAGGAAGAAGGAAATAAAAGTCAAATTCTCCCCGAATGTCTGAATTTCTATTTATTTATCTTTGCAATAAGAGAGGATGCCTGACAATCCGGAACTGCTCTTGGATAAAACGAATCATACCAAACAGCTAACAACCCTGCAGAATAGCTCAAAGCCCAAATTATGAGCTATTTCAAATCCTTTCCACTTGCCATGGGGGTCTTGACTGAGTTTTTTCTTTTTTTTTTTTTTTTTTTTCTTTTTTTCCTGGCTCACATGCTTAGCCAGGAGGTGATTCTGAATGTTTATCTGAAGTATCTCCCTGATATTCTGGGGGGACTTTTCTCTCAAGCAAAAGCTCTGCTGAAAAGAGGAGCTTGTTTTAATTCTCATTAAGTTATACCCAGTATTGTGAACCTTTTACTAGTGAACAGTTAATTTTAGTGAGACGGACTACAAGAAACTGCCATATATAACCACGCTCAGTGACAACATTTTACAAAATGTGAGTCAAACATAAACATTTATGACTTTCTAATAAGCCAGCTACCATATTTGCTATTATATGACGCTCTGTTAAAACAATCTTTTCTACTTTTAAATAGAGATCCCATGAGAGCAAAAATGTTTATCTTTGTTGTGTATAGCTTCCTTAAGTACCATTTTATCATATTATTTAAAATTCAACAAATTAGCAGCCAGTATTTATTATTTAAAGAAAGGGTGTTTCTTCAAAGTTTGTCTGAATTAAAAATCACAAACCAATCCATCTCCCTTCTTTCCTTCCTTCTCTCTTTCCTTCCGTCCTTCCTTCTATTCATTTTAAACCCAGCAACTAGATTTTGTTGGGTTTAAAAGGTCCCTAAAAAGTTAGTATTCCTTCAGGAATAAATATTTGTAGATTACTTGAAATGGCCAGCTTCCTTGACTGGTCTTTAGGGAAAATACTCTTTGTAACTTTGACTAAAAAGACAATGTTCCCGATCAAAATATAATCTGGGTCTATACTGGCAAAGAGAGTTGAACCAATATGTAATGAATGGCAGCATAAACAAATGAATGAAGGAATACGCAGACAGGCATCAAGCAGAATCAAAATACTCAAAGCAGCCAGTTAACTGAGGCACTGAATTTCCTGGACAACTGTCTCAATTCCCCGGTTTGCGTGGAGGCTCTTGCCTATAACCAAGTAAGCACTTATGCTGCAACCTCTTGCCTCTTGCAAGAGACAACAGATTGTTAGCCTCTGGGAAGTAGCACTATTTCAATCAACCAATTTGGCATGTTGTGTTTTACAGTTTCTAAAATTAACACAGAATCCAAACAAAAACATGGCTGGTGTGGAACTATATACAGAGAACACTGTCATCTGGTTGCTTCGAATCTGTTCATTATCAAAATTAGCTGTCTTGTTTGTCCTACTCCCATTTTTGAATGCACACCATTAATTAACCAACCTGTCATTATGTGCTGGTAATGACCAAGTTTTCCAGTATCCCAGTGTAAATACAGGATTTTACAGGACTCCCAAAACTAGGAGGAAAGGAGAAGGTGGAGGAGGTAGGGGTGGCAGAGAAAGAGGACATTCACAGGTGGGACTCAGTATTGCTTACAGCTACCCTTGCTTTCTAAAACAAGGGCTGCACGCGGAAACAATGCTGATTTATTCCCTTGCATTGAGCAAAGCTAAATTTTTCCAGGCTTCACTGAGGAATTTTCTTCACAATATCTGCATGAATTATGAAGCTGACTTCTAACCAGATGTCGGGTGATCTGCCCTTCCTGTTCTCTGAGGATGAGACACATCAGTGTTTAACTCATCATGCCCCTCGAGTGTGTCTCATTTTTCAACCCATTCTCACTTGGAGGTTAAAAAGGAATTGGGGTTTCTTTTTAAGTCTCTTTGATTTTACCCAATTTCGGTGAACAGATCCATGAAACTTCAAAGAGGATGTTGACAGAATTGAAGTAAGGGAGGGAAGGACAGAGGAAGGGGGCAGAAAGCAAAGCCGATCATAAAAAACAAACCAAAGAATATTTAACGACATATTTTCCCAAAGAGACTTCTGGCTGCCCACCGAAACTGAAACCATTACTCACATCGAAGACACTTCCTGGGGGTGTGCTATCTTGAGGAAACACATACCGTGAAGGCCTTTGCAGGAAGCAAATTCAATGGTGAAAGGAACCGCAGCAGATTCTTACAATTCTGTCTTTTGCACCCTGACTTTCCACTTGAACATTCTTATTAAAAATTTCCTCCAGCATCCTTACCATATACAATTTTTCAAGTCAAAGAATGACTTTTTAGAGTCTCTGTGTGCCCATAAAATTCTGTCTTGAAGATTTTATTAATAATCATAAAAACATCAGTATCCATCAGGATCAGTTTGGAAAGGGAGAGGCAATTTTTCCTAAACATGTGTTCAAATGGTCTGAGACAGACGTTAAAATGAAAAGGGGGTGAACTGAAGACCAATGACTGATCCAGCCCCCCACTCCCCTACGGTTCATAGTCATGGGCGAGGACATGGCCACAGGCTAACACAAGCCAGCTTGGGATCAGGCACCAGCCCCACCTGCAGCTGATGCAGCTCCACGTGGAGGGAAGCATTCCAACTTTCACTGCTGCAGGTTGTGTATTTATCACTACGAGGAGGGGAGGGACAAAGTATACAGGACTACATATTTTCTTATGGCATCAGGATAGGTTTCTTGGGACTCTGAGAGGTCTAGAATAACGTGCTTAAAATGACTATTTGACTATCTCCCAGCCAGTTCGAAGCATTGGCTGAGCAGCCTTTGCTTGATTGTCAGTTAACAGCAACCGAAATAGCAAAATAGTAAAGTGATCCCTGCAAAGGGATTTGTGGGTGGTCTCCTTGGCTCACCTGTCAGAGGAGGTTGACTCTGTGATCATGATCCTTCCCCCAAGTGCTCTCACCTTTTCTGTTCACATTGTACCTTAAGGCCTGCAGTCAGGCAAATCTTTGAACAGAGAAATTCAAACCCCTTAATGACCAAAGATTTCGAGGGATCCCAAGACATGGGGTGTATTTCACAATGCAACCACCCCAGTGAATAGGAGAGTTATTGACCAGGCAATGCATTATCTCATAATCCGCCAGTATGGAGGCAGCGTGGGTGGCTTCAGGGCATGAGCACTGGAGTCAGAGAAGTTGAACTCCATCAGCTCTGTTACTTCCAGTTACTCAACCTCTCTGTGCCTCAGTTTCTTCATATGCTAAAACTAGGATGATACTGTCTACATACTTCAATGGGCTGTTAAGCTTTCAGGAATCTATACTTGGAAAGCACCAGACACAGCACCTGGTATCTAGTGGGATATGCTATTGTCTCCATAATCAACTAGAAATTTCCTTGTGATTACTCGCTGCAACAAAAAGGGTTCTCCAAACTGGCTGAGAACACCACAAACTAGGGAACTTTAAGAAATACATTCCCAGGTACTTCCAGCAGTGAGACCCAGAAATCTTCCCCAGGTGAAACTAATGTAGCCAGCTTGACCTAGAACCATAGACCCATACACTGTCCCATTACTATAAAGGATGGTGAAGCATCACATCCAGTCCTGGTCTCCAAGGAATTTATGGTCTGATTGTGAAGACCAACACACAAACTGTAAGTATAAACTATTCATGAGCAACATGAGATAGAATAAAGTTGGAGACTATCTTGTGTGGCATTGTCAGTTTGCTGTGAAGAATTTCAGAGAAAGGAGAATCCCATTAATTGGAATACACCAGAAAGTCCCAAGAGTATTGTGAATTCTGTGGTGATCTTTCATAGTAGAGGTTCACAAAAGTTGATTTCTCAACTTTGTGTACATATGCACATCTATTTTAGGGGGAGAGGTTCAGCTTTGATTACCTTCTCAAAGTGGTCCATGACCTCCAAAAGCTTAACACTGTGATTCTAATGGTGGACACTAATAAGTACTCGTCACATGCCAGGCCTGTTTCAAACACTTTACTTACATAATCTCAAGAAGTGCTCACACCACCCATGTGGGGTAGGTACCATTATCTTCTTCATCTTACAAATGAAGAGACGTCGGACCTTGCCCATGGATACCCAGCTACTGAGTGAAAGAAAAGATTTGCCCCCCTGGCTCCAGGGCTTATGCTCTTACCAACTCAATTTAATCCAACATGCTTCATTTTGACACTTGCTCCACTTCTAGAACCATCTGAATCTTATGGCTCTGTCTCAGAAGATCTAGGAAGCACCTGGTAAGGACCAAGAGCTACTCTTACCCCTTGAGAACCAACGCTCTCTGAGCAAACAAAGCCAGACTGGGTACCCTGGCATCCTTCATATGGAATTCATTCATTCAGCTATTCATTCATCCATTCATCTGTATACAGAGGGACTTGGGGCTTGGGATGAGAGGCGGAGGAAAAGTGGATGGCAGAGCAGAAGGATTGTTTTCAATAACTCAGCCTCAAGGAAGAGGGAAAAACTCAGGACTTTGAGACTACCTTCTCATCTCATGAGGGATGTCGGGAGGTAGAAAAGCCCTGGTGTGCCACCGTTGCTCTTGACTCAGTTCAAGCCAATTGTCTTTGACTCACTTTAGGCCAGGAGTTCTCAATCTTGCCACTATTCACATTGAGGACCTGATAAGTTTGTTGTTGGGGGGCTTCCCTGTGCATTATAGGATGTTTAGCAACATCCCTGGCTTCCACCCATTAGATACCAAAGGCATTCCTTCTCCTAGTTGTGATGAATAAAAATGCCTCCAGACACTGCCAAATGTTTCCTGGGAGACAAAAATTACCCTCCTTTGAGAACCACTGGCTTAAGGTAAATAAAATAGATTCTTAAAAGTTACACAATATTTCTCCCAGCAAAAGTCTCCATGTCATCCTGTGGTGTCCCTTAAGTCATGATCAAAGGGGAAGTAAGCAAATATATTCATTTGATAAACACTTGCTATATAAGTTTGATTGTAAGGCAAAGTTTTTCCCCAAAAGCTGTTCTATAGTATATAAGTTTTTACAAAGTTTCTCGCTCCTGATGCTTTCTCAATTACTTTATTCTGAGCACCAAGGAAGTGTTTGGGGAACGACATTAGTCCAGAGAGATCTCAATGGATGATAGTTGTTGGGGGAAATAAGTTGGGGAAACTTACAGACATCATCTGATAATATCAGGGGGGAAAAAAGAGGCAAAATATTTCATGCAGATTCGGTTGTTATTTCTGAGGATATGACTTCATCATTAAATACATGGGAAGTATTTTAAGCAAGTCTTTTAAACTTTGCCTTTCTTAAAAAAGCATATTATAAATGGTGACCTTGTGGAGTTCATAAATATCCACCCATAGGACAAACAGAAAAAATCTCTTGGGGCCACAAATAAAATTCTCAGTGACAGCATCTTACATCATTCAAAGTGCTGTGTCTTGAACAATTTAGAAGTGAAGATGATGTGGGATGGAGAACTGAGTTATGATTCAAAAATGGTTTCGGTGACAACGAAGGCAAATGACCAAGGTGCCCGGGAAGAGTGTGAATATAATTATTTCATGACCTAAACTTTTTTTTAAGATTAGGGAATCTCTATTTCTAAATGTTTATATTATTTTATATAATATGTGCTATATGCAAATAAATCGATGCATTTAGTATTAAAGTAGGGATTTTACTATTTTATAAAAGCTTATATATTCCAGTTGGCTTTCTCTTTGGAAAACGAGACATTGCCTTATATTCAGGCTTGTCTTACACTTGGGCACATAGCCAATCTAAGCACCTAGTGTTGTCAGGATTCTGTACAAGTCACACGGAGCCATGTTTCTGTCCCCTGGAGAGTTTGTGTTCTCTGTGGGAACACAAGACATAAGCAAGGGAGGCAGCTTTCACATAATTCAGTGTAATTTGCTTCCAACTAAGTTATTCGGATGATATGCTATGCGGAGGAGATGGGACGTCCTTTGAGGGATGCCTTCAGATGATCTTCTTGAAGCTCAATTCAGATGTGTCACTTCCTACTGCAAGGGTAAAGACCAACCTCCCTAACATGGGTTCCAGGACCCACATGATTTGTGCATCTCCTCCCCGCCACCCCCAACCCTAGCTTCAACTCTTGCTCTGTTGATCTCTGGCCTTGACTACTCCTTGGACACCCCTCCTCCATCCCCAGCTTTGATTCTCCTTTGCTCCCTCCCCATCTCTTGACCGCACCTTCCTTTGGCACCTCCTCTTCTCTCTGTCTGTCTTTGCAACTGGTACTCTCCTGTCCTCTGCTCTTAGAAACTCGCACTCCTTCTTCAGACTTCATCTCAATCCTCACTTCTCCTGGGAAGCCTTCTCTAGACCCTCCATTTTGGTCAGCTGTCACTAAACTGTAGTTCTTTTCTTTGAAGTATTTCTCTCCATTAATTCTCATGGATGCAATAGTGCCATTGTTCACTGATGTATGTCTCTCCGTTCATGCTGTAAGCTTAGTGAGAGCAGAGCCCTCATCCTTTATGACTCATCATTACATCCCCAGAACATGGCCCAAAGTAGATACTCAATAAGTAGCAATTGAGTGAATTGTTGATTAATCAAATGAACATTTGTTACAACCTTTAGCTTTAGGCTTACTCTTACTGACATTGTTGTAGAACAAAGCTATGATCCAATGGCATTACTATAAGTCAAGCCCTATATGTGTATAATCTCATTTAATCCTCACAAAATCCTGTGATGTAGGTTCTACTGTTATTATTATCCTATTTCGTATGAAGATACTGGGGCTCAGAAGAGCAGTAACTTGGTCAAGGTCATAGGCATAGCTAATGTGCAGAGAAGCTGCAATTGGATCCCTGGTATTTCTGACTCCAGACCACTACCCCATCTTATTGTATCATAGCATATCATATTAATTATCTCACTTATTATACTCACTTGGAATTTACCCAGATGATTTTGTATGAGATCTAACACCTCTAAGAAGTTCTTGACCATGCTCCTCGTCTCCACTCTCTCACATCACTTTAAACTGGCTTCCCAACATAGGTAATTGATGTCTTGGTTTGTGGAGTTAGTCTCACTATTTATAAACACAGCTGATATGTCCTTATTATATTGCTTCTTTATTGAGACTGGAATAGGGGGCCTCCAGAGGCAGGAAATGCATCTTATATTTCTATGTGATTCATGACATCTGGCACATAGTGGGGACTCATGTAACACTCCTGTATGGGTTGATAAAGGTCTCCTAAATCATCACGACGATTTACTTAGAAGCAACAACTCAAAGTTTAGAATTGAAGCATAAACCAAGGCTAGATCTTGTATACCTTTGATGCTATTTCCTTCTCCAGAATTTAATCATCATCTTGTCTCTAATGGTAACAGAATATTTATCTTAAAAATCATGTGCACTTCATTCAGCTCATCAGCAAATACAAATATTGGTTGACACTGGTCTTTATGGTCCTCCTGCTTGTCCTCTGTCCCGGGTATCTAAGTAGCTTGTTTAACTCACTCAGACCACTGGGTGACTCTGTAGGGAGCCACTTCTTCATTAACACCATTAAAAGCACCCAGTCACCACAACACATGAGCCTTTCAATCTGGCTGTCAGATGCCTCCCCAAGACTTAAGGGAAGCCCAGCAACAAGGCATTAGTGGCACTATAGAGATTTTATATGAGATCAAAATAGCAGCAGAACTTTTAAATTGTGAAACAATGGATCAAGAGAAGAAGAATCAAATAAGAAATGGTAAATATTCAATAAAGAGAATGATTAGAGTTCTCAGGCAGGGAATACCCACAGCTATCTTTATACCAACTTAAATCAGGCAGAAGCTCTAACGACAAGGATAAAATGAAATAATGGATGCATTATTTCTAGTGGGACTTGCATTGCTATTTGGCCTAATTATTTGTGATATTTCACCCATGGTAGGAGAAGCTTCTTCAGAGGAAAGAAATAATAACTTGTCTCCTTGAAAACAAAGAACAAAGGGTCCCGATGCTCTCCAGAAGCTCTTCTGTCATTAGCAGGAGAAAGAATCTGTCCATTAGCAGGAAATACCACCCCCTCAGAAATCCTGAATATCTCCCCTTGAATATCTCAATGACCTTCAAATACCCACAAGGAGGAAGATGCAAAAGCCATAGGCCTTATTGCAAAGGTAAGACAGAAGATGTAGCTTAGGGGCCATGCAGGTGAAAGAAATGTTCCCTCCATCCTTGCTGTATGGTGTCTGGTGTGTTTGTATGTGTATATGCACACATGCACACGTGCATGTGTGTACTATAGCCATGCACTATAGCCATAAAATGGTAAAGGAGAGAGTATCCCCAGGTTTGCTTCTCCATATGTCCCCTAGTATAAAGGATTTGTTTGGCTGAGAATAATAGAAAACCCAAAATAACAATGGCATAAACAAGACAGACATTTATTTTTCGGTCACAGGGAAGTCTGCTTGAGCAGTTTAGGGCTGAAATAGTGGCCCACAATCCACAGGATCTCAGACTCTGTCAGTACTTTTGCTCTGCCATGCCCCACTCAAGGCTTCCATTGCATGGTTCAGGATGGCTGCTTCCTCTCTCTATACTGTGTTCACATTCTAGCAAAGGGAGGGAGGCGGTATGATCCCTCTCATAAGGACCCCTCTCTAGAAGTAGTACCTACCACTTATGTGTGAATCCATTAGCCAGGGCTAAGGCACAGGGCCTTACCTAACTGCAAGGAGAGCTAGGAAATACAGTCATCATTTTGGGAGACCATGTATTTAGCTAAAAGTCAAAGGGTTCTATTGCTATCAAAGAAGGGAAAAGAGATACCAGGGAACAACTAGCAGTCTCTGCAACATTCTTCAAGGTATCATAGCTTTGGGGATTTCTTCTCAGGTCACACCAATCCCTTCTAGCCACCAGAGCCAATCTACACTGCTGAGCCATCCTGACTGCAGTGAATTGGATCAAGAGTTTACAGAAACTCAAGCTGAATCAATTATATTTTCACTCCCAGGAATTTGGAATTAGGATGTATTGACTATCATTAGGCTCTCAAACTAGAATCATCCTGGATGCAATGGAGTGACCAACTTCTGCCAAATTTGTCGCAGAACCCCAGAGAGAAGCAAGGGCAAGAGACATGCCAGCCTGGGCCAGGGGAAGGTGGAGAGAGGGGCCACCCTAGTACCTGATGTCTTTCTGGTTCTGGGGGCTCAGCAGCACTTCCTTCCCTTGGGTTGCATAAGAAACCCCCAAGTCCTTAGAAAAGGCCTCCATTTTTGGCTTAAGTTAGTTTGAATGGGTTTCTCTTCCTTTCCACCAGCAGAACCTTGATGATGACATGTCTCTGTGTGGCTCTGGTTCTGGCCAGGTGATAGCAGTCAAGTCAGTGGTCTTCTCATCCTACCTTCTTGGCCGGGAAAAAAAAGTACATCTCTCTCCCACTGGACTGTCAGCTCTTAGGCTAGTAAATCCACCAAGTTGATTCACTTTAAGAGTTTACACTCTTCTCCTTCCTTTGCAACACATTTTCACTAGGTCTTGGGCTACCTGGAGACACCACATAGTACCATGAAGTACCACAAAGGAAGGACTGTTGTTGGAAATATTGGAGCACAAGTCAGGAGTTGGGAGAGATATTTGGGGGCTGGTGGGCCATCCAGTGGCCCTTTGGTAGAGAGCCACATCTGGAACCCCCAATATTCTCACCAGTGTGGTGATAAACAAATCTTGTCCTTATGATCACAAGTCCTACAGAAATAATTCCATCTGAGTGTGCAGGGTTAGGCCTGAGTGCTGGATGTTACAGCTATAACCGGTGGATTCTCCTTTGCATCTGTCAAACATTTAACACCTGGAGAAGCAACCAGATGAATCCTCCTGACTAACAACTTGTCTGTCTAAACCAGGCTCCCAAGTAAAATAATCTAGCTTGAACTCTCTGGGCCTCAGTGTTCTCCTTTGTAAAATGAAGGGGTGGTACTAGAATCCCTTTCCAATGGGGAGGTTGCATGAATCTCTACACACAGAGAGGGTAGGATCACCCACTGATTTCTTTTTTAGAGAGAGATGAGATCTCACTATGTTGGCCAGGTTGGTCTTGAACTCCTGGCCTCAAGCAATTGTCCCACCTCAGCTTCCCCAAGTGCTGGGATTACAGGGATGAGCCACCATGCCCTGCCCTCACTCAGTGGTTTCTGAAGACAGAAGGAGAGAGTTCAAATGTAAGTTCTGCCACTTACTAGCTGTCCATACCTGGGAAATATACCTCTAACCCTAAATATCAATTTCTAATCTGTAAATGAAGAACAGTGACAGCGCCCACCTGGTAGGGGCCTCCCAGGGCTTAAATGATCATATTAAATGCTCAGCACAATGTGCCCAACACACAGTAGGTGTGCAATGAGTGTTAGAGTCTTTCAGATCTCCCTGAAATGGATCCGTCTTGCAGATTATCACAGCCACCCGCAACACCCTATGACACACATACAGAATGACTTGATGTCCTTGATAAATGTTGCTTTTATTAATTAACTCTGTGTGAGGGAAAACTGAAGCAAAGGGATGGAGGGTGTAGGAGTAAAACCTCCAGAGCTGTGAAAAATTCCTGAGTTATTATCCAAATAATCTGGTGGCTTGGCAAAAAGAAAAGGAGAAAAAAATCCCTTACCAAGCACATATTCTGCTGGTTTTCAAACGCGAGTGTGTATTTCAATGGCAATTTAATCCATGTGTTTCTTAGTCTTCTGTACTTAAACTATCAAAGTATTGTTTGAAAATAATAATTTGATGTCCAATAAACAGTCTTTCCTTTTGAGTTTCCCATGCAACCACCTGTGTGATTGTTCCCTGAAAGGTGAGTAGCCCAGTTGAGTCTCAAGGTGCCTACCTACCCATACCTGAGCAGCTGTCCTTATGACCCTCTCCTCTTGGTTAAGATGGACCGGTGTGGTCATTTGACCTGGGGTGACCATCCATGGCCCCCTCTGAGCATGACTTAAAGAGATGTGCTTAGCCAATCTTTCTGTTGGGGATATGAACAAAGTGAGACAGAATGAAACTGCTAGTGAGCTATGGGTGCTAGAGTTGCATGGTTATGTCAATACCAGGCTAGGGGCATAATGGTCTATTTTAGTGTATTCCCACGGAAGTAGAACCTTGAGTCTATTTGGGAGGTGGTCCCAGAAAATACTGATTAGGAAATGGGAAAGTGGGACAGGACAGGGTAGGAGCCAATGAAACACATTTTCACTGTGGGGTAGCCTTGCTGGGGAACTCTGAGAGTCAAAGCAGAACATGTGCTTCAGAGTTATCTTGGCCAAGGGGTGAGGGAGTTGGGGTATTTATCCTTTAACTGCTATCAGTTGTTGGTCGAGAACTGCTTGAAGGGGTGTTAGTTCCCTAGCACTACTGGCCTGCCCTGTAAGAAAGCCCTCAGCAAAGAGTCACAAGTATTGGCAGTTAAGCCATGAACTATTGTGCCCAGAAGTGATGAGTGTTGACGGCATTTGTGCAAGGCACTGACAGCACCTCTACATGGGCTTGCATGAAACAGAATCTCCAATAGAGAGAGAGATAATAGAACAGAACATCAGTAATGGCACAGAAAAGAATGGGAAGCAGGAGTGGAGAGAGAGAGAGGAGGCCCTTCATTCCTTTCCTACTTCAAACCTAATAGTTCAACTTTTTCTAGATTCCCATGAAGACTCTGTATCTTTACACCCCCTCCACCCCACCCCCATTTCCTTGAGCCAGTTAGAATGGATTTCTGTTTCTTGTTCAAGAAAGAAAGAATTTTCCTATCCTTGCATTACCAGCAATCACAGAGATTCAGAATCTCAGAGAAGATACCCTAACTTCTTCATCCCATCACATTAGTAGCCGTTTTGGTTGCAAGCAACAGAAACGAACACTGATGAACTTAGCAACAAAAAAAATGAATCTACTGGAAGGATTTGAGGTACACAGTGGGGGAGAGGAAAGCCACAGAACCCAGCTAGGGATGGATAGGAACCAGATATAAGGTCTCTGTGGCAGGAACCCCTTGATCTTCTCATCTGGGCATTGCTACTGTAAAGAAGGAGCACCAACCATTTGTTCATTCTGCCATTCAGTCAGGATTCAGAGGCGAGGGCCCAGCTAGCCAAACTTAGGTCCACCATTGCTTGGCTCTACTGGGCAGTAAGATAAAATGCCTGCAGAGGGTTCTTCAGAAGGAGTGAGAATTCCTGGAAGAAAATGCTATTAGGACAGAGGAAGGGATGCAAGGTGGGGGGCGGGGGGATGTATGCACACACACACACATGTGCATACATGCATGCCCGCACACACACTACACCTATACATTCAGGTAACCTACTGTGTAATGAGGGAATCGGAGGTTATAAGACAATATAAGACATGCTATAGTAGGGGCATATCCATGCAAAGAACTCCAGAAACCCAAAGAAAGGAGTTACTGGGGACAAAGGGAGGTCAGAAAGGTTTTGCAGAGATCCAATTAGACAATGAGCAACGATTATATGCTAAGCATTGTGCCCACCATGACATTTAACCAGAGTCTGGCAAGATAAGACCATGTTTTTAGGTATAACCTAAGACTGAAAGGGGGCATTACAGGGAGAATAAACAACATGTGTGAAATCATGGAAACGTGCAACTGCAAAGGCAGAGAGCATAGAAGACAGGGAGACATTGTGAAGAAGAAAGAATAGGGAAACAGGAGTGATCTCAGGTCATGAAATCACAACAGGTTTTCCATGCCAAATTCAGGAGGCCAGATTTATCTCAAACACAGTGGTCAGACATGAAGGATATTGCATGTGTCATGGGATTGAGGTCTAGAGCAATCTCTGTGGTGGATTGCAATGGATGGATCTTGAGTACATTATGGGAGACGCAGTACAGCTGTCACCAGAAAGTCAATTAGATGCCTAGGACACCACTCCAAGAACGATATGATGAGGGCTGATCGAGTTCATGCCTTAGGGAGGGATAACAATTATGAGCAATATTTGCAGGGTAGAATTAGCAGGAGCTGGTCACCAGCTTTTGAGGGTGGAAAGAGAATAGATAGTGCTAATGTAGAGAGCTCATCGGGTGACCATATTCAACAGTAATTGCAAAGGTTTCCCTGGCCTCCCATTGTGGAAATGGGAAGGTCTAGTCTATTCTTTTAACCAGAAATGCAGTGGTCATCTAAGGAGCCTCAACCTGGTTCTCAGAGCTCACCAAGGAGGAAAGTGTGCTGGGAAGTGTCTCAGGGGGCGAGAGGAATGGAATAGGATACAGTCGTCCCCTACAGGGTTGACTGTGCAGGTGCTCATCCTCCCCGTGCTGTTCTTTCCAAACCCTTGACTTTCCATTTGAGACCTTTCAAACACAGATACCAATCTGATGCATCAACTTTATCTCCTACTCCTTTCCAATACATAGATGGTACTCCGAACCAACTCCATACCTCTATTCAGGCCATTCCAACCACCCAGAAAGCCTTCCATCCTCCAGGTTCCAACACCACCTCCCTCTTCCATGAAGCCAGCCAGAGGATTAGGAAGTAGGAAGCCTGAAGCGGGAAGCAGGAAACACAGTAGATAACACAGGCTGGTGCAGTCGAGATTCAAGGCACCAGGAGAGAGAAACTGATCACCCTTCTGCCTGGCCTGCTTGCATGAAAGAGTAGCCAGAGGAAGGAGCCCAACCCCTCAGGTTCCATGTGGAAAGTGGGTACCAGACCTTACACTCTTGCCAAAATTTCACATCATGGCAGATGGAGGAAGAAGATAATTTCCCATTAAAAAAATAATAATAATTCAAGGTCCTGCATGTAACCAGAAATTAAATGTCTCCTGCAGTGAGGAATGAGCTAGAGGTTGGGTCTGCCTAGAGGATTCTGGGGTCCGGTGGACACTCCTTGGCCATGTTCTGTTGTAAAGCAGTACATGGTGGCTGCCTCTCAGGAGGCTCTAAGGCGCCCTTCTGGGCTGGAGTGAATTCAGAGAGGGAAGCTTTTCTCATACGTTCCAGCCTTGTTGGAGGGCAATAGACTAGAACGGCTGATACTGATTGGGATCTTTCCTTGGGAGATCACACAGATGGCTTTTTCTTTCCTGGTATAGGATATTCAGAGTAAGAAGGAAGTAGAATTGAATATAGAAGTGAAGGTCAGAGAGTTCAGAACCCTGTCTTGTCCTTCCCCATCTAGTTCTGCCACTTAAGGGCAAGTCCCTTGGTTTCCACCTGCGTGAAATAGGCATGCAAGATTGCTTACCTGGTTTACCATCTGGTGAGAATGAAAATAAATCACAACTGTAAATGTGGTTGAAAAATATTATACCCATAGATATCTCTATCACTAGTAGAGGGACCCCATCAGCAATTATCCAAATTGGTACATGATTATAACTGACTCCTCCCCGCAATTCTCTTGCAAAACATAAATAAATATAGATATATCATGGAGACTTTTGAACAAACATTGCTCTTGGGTTTCAGCTGAAAAGTATCCAGCCCACCACATGCCCCCTGGGGGCATAATCTGTTGAGTAGTAGGGCTGAGAGTTTTATCACTCTTCCTGTAGCAACCTAGATTTCCTTGGGCCTCTCCCAAGTCAAGTAAAACAGTGAGAGTAAAATGCTGGCTCAGCATTTCAGTTTCTGCGAGAACATGTGCCAACATGATATGGATCGGGGACTCAGGGGAGTTTTCAAGCCAATAATGCAAATGAAAATAAAATAAGTTTGGGCAAGCAGCCTGCGATGTTAATATTACGTTCAGTGTTATAAGCTACCTTTCCCTGAAAATTATTACCTAGAGGTACTCGTTGGAAAACCAGAAATTGCTCTCCTAACTTAGAGATTTTAATCTTTGAGCTTGAAATCTACCAGATGCCAAAGTTTTCAGTATGGCTTCGTCCAACGTTCATTTGAATGTTAATTGCAGTCCTCCTTGCTTTATCTCACTCTCCCTTCCATATATCCACTGTTCTGTTCTACTTTCCTGGCAGAGAGTTGAATTTCCTGGGTAGAAACAGTTGTTCTCTGTCAGTGGTTTCTAAACATATCGGAACTCTTTCCAAATTGTACAATCTCATCTCACTCCCAACTCCAGCCCACCTTTCTGGTTGCTGTAGCAGTTGTAAAGCAGGATCAGTGATGTGAAATGGGCAAATAATTAAGCCCTAACTACATTTCATTCAAAAGTAAACCTGGGAAGAAAGTTCTCGTGGCTTAAAAGGCAAATGTTAATTTTGCATTGTAAAGAGGAGGGAGTGCAGCCCTCCAGGCCTGCCCATCCCGAGGGGCGTGCTCTGGGGACTGGGAGGACATGGGCCAGGCAGGCCTGATATGTGTGATTGGAGATGGAGCAGAGGGAGGAACAGCACCTCTGGGGAAGGTCAGATGAAAATCCTAGGGGACTACTCTACTCTGCATGTCAGGTAGGGTCCAGATACTCAGCATGGCCCAATGGAGAAGAGGGCAGGAAAAACTCCAGCAGAGATGGAGGAGAGGAGCCATTTCTGCCCTGTCCAGTGAGGGTGGATGACTTTTACAAGGACTCCCTGGGAAGGAGGTGAGAGTGGATGACTCTCTTCCCAATAATGAAAATGAATTTCTTTTTCTTGGTTTTGCATGAGAGCCAAGGACGGTTTCAGAAAGAACCACAGTCAGAGGGAGAAACTTCCTGTGCTCTTCAGTAGATGGAGGAAAGACCAAGTTGAGTCAACTCTACCTAGATAGTCACATAAGCGTAGCCTCAGGGGAACATGGGAGCTACACACAATTCATAGTCTGCAGGTGTGGCATGCCAACATCCCACTGGGGAAACAAGATCTTGGCAAGCCCATCAAAAGCCCATGAAACCAGCCACAGGCATTGTGGCCTATCCAACAGTGTTCTGGTGCAGTACTTGGGGCACCTACCTTTTTGGAATTACGGCACCTGGGTTCAAACCCCCTCCCCTTCCCTCATCCTTAACTTCACAATGGAGCTGATAATAGCACCTACCTCAAAGGGTTATTTGAAGAATGAGTAACACATATAAAACGTGTAGGACAGCATCTGGCACCAAGTAAGTGTTTAATAAACATCAGTTGCTACCATTTGCTCTGAGGCAATATAAAGAAAATAGAGGATGACTGGGTGCCCATCTTGGGATGAGATCCACCAGCACCACATCTCATGTCTCTTTCTTCCCACATACCTTTGTGTTAAGCTTTTTACTGGCTGTGTGAAAAAAGTCAAATCAACTTTGCCCAAGACTTAACTTATCCAGAAGGTTCGACTGGAAGATCTTGTGTGACAATAGCCCATGGACATATTAAATATAAATGAAAAGGAGATGTTTCTCCATTCGATACCCACCATTTAATGAGGTTTCATATGTGTCCACACTTCCCACCTCATTTTATCACACACACACGCACACACATACACATGCACACACAAGAAAGAAAGAAAAGGAAAGGAGACCTGGATTGGCTTGTGGTTTTTTTTGCAGGACTTCATAGACCTAAGTCACACTGGATGCAGTAGCAATTCCAAGTGGGCGAGGAAAAAAGAGCTGATCAGCCAAAGAACCCCTGAAAGAGAATCAAGGCTTCCACCTCCCGCTGCAGGAGCCACCTCAAAGGGCACCTTCTTGGGAAGCTTTCTCTGACTCTCCTTGAAGACATAGCTTCTCCCACCTTCCTACGCCCCTGGGTCTTGCCCACGCTTCCTGCGATAATGAAGATGATGAGGTTGTGTCATCACCTCTCCTGGGAAGACTGCGAACTCTTTTTCAAGAGCCCCCAACCCGGCACCTGGACAGCACATGGCATAGAAAAGGAGCTCAAGCTTGAATTGAATGAAGATAATGTTCCATGTTCCATGGGTGTCCAAAAAAAACAAAACACGACTAAGTTTCCAGCCTTTTTACAATGGACTGAATATTTATGTTCCCCATCTCCCACAAATTTATATATTGAAATACTAACCCACAATGTGATGGTGTTAGGAGGCAGGGCCTTGGGGAGGTGATTAGGTCATGAGGGTGGAGCCCTCATGAATGGGATTAGCACCCTTATAAAAGAGGCTGGAGCGAGGCCCTTTGCCCCTTCCACCACGTGAAGTCACAGCTAGGTGTCATCTCTGACCCAGAACACAGGTCCTCACCAGATACTGAATCTGCCAACACCTTTATCCTGGATTTTCTAGCCTCCAGAACTCTGACAAATAAATTTCTGTTGTTTAAAATCTACCCAGTTTGTGGTATTTTGTTATAGCAGCCTGAACGGGCTAAAAAATTTCTTGATTCCTTTCATTAGCAATCCTAAAGGAAGTGATAGTTGGGTCTTTCATGAGCAAAGAGTCTGTTACTAAGACGGTAAGAAGTTAGAGGAAAGTTACAAAGTAGACAAAGATGTCCACTTCTACTCAACACAGCTCTGGAGATCCTGGCTTATGCCAAAGACAAGAAAAAGAAGTGAGGTCCATGGAATGGAATAGAAGAGACAAATTGTAATTTCCAGATGTTATGATTTTATGATTGCCCACATTAAAAACTCCAAAAGAATCCACAAACAATTAGAACTAATAAGAGACTGTATCAGGATAGGATAGAAAATCAATCTCCTAAAATTAGTAGAAGGAGAAGCAAAAAGAGAAAGTAGACATATGAACAAAGAAACAAAATGTGTTTCTAGTTAAATACCTCATTGTCTTTGGGAGAAAGGGGAGGGATATGGAAATTTTTGATCAAGCAAAGCACAGGGCCCTTTGGCCACATTTCAGCTTGCAACAAGGAAGACTTTCCTAACCAGGGAGAACTCTATGGAGGCCTTCAAGCTGAGTTGGCACAGAGAGTATGGGACATATTATTAAATGTGAATTGAATTAGATGACCTTTCTGGTTCCCTCTAATCCTGAGACCCATTTAGGATAAAACACTCTGGCATATTCAAAAGGAAGAACATACACAATCATTGCTTTGTTTGGAGAATGTCATAGGCAACCTCTAAGATGGCGTCCAATGATCCCAGCCTCCTGGTATTCATGCCCTTTGTGTAAATCTCTCTTCTTGAGTGTGGACTGAATTTACTGACTTGTCCCTAACAAATAGAATAGAGCAGAAGTGACGAGATTTCACTCTTAAAATGCAGTTATAAAAAGACCGTGGCTTCCATCTTGGGTGCTTTTTGTCACTGCAAAGCTAGCCCTAAGAGAAGCCAGTTGCCAGGTTATCAGGTGCCCTATGGAGAGATCCACGTGGCTAAAACTGAGAGAGGCTTCTGTCTGATACCCAGCAAGAAATGGAGGCATTCAATCCAAGGGCCAGGAGAAACTGAATCCAGTCGACAACCCCATGAGTGAGCTTAGAAGCAGATCCTCCCCAGTCAGCCCTTCAGATGAGAGTGCAGCCCTGGCTGACACTTTGACTCCAACTTCATGAGAGGCCACAATCCCAGAGATGTCTAGCTAAGCTGCAGCCAGATTCCTGACCCATAGAAACTGTAAGATAATATATGTTTGCTGTTTTAAGCTACTGAGTTTTGAGATGATTTGCTATACAGGACCAGTAACTAATGCAGGGGTCTTTTCACCTGTGCTTCACACCGGGAACCTGTGCTTCTGGTCAGTAGCCTACATTTTTTACAAGGAATTTTAAAATTTAAATCTCTTGGAGTCCCACTTCATGACAGTCATATTTCTTTGAATTCTGGGCCTCACCCTACTTTTGAATATTAATTGGAGAGAAGTAGGAGGAGGGTGCTACAGGGTCTGCCTTAACCTTCAGGGATGTGTACTTACGTTGACTTGATGATCCTCATTCAGAAAACTAACAATCTACTAACATGTTCCCACTGCATCTTCTCTGGCCACAGAGTGCAACTGTCAAAAGCATCAATCAGCGCACTACCTGAAATTAACCATGATTCTGGGATGGAATTAACAAGCAGGTCATGTCCATGATTTGGCCATGGTTTTGGTGTTTACCATTCTTCCAGTCAGTGGTACTGTGTTTCCACTGACAACTTGATGCTCATTCAAGCATTTGGCCATATCAATATTGCAGTTCCCCAATACCCTCTCAGGCTAGGCTTCATAATACTCTCTCCTTTACCTCTTCACATTACCTGCTACTTGTTCTTTGTCTTTCATCTTAGGAACCACTTCCTTTGTGATGTGCTTCTTGGCCACTTAAACCAAGTCATTGTTAGGTGCTCATCCTACATTCTCCAACAATTCCTTGTACTTCCCCAATCACAGCACTTCTCACATTATTATACCTACTTTGTTATAAACCTTTTTCCCCACCAGACTTAAGCTGCAAGACTAGCTATTTTGTCTCTTTTGGTTCTGTTGCATCCTTAAAGCCTAGCAAAGTCTCTAGCACTTAACAATTGAATAATAAATACATAATAAATAAATAAATAAATGCTTTGTACTCTTCAGGCCAAAAGTTTGCTTCCAGAACTTACCCAAGCACCCTACCACGAAAATCTCATAGAACAGCAACCTGGATTAAAACAATGTGGACAATAAAAGGAAATCAGAATGCAAAAGGGCAGACATACTCAAAGGACAGTGGAAGAACAAGACAGCCATCCAGATAACACAAGCCGTCAGACACACTTTGTCTGCAGTTCACTGGTGAATTCAGGTGGGGGTGTGCTGTTGGCCTAAATTATCTGGATAAGCCTTCATTTTGCTTTGGTCCATAAACTCTTTTATCTCCTCTACAGTTGGGAAGTTGGCAAAGCTTGCTTCTCCCACCAGAGAATGCAGATGAGCTCCCAGGCACTGGCCTTCCTCCTATTCAGTTTCATCCCTTTTAGTTCCATTTCATTTCCTTTAGTTCCAGTTGGTTCCCTGGGTTAAGGATTCCAGAACTGTTTCAGAGCTACTTTCTATTTCAACTGATCTTACGATCGAACCTCAGTGAGCTTTAGCACATGGTATTCACTTTGCACATTATTCCAGCTTTGAGAATGTCGATGCTAAACTTTTTAAATATGATGGAAGGAACAACTTTAAAATAGTTTCAGAAAAAAATTATTGATGTCTTAAATCTCCTTGTCTTTTGCAACTTATTTTAAGCCACATGACTGTACAAAATAGCTACTAGAAGGCTTGCCATCCCCTAGGCTGTCTCTACAGAAAAAAAAAAATCACTTTGAACAAAAATGAGTTTAAAATCCTATTTAAATGACTGGTTGATCCAATCAACAAGGGGGATAACAGGGTGGATGCCACCTGATGAATTTACTTTTGCTGTATAGCAAACCACCCCACAACTTTGTGGCTTAAAACAATTACTTTTAAATTTAGCTCTCAATGCTGTGTGTTGGCTGGGTGGTCTTTGCTCTAAGCTGGTTAAGCTAATCTCTGTTGCTGGTCCCTCTCATGCCACAGTAGTCAGTTGATAGGTGGGCCAGTGGCTGGGTGATCTGGAATGGCCTCTCTACATAACTGGTAGGTGACAGGGTATCAGCAGGGGACTTGGCTATCATCCTCCAGTAGGCTAGTTGAGGCTCATCTGCATACAACTCAGTGTTCCAAGCCCAGCAAGAGAGAGAAAGTTCAAATGGACAAGCAATTTTCAAATCTCTGCTTGCTTTGCATTTGCTAATGCCGCAAATCACATAGTTAACCAAGATTCGAGAGATGGGGACATCGACTCTACCTCTTAATGAGGTATCTGCAACATCAAAGGAAAGTAAGTAGATGGGGAGAACAGAAGTATTAGTGCCATTTTTGTTCTCTATTATAATTTATATAGTTTATATAATTTTCTGTTATAATATAATTTCCATACAATTTGCCTTGTTCATTTCCCATGGATACTCTTTGAAAGAGCACTTATTTCCATTTTATGGACGACAACACTGAGGCACAAAGAAGTGAAGTAGAATGTCCATGGTTATACCACTAATAAATGACAGAGCTGGGATTTGGACTCAGTATCACATTGCTCTGAAACCTGCATTTCTACATTCCCTTTTGTGTATAACCCAAGTACTGGCTGGTTGCTAACAGGTTGCTAATCTGAATTCAAACATTTTTTTAAAAAAAATTCATGTATGTAGGCAGCAGCCTCAGTCTTGTGTTTATCAAATATTTTCAAAATATTTTGCAGAGATTATTTTTATTACCAGTTCAAAAAAACCTCAAGCCCCAGATGTGGTTAGTCAGGCTCTCTTCTCCTGAACATTCAAGCCCTAAGGCAATTTATGGTAATGAAACCTCAACTTCTTCAACTCCTTAGTGACATTCCTTCTCACTTATAAACAGAAATAATCTTCTTTTTTGAAACCATGAAATTCTGCTGCAGGCTCCACCCTTGGAAGAGACAAGACTCAGAATCTCTGGGCTCATTCCCCACCCCAGCTCTCCTTTCAAAACCATGGGGAACTGGGACCAGAACCAGGGAAACTGCCTCTTTGCATAGATAAGAACTGGTCATGTGAGCCCATCAAGTTTCAGGCAGATTACTAACCACTCCAAAAATGAAACCAGAGCCACAGTGAGCAGTGCCTCAAAGCTGGTCTCTCCCCAGTCCCTGCGAAGGTGGGTTTTCTCCATGTCCTGTTTCTGCCTCTCCTCTCCTCCTGGTGCTCTCCCTTTCTTACTGGTCTCTTTGGCCCTCTCCTTCCATTTCCATTTCTTCTAATCCAAACTTTCTTTCCTCCCCATACCCCTCTTTGACTGAGGAATACCATTAGGAATACCACTTCTATTGAAATGAGTCCAAAAGATGCCTTTGGCTGTAATTTGAAGAGATGGAAGACCCAGGAGGTGAATTAAATGCACTCAATGAATCTGGTAATCCTGTTTATTTTGAGGGAATAGAAATACATTATTTCTTACTTACATATATTCTACTTCTACTCTGAAGTCTCCCATTGACTAGGAATGAATTTATCTTCATTTGACAGTTTTATGACCCAAATCAGATAGCTCTGTCCATTGATCTGATTTAAAATGCAACCAAAGGACTGGGTTGCTTTAACAGAAATCTAAGCATGGCCAACAATGCCTGCCATCACCCAGATTTTTCATAATATGTGAGTTTCTCAGTGTGGCTATCAGGACCTCCTGGCGAAGCTTACCTCTTGAATGGCCATTATTTAGCAATAGAAATGATTCAGCAATGAAAACAAGTGCTTGACTTTTTTTTTCTTTTTAAAAGATTTATTAAAGCTCCTCAGAGGTTGTTTTTATAAAACCCAGCCCTTAGAGTGGCTGACCTTAAAAATATGTTTATCTAAGCTATATTCCCCAAAACGTTGACCAACATGATAAATAATTTATTTAATGTTGCCTTAAATATTATTTTGTTTGGTTTAAACCCAAAGTAGAAACTTCTCCCCAAAAGGAACACTGTCTCATTTTTGTATACAATGGCAACATTTGGGAACAAATAAAAGAAATATAATCTTTTTCACAAACGTTGGCTTACTAAGTGAGCTGGTTAATCCAGGGGATGCAAAATAAATGTTGTGACATTTGGCTGTTAAATTAGAAGCTGGGAACTTTGGTTGATGGTTATACCCCTATTTTTAGTACTTCCTTCAACTGGTAGGAAAATAAATATCCATAAATAAACATAGCAAGTGGGGCACAAAGGGATTATCAATAGGAAAATGCCCTTCACCCAAACCACGGAGGAGCAGCTACATGGACTGTGTTCACACTTACAAATGTCTTTTCCCAGAGATGTTGGTAAATCTAGAGCTTAGCTACATTGGAACTGCCTTCAAGACAACTTGCTAAGTGTACCCCCCACTTCCTCGGCAGAGCTGTCCCTTCATCCACAGGGGGACTAATCACGGAAGTCCTGCCCCTGGGCCACGGAGGGGGCCCTGACAGCCAAGTCAATTAGATTTCACTTTGCGAGCCCTGACACAAACTAGGCAATTAGATTCTACTTTGTGAGTCCTGACATAGGCTAGCCAAACAGATTCCACTTTCTAGGACTCTGTGATTGGTCAAGAAGCACATCTGACTCAACCTCAGCCAATTATAATTCGGTGTATATATGTGAAATAGGAAGAGAAGGAAGCTACTATTTGGGTCATAGAACTAGAGGCAAATCAAAGGCTGCCCAGGAAAAAGCCTGGCTACAACAGAGGGCACTAGAGAAGCAGAACTGAGCAATGGTGATGAGTGATTTCTGACAACGCTGTATAAGCCCCTGAGTCCAGCCATGCCCGACCATTAATTCCCCCCTTTTGCTTAAGCTGGCTGGAATCAGTGTTGGCATGTCATCTCTAATAACCAAAAGAGTCTTGACTAATCCCGGGCACCCAGGATGAGGCACAAGTTGTCCTCAGGGGATATTTATTCATTTTATCCCTCTAGCTTTCTGATACTTAGATTTATACCTATCTTAAATCCCACCATCAGAGCTACATATATTTCTGTTCATCCCCTTTTTTGGTGAAACATTCTCTATAGGTACAGGAAGTCAGGACAACTAGACAGAGTCTCACAGCAGTGAGTGTGATGACCATATCCTAGACCAAGCCAGTTCCTTAGAAGCAGTCTTGCTGATATCAGAGCATATCTTTGGATTAAAATTAAATGTGGGTGTGTGCTCAATGACCCGATATAATTACAAAACTCGTCTGTGAAGGCTCGTTTTGGGTTCAGCTGGAGACACATGTGGCACCTTAAAACTCAGGTGCCTGCATTGTACAGAGTACCTTACTTATATTGTCTCATTAAAGCCTCCCCCAAATCTTGTGTGGCAGGTATCTTTACTATCCCATTTCACAGAAAAGGAAGAAACACTCAGAATGGTTCAGAAACTTATACAGTTAATTAGTTGTGGAGGCTGGAAGAAATTCTGGGTCTGTAATATTCTATCCTTCCCTAAACGCTGGCCACTATGCTAAGAAAGTAAAAAAGCAGAGGGGTGGCCATGGGGGCTATCAGTCTACCATGTGAGATTCAAGAAGAGCTATTAAGAACAGTCATCAGTAAGCAAAGAACATTGAATTTGGAATTAGACTGTTCTGAAATTGACATCCTAGTTCTGCCACTCGTTTCTTCTGTGCTCTTGGGCACTTTTCTTTATCCCTTGAAGTCTTAGTTTCTCCACTGTGAAGCAAGGTTAATTATAATATAGTAGAGAGTCCTATTGCTTCTTGGCCCTTTGACTAAGATCAAGTGTATAGTAGACAGTCTCCAGGTACAGCTGCCAATAATTCCCCATCTCTCTTCATGAACACCACTCCTTGCTTTAATTTTGGAGGAGTCTACTTATTACCCTCTCCTTAAATGTGGGCTGGCCTCAGGACTTGTTCAGGCCAATAGAATGGGGAGGAAGTGACATTCTCAGACTTCTGAGCCCAGGCCTTAAGCTTCTGCTTCTTCTCCCTTGGAGCCCAGGCTTTAAGGAAGTCCAGCCTAGACTAATGAATGATCAGATGCCCTGAGGATGAATGACCATTTGAACATCAAGGCTTGACCAAACTCTAAACTAAATGCAGCCTCATGAAAGACCCTAAGCAAGACCAGCAGAAGAACTGGCCCAGCTGAATCCCAGCCAAACCACAGAATTGTAAGAAATAATAAATACTGTTATTTTAAGCCTTAGTCTCTGGGATGATTTGTTATGCAACAATAGATAACCGACTTGCCTCAGGTTGCTGGGAAGATTTAACGGGTCAATGTATGTAAAAGCAAGAACACCTAAAACAAAGTTTGCCATTCCTGTATTCAACACATGTTTATTGAGCAAGTACTTTATGGACACCACTGCAGAGGCAATTGGGATTCTGAGGGGAGCAGGGCAAAGTCCCCACCCTCTTGAAGCTTACGTTGCAATAAGAGGAATAATAAATAATCAAAAAAAATAATATAATGTCAAGTACTGACTTCTGCTGACAACAGTCTCTGTGTAGCCACCCTGTATTATTTGTATGTGCTGCTAATTATGCTTGGTTTACATGCTCTTGGTTCAGGCCTTCAGAAATTCAATGAAAGTGAAGAAGAGTAGGGAGGTAAAGGCTGAGAGGGAGAAGACCTATTTTAGATGGTGTGGTCAAAATGGCCCTTTCTGCACGGGGTATTTGAATAGACACTTGAATGATATGAGAAAGTCAGCCATGCCTTCCCTGTACAGCCATGACTCCTATGCATGCACCTGTTCACATAACGTATTCTAATTATTTGTTTTTGTCTTATCTTCCCTCATTGACAGAGAGCTCTCATAGGCAGACAGAGGCATTTCGCATTCAGATCCTCTGTGGTTTGGGCAGTGGTTGATGCCCAGTAGGTGCTCAGGGAACACTGATTGACCGTATGAAGGCATGTCACAGGGCCATCCACTACTCAACACAAGGCTTAAAGTCACTGAGCCAGGAAGGCCCAAAATGTAGCTGCTACCCTCCGCAGGAGACCCTGCAGAACACGGGCCAGATTCTCCCTTTGCAGAAAGCTTCGTTGGCAGCCCAGCTGTCCCATGACTTCCATGCTCAGCCTGAGGAAGCTCTGCCTTACTTGGGTCCAGTTGCTGGGAACAGCCACCCACCTGTCCTATACCCTTAGGCAGAAACATCTATGGCCATCACCAGAAGGGAAGTGTATACCTGCACTTTCCTTGAGCTGCCCAGCCACTATGGTACAGGGAGCAAGATCTCTAAGGACAGGGGAAAACCCAGGGGACCTGAGTTCTGCCTCCTCCTGCACTCAGCAGTCAGACTGCACGTTCCAGGCAGGACGTGACAGGAGGGAAGCCTGGTGGAGCAGAGGCATTTGCTCAGCAAGAGAAACTCTGTCCTTCCCTGTCCTCCTGACTCCACCTCATCTGGCCCACTAGAAACAACACCTCAGTTGGCCTCATGAAAAATACCACGCCCGATTTCAACGAAGACACCTTGGTTGTGCACAGCCCCAGGCCCACAGGGTGTGCTTTCCCCTCTGCCCTTCCCACCAAACGCTCCTTTATTATCCAACAGACCAGATAGCAATAGGGCGACTTCATCCTCCTGAGCGGCTCCACATTCCACAAAGGGGCCATTGCTATTTGCCACTCTGGGAGAGAAAGCCCGTCACGGGCCTTCCCCTATGGAGCCCTCTCTCTTTCCCTGCCTCTCCTCCAGCTGCTCCTGGTTCAAGCCGCTGCCTGCCCCGGCTAATAATGCCTTGTCATGCAGTGACAGAATTACGGTCTCACACTGGTTTCACATGTCACAAATAATTGTGCTCATTGCGCATCATATTGAAGTTGTCAGGCCTCTCTTACGCCTATAATTTGTGTGAGTTGATCATACTTTGGTAAATCAGCAGGTCGCAACCTGTGCCCTTTAGCCCCCATGGCTGGCTGAGAATGACCTACAAATCTTGTGACAGGGACAACAGAGAGGGTATGAACTGCTCAATTGCTCGTGTCTATCAGCTGCCGTGGAGAAAGCCCGTTGCTCTCTGCTTTCGCCATCACTTTAAACGGCTAACGCGGCACCCTATGTCAGCCCATCTTAATTTCTTCACATATGTTTTTTTTTCCCCCTAGTTTTTTTTTAAGTACTTTTGGATATTTCTAATTTTTTTTCCTTTACCACAAGACATTTTGGTGCCAAACCCAAGTGTCTTTCTTCCATGTGTTTTAAATAAAAACCTCCAGTGACTGTGATAAAGGGAACAGACCTCACTCTCTCTGCCCAGCCCAACTGAACAGAGCTCCACACAATGGTTAAATCTGGCTGGCAGCTTTATGAGCTCCATTGCTAACACTTTATTGGGTAACACGTTCACAAATAGTGTTCCTGAGCCTTTGTTTTCATTAAGGTACAACATGTACCATCAAGTTGCATTTAATTCTCTGCTTCGTATTTTATACACAGTATCACTCACCGTGGCCTTCAGTATCTAATGCTGGAGAGAGGGTAATGAAGTTCAAGCTGCTTTTATTACCCTGGATCTTCAATAACTGGCTTCTTAAAAAGTCAGTGGAAAAGAAGCAAGAATACCAAGTTCTGTCCAGACTGATGCTCTGCAGAAATGCTGGAGTGATGTCAAGAATAAAATGGTTTTATGTGGGTCTATCTCCAGGGGAGCTGTTGCAAGTTAGGTGCCCAGAGAGTGGCTAGCCTCCTCCTTGGTTAAGAAACAGAACATGGTGTCAATGGCTCCACGATGTTCACTCTGGTGACTTCCCGTTCTTTGGCAAGCTACCTCACTCCTGCAAAGAAGTACAAGTGGGTGGGTTTGTAATTCTGAAAGCAGACAGCAACATCTGACTGCCCATGTTGGGATGTCAGGAACTAAGGATGATGCCACTTGTTGGAGCAACAGCAGGCATAAGGGCAGTGTGTGAAAGGAGAGAAAATGAGCAAGCCTCTCTCTCCACACCATACAAGGCATGCCCATTTAATTTCCAAAAGCATCAACTGAGGGCATGTGAATCAGGAATAATTAGCAGCACACACAAGCAATGCACAGTTGTTACAAAAGACACAAACTCATGTTGCTCGACTGTTTGGATCCCTTTCCCCCTTACATCATAGGCACAGACCCATGATGGTTCTCAGCACTGAAAGGCGTATCACTTTCGATGCAATTTACAACAGCCAATCACCAAGTTAAGGCGGGAGTGGGGGAAGAAAATGTGTCTGGGTCGCAACTATAACCCTCCAAAGGCCCTAGCTATGAGGCAAGTTCAATGCAGATGTGGGTGGTTATGGACTGGAGGTTTACTTTTCAAGAGTATCTTTTTGCTGAGAAAACCCAATGGAAATGTAGACAGATGGGGGTTCAGATCACAGTACCACCTCTAACAGGTTTGGTGACCTAGGCACGTCACCTTAACTCTCCGTGTCTCAGTTCCTCAACCTGCAAAGTAGTTGGCTCACAGTAGGTGCTGAGAAGATCTTATTTTTTTTTTCTCAGTCTAGGTTTTTGTTTGCAAGCAAAGTAACAGTGACAGTTAAGCAGAAAAGGAATATATAGGGAAGATGTGGGCAGCTTACAGAGTCTGAAGAAATGCTGGAGAGCTGAGATGAAAAATGAGCTGGAACCAAGGGAGGTTAGAGGGCAAAGAACATAGCTGACACCAGACCTTGGGCACAATCCAGTTATGATGCTGCCCCTGGCACCACCTCCATTGGCACTTGAGTCCTACCACTGAACCCCAGACTCCAGTATCTTCTTCCTTCTCAATCTTTACATGGGACTGGGGAAGGAAGGAGTTCAGGCTTCAGGTTTTACTTACAACCCCTTTAATAATTTAATACAGTATGTATTATTTTTTGGTTCTTTTTCAACAAAGGTGTGGGGTGGGGGTGGAGAATCTGCATCAAAGCAACCTGATCAGCTTATCCAAAGCCATGCTGTCAATCAGTGACACTGTTTGGAATGAACACACACACACATCTCCAGTTCCCCTTAAGTTGTGTCCATAACTAGCTCATGGAATGACTGTGGGAAAATTCAGGGGAAAGAGTAAAACTCTGGCTTCCCATAGGAGCAGTGAAGACATTGGCTACTAAGTGCAAAGTCATCTTTGACTCCCACCTCTGTTACTGGTGAGACAGGGCTCTAAAGAAGTGCCTTGGATGGCCTTGCAAGATGGGACTCAGTCAAATCCATGGATAGGAAGAGAATGAAAAACGAATTCGGAAAATTCAGTCACACACTCCATTATTGAGTGGTTATGTTCTAGGCACTAGGCTAAGTTCTTTTGTGTCATTATTTTATTTAACATTCACATTAAATCAATGAGCTATCTATTATTATCCCCATTTTACAAATGAGGAAATCAAGGCTCCTGAGTCGGAGGGCATGTGGAGTAACATGGACATAGTACAAAAGCTTTGCCTTCAAAGCGGGACGTGCCCACAGATGTCTCTGGGTGGCGGCGGCATAGAAAAAGGACACGGGAATCCCAGGGCACAATATCATGGGTACTTAAGAAATGCCTGGTGATCTCATAATCTCCAAAACCGGTATTGTTTAGGCTAAGGGATCAAGAGACAAAAAGCTAAGGAATATTTCATGATCTGGAAACTTTCAGTTCCTTTAATATGAAAATGCTCAACATGAAGTATTAAAGATGTAAGGATTCAGAGGTTGCAGGAGGCCAAAGAAGATTAAGAGATTCTTTCCCCCAAATGAAGTGCACAGTGTATCCATTACAGGGCATGGAGATTTTCCCTCCCCTCCCCCACCTCCTCCACTTAATAGAGAAAATGCTGAAAATTTTGAAGAAATGCATTCTTTGTTCCTTAAGTTCCATGATTAATTAGGTATAAGCCATGTTTCAAAATGTTTCGTCATTTATTTTTAATTCTCCCCAGAGTGTGTACAGTAACTTGGCTCAGAACACATAGATTACATTGCAAATGCTACTCATATGCTGAAACTTTCTATGTGTCTTTCCCTTCCCTTCTCTGCTTTCCCCTATAGTACTTGAGTGGAAGAACAAGGCTGGATTTCCATCGGAGAGCACACCCTGCTTTGAGTGGATTTCTCCAGCCTATGGGGAACCGTCAGAAGGGGGACTGGAAACAGTCAGCAGGCAGCTGTGCGCCCACACAGGCATGGAGCCTCCCAGGTTGCTCTAACCCCCGTATCTCTGCATCAGTCAAGCAAAGGTGTGCATTTGGTTTAAGTCAGTCTTCATCTCTCCATCTCCCTTCACACACCCCTCCCCAGGAGTAATCCCCAGGCATAAGCTAGGGAGCGATACAGCGTAGCGGTAAACACGTAGGATCGAACCATGGAGCTCTGACTCCATTTTTAGAGCTTTATCTTTTTCTCATCTGTTAAATGGGGATAAGAATAGCCTCCAAGATCCACTGGGTCATCGTAGGAGCAAATGTGATTTAACAGAGTGCTTCATTCAGAATATGCTTTCTATGGGTGTTCACATTATTTTTGTTATTTTCAATTTGGCCCAACTCCCAACCCCCAACACACACACACACTTGGGGGCCAAGTGACTTAGGATAGTGCTTGGAGCAGTGAGTTTGAGTCTGTGGAAGAGAAATTGGATCGGTCAGACAAGTTCCCAAGTTGAAGTAATCTGTGTTATGCACACACACACACACACAAAATACACAACACACACAACACACACGTACACATGCACACACACACAGTCTCAGGGTACAAGATTTGTTGCTGATTCCAAGGCAGTGGCTGCTCTTCTTGCCTTCCATCAGACCCCCTGACTTGCTGCAGAGGTAGCCCCTCCCTTTGCAATACCTTTACTTCCATATCTTTGCTTCCCTTCACTCATCAAAAAAACACTCCTCCTCCAAAGCTCAGATCAAATGCCACCACCAGCTTGCAGTCCTCACTTTGCCACTCTTTAAGGTGGACTGCATATGGTCAAGGGTGAGGCCTCATCTCCTAGGCTTCAACTGCCTGGGCCTTGAAAGTGCAGTGAATTGAATCACCAGGTGTATCAGTTTCCTGGGGCTGCCATAACAAAGTACACAAACCGGGTGGTTTAAACACCGAAACTTACAGTCTCACTGTTCTGGAGTTTAAAAGTCCGAAGTCAAGGTGTCGGCAGGGTGGTTCCTTCTGAGGGCTGTGAGGGAGAATCTGTTCCATGCCTCCCTCTTAGCTTCTGGTGGTTTGGTGGCAATCTTTGGGGTTTCTTCATTTGCAGAAGCATCACCCCAATCTCTGCCTTCAGCTTCATACAGCATTTTCCCAGTATGCGTGTCTGTCTCTGTGTCAAAATGTGCCCCTTTTTGAGGGGTATCAGGATTAAGTTCTGGTAAAAACCAGAAAACCTGCTAGACAAATTCAAAACGAACTGTAACACAGATAATTTGTCCTTATTATAAGAACACAATTACTTTGGATTAGGGCCCACCCTAATGACCTCATCTTAGCTTGATCAACTGCGAGAACCCTATTTCCAAATAAGGCCACATTCACAGGTACTGGAGAAGAGGACTCTTTTTTTCTCAGGAGAGGCAGGGGACACTGTTCAATCCATGACCAGGGCTGAATGAGCAACAACTCTGAGTCAGAGTCCGTAGGTTTCTTCTGTTACTTTTTTTTTGAGAGCTGGGATCTTGCTCTGTTGCCCAGGCTGCAGTGCAGCAGTACGATCACAGCTCACTGTAGCCCGAAACTCCCAGGCTCAAGCAATTCTCCTGCCTCACCCTGCCAAGTAGCTGGGAATACAGGCTAATTTTTAAAAATTTTTTGTAGAGATGGAAGTCTGGCTATGTTGCCCCAGCTGGACTTGAACACCTGTCCTCAAGCAATCCTCCTGCCTCACTCTCCCAAAGCACTGGGATACAGGTGTGAGCCTCTGCTCCCAGCCTCTGTTTCTAATTCTAGCAGGGAAGAGCACTGAGAATACTGAGAGGGTAACATCCAAGCCTGCCCTTATCATCAAACACAGATAGTTCTCATCTGGTGGTTCTTGAGCCCTGCTGCCACATTAGCCTCATCTGTAGATCCTAAAGACAAAATGAGACAAAACCAAACAACGACGCTGGGATGGGGAAGACAGGTCAGTGAGACTCAGCCGTCACTTTCTTTCAGGTGCAGCCAAGGAGGAGATCCACCGTACTAGACTAAACACGAACAATCCATGTGCTTTTCCCTGGTCTAGCCCGAGAGCCGTTTCTTGTTTGGGGGCTTACAGTGTTACTTGGGATGTTTAAACAACTCTTAAAAAATTAAACTGACCTCTTATGTAGAATTCTGTAAAGAATATGGAATGTTAAAAATCTCCAGATGGTTGAGATTAAGGAAAAAACATACGCTTTCCTAAAATATGCAGCCATTCGTCTTCTTTCGGTAGCACCAACTCTTGCCCAAATGGAGAGGTAGAGGCAGGGGTTTCAGTCTCATAGTTGTAAATGCTTTGAGATCCAAGATGGAAAGATTTTATAGGCCGTGAAGACACCACTGCTGCCTATCCTCATGGTGGCCAGCATGATAGTCCAGGCTTATACTCAATGTGTCTTGCTGGTTTAGCGTGGACATGGTATTGCTGGTGCCTTGTGTTTCCGTTGGAGAGATGAGCTGGCATATGAAGAATATGCAGACAGCTGGAGAGGAATGAGCAATCCACAGGCCCAGGTTTTTTCGTAGAAAAGAGAGCAGGCACACTGGTAATCATAACAATAGGGAATAGTTCCATGAGTATATCAGGCATCTGATAGTTAACGGTAACGATGTCCTTATTACTTCTAATTTTTTTTTTTTTTTTTTTTTTTTAGGCGGAGTCTTGCTCTGTCGCCCAGGCTGGAGTGCAAGTGGCGCGATCTCAGCTCACTGCAAGCTCCGCCTCCCAGGTTCACGCCATTCTCCTGCCTCAGCCTCTACAGGCGCCCTCTACCACACCCTGCTAATTTTTTTGTATTTTTAGTAGAGACGAGGTTTCACCGTGTTAGCCAGGATGGTCTCGATCTCCTGACCTCGTGATCCGCCCGTCTCGGCCTCCCAAAGTGCTGGGATTACACGCGTGAGCCACCGCACCCGGCTACTTCTAAATGTTTATGCCAATTTTCTAACTGCCAAAATCTAATTTTGAATATTTGGCTACTTGAGTGACTACATTCTTCTCCGTGTTTTGGAAATATGAATACAAAGCAGATACTTTGGAAATTAAACACATTTGTATGGGGAATATTTTATTAAAGAGACTAGAAGGACAAAAGTCACTTACATTAGCAGTTCAGTCTTTGCTACCTGAGAACAAGTTCTAAGAAACAGCAAATAACAGGCATACAGGCCCTATAAAGGAACTGTGAAATTACTCATTCTGATAAAATTCAGTTTTCTTATTTCAGAGGGAATTGGGGGAGGAGGTGTAGAAGAAAATCAGATAGTCAATTAGGACTAACTACATGGCTAATCGCAAAGATTACAAATCCCAGGGAGGTAAATGATACCTACGGCCCCTCTATCTTCAGTAAACATTTAAAATAATAAAAATGATAATTTATCCATTGCCACAAGTTTGACCTCTTACCCTGGTCATATCAGAGTGGGTCCAGCAGAAAGGGGAGGAAGGTCTAAACTTTGCCTGGGTGATGTGAGGTTAGGGACTGAGGACCCTCTTCTGCCAAAAAGTTAATCTCCAGTATTTATTTGGGTGCAAACGAAAGTAGAATAATGGGGAAGGAGGTCCTTCATGTAAAAGAAACTCAAAAGCTTTACAGACTGAATTAGGTGTAATCCTTATGGGATCCCTAACAGCTCATAAATAACTTTTAATGAGATTTCCAGCGAGTAAAATAGCACGTGGGGGAAAAAGTATTCTTTTTTATTTTTGTTATTTTGTTTTCAATAAAGCACATGCTTCATATCGTTGTTTTCCAAACCCATAACCAAAAGAAGGGAAACCATTTCAATAAGAAGAGATTAGTACTGAAAATATTTAATTAACTGATAGGGACAGGAAACGCTTGAGTATGTCATTGAAAATACTTGACATTGACCACTAATCTATGGAAACTTATAGAGCTGAGTCTAAAGCATGTTCCAGAGTTAAGCAGAGAAATAAATCAAGGTTTGCAAATGTCATTTAAGTTTTCACCTGTCCCACGATTCAAAATTATTGGCTTCCCAATGAAAAGCATATGTTGTGTCCTATGCCTGGGGAGTAGTAATGAAGTGAGGCAGACACTCTCCAGCGCTCCCTCCCATGGTGCCCCTCTTTATTTCCCATCAAGTGAAAATAATTACTGTATCCTTAAGGGAGCGCTTCCCTGCGTCTGGTCTGCTGATAAGGGCTGCCATGCTGGCTCCTCCAGCCCTGCCCCTCTTCCTTGAGGGACAATGGTTTGATTTACGAGAAAATAGTTGGCAAATTGCGATGTCTATCTTGATGGATGACATCATTTGGACCATTTTGCTGATCATGTATGACTACCTTTTTTTGTTTAGCCTGGTTGCAATTGATCCGCAACTCCAACAGCTGAAGAAGGGGGAAAAAATAGCAATTGCCTTTTCTTGGAGAGGTCACCAAGCAGAAAGAGCTCTGGCCTTTTGTTACCTAGAAACTCACCAGTGATGTTCAAGCCCTTTACGAAGAGCTCTCATAGATATTATCTTAGACGATCCGAACAAAGGCTCTCAGAAGTAGGCAAGAGAGGTATAGTTCTTCTCATTGGGAAGATAAAATGAAGTTCAGAGAGACTGAGTGCATTACCCCAGGTCACACAGCCAGTCAAAATCAGGGGTTCGAATCTTGGTCTTTTGACTCCCAAGCAAATTCTTTCTCTTTTCATTGTTTCTTGATGGAACAAGAACGTACACTTAGTGACAAAATCAAACTCCTCCTATAATAGGCTATTCAGTCCCGCTCCTTCCCGAGTTTCTGGGAGCTTCCTAACTGATCTCCAAGCCCATGATATCTCCCTTCCCAGTTTTCCTCCTAGCCACCACAAGCATTATAACCCTACAACACAAATCCAATTATGTCACTATCCTGTTAACTTTCAGTGTCTTCTGATCCCCCAACACTTGCCTCTCAGGACTTTCCACCTTATCCTCTCTAACAGGAAGGTTGTGGAGGTGTGGGGTGGGACCTAAAGTGGTCTATTTTGAATCTATTTGAAATCTCATGCTTCATATCTAATTTTATTTATTTTTATTTTTATTTTTATTTTTTGAGACGGAGTCTTGCTCTGTCACCCAGGCTGGAGTGCAGTGGAGCGATCTTGGCTCACTACAAGCTCCGCCTCCCAGGTTCACACCATTTTCCTGCCTCAGCCTCCTGAGTAGCTGGGACTACAGGCACCTGCTACCAC
This sequence comes from Homo sapiens, assembly GCF_000001405.40. Taxonomy (NCBI): domain Eukaryota; kingdom Metazoa; phylum Chordata; class Mammalia; order Primates; family Hominidae; genus Homo; species Homo sapiens. The sequence continues at coordinate 113,349,471 of NC_000010.11, read as the reverse complement.
GCCTGGCTAATTTTTCATATTTTTAGTGGAGATGGGATTTCACCGTGTTAGCCAGGATGGTCTCGATCTCCTGACCTCGTGATCTGCCCACCTCGGCCTCCCTTTATAGCTAATTTTAATAGGGACTTTGCATTATATTCAATATATTCTTGTTTACTTTCACTTAAAAACAACTATTTCAATCTAATCTTTAATTAAAATGAATGCTCAGGGAAAGCAGCCTCATCTTTATTTTATGGCATTGGGCTCTCCTTAGTATACCTCCTAGTTTTGAGTACTCCCAGTACACATCCTGGCTCCCAAGGGATCAGGTCTAGGGCCTTAGCATTGACCATAAGTTCCTTGTTCAGCCACCTTACCTTCCTCCTACCCTCATTTCTACCACTCATACCCTGACCTCTTACACTACAGCCACGCTGATCTTTCATGCCTCCGTCCCTGACCTCTTACACTACAGCCACGTTGATCTTTCATGCCTCCGTGCCTTTGCACAGGATCCTCCCTCGGCCTGAAAGTCTTTTCTCCCTTTACCTCGAAACTCCCAGCATCCATGCATGGCACCCCTCAGTGCACCTTCCCTTGTGTCCCCAACTGTGGGTCTATCACCAGCACCCCATTCCTGGTAGCAGTTAACCATCTGGGTCCTAGTCATCTACAAGAATGTCCCTCTTCTCCCACTAAACTAAGTTCTCTTACCCACCATCTTCATAGCTACTAGAGCCCAGTATACTCGGCATAAACTAGGTACTAAATAAATGTTTGTAAAATAAATAAAAACTATTAACACACTTTCCACTAGGAGATTTGTTTTTAGAAGCTAGCCTAATCTCAGTTGCTTATATTGTACAGTTTATAAGAGCTTTTATACATTTAAAAAAACTATCACGTGCATTTTTTATGCGTGTCAGGTGCATGATCTCATCGGATCTTCATGATCTCATTTTTCTTCAAAAAAGCAGGTAGAGCAACCCCTCATTCTCTTGCCATTATTTGGAGGTAAACTCCAGACCCTGGAGTCCAAATGCCTGCGTTTGGATCACCCTCTCCTTACTATCTCTGCTTGAGCTCGGTTTCCTCATCTGTAAAAGGGGATGATAATACTTGGCAGTGAAGGCCATGAGCTCTAGAAATGACAGCCTAGGTCAGGAATTGGCAAACTATGGCCCATGGGCCAAATCCAGTACACCACCTATGTTTGTGTGACCTGGGAGCTGAGAATGGTTTTTATAATCTTAAGTGATTTTAGAAAATCAAGAGAGTAGTCATATGTTGTGACCCATGCACATTATATGAAATTCAAATTGCAATGCCTATAAACAAAGTTTGATTGAGACATAGCCCTGCCCATTTGTTTACATATTGTGTGGCACTGTTTCTGCGCCACAGTGGCAGAGTTGAGTTCCTATGACAGAGACCAATCAGCCCACCAAGCCTAACATGCTTACTGTCTGACCCTTTGCTGACCGCTGATCTACGGTCAAGTCCTAGTTCCACCCCTCACAAGCTCTGGGACCTTGGGAAGATTGGGTAACCTCTCTATGCCAGCTTCCTCTGTGAAGGAGAGATAATAATATCTGCCTCCCAGGGCTTTATGAGATTAAGTGAGGTAACACACTTAAAGCGCTTCGTAAGGACCCAGTACTATGAATGCTAGCTAAAGTTACTAAGTTACCTTCCCAGAGGGCTAGAATTTGCCAAGTAGCAGAATAGGGGTGGGAAGGAGGTACTAGTGCCAGCTGTGTGGATGGTTCCAACATGATGTAATTGGAGAGGCTGAGAGGCAGGATGAGAGCCAAACGGAGCTGAAGGGAAAGCCAAGTGCCAAGGTACAGGAGAGCCTAAGAGGACGCCTTTCCAAAGGGCCCAGCCTGGACCCTGGCTGGGTCCCAAAGTTGAGTTCCTGGTTGGGTTTAGAGGGGACCAACTCAGAAGTCAGTGAGGAACAAGCCAGGAATAGGAATAGAGGGCTCTGGAAGATTTCCCCAGGACCCAGACAGCACTCCACAGGAGGACAGGTTTAAAGGGACAGGCTTCTCATCCCCATTTACTCATGAGAAGACAGAAGCTCTGGGTAATCAAATGGCTTGCCCAAGACAATACAACTAGTAAAAGTGACTAAATGCAAAATACCAGGTGCCCAGACCTGAACTTCTCCATCCACTTTAGCCTACTGACTTTCCTACCGGATGTTTCAGGTTCAAATTCTTTTGTGAATCTTAAGAACAACATCACTGAGTCTAAGGGACTAAGGGAAACAGTATGTTGTGCTATTTTGTTTTTTCCAAGAACAGAGAGCATTAATTTTCTTAAAACCATCGAGCATGAATTAAAGGTGTTTTCTCCCCTTATGCAGTTAGAGTCCTTGTTGCTGAAGGTAGCAGGAACATGCTCCACAGGCTCAGATTTTCAGCCAGACCTTTCAGAGAGGGGTCTCTAGCCTGAGGGTGTGTTTTTCTCCATAGTTCAATGACAACCCTGCAAATGGCAAATTGTCTATGATTTGAGAGCTGCAAGGATCCAAGCTGCATTGAAAGGAGAAGGAAGGAAAAAAGCATGCTAAGAAAAGCAACAAGTAATTCAAAGACCTAGGCCAAACGTAAACCTATAGATTTCAATAGACACTTGATTAAAATGTCTTTATAATGTCTGCATGTCTTTGCAAGAAGGCTCCAGATCTACAGCTTCTTTTATTTATTATTCCTAACATTTGTGATTGCCAAAGAAGATTGAGTTCAGAAAGGCACTCTCCAAGGGAAGGGTGGAAGGCAATCCTGCTTTAGAGCCTGGCGACCCAAAATGTTTGAGCTGCCCTGTTGAAAGTGAGGATTCTTGTTTATTTGACGATTTTTCTCTCTTGAACGTTGTATTTAAACAAGCGTCTCCTTTGGTCCAGTGTTTCTGCAAATGTATTTATAGAAGAAATTTTCCTTTCTCCCTCTAATCTGTTTTTCATATTTTGGTGAAAGGGATAATATATAAAATTTTACAAGGGTTTCGCTTTCTTTACATTTCCTAAATGTGGGCATCTGGTGTTCTCATTAAGCAAGCCATGTCCATTCATAGACTCACCACATCTTTAATTCATGCTAAAGAGCAGTGCTGTGATTTGAAGATTATGCTGTCTCCCAGTGTTTTTTAGAAAGTTTGTTTTAAAAAAAAATCTATCCAGCATTCTTTGGTTAATTTCATTCTGCTTATATCTTTAATTTCCAAAGTTTCCTCCTTCTGTCTTTTTTCCCCAATGGTAAAATACATAGCATTATTGTTTCGTGGACTCTGCCAAAAGCATGCTTTTTTATGCTACAAGTTTCTGACTAAGACCCATCTAAATTTTAGGCTTTGGGGCTGAGGAAAGAGAGAAAGGCAGAGAGAGAGAGAGAGAGAGAGAGAGAGCAGGCACACTGCACACAAAGAGTTTCTCATTACGCATTACAATGAGCCCTCGAAATACTATATTCCTGCTGAGAGCACCTCAGATTTGGTCAGACTTTGGAAAACTCGAATTAGAGTTAAAATCTCCTGAAAGTGATATAAACCAAAAGATTGGCTCAGTTTCTGTGATGTCATCAACACATTTAATTATGTGAGAGAAATGTTTGGATAGGATGCAGGGAAAACACACACACACACACACACACATTTAAAATGCAATAGTTCAACCATAGGCCAAGAAATTAATGTTAATTTCACAATTTTCACCTAAAGAAGTTTTGTCTATAAACCCCTTATGATGCTTTTATTATTGTTGTTAGTAATAATAATGACAATAGCTTAAAACAGAAATAGGAGTTCGGACAGAAAATATCATTGTCCCTCATTTGATTTGAATAGGGATGCTCCCTCAAACAAGACTTTGCATAGTTTGCATTTTTCTAATATGCTGGTACTACAATTTCCCCTCAAAAGTTCTCAGCACATTAGGGAGTCACTTACATATAGAAATCCATTTAAATTGACAAGCTGATGAATGACCTGCCCAGGTAATAGAGATGACTGTGGGTAAACATATTGGGTGCAATGTATTTTAATGATGTCTAAACAGTCAGATGTTGGTACACCCAGTTGGGAAAGGTCTGCTGAAATTGAACCTGCTTGTTTTCTTCAAGCTCATTCACAGTAATTTATGAGCCTGAATGTGGTCTGCAAGTTTTCTTCCTGTTGTTTGCCCTCCCTTGGAGTTGAGTTGTGACTCTGCTCCATTAGGCTGGCAAACCAGTTGCCTTGAATGTAGTGGTTTCTGTAGGCTGTATTTCTTAATAGGACTTGGGTCACCCCAAATCAAAGTGAGTCACTCATTCTCCTGATACCTCTGAACCTCACATAACACCTGGTGTTTTGGTCCTAAGGACAGTCTTTAGAAAAGCAAATAGTCTGGTAGGTCAACTAGAAATTATGTGATGCAACATTAAGTATATAGCATCACTTATGCTGTCTTTTAGCTCAAAGTGTGTAATTGAATCTATCAAGACTTTAGATATGGTATCCAGCTTACAAGAAACACAGGGGATAGAGGAACAAGCTTAATAATACCACAAGGAGTCAACTAGACAAATCTTGATTGGAGGACATCCTACAGGACCTCTGGCCTGCCCTCTTCAACAAGTCAGTGACATCAAAAAGCAGGGTATTAGATTAAAAAGATTCGAAGGCCATAACAACTAAATGCAATGTGCAATACTTCTTTATATAGCTGTTTGCACAAGCACCTGTAATGGACACTTGGGGATCAGCTGGGGGCAGTTTTTTTTATTTTTGATTTTTGTGGATACATAGTAGGTGTATATATTTGTGGGGTACATGAGATGTTTTGATACAGGCATACAATGTGAAATAATCACATCATGGAGAATGGGGTATCCACCCCTGCAAGCATTTATCTTTTGTGTTACAAACAATCCAATTACACTCCTAATTATTTTTAAATATACAATTATTATTAATGATAAGTTGTTACCCTGTTGTGTGGTCATTCTTTCTAATTATTATTTTGTACCCATTAACCATACCTGCTCCCTCGCCCCCCTCCACCCACCCACCTCCCCACTACCCTTCCCAGCCTCTGGTAACCATCCTTCTACTCTTTATATCCACGAGTTCAATCGTTTTGGTTTTTAGATCCCACAAATAACATGTGATGTTTGTCTTTCTGGGCCTGGCTTATTTCACTTAATGTGATGATCTCCAGTTTCATCCATGTTGTTGAAATGACAGGATCTCATTATTTTCTACGGTTGAATAGTACTTTATTGTGTATATGTCCCACATTTTCTTTAACCATTCATTTGTTGATGGACACTTAGGTGGCTTCCAAATACTGACTATTGTGAACAGTGCTGCAAGAAACATGGGAGTGCAGATATCTCTTGACTATAGTGATTTCCTTTAAGTATATTCACAGAAGTGGGATTGCTGGATCATATGGTAGCTCCATTTTTAGCTTTTTGAGGAATCTCCAAACTGGAGAGGAGCATGTATTAGTTTGGGGGAGGAGCATGTATTAGTTTCCTATTACTGATATAACAAATGACTGCAAACTTGGTGGCTTAAAACAACACAAATTTATCTTCTGGTTCCGAAAGTCAGAAGTCTGAAAAAAGTTTCACTGGGCCTCTTCTGGAAGTTCCAGGGGAGACTCCATTTTCTTATGTTTTCTACCTTCTAAAGACCACCTGCATTCCTTGGCTCACAGCTCCAAATCACTCTGACCTCTGCTCTGTCATCACACACCCATCTCTCCCTCTGCTTCCATCATCACCTCACTTTCTCTGACACTGACCCTCCTGGCTCCCTCTTATATGCACCCCTGTGATTACATTCAGCCCACAAGGTAATCCTGGATAATCTCCCTATCTCGAGATCATTAACTTAATCATGTTTTTAGAGTCCCTTTTACCATATAAGGTAACATATTCACAGGTTCTGGGGATTAGGAAATGGATATCTTCTGGGAATGGGGGAAGGAGGCATTGTTTGGCCTACCACCGTGGAAATATGCTTTCTTCATGTCTGGACTTTTACTTGTCTGTATTTTCTGATATTATGCATTGCCCATTGACTGGATCTTTAACATAAAAAGAAAGTGGTATATTTTTCCTGCCTGAGAACTCTGCAGTTCTCCCCTTGGTGAGCCTCAACTTGCAGAGGACAAAGGAGACTGTCTGGCAGATGAAGACCCAACTTCACAGGGAAAGGTGTAGACACAGGAGGTGTCAGTAACCCCCTCCGGATCCCGCGTCAGGCATCAGGATGCCTTGTCCCACATTTAGTCCTTTCAACAACAACACCAACGCCAGCCACCATCATTCATTGTGGGCTTCATGTATGCCATGCCCTGTGTTCAAAGCATTATCTATGGAAACCTTATCTTAACCCCAAAGTATGTATTTGGGGCCAATTTTACAGAAGAGGACCCTGAAGCTCAGACAGGTTAAAGAACTTGCCCAAGGCCCCAACTTGTTTGTTGTAGAGTCAAGTTCCAAACCCAAAGCCTGAGCTCTCAACCTCTACTCATATTTTCTCACTAAAGAGACCAGAAATGGTCAAGACATTTCTCCTTAACCAGAAGCAGGGGATCTGCTTCTCATGAAGCTAAAACTCAGAGCATGTAGCCTGGAAGAGGCCTTCATAATCACCAAGTCCAAACTTCTCATTGTACAAATGAGCAAATAAATGTCTAAGTCAATGCAGTGAGTCACGAGCAGGGCCAGGAACAGGGCTCAGGGCTCCTGGCTCCCTATCTGCCCAGGTCTCTTTCTACTAAACAATAGGCTTCCATTTTTTTATCCTCATTTTTCATCCTCTGGATGCCAGAAAAATAATCCTTTGTCCCAATATAAAAGGGAAAATAAAGAAATGGGATCATTTGGGATTGTGTCAACATTTACATGCATAGCTCTAGGAAAAGCAGCTCAAGCTAAGCCTAGCTCTTGATTACTTCCAGTTGAAGGGAAGGCAATGTTTGCACAGGAGCTAGATCCCTCGTTGCCATCCTGGTTCTGGCACCTCATACACCCAAAGAAGATCCCACTGTTTCCCCAGGAGACCAGAGCACTCTACTGCCCATGGATTACAGGCCATTTCTGCCCCATCTTTTATCCCTTTTAATCTAAAGCAGCCCCAAAGAGCAGGCAGCTTGGCACTGAGGTGAGGACAATGGCTTGGGTTTGTAGCAGTGGGTTCACTAGGTTCTTTAATGCCTGTCCAGTTGGTTCTGGCTTGTGTCACCAGATGTGTGGCACAAACCCAGGGAGCAGGAGTCCCAAACTCACTTGATGTCAAGATGCCCCTTGGGGATCGGTAAGACATCCCTTCAGCTGGATGTGGTGCCTGCCCCAGTTTTGCTATGACCCCCTTAAGGCTCAGCCTTGCTCAGGCCCTTAGTATGAATCTCTGAAGTGGACTATTGTAAGTAGCCCCCTAATTGGTCTCCCTGCCTTTATCTTCCCTTGCCCCTCTGTTCAACCTGCCCCCTACCAAGCCAGAGCATCATCCTGAAGTCCAATTCTGACCAAGAGTCCCTCCTTCAAAAACTCTCAATGGCTCCCTTTTGCCAAAAGGATGAAATGACTGATGGCTTCTCTGTGCTCCCAGCCCAGGCCACATCACAACGGGTGGCTCACATATCTCTCAGGCTGCCCTGCTGCCCGTGGCCCTATGAAATCAACACTACTGCTGGCTCCCATGGGATGCTCAGTGTAACTTCCAGTACTCATGGTCCTGGGATGGTATCATGGATCTTGATGGTATTTGATGCGAGGGTATCAGTGTCAATGCCCCAGCCCACTGAACACAGCCAGAGTCTGTACCAATGCCACTGATGCTAAGGGTGATACCAATGGTACCAATGACCCATTCTCCTGAGGCTACTGAAGCCATTAGCACCAAGGCCACTGATGTCTTGTGTGATCAGTGCCTTCTCTGTTAGCATCCACAGAGGTCCCATGTCTGGGGACACAGGGATAAGGCTTGGGGGCAAAATGAAAAGGCTGTCTAAATGAGAGAACCCCCCTCCTACCCCAGCACTGCTCCATTGGTCCTAATTCATGGCTCTCACTAGGACAAGCTCTTAACCAGGCAGCTCCTCACTTCCTCACGGAGATAGAACAATCCACTGAGAGGGAACAATCCACTGGCCTCCCAGCAGGCCCAGACATGCCTGAGTCTACAGCAAATACTTTCTGATGCATTTCATTCCATGGTATGAACCAGGAACTATTTTATTGATAAAAATATGACCAAATTACATGTATTCAGGACACCAGAGAAGGTAAATTCTTTCTTTAAGACCACAGTTCTTAATTTTTTCTTTAGCGTACTTGATGCTTATTCATTTTTAGCTAGTAGCAGGTGTCAAAAGTATGAGACATGTGTGAGCAAAAGCTTAAAATTGAGAAGCTTCTCTCAAGTAACTTAATTATATTTTGCATCTCTGGAGTAACCTCTCTTATTCCATTTTCAGGAAAGATTTGGGGTTCTGCAAAGACAGAGCTTGACTAATGCTCTTCTTCATTTTACAAATGAAGAAAAGACCCACTAGGAACACTAAGGAATTTCCCAAGAGTTGCTGTTACCCAGATCTTCATCCTCCCTTACCAGGACACCTACCCTCTGCTCTCATTCTGTTAAATAGTCATGTCCCATCAAACAAAACTCCACTAGCGAGGCCGGGCTGCTGCCACCACCTGCAGTTAGTTCCATGCGGTCCGTATTGTCAGGCTTTATAGATGATGTTACAAAAATCAGAGCTTGGCAAAAAGTCCCTCTTTTCAGACATTTTATGTGGAAAAAAGAAGAAAAACACAACCAGATCATTTTCAAAAATCACTTACAATCAGCTGGAAGGTATTCGGTGAACTTTGTTTTACAGCGTTTTGTGGCCAGTTACAAATTTGGGTCATGCCCTGCAATCAATCTCTGCTGGGAACTTTCACTGAGGCTATCAGGGGAATTCGAAATAAAATGTTAGAGGCAGGATCAAGAATGCACAGATGAGCTGGAGAAAAGTATGACTGGCTTTCTGGATGTGTGATGAAAGAACAGCTGGATAACTCCGATACAGCCCAGAACCAGGTTCTCATCCAACGTCACTCACAATTAAACCTCCATCTCTGATGGCAGAGAGGCTTTATGACTTAAGCACTGAGACCAAATCATCTCTGTGATTATTTTATTGGCTGTAAGGTACATGAAATAATGGTTACAACATGAAACCGTACTTTGTCTGAGACAATAGGGAGCAACCACCAGGGCTAAAGAGCGTTCCGTGTCTTCTTGGCAAGGACACACCCTCTTTGCCTGGGAAACTTAGCAAATTTCTAAAGGAATGAGTGCAATTCCCCCAAAAGCTGGTGAGTGAAAATAACTGTCTTTAATAAATACTCATCTTTGTTTTAAAAAACCTGGCTTTCATCTCCAAAATGCAGGCAGAAGGAAGGACTAGGAGCACCATTTTAGTCTTCTTTGGAGGACCACAAAGATGTTTCAAGTTCTTCCCAGAAGCAAGCTATTAAACATGGAGCTCATTCTCTCCTCTGCAGTCTTTCTTTCAGAGGAGTCGCACAACAACAAAAATGAAAGGTCACATTCAAACTGCCAAGGTTTCCCCAGGACTGTAATGGTGTTACCTCCTAAAACCCCAAATTTCATGGCAGAATATTTCAACTGAAATGTGGAGATCCCTGTTGACATCTGGTTCAGTAAGCAATCCCTCTGGTTTCTTAGAAGAAAATTAAGCTTTAAAACTAGTGGGAAAAGTGGTCTGGACTCCTATCTTTGATCCCTAGAGAGGTGCTAGTTAGATAATAATGTAATAGTTCTAACCACAAGAAATACTACCATGTATTGAGTCCTTATATGTGCTAGGCTCTGAGCTAAGGGCTTTGCATTAAATAACTCATTTAATCCTTACAAGAACAGCACAAATTAGATAATACTACTATCCTTATCTTACAAGTAAAGAAACTGAGGCTCAGAGAAGTTAAGTAACTCGCCAAGATCACACAGCAGTTAAGTCATAGAGCTGGACTTCAAACCTACTCAATGCAGCTCCCAATCCTGTCCTTAGAACTATGGCCCTCTCCCAATCTGAGAAGGGAGGGAGAGATTCTAGTCAGACTTTGGAGGACTGAGGAGAATTTTCATCCAGGGAAGAACAGAGTGCAGCCAGAGTCCTGCTAGGCCTCCAACGTGGGAACGCGGCAAGGCAGCTGGGCCCCATCTGGAGAAAGGTGAAGGCAAGAGCAAGGCTGAGAGCAATGGAGGGGAGGGGAGGCCAAGCAACCACAGGTGCCTGAGAAGGCCAAAAACATCGGAACCAGGGAGCAGACTGTGACCTCCCTACAGAGATTTCTAGCTGGGAAAGGGAGTCACTGCCTCCTCCTCTGACACTCAGACTGCCTGGCCAAGCTGTCACAGGACCTAGAACAATTGAAAAGCAAAGTCTAGAGCCCACCATTACTCAGGGTGATAGCTGTTGTTATGTTGACTGGTGTGATTTTGGATCCTCTGAGAAGCAGACTTCTAAGACAGGACTAGACATGATTATTGAGGAAAGGACCGGGAAGAAGAAAGGGAGGGCTCTGGAGAAGGCAGGGGAGCCTTCAGACAGCAATGCAGATCTGAACCCTGGAAAGGAGGGAGGAAGGAAGACTGGGTAGGAAGCCTCAGGCAGTTGGCCAGCTCAAAAAAGGGTTGGCCAGGCTGACAGGGAGGCCTCAAGCCAAAGTTGCCTATTGAAGAGTCTTAGATCATTCAGAAATGAGCCTCTGCGTGTCCCCACACTCAGTCACTGACTGGGAGCAGCTCACAGGAACCACGGCCTCAGCACAAACTTGGTGGTGGGTCTGGAGAGACAGCAGCTGGAGCACCAGTCGCTTATGCTCCTCGCAGCAGGAGATCAGAGTAGTGCAGGTTCATGGTCACCACAACTGCCTATCCTCTAGCTGGCCCCCAAACAAGGTGGGGAAACACTGGGATGTCAAGTGGAGGGGTTAATAGCATGTATCCCATAGAGTCAGCATGAAGATTAAATGTGTAGATGAGTGTCAGCCCCTAGCACAGTGTTTGGCACCCAAAACATCCCAAGGGAAGAGTAGTTGTCATGTTATTAAACAATTTAGGAGAGAAGAGAGGTCTTCCCAGTTCCGCTGTGGGATAATTAGTTACCTTCTCCCAGGGAAGATTCTCAAAGCATCTAGAAACTCCATGTCTCTCCCCTCCCTTCCCCTCCTCCCCACCCCTACCCAGCCAAGGGGAGAGCCAGGGTGAATTACCTGATGCTCCTCCAAGAACTCAAACCTCCCCTCTTTGCCCATGGAGTACAACTTCTCTAGAGCAGATAGAGAAATCAATCCACCTTTTGCTTTGACCCGAGCCTTCTGTTTAGAAAGTTAAGCTACCCTCCCTTTGGAGCAGAATTCCTCTTCTAAATGTAAGTTGAACTCTCTCAATCTTTTGAGATAAAGACCAGCTTCTGAACAAAAATGGTTTTGATTATGAAATGAAGGTTGACAGTCAGCTTGTGAGATATAGTTTGGGGCTCTACCGAAGGGGTCCGGGAGGCCTCAGGCCAGCCCTATTGATTAGCGGGCTAAAGAAAACAGTCTCACACTCTGTTGACGCTTTGGGCAATGCCATTCTTGCCCTCCCTGGTAACCATTTCATTTAATTATTTTAAGGCAGGGTTTTATGGACTGTTTGCCAGACCTCAGCTTTGTTGGGGGCACCTCAGGTTTCAGACATTTACAAGAGTTGACCCTTGTTAAGATTCCCTTTGTGGAAAATACATTTAGTCTGGGGATAAGAGTATGGGATGGAGGAAGTAAGAAACCCTAGGTACAGCGGCACCGAAAGCACCCTTCTGGAAAACACTGAAAACATTAGAACAATGTCCACATGAGAAAGGTATCTACCCACAGAGATGTCATTAAAACTGGAGGAGTCTGTCATTGAAATACGGTAGTCCTATTAGATAGCATCAGAAAGATAGGCATTTGGGGAAATGATGGAAAAGCTTCCCCCATCAGAGAGCCTGCCTTCTCTGTCCTCAAATGAGAAAGAGCCCAATTTTCTGGTATTTGAGAATGAGTCATATTTAAAGGTTTAGGGAAAATTAGTCAAATGTACCTTGATTATAAACACATGTACCCATTTCATCTGGCTATTTTTAAAAATGTGGGTTTTAACCAGCTGCCATTAATAGTGAATGCACTGCATGTCTGTTCTTCCCTCTTCTTGTAATAGACACAGCAGAAGGAAAGAAATATTTAGCCATTTTGGATCTCTTTCCAGAGCAGGAAGAATTACTGAATATAAATTGTGTCTTCCTATCTCATGAAACAGATGAAACCTTCTAAATTAAATAAAAGGAAAATTAACAATCAGGATTAGGTAAAAAGCATTACATTTCCTCGGGGCTCAAGTTACAAAGATATGTTTTTGTAAAAGAAAGAAAGGTCAGTTACCACTATTAAACTTGTATATTGTTTTATACTAAGTCCTTTCAATGGCCTCTCTGAGGGACCGTTTAGTTTGTATTACACTCTAATAAACTCCAGGTGTACAGGACAAACTGAATAATCAGAACCCGATGGTCCAAACTAGTTAAAAATAATGTGGTACATTCCTGGTTCTCTGCATTTAATTTATTGTTAATCATTGTTATTACTTACATTTATTGGGTAGTTTTCCCAGATTTATTAGGCACTACATTTAACAGTGTTATCGCTTGTAACTGACCATCAGTGGAATCAAAAACATATTTTTGTAAAGTCTCTTACCCTAATTAGTAAGTCATTTCCCTTTGAGACTAAACAGACCCCAAAAATGACTGTGTTATTTTCTCCTTGAGTCAGGGGGGAGCCCTGCTACAAAAACCCACCTTTGCCGAAACCACCTGTTGGACGATAAGGGAAGGGCTCCCATTCTAGAGACACTAAGATGACCTTCCCATTCAAAGCAGAAAAATGAGGGACTTATATTCTAGACATCAGGAGGAGTCTCTTGTCTCAGTGGAATGGGTGGCTTCCTATAGCATGGCTTCTAGGATACCAAGGAAGGACAGGTGGGGAACCTGTTCCTCCACCTGCCTGGAATTCTATTATTCGAAGCAAACCTTTGGGTAAATGGGAGAAGTAATCATTTCACTAAAATTCACACTCAGCTGTTAATGAGCTCCCATTTCTTAGTACACAGCACAGTGGTGCACATTAGGAATTATTTGCTGAACAGGAAAATGAATGCCAATTCCTATGCCTTTGCCTTTAGTTGCAGCCTTTGGGGTAGATGGAAAGGCCCCCAGAGTGAAAGACGAGAGTCTTGGGCTCTAGTCCCCATTCTGCTGAGTGAACATGGACCAGTCGCTGGCTCTCCTGGGAAACTGAGTTTGCTCCTCTCTAAAATGAGATAATGGGGTGCTTGACTAATTTCATTTAGGGGCCAATTTCTCACCCCTCCCTGAACCCATGTTCTTTGTCAGGTGACCTTACAATTTCTCTCACTAAAGAGATAGAGGCCATTTTGCCACTCCCTGAATCTGGGCTGGTCTTACGACTTGCTTTAGTTATCAGAATGCAGCAGCCAGAACAACAATCTGCCAGTTCTAAGTGGAGGCCTCAAGAGGCTCTGGGGTTTCCACTTTCTCGCTAACCCAGCATCCTGGGGAATGAGAGACACATGGAGCAAAGCTGAGTCACCCTGGTCTCCCCAGCCAAGGTCAGCCTTTGTCAGCCAAGTGAGCCCCAGATACATGAGTGAGTTCAGCCAAGATCAGCAGTGCTGCTGACCCCAAACACAGGAGCAATAAATGCTTGTTACTGTGTGCCACTAAACTTTTGTGGCTGTTTGTCAGACAGCATTATTGTGACAATATGTAACATACATATGATGCTATTAGATAATCTCTAAGGCTCATTCTAGTTCCAAATTCCAGCATTACTTAGAACATAACCCACTATATAGACAAATATCTAGCCCTAAGTGTATCCCCCATGAGGCACTGGTGAGTCTCTTACCCTCCCTAGGCCTGTTTTAAACAGCTAATAGTCATTCTTGTCCCTCCCTGCATACTTCATAGCCTGGGCCCCTCACAGGGGTATTTTCAAGGACAAAAGAAAGAGCCAATGTGGAATCACTTTGAACCATTCAAAAAGCAGACTCCATATTATTAGTTAATTCTTAGTCATACTAATGCTATATCTTCTTAGGGATCTCATTAGAAAGACCCCTAAGGTGCATCACTTAGAAGACTAGCAAAAATTTAAGTAGATGTTGTTTAAAAACCCATCTGGGTCTCTTACAAGGTATCCACATTAAATGTTTTGAATTAGTATTTTTGTGTCAGAGCCACTGTAGAGCAGCTACTTTTCATGCCTCTGAGGGTATTTCCTTGCTAATTTTATGTTTTCGATCCAAATCATTTTAATCCATGGTTTAGCTACATGGAGCTAAAGGAGAATGTACGATAAATTGAGGGGCCAGGAAATGGAAGACAAAGGAAAGAACAGAGAATTTACTCCACTCACTCACCCATTCATTCCATAAATACAAACAAGTGTCTAATACGTCACAGGCCTGTATATGGCTCTAGGATCAACTCAGGTCCTGCTCTTGTGAGGGTTGAGGGGTACATGTTACAGAAGAGGAAGACGTTAAACAATCACAGGAAGTTAGGGAATCTAATCATTAATTTGATGCATGATGAATAAAGAGGAAGAATCAAGCGTTTATCCTGGCTTTCTAAAACAAACGGTATCCTTGAGTAACTAAACAGAAGTTGACAGAAAGTATCTCTTTTTAGAAATGTCCTAGCTAATAAACAAAGAAAGAAAATAAATTAGAATGTCACCAGTTTGCCATCCTTATAATGAATGAATCGATCTAGAAGTTGAGATTAACAACTGCTAACATCAAAGAGAAAGACAACCAGATTATAAGCCTCCGGATGGAGGAACACACCACCTTCTATGAAGCAGTCTTGCCAAAAGATAAAAATAAAAACTGAACCTTAATCCAATCAAACCTTTAGAGCCAACTTTAGAGCCAATTTATAAGAGACATGAGGGATAGAGGAACATGTTAAATTACACCTAGGGGTTGTGATCGGCAAAAACTAGACTGTTGGAAACTCCACTGCAAGGACAATCTCTTTTTCACAAATAAATTGCAAGGAAGGAAAAAGGAGACAGAGGAGGAATCTGTAGATTGACACAAACTTAAAATACATTCTAAAAGAGAGAAAACTAAATTAGGGGATCTAGGGATGCACACTCAGGTAATAAAATGAGGAAAGAGGAAGATAATGAAACAAGCAAGAAAACAACGTGAGAGTCAGAGAGTTGTGACTTTTAGTGGGAGGCTAAAAGTCTCCTACAGAGTCCTTCGGGGTTGACTGGCAAAATTCTACTTCTTGACCCGAGTAGTTGTGTCAATGTTTTCACCTTAAAATAATTCACAAAGCTATATTTTATATATAATTTTCTGTGTCCATATTCTCTTTTACAGGAAAGGGGCAAATATCACAATTGGTGTAAGTGCTTCCAAGGAGTAGTTTCTGAAAGTGAGAGGACTTAAATACGTTCCCTAGTCTGGAGGAGATGGTTAAGCTAGGAAATGGAAGTGGAGTTCCAGACAGAGGAAAGGGTAGGAGCAAAGGCCCTGGGATGGGAAAGAGCATTGATCAGCCCAGTGCCTGCCATGGAACCTGGAGATGAATAGAAGATCTTTCAATAAATGCTTATCACACAGGTGAATAACAGGTGGGACAGGGATTCCTTCACCAGGTGTGCTGCTGGCACAGTTTACCACAAACTCAGTTGCTTTAAACCACACAAATTTATTATCTTACACTTACATAGGAAAGTAGTTTAACATGATCTCACTAGGCTAAAATCAAGGTGTAAACAGCGCTATGGGTTTTTTTCTGGGAGTTCTAAGAGAGGATCCATTTCCTGGCCTTTTCTGCCTTCTAGAGGCCACCCACATTCCTTGCTGGGGATGGCCTTTTTCTGTCTTCAAAGCCAGCTGGAAGTGCTGTGTGCGTTCTCACATCCCATCACTCTAACTTTCTCTAATGCCCCCACCTCTTCCACTCTTAGGGACCCTTGTGATTACATTGGACCCAACTAGATAACCTGCCTATTTGAAAGTCAGTTGATTAGCAAATTTAACTCCTTCCGGAATCTTATTTCCCCTTTGCCATGTAACATAAATATTCACAATTTCCAGGGATTAAGATGTGAATATTTTGGGGAGCCATTCTTTTGCCCACCACACTGAGCAGACATTTATTGAGCAACTATTGTGTGCCAGGGTCTATTTGAGTGCTGAGAATATAGGAGAGAAAAAACAAATAGATAAAGTCTCTGTGATTAGGGGGCTTGCAACTCAGACTAGGAGACAGTGTATAAAGAGGTAGGCAAGTGTACAAATAGTCCTTATTGATTTGAAATAAAAGTAGGGAGAAGAAGGAAGATAAAACCAGTTTTGCTACTGCCTTCAAAGATACAATTTGTTAATTTTCTGCTTACTAACAACTAGAACTAAAATCCAGTGTCTCTGTTTATCTGACGCAAAACATTATTCTGTTTCTAGTTGGATTTTAGTATATTTTTAAAATCAAAAATTGAGTTAATTTTTTTTTTGCAAAAAATTAAAAGTCACCTTATGTTTATCTCTGGAATCCAGTTTGGACTGATTTTTTAAAAAGATTCTAAAGCATTTCTAATATAAAACTTTTCTGCTCCAGTTTCCAGTGGAAATTTATTATTTGAGGGCAGACTTTTAAATATGTCACCCTCTGCCAGCATGCCTCAGGGTAAAAGTATAATAAATAAAGCATATATTGAAATAGAATATTTCAAATAACCGGCAGCATCATTAAAACGTCAAATTAAATGAAAAGAAAACAGATTCTAGTTTCCTTATATAATCAGATATTCTTCATTAAGGGCTCTCAAGTGGATTGTAATACCAGCAATGCCAGCTGTAGCTTCCCAGTTAAGTACTTGTCTTACTGCTCCCCACCAGAAAAAACAAAAAATGAAGGGAAGGGAAAAAAATCTCAGCCCCAACAGACATCCAAATGGTTTATCCAAGGTTTTATAAGATCTCTGAAGTTGCAAATGTAGATTTTCAATCCAAATCCTAAATCAGGGCTTCATGAGCACAGTCAACAACCATCAATATTTTCTGGCTTCTTCTAAGAGAAGTGCTTCCCATTCAGTGTCTAGAGTTCAGAGACTCATCTAGTTGCCCGTGGTCTCAATGGCCTTCTTGGCATTTTTGGTGGGATAGTTCATGTGTGCATGCCTGAATCTTTATTATTCCTGACACTTTATTCTCCTCCTGTACCGTGAATGAATGTCAGTGACTGTGTCAAACAAAAATGCCTCCAGATTATTTCCAAATTATCTCATGGAGTAGGAGGTACAACCCCATTTCCAACAGGAGGCCTTCTCAGCAGCCTGAGTCCATAATGATTTCTCCTTGTCCCTGCAGCACTCGTAGCATGTTCAGTTCATGGGAGGCTGAGCATTATCACCAGGTGTAGGTGTACCTGGCTACCTGTGGGTAGGTGCTTCATCCAGCTCTGTGCTGGCACACCTGGCCCAGCTCTGAGGCTGGAGTAACATCTTAGCCAATGCCTCAAGAGGAACTAGGGAACTAGGGGCTTAGGGGCACAGGCCAGAGATCAAAGGACTTCGGTTTAAATCTAGGCTTTGCTACTTCCTTGCTGTGTGACCTTGAGTAGTTATTTTACCCTCTAAGCCTCAGCTTCTTCATTTAAAAGTACAGTAAAATACCCATTTTACCTCCAAGGTTATGTGAACACTAAATTAAATAATATATGTAAAACACTTAGAACCATGCCTGGCACTTAGCAAACACTCACTAAAGACTGGCTGTCAGCTAGGCACAGTGACTCACACCTGTAATCTCAGTATTTTGGGAGGCCAAGGCAGGCAGATCACTTGAGTTCAAGAGTTTGAGACCAGCCTGAGCAACATAGCAAAACTCCTCTCCACAAAAAATACAAAAAAATAGCCAAGACTGGTGGTAAATGCCTGTAGTCCCAGCTACTTGGGGGCTTAGGCAGGAGGACAGCTTGAGCCTGGGAGGTCGAGGCTGCAGTGAGCCATGATCATGCCACTGCATTCCAGTCTGGGTGACAGAGTAATATTCTATCTCAAAAATTAAAAAAAAAAAGGACTGGTTATCATCACTGTTGTTATTGTCAGTGATTATGAAAATGAAACAGCACTTGAAAAGTGAAATCTTGGGCAATTTTCTGTTTATTTTGTATGTAGTAGATGCTAAATATGTTATTAAGAGGTGGGACCTGTAGGAGGTGACTGGGCCATAAGGACTCCACCCTCATGAGTGGGATTAGTGTCATTATAAAAGGGTGAGCCCCCTCTTGCTCTCTCTCTCACTCTTTGCTTTCTGCCCTGGGATGATGCAGCAAGAAGGCCCTTGCCAGATGCTGGCACCTTCATATTGGACTTCCCAGCCCTCAGAACCATGAGCCAATAAATTCCATTCACTGTAAATTTCCCAGTCTCAGGTATTCTGTTATAGCAGCACAAAACAGACTAAGACATACATGAAACCAAAAGGATCATGTATCATTGGCCCAGGAAAAGCATTTTACTGAAGAATGGCAACAGCACCTGGAGACATGTGATCCACACATGAGATTTCCATATGGTCCTCTATATCTCTGTCAATGGCAACGCTATCTTTTTTCTCAAGCCTTTTGCTCAAGCCAAAGCCTATGTCTTATTCTGAATTCTTCTTCTCCTTCCACCCACCCGCCCACCCAAAAATAAACCCACCCATGAGCAAATGTCACCTCCCAAATATACTCTGAATCTATCAATTTTTCTCCTATTCTGCTGCCACCACCCTTGTCCACTATCATTTTCCCCTAGAATTTGCAGTATTTTTCTTGATTAGTCTATTTTGCTTCCTTAAAACCCATTTTTCTATAAGGCAGCCACAGTGATTCTTTAAAAATCAGATCAGTCAGGCCGGGTGCAGTAGCTCACACCTGCAATCCCAGCACTTTGGGAGGCCAAGGTGGGCAGATTACCTGAGGTTAGAAGTTCGAGACTAGCCTGACCAACATGGAGAAATCCCATCTCTGCTAAAAAAAAAAAAAAAAAAAATATATATATATATTTGTGTATATATATATATATATATATATATATATATATATATATATTTGTGTGTGTGTATGTGTGTGTATATATATATATATATACAAAAAATTAGCTGGGCATGATGGCGTGTGCCTGTAGTCCCAGCTACTCAGGAGGCTGAGGCAGGAGAATCACTTGAATCTGGGAGGTGGAGGTTGCAGTGAGCCGAGATCGCACCATTGCACTCCAGCCTGGGTAACAAGAGCAAAACTCCATCTCAAAAAAAAAAAAAAATCAGATCAGTCTCTTCATTTTCCTACTTAGAAAACTTCCAGTGCCTTCCTTGTCATTGCATTTGGAATCCGAAGGCCCAGTGTCATCTGGTTCCTGTCTCCCTCTCTTGTCCTCATCATCACATCCCCCACCCCCAGGCTTACTTTGTTCTTCCTTTTGATCCTCAAACAAACTAAGTTCCTTCCCTCTTAAGGGTGCCTGTACTTGCCGTCGCTGTGGCTAGAAGGTTCTTCACCCAGACCTTTGCATGTCTGCCCACTTGTATCACATGGCTCTCAGGTCAGATGCCACCTTCTCAGACTGTTCTGTTCTCTGCTGTCTTCTCAGTACCCAGGGGATGCTTGGAACTTAGTAACCACTGTATAGATGTTCATGGGAGAATGAATGAATAAAGAGTCCAAACAACCAGACACAGCATTTTAGGGGATGACAACCACACTCTAAATAAGAAGTGACAAAGATCACTCTTTCTGTGAGGCTTTCCATCTAGTTCAGGGAGAGATTAATCTACCCCCTCAATACTCCCAGCCAACTATGCCAGGGAAAACCAGAAAGCATGACTCAGAAAAGCAATGAGCTGAGAGTGGTACTTCTTCAAGCAGATGAGCATCCACGCTAAATGCCTCAGATAGCTTTCCAACTTAAGCAATAACACTGTTGACAATAGCCAAAGAAAATGCAACAGCTCATACCAAAAGAGTATCTGCAGCTTGGGCTGACATTTCAACACAAATTGGATTATTTTGTCCTTCCTGGAAATGCATGATCTGGTCACATAATGGGACACTATTCAATTAGCAAGGTCCCTGGTTGTTCTGAAATGTATAGGAAGAGTGGCTGACTTTTAGAGGAAGCCTGTGACTCAACGGAATCTGGCTTCTGCTGCCCAAACTCATTCCAAGCTCATCTGTCCCAGAAAAGCAATTAAATGACATTCCTGACAACTGGACAGAAACTCTTATCTCTTGGTCACCATATTATCCCCTCCCAGGTGGAATTTCCTGGGATGCCTATTTGAGATCAGAGTGTTTCTCAGTGAATGTACATAATTGGCATTCAATCTGTTTAGTTATATTAATCCCAATTCTAATTGATGGCATCCATATAGAGGTAATGATTGAAGACATTGAAGTGGAGTAGGTCACCATGGGAGGAAGAACCGTCAGAGAAGGAAGTTGAGAGTGCATGGACAGGATGTGCAGGAGGCAGCAGAGACATCAAAAGAGGAGGCAAAAAGGGAGAGAAGTGGGGTACCTTAAAGACATAGACCCCAGAAGCTCCAGCTGGTAATTGTTTTCCTAAATCTTCTCACTCCCACCAGACCATACGCTCTTTAAAAGCCAAGAGAATACTTCATTCACCTTTCTGTCTTTTCCTACCCAGAAACTAGCTCTGGGCCTAATGAATGAATCAGAAACCTGAAGAATAGAGATCAAGACTTAACATTTTCAGAATTTCAGATTGTGACAGCTCAGTTCAATACGCAGCAGAAAATAAAATGCATGGAAATAATCAGTGTGCAGCTGCTATGTGTGCTGGGACCACTTGTGTCCTGTTCAGCTTTGGGGGTCCTGCACCTAGAATGGCAGAAGGGTGAGCAACTTGTCATGGTTTGCCTGGGACTGACCTCGTTTTAAAATTGAAAGCCCCATGTCCCAGGAACCTCTCAATCACCCTCAACAGAGCTTTCAGCAAGTATTTGTTGAATGATTGAAAGATGTGACTACTTCAGGAAGCTGTTGGAGAATCAAAGAAACTATGCCTATAAAAATGCTTTGAAAATTCTAAACTGTATCCAATTGGAAGGTATCACCCAATGTCAAGTACAATTATTGTGGGGGTTTGTGCTGATTGACAAAGAGGAGCAGCACCTGGGTCTTACTTTGAGCACCAGATGCATGTGTCCACTGGTCCTTGGCACCCTTGCTATGGCTGATTTACAGAATAGCAGAGTCCCATAAGGGGGAGAGGAAGGTGGGAGGGTGCAGGCTGTGGTCCTGGGACAAGCAAAATTGACTGACCCCCACCCATGTCATACTCTCAGCCTAGGGCTCATCATCTCAGTGTCATGATTCACAGATCAAATTAGAACTCACACTGCCACCAAGTCCCTCCCCTGCTAGGAGGTAGAGAGGAGAGTAGAGGTGACCTAGGGTTATGTATGCCTAGTCAAATGAAATGATCTTCTCCCAACATTCCCAAACCTCAGTCCATGCCCACCACAGGGATCCCCTCTGCTGGCACCATTTCTTTACCTAGATAAGAAGTAGGTATGTAAATAGGAGAAGACACAGGAAAATAAGTTGGTTTACATAAAGGAGCTGGGTGAATGGACAGCAGTAAGAGAGAAAGAGCTTGGTCAACTTAGGGAGCAGCCAGTGGAGCAAGGGTGGGTTTTTTATAAAGAGCAAGGAACATTTTTATAGAGATTTAATGTAGGTGCCCCTTGCTGCCCCTTAATAAAAAAATAATAAAAAAATAAAAAATAAACTCATCTGCAATATTTTACTCTTTGAGGTCTTTGGATTCAAAACTTTCCTCCTTCTGAATGTGCCAAACCAGCTTTAAGTGTCATGAAACAAGGCCCAGTTTGATTTGAGCAACATTTTCATTATACCTGGCCAGTGAGAGAGGGAGCCGAAATTCATCCTCGGAGAGGTGACAAGAGAAGCCTGCAGCTGAAATGAGAGAGAGCAAGAGAGGACTGAGACATTGGCTCTGCCATCTGTAAGGCAGAAGAGGAAGAGGAGCGGGTGATAGAGACTGAGAAAGCATCCCAGCCTCAACTACAGGGCAAGGAGTGTGTCACCTTGAGTATGTCCAAATTGTCTTTTTCAGGGAACATACTGTGGGCATGTGTGTGTCTACCAAATCTAATTCCAGTTTTGTTTTCTTCCATCTGTAAACTCTTTGAGCATGCTTGTGTAGACACAGAAATTGCCTGAAAGCCATCAGCAGGCCTAACAGCAGGGCCTCTCATCGATAACATAATAGCTGAAATTCTCAGTGCCTTTGTGTTCCATGGCATTCCAAAGGCTCCAAGCACATTATCTTACTGATTCTGACTGTAACTCAACAAAGGAGGCTGATAGGATCATCCCCATTCAGCTGATGAAAAACATAAACCAAAAAAGAAATCAGCCTGAAGTGACCCAGCTGGCCCAGGAAAAGCTGATACTAAACCCCAGCCTCCTGGTGGCCCCTTTCTGCAAATCAATGGCTCCTGTTTCCAGACAGATGGAACAGAGACAAAGGCTACAGCCATGGGCCTGGAAATCTGGCTGTGTGCTTGGAGCCAGCCGACCTCAGCTTAAGACTGACTCTGATTCTGGACATGAGTAAGGTGCTTTTCCAAGCAGGCCTTGTGGGCTTGGAAATACAGCCTTGGGGTTTGATTTCCCCTGGTGGCTTAATCAGAAATTTCCTTCAACTCTTTTTACTTCAGCCTTTGTGAGTGTCAAGGTTGGAATCTAGACATTCAGAGGGTTTCTTGTGAACTGTCAGCAGGGTCCTTTGGACCTTTCTGTGAAAAGGCCCAAAATACCCTCCCAAAATACCCAGATTTCCTCAGGGACTCAGGACAATCAAAAGGGTGACAACCAGCCAACTGAGAAGTCCTGATGAAAACCGCTAGGTCACATTTTTCTATAAGCATTGTCACCTACTTGAAAGCCTGAGTCATTCTGCCAGTCCCGGGGGGAGGATGAGTCACAGTGATGAGACGGAGACTTTTTTTCCTCTAACCTAGTTCTCTAACCTTTTACATGAAAACTCATTGGCCTGCCCTGCTCTTAAAATATCCAGATCAGTTGTATAAGATCCAGCATCATGACTGTTCATGCAAGGTCACTGCTTGCATTTACTGAATTGGAGTCTTTTATTACTCAGAATGAATGTTCTTATTAAAAAAGAAAAAACTCAACCCAAGTTATAATAGCAGAAATAATTTTATATCCTCCCACAGAGCTGGGAAACTTAAGCTCAATTATGGAGGAACTGGGCTTGGGAACCAGAATCGAAAATGACTAGTTTAGTTTCCAAGTCCAAACTAAGCAAAGAACTGGGAAAAAGAATAGGAAAAAATGAATGGGATTTAAGACTGTCTATCATTTCCAGAAAACAAGTTACCCAAGTGATTTAGGCAAAGGTTGTGCTTTCTTATTATTTTTAATTGAAGATGCCTTTTGGAATTTGTTGATGCTGTTAAGATAAGAAACCCCAAATTCTTTTCTTTTTTATTAAGCCCAAACACTAACTGAAAGAGGAGTCAGTAAGCCTAACAGAAAATAGAGAAGACCTTCTCCACACAGGTCTTTCTGAGTCACCTAATGCTTTAACAACATTCATTTCATTTGGGAAATTCATTCAAGGTACTGCTTGGAGAGTCCTTAGCAGCTTGGTGACCACGGACTGCATCCATTCCTCAACACCAACAGCCTTGAGCCATCCGTGTTGAATTTTCAGAGTTCAAGATGGCACCCAAAATTCTGTAAGAAGAATATCTAGGCCCTTAATATGCTTTTAAAATATCTCTTGTCTATTTTTTTGTTTTCAGACAGAGGCTTGCTCTGTCACCCAGGCTGGAGTGCAGTGGCACAATCACGGCTCACTGTAGCCTCCACCTCCAGGACACAAGCAATCCTCCCACCTCAGCCTCCCAAGTAGCTGAGATCGCAGGTGCATGCCACCACTTCTGGCTCATATTTTTATTATTTGAAGAGATGGCGTGGGGTGGGGGGATCTCCCTATGTTGCTCAGGCTGGTCTCCAACTCCTGGGCTC
Source organism: Homo sapiens (assembly GCF_000001405.40). Lineage (NCBI taxonomy): Eukaryota > Metazoa > Chordata > Mammalia > Primates > Hominidae > Homo > Homo sapiens. Next base: position 113,325,257 of record NC_000010.11, on the reverse strand, counting down.
AAGAAATCCTCCTGCCTCAGCCTCCCAAAGTGCTGGGATTACAGGTGTGAGCCACTGTGCCCAGCCTGTTCTTTCAATACGGACAAAATAGGGCAAGGGACCAGGAGAGTAACTGTGTAATTCTAATTTAAAACCTTCCCATTTGGAAAGGAGGCATTTGTTCACCTGCCCTGGATTATTTGGATTAGAAGGCTATGTTGATTGTATGTGACAGATTTTGGTATAGTAACAAACATCCCCACTATCTCCATGATTTCAATGACATTTATTTCTTGCTCAGGAACAGTGAGGGCTGTTGATTAGCTGTGGCTTTCAGCTGGGCTTTGCTGAGATTAGCTTGGCTCAGCAACTTGTGTCCTCTCATTTCTCTTCTCCTTCCTAGGCTGAAGAAGCCTCATATCCTCATAGAAAAGAGCAAATGCTGGAGAAGACAAGTGGAAACGTGTGATGCCTTCAAAAGGCTCTGCATAGAACTAATGCACAGTCACTTCTGCTCACATTCATTGGCCAAAACAAGTCCAGTGGCCAAGACCAAGGACAATGAGACAGAAATGTACAATGTAAAGAGTGGGAGAGAGTGAATAAAGTTGGGTACCATCATCTGATCTACCAGTCTGCCCTCTTGGTCACAAATATTGACCTTCCTCCTACCAAAAAATGATGTTTACCTCCCCTTTCAAAAACACTCCAAAAGTCTCATCCAATCACAGCATCAGGCTTAAAGCCAACAATCCCATGATATACCAAATTTGGATGTGACTCCTCTTATTTTGGAGACCTATGAACTAAAGACAAGTTATTAACACTCCCTCCCCACCCACACACAATTCAAGGACAAAATAGCTGCAACAAACACCTCCAGTCAGAAAGGGAACAATGGGAGACATGCAGTGCTCAGTGGCTGTGATGGTTTATTTGATGCATCAGTGTGGCTGGGGCACAGTGCCTAGATCTGTTTGGCCAAACACTATTCTGGACATTTCTGTGAAGGTATTTTTTGGGAGAGATTAATATTTAAATTGGTGTCCTTTGGGCAAAGTAGATTATCTTTCATAATATGGGTGGGCCTCATCTAATCAGGTTAAAGCCTTACTTGCACACATACTGACTTTACCCAAGCCAGGAAGAAATGCGGCCAGCAGGCTGCCTTTGGACTTGAAACGCAGCTCTTCCCTGGGTCTTCAGCCAGACAGCCTACCCTGCCCAACGTTAGATTTGCCAACTCTGCAATCTTGTAAGCTAGTTCCTGTAAACAAACAAACAAACAAACGTATCCTGTTGGTTCTGTTTCTTTGGAGTACCCTAATACAGTAGTTCGCTGCAATTCTGAAATCACTGTCAGCAATCATTGAGAGGCCCCACACTGAGGGTCAGGAATGCTTCGTGACTGCACCTGTATTATGCTTGCCAGGAGTAGTTCCCCCATCATGGTTCTCCCTGGCTCCTGATGGTTGATTACACGCTGGGAAGCCCTTCCTTTCCCATGATCTTACACTGGAGAATATGCCTGTCTTGGTGGCTGGGCAGCTTTCTCAGCTTCTTCAAGCCCATAAAAACTGGAGGCCCAAAGGTTGTTTTTTGTCTTGAAATAATCAGCGTCTTTTATTCCAGGCTGGCAGCACTTTGTGCAATACAGAGCTCTCAGAAACTTTGGTTTTTGTTACTGTTTTTTAATCAGTTTGACTTCAGGAAGCTCCATGGGCCAATAGCAACACCCACACATTTTTTTTTCCCAGACCCCTCTTTCTATAGATTTAATTACAGGTGCTTTGAACTTATTGCGCCTTGGCAGGTCCACCTTAGGATTCTTTAACTTGAAATAATTGTGCAAATGCAAGGATTTAAAGGGGGAAAGTTGGAACTAATCAGAGTTCACAACCAATGGATGATGACCAAGCTCTTCTTTCGGTGTTTGTTCTAGGGCTGTGTCTTCATCTGAAAATGTTTTACTGGCTAGAGATACATCCTTTAACCTTACAAGTCTGGGAATTTCTGGATTCCCCCTTGTCCTTTTCATCCCTAGATGGAGGAAGGGCATTGTCAGAGAAGCCTTCTAGGGGAGATGGCCCTAAATTGAGTCCTGAAGAATAGATAGGAGTTAAGCCACTGAAGTGCGCAGGAGGCAGGCATCCTAGCAGGGGGACCTCCAGGCAAGTGAAGGCCCTATGACATGAGGAAGTCAGCCAAGCTGGGCACATCAGAACAGAGGCTGTGGAGGAAGCTGTGGCTGAGAGTCTGCAGAGGTTTCCCAAAACAAGCCTTGAATGTCATGCGTCAGAGTGTGAGCTTCATCCACAGGGCATTTAAAGCTCATTTTAGGCAGTTACTTTGTACGTTCAGACACAACTCAACACAGCCTCCCTTTCTTTTACACGATGTGAATGTACAAGGTAGAGCCATGTCTCATCACAGCTTTACAAGGCCTTATAATTCTGTTTTTAAACCTTTAAAACAAAGCACATGGAACTGGCTGGAAAGGCCGATCTGCTGTCGTACACAGCGAGAAAGGACAACCTTTCATGAGAAGGGAAGCAAACCGAGGCCCCCAGGGTGGTCGGCTGCTCATTTTTATGTTTTCCAAAGACAAGGCTTTACTCTAAAAGCTTCCCTCTTCCTTAGGCGTTTCCATGAGCCCAGGGCTCAGACCAGCAGCCCAGGCAGCCGCTCACCATCTTACAGAATAATAAATCTCGAGACAGAATCTCCAAGCAATCGCCACAACTTTTCAGTTCTGACTTGAGTGTCAGTAACTTGCTGTTTCTAACTCATCCCGGGGATAAGAAACTGTGTGAGACAGTGGGATTCTCTGGTTTCTTTCATTTCTTCGTGTTTCTTCTCCCACTTTCTGCCTACAAGCCTAGGGTAGCCCAGCCTTCCTTCCCACCCCAGGCCTCAGCACAACAGAACTGGCCCAACAAGATTCTAGCTACAAACACAGACCTGGCACAGGGATGAGGCCAGGTCCAGAGGCCTGTGAACCTGGGTTCTGGCCTCAGATCTGCCACCTATCTGCTGTGTTTCCCATGGAAACTCACTCAACCTCTCTGGAGGAAAATGAGGGGAATGGACTTCATGACCTCTGAAGATGCTGAGACTCTCCAAGTCTATTTCTTTCTTCATCTTTCCACCAATGTCCACTCAGAGTTCTTAACCTAGAGAGTGGCCCAGAACCACCTGTGGAGCTTGGAGAAAAGAGACATACTAAACGCCCCCCCTCCCCCAGGTTCTGCTTTGTATTTTTAAACAGCATCTCCTGATACCTGAGATCTCAGCCCAGAGGAACAGTGTGGAGGCACCAGAACACTGGTGTGACCGGAAACGTGGGCTTGAATTAGCAAGAACTTGATCTAGAATATCACAGGACGACTCCGAGAACCCAGTGAAAGAACGGTAGTGACCTTCCTTGTACAGATGCAACCACATACGCAATAGCATACGAAAATTCTAATGGTGAAAAGGAATACGTATCCCAGACAACAGATAGCTCAGCACCAGCCTGGTATCCATACTGAAAACAGTATAAGCCTCCCAAATCCTAATCACCAGCTTTTCCGGAGATGTGCTATTAGCTTGTGTGTAGCAGTTGTTGCCTACTTAGTGTAAGTTGCCTACTTAGCATAATTTACATAATGTAAGTTATTTTCTTAACTAAAAAACAATAACAATTTTCTCTTCTCTTACCCTGGAATGACATCCACACATGTTCCAAGACTCGGCCTTTGATTGTCTAACAATAGCACTGCCACAAAAATGGAATTCAAGTGCCCCCGGTTGTGAAATTAAATGTTATTTCACACCCGGTTTGTCAAGATGTTGTCTTTTAAGAGAAGGTGTAAAAATATAACTGTTAACTCTGTTTCATTTTATTGATAAAGAATTCTGTCCTCAGAGTTTTCCTTTACTTTTATAAAGTAATACAGAGTCTTTATTTCATCAATGTGTTTCGCTTTAGTAATTCCCTTGTTTTTATTTCACCAAGTAAAAAATCAAAATAGTTACCACCACTCTCAGGAAGTGAAACTTGTACCGGAATCACTGAGTTGTCTATATTCCTTTTCGTTACTGGCCTCCCGCCCATCCTCCCAAAAGGAGAAATAGTAAGAACTAATAATAACAAAGTCCTAAATTCTGCCCACAAGAATGCAGGGAACAAGGCCGTTGAGTGAGATTGAGTGGCAGATGTCAGTGATTTAATTTCACTTTCTTAACTTGCTTTTTTGAAAAACATCTTCATGTGCGACTTGGAGGAGAAGAAAGGCACAATGAAAACAGACAGCAACAAAGGACCAGCTGTGAGTTTTTTTAAATACATACATACATGGTTGGCAGTAAGAAACTTCCAGGTTTAACAGTGAAGAGGAAAATTCAGTGGCATTTGACATGATCAGTCTCAATGCCTAGAGCAGGCAGGCATCTGGTCCCTGGTTTTCTCATTAGTCGGGTTTTCTGGAAAGCTGAAATGATGGGAGAAGCATAGAATTCAGTTCATCCCAGTGCTATGGAAAGAGACCCAGAATGAGAGTGAGGGGACAATTGTTCAAGTCCTACGTCTTCCACCAACTAACCGTGTGGCTGTTGTTCTGAGTGTCAGGAAAACTAACCCGTTAACAGCATGCAAGAGACAAGCAAGCTAGTAACAAGACAATCTGTGACGACCTCGAAGCTACTCAGATTTCATTGTACCTCCACACCCCTTATAAAAGAATCTCCGCATACGAATATTGAACCTAAGAAAGCCCATCCCCACCCCACAAGTTTGAACCAGAAGACTTCTGAAAAACGCAAACGACACTCCCTGTGTGAGTTCAAACATGTCCACACATTCTTGGAGACATCCCCCATGAGGAAGTAGAGTCTAGTTCTCCTCCCCCTGAATATGGGCAGGCTCTAGTGACTTGCTTGCAATGAATAGTATGTGTGGAGTGATGCTGTGTGGCTTCCAAGACTAGGTCATATCAGCGGATACAGTGTCTGCCTGGTTCTCTCTCAAGATGTTTATTGTGGGAGCCTACTATGCTGTATGGAAGCCCGGGCCACTTGGAGAGGCCACATGTAGGTGTTCCAGCTGAACGAAGTTTGGGCAGTAGCATCCTGGATTGCTTTGTAGCTTAAGGAAAGTTTGGCAAGGCCACTGGGGAGTCCTCCAGCCAAAATTACCCATCAGAGAAGTCCTGCATTCCCCACGAGCACACTGGCCTTAGCATCCCTGTTGTGTCTCATTGGCTAAGAGCAGCCAACGGTGGGCCTGGCTTCAGTGCAAACATGGTAATGAATTCTAGGGCACAAACAGCTTCTGATCACACATGCACTCAACTCAACTGGAGCAAGGGCAGGCCTGTTATCAGAACCATGGTAACCCTTGCAATCTGTGAGCTGCAAATAACCAGTGCTTGGTTATGATTGCTACAGATACACAGTGGAAACGGGAGCATTCAGAGCCACTGTGAGAAGGCGTCCACCACAACTCTCTTCCTAGAGTTACTCCCAGGATCAGTATGGATTTCTGACATCTTATTTTCCATTTGGCTCAGTGCCTTTGCCCTCGATGACTCAGAGGGTGGCATCCCAATGCAGGGCTGAGAATTCCCATTCTGAGACTGACCATGGCAGAACCAGGATCACTCCAATCCAAGCCCTGAAGGAGGAGCCATGAGTGGAGACAGGGAGGCCAAGCACCAGTGCTGACTTGAGAGAACCCAAGAGCTGCTCATGGGAAACAGACCCAAGTTCAGAAGGCAAGGGGAGGCACAAACCTCATAGGACTAACTTGGGGCTGAACAGAAGGGGCCAGTACTGCCATAAATGACTTTGGGAGGTCTCTCACCTTCAGTGAGAGTAGGATAAATGCACTTATCTGGAGAGCTTCACTTTCAAAGCCAAGGAGAGTAACTTCCCTTTACAAACTGTTTCAAGATCAGAAGCAAAACAGGCTACAGGACATAGGAACTTGTAACCTTTAAATGTGAAGCATATAACTTAATCAAAATGAAATGACTTTCAGAATAATAGGTAATACCCTGATGATTTATGAACAAATTTAGTTGAGCAAACAGCTATTTATTGCCACCCACCCCCCCCCCCCACACACACACACATAACAAAGCCAAAAGGCAATGTTGATCCATCCAGAATCCTATGCTGTTAACTTTGTGATCTGATCCTTCAGGAAATAAAGTATATGAGCTAGATCTTTTTAATTTTTTAAATTTTGGTTAAGGTTATATCTCTCATGATCTGAGTGGTTTCTCTTTTTGATTTGGCTGCCAGGAAGCTCAGAACCAAACTGACAACTTATTATGACAACTATATATAATCTTATACTCTGCTTTTTAAAACCCTATTTCTTTGCTTCCTCCCACCACAGCTACCCTCTCTGTGCTAAACTGTACCTGCCATAATACACATGTCTTATTCTTATTCCCATTTCTCTTTCAATGGTGATTTTTGTTCAAATACATGATTTCCTGTGCATACTTTTTGTAAAATATTTCAAATTCATTATGAAATGACAATATTAATGGTACAACAAGAAAGCTAAACTTTATTGATTGGTACCGTGTGCCAAGTATTAAATTTTTTTTTTGAGACAGGAGACTAATTTTTTAAAACCCAACAGCATATTTAATGCATACTTATTTTTTACTTTCCTTTTTAAACTTTTATTTTAAGTTCAGGGGTACAAGTGCAGGTTTGTCACATAGGTCAACTTGTGTCATGGGGGTTTGTGCTACAGATTATTTCATCACCCAGGTATTAAGCTTAGTACCAATTAGTTATTATTCCTGATCCTCTCCCTCCTCCTCACCCTCTAAAATGCTCTCTATGTATTATAGACACTGCAGAGACAGGTGCTATCATTCCTATTTTATAGATGAGGAAATTGAGGCTTAAGGAGTCACTTGTTCCAGGCTATAAGGAGAGTAAGCGATTAAGTTTGACTTTTGACGATCTGGCTCCTGAGCTCCTGTTGTTCTTCCCTACTGTGCTGTTGGCCTTGATAGATTAGAAAGGGACCCAGTCAGGCAGCCAGCAGCAAGTTAACACAGGAGTGCACAGGCACACATGCACACACATGGGCACACACGCAGGCACACAGACACACACATGGGCACACGTGTGCACACACATGGGCACACATGCACACACACGTATGCACACATGCACACAGGGGTATGCACACACATGGGCACACATGCACACACACGTATGCACACACACACACACACACACGAGGCTCCTCAGAGGCAGATGTCTCAGGGCATCACCTTCCCTGCTATTTCTCCAGACTTGAACACAAGTAGGGGTGGCTGCAGGATGCCAGTGAGAAGTACGATCCACAGAAGAAAAGGAGCCCAGAAGAGGCTCTTGGCAAAGGCCCAGCTGGAGAAGAAGCTGTGGCCCTCCTTGACCCCCACGGGGCTTCTCTCTGCTCTGTTAGTACAGCTCTCCGTGCTGTCGGCAATGGCACTGACATTGTTGTGCGGTGGAGAATAGTATGACTTGGTGCCCTGCGAAGCCCCGTGGCTAACAGCTGAGCCAGCTCTGCAAGGGAAAAAGCCAGGGGCCAGGAACGGTGTACATTGATCGTGCTACACTAGTGCGGCTCAAAAGTCAATATCTGCTTGACATGCTGCAGAGAGTCCTCAAGCCCACTGGGAGTCCAGCTCCTCAAAAAATGTGCTTTCCCTTTTCTTCTAGATGACGAAGTGCAGAAAGAAAAACAGATGAGACACTGGTGGACCCAGCAATATATCAAGTTCTTAATTTATTTCTGAGTAGTAGTATTTTTTGAATCCTTTTGTAAGAATTCTAGAGTATGAATGTTCAGGCAGGGAGCTAAGATTTGCAGTGTATCTGCCAAGCACTCTGTACCATGCTAAACTCCTCTCAGGTGAGCATTTGATTTAATGTCCATGGTCTATTAGGGAAACCATAATTTCCGCCTTGTGTTTTGGGGGTAATATGGTTTGGCTGTGTCCCCACCCAAATCTCATCTTGAACTGTAGCTCCCATAATTCCCACATGTTGTGGGAGGAACCAGGCGGTGGATAATTGAAACATGGGGGCAGTTCCCCCATACTGTTCTTGTGGTACTGAATAAGTCTCATGAGATCTGGTGGCTTTATAAGGGGAAACCCCTTTCACTTGGCTCTCATTCTCTCTTGTCTGCCACCATGTAAGACGTGCCTTTCACCTTCCACCATGATTGTGGGGCCTCCCTAGCCACATGGAACTGTGAGTCCATTAAACGTCTTTTTCTTTATAAATTACCCAGTCTCGGGTATGTCTTTATCAGCAGTGTGAAAACAGTCTAATACAGGGGGAAAGCCCTTGGTTTGACACACCACTCTTGGCCCTCCTCCCCTCCTTGTACCCTCCAAGACAGGAAGAATGGCTTAATTGATGAAGGATTTGGGGAGAGGAACAGAGTATATGTGGCATTGTCCCTTTCTCTGCTTCTCTTTGGGATGGACCTGCTTGCAGAGAGTCTCCATTCAGCTCTGTCCTTCTACTCCTTAAGTTTAACTGCAGCAGGCTCTGCTCCTTCTGGGACCACTAAGTGGCAGTGTGCTTTGAATCTCCACTTGCCTTGTCTGAGAAGATAGTCTGTCTCCATATGGTTTCGGCGTTCCACAGCTCACCGTTGCTGGCTTGCCATGAACCCAAGCACATCCTCCAGCCTCGCTTATGAAAGTCCTAAAGGTGGTGTTTTCATCTCCATCTACCTGACTCCTGTGTCCTTTTCTCAATTAGTGTCAAACTTCATCAAGGAACAAAGATTTGATGTGTTCATACATCTCCAAACCCCAATACAATCCTATAAGATAGATATTATTAATGTCCCTTTTCAAAGGAAATAGAAGACAGAGGTTGAGTCATTTGCCCAAAGAAACACATATGTGGTAGGCAGAGTATATACTCCCAGATGTTGATTCCAGAGCCTGTGTTTTTAACCATTAATCTTTCTTTCTTCTTATTTTAATCTCATGCCAAGTCCATTTGAAGGATTATATCTATATCAGAGGGAAAATAAAACTTAAGGATCTTCCACACAGTTATTAAAAGCCAAATTTGTGTGATTTCAAAGCATTGGTACTTTTCATTCTATTGGGATACACTGGGGGTTCTACATTTTAATTTTTTTTTATTGGCATCTTGCACATTGAAGTGATCTGAGATCCTGAGACCACATCCCAGACCCATTTTCTGTGAATGTTGAGATCAGGGGCCTCATTGAATAAAGGAACTATGTCTAGCCCTATAATGCAGGTCTCCTTGACATACTGACAGATTGTAAGGGCATACAAGGTACTCCAAACGAAAGATATTTTGCTATGCCTCTCAGTGAGGATGACGACTTGGGAATCTCCAGTGGCTGCACCAAGAAGTAGTTGCTGATAAACTCAGACAGGGTCAAGTTTTCCAAAGATAAATCACTGGAGCATGAAGAGAAGGCAGTTGACTGGATGGCCTCTCCAACTCCCCGTTCTAGTGCCTTTTTTTTTTTTTTTTTTTTTTGAGATGGAGTCTCACTCTGTCACCCAGGCTGGAGTACAGTGGTGCAATCTCAGCTCACTGCAACCTCCACCTCCCAGGTTCAAGCGATTCTTCTGCCTCAGCCTCCCGAGTAGCTGGAATTACAGGTGTGCACCACCACACCCGGCTAATTTTTGTATTTTTAGTAGAGACAGGGTTTCACCATCTTGGCCAGGCTGGTCTTGAACTCCTCACCTCGTGATCCACCTGCCTTCGCCTCCCAAAGTGCTGGGATTACAGGCGTGAGCCATGGCGCCCAGCCTCTAGTGCCTTCTCCTACCACGTTGATTTCAGCAATGCTGCTATAAGCTTGAACAGTGCCAGGGTAGCAGATACGACACCCATGTGCCACAAAAACTCAAATGTAAAAGAAAAAGTCATTTTCTTTAATTGTATGAAATTCAGTTTAATTTCTGTCAAGCTCCTCAGGCAAAAACGACAGAAGGAAACTAATCTTACTAAATGTAGGTGAGTTCATTGACTTCAGCATTTTTTTATCCTATCTTCTTCAGGGTTGCATCCAAGTTCCAGGGATGGTAGGGAGGGGGATCTAACTCTTGGCAATCATCTGTCTTCTTCAGCATCTTCTATGCAGTCTCAGTCCTGTAGGTCCCTGGTCAACAGTATCTGCCCCTGCTCCCATTCAGGAAGTCTCCAGCAAAGGTAAATGTTGGTCACTATAATTGTTCTCCCTGGGGCTGTGGAAAATTCACTGGAGCTGTCTCAAGCCTTCTGTGACTCAACAGGCCTCACCAACATGGTTGCCACTGCCCATGGTACCCACCCAAGCACAGGGATAATCTGGGACCCAGAGCTCTCCTAGGACCCAGCAAGGAATGGATGGATGGGAGGAATGAGTCCCCTCTGTTCCAGATCTCCAAGTGTATCCAGAGGGTCTATCACTGAAGCTCCACAGGGGAAGAGCAGCAGAGGACAAGGACACTTATTGGAGTCCCAACAGGCTCTAGCTTCTCCCCTCATGCTCACCATCTTTACCTAACCCAGGGAATTAGTACCTCTTCTAGATGAGACAAGCTAGTCTCTTGGATCTTCTTACTCTCCCTGACCTCAGCTTTGTAAACTCACAAAAACTCAAAGTACAAAATGCAATGCCTTTGTGCCACTCTGACAACCCTCCCCCCGGGCAATGAGTGCCTCATAGCTCAGTTTGAATGGATCAGGTGGGTGGTGATAACGATGGAGTTAAAAGGGATTATAAGATATTTATTAAACATATGTAACAAATGCCCATAAAAACATCTGTTCAAGAATTTCCACAGTATTATTTAAATAACCCTGTATTAGTTATCCACTGCTGCATAACAAATTTCTCCAAAACTTAGTCCCTTGAACAACCATATGTATTGTCTCACAGTTTCTGCTTAGCTGGGTCCTCTTGCTCAGGGTTTCTCACAAGGCTGCAATTACCATGCTGGTCAGGGAAGCCGTCATCTCAAAGCTCCACTGGAAAGGGATCTGCTTCTAAACTCACTCATGTGGCTACAACAGTGCTCCGTTCCTCGCAGGCTGTCAGTCTGAGGGCCTCAGTTCTTCCCTGGCTGCTGGTTATGTGTCTTCCTCAGTTCCCTGCCACACGCAACTCTGGCTTACAATACCGTGGCTGTTTTCATCACAATAGGTGAGTGGGAAAGTAAAAATAAGTGAGAGAGCAGAAGTCACAGCCCTACAACACCTAATCTCAGAGCTGACATCTCATCCCTTTCTCCAGTATTCTCCTTGTTAGAAGCAAGGCAGTGGGTGTGGCACACACAAAGGGAGGAGATTACACAAGGATACAAACATCTGCAGGAGTGGACCACTGGGAGCCATTTCAGACTAAACTGGAAGTAACACATATGCCCCTGGGTGAATGGATAAGCAACAAGCAACGTGTGATGTATTCACACAATAACATAGCACTCAGCAGTTTAAAGGAAGAAACTACGAATGGACCCACAACACAGATGAACTTCCAAAACGTTATGATGAGTGGAAGCCAGACACAAAAGAGTACACACTTTAGGATTCAATGTTATGAAGTTTTAGAACAGGTTGTCTCTGGAGAGGAATTGACTGGAAAGGAGCACAAAAGAACTTTCTAGAATGAAAGGTATCTTGACTCGCGGGTGGTTATGTGGGTATATTCATATGTCAAGATTCATACAACTGTACAGTTAAAAGCTCTGCATTTACCACATGTAAATTATGCTTCAGTTTATGCTTTTCACAAGGCTTCCATCAGTACCTCACAATATTATTCCATGACACCAGTACACTCCAGTTCTCCCCGCCGGAGAAGGAAGTGTAGCCGCAGATCAGACTTACTTCCTGGGTGGCCTTGGGCAACCTCTTAAACTCCTCTGAGCTTATCCATCTAGTAAGCATTTGCATTCTTTGTGAAGCTTGCCAGAGGTAAAGAAGAAAGAGAACTCAGTCAGCTCTCTCTAAGGGCCTATGGCCTAATGGGAGAGACACACATACAAATGAATATAAGGTTGGGAGCTATGAGTGCTGGGATGGATTAGTCATGTCTGCCCTGGGCATGGAATATGAAAGTGGTATTTGTCACCCCTGCTTTATGGGATTAGAAGGCTTAAATGGAGTGTCTGTTTCCTGGTTTCTGTTAAATCTGGTGGCAAGACCTCCCTACTGCCTTGTTCAATGTAATTTAATTCAACAGACATTTGTTAGTTGCTTTCTGAGTGCCAGGCATTTATATTCAAAAACTCTTTAATTTCTATTACATGTGCATATGGCTATTACGATCATCAGTGTTGGCCCAGTTTAGAGATGCTTTCTAGAGGATTTTACTATGAACTCCCCATATAGGGCAACCCCACATGTCATTTTTCAATCCTTAAAAATTCGACACAGACTACTGGCAATATATATGGCAATATAGAATCTGAATTTTTCTCTGGGGTTATTGACTGTACTTATGAAATCTGTATTTCTGAATTAGTAAAGGTGTGGCTGAGAAGCCCCTTTACAATGATTCCACGGCTTCATCAAACACCCTGCTGTATATGAAGCTAAGCTTTCCTGTGCTGTTGCACTATGTCCTCACCACTACCCATCGTCTCTGTTATCTCCATGAATCCCATTTTGGAGATGAGGAAATTAAAGCTTAGAAAATTAGGGGTTTGCTAATGACCCAGGGCTGTAAGTGACAGAGCTGAGCCTCAATCTGTATAATCTCTCCTGTCTTATTATAACACAGTCTTTATGGCTCAAAAAAAAAAAAAAAAAAATTCTGAGCTAAGTCTTTCTGAGCACTGCAAAGTCCTAAACGTCATGCTCACTGAATGTCAGTTTCCCCAGTTTGATCAAAGCATTGCTACTCTGTGACCTTGGACAAGTCATTTCCCTCTTGGGGTCCCGGTTTTCTCATCTGTGAAATGTGGGTTGTCAACTTCATGACATAGAGTTTCTTAGACAACATTTTATGATGCATATTTCCAAATCAAGATGGTAGATTTCTAAGAAAATTCATGCATACCTTACCTGAGGCATATATTAATTTAATAACACTCCCTCGTTGATAATTGGGTTATCATTTTCTCTCAGTGCCAAGTGGGAAAATGATCCTCTTTCAAGGTCATTAAAAGTAGAGGCCAAATGAATCATATTTTCAAGGCATCATGCCACTGCCTTCCTCAGCACTAATGTATACTAAAAGCAATATTTAGCATCTGGATTTTGAGGACCTGGAGCTGAATTACATTTCTAAATCAAAATGTAGGAAAGTTCACATTCAGAAGGATTTTACCATAATCCAATAGTACCTTAATGGGCCTTTAAGCCTCAAACCACATTTTAACCCCTGAATTCTCGGAGAGAGTTTGGTCATATCATTTTTCAATACAGATATTTCATGGTCTATTGATTTTATCCAGGAATAAGAAAAGGCACTTAAGGAAAAAAGGAATTTGGCTTAATTTCTAAAACTAAATGGATCCTGGGCTGCGAGGTTTAAAGAAGTCTTGTATGCCAAACGCAACGCTGAATGAATTACATATAAACAACTGGACCCATGTGAACAGTGACGATTGTTTCCTTTATAGAAGATCACAATAGCTGCACTTCATTGAGGACAAGAGGATTTCTCCATTGTGCACGGCTAAACTGCAAGATGAGTGTGTTGAGTTTTGAGCACCTAGAATATTTCTCCCTTCACTGTTTAGAGTTTTAAAAGAAGAAGAAAGCAAACAAGGGGTAGGAGAAAGTAGAAAAGAAGAGAAGAAACTGAAGGAAGTGCACTTATGGGTGGAGGTGAGCTGCTTCCTGGGCCCTAATCTGTCCACGTGGTTTGATTTCTCCTTAGGCATCTTGACAGTGGCTCCCTTTATTTGAACCTTTCTTGATTAGATTAAGAAAGCAGAGCTACTACAGAAAGGAAGGTAAGAGGCGAGATAGAATGATAAAACCTTGGCCTTGGAAGGGACTTTAGAAACCTACAGCCTTTATATATTTTCATGTACAGATAAGAAAACCAAGACAACTGAAGACCAAGAGGTGAAGAGATTGCCTTCAGCCTCTCAACTTGGAAGTGGCACAACTGGTACAAAATGTTGATCTACCTTTTCCAGGCACCCCATGATGGCATCCCATGATGGCATCTAATAGTGTACCCACAACCATCCTTGAACATTATAAAAATCTTAGGTCTCTGTCAAACAATAAAAGGTTAATATAGAAGAGATTTCAGATCCTAACAATACGATGAACTGAGTTGAGAGATAAGAATCAGAACCAGGTTAGCCACTCATGTTCAATAACTACAAGTTATCAACAGGTGCCAGCAAGATACTCTTTCTTAGTAGATGAAGGTCAATATCACATCATTTAATCAAAATAATCAAATACCTTTTTAACACCTGCCATGTGTCATGGGAAGAGAGGGAGGCAGGAAGAGAAGAAGGGGAGCAGAATGGAGGGAAGAAAGATCTATTTACAAGACTCCGTGGCTATTTAGTAGCCAGAACTCAAACCTACGGAGACCTGTGATGAACAGTCTCACTACTACAGCTCTGAAGCAATGAATATATTTCTGTATCATAACAACTACAGAGGAAACCATAGACGAAAATCCAGAACCTCTGCCAACGAAAGACAGCATGCAACACCCAAGTCAAGTGATCAGAGATGTTTTTGTACGTTATCTGAGACCAGAAATCCAAAAGGAGAAGTCAAATCTAAACAGCTGAGTGGTTAAAAAAAAAAAAAAAAAAAAAAAAAGTTCACCACTCTCTACTTCTGCCGTGAAGCATAACCTGCATTTACTGATTCAGCAAGCACATTTCAAGTGCTTGCTTTATGCTGGGTTCTGCTAGAGACTGAGGATAAAGCAGTAAACAAGGCCAACGAGCTCCGTGTCATCATGGAGCTGACAGCTTAGAGGGCGAGACAGGCACAATACAGAGGTACCAAAAGAGAAAACTTGGCCTTTCTAAGGGGGTGATGTTTCATGCAAGACCTGAAGCAGAAAAAGGTGCCATCCCTGGGGAGAATGCAAGAAGCTGCAGCCCGGGCAGAGGATGAGCCAGCAGGTACAAAGTTCCAGAAGTGGGAGACTTCTGGGTGTGCCCAGGAGCTGCAGGAAGGCAAGTGGGGAGAAGAGAAAGGCCAGCGTATAAGATGAGGCTGGAGCGCTGTGGGCCTGGGTGGGGAGTTTGGATTTTATTCCAAGCACAATGGGAGCCCATTGAAGGGTTTAGTAACAGTCAATAGAAAGGAGCACAAAAGGCCTATTTGAGGGCTCAGCACAGCCCCATAAGCCCTGCATTCAGGACCTCACTAAGCACTCACTGTATTGTCTCCACGGACTCTTTTCACAACAGTCTCTCAGCCCTTGATTTTCTCAGTTCTTTCTCTCCATGGCTCTCTTACGGCTCCAAAATGAACAGGAACAAGGGAGAAAGAAGAAAAGCCCCCAGCCCCCAGGGGCCCACTGGTCTGCCGCACTTGGTGTGCAGATGCGGGTTACACAGCAAAGCGGGGAAAGTGCTGGAGGTCCAACTCCCTGAGCGGCCCCTGTGGGAGGAGGTGGGGGGAGGTGAGAAGAGAAGGCCAAATAACCAGGTCCTGCACCTTTGCAAATGCCAGCCTCCCTGGGATCTCTCCTTCAGAAGGATAGGGAAATAAAGGCCCCAGCAGTAGAAAGTCTGAGCTGTGTCATTTGGCAGGTGCCTCTGGGACTGGGAAGAGCATGGGATCTGGAGTCAGAGATCCCCCTTTCAGTCCTGATTCTGGCTGTGTGACATGTGTGACAAAGGCTATCCCAGACAGGCTCAGTTTGCCCTCCAGATTCACTCTCCATCCTCCTGCACTCACTCTATGCCCAGAAGCCTGGCTCCCCCACCCTCCGGCTTCCACTCGGCTTCCGCCAATAGGAGGCATTGGCAGGAGGCTGGAGGGTTGGAAGAAAGGGAGATCCTGGTATTTGCTCCCCCAGCTCCCTTCCCCTAGGCTGTAGATTCTAGCTGGTGTGTTTCTTTTCTGAAGGCCTTGGCTCCTGCCAGGCAGCCCTGTCCCATATCACTCTCCGGATCCCAGCAGCACAGCGACTTCCCTTCATCCCTGCAGGCCCAGGGGTAGTGGTGGCTTCCTGCTGATGCAAGCTCTGGGTACCTCCCCATCCCTCACTGCCTTCCTCACCCCTGCTCCCAACTTCGGCATTACTACCAGCATTTGAGGGAGCCATCTATTTCCTCCCCATTCCCCAAACAATCCAATGGGCAGTTACTTTGAGTCTCTGAGATTCCATTTTCCCCATTAGTAGCATTCCTTTAGAGAAATTCTTGTGGAAAGTAAGTCAAGCGAAGTAATGCACAGGAATGTCCACAATATCGATAAGGTGGAAACCCCAAATGTCCATCGATAGATGAATGTGTACAGAAACTGTGGTCCTTACATGCAGTGGAATATTACTTGGCCTTAAAAAGAAAGGAAGCACTGATATATGCTACAATGGATGAACCTTGCAAACATTATGCTAAACAAAAGAAGCCACATGCAAAAGGTCACATATTTGTGATTCTATTTATATGAAATATTCAGAATAGATAAACCACAGAGACAGAGTACAGATTGGTGGCTGCCATGGGCTAAGGGCTTGGGGGTTACATAAAGAAACTGCTTAATGGATAAGGGGTTTTACTTTGGAGTGATGGGAATGTTTTGGAACTAGATCAAGATGGTGGTGGCATCATATTGTGAAGGTATTAAATTCACCTTAAAATGGGTACTTTTATGTTAGGTGAATTCCACTTCAATAAATTATCTTTCTAAAAAAAGAACATCAAAAAGGAAAACCCACCCAAGCTTTAAAATGGAAAAAGGAAAAGCCACCAAAAACCATAAAATGTTAAATATAATAGATAACAGAATTTTTCTGATCATAATAAAAAACATATATAGCTAATGAAACAACACGTACGTAGCAAGACAAAATTTTAATGTAACTAACACAAGGGCAAAATGAAAGGGCCAGGCTATGAGCTGGTTGGGTTGAGACGGGAAGAGATTTCAGTTGGTGGCAAGAACCGGCAGGAGCCAGGCCTTTGTCTGAAGAATGAAGGTCAGGGCTTTCCAGGCCAGAGGAGGGCACAAATAAAGTTTCTAAGGTAAAAGTGTCAAAGCCTTGGGAATGGGGGTGAGCAGTCTATAGGCGCAGAGGGAGGAGGAGATGGAGAGTGGGGATAGTTGGCCAAAGCCAAATTATCCAGACTCTCAAAGAGTAGGTCCAAGCTTCCTACTAGAGGGGAACAGGGGATCCTGTTAGGGTTTTGAGCAGAAAGCTGGCATGAATCAAGGGTAATTTTAGGAAGATTTCTTTGGCAGCATGTGTGAAACTGGAGGGGACAGGATTAGAAATGATTAGGTAGTTGTCCTACACTCATAAAGTACCAGTCAAGGTGGCAAGGTGGCAAGGTGGCAGTTGGAATTCCTTGGGAGTGAAAAAAAAAATTCATCCATCATGGACATATTTCACTTTTTCTTTTCTTTTCTTTTTTTTTTTTTAGAGGCAGGGTCTCACTCTGTCACCCAGGCTGGAGTGCAGTAGCATGATCATATTAATAGTTCACTGCATCCTCCATCTCCCAGGCTTAAGTGATCCTCCCGCCTCAGGCTCCCGAGTAGCTGGGACTACAAGTGCACACCACCAGGCCTGGCTAACTGGATTTATTTCACTTCAAAAGCTAAACGGATAGACTGATGGGGAGGCAGTCACGTATACAGTGCAGTATTTCCCAAACTGCATCCCAAAGAAGCTTTTCCAAATAGACTTGAACAATGTCTTGTTAAACAAAATCAAACAGGTTTGTTTACCACAGCATTTCTTGAAAGCTTTAATCTACAAACATACGTCTGTAAATATCCAGGAATAGAGCTGCCAGATGTAGGAGGGTGGGGGAGGACACTGCTCAATTTGAATTGTATGGTACACACTTACACTCACAAACCATTTGTTATGTATCTGAAATTTCTAATTTAACCTGGTGTTTGTATTTTATTTGGCATTCCTAAGGAGGGAGCTATAATCTACAACTGTTCTCAAGCATTTTTTTTTTTATCACAAAACCCCTTTTAATGGTACATGCATAGGACAGATATTCCACACATTAGGCCACACTTTAGCAAACACTGGTATAGTGGCAAATCCATTTACACCCGAGTCAGGCAGAAGGGGATCAAATAAAATCCCAACCCTGACTCTGGCTGTGTGACCCTGGCTAAGTCACATAATCTTCCTGGGTCTCAGTTCCCTATTCTGTAAAATGAAGATAATAATAATGACTTCTCAGGGTCACTGGGAAGTTTAAATGAGATGATGTAAATAAAAGTTCAGACCAGTACTGGGAACATGCACTTCTTTTCCATAAGTGCTGGTGAGCACATGATGCCACCATGCTATGGGTAAGGCATCAGTAGGTGGCATGTGGGAATACGGCTTATAAAAGCTTTGCCTTCAACCATTAAAAAGAAAGAAGTCAGCAAAATATATTTTTTGGCAAAGAAAGGCAGCATCTCAGACGGTGAGAGGTATGTGCAAAATAAGTGAACGCTTTAGGCCACTTACAAACTCAGATTTGTCGTTCAAGGTGGTATATATGTTTATCATCTTTCCAGGTGAGACCTCCTAGGGTGGTCCACAGGGATACACAGGAGTGTCGTGAAACCTGAGTGAGCTTCCAGCAGGACACACACACCAAGCTCTGTTTTGTAGCTGCAGAAAGTGAGGAATTCAAAGCAGTGGAGGGCACTGCTGCGGGGGCCCGAGCCTGGGGAAAGAGCCTCCAGAGCAAAAGCAGAAAGGACATCAAAAAACACAAGCAGTGGGGCTCAAAAGGATGGCAGTGGATAAGGGTGTTTCAGCCTCCTTCAAACCTCTCTGCTACCTGGGAAGCTGAGGCAGGACTGCTTGAGCTCAGAAGTTGGAGGCTGCAATGAGCTATGGTTGTACCACTTCATTGTATTCATTTCCTTAAGACAACAAAAGTGAGTCTCACAGTTCTAGGGTCTAGAGTCCAACATCACAGTGCTGGCAGGGTCATTCTCTCTGAGAGCTCTAGAGAGACTCCCTCCTTACCTCTTCCTAGCTCCTTGCTGTTGCCAGTAATTCTTGGCATCCCTAGCTTGCAGCTGAATCACACCAATCTCTGCCTCTGACGTCACGTTGCATTTTCTCTTTGTCTACATCATCTGCCCTATGTATGTGTGTGTCTGTCTCTGTGTCCATTCTCCTCTTATAAGACACGGGTCATAATGGATCAAGGGCTCACCCTACTCCCGTATGCCATCTTAACTAATTACACCTACTACACATCTACTACATACATCCGTCTTTCCAAGTCCTTACTTGGAACCACATTGTGAGGTTCCAGAAAGGATATGAATTCTTGAGAGATACTATTCAACCCAGTGCACTAACTTTCAGAATAATAACAGCAAACACTTACATAATGCTACGAGTGAGACACTGATATCTGTGATTTATACACACTGACTCGCTTTATCCTTGGGACAACCCTAAATGGTAGGTATTATTATAATCACCAGCCTACGTGTGAGGAAATTGGCCCATAGAGTAGCTAAGTCACTTGCTCAGAGTCATTCAGTGAATAAGTAGCAGGGTAAGGATTTGAACCCAGGTGGAAATTTCCAGAATCTGTCCTCTCAATGTTATATTCAAATTATTTTTTAGAAAAGTGGTGTGGACAACAGCTTAAAAGCTGCCTGCTTATAGAGACCAGGAACCTTATAATAAAAATAGAAGTAACCAACAGTTCAATAAAAGCTAATATTTACTGGGGCCCTCATTGTGAAAAGTGCTTTAGGGGTTGGAAGCAGACTCTGTCAATATTCTCATTTTACAGGGGAGGAAACTGAGATCTTGAGAGGGTAAGTATATTGCCCATGGTAACACAGCTAGTAATCTGTGGAGTTGGTTTCTCAAGTATGTTCATAATCAGTATTTTATGTTGGTGGCCAAACCCTCCCATCCACCTTGGGAACTTGGGGACATCTTAATATACCACCAGAAATCCCATTTGCAATGGATCATCCCAGGCTGGAAAACTGGCTTTCGGAGGAAACAAACACAGCTCTGATTTGTAGCATTTGCTGATTTCCATGGCGCAAATACTCCCACTGTGGCCAATTTCAAGCCGGAATGTGATGTCACTGAGCCCAGGGTTGGGAAGAGATGTGTACAATCAGCTCTCATGAGCCTGTCAAGCTGACTCAGTCATGCCCCTGCCCCAGGGATCTTGTGTAAAAGGGTGATGTGGACCCTTGAAAGTAAACAAAGCTCCCGGTCTCCTGGATCAAGACTCAAACAAAGATTCCTTTAGCTTTTAGGTCAAACAGGGAATGTTGGCCCCTTCAGGGCGGGCAATTTCCTAAGCAGGCATGGAATGTGCTTGGTATTACCCCCAGGTTGTCCGTGACACTTACCTTGCATGATTTTTATGAGCATTAAGAAGTAATGTTTGTGCTTAGTATGTAGGAGATGCTTAATAATTAAATCACTACCACATTATTATTATGAAGTCATTATAATGGAACTTGATTTGCATGAAAACTTCCAGCAATTATAATTAAAGCTTTAGGATATTCCAGAGTTGAAGATTAGATAAGGATGATTTACCCCCATTGGACAGTTGAGGAAACTGAGGCAAAGACAGGAGAAGCGACTTGTCTAAATGCATGCAGCAGACAGAGCCAGCCCAGAACCTGGATCACCTGAACCAAGGATGAAAGATGGCAAAGCCAACTTTGAGGCAGTTCATTTCATCCAAGTGGCAGAGCATGGAGCAAGTCCAGCAAGATAGAGCAAATCTGAAAATCTGGGAAATCAAGTTCAAGGTAGAAGTCTAGAGGCAAACAGGTAAGTATTTGTGCTCTGACCTTTCTGCCCAGTGCTGCCTGTCTCACCCATACACACATCTCTCTACTGCTCGTAGAGGAGCAAGGTGGCATGACTGCAAATGCCAGGGAATTTAGGGGGCAACGATCCTTTTGAGGATGGTGACCCTATCAGGAGAAACTGTTTAATCCTACCCACACTCCCAGTCTTTCATTTCCTCCATCCCGGCTGTCAACATAGTTTTATCATTCATTTTGTTTGACTTTGAATTTTGAGGGGATTACACTCACAGGAAGATGCAAACAGCACATAGAATAGTCCCTTCAGTCCTTCATTCAGATTCCTCCTGCTGTGACATCATTTCTGACTCTTGCACAATATCAAAACTGGAAAATTCACATAGTGCAGTACTGTTGACTAGACTACAGACCTTGTTCAGCTTTCATCAGTTTTTGCGTGTGCGTGTGTGTGTGTGTGTTTGCTAGTTCAATGCAATTCGATCCTTCATATAGATTTGCATAACCACCACCAAATAGGATACACAACAATTTCTTCACTCCAAGTAAACTCCCTCTTGTGACCCTTTACATATTCATCCTCCCATTCCTGTCTCTGCCCCCGGCAACCACCAAATGGTGTATGTTACATAAATGGAATTGTATAATATGAAACCTTTTGGAATTGGCTTTTTTTTCACTCAGCATAACGCCCTTATCCACGTTGTTGCATATTATGGGTTGAATTATGTCCCACCCAAAATTCAGATGTTGAAGTCTCAACTCCCAGTAGCTCAGAATGTGAACTTATTTGGAAAAAGAGTCATAACAAATATAATTAGCTAAGATGAGGTCAGACTGGAGTAGAGTGGGCTCCTAATCCAATATGGCTGGTGTTTTATAAAAGAGAGATTTGGACACAGACACCTCACAGAGAGAACACTATACAAAGACTGGAGTTACACTGCCCCAGCCAAGGAACTACCAGAAGCCTTCCCTAGTGCCTTCACAGACAGCATGACCTCACGTGCTCCGGACACTTTGATCTCGAACTTTTAACTTCCCAAACAGTGAAACAAATTTCTGTCACTTAGGCCGCTTCATTTGTGGTACTTTGTTATGACAGCACTAGTAAACTAGTATATTGCATGTCTCAAAACTTTGTTCCTTTTTATTACTGAGTGGAGTTCCAGCGTATGGATACATGAGAGTTTCTTTCAACCATTCGTCCATTGAAGGACATTTGGATTGTTTCCAGTTCTAGGCTATTACGAATAAAGCTGTTATGAATATTCATATAAGGTTTTTGTCTGAAAATAGGTTTTGAAAATAGGTTTGTATTTCTCTGAGAAAAATGTCCAAGAGTGTAACTACTGGGGATTAAGACAAACATATGCTTAGTTGATAAGAAATTGCCAAACAATTTTCCCATATTATTAATTTTTATAATGAGTAGACTCTCTCCAACCTCTGATAAACACTCCTTCCATTTTTAAAAATAGCAATAGACTCTGCAGGGAAGTTAGGAGGAGGGAATGGATGGGGTTGCATCTAGAAAACATGCAAATGCAACAAAAATATGGCATTCTGATAACTTAATGCTGACAATGGCAAAGTGGATTAACTGAAAAGCGCCACGGTCAATCTTGGTTGTCTGAATGAAGTCAGCAATTCAATAATCATTGATTCAATGCTTGCCACGTGCCGGCACCAATCTGGATTCTGGAAAGACCACACAAACTAGGATGGAGCCTTATTCCTCAGAATCACTCCTCCTCTTGTGAGAGAGAGACATGTACACAAATAACCATCATGCCACTGAGTATGATGAAAGGCAGGGAACTGGGAAACACGCACAATCCCAAACAGCAGATAAGACCCAAATTACAAACACTGAGTGTACGGGACAGCCTTGCTGCCTTCCTGATTTCTCCTTACTTAGCATGTTATTGTCTGATACATAAGAAAGCAGCTTGGAGATAGGGTTGAGATGAAAAATGAATTCTGGACAAACCAGAAAGTGAACATCAAGACTCAGCAACACTTTTTGAAAGCTTGAGCACCTGGAAACAGAGTATGACAGTTGGATTAGTCACAAAAACAAGAAGTGTTTTATGGGATTATCTGGATTCTGCGCCTGGGTGAATCCATCTACTTAGGGATGGCCTACCTCTCACGCTCCCAAGGGCTTCTTGCAGGGGAACACATTCACCACCAGCCAGTTTTCCTTGTCAATCCACCACTTTTTTCCCTCTCTGCCCTGCAAAGGAATAAAGCCTAAGGAATTCAGTCTGGGCCCTGATTAAGGGCTTACGGGCAAGCCCTTGGCCTTCACGGTCTGAACTGAGAGCTTTTAAGGTCCAAACAGGACTGACTTGGCATTTAATCAACAAAGCTCTTTTAAATAAAGTGAATAGGTTTCACTTGCCCTAACCTGAGAAGAGGAATTTTATTGACCTAAAACACCTCCATAAATGCTTTACCCCTTGACTTGACCTTTGTGAGTTTTAGCCTGAGCTCAGGATGATACTTGACTTTCGAGTGTTGATGTTCTTGGCCTGTCTTCTGTTCACATGACAGGCGGGGGCGCCAAGAGAGTCATAATGGCGGGATTAGTGTGAAGACAGATTTCTGAGATCACAAATCAGAAATGGAATAGGATAGAAACTTCTAGTTACCCCAATATCCATTTCTCTCTTTGCTCTATGGACAGAGAACCTTGGAGTTTTCACTGGGCATGGGAGCCACGGGGAATAATTTCCCAGATTTCCCTGCATCTGGCCTGGTCACATGACTAAGCTCTAGCCAAGGGGATGTGAACAGAAATGATGCCCAGAACTTCCGGGACATAGCTGCAAAGGAAATGAGTGTGCACTGCTCTGTCTCTTTCTGTCTTGTCTCAGGAAAAGCCAACGTAGTGGAGAGCCATTTTAAAGCATGTATTCAAGGACACTTTCTGAATTGTGAACAAGATGGGAAGATCCTGGGTCCTCACCTCTGTGGAGTCACCTCAACAACCAACTGCTGTTAAGAGAAAAACCTGGGCCGGGCATGGTGGCTCACGTCTGTAATTCCAGCACTTTGGGAGGCCAAGGCAGGCGGATCACCTGAGCTCAGGAGTTCTAGACCAGCTTGGGCAACATGGCAAAACCCCATCTCTACCGAAAATACAAATATTAGCCAAACACAGTGGGACATACTTATGGTCCCAGCTACTCAGGAGGCTGAGGTGGGAGGATGACTTGAGCCTGGGAGGCGGACATTGCAGTGAGCTATGATTGCACCACTGAACTCCAGCCTGGGCAACAGAGCAAGATCCCGTCTCAAAAAAGAAAGAAAGAAAGAGAGAAAGAAATTAGACAAACTACATTTAACAGAGTTTAATCAAGCAAAGAATGATTCACAAGTTGGGCAGCCCCCTAAACCAGAATAGTTTCAGAGAGGAAAAAAAAGAGAAAGTGATGTTCAGAAAACGGAAGTGAGGTATAGAAACAGCTGGATTGTTTACAGTTCCACATTTGCCTTATTTGAACATGGTTTGTAACAGTTGTCCAAGTTTGATTGGCCAAAACTTGGTGATTGGCACAAGAGCAGGTTACAGTCTGTTTAGACATCCAGTTAGGTTACAGTTCACTGTGCGCAGAGAAACCTTTAGGCTGAACTTAGAATATGTAAGGAGACAGCTTTAGGCTAATTTAACGCTGCTTATTCTGGGGGAGTCTTGTGACAGCACAATTAACTTCCCTCTTTCTTATTTGAGTCAATGGTATTTTGGTCTCTGAAATAGCAATTAAATTTGTATTCTGCTAATACATGGAATAAATTCAAGGGAGGGGACCAATTGATGTTGTGGGATGGAAAGAATAGAGAAAACAGGGAAGCAGGCAAGGGTCTCAAAGTGGAAAAGCAAGTGACTGGGAGTGGCACAGTCAAGCATAAGGGATGGCTCACTAGCATTGCAGCACATAGTAGCCACTCAATTAATGTTTGCTGACTAAAAGGTTTTTCCATCACTCCAATGCAACATCCCATTTCTTGCTTCCTGGCCTTTGCCCATGTTTTCCCCATAGCCAGGAATCCCCTCCTCACCCTCACCATCTCCAACTCATGGATAAATTCTACTTATCCTTCAGATTTCCTGTTGGATGGAAATGTCACATGTTGCTTTCCCAGGGAGAGGTCATCTCTGGGTGAGATGGCTCTTCTGCATACACCCCTCAGCACCTCCCCTGCAAGTCTACCTGTCTGCCCATTTGTGCAGCTCCTCCCCCAGACTGAGAATCCCAGGAGGACAGGGACCTCACCTGACTATTAGCCACTGTATCCCCAAGGCCAGCTCCAAGCTGCACATAGGATGGTCACGGACCTTTGATGAAGCGCCAAGCCAGAGATTGGCTTTCAGAGGAGCTGGTTAGACAACAATGACCTGGGAATTTTGGAGGTGTCAGTTCACATTAGTCCCTCTCTAGCAAACTGCCTTTTGGGGAGTCCCAGCCAGGTGCCCAAATACCTCTGTCCTGGGGGGAACCACCAGAGACCTCACCTGCCAGCAGGGGCTGCTCACCACTTATGATCCTTACCGGCGGCCTTCCTCCCTCACCTTCCTCCTCATTCAGGTGGCTGTAGTTGAGTTGGGGGTTTGTTTTTCTCTATTTCCTTCTCACTTTCTGCCTTGGCTTTTATGTTTCCAATTGTCATTCTGCTGTTTAGTGCCAAGTCCCACTGCGCACAGCACTCTGGCCGCCCACCTGCCTCTGATGAGTGCGCCGTACCCGGCTTCTCCGCTCCCGGCGCCTGCAGCGCCACATGAAAGCTGTGCTTTTATCACCAGGAACCCTTTGCCTCCAATTTTTTCATATCTTATTAAGGCTCAAACCGGTTTGAGCAATTTCTTCAAAAGCCACACAGATTATTCAAAACAACAACAATAGGGAAGGAATAAAAGCAGCTAAACTGCAAAAATTATCTGGTACACTCGACACTTCAGTCTCTTGCTCTTTCTGACAATCATGTCACCTGACAGGGAGCAGGCGGAGAAGACTCACTAGAAAACTGCCCCATTTCCCACAGTGCCAGATCACCCTGCAGCCCGCACTCCTTGCAGGAGCAAGGTGACTCATCCTGCTCCCCAGCTCCACAGGCATGCCACCTGCATGGGGCCCAGGGCTCACAAGGGCCCTGTGCTTTGTTTAAAGCTATGCTGTTGGGGTCTTGAATTCTCTTTTTTTTTTTTTTTTTTTTTTTTGGAGACAGAGTCTCGTCCTGTCACTCAGGCTGGAGTGCAGTGGCACAATCTCGGCTCACTGCAGCCTCCACCTCCTGGGTTCAAACGATTCTTATGCCTCAGCCTCCCCAGTAGCTGGGATTACAGGCATGCGCCATTACACCCAGCTAATTTTTCTATTTTTGGTAGAGACGGGGTTTCACCATGTTGGTGAAATGCCTGGCCTCAAGTGATCTGCCTGTCTCGGCCTCACAAAGTGCTGAGATTACAGGCATGAGCCACGGCGCCCGGCCCTTGAATTCTTAGAAACTTTTGAATAAGGGCCCCACACTGCCATCCTTCAGTGGGCCCTGCACATGACACAGCTGGTCCTTCCTTAGAAGTTCCCTTTGGAGAGTTACCTCCTGCCTTCCCACACACTAGCATCAGAGCTGCCCAGTATCATAAGGACCTCAGAACTGTAACCTGGAAGAGCCATGGGACAAGCCTGATGTAGGCCAAAGGACTGAGTCCAACCTGGGTTTGAATCCTACCCTGCAATTTACTAGCCTTAGGCTAATTATCACATGCCCCTGAGCTTCAGTTTCCTTATTTCCAAGAGGAAGAAAATCATACCTTACCTTACAAAGTTGTTGGGAGGATCAAAGAACATAATTTATTGTAGCGGGGCACCTGGAAGAGACTGCGGCTTTAAATATTGAAGGTGGAAAATCGCCATTTGGGGAATGTCAGATAATCTCTTTAGTCCATAAAGAAAAAACAAATGAATTTACCTTTGAGCAGATACTCCCTTTGTTCAGGAGGGGCCATGTCACTGGGCCCTCCTGGTAGTGCTGGTAGGACCAGTTCTCATTCTAATGCATATCATTAACAAATGTCAATCGGAGACTCCTCAGATGAAATCTAAAGTCAGAAATTCATTTTCTGTAAAACATGGGATTTCAGTGTCCTATGTCTGAAGATCACTGTTTATTCTTGGAAGTTTCATTTGTATTTTTGACCAAGAATGAGCTCACAGGTGATCTGCTGCCAAGACCTGCCCGTACCAGGAGGGAGATGCAGGCCCCATCTTCTCTTTTCTGAATGTTGGCAGATGATGAAAGGACCCTGGTCCAGGCTTGGCCCCCAAAACCAGGTCCGGGCAATTGAGTTACTCCTGCAGGCTACTTTAGTTGAAGAAGCCAGATTTGGGAGAGGGGCAATGACAAGTGTGACCACTTGGTAGAGGTTGTGGGGTCAGACAGCAGCCTGGTTGGGGCAGCGGAGGGGACATTCCCTTCAGAGGAAAGAAAATGGAAGCCCATTGGCAGGCTTCCTGGGAAATGGGACGATTCCTGGTGAATGAGATGAGGTGGACTTGGGACTCAGGGATGGAGCTCTTCCTCTCTCTGAGAGTGGCTGGGACTCATCAGCAGAAATGTTCTGAAGGTCTCTTCAGGGTCCTCTAGCCTATGAAAGCCCCATAGAAGCTACACAGGGCAAACCTTATTCTTCTAGTTAAATTCCATTATCCCCAAATAGTAAAGTTATACCATTTCCATCATATTTCAGCTGTGCTTCGGGCCCTGAAGGAAGGAGCTCACATCCATATTAGGGATAAAGATATGCGTCTGCAGCCTGGAAAACAGGATGCTGGAGATGTCCAGCTGAGCTCGAGTGGGGCAAGAATGCAGAGCAAGTGGCCTGCAGGGGATGACACGCCACCACTTAAGAAACCTGTACACATTCCTCAGGAGTCCCAGAAATGCCCTAGAGAAGAGAACTTTCTTGAAGAATGCACTTCCTATAATGAATATGACACCAAAAATGCAGGCAACAAAACCAAAAGTAAACAAGTGGGACGATGTCAAACTAAAAAGCTTCTGCACAGCAAAGAAAACAATCAACAATGTGAAAAAGCAATCTATGGAATGGGAGAAAATATTTGCAAATCATATGTCTGATAAGAGGTTAATCTCTAAGACATATAAGGAACCCTTACAACTCAGTAGTACAAAAAAAAAAAAAAAAAAACACCCTGATAACTCAATTTAAAATGGGTTAAGAACTTGAATAGACATTTCTCCAAAGAAGACATACAAAATGGCCAACGGGTATATGAAAAAATGCTCAACATCAATAGTTATCAGAGAAATGCAAATGAAAGCCACAATGAGATATCACCTCACATCTGTTAGGATGGCTATTACCAAAAAACAAAAGACAAGTGTTAGCAAAGAAGTGGAGAAATTGAAATCTTTGCACACCATTGGTGGGAATGCAAAATGATATAGCCACTCTGAAAAACAGTATAGCGGTTTCTCAGGCTGGGCTTGGTGGCTCACACCTGTAATCCCAGCACTTTGGGAGGCTGAGGCAGGTGGATCACGAGTTCAGGAGGTCGAGACCATCCTGGCCAACAAGGTGAAACCCCATCCCTACTAAAAATACAAAAAATTTGCCAGGCGTGGTGGCAAGCGCCTGTAGTCCCAGCTACTTAGGAGGCTGAGGCAGGAGAATTGCTTGAACTTGGGTGGCGGAGGTTGCAGTGACCCGAGATCGCGCCATGCACTCCAGCCTGGGCGACAGAGACTCCGTCTCAAAAAAAAAAAAGAAAAACAGTATAGCGCTTTCTCAAAAAATTAAAACTAGAACTACAATATGATCCAGCAATCTCACTTCTGGGTATTTATTCAAATAATTGAAATTGGAAAATGTGGTATAAACATACAATGAAATACTATTCAGCCTTTAGAAAATAAGGAAATTCTGCAATATGGACAACATGGATGAAGCTTGAAAAAATTATGCTAAGTTAATGAAGCCAATTACAGAAAGACGAATACTGCAAGATGAATAAGCTACAGAGATCTGCTGTACAACACTGAACCTATGATCACCAATAATATACTGTATACTTACTAATTTAAGAGGATAGATCTCATGTTAAGCATTCTTACTGCAATGAGGAAAAGAAAAGAAGGAAAGAATAAAAAGAATGGACTCCGTTTATCCTGTGAAATGGAGTTAGGATTATTAGTATGTGGCCACAGATGACTGAACAGGTGCAGAAGTGGGGTGGGCTGTGGTAAGGGAAAGGTCAGCTGGGTTCCATATGCAAAATGATTTAATTGGCCACTTAATGACCAACATAATAATGATGATTATTTTCAGTAGAGGAAAATAAAGCCCAGAAAGCTGAAACAATTTTTCCAAATGTTCGTTCTCTCTCTGCCACCTGCATCCCCTTGCAGGAGAGCCTACTTGGTCCATAGCTCCAGGAGGAGCAACCCACGGCATAATGGGACCCACTGCCCCAGCTCACAGCTGATTGGACCAGAAGCAAACACGTGACTCGAGTTAAGCCAGTCAAATTCTCTCTCCTCACTATTTAAACAAGGGGATTGTTGGTCTCGGCTGCATCAGTGAGTTGTGAAAAGCCTCGAGTGTTGAGTGTGGAGTCAGTGTCACAGTCAGCCAAAGCCAGTGGTGGCCAAAGTAAGGCACAGAAAGTAGGCCTGGCAAGGACAGTTGGTCTGCAGGGAGGAGAGCTGAGCAAGTGTCCGGGGAGCTGCAGACACAGCCACCTATGGGATGTCAGAGAGAGATGGTGTCTTCCCACTTGCTGTGAGGCCAGGTGGACTTCCTGCAAAGAGGTCCCAGGAAATGCCCCTGAGTGCTGATAATAATGCCCCTGTTTTTTCACTCAGACTAAATTGTATGAGTTTCTTTTCCCTACAACCACAGTCCCTGGGCCCATTAGCAGAGGGGGCCAAGGCCTGTCATAACATGTCAGGTGGACTCCCAGCCCAGTGCTCTTTCTGTACCACAACACCTGCTTTCTCCCTTGGCATAAGGCAAATTTCTTTGGTATGAATGGGGTCCATCTGGGTATTCTGTGGTGAAAATGTACTTTTTCTATACCCTCACAAGGTTGTGGATGTGACAAAATGCCCACAAACGACTCAAGTCTATCTGAAGATCTCTGAGTAGGGGTGGTCACATGACACCCGAGAGTCAACTGGCAGACAACTGGCCAAGCAGTGGCTAAAGCCACCCCAGGGACCAAAGGAGCCTTTGTCTGTGGCCTGGCAGAGCTCCCTGTCCTGGCCCAGGTATTCATGTTGCAAATCCTGACATCAGGTGATTCCCAGAAAACAGTGAGACTTGAGCCCAGGGTGGCCAAGTTCCATGTATTATTTCCCTTCTAGGAAACAAATAATTTGGCAAGAGAAATCACTTGGGAACTTTCCATCCTCAGCGAGAATGCTGGGACCCATTCATTCTGGGGCTCACCATAGCGAATAATCCACGTAACTTCTCCATTGGATCATTGTGTTGCAGCTATTGATCTGGGATCCTCAATAAAAAATAAACCTCCTTAGAAATAATAACAATAATAAGAGCTGGCAGGTCGCGGTGGCTCACACCTGTAATCCCAGCACTTTGGGAGGCCAAGGCGGGCGGATCATGAGGTCAGGAGATTGAGACCATCCTGGCTAACGCAGTGAAACCCCATCTCTACTAAAAATACAAAAAATTAGCCAGGTGTGGTGGCACATGCCTGTAATCCCAGCTACTGGGGAGGCTGAGGCAGGAGAATTGCTTGAACCCTGGGGGCGGAGGTTGCAGTGAGCCGAGATCGCACCACTGCACTCCAGCCTGGGTGACACAGCGAGATTCTGTCTCATAAAATAAAAATAAGAGCTGTTACTACCAGGTTCTTTGTCTACATTAGCCTCAAAAACTACCACATAAAGTAGGTGGTATCATTCCATTTTACAGACAAGTAAACTGAGGCCCAGGGTTATTCAATATTTCACTTGAAGTCACTCAGCTGGTAATTGATCAAGCTGGGAGTTTACTCCACTCTGCCACTAGTGAAAGCTAGTGAGTTCCTAAAGTATGCTTTAGATACTTTGTCCAAATTCCTTCATTTACTCTTCATAAACAACCCTATGATTGCAGTTATACTAATATGTAGATAATGAAGCTGAAGCACAAAGAGGCTAAGTAGTCTTCCCAAATCATTGGTAGAAATGAGATTTAAACTCCACTCTGCATGGCCTCAAAACCAGAGCTTCCGCCTAGGTCCCCTCCTTCAGTTCTCTTCTGAGCTCCTCTCTGGCAGGGCCTGGCTGGGGCTGATGGATAAAGTCCCACTAAGACACAAACTGATGTGTTAAGGCGTTATTCTCCTGCCCAACCTGGACTTCCCCCAGTGCCCTTACTGGTGTCCCACGCAGAATTGTTGGACCTCACAACTGCTCTGTAAGGTGGGCAGACACATCCCCAGAGCCCTACCTCCCATATGAGAACTCTGAGGCCCAGAAAGACGCTTGGTCAACTCCAAGATCACACAGCTGGTAAGCGGCAGAGCTGGGGCTTGAACATGTGCTGTCTCCACAGAAACACACTGTGACTTCCAGACATTTGCAACAGAAAACTTTGGAAAACCCAAAAGTCCTCAGGTAAAAAGAAATGTGTAGCGAAAAGGTGGAATTTGAGTCAGGATGACAGGCCACATGAGAGGAAACATTCCAACATCCCCAAGTCCCTAAAGTTGCACCCCCACAGTTGGCCATAGCAGGGGTCCTGAGACTAACACTGTCTCCAGAAACACCTGGTGACTTTGTGGAATCCAGCTGCCACTGTGATCACGCAGCAGCAGACCAGCAATGCATTGGCCAATTCTTATTTACCATCCACTTAAAGAGGAGCAGACATGTGGTCAGTGGACAGGTTCCCTGGACAACAAACAGACTGAGACAGATTGGCTTGCAGGAGGTATAATGGGGAACACTTCCAGGATCCACAATGGGAGGGGTGCGGGGGAAGCAGGACCGGGCAGAGGGAGAAGTTGAGCTGTGATACAGTCACAGCAGAGGCCTCTACTGATCTTATAGGGAGCTCTGGAGCTGGGAGGGCTCTCAATGTTGTCTCGAATCCAGGTGGGGGACTGAGGCCTTGTGCCCCTGCATGGACCAGTCATTGCGTACATGATGCCCCAGGGACAGGACATATACCTGAGCCAGGCAGCTCTCTTTGGCTGAGGGCAATTCCTGGCTGTGAACCTCCCACAACCAACATCATCAGTAGCTGGGTGAATGAGCACCTTGACCCTGAAGCTAGACATGGGAAGTGCACTGTAGTGTCCACTATAAATAGCCTTTGGAACACGCACAGTGCAGGCACATGCAGGCCTGTACACACAGACCCGCGCACACACACACTCCCAGCCCTGCCCAAGCCTCTACAGCTCTACCCACTCTCCCACCAGCTGGGGCAACAGAAAGGCCAGTGTGAGGAGGAAGCCCACCTCAATGCAACCTCCACAGAACAGAAAGCAGCTGACTCTATTTTGTTTTCGGGATACCTTCATCAGTCTGGAAGTGCCTGGAAGACGAAGGGGAGTTATCCCTTCTGTCTCAATGAAATGACTTCTAAAATGGTCCAGTGGCTTCAAATGCCTCAATTTGCACAAACCATGGTAGATGCTCCCTGTCCTCTGTCCTAACGAATCACATTGGATGATGTCCAGATACAAAACCAGGGAATGAAATCCCTCTAGTGAGGACAAAAATGATAGGTGCTGTTTCAGAGGAAGTTTTCCTTCTGTACTAAAAACGAGAACTCAAATTTGAGGGAAAGCACCATTAGACATCACACTCTGAACAGAGAGAGAAAGACTGAACTCCCTGAAACACTTGCTTTTCCAAGAGCTAAAGCAGGAAAAGTGAAAAAGCCCAAGTCCCTCAACTTTGCCATGGCTTTGGCTGGCCTCACAGCCGTTAGGGTGGATTATGTTGTTACCCTATTACATAATGGATGGTTGCCTAATTCACCCAACTGTATATAGATTTTTTTTAAAAACTCCATTTCCTCCAGTAAACAAGAGCATAATTTTAATCACCAAGCCACTCAAAATCTTAACCCCGAGCCACCTTATTTGCATTTTTTCCTGACAGAGCTTACATTTTTTCATTTCTTTAATTGGACAATTTTGAGCATGGAGCTTGACCACCAGCTGTGCCGGGTGACAATATCTTCACTCCACAGCCATACTTGTTCCTCTTCTCCCATTTCCAGAATTAAAAGAATGTTTTATGGCTTTAAGCCACCTCCAGAGCTAAAAGAATATTGAAACATTTGGGGGCTCAGTCTGTTGGGTCAGAAGATGATACAAAGTGAGAGTAGAGGTGCTCTGAGCCCCTTCTAATTTTTGGCATCTCAAATAGTTGCCACAAATATTGGAGCTCTTAACCTTCCACAATGCTTCCTTACTAAAGTTCTTTCTGAGAGCCCTGGAGAGGCTCTTTAGAACGTTAGGAAAAATGAAAAGGACAAAAGAAAAATCAGTAGGTCATCTAATAAGAAATCTTTCAAGTGCCCTCCAAACGGTATCTTCCCCCAACTTTCTCCTTAATTTAATTACTTTATCTTAAAAAAAAATTGTGACCCAATATTTACAGGCCCAACATGATCCATATCCCCAGGGAAATGAATCATGTTGGGCCTGTAAATGTTGGGTCACAATTGCTGGGGTGATAAGTTAACGTAAGTGTCCTTGTCATAACAAGCACAGATGGCAGATTTACAATTCAGCAGCTATATAAAACCTTCCTAAAGGATCCTCTACTTGTTCACATTTTTCTGACTTTTGTTTTGTTGGTTTGACTGCTTTTTTTAAAATAATTATTATCATTTTTGTTATTTTTAATCTTCCAAATTCTTGAAGAATCTTTCTCCAGGGCAAGATCTTTGAAGGCCTTTAACACCAGGGTCGTTTTGCACTTAACTTGCAGCCATGGTATCATTCAAGATCAAAGAGGCAAGACAGGATTAATGGAAGAGAATTGCCATTTCTTTGTAAGAATTTCTGGATGTTAACCATCTCTGACCGTGTATCAACTCCTTCCAACTTCATTCATCAATAGCCTCTCTTGAAACCTCATGGATCCCCTGGCCTGTAATCTTCTTTTGTTTCTGTAATGAGATGAAGGGAAATAACTTCCACTGAAATAAGTTCCAATTAATTATGCCTCTGAGTAAACCTTTTGGATCATGATAAGTGGCTCACAGTAAGAAGCGCCAGCTCTCCTAAAATATGTGTGTGTGCTTGCATTTTGTTTCTTGTTTCTTTTCAGGAAAATCAGACAACATTTTAAAACTCAACAGTTGATTGCAGTTAAATTCTTTGGAGGATGATCTGTGATTTGGAAGATGAGAATGATATGCCTTCAAACCTTCTGGAAGCATCCTTTGGCCAGAAAAAATTGGACTCATGTTTTTCCTGTTGAATTTAAGTCCTATGAAATTATCAGAAATTATCTATCTATCTATATATACCTCTGGTGGGGAGTGTGGGAGATGGCTTGAGAGCAGGTGTGGGGAGAATAAGTTGAGACAGAAATTTTTATATAAATCAAACACAAGTTTTATTGTAAGTTTAGATTTTTACAAGGTGGAAGGTTAATAATTATTTTAAAAGTCTTTTGATAGCTTTGGACAAAACTGTACCTGAGTTTCTAGACTGGGGTATTATTGGCCACCATGTAATGATCTAAAACTTACAAATGTTTAATATGCAGAGATGGGTAAAACCCAAAAAGGGCAGAGAGGACTCAGCCACAGTTGAGCGTAATTTTCAACCAAAGGGAAGCCAGAATAGAAAGAAAAGAGAGCCCTGGGAACACCATCATTTCAAGGGAAAGCAGGCAGGGAAGATGATATGGTTAGGCTTTGTGTCCCCATCCAAATCTTATCTTGAATTGTAACTCACATAATCCCCAGGTGTTGAGGAGGAACCTGGTGGGAAGTGATTGGATCATGGGGTGGTTTCCTCCATGCTGTTCTACTGATAGTGAGTGAGTTCTCATGAGAACTGGTGGTTTTATAAGTGTTTGGCAAATTTTTCCTTCACTCATTCCTCTCTCCTGTTGCCTTGTGGAGAAGGTGCCTGTTTCCCCTTCTATCATGATTGTAAGTTTCCTAAGGCCTCCCCAGCCATGTGGAACTGTGAGTCAATTAAACCTCTTTCTTTCCTAAATTATTCAGTCTCGGGTAGTATCTTTATATCAGTGTGAGAATAGACTAGTACAGGAGAGATGCTGGGAAAGGTAACGGAGACACAAAGCCATCCTTTATTGAGCACATAGTATGTGCTGGGTGCAGAGCTAGGAACTTGTCAAATAGGTGTTGATTCCACTCATTTTTCAGAGAATGAAACTGGTGCTGAAGGCCAAAGACTAGGAAACAAAGGAGCTGGGATTTCAAGCCAGGCCAATCTGTCTCCACAGTACAAGTTCTTAGCCACTGGACTCTATTGCAAACTAATAAGGAAACTCTGCAAGGACCTGGGGAAGAATGTTGCTGAAGACAGTATAGGCAAAAGTTTCATAATGAGGAAATGGTGTTTTGTTTGAAATACACAAAAGAGTAAGTGGGTAAGGACTAAAAAGTCAGCAAAGAATTTAACACCTAGGAGGTCATGCTAGAAGGGTCACCAGTGACCTCATCAGTATTTTTGCTCTTTCTTTCTTAGCAAAAGTTCAAGTTTTGTTTGTTTGTTTGTTTGTTTGTTTGTTTTTTGACAGAGTCTCACTCTGTTGCTCAGGCTGGAGTGGAGTGCAGTGGCACAATCTCGGCGCACTGCAAGCTCCACCTCCCAGATTCAAATGATTCTCCTGCCTAAGCCTCTTGAGTAGCTGAGATTACAGGCGTTCACCACCACGCCTGGCTAATTTTTACTATTTTTAGTAGAGATGGAGTTTCACCATGTTGGTCAGGTTGGTCTCAAACTACTGACCTCAAATGATCCTCCCGCCTCGGCCTCCCAAAGTGCTGGGATTACAGGCGTGAGCTACCACGCTGGCCATAAGCTTTTGCCTGAGAACAGTGTCATTATCTAGAACAGCAAACATTTTCTGTAAAATACCAGTTAGTAAATACTTTAAGTGTTGCAGGATATACAGTCTTCACTGTAACCACTCAGCTTTGCCATTTTGGAGCAAAAAGCAACCACAAATTATATGCAAATGATTGGGCATGGCTGTGTTCCAATAAAACTTTATTTGAAGAACATGAAGTGGGCTACATTTGACCTGCAGGCTGTACTTTACCAACCTCTTGTCTAGAATAACACTTGGCAAATACCAAATGTTCCTTGGTTAAGAATTCCACTATTCTACTATTAATTTGTGATTCAACAATTTTACTTCTAAAATTTTATCTTAAATACATAATCAAGGATGTTTTCAAAGATTTTCCAAATGAATGTTCATTGTTTCATGGTTTGTAGTACAGAAGAACAGCAACCACCAAAATAAGGGATTGTTTAAATAAATCATTTGATGTCCAATAGCAGAATGCCAGACAGTGACAACCATTTAAAATGATACAGAAGAATATCTGAAGATGTGTACATATATTTCCTAAGTATTGTTAAGTGAACAGAGCAGGTTATACAATTGGAACAAAACAATCCATTCTCATTAAATATATATTATACATATTTATATATACACACAAAGTCAATGAAATAGACTGAAAAGATGCATATTTAAAGTAATAGCAGTAGTTGGGATTATGCGATTTAATTTTCTTCTCTATGCTTTTCCACATTTTCTAAACTTTCTACAATGAGCAATGATTATTTTTATAGAGAAAAAAGTTTTTAAAATTATCTATGCACAACAAGGTTTGAATGGATTTAAAAGAAATAGAGGATCCACTTACTCCTCCTCGGTCAATTATTTCTGCATAAGCTTTGCCAAACCCTGAAAATTTCCCAAGAGATCCACAGACTCTTGCAATTCCACAACATCAAAAAAGTGGCAAGATTCAATAGGAATGTAATTACTGTATATCAAACACCTTCTAGGAGGCAGGCACCTTGCTGAGCTAAGATACAGCCCTTGCCCTCAAGTAGCTCATGATCTTGTGGGAAAGGAAACAAATTCATACAAAAATAGCTCTCATCCCAGTCAGTCTGATAAAGTCCCATTAGCAAGGAGTACAATGTCACAGGTTACAATGTTGGGGTTGGTTAAGAATAATGCTCCAAGAACTGTATCTCATTTAATCTTCTCAACAACTGCTTGAGGACATTCTGTTCTCCGTGCTTCAAGATGAGGAAATGAGGCCCAAAAGGCCCAGGGACATGCAGCAGTTGAGGTGAGGAAGACTTTCTTCCCCAGCTCTACTGAACTCTAAAATTCTCACTTTTTTCTCCACATCAGTCTTTTATGGTGTGAGGAATGGACCACCACCATCTGGAAGTGGATACTGAACTTGAAAAAGGGTCCCATGATCAAAGATTTGGGGGACATGATGTCAGCCCCCTCTAGCACATTGAAGGCTCTGAGAAGTCCTGCAGCAAGATACTCATAAGAGCATTTTTCACACTTGCTTGACCACTGAGCCACTGTTTCATGCACCATCTGCTCATGCTCTTGGAACCAGGGATTCTCACAGTCTCACAGCCCTTCATTCTGATTGGGAGAGGTAGACTATGACAGAGAGCAGCTCAACAGGGGAGAACTTTTGGGCCCTAAGGGCTAAAGGAGGCTTCGGCAGGTGCAGACAAGGGGACAGGTTATCTGTTATTATCCTTTGTGGGAGTACAGTGAATCACCAGAACATCCCAGCCAGACTGTGGCATGCCCTAAATGAAGTTCCTCTCCCCAGATGCAGGTGCCAGGCATGAGGATTCATGCACACGTGCTCCCTGCGGCTGCAATGATGCCGAAACACAGGAGGCCATGAGAAGAGCACAAGTGACAGCCAAGCCAGTGACAAGTTAATTTCCCCGTGAGGACTGGGGCCTGCATGGCCCAAACAGGCACACGATTTGCCTAATTTTCCCTGAAGGGACATGTCTTCCCTCCTCAAGAAAGCCACTAAGGAGTTTCTCAGTCTCACTTGTAAACAACCGTGGATAATGTCTTCCCATGATCTTTCCGCAGTGCTGGCCTTTGGACGCTCATTTAACCTAAATTGCTGACAGCTTCGCTGGGGTCCCTGGAGGCCTAAGCCCACCTGATAGGCAGCCCTCCCCCAACCCCCTTCAGATCTTAGCTCTCCAAGCACCTGAGCAAAGGGCAAGCAGAGGGGACCACAAATTCCAAGGCTTGCCCTTTAAGCACCCTGCATAGATACAAATATGGGATATCCAGGACCAGGGCCACTGATTAAGCAAAATTAGGGGACATGCACCATCAGGTTCATATCAAACCTTTATTCTTATCATTCATGTGCTTGGGAGGCAGCCCTAAGGTTGAATCCTGCCTTTGACTTGTATTAGCTATGGGACTTTTTTCACAAGGGACATAGCCTCTCCCAGTCACAGATCCTTAGCCATAAACAGGAATGGGATGAAGTGAGATGATGGAAGGGACGTACCCAAAGACTGGAACACAGCAGGCCTCAACAACGGCGATGATGATGATGATGATGATGACAATTGACTCTGACCTAAAAGAGTCTCTGTGACTGAAGAGAGAATATGAACAAATATAGCCACCAGAGAGATTAAAGTCCCCAAGCCCCTAATGATAACTGGAGATGAGTTCCAGGAAGAAAGGCCAGCACACACACAAAGAATCCTTTCAGAGGATGCCTCGTCTTGAAACAACAGCATGACCCACAGTGGGGAGGTGAGAGACGAGCAGCAGGAGCAAAGGCCCGGGACCGGGCCACACGAGGGGTGTGTGCACTGCCCCAGAGGGACCAGATACAAGAGGGCCAGGGGCAGGAGGCAAGGGGACCAGAGAGGAACAGAGAGGGACAGATTGTGACAAGTATTGAAAGCTAGGTGGAGAAGATCCGCCCTGATGCCAAAGGATGCAGAGAGCCCCCCAAGTCTCCTGAGCTCAGATGCAGTGGATAAAAATGGTCATCGGAAGAAATTCATCCCGCCCCCATGTCGGTGTCATGGGGGAAGGAGGAAGGATGTCTGGTGACGAGAGAGAGGAGACCAAACCACAATAGATCTCACCTGAAAATGACAGAAGTGTTTTTCAGAAGGGGCATCAGGAACAAAGAAAAAACAAACGTGAAAACCTAAGCACACCTCATCGTGATCATATTGCAGTCAACCCCCCAGCACCCACTTCTCAGGCAGCGCGAGGGCATCAGGACATGAGGCTGGAGAGGCTGCTCTAGCCTTATGAGAAATGATTTAATTTTTACAAAATTGGATTAATGCATTACTTGTATAATAAAAAATTAATTAAAAAACAACTAAGAGATCGAACTTCCCAGCATTCTGAAAGAGAATCCCTCTTAGGGATTTATTTTTTATTTTTGTCCAGAGGTTTCCACAGATTAGCCGAATGAAACACCAACATCTCTGGAGGAATTTCTTTCTGGGGCCTAAAAGCTGCCTGTCCACACACATCCTCACTAGCCTGGGCTTAGAAGTGAGGGTGCCTTTATTGCATGTTTGCTGAAAATTAATAAAGCAAGAAGCAAAGCCAGTGATCTCATCTGTTTCTTAGTTCAGGATTTATCAACTGCTTCGCTGAGGTTTGTTTTCTCCAACTCGCCTCTCCTGAAACCACTTTCCTTCGAGAAACTTCACTGTCTCTACTGTGAATGCTTCCAAGCTGCACATGTGGAGCAGGAAGCTTTCTATGAGCATGAAATCTGATAGTGCTGTAGTCCTTGGCATCGGGTGCCAAGCAGGGATGTTCCCAAGCAGGGACCTAGAAGCCGGTTGGCGTGCCATTGCACACATCTGCCCCTCACTGCCTTGTCAAGGTCCCGCCTGTCCCCAATCATCCTCAGAAGAAAAAAGACAGAAAGCTGCGCTGGCTGGGCAGTGATCAGCGGCATAGAAGGTG
This sequence comes from Homo sapiens, assembly GCF_000001405.40. Classification (NCBI taxonomy): domain Eukaryota; kingdom Metazoa; phylum Chordata; class Mammalia; order Primates; family Hominidae; genus Homo; species Homo sapiens. The sequence goes on along the minus strand of NC_000010.11, from coordinate 113,285,306 downwards.
CCAAGGGAGAGGAAAATATGCAGCCTTAATATTTAATGCCCCTATTCCATTTTCCCCTAATAAGCTGGGCGCTACAGTGGGCAGAGCTGATTTATTTTGTCAGCAGTGGAAATATTTCAAGTATGATGCATGTCACTGGGTCACACGGAACCCGTCACACAAAACACACACTGCAGAAGCATCTAAGAAAAGAATCTTCTGGACTTGATCTCCAAGTCTTTGGGCTTCAGGAAGTCTTGCAAACAGCATGGGACTTCAGCATGAGAACTGACGACGGGACAGGCAGTGGGCAGACAGTAGAGCCCCTGGTTGGTACAAGGCACTGTAGCATGGCACCAAGAGCAAAAGCTCTTTAGTTCTGCGGCAGATGGCATCGGTGTCCCGCCCTGAGCCCCTCAGCCCCTGCCTGTTTCCCTTGGCACCAGTAGCTTTCTATTACAAAATCTTGGTCTGACAGTCTCTCTGGCCACCAGAGTTTGTTCTGCCTCTTAGTAATGCAGGCTGGAGGAGCCAGGGAGTTAACACTTCTGGAAATAGCTCTACATCTGTATCAGGTGGACATTGGTAGATAAATGGTCCAGCTTCTTCACCCCTCTGAGGTGGGCTCTACCTGATGCCCAGAGGTCCCCAATGGGACTGAACCCCAGCTGGCTGCAACACTGTCCTGCTCATAGCACACTTGGTTTAGGCTTCCTTCCGGTTCCAGTCTCACTTCTCGACCCCCTCATCAGTTCTTCCTGGAGTCACTACCCAAATAAACTCACACTCAGATCATCTTAGGATCTGCTGGGCAAACTTATCTTCGATTTTCTCATGTACAAGTGGTGATAGCAGCAACCGTCTTGCTGGTTGTTTTGACAGCCAAAGGAAATAATGCCCAAGATCGTGCCAGTCTGGCAGAGGTCAATCAATGCTAGACTCACTCACCTCCAATGAGAGTGTGGGTTGCTCATAAGCCAGGCATCCAGCTCTGATATTAGGATATAAACTACATCTTCATCCTCACTGCATCCCTGTGTGAATATTAATTTAGTCCAACCCTAGTAGCGTATTTAACATTCTCCTTCCCATGGGCAGTGAGTACAGTGATGAGAAGTAAGAGAATTGGAGAAAGTGCTTGAAAAGATGATGATGGAACATCCACCTCTAAGTCAAGTCATCTGGGGATGTCATGGGTTGAATTGTGGTTTCCCCCCACCCCCACTGAAAATATATGCTCAAGTCCTAACCCCAGTACCAGCAAATGTGACCTTGTTTAGAAAGAAAGTCTTTGCAGATATAATTAAGGATCTCAAGATGAGATTACTGTGGAGTAACTGGGTGGGCCTTTTATAAATCCAGTGACAAGTGTCCTGGTAAGAAGAAGAAAAATACAGACAGAAGAGGAGAAACTGGGGGAGGTCATGTGGAGATGGAGGCAGAGATGAGAGTAATGCTGCCACAAGCCAAGGAATGAGCCACCAGCAGCTGGAAGGGGCAAGGAAGGGTCCTACTCAGAGCCTTCAGAGGGACCATGACCCTGCCAACATCTTGATTTCTAGACTTGTAGCCTCCAGAACTGTGAGAGCATAAATTTCCGTTGTTTTAAGCCACCCGGTTTGTGGTGATTTGTTATGGCAGCCCCAGGAACTAATACATTGGGTAAGCCCAGGAAGGAGTCACATCACTCCTGCTCATTGTCCATTGGCCCAAACTTGCCTACACAGCCGGTGCAACTGCAAGCCTGGGAGGCACAGCCTGGCCGCATGCCAGGAGAGCCCAAACCATTTTTTGCCAAACTCACAGAATCAATTGCCAAGAGGCCGGATAAGCCGAACGAACCAGAAGCCTGCCACAGGACAGGGCTAAAGGACAGCTGCTGTTGAACCTGGAAGCCAGGCTGACCTACTCACCATTCCCAGCAGTGGACACAGATGTCCTCTAGGGGCACCTCTGTCCCTGACGTCAGCTGCACATTAGAATCACCAGAAGAAGTTGCCCTTAAGAAAAGACACCACCATGTGTTGACTCCCCTGCAAATGTGACTTAATTGGCCTCCAGACTGGCCCAGACTTCAGATCTTTCTCAAAACCCCTGGGATGGTTCCAAAGCACATCCAGCATTGAGAATGACTGTTCTAAGCTCTCTTACATGATTGTGATGTCTGGTGTTTTTCAATAAAGAGTTTTCTTGTAGATTATCTCATTTGATCCTCAAAACAACCCTAGGAGTAAGGACAGATGGATATATGGGCTCCATGTCATAGATAGGAAAACTAAGTCTCTGAGAGTTCAAGTGACTCCTGCATGTTACTGAGTTACTGGGAGGACAGCCAGGACATAAACTCTGGTCTACGCTGTCAGGACTGTTGTCCCCAAAGCAGAACTCTTTTATAATAAAACAGTTAGCTAAAAAATACCCTCGCCACCCCTTTTAATGAGGCCTTGAATTCAGCAGGGAAATAACTGTGTCCTTCTTTCAACATCAAATCCCCGACATCTAAAGAGAGGTTTGTCCAGCCTGACATGTGCCAGCCCTTAGTATGTGAGGCCATTTTACCCACAAATTGCTCTAGGCACTGTGCCCGGGGCCTGCAAACTTTGCAAGGGCTTACAAAGGTGCTTGGGATCTGAAATATCAAAATACTAGAAGCAAAGTGCAAACTAAAAATAAGTAAATGCTGAATTCATATACATGAATGTCATTACTCGTTAAATTTAGTATGCATTAAAATTTTACAGCACTTAAAGGCAATCTGAAGGTTAGATTTTCTTGCTTTGCCACGTACAATGAGCTGCAAAACCTGAGAACCCACGGCTAATTACAAAATAAATGAGTGACTTCAAGCCATATATTTTCAAAAGCAAAATTATAAAAATCCTTTGAAGATTTTTAGAACCAAAAATAAATTTTGCTATGTTATGGGTCCCTTTAATATTTTTGACAGGATATGAAGTGGGCCAACCAAAATGAGGACGTGCCCAGGGCTAACAGAAGACTTAAAATGGCCCCAGCTATACCAAAGGCCATGGCGCACATTGCCTCCATCCTAAAACGCCCTGCCAAGCCCACTGATAACAAGAATGGGATAGCCATGCCCTGGGCCCTGGCCTTTCCTGTTCCTGAGCAGCAACTCCAGGGACCCACCATGGGCTCTTGGTGGGGCAATAGAAAGAGTTTGCACACAAAATACTAACTTCCTCATCTCTTCATCATAACTGATTAAAGGCAATTTCCATTAAGCATTGATTTTTTTCTTTGAACATGCTAAGTTCTTAAAGTCTTCTTAAAATGGAGCAATCTTTAATTTATTCTTCTCATTGGCTCCTCGCTTCCATGAATAGCCTTCCTGCAGTTCCCTTATGTGACTCCCTGCCTTCACTGGATTGAATCAGATTGGCCTCTTTCAGCCTAGACTTGGGACCTTCTTGATCGACTTCTCTTTCTTCTCTCTCCTTGAAGAGATGCCCTCCTCCTCTCTCTTCCTTTTTCCCTCTCTCTGCCTCCTTCCTTCCAGCCATTCCCATCACACTTAAGCTGGATAATATGGTAGATCCTAGGAACACAGACTTGAAGAAGACATGGGATCTACCTTAAGTAACTGAAATTTAGTGGGAAGGGAAGATGAGGAGAAAAAATTTGTCAATTCAAAGTCATGTGGATATATGAGTGGAATCATAGGTATATAGACAGGCTATAGAAGCAACAAAAGGAAAAATCAAATCTCTATTTGAAGAAGTTAGAAAAGGCTTCTCTAAGAGCAGTTCCTGCCCAGGAATGTGATGTCAGTCTGATTCCATGTTGTTTGAGACTGATTTGGGGAGAAACTGAGGGGGGTAGACTAGAAATGCTGTTTGAAATACTTGCATGAGGCCCCTGTCATTTTGTCCGGTTAGGGGATATGATTTTATGGTGTTACTCAAAATATTTTGTATATGGTCTCACAATAAATTCCTCCAAGTACTTAGACCCAGGGAAATGCTTTTCTTTCCACAATGAATTGGCATCAGACAATAAGAATGAAATAATTCACCAGATTTTCCTTTTTGCCTTAGCTGCCAGGAAGCTCAGAAATAAATCCCATGCTTATTAACAGGGTTTATCTCAGCCTCTGGTGGGAGTTACCATTCATGATAATAACTGCTGACCTCTGAATTCTTAGCATGATCCAGCCCGCTGGTTTTGCTCAGTGTCCTGTCACAGAAGATGGCTACATTATCTTTTTAGGAAAAAACCCTTTTTAGATACTTAATGACGGAACTCTTAGCTCCATAAGGTCAGGGACTACATCTGTCTTATTTATCAAAGTAATATCATCAAGTAGGGAAGTCTAGCAATAGGACTGGTACTCAACAAATATTGGTTGCATGAGTAAGTGAAGGAATAAAGGAATGAGATAATCATGAAAAGAAGTAGCCATATTTAAATGTATATTCACCTAATGGTTCTCATTGTCATTAGTCCCTCAGTACTCCCTACCAACCCAGTAATGCCAAATTAATCTTTCTCCAGCACCACACTGGCCACATTATACCTCCCTCCTCCCCTACTACCACATAAACACACACTGCTAAGCCTTGCTTCAACAGTTCCCAAGATTGCCCTTTGCCTTTATAGTGGAGGTCGTGGACAGTTATTATTTGTGGGTCCACGCTGCATCCCTTCTCTTTGAGAACTGACCCTCCTTAAGTCCACACACTTTCTGGTTGAAAATCTTAGGCTCAGGATTCTGTGTCCCCTGGTATGGGATAACTCATGACTCAGACTGTTCCCTTGGTGAACTTATGGCCCAAGCATGGCCTATCAAAGTCCTTTGGGGGCATGTATACAGACACTGGAAGACAGAGGGTGTCTCTCAAGCTGAGACAAGCAATAATCATGTAAGTCTGGAGTTTTGCGGGCCATTCTCTCCAACAGAGACAGAGAGAGTTTGCCAGAGAATAAAGCCAGCACAGAAGATGCAGAGCAAGAGACTGTGGAGAGGGAGAGGGAGACAGAGAGAGACAACCTTGAACACCTAGACCTACACATATCTGAATCTATCCCAGTTCTGTCAGCTGATATACTTTCTTGCTTGCTTGAACTATTTTGAATTGGGCATATGATACTTGCAACTTTCAGAGTCCTGACCGAGGAGCTCGAGAGCCAATTTTGAACTCCTTACTCTGATCTTCAAAAATAAATTCACAAGGTATTGTCATGGATAGAACCTCAGGGTTAACCCACAGTGATCTTGCTTCTCAACCTGTCTGGGGTAAGGACATTTTTTAAAAATTTCCAGGCCGGGAGCGGTGACTCACGCCTGTAATCCCAGCACTTTGGGTGGCCGAGGCGGGCGGATCACGAGGTCAGGAGATAGAGACCATCCTGGCTAACACGGTGAAACCCCGTCTCTACTAAAAATACAAAAAATTAGCCGGGCGAGGTGGCAGGCGCCTGTAGTCCCAGCTACTCGGGAGGCTGAGGCAGGAGAATGGCGTGAACCCCGGAGGGGCGGAGCCTGCAGTGAGCCGAGATAGCGCCACTTCACTCCAGCCTGGGCGACAGAGCGAGACTCCGTCTCAAAAAAAAAAAAATTTCCAATGACCACATATCCAACAAGAGAATTATATCTAGAATATTAAACTAAATCCTACTCTCCAATAAGAAAAAGATTAAAACTCAATAGAAAAATGGGCAAGGCAGTGGAACAGGCACTTAAATAGGATACACAAAAGGCCAATAAACATAAGCAAAGGAGCTCAAATTTAGTAGTCATTGGAGAAACACAAAAGAAATTCACAACAAAAAAACCACACATTCCTGTTAGAACACACAAATGAAAAAGAGCAGTTGACTGGGATCACAGACCAACACGCATCCCTACTATGTAGCACCCATCCAAAACTCACCCCGCCCCTGCAACTCACCACCCAGGTCAAAAATACCCGGGCTGGTCAATTCCCTGTTCACCGAGGGAAGTCTGCTAAGAACCCACTTGAATGTCACATCATTGTCAGATTACCACAGATGTTTCTAAATATTTGGTCTCATTGCAGAATGGTAACAGCTCTTGGTTGGCACTGGTCTGTGGACCATACTCTGAGTGGCAGTGGCCTATACTATTGCTGCCAAGATTCAGTTATCCAGAGGAGAAAAACTTGATAAGCAGATTCCTTTGCAGAATGAAGCCTTCACTGGGTTTAATTTAGTTGTTATGTTGCATGTTAACCAAGGGTTCTCCTACTTTAAACCAACGAATATAGAGAAGACACATATTTCAAAACTACTGAGAAAACTCCAAAATGATGGCTGTGAATTAGAGCAGGCATAAAAGAAAACTGTGATATATACCTGAAGATAACTTTGTACACTCATGGAAATATGAGGTGATGTCCAGAAATAATAGCCCGAGGGGAAGTTGGCTAGGAAGAGGTCAGCTCCTGTATGAGAATCTTTTCCTGTTAATCCAAATCTCTGAGAAGAGCATAACCTATCCGTAGAGAATTGTTTTCTCTAGGGACTCCCTGGAGGGGAGACCCACCTTCTGAGTACAAAAACCAATGATTCTTGGCAAAGAATCATTTCCATGCTGAAGTCACAAAGGCATTTCTACAAAAACCAAAGGGTGCTATCTCTGCGGGTGTTTTTCTTTATGATTCCCATCTGCCTCTTCAGATCCTCCTCCCTTCACTTCCTTCCTGTAACCCAGTGATTCTCAACCCTGGCTTCACAGTAGAATCATTTGGAAAATTTCAACAAATACTGATACCCAAGTCCCACTCCCTGAAACTGTATTTCATTTGTCTACAGTGGGGCCCAGGCATTTGTATTTTTAAAAAATCTCCCCAGCTGAATATAATGAGCAGAGTTATGATCCTATGCCTTAGCCAAAACAACTCACTTGTTCTTCCAGGGACAGCTGAGTGTAATCAACTCATCTGTCACCAACATTTTCTGAACTCTTAACGTGTGCAGGATATGTGATGAAAACTTAGTAGGAGGTAGCAACCTAAGGATCCTGCAGAGCAGAGTTTGCAAAGGGTGGTCCTGGATTTACAGTATCAGCATCACTGGGGAAATTGTTAGAAATACAAATTCCCAGGCCCCATACCAGATGTACTATATCAGCAACTTTGGGAGTCGGGCCCAGCGATCTGTGTTTTAAAGAGCCCTCTAGGAGAAGGCAAATACATAGAGATGGAAAGTAGAATGGTGGTTGCCAGGAACTGAGCAGGTAGAGTAGGGAAAGGAATGGGTTGTTATTGTTTAATGCAGATGGAACTTCATTTTTGCAAGAAGAAAAATGCTCGGTGGATAGATGGTAGTGATGATTGCATAATCATGCAAATGTACTTAATGCCACTGAACTGCACACTTAAAAACAGTTCAAATAAAAGATTTTATGTTGTATATGTTTTGCTTCAATTTAAAAATAAGTAAAGTTGTTTTTTTTTGTTTGTTTGTTTAAACAAACAAAAAAAAAAGCCTGCTAGATGATTCTGACTAATGCACACTAAAGTTTGTGGAAACTTTCTCTAAATCCTGAGGACTGACCATTCATTCATTCATCTCAATATCAAATCATCATCATTCATTATGCCTTATGTGTTAAGCACCCACTGTATACCAGGTATTGTGCTAGGCCCTGGATGAACATTGTTCCTGATTCTTGGAGTTTAGAGTCCAATGTGGAGATAGACATTAAGCAAATGATTACACGACTCATTGTTTAATTGTTTAATGAAAATTGTGATTGTGCCCTGCGTGTGCCGTGAAACACAGGATGCTGTGGGAGCATATAACCTAGCTTGGGGAGGTCATTAAAAAAAAAAAAAGAAGAAAGAAACTTTCCTGAGGAAGATAAAACTTAAAAAAGGATTAGGCATTATCCAGGTGAAAAAGTATAGACAGAGCATTCTAGGCCCAGGGAACAGCTTTCACAAATGTCCTGAGGCAGGAAGGAGCTCAGCATGTTTGAGGAACTGAGAGGACAGGTACCATAAAGGGCGAGTCAAGATTTTGTAAACAATGAGAGACCAGAAAATAAGTGCCTTTGAGCTAATGTTGAGAATACTTCTGAGGTGGGAGATTTTACAAATTTGTGATTGGGTTCTGGCAGCTGAAGCTACCAGTGCTAGGGTCAGAGGAATGAGTTAAATTGGTTAGCCATCCACTTTTTATCCAAGTTGACAGGCAAGTTGAAAGACAGAACTTGCATGTATTAGTCTGTTCTCATGCTGCTAACAAAGACATGCCCAAGACTGGGTAATTTATAAAGGAAAGAGGCTTAATTGATACACAGTTCCACATGGTTGGGGAGGCCTCGCAATCAGGGCACAAGGCGAAGGAGGAGCAAAGGCACATCTTATATGGTGGCAGGCAAGAGAATGTGTGCAGGGGAACTGCCCTTTATAAAACCATTAGATCTCGTGAGACTTATTCACTATCATGAGAACAGGATGTGAAAAACCTGTCCTCATGATTCAACTGCCTCCCACTGAGTCCCCTTCATGACACATGGGGATTATGGGAGCTACAATTCAAGATGAGATTTGGGTGGGGACACAGCCAAACTACATCATTGCACATACTTAATAATGCCCTAAGAGTATTTATAGCATATATTAGAATGGACTAGGTTACACTGTTGTTAAAAAAAAAAATCCCAGTGGCTTAATATAAATTTGTTTCTTGTTAATATTGTATGTCCAAAGGAAATCAAAGAGAAAGAACTATGGTCCACACAGTGACTCAGAGACCCAGGCTGATAGAGCTATGTCATCTGTATATCTCCTTGGTCACTTTGTCAGAGGCATTTAAACCAGAGCAACTCCATCTTGTATAGAGGCTGGTTAAAATAAGGCTGAGACCCACTGGGCTGTATTCCCAGATAGTTAATGCATTTTAAGTCACAGGATAAGATAGGAGATGGGCACAAGATACAGGTCATAAAGACCCTGCTGATAAAACAGCTTGCAGTAAAGAAGCCAGCTAAAACCTACCAAAACCAAGATGGTGACGAGAGTGACCTCTGGTTGTCCTCACCACTACACTCCCACCAGTGCCATGACAGTTTACAAATGCCATGACAAACTCAGGAAGTTACCCTATATGGTCTAAAAAGGGGTGGCAGGAATAATCCACCCTTTGTTTAGCATATAATCAAGAAATAAGCATAAAAATGAGCAACCAGTAGCCCTTGGGGCAGCTTTGTCTATGGAGTAGCCACTCTTTTGTTCCTCTACTTTTTTAATAAACTCACTTTCACTTTACTCTATGGATTCACCCCAAATTCTTTCCAAGAACCCTCTCTTGGGGTCTGGATTAGGACCCGTTACCAGTAACTTCATCAGAGAAGAGAGTACTAAGGGTCAGATACTAGTTCTTAAATGCTTTAACCCAAAAGTGAAACACTTTCCACAATGTGAAATCACTTTGGCTCATAGTCCATTGGCAAGGCTTAATTACCTGATCTACCTAACTGCAAGGGGGCTTGGAAATTTAGGGGAGTATATTTGGTGAGCATGTCTAGGAGTGAAAACTTTTACATAGGTACTGCTAAGTTACAAATATCCCACTTATGATCATCCCAAATGAGGGATGAGCTAAGCCCAATTGTTGCCTGAAAAGATGAACCATGCCAATAAAGCTCAAGTTTGAGTTCATCTGACAACCAGATATAATACCTCACTGAAGAGTGGTGGTGGAAATGTTCCCTCCAATTTTGAAAGTTCACATTCCCTGGACAGACCAAAACTTCCTCTATCCTCTAGACTTCTCTAAACCACCAAATCATCAATGTGATTAGGTAAGGCCTTCAAAATCATTTAATCCAACTATCTCATTATGGTAGTGGTACCTGAAGCCCAAAGAGGGAAAGTAACTTACCCAAAAGTCACATAGTTAATGACCAAGTTGCAAATAGAGCCTGTCTCTTACCTCCCAGCCCAGTGCCATTCTTACTCTGAGAACATGAGAAATAGCATGTATAAATTCCAAACTAGAGAAAAAAAAGAGTTTAACCAAAACACAAAAACTCTATCCAAATACACAAAAAACAACAGACATCTCACAGCCAGTAGAAAACAAGAAATAAAATCTCAGAAATAAGTCTAAACATATCTATAATCACAATAAATGTGAATGGATAAAATTCTTTTATAAAAAGTCTAAAACTTTCAGATTTTTACAATCCCGCTGTATGCTACCCACAATTCAACCTGGAAACAAAATGACATGAAATTAAAAAAAAAGAATAACAACAGATAAGCCAACCAAATGCAAATAAAAATAGACTTGATGTAGTAATATCGATATCAGATGAAAGGATAATTTAAAATTAGAAACATTAAATGAGACAATCTGGAAGCCTGGCTATTTTCCTAACTGAAACAGTCCCAGTCCTAAAAAGTCAAAACACATGTTATGTAAGGAGCATGAATATGGCAAAGATAAAACAAAAATATCTGTGAGGTATGTGTGTATGTTGGAGTGTGTCTACATGTGTGTATATGTGTGTAAGTGTGTGTGTGTGTGTGTGTGTGTGTGACTGTGTGACCAAAATGTTTCTGGGCTTTGTAAATTCATCCCACTTCCTCTTAAAAATACCTAGCCATGGTACTAGCTGGGCCTTAGCTATCTGTCCTTCGGGAGCCGAGCATCTAAACTGGGCAGCTCAGACACAGGGGCCTATACAGAAGAGCACCCCTCCCAACAGGCTGGAGAATTCTGCCATGAAGAAGCCAAGATATGATTAACTTCGGTTATCAACCAGCCTTGGGGGAAGGGATACTGACCCACAAACGGAAAGTAACAATTCCACTCCATCAGGGGGCAGGGAGTAACTCACAAGATCACCGTCTGCTCCTGCTGTCACAGTCATGGCTGCAAAGCCCTCCAGGGAAACTCCAGGGCTGGCAACCACCTTTTCAGGGAGCAACAGGCTCCCTGAACACTTGGCTGGGCCCAGCGGGACCCAGCTGCTGAGAATTCTTTCACAGACTCTGTCATGCTGGGCGTTTCCAAAGCAAATATCCCCAAGGTCCACACTAGGACCATCTGTTTCCCATTTTGAGGAGTGAGTTCTATACACTAGTTTGTTAAAAACTGCACTGAAGGAAAGGAAAAAAACAGCCTCTTAAAAATACCCAACTAGTCTCGCCCATGCCCTGCAGTTTTATAACAGAGGCAGGCAGCAGAGGGCCTGGTGGAGAGCCTGCGAACCAGAGGGCCTCATAATCTCTGTGCCCCTCCATGGAAGCCCCACGCCAAAGCCTTAATGGGAGCATGCTAGACACTGGGTGTTTATGGCAGGGGCCACCGGCTGTTGCTGGCCCTTTATTCACAAAACATCAAGCAAGGAGCTCAGAGCTGGCTTCTCCGGAGTGGAGGCTTTCAGGGAGGGGGTGTTGGACTTGGGCATTGGAGGAGCTGGAGATGGAAGATCATTTCTGCAGTGGAATTTGAGGTCACATTGGAGCAGCAGCCGCTGCTGGGAACTTGACTGCGCAGCTCTGTGTCTTTTGTCACCTCTGACTGTCCCTCCTGCAGCCCGCCGTGGGGACAACCGAATGCATTGCAGACGGTTTTGGCAGGCTGGCCTCTGTGCTGGGCTCGCATTCATTAATCTGCCTGCCACCGAGCCCCTGTGAAAAGAGGAAATTGTTTCACGCTTACTCTCTGAGAGATGAGGGGAAAGGGCTCTCGGAACGGGAAGAAGGCCCAGACTTCTGGAGCCGGGCTGGGGTGCTGCAGCGGCGCTCCCAGAGTGCCAGACGGAGTGGCCTCTTTGGGGAGCAGGCAAGCCCTTCCCTGGAAGGACCTTGGAATTCAGGCAGCCCGGCAGTTAATTAGCCCAGTAATGGGGGCTGGCTGCAGTTGCTTCGGCTGAAGCTATGGACCTGGAACAATCAGGGCCTGTCTTCTGACAGAGATGACAAATGGAGGAAGTGAAAGGGGGATGCGAGCAAAAAGAAAAGCAAGGACAAGAGGAAATACCAACTGCAAATTGCTGTAATGAATTTGGAAGGCAGGAGAGAAACTGCAGTGTCACAGAGCCAGTGTGGGGACCTTTCAGTGCATCTGGGAGTGACAGTTGTAGCTGCACAGGAGAGAGATGGCACATGGCAAAGCAACCTCATCAGCGAGCAGAGGCCTGGACTGGGGCTGGGTGCTTTCTGAAGGCTTTTGGAAGGACTGGAACTCAGAAATGCATGGGGCTGCTCATCCAGGCTGAGGAGCACTAGGCAGGTCCCAACTATCAAGTATAATAGGAAAAAATGCGATGCAATTTATAATAGTAAAGAGATCTTTAATGAAAAGAAGTCCTCTGGTTCTGCAGAGGACCTGATCAGCTTGGAGCACATCTCTGGGGAAGAAGAGCTGGGAAAAGCTTAAATGCTCCGTATAAAAAAGGGCAAAGGATTTGGAGTTCCCAGGAGCAAACCAAGAGAAGGGAATGGGGAACAGAAATGGAAAGAAAGGAAGACAAGGATGGTATGAGCTGCCCTTTTTTGTGGCGTCCATCCCTAGCTTCTGGGAAGCCAGACAAGCTCTCAGTGCCTGTTGTGCCTGGATTTCAGGGAAACCAGTGAAGAGGTCAGTACAGGGTGTTGCTGGGCAAAAAGCCCACGGTGTGAGCAGATGCTAGAGGCCAAGGGACCACGAGCGCAAACAGCCTTGGGAAGGAGCAGACATAGCTGCGAAAGCCCTGGGGATTTACAGGCTGGAGCTCCAAGGCACAGGGAAGCCCCAGCTGACCTATGGGTCACCTGAGTGTCACAGCATCCTGCAGACAGCCCCCATTTTTTGACCAGATACCTCTTCTCAGTGCCTGTCCACAGAGCTGAACATCCAAGTGTGCTTTTCATGTCCTTTTCCCTCATTTTTTTTTTTTTTTTTTGAGACGGAGTCTCGCTCTGTCGCCCAGGCCGGACTGCGGACTGCAGTGGCGCAATCTCGGCTCACTGCAAGCTCCGCTTCCCGGGTTCACGCCATTCTCCTGCCTCAGCCTCCCGAGTAGCTGGGACTACAGGCGCCTGCCACCGCGCCCGGCTAATTTTTTGTATTTTCAGTAGAGACGGGGTTTCACCTTGTTAGCCAGGATGGTCTCGATCTCCTGACCTCATGATCCACCCGCCTCGGCCTCCCAAAGTGCTGGGATTACAGGCGTGAGCCACCGCGCCTGGCCCCTTTTCCCTCATTTTTAAGTTAAAATCCACAAACAGTAAAACTTACTATTGTTAGCATACAGTGCTATGAGTTTGGATAATTGCATACAGTTATGTAACCACCACCAGAGTCAAGATATAGAAATTGTCATTCCAAAATGTTCCTTTGTTCCCCTTTGAAAATCAAACCCTCCCCTCACCCCACAACCCCCTGGCCACCACTGATCTGTGGTCCATCCCTATGGTTTTGCCCTTTCCAGGATGTCCTATAAATGAAGTCATGTGGCATCTAGACTTCTAAACTGGCTTCTTTCTGTCGGCAGGATGCATTTGAGATCGCCCAGGTTGCCACGTGTGTGAGTCACGTGTTTCTTTGGATCGCTGAGTAGTGTTCTGTTGTGTGGATGTACCAGTTTGTTGATTTTTTCGCTGAGGAACATAACATTTGGGTTGCTGTCTCCCTCAGAGACTTTTGACCTTGTCTTTCGTGGGGTATTTTTACTGGTGGGGATTATGAAAAAGTATGCCAGTCCAGGCCAAGGCTTTGTCATACTTAACCTTCTCCAGAGATCTGAAGCCTCTTTAGGTGTATTTCTTCATTTAATTTTGGCCTCCTAAGCTTGGTATAAGTAACCAATTGTATGACTTATAAAGAGATTTTGTGATTTTGTTTTGTTTTTATAACTGCTTTGTTGAGATATAATTCACATACTGTACAATTCACCCATTGAAAGTGTACAATTCAATAGCTTTGGTAGAATCACAGAGTTATGCTTCCATCACCTCCATCAATTTTAGGACATTGTCATTACTGCAATTAAAAAAAATTCACACCCATTGGCTTTTTCTGTCCTCCAGTTTCCCCAACCGCTGGCAACCCCTAATCTAATTTCTATCTCCATAGATTTGCCTCGTCTGGACATTTCTTATAAACGAAATCCTACAATATGTGGTCTTTTTGTGTCTGGCCTCTCTCACTTGGCACATTGTTTTCAAGTTTCATCCATGTTGTAGCATGTCAGTGTATCATCCCTTTTTAGTGCTGAATAATATTCCATCATATGGACATGCCACATTTTGTTTATCCGTTCATTTGTCATTCAGTTGATGGACATTTGAGCTCTTTGCACTTTTGGTTATTATGAATAATGCTATTATGAACATTCATGTGCACATTTGTGTGTAGACAGATGTTTTCAGCTTTCTTCAGTGTATATCTAGGAGAGAAACTGCTGGATTGTATGTGAAGCCTATGTTCAACCATTTGAAGAACTGCCAAGCTGTTTTCCAAATGGCCGCACCATTTTATACGCCACAAAGGCACTTTCGAAGTGTAAAAGTTCGATGCAAATGATTATAATCTAATATTAGTCATTGAAATGGCAAGAATATTTGATCATTGTAATAATTTGTAGACAATACTAAGGTATCTAAAGTGACACCTCTCCCTCCAGTCCCCCAATCCCACATAGAGGCAGTGTAAACAATTTGGCATGCAGTCCATTCCTCCTTCTTTCCTCTGCCCACCATACTTATACAAAATGTATGTATTTGAACGTAATGGCAAAAACTGCAATTACTTTTGCACCAACCTAATACTTTCATTAAAATAAAAATGCATTCTGACTATGCATATGGCTCTAATGTCTTCTTTTATTTTTTAAATTATAGTAAAATACCATCTTAACCATTTTTTAGGATACAGTTCCATGGCATTAAGTACAGTCCCTCACACTTATGCAGCCATCACCATCATCCATCCACAGAACTCATTTTAACCTTCTAAACTGGAACTCTATAGCCATTAAATGATAACTCCCCCTTCTCCCTTCCCCTCAGCCACTGGAAACCATCATTCTGCTTTCTGTGAAATCACATAATATGTGTCCTTTTGTGACTGGCTTATTTCACTTGGCATAACGTCTTCAGGGTTCACCCAGGTGGTAGCATGTGTCAGAATTTCCTTCCTTTTTAAGGCTGAACATTATTTATTTTATAGGCCACATGTCACCTATCCACTCATCTACTGATGAACACATGGGTTGCTCCTACCTTTTAGCTATTGTGAATGAAGCTGTTATGAATGTGGGCATATAAGTATCTCTTTTTGTCCCTGATTTCCATTATTTGGAGTATATGCCTTCCAACTTCCTTTTTTAAAAAAAAAAATTAAGTAAACTTTTTTCGAAAATTTTATCACTCAAAAAAATCTTAACAGTATACTAATGGGGTTCTTCCATATTATCGCCTTCATGCACTGAATTGCTGGGGGTCTCATAATCCACCTCATACATTCCCCCATTCATGGGAATTGAATAGCCATTACCATTGGGTGTTTCCCATGGTGCAAAGCTCTGGGCATCCATTGGCTGACTGGATTCTCACAACAATCCTTTGAGATGGCTCTAACTATCAGCCTCTTTTGAGAGACAAGGAAACTGTGGTAGAGAGCTTAAGTCATCTGTCCAAGGCCATTCTGCTGGTAAGGACTGAGGTTAGAAATCAAAGTCTGTCTGACTCTCAAGCTCACCTGCCTAACCTCAGCATCTTAACTAATGACATTCCTCATGGGTTTTTTTGGTTGGCCAAGGAGTGGCCTGGCAGGGGACGGAGGTACAGAACCTGAATATATGTAGATATCCACATTCCAGGAGCCAGGGACTGATTCCTCAACAAAAGCAGAGGTGTCTTTCTACAGTGAGCGTCCTTTCTCAGAGCTCAGGCTTCATGAAGCCTCAGAAAACCAGAGTGAGCTCCCAGCTTCCTACAGAAGGCTACTACTCATGCTTCCTTCCCTTTGACTTCTCTCCTGCTCAATCCTGCCTTCCCCTGACCCTGCCTCCACACTGTCCTCCTCCAGACTGTCTAGGTTCAGGTGACAGAAACCCAGCTCAAATATGCTTATACAAACAGAAAGACTTTTGGGTTTCATTTAACTGGGAAAGTAGGGACACATCTAGCCTCTATCATGATTGGATCCAGGGATTGAAATGATGTCATCAGGCTCTTTATCTCTCAGCTCGGCTACTCTGAATGATGATCTTATTCTTTCCTGCAGTGGACAGGCCTTCTCCATGAAGTGAGAAAGCTCACCACCAGAAACTCCAAAACTACAGCTTCAAAGCTTAACTCTCTCACCAGAAGGCAGGCCAGTTTTTTTCTCCCAGCATCCATATATCGATCTCAGGGAAGGACTCCAATTGGCCCTGGTTGGGACATATGCTAATTCCTTAGCCAATCATATGGCCAGGAAAAGGCAGTGTTGGGACTGATGTAGACCCAGCTACATGGAAGGCAGTTTGTGCTACTAGAGAGAGGGAAGGAGAATGCATGTGTGCTTGGCAGACAGGAACAGTAACTACTATCACACTTCGTCTGCCTTGGTCAATAAACTCCCCACACAGCTTCTATGGATACTGCCACCATCACCACCACCACCAACACTACTCAGATTTCTTCCCCATTTTCACTCCCCATTGCCAGAGAGTGAATGAAGCCAGAGCAGGCTGCTTTAGAAAGATTGCAACCCTCAGGTCTATGGAAATATGCAACCCTGCGCCCCCTTTCTGGAGGAGACACTGCCCTATCTAAACATTTTCATCATCTGCTGCTTCTTCCAAATCACTCCCCAGGCTTGGCTCATCTTTGCACAGGCTGGTTTCTACTCCACTCCAAGGTATAAGAACATGAGGTGCCCAGATGTACCACTGTTTACATTGCACAGAGCATGAGGCAGTGCGTGTGGCTCCCTGCTCATCCTTGGGTCTTTCTCACTGCAGTCCAAGGCTCTGATGATTGCTGCAAGCCAAATGGTCATGGTCAAGCCTGGTCATTACACTGTCTCTTCCCCTTGACTCACAGCAGACCCAACTGGATGAAAGATCTGGTTTCCTCATCACAGAGGCATAAGGTTTCTTTGCCATTTGATTGACTGGTAAATGAAAGCCAGGATCATTTGTTTGCTGTGGGGGTTTTTGTTGGGTTTTTTTTTTTGGTTTTTTTTTTTGTTTTTTTTGTTTTTTTTTCAGCATGTCATGATTAATTCATCTCTGGCTTGCCTCCATGGACAAGCTCTAATTCTTGGCACCTTCTTCCTCTTCTTGTCTGTCTCTGCTTTCCCTTGCTGCACCCCAGTCCCACCTTGGAAAAAAGCTTCTCTTCCCTCTGAGGCTCAACAAATACCCCTTGCCTATAGGTGAACTTGGACCAACATTTCAAACTGCCCAGAGACCGAGGCTTTAGGAAATAATAACAGTATTTGTTGAAAATAGTTGGATCCTCCTAAACTGTCTGCCTGTGTGCCAAATTGAGAACTAAATCACAAAATATGAAGCAAATAAACAGAACCACATAATTTCCATTTTCAAATGAGTCATCCACAAGCTAAAGAAACTTTTGCAGAATGAGCAACTGGCATTATCATTATTAGCCCTCGCTTGGCACGGGTAGCACTTTATCATTCTCAAGCACTTTTGTTTCTAACAATTCATTTCAGTATCTACAATCACATACAAAGATAGTGTAATAGAGATCATTCTTATTTCCATTTTGCAAGTGGAGAAATGGCAGATCCATCTTGAACGGTGGACTTTACAGGGAACCTTCTGGAGTCAAGAATGGAAGATCAAGTATGAAGTTGATTTCAGACTAGAACTGAAGTCTATCAACTCATCCTTCTCCTATGCACCTTTTCCCAGCATACCATACAAAATCAGCTGAAACAAGGCAAAATCTTTTGAAAATCACAACCTTGAAGCCAACTAAGCAGAAAGTATAGCCTCATTTTATAGCTGAATAAACTGAAACAGGAAGGGTCAGTATAAATCATACAAATAGCTGGCCAAAATAGAAATTGAAACACAGGCCAGGCACAGTGACTCAGGCTTGTAATCCCAGCACTTTGGGAGGCCGAAGCAGGTGGATCACCTGAGGTCATGTGTTCAAGACCAGCCTGGCCAACATGGTGAAACCCTATCTCTACTAAAAATACAAAAATTAGCCAGGCGTGGTGGCACGCACCTGTAGTCCCAGCTACTCAGGAGGCTGAGGGAGGAGGATCGCTTGAACTCGGGAGGCAGAGGTTGCAGTGAGCTGAGATTGCACCACTGCACTCCAGCCTGGGTGACAGAGTTGTACTCTGTCTCAAAAAAAAAAAAAGAAATAGAAATAGAAACACATCCTTACCCAGACACAGTATGTTATTCTACTCTGTATAGGGTAATTTTCTATCACCCACTTGATGGAAATGTAACATCCATGAAGAAGGAAGAAGAATCACTCACTCCTTTGACCTGTCCCACTGTCTCTCTGGAAAGCTAAGAATATACAGATTATTGTTTATATGCTAGGATTGCAGGATTTGTGAGTTGAGAAATACACCAAATCTTCTTCTTATACTCTGAGGTTTGGGTTCTTCAAATCAACAAATCAACAGAGATACGAATGTGTTTCTCTCACTAGATCCACAGGCTTATGGTTCGTTCAGAATAGGTACCACAGGGATAAGAAAACAGGAGGAAAAGGAGCAAAAGGATGAGAATCCTTCAGAGCAATGCAGATGATATGGGCCAAGCAAAATAATAAGTATTATATAATTAACAGTAAGTCATCCTTCCATTCATTTAATCATTAAATCAATAACCATCCATTATAACAATTCTCAGCTGACCTTAAGGTGCTTGGGAGGATTAAATGAGGACATTTATATGTGTGAAGAATCTACCATAATATCCATCACACAGTGGGCCCCCAGCTAACGCTGGCTCCCTTTGCTTCCCTGGGTTCTAGCCCCAAGCCATCTGAAACAAGCACCTGCAAACAAGAATGAAAGTGGTGCCTGTGTGTGTGACGATCAGAGATGGTCTGCAGGGAGAAGAGTGGGAGACGAATGTGGTCATGAAGGGGAGGGGCGGGATTGGGCAAGGCCTTCCTGCAACCCCTCAGAAACTTAAACATGGGTTGCTATCACATTTTCAACAATTTTTATAACACAATCCCATGGCAGGGCAAGTTTAGAGTGTAAACAATCTCACAGTTAAGGGAGGCCCTGGGATATAGCAGAAGGGGTACTGAGCCTTAAACAAATTTCTTAACCTCCCGGGTCCTGTTTTCTGATTTGCAAAGCAAAGGGGGAAGGACTAGACACTTTCTAAGGACATTTCTGGCTCTGCATGACTGTCGAGATTTTCCTTATGTAGAGGCAGAATCTTCACTGCAATTTCAGCTCACTTCCGTTGATAAAGTCAGCGACCCCAGTCTTCCTAATACAAGGGAGAGACAGTTGGGGTGGGTGGAAGGCCTGTGGGAGGGGACCCGTCATAGCCAGGGCCTCTAGCCACTCCTGAGGTCACATCAGTCCCAGGAACCTGCTGAAGTTTGGCAGCACCCTTCCCCCATTCTCCAGAGAGATCTGTCTAGGGCAGTTCACCCTGGAGTTCTCAGGAAGCACTCTAGGAATTGCATTCCAGAAGGCTCCCTGTAGAGGCCACCCCCAAGAAATGGAATCTAAAGAAATGGTAAAGCAGGAACCCCTCAAAGTGGGTTTCAGGGCCACCATCTCTGGTACAGACTCACGGAGCTTTCAGGAAGCGGCTTCTCTGTCCAACACATACTGAGCCCTGCAGAGGCATCACCACATAACCTCAACATGTCCCCATTGTGCAGCTGAGATGACTTCTTTGGAGAATTAAAACATCTTCCCAGGAGCTCACAGTGGGTTAGGGGCAGAACCAGGATTTCAACTGAGGTCTGGATGAACCAAAAGATTACTGTAAACTCTCTACTAAAGATGTGCCAAAATAAGCCCCAGTGGGGACCAAATGTCCAATGCAGAAGGAGAACAGCCAGAGAATAATATAAACGGACAGGGCAGAGAGAGGGCCCTGGAAGAGGAGACTGGACAAGGCTGTCGGAGGCGAATGCCCGTATGCGGATCTTAAGGTTGGGGGCGTTGTTACCTGGGGTAGGATGTTGCCTTTAGCCATCTCCTGCCTCCCTGAGAGACCAGCACCCATCAGCACAGCACAGCCTAAAGTGTCCCTAAGGCTGGGTCCTGAGACATCATCCCTGATACCTACGCCATAGGGATGACCACTGTGTGTACTTGTTCAGAACGTACCTTGTACAGTACACTTGGCCAAGAGAGGGGTTCT
This sequence comes from Homo sapiens, assembly GCF_000001405.40. Classification (NCBI taxonomy): domain Eukaryota; kingdom Metazoa; phylum Chordata; class Mammalia; order Primates; family Hominidae; genus Homo; species Homo sapiens. The sequence continues at coordinate 113,265,025 of NC_000010.11, read as the reverse complement.
TCGCTTACCAAACTATGTATGCCCACTGAGCTGTGTCTGCCTGTAAGGGTGACATTTTTCTAATTCATGCAAAGGCTCTGTGGGCGTGAGTTGTGGTCCTATTCTGAGCACTCCTCTTTCTGGGTCTCTGTACTTACTCCATGAATGCTTGCTGAGTGTTTGCTATATGCTGGGCCATTCAAACATGAGGAGACACAGCCCCTGCTCTCAAGAAACTGAAAGGCTAGTGGGAGAGAAAGGCAAAGAGACAGGCACAGACGATGGGAAAGAGAAAATACAGGGGGCTCAGGGAGACCAGGCAGGGGCCCATGTGTCTGATTCTGGAGTCTCTCAGGACTAATCAGTCTCTATTATGTTCTCCTTCTCCCAACTCCCCTTCATGTGGCAAATCAGAACTCAGCTAGGTGCGTGCACACACCCCCACCTGCTGCTCTCCCGCTCATCTGATCCCCAGCTCCGTCTGACCCGGGCTGGTCCCCATTCACCCCCAGGTGCAGTCAAAAGGCCCTTTGTCTCCAGAGATTATGGGAAATTCCTTCCTTCCTCCCTGCTTGGGGACCTGCCGCTCTTAATAGGTTCAGTATTTGATTGTCAACAGATGGAAGGTCAGTGCTAAACACACATACACACACACACACACACAAGGGCTTCGGATCTGAATTGTTTAAGTCCCTCAACTCTCCACAAGACCCCAGGCCAAGATGTTAGGCTGAACCCAAAATCAATCAGGCCCCAGGCTATAGAAAAAGCAGCTCAAAATACAAAATGTGCTCTCTAACACAAGGTGCAAGGCTTCCTTCTCTGGATCATGAATGTTCTTTGTATTTTTTTTTTAAGAGACAGGGTCCCACTCTGTCACCCAGGCTGGATTGCAGTGGTACAATCATAGCTCACTGTAACCTCAAACTCCTAAGCTCAAGCAATCCTCCCACCTCAGCCTCCCAAGTAGCTGGGACTACAGGCACACACCACTATGCCCAACTAATTTTTTTTTTAATTTTGTAGAGATGGGGGTCTTCCTATGTTTTCCAGGCTGGTCTCAAACTCCTGGGCTCAAGCGATCCTCCCATCTCAGCCTCCCAAAAGTGCTGGGATTACAGGTGTAAGCCACCAAGCCCAGCCACTCTTTGGTTCTGAGTGGTTTCAGAACAGCACAGACCTCAGTCTATGGTGGTCAGATCCTTCTAAGGATTATGCAAAAACAACAATAACAAAAAGGTATCACACTTAGCATTTCAAGATCCCATTTACTGAAATGCTGTTTTCCAGAAATTTCCTGATTGAGTAACACAAGGTATAGCCAATTTGGCCTCCTTGTCCCCTTGCTTGCTGGCTCTTACATAAAGGAAGTCAAGGGAATTCAGAGAGAGAGAGAGAGACAAAAAAAAAAAAAACCAGGGCATCATGTGGCGAGTGAAAGCAGGATTCTTTTGGGCAACCTTTTCAGAAAGCACCAAGGAAGGGGACTGAGCCCACCTCCCTCCTGCTATACAACAGCTGACCACAACTCACCAGGGCCATGCAGGGAAGATGTGAAGACCTCTTGTATTAGTTCATTCTCACACTGCTATAAAGAAATACCCAAGACTGGGTAATTTATAAAGGAAAGAGGTTTAATTGACTTACAGTTCCACATGGCAGGGGAAGCCTCAGGAAACTTACAGTGATGGCAGAAGAAGTAGCAAGTACCTTCACTAGGCAGCAGGAGAGAGAGAGACAGTGAGAGACAGAGAGAGAGCGAGTGAGAGAGACAGTGAGAGAGACACACACAGAGAGAGAAGGAGGAACTGTCAAACACCTGTAAAACCATCAGATCTCATGAGAACTCACTCACTATCATGAGAACAGCCTGGAGGAAACCACCCCCATGATCCAATCACCTCCCACTAAGGCCCTCCCTCAACATGTGGGGATTATGGGGATTACAATTCGAGATGAGATTCCGGTGGGGACACAAAGTCAAGCCCTGTCACCGCCCATCATCAGAGGCCTCGAGCAGACTAGGTGCTGAGGTCAAGGCTCTGGTTCAGTCAGGAAGACACCTTTTCTCACTAAGGGGGGGGGGGTGACAGCCACTCACAGACCCTGATGCCATATAACTGAGCCTCAGAAATTCTGCTGTGAAAACAAAGTCACCCCAAAGAGCCATTCTCCTTGTGCTGCTGAAAACAAGAGATCACTTTGGATAGAAAGCAAAGAGTCTTGAAGATTTTAACAGCCTAGGATTTAAAAGCCATACACCCTCCTCTCCAGGAGGATTCCCAGGCTCCAGGCAAAGATTCCCCAGCCTCAGTTTCTCTTCCCCTCCTCTGGTTCTGGGCCTCTCTCGGTGCATGCTTCTGGCCCACTGGCAGAGTGGCCAAGGGCAGATGACAAAGAACATAAAAGTCCACCTTAGGGAGGCATTCACCATATAAAAAAGCGAGTGCATGGCTATAAATAGCATACCGGGATATACACAAATCATAGGCAAATCCACTTGAGAGTTCTTTATTAAATATTTTATGAGCACTGAACAACTGACTTGCTTCATGAAGTAGGAACATTAATAATGGCTAGCATTTATTGAGCACTTACTATAAGTCCAAACCAGAAAATCAGAGGTCTCAGTGGAAGATTCAGAGAGGAGGCTTTGCGAGATGAGTTTGAAATGGGAAAGAAACAGTGCCCCTGGCAAGGCAGGTCAGGAGCAAAGGCCCAGAAGTAGGAATGCAGGTCCGGAGCAGGACGACCATGAAGACCTTTCCATGAGAAGGTCTATCGGCTCCAGGTTGGGGTCTCACCTGGAGGACCCAGAGAAAAACTGAGACCCAAATGTCTTGCTGAGGAAAAGCAAGTTTTAGCAGTTGCTTCCTTGCACAGGTCCCTTTATGGGACTATTGAGCCCAGGACCGAGCGAGGCAGAAAGGCTTTGACAGTTTCATTTTATTTTGTTCTAAACAAGAGATAATATGAAATAGGCACCTGGGAGTGGTTTGAATTAACAACCCAAACCAAATGAACAGCTGCATCCCGGTGGGGTGGCAGGGAGTTTCCTGCTTTGGGCCATATTTCCTTTCAGCAACATTACATTAGCACGTATGAAATACAGCCGAAAAGTCAGGCAGTATTTAGTGGGAGAGAAAGGTACCTCCATGCTCTGTGCAAAATGCACTGCCAATTAATTGGCCGTGTAAGCCTGGGTTTTCAACTCATCTGCAGAAGTCGCAAGGTTAATGAAACCATTACGTATGCATGGATGTTGTGGAAGGGGACATGGGAAAAGATGTAACTGACAACGCTCTCCGTCAAGCTCTGCAGGTTGGGCTATTCTTATCCGACAGTACTTAGCAAAGTCGGGTACATGGGCAGAATTGGCCTCTCAGAGTGTGAGCGTGTGTGTGCGTGGAGATGCGTGTGTGTGCAACCATGCTAATGAGAACAATTAGATCCCTCCATCTGGAATCCATTAGCTGTGATTATGATGACGGACTCTCCTACCCTTATTACTATCTAGATTAGCTAACCCCGTTATTACCCAGGCCACCTTGTTCAATCTATTCCACGAAGCTGAGGAGACAGTTTCCTGTCATCTAAGCCGTCTTTCTCTCTCCCCCACTCTGGAGCCATTGTAAACTCCCTCACCCCATCTCAATTACAAGAACCCTAATAGGCCCTCCTGTCCCAAGTGACAGGCCTCTGCAGGTGTTTAGGAGGTGGGGGAGGGGACAGCCAGCTGATCCGTGCGGTCATGAGTCCTACATTCGCTCAGCCGTGCTCACGGCACAGGGCCTGCGTCTGCAGGTGTTCAGCAATTATCTTAGCCCAGTTACCTCACCATTTCTTAGGGTGTATGGGAAAAATAAACAAGGCACATTAAAAGGGTTGATACTGCAAAATAGGAAAAGCCTAAAAGACAGGCAGGAACCCAAGTGGAATGCGTGATCCCTTCACTCCCACCTAGGACTTCAAGAGCTGGACATCTCCCAGCTGCCCTCAGAATTGGAGACACAGAGATGATTTGGGTGTTCTCTGGCTACAAAATCCAGTGAAATTATGAGGATTCTTGGACTGTGGGCTCCCTCCTCCCTGGCAGCCCTGTTTCCCTCCTTTCCCTAGGGACCCTATTTCCTGGCCACCCTTCCCCACCAATAGAAAGAATAAGCATGGAGACCGCAGCAGGAAGCAGGACAATGAAAACAAAGTCTGAGAAGAGAATCTGATATTTCTCAAAACGTCACTAAAGCCATTCCGAGCAAAGTCAGAATGCTGTGGGTTTACCTGACACTTATTCCCCGGTATAGTATCGTTTCCATTTGTTGGGAACGTAGTTGGAGATGTGCGCCATGATGTTTGAGGACTCAGTCCTCTGAAGCAGAGCATCCCCTTGGTGTGCCCGAGACACAATGTTCGCAGCCTTCAAGGCAGCCAGAGCCCCCGAGGTAGTGCCTCCAGCTCAGAGAAGCCTCCTCCAATTAACCCAGCCTGGCAGTTCTTAGAATTATTTTTATGTGCATCAAGACACGAAAAAAGTAGAGAAGTGCTGCTCTAAAAGGTCTCATTTCATCCTGCCTCCATCTTCCTTCGTCCCCCCTTTTCATGCTTAGAAAGTCAAAGCTGTAAGGACTCTTACCTTGGCCAACAGTGACAACAACAAGGCCCTGGGGGTTCCATGGCTTGCCTGAGGTCCCATAGCTGTGGTGGCAGAACTAGAACTCAAGCCTCCTGACTCCCAGCTGAGGTGTCCTCTAACTGCTTTTTCACTTGAGACAGAACCCATCTCCCGCCCCTCTCTGTCTCACTTCCCTCTCCCCTCCTGACCTTTCAGGTTACAAATCTGAACAACCCGGGTGCCAGGAATAAATCCAAGCAAGAGGACGCACAGCCTTCCTGCGTTTCTGACTCAGATGGGAGCGGGGGAGCCTCTGTGCTTTCATATGCCATTCCGGACTGCACTCAGAAAAGGATGGCAAGGCTTTCTTGGAAAGGCAGCCTCTGTATCCAAGGGTCCATGCCGACCCAGGGAAAGCCTGGCCTGAGCGTTAATCCCGTTTCACAGCCCATTGGCACTGAGGTCGCCGTGGGATCCAAGAGTCATAAACCCAGAGGGGTTAGATTTCAAGGCAGTCGGGCTGGGAGAAACATATGGTGCCACAAATATCCCTTTTCCAAGCAAATTCCAAAATCTGGACTTTAGGAAACGTGTGAGTTTCTGTGAAGAGGAGCAAACTACACAACTCTTGTGAGACCGCACTTGAAACTCCATCTGATCATCCGTCTGTCCCTGTGTTTACAGATGCAAGAGTTATTTTTGGCACTGTCTAAATGAACGTTCATCCCTCTGTACATAATGCTTCCCACCCCAGTTAGGGATGGCTTAATCTGATTAGTGTTCCAGGTGAACCAGGAGAAGATGGGTTTGGTCTGATTCTTCGCTGGGGAGGGGACAGGGTGATTGCTACTCTAAATGTTCATCCCTTGAGGTCAGGAACGTTAGCAGTTGCCACATAAGCTGCCATGTCCACATCTCAGAAAATTGGCACAATGCATAATTTTATTCAAACTATAGCTGACAACCATTTAGAGATTGGGGGGGAAAATGATATGGTAGTTATAGGAGTTGTCTAAAGAAGACAAGATATTTCGAGATATTTTAAAAGAAATCATTAGCAATACTCAGTTGGTAGAGGCTGGGAAATGGGTACTTTCCTAACTGTTGGTAGAAATGAAAACTGAAATGACCTTTCTGAATGGCAATGTGACAAATACATGCCAAAGGCCTTAAAAATGTGCATGCCCCTTGACAAAGCAATTCTAAGAATTTTACCCCAAGGACATAATCAGAGATGTGTACAAAGATCCACATATATGAATTTTCATCACAGCAAGTCTGTATAGTAGAAAAAACAAAAATAATCTAAATGCCTAATGAGAGAGATTTGCTTAATAAAAAGATACAGTGCAATAAAGCCATTGATAATAGAGAATTAAAATTAACTATTAAAACAGGAAACTTTTGGCCAGGCACAGTGGCTCATGCCTGTAATCCCAGCACTTGTAACACCTGTAACACCAGTCCGAGGCAGGTGGATCACCTGAGGTCAGGAGTTCCAGACCAGCCTGGCCAACATGGTGAAACCCTGTCTCTACTAAAAATACAAAAATTAGCTTGGTGTGGTGGCACATGCCTGTAATCCCAGCTATTCAGGAGGCTGAGGCAGGAGAATCGCTTGAACCCAGGAGGCGGAGGTTGGAGTGAGTCCAGATCGTGCCACTGCACTCCATCCAGCCTGGGTGACAGAGTGAAACTGTGTCTCAAAAAAATAAAATAAAATAGGAAACTTTTTCCATATGATAATTGTAAATAAAAAGAAGTCAGACTACAGAATAGCTCCTACAGTAATATTGCAGTTTTATAAAATCTATGTGTGTATGTTTGTGTGTTGCTAAGAACAAATATTAGAAAGCTAAAATACCCACATTTTTCCATATGCTCAGCATTGAACATGTATCACTTTTATAGCCAGAAATGAAAAGTTTAAGGAAATGAAATCAATTCTTCAGCTATAAACATAGAGGGTCAGTGGAGTAAAGAGCATCTTCTCTTTTTACTGATCTAACACCTCAACCCTTACTCTCAGCTTTCAGACTAAATTGTTCTCAAGTACCAGATCTTGTTTAATCTATACACTGCTATCAGCTAACCCCATCCAACATATGAACTTAGTTGTATCATGTGTACATTGCACTGTGTGATTTTCCAGGTAAAATGAAATATTCTTCACACTCTTCGCCTGTGAGGAAATACATAGATTTGCATGTCTGACATTTGGGGCTGATATGCTTCTAAACCTAGGTGGCCTGGACTCACCCTGCCCACGTCCCTGCCATCACTTCCACAGGGAATCTTGCCAGGATATCAACCAAGGCACAGCTTTCCTGTGAATAGCCTCACATTGTACTTCTAAATTATTTAACATCCAAAGCCAGAGAAATCCTAGGAATTCCAGCCCTCATACTAAGAACATAATGCCTACAGGAAGAAAGACCATAATAAGTAAACCAGAACAGCGTCTTTTCTTAAGAAATCACACTATATTGGCCGGGCACAGTGGCTCATGTCTATAATCCCAGCACTTTGGGAGGTCAAGGCAGGCAGATCACTTGAGGTCAAAACTAACCTGGTCAATATGGTGAAATCCCATTTCTACTAAAAATACAAAAATTAGCCAGTTGTGGTAGCACACGCCTGTAGTCCCAGCTACTCAGGATGCTGAGGCAGGAGAATCACTTGAACCCAAGAGGCAGAGGTTGCAGTGAACCCAGATCACTGCAGGCTGGAGCGCAACTGCACTCCTGCCTGGGTGACAGAGAAAGACTCTGAGAAAAAGAAAGAAAAGAAAAGAAAGAAAGAAAGAAAGAAAGAAAGAAAGAAAGAAAGAAAGAAAGAAAGAAAGAAAGAAAGAAAGAAAGAAGGAAAGAAAGAAAGAAGAGAGAGAGAGAAAGAAAGAAAGAAAGAGAAAGAAAGAAAGAAAGAAAGAAAGAAAGAAAGAAAGAAAGAAAGGAAGGAAGGAAGGAAGGAAGGAAGAAGGAAGGAAGGAAGAAGGAAGGAAGGAAAGAAGGAAGGAAGGAAGGGAGAGAGAGAGGGAGGGAGGGAGGGAGGGAGGAAGGAAGGGAAAGAAGAGAAGAGAGAGAAGAGAGAAAAGAGAGAGAAAGAGAGAGAGAAAGAAAGAAGGAAGGAAGGGAAAGATGAGAAGAGAGAGAGAGAAAGAGAAAGAAAGAAAGAAAGAAGAAAGAAAGAAAGAAAGAAAGAAAGAGAAAGAAAGAAAGAAATCACACTATATGTCTGAAAAACCACAAAACAAGATTAGAGAGAGCTCTAATTGATATAAAACAGTCATTACTAACCAAAAGGACTCGAAACAATTTTCAGTACCATAAAGGGCCATCTTTGCCACAAAGCACATCTTAGAGATAAGTTAGCCATGTTTGTCTTCAGACTTCTTCCTCTACCATTACCACTCTTTGGCAGGCTGATACCTCTGGCTATCCAAGGTGTAGCATCGAGGGTTCATCCTCTCCAAGTATATTTTATGATCAAAGTTGCTCCTCTCTCCTTCCAAGCTATCAAAAAAATACTATTCCCTCAAGAGCAGCTGGTTAAAGCATTGACAAGAAAGCAATCTGATTGAATTATCCACATTAACATATATATGACTATAGCCCTATCTCCCTGTCTTTTAAATAACACTAATCCATCTCTTTTCAAAGTGTGGCATTTGAACCATCTGTATTAGAATTACCTGGGTGCTGGTTAAAAACTGTAGGTTTCTGAACCCCTACTCCTATCTGAATCAGAATCTCTCCTGGTGGGCTCCAGGGGTCAGCATTGTATCTGTTATTTCTTATTTTTTGTAGAGATGGGGGTCTCACTATGTTGCTCAGGCTGGTCTTGAACTCCTGAGCTGAAGGACTGCTTGTGCCTCTGCCTCCCAAAGTGCTGGAATTACAGGCATGAGCCACCGTTCCCAGCCCAAGTCTATATTTTAAACAAGTCTCTTTGATTCTTACGCACAGTAAAGTTTGATAACTGGTGGAGTATGGAGGAGAGATGGTATCTTTGAGCAGGGAGGTCTTCACCATTAAATGACCCCCTTTCTGCTCTGGGAGAACTCACATCAAAAAATAGGGGGTAATTCCACTAACAGTTAATAAATGCTTATTATGGAGCAGGCATTGCTATCATCTGTGTTTTAACCATGGAGAAACTGAGGCGCAGGATGAATAATTAACTTCTGCAAGGTCACACAGCTCTAAATGTTAGGTCTAGCTTTGGAACCCCAGTAGCCTTCAGAAACCCTCTTGAGGACTTATTTCAAATATCAAGGCATACCTGTCTCAATTACAACTTCTCAAACTTGAAAGGGTGTGAAGATATCCCTAAAAGGAGAGAGAGAAAAAAAAAAAAAAAAAAAAGCCCAAACTGACTTAAGTGATGAATTACTTAGAGCACTACACCGTGTGTCAATTCTCATTGAACATTTTTGGGCACCAATTTAGGCCGGTTGGATGTATGATAGGTTTGTCTGAGAAAGCTCAGAACTTTGAAACTGTTCCCTTTTGTGCTTTGATTACACATTCATTCTGACTTGAAAAAGGATTATGTTGTAGGGAGCCACACACTCCCTCACAGCGGCCGGTTGTGGCTGTTTCCATCTGTAATGATTGTTTAATGACTATTTAAGAAAGTGCTGCCTGAGGTTCACTAATCACCCAATTTTTATTAAGCACTCAAGGAAATCGCACAGGTTCAGAATTGCCTAATTGACAGCAAAGTCTTGAGTTGTGCAGAACCTTCTTCCTGCGGAGGAGGGAATGCAGTGCTGATGGCAATGTGACGGCCCCTCCCCCAAAGAGAGAAGTCTCCACAACGCAGAGGGGAATCGCACATTGATTCCCAAGAGGGAGCAAAAGTGGGATTTAAAAGACCAGTTAGGCAGGAGAGAGAGGGCGTGACCAGCATGAACAGATATTATGAAGAAGGTTTAGCCAAGATCACTAAAGAAATGCGAGTCAAAGACCCTCTTCTCCCCTACCCTGATAGGCATCCTGGGGATCCAAGATTTTCACCCCAAAGACTAAAAATTGTCAGTTCTATTTAGAGTGAGGTTTGGAGCTGAGTATTTCAACCAACGGTTATTGAATCGACAGCACTGAACTTGTTGCTCTGAAGCCGGCACAGAGATGAATGAAGCCCAATCTTTACCCTTGAGGAGCTTTGAGTCTGGGGTGGGTGGGGAGACACAGATATGATACTGTAGGAATACCTAGCAGTTATGTAGCCCTTCTAGGCACAGCACACTGTGAAGTGCTTTGCAAACATAATCGAAGGACATTGTCCCCATCTCCAAATGAGAAAACCAAGACTTAAAGTACTTAGGTTCCTTACCCCAAATCATGTAGCCAGTGAGTGCTGGAGCCAGGATTTGAACTGAGGTCTGGTTCCAAAGCCCATGCTCCAACCATCTCTGCCATACAAAGAATTTAACTTAGAGTTATTATATCTGTGAAGAACCAGGTGTGCCCAGGGTGTAATGGGAGTACTAAGAGTGGACATTTATCCCAGCTTGGATTTTACTCTAGATTTACCACTTACTAAACATGAGACCTTGAGCAAAGAACTTGATCCCTCTTGGCTTTAGTTTTTCAGTCTCCAAAATGGGTTTGATGGTATTAACCATATAGGATTGTCTTTAAATGAAACACGATAAAGTATATGAAGCTTCCAACAAAGGATCACCTAGTAGGTCACAGAGTAGGTGCTCAGTTAATATTGTTTTCTCTTTCAGGCTGCTTCTCAACTAGGAAATGGTGGGGGCTGGTACCCCAAAGCAAAAACAGGCCCAAAGTACACAGAGGAACAGGAACTCCCACACACTGCTGCTGGGAGTGTAGACAAGGGCAGCCACGTGGGCGGCACCCTAACATCACCTAGTGATACGTAAGGAAATCCAACCAGATCCGCAAGGGGATGGGCATGAGCGACACGTAAGAAAATCCAACCAGATCCGCGAGGGGATGGGCATGAAGTATTCAACACAGCATTGTCTATAACAGAGAGGAGTTGGAAGCAATCCAGATGTCTACCAATTGGAATTGAATAAGAAGATTATGGAGGAGGTCTTGTATGGAATACAATGTTGAAGTCAGGGGCAATGTCCCATGCACACGTAAACATGAATAGAACTTTAAAATACTGGTTTGGATGAAAAAGTACGAGTCAGAAAGAGATCTATAGCCCCTTTCCATTCATGTAAATAAAGAACACTTGCACAGTCAAAACAATATTGTGTATCTTCTAATGGTGTACATGTATCCAATGTATATATCTCTATAAGTAATAGCCCATGAAGATGTCCACATCCAATCCCGAGAACCTGTGAGCCTGTCAGATTAGATGGCAAATAGAACAAAAGTTGCAGAGGGAATTAAGATTGCTCATCAGCTGGCCTTGAGATGGAGGGACTATCCTGGAGAATTCGGGTGAGCCCAGTGTAATAATCACCAGGTCGTTATTAGTGAAAAAAAGAGGCAAGAGAGAGATACAGAATGTAGGAGTGATTGCAGAGGCCAGGTAGGTGGCTCACACGTGTAATCTCAGCACTTTGAGAGGCCAAGGTGGGAGGACTGCCTGAGGCCAGGAGTGCAAGATCAGCCTCAGCAACAAAATGAGACCCTATTTCTACAAAATAAAAAAGTTAGGCATGGTGGTGTATGCCTGTAGTCCCAGATACTCAGGAGGCTCGGAAGGAGGATCATTTTAGTCCAGGAGTTCAAGGCTGCAATGAGATATGACTATGCCACTGCACTCCAGCCCGGGCAACAGAGTGAGAACATGTCTCTTCTAAAAAAAAAAAAAAAAAAAAAAAAAAAAAGTAAATTGTTTTTAAAAGAATGATATAGACCATCCATTCCTGGCTTTGAAGATGGAAGGTGGCCAAGAGCCAGAGAATATGGTCAGCCTTTAAAAACTGAAAGAGGCAAGAAAACAGGTTCTCCTTCAGAGCCTGCAGAAGAAGCACAGGCTCTAATCATTTTCCAACAAATTATTTCGCCCAGTGTGACTCCTTTCAGACATCTGGCTTCCAGAACTGGAGGATAATAAAGCTGTGTTGTTTAGAGCCATCCCGTTTGTGGTCATTTGTTAGTGCAGCAGCAGGAAGCTAATGTGCTATCAAACGTGTGAGCATAAGTAGCATGCTAACAGCCAGGAGGAACGCAGGTAAAGACTGGGGATCGGGCAGTGCAGCTCCTGGACCTCAGGGGATGTGCGCCCTGCACTGGGTAGGCTGCTAAACTCGACTCTCTACCTGGGGCAAGGGAAAAAAGAAGGACGGGAGGGAGGGGGAAGGGAGGGAGGCAGGCTGGCTGGTTTGCAGCACGTCATACCAGGCCCCTCATGTCTAGCTAGCTAAGTACCTGGTGCTCCAGATGCGCTGAATGAACACACAAAGATGCAAACTGATGACCTGTAAAGGGAAATGCACAATAAAGAAAAAATCCAAAATTAAGGAGGACCTGTAAAGGGAGGTGCACAAAATGTTTAAATCATGGTAAGGTGAGGTTAGATTTAAACAATTTCTAGAGGGGGCTGGACTCTGGTCTGTGGTTTGCTCTGGTTTCAGAGTATGCTACTAAGCCATCTTTCCTGCCATACTAACCAAGAGGTACTTCTGGGTTGCATATAGATTTACTGAAGATAACAGACTTGCCTTTAAAAAATAGTGTATTAACACCAGTTTTACCCAATCTCTTCCAGAAAGCATTTCCAGAAAGCAACTCAGTTTATGAGGCTAATATTACCCTGATACCAAAAACAGATAGACATAGTACAAATAAAACCACAAACCAGTATCTCTCATAAACTTACACACAAAACCCCTCAACAAAGTATTAGCAAGTTGAATCCAGCAGTATGTAAAAAGAATTATATACTGTGACCAAGTGGGATTTATCCCAGGTATGCTAGGCTGGTTCAACGCTCAAAAATCAATCAATATAATCCACTATATCAACAGATAAAAGAAGAAAAACCACATGATCATATCAATTCATGTGGGAAAAGCATTTGACACAAGCCTACACCCATTCATGATAAAAATTTATCAGCAAACTAGGAATAGAGGGAGACTTCCTCAACTTGATAAATAGCATCTACAAAACACCCACAGCTGGGCTAACACCACACTTAATAGTGAAAGACTGAGTGCTTTCCCTTCAAGACCGGGAAAAAGGCGAGGATGCCCACTCTCACTGCTGTTATTCAATATGGAACCAGAGAAAAACAAACAAACACGACTGTATTTATTGGGCCTTCCTGGATTTCCCAACAGTATGAACCAACATCTGAACCTCCAGCTCCCTTCAAGACAGGTGAAGACCTCAGGGTCACAGCACAAGGGCCCCACCCACGTTTGGGTATCTAAACTACCCAAAACAGTAGCATTTCAGGTCTGATAACCCTCCCACTGGCCTAATGCTCACACACTTTAATTTTTTTAATAAAAATATTTCCCCTTAGCATTGATTATTGGATTCAAACCCTCACAGCATCCTTGTATACCTTTGAAGCTAAAGAGTTTCCCAAGTTACCATCAATCCATTCCAAGCTAAGAGAAAATAACCCAAATTGCAAGCTGTTTCATGTTACCTAATATCAGAATAAAAGCTTTCCTTTTATAACTCTCCACAAATTGCAAAATGCTTTCTTGTTCATTGGCTCATCAGATCAAATCCTCACCTCTCACCTCCGCGCCTCTCCTTGGCTCCTTCCGGCAGAGCTAATTGCTCCTTCCTCTGAGTTCCCATGGCACTTTATACGTGCACCTGTCGCCACAGTCGACACTTTCTATTATAGCCTTAGTTTAGGTCTCTCTGTGCCCTGCTAGACCTAGAGGGACCATGCAGCGATTAATTTAGCATCTCCTCCCCAGCACCAAGTGTGGGCTCCAGTGTGGAGAAGGGGCCCAATAACCGCATTTGGGCATAGTTCGATTGCAAGTTAGGGATTTGATTGACACGTAGAAGGGACTCAGTAACTTGTAGCTGTCGTGGGACATTGGAGAGATGAGGAAGCTGAGACTCGGGCACACTAAAGGACTCCATCAGGGGCACACAGCTAGGTGGTGACAGAGTTGGGCTTTGACACAGATCTTTTGCCTTTCATTTGGATAAACAGTCACTTTTCACCTGCTGATGTCCTGCCCTGTAGCTCTGGAGGGACCATACCCCAGGAAAGCAGCTGAGAGTTTAATTCATACCTCGGCATGGTAGTTAAAGAGAAAGAAACAGCCTTGTTCCTGTGGTGCGGAGACACAGCTCAGAAACAGAAAAACTGCTGGGACCCTAAAAGCCTCTGAAAACAGAATGCAAACCACAGAGCCCAGCCTATCACAAGTTCAACAAAGTTTTTCCACGTTGAACTCTGAACTTTGAGAAGTCTGGAATCTTTAGCAATTGCTTATTGCCTGCAGGATAGATGCAGTTAGTCCTGTGCCTTCTGGGCATGCCCTTAGCTGCAATCCTCATTGAAGTTGCTATGCTGCTGCTTTCAAAACTGCTCAAATTCCTTCACTCAAGTGTTCTTAGCACTTATGTTGATGGGGAATACTTCAAAGGGTACATCTTTACTTTATCAAATCTGATCTAATTTTGCAGATGGAATCAAAGAGGTTCGTTTTGAGTCTAGTCAAGTTTGCCAACCATCCCGGAGAGGAGGCATCAATGCCTTGTCATCTGTGTAATTAACCTAAACAGAGAGGTCCCCAAAGACAACAGAGTCTTCGGCCATCGAGTCCCAGAGACCCCTGGGCAGAGACAGAGGCCTCCCTCTGAGTGAGGGGAGCATGCGGAAGGGAAAGGACGGGTCTCTGATACTCTGGGAATCATGGCTGTTCCTTCTTGATAGCAATCAAAGACAGGATGGGTGTTCTGGAAGAATTCAATGAAGATTGAAAATATAATGAGCTTCAGTGTGCTTGGCAGTCTACAAAGAGTGCACCGTGAGGTATAAGAGAGCCCCGGACACAGGTAGCCAAGGCCCCAGGTATTAACCTTCACCCTCAGCTACGGGAACAATTACACTACTCTTCTCCCAACCTAGCACTTTTTACAAAATCCAAAACTTGATGTCGGTGCTAATTTGCCCCTGATACCTGCGTTTGAAGCTGGATCCAGGCATGGGTTCAGCTGCCTAACCAGACGGTAATTTCCAACTGAGCTATTATAATTGTCACAGTAAAATGTCTGTCTGCATACAACACACCAGGATGGGGGGAAAAGCCATTGATTTTGGTGTTCAGAAAAGTTCTCTGTGGCTCAGAGAAGAGACATTTCTGGTTGGTTTTGCTTTATCATGTATATATATATATATATATATATATATATATATATATATATATATGCACAGGGGCAGCCATCTCGCATTGAAATTGAACACGAAGGCGAAAGGCTCAGGGGTTCAGTTCTCAATGTCCTCAGCTCTGGGGTCCTTCTTTTAAAAAAAGAGCTCTTCAAAACTCCCACTCACAAGCTGCCCCCATGCCCTTGGCTTTGGACGTTGGTGGGAGTCACGCTCATCTATCAGCCTTTGGGAGGTCAGTAGGAAATGATCGGGGAGCTTTTGTGCCAGGTCCGTGCACGTCGGCCATGAAAAGGCTCCACGGCCCAGATCTCTGCCCACGCATTCTGGTCATCAAGGGAGTGGGCGGCACTCTCCTTTCCCGTGGAGGAGAAAACCAGGCCAGGCCTGGGGAGGTGGAGAACTTCCCCAGGTACTTGGCTCTTTTCCTGCTTGCTATGAGTTCGCCCACCCAGTCCCCTGCAAACACTTTCCTACCCAGCAGCCAGAGGGTCCCTCTAGAGACAGAGCTGAGCAGGTCCCACCCACAGGTGAGGTCTTCGGTGGCTTCCATTGCTCTCAGAATACTGACTGGGAATCCTGGAGGTGGACTTGGGGGCTCTATGATCTGCCCAACTCCCTCCCCAGCCTTTTCTCTACCTGGACTGGCTTCATAGGACATGTGACCTGTGCAACCAACAAGACCCCCAAGAACACACACACTCTGAAGGTTCCTGCTCTTATTGTCCTGAGATTCTTAATAATTTTTTTAAGAGCCCACATTTTCATTTTGCACAGGGCCCTGCAAACCCTGCCTCCTGTTCCCCTCACTATGCTCTGCACACCTTCCCAAGCTCCCTCCCGCCAGAGGCCCTCGGAAGTCTAGCTCTCTCTGCATGGAATGCTCCTACACGCCCAGACTCCTCCTCACCACTGATAAATTGCCACTTCCTCCAGGAAGTCCTTCCTGTCCTCCCTAACTAAGTCCCCTATCATAGGCTCTTAGAGCATCACAGCACTTGTCCATAAATCTTTCTTCAGTTGCAATTCTACATTTATTATATATTTACACATATTTGATTACTGTCTGTCTCTCTCTCTGGAATATAAGTTCTAAGGGAGCAGAAACCACGTTTATGTTTTTGTTCACCATTGTTGCCTCAGTGCCCAGCACAGTGCTGGACATAATAAACATCCCCTAAATATGTGTTGAGATGATTAATGAAAAAGGAGAAAGCAATAGAACACGGTGTTTTGGGGGCAGGCTCTGCAGGCAGACTGCCCACTTTCATATCTACTTCTGCTGCTGGCTGTGTGATTTCAGGTAAATTTCTTAACCTCTCTGTGCTGCTTTTCTCATCAGGAAAATGGAGATAAAATGAGTAACTCATAGAATCATTGTGAGTTTTACATGAAATGATGTGTATGGAACACTTGAGCCACGCATGCCTGATGCATTGTCAGTAACCCCAGTGTCCAGCTCCGTTATTTTCAGGGAACTAGTGTGCACTGCAGGTGGGTGCTCAGTGTCTCACATGTCCTTAGAACAACCCCATGTGGCAGGAATTATTGTCCCCAGGCTGGCACAGCTAGCAAGTGTCCCAGCAGGACAGAAATCCATCACAGCCCATCTCCTTGGCCTGTGGTTGAATTGAAGACATGACAGTCGACTCAGGATAGTAGATGGGATTGCCAGAGAGTTGCAAAGCCCCAATTTGAGTTTTGGCTCCATTTCTAACTATAGATGTGATCATGAGCAGTTTTCTTAGCCTTCTCAGGTCTTGGTGTCCTCCTCTGAAAATGAGACAGGAAAAGACGCATCTCGCAGAGTTGCTGTGAGCACTGAGTGAGATAAACCCTGTGAAGCTCTTCGCATGAGGCTTCATTGTAAGTCCTTGGTAAGCATTCAGCGCGGTTTAGTTCTCTGCAATATCATTAAAGCCACTTGCTGGAGTCCCTCTCATTCAATGGAAGGAACCGAGTGAGGCCTCATGTTTTTGAGCCAACTTACTCCCATAGTCACAGCCACCAATATTTCCAAAGAGGAATCAGATTGTTTATGGAGGGCAACTCTTCCTAGAATTCTTCCAACCTCCGGCGTTCCCTAGATGTTGCACCTAGATGAATTGTGTTGGTGACATCTCTGCCTTCCAAAACAAGGGGTGCTTTCCCCAGTGTTGAGGGTTTTCAGAAGACTAGAGCCTCTTGTCTGGCTCTTCCTCTCTGCTGCCTCTTCCTGAAAAAAACTGAAGGCCTGGAGATGGAAGAGTTAATTCTAGCAGGTGCTATTCCTTCTCCACACATCAGGATGGGGGTGCTGGAAGGGGAAACCATCATGCAGCCGGAATGGCTAGAATGTGCTTATCTGGAATTAAAGCACAAATGTGGTTCCTTCCCCAGTCAATAATTTAAGGCTTCAAGGAATGAAAAACCCCCCTGTGCTCCAGCCCACTGCAGACTCCTCAGCCCCCTGGAAAATCGCTTTCTGCCTGCTGATCCCATGAACTCTCTTTCACTCAGAATGAGTTCAGGCAGATGGCGACAGGAGCTCAGATGCGGTGGGAGGGGCGGGCCAAGAGGGGCCTTGGCTGTCCAGACCTGTGATATCCCCATTGTGAGCTACGGGGGCTGCAGAGGCACACCCTGGAGTCACTGATGGGGTCCCAGCCCCATTTCAATCAGATCTTCAATCAAACTACAAGTTTGTCTGATACATGTACTGGGGTTCTAGGAGAGGGTTTATTTGGGGATGGAAAGTCACTTTTTAAAAGTGACCACTAAAAGTTAAAATATGACTGAATTTGTTCATTTCCTTCATTTTACACAGAGAAAGCTGAGATCTAGGGAAGGTTCCACGACTTCTCTGCACAGCTGGTTCTCAGCCAAGGTGAAGTCAGAACTCAAGCCTGCCCCAGCACTGGAGATGATGCGTGGTGAATTTGGAAGAGTGGGCTGGGGATCCGCACACGAAAACAATTTTTGCAAGGAATGGAAAAATATCCAGGAGCCGGAGAAGCTTTGAGAAAAGTCTTCCCCTTCCATTGTTAAACCAGATAAGACTGAACCCAGTTGGCCAGGCCCTCCCAGAGTTATCTGCCTCTTACGTGGAGCAGTATTGAGGTATTTTCTACAGCAGGAAAGTGGGTCATGCCCCATCCTGGAGACTCCACCCACAGCTCCAGAAGGCAACTCCCCTTCAAGCCTTCTCACCAGGGGTCTCTCAGGCCTGCCTGGCACCATCCATAAGCAAAGGAAACACATCAGTCCGGAGGGCCATTTGCTCTGGGGAGCCATACCCAGGCAGTCTTGACTCTGGTTGGACAATGTTGGGAGCTCATCCTTAAAAATGTTTGAGGCCAGGTCTCATAGCTTAGGAGTCCCAAACCGTCCTTCTCTCAGAGAGCCCTGGACATACAGGTATGACCTCTGAGAGTTTAATGAAAAGCTCATCTTCTGTTCTCTCTTCTCATTGTTAACCTTCATGCTATGGTGGGTAATGAAATCCGAAAGATTTTGAGCCAGAAGTCACATCCAAGTTCATCTAGACTAATGAATGACTTTATTCTATAGATGAGGACATTGAAGCTCAGAAAGAAAAAGTTACTTGCTCAAGGGAAAAAAAGTAAAACTATATAATAATAGACCTATGCTTCTGGGGTAGAAGAGAGAAACCACTGCCTTCCATTCCTTCCCAAATCATAACTGCCTCATCTCAAACCAAATGCATCCTCTTTCCCGAGCTACAAGGCCCTCTCTACTCAATCCACACCTCCCCCTCATCCCCAAATCTCATTCTACAAATGGCTGCCCTGTTAATAAGAAGCCCTAACTTCTGGGTAAGTCACAATCCCTTATTCCTCTACCACCCCAAGTGGCTGAGCCATGTAGGGAACATTTTCAGGCATCACTGGGAGTTGTGGGAAGTAGTGACCCACTGAGCTGCAGTCAACCAGTGTCCTTGACACTGAGCTGGGCGACACCTCATGGCCAGTGAAGGGCTCCATTTAGCTAGTCTTACCCAAGCTCTCCTTCCAAGGCAGTGAGTGGAGTTCACATGAACCAACCTGGAGAAAGTGGGGTCGTGTTAGCCAAGACTACTGCTAAGGGTTTTCTAATTGGAGCAATATCAAAGTCAGGAAATGGATACTTTACTTGAGATCTGAGGAATTAACAGAAATGGATCCCATTTTCCAAATCACAGAGCAGATATAAAATCAACACAGAGGTAAGGAATACTTGCCCTGGCCAATCAAAATAGGAAAGATGGTGATTATGACAAGTCAAGGTGCTGATGAGGACGCACAGCAAAAGAATTCAACTTCTGATGTGGACGGCTCATTAGCCTCCCATGCTCTAATCACTTCCATCCATCTCTCTTTCCATCTTTAAAAATGTCTATTTCTTTACCTTCATTTATTCATTCATTCATTCAAACAAGGCAAGGTCAAGATGTTGGTCAAACTCTCATCACCAGTCGACACATTCTTTCCACTACCCCTCACCCCTCCTCAGTCAGCCTCTCCTCCAAAATAAGCCCATGATAAAAGTACAGCAGGCTCTGTGCATTTTAAAGAGTTAGCCTATTTTCAACTATAAAATAATATGTGGCATAGAAAACAGCATGTAGGATGAAAAAAAGATCCTGTTTAGTTTCAGTGTGACATTTGCCTGGGGGAAGAAGTGCAGAGCTCATTGGCAAGCCGATTGTTGAAGCCCTGACCAGTCAGTTACAAAGTGTCATGATTTAATATGCCAGTCAGCTCTGCCTTTTCCAGGCCAATCACTCCTTTTGTGCTGGGGAGAGGGTGGAAGTGGGGGGCAGAGGAGAAATTGAGCAGGGGGGAGGTTGACGAGAGTAGTAGAATGAAGGGGGTCAGGAACACACAAGAATGGAAGATTCCAGAAATGTTTTCTTGTCCAATCTCCCTCCCACCTCGAGTGTGCCTTACGGGTGCCCACTGGGGTCAACTGGCCAGAGCCCAGTGACTCTTGGTCATGATAGCTACCCAGGTGAGCCTTCCATGAATTAAGGACAAAGGCCCTGTCCATGCCCCAGACATGGATATCCTGGGCCCCAAGGTCACCTACGTTCCTAGAGCGGGGGTCATCTTCTGGCCCCAGATGCTACCAGAAACACCAGCTTCTAAAGTCATGGGCAAAAAGGTCAACAAGTCTGAACCTCTTACGACCTCCTGCAAGCTCAGCACATTTCTGTGTTTAGACATCAGTGCCAGATCCCAGCTCCCTTTCATGACTGAGCTTTGTATCCAACTTACCATTAACAGGGTTCAGCCAAGGCAGGGCTTTTGACTCTCTCCCCCAACGACGGCCCCCTCTCTGTCAGCCTTTTCTTCATCAACTATATTTGTTACAATCAAGTCCTGTCAACTGTCACAGCTTACATACAGACTGCCAGTAAATATGTCTTTCCACTCATTAGACATTCCTCCTAGTCACCTTGGGATTTCTACCTTGTCTATCTCACTCCAAAAAACTTTTGTTCAGAAGTATGAGACACCCACTGAGCAATGTCAGCTTGCGGCCATTACCTCAGGAAGTGACAGAAAACACCCAACTGTCACTCATTAAGATCCATTTTTTCCAGAGTTGATGTAAGTCAGACTTTGCCCCCAAAACGAATCATGATTTATTTAATATATTTGCTTCTACAAGTGTCAGCTCATCAGCTTAAAATGTTCCTCCTTTAACTCTATTGAGGGCTGTACAGAAAGTTTTCTTTGAAACCTAGTTTTTGCTTTAAGGCTTAATAATTAAAACAGAACCAAGAACAGTCAAGACTCTGCTCTATAGGTGCACTTTGGTGGCCCCTGGTTTTATAATTATATGTACAAAGCGGTCGTGTTGGAATTATCGCCGGACACGCTGGGAAAATTGCCTCCCACTGAGTGGGCTGGCTTTTTCTGCCAGGCGCACCGCACTGGGGCAAGATGAAATAAAAACCGGGGATGGTTTGAAAGCAGGGACAAAAATAACAATTAGGGAAGCGAGGAGGAGAAAAATACAGTTTCTTAATTGCTTGGCCCGTGTGCCAGCGGGCAGCTCCCTGTCATGCTGTAGGAGCGGGAGGGCCCAGGAGGACCCAGTGCTGGCCAGAGGCCTGGGGACACAGAGAAAGGTGCATTGGTGACAGCTTTCCGGAAAAGATGCCCAAGGCCTCGCTTTGACCTGGATTTGGGAGGAGATCAAAGCCTGAGCCCAAAAGAAAGGTGATTTGATGGGCTGATGGCTTCCCATGGGGGAGGTTCCAGCCCAAGGTCACTTCCAGCCACCCTCTTCTCTGTTTCAGATTCATTCTGGCTGGTCCTTTCTCCTGGAAGAAGAGGGGCTGAGTACCATGGGCAGGTCCACTCGGAAGCAGAGAACAATGCCCAGCAACTTGACCTCCTCCTAGACCTGGCAGCAGGTGACTACATCTCACCCAACAGTGGGGTTGGCTTTTCTCTATCCCAGGACCCAGGGACCCTAAGGGAGGCCAGCCCCCACCACCAAAAAGGCTTAGCCCCCAGATCCACAGATAGACCTACACGAGGGGTAGGGTACACAGTGAGGACAAGCACAGGAGAGTAGCAGAGAAAGGAGAAATTCCATGGGAATTTCCCAAGATGAAATTGAAGTCTGGGGGAAAAGTGAGGCTTCTGTCATCAGACACGTTCACACTTAGCAATTACTTGTGGGATGTGGCATGGGAGAGCCAAGCCTCCCAGGGACATCCAGGCTCAAAGACACTCAAAGCACCTCTCAGGGTATGACCTTAGAATTCTCCAAGTACAATATTTTGCCAGATGCTATATTTGTTAATTTGTTCCTGCAATACCAAGTTAGACTGGGCCTTCATCCACAAAGTCTCCCCCACCAACCGGCCAAGGGCTCAAATCCTCTCCCAGGGCCCAGCCTCTGGGTTAGGGCTTCCATCTCTGATAAATGCATGCCCTGGAGTGTCAGCGGGAACTGAGAGTCTGAACAAAGGGTCTGGATACAAACTCTGAAGGAAGGCACCCAGGAGAGGTGGGGGCTGCCACACTGGTCCAGAGACCTCATTGTTCACTTAAGTGACTGCCCTGGCCCTCCTGCTTCCACGTATCCATTCTCCTACAGAAACCAGTGATGTTCTAAAAATTCAGATTTGATCATAAAATCTCACATCCACACTCACAAACCCCTCCCACTTAAAACCTTCCAATGGCTTCCCATTGCTTATGGGATAAAAGTCACACTTCATCATTGCTCTCCTCACCCTCATCCCAGCGCTGCCTGGGACGTGCCTCTACTATCTCTGCCGAGCAGGGCTTCTGATTTCCAAATCGCAATTCAAGCCTTGCCTCGCCTTAAGATCTTGATGTCTCTGGGTCTTGTGCCAGACTGGATCCCCTGATACAAGCAATGGAAGACCAGCTCCAGGTGACACCTGGAGGTGAAAACCAACACTATGGCTACCCTGGGGAATGGAGAGGAAAGAGGGAAAGGAAGGGATGGAGTGGTGGAGCAGCTATTACTTTGCAACAGTACCCTATAGTTTTCAATGGGTTTTCCCTAGACAGGTGAGTCTGATGAACTGAAACCAGGTCATGTGCCCAAGACCTCACTACCAGAAGGGCTGAGAAAGTGGGTACTGCCCTTTCCACTTCTCCTCTCCTCCAAGACTCTTGGGGTGGAGAATTCCCCAAATATAAAAAGGAGTTTTAGATAGTGGGTCTCCAATAAAAGAAAACATCTTCCTCCAACTCAGCTCATTGCAGAGTATAGCTTTCCCAAAGAAGCTGGCAAAAATCCTCCACCCAGGCCCAGGTGACATTTTTCACCTCTCTAGCTCCCCAGATCCTAGAAGCAGGGCCATCTCCCACCAAGCACCTACCACATTTCCATCCTGCTCCTCCACATGCCATTACAGGCAAAACTTTGAGGCAGAAAAACACGCTGAAAATCAGCCTGCAAATGGAACCCTTTCATGTTGCCCGTGATCGGCAGCTAGGAAGGTGAGATCAGATATGGAAGTGTTTGATGAGGTTAAGCCCATTTCCAACCCTTTATTCTGGCGTTTAAAACCATCATCTGTTTTAAGAAGTGAAGGGCTTTAATGTGCAGGGGGTAGAGAAAGAACCGGGCTCTTACTCCATGGAGAGCACCAGGAGGCAGAAGCTGTGGAAAGTTCTGGAACTTTTTTCCTCTGACTCCATAAGGGGGAGAAGCCCCTACCTGCTGAGCTTTAAAAATGGTTGCTAATGATCTACAGCTGTGCTGAAATACAGACCTGTGTTAATTATAAATACGACTGGGGCAAGTATAGGATTGATGCATCTCCTTGGAGACACTGAGCCTAAGTAGGCCCCTTCCCAAAACAGAAACAAAAGGAAACAGATGTGTGTTCTTCCTCTGTTGGTGGGTTGGCCCCAGAGCCCTGCTAAAATCCTATTTTTTCTACAAAGCTCTCACTGATGAGTGACTCCTTGCTCTGTATCTCCCAGAGCATCTGTCGTCTATACCATTTGTTTCTTCCTTAGTATAGATCATTTATTTGTTAATTTGCTTATCAAACCCTTATTAAGCCATGCTATATGCTACTCAGAAGGTTTGAGGTGGAATGCCCCTGGAAGATCTTCTTACATACAGTGAAACTGAGACAACCCTGGAGATTTAATCAGGGGTAGGGGTGGGGAATGACTGGCCCAAGGTCAAACTCTCTTGGTGGGTCCTCTGGGTGACCACAGCTCTCAACAAACTGGTCCCTGTTAATATCTTCCCTCCGGGCTCTGTCTTCCAGAGAAGGCTACTACCATGCCCTGTGATCTATTCACAAGTCTCTCCACCCAATCAGACTGATCTGTGGGCTCAGATCAGTGACTCTCAACCCTGGCTGCCTATTGGAATCACTTGGGGAGATTTGAAAATTATTTATGCCTAGATTCTACCCCAGGGATTTTTATTTCACCAGTATGGTGTGTGGCCTGGGCATTAGGAGTTTTAACACCATGACCAGCTCCCTCCCACCCCAGTAATTCCAATAAGCATTCAAGGTTGAGAAGCACTATTCCAGAGCACTGCTTCCCAAACTTCAGTGTGCACACACATCACATAGTGATCTGGCTAAAGTGCAGATTCAGTAGGTCTGGGCTGCAGCTCGGGATTCTGCATTTCCAACAAACTCTCAGGTGATGCTGATGCTGCTGGACTTTGAACTGTACTTTGCATAGGAAGGCTCTAGAACAGTGTTTCCCAACTCCAGAACTATTGACATTTTGGCCTAGATAATTCTTTGGTTGGAGCAGGAGGTGCAGAAGGCGCTGTCCTGTGCATTGTAGTATGTTTAGCAGTAGCTCTCTCTACTCACCAGCTGCCACTAGCACCTCCCCAAACTATGGCAAACAAAATCTCCCCAGACAACACCAAATATTTTCTGGAAAGAACACAATCACCCTCGGTTGAGAACTACTTCTCTAGGGGACAACTGTTGAAGCTTAGCATCTTTCACTTTTCTATCTACTGACCCAAAGTCCTTTTACCATACCTCATTACCTTGTTAACTATTTTTTCACATATATCTTATTTACTCGTTTATTAATTGCTTAAAAGTAAAGATTACATCCTATCTGTTCATTGATCAGTAATTCAACAAATACTTAGTGAGTGCCAAGGAATGCATTAAACTCAAAGATGACAACAAAGGTAGCTAAAAGCTGTGCGTGCAAAATCCTCTCAATCTTCGATACATTCCTTGGAGGTAGGTCCTGGAGTTAGCCCCGTATTACAGATAAGGCAACTGAGGTCAGAGAAATTAAGTAACTTGCCCCAGATCACACAGCTAGTAAGTTATAGAAATAAAATGCAACAATTAATAGGATATAGATTCTTCCTAGTGGAGTCCATAGTCATGCAGACAACATAAATACCCATGCTCCTGACTCTTTCTCTGTGTAATGAGCACTAGATCAGCATCTGGGGCAGAGGGCACACACAAAGAAAATGGTCAGTTCTGCAGGAGGAGTGGGAGGGAGGAAGGAGAAGACCTCACACAAGGAGGTAACAGTTGAGCTGCGTCGGGAGGAATTTCATAATTATAACCCTCACCAGAGTGGGAACTTCTCAAGGGTTCAAGAGACAGTCTCTTGTTTATTCTGTCATTAGTTCCTTGCATGGTACTGGGCACACAGTAGGTGTTCAATAAATATTTGGTGAATAAATGAACAAAGCAGAGAACAGCACCAGTAAAAGTGCGGAGGTGTGTAAGCAGGTGATGTGCTTGAAGAAGCAAATGGGCCAGCAGCCCAGGCGTTAGGTGAAAGGGGAGAGAGCCGGGCAGTCTCTGCCATTCCGACCCCTGCACTCTGCAGTCTGGTTTCCTCTCACCATGCGTTGGGGTAAGGCAGTGTGGTTTGGGGAAGCTCTAGGGAAGTGCCTCCCAGCCCCCTGTGCTCCTCTCTTAAAGCACAGGACTCCCTGTCTCAGGATGGGACAAGTTTCTGATGAGTACAGGGAAGTAAGATAAAGCAGCAGCTGCAATTAGCATATGGGGAAGGAATCATATCTGTTTTGTACTCTTTTTTAAAAAATCTTACTATCCCAGTAGATGTCTCAGAGAGAGACTACCAGACATATTGTACCTCCTGGTGAAAGGACACAAAACCACCTAGGAATCTGATCCAGGCCCCCAGGTGGAATGATTAATTTATAAGAGATTTGGAGGATAGAGGAGCATGTCAAACTTCACCATGGGGATTAAACCAACAAAGTTCAGACTGTGGGGAGCTCCATGGGACGAATGACTTTGTTTTTGGAATAGATTAATTGTAAGGGAGGAGAAATAAGAATGAGACTCTATAAATTACAAGATACTTAGGAACATTTCAACCATTTGCAATGTGTAGACTTTTTGAGTCCTGGTTCAAACAACTGTAAAAAAAAGAAAAAACAGGTGGGGCCAGGCACGGTGGCTCATGCCTGTAATCCCAGCACTTTGGGAGGCCGAAGTCGGTGGATCACTTGAGGTCAGGAGTTCGAGACAAGCCTGGCCAACATGGTGAAACCCCATTTCCACTAAAAATACAAAAATTAGCTGGGGGTGGTGGCACACACCTGTAATCCCACCTACTGGGAAGGCTGAGGGAGGAGAATTGCTTGAACCCAGAAGGCAGAGTTTGCAGTGAGCCAAAATCGCCCCGCAACACTCCAGCTTGGGAAACAGAGTGAGACCCCGTCTCAACAACAACAAAAACAACAACAAAACAGATAAGACAGGTGGAAATTTGGACACTGGATATTTGATGATATTAAGAAATTACTGTTAAATTTTTAGGTGTGATAATGGTTTCGAGGTTATAATTTTTAAAGATCCTTTATCTTTTAGAGGTCCATACTGAAATACTTACAGATGGGATGTTAATGTCTGAGAGGAAAAGGGTGAAAACAGATGGCACAAGATCGGCTCCAAGCTGGTAATTATTGAAGCTGGGAAATGGGTACACAGGCTTCACCGTACTATTCCATTTTTATTCCTTTTTTTTCAAAGTTTTATTGAGGTACAATTTACCATACAACTCATTCATTTAAAATATACAACTCAAAGACTTTTAGTACATTCAGAGTTGTGCATCCATTATCACTGCCGATTTCATAACATTTTCATTACCTGAAAGAGAAATGCCCCTTAGCCATAACCTCCCAATTCCACCCTACCTCCTCCGCCAGCCCTAGGAAATCACTCTTCTACTTTCTGTCTCTATGTATTTGCCTATCTTGAACGTTTCACAGAAATGGAATCCTGCAATTTATGGTCCTTTGTGACTAGCTTCTTTCACTTAGTATCATGCTTTCAAGGTATAACCATATTGTAGCATGTATCAACACATTTCTTTTTATTGCCATATAATTATCTATAATATGGATATACCACATTTTATTTCTCAATTTATCCACTGATAAACATTTAGGTTATTTCTGCTTTGAAGCTATTATGAATAATGCTGCTCTGAACTTGTGCACAAGTTTTTGTGTGGACATATTTTCATTTCTCTTGGAAATCTACAATCATACATCTAGGAATGAAATTGCTGGATCATATGGTAACTCCATGTTTAACCCTTTAAGAAATTGCCTGCAATCCCAGCACTTTGGGAGGCCGAGGCGGGGGGATCATGAGGTCAGGAAATTGAGACCGTCCTGGCTAACACAGTGAAACGCTGTCTTTACTAAAAATACAAAAAATTAGCTGGGCATGGTGTCGGGCGCCTGTAGTCCCAGCTACTCGGTAGGCTGAGGCAGGAGAATGGTGTGAACCCAGGAGGCGGAGCTTGCAGTGAGCTGAGATCGCGCCATGGCACTCCAGCCTGGGTGACAGAGCAAAACTCCGTCTCAAAAAAAAAAAAAAAAAGAGAGAAACTGCCAAACTATTTTCCAAAGTAGCTGTGCCATTTTACATTCCTACCAGAAATATCCTATTTTTATATACAATTCGAAATTTTCCATCATAAACTTGATTTTTTACAAACAACTTACCCTCACTGGCTGGAAACCACCAATGCATCATCACCATGTCAACCACTATGACTTTTTCTAACATGTCCGTGTCCATTTTATCGACATGGGCACTCTGATATGAGATCATGAATCACTGTCATTTTTAATACCTTCCTTTTTGTTAGGGTTTTAGACATAGACTTTCTCCATTTCATTTTTGGGGGCACAGCCCCCGAAAAAAGCCCAAAAGATTAGAATCAGTAAATGACCTAAAGCAAGTTCCCAGAGTGGAGGGAATTTGAGGCAGAAGTCTCCGCCCCGCAGTGAAGCTAAGTAAATGCTTGCATGATGACTGCCCCAAGATAATTACATAAAATGAAGGCCACGAAGGAAATAATTGCCAATGTAAGATGCAGGGAGGAGAGACAGTCTTCGGAGCCCCAAGGTTAAATGCTGGGCCATAAAGAGATGTAAACAAGAGAAATCTTTCAGCACAACAATTTGGGAAGTAATGGCACACGGAGTCACATTCTGCAGGTGTACAGCAAGCACTTGGCTGCATTATGCCCTCCCAGGTTTCCATTTTCTCTTGTCAAGAGGTCTTTGACTGAAGACACAATTGTCTTCTAAAGAAAGGCTGAAAGGCCATGTGAATGACTTGAGTGATAGGCTGTAACATCTTGGATGCTCAAGAAAAAGCAATGCTAATGGATTTGTACACTAAATAACAAGAAGAGAAGGGGGAGAGGCCCCACCTCGGCCTTGCCACAGCACATCTTCCGAGACATTGCTGCAGAAGCCAGGCTTTGGTTTAAAAAATAAAAGTCCCTCCCTAGTGAGGACAAAGGATATCTGGGTTTCTGAGAGTCTGGACCTGACTCCCCTTCCTCCTTACAGTCAGCCTGGACTGAGCTTCCTTTCTCAAATTCTCCAAAGACCTGGCAGGTATTCCCTCAAAACCCAAGGACAAGTAAGCTTCCCAGCCAGCCTCCCACAAACATGCTCTGACCCAGGCCTAAGGTAGCCCTCCCCTTTCTGGTGTACCTGATAGCAAAGCATCCTGAGTGATCTCCCAGCCTGCCAGGTGAAACGGTCCGACCCTTCCTAGAAGTCTACGAGGCCCCTAGAATGCTCAAATGAGCACTGTCACGGGATAATACCATGAACGGCATGTCATAGAATGCAGGCACCGCAGAGGACCCCAGGGTCATCCTGGTCCAAAACCCTCCCCTTAGAAACAAGGACACTGAGAACCAGAGAGGGTCCGCGACCCTACGGGGTCACATGATCAGCTCATGTCAGGCTGTGGGATTCCACCCCTTTCTCTCACAGAAGCGGGAGTTCACTGGAGAAAATAAAAAATATCACTTAAGATGCCTATCTCTATTGTATCTGACTCCAGGGATGAGACAGGACAAAGAGATCTAAGATTTTTATATTCTAATATTTAGATAACCATAACCTAAAACTACATCTTTTGGTAGCCGTTTTCTTGTTTGTTTTGTTTTAAGATGGAGTCTCACTCTGTCACCCAAGCTAAGTGCAGTGGCATGATCTCGGCTCACTGCAAACTCCACCTCCTAGGTTCTAGCGATTCTCCTGCCTCAGCCTCTGGAGTAGCTGGGATTACAGGCGTGCCACCACACCCGGCTACTTTTTGTATTTCTGGTAGAGACGGGGTTTTACCATGTTGGCCAGGCTGGCCACAAACTCCTGACCTCAAGTGATCCACCCACCTCAGCCTCCCGAAGGGCTGGGATTACAGACGTGAACCATCGCACCCAGCCTTGATAGCCTTTACTGCAGCTTTAATTGTTCTTGTGTAGGAATATGGACAATGGCCTTTTGGAGGCCATAAGGTCCATCTCTCTGTATATAAATGAGGAAACTCAGCCCCAGAGAGGAAGTGGCACAGACACAGAGCTAATCCTGCTTCAGTGTCCCAGTGCTCGGGAAGGGCACCACCCACCATCCCTCTTGTTAAAGGAACTGGAAACCAAGGACACACCCTTGAGAGGCACCATCACCACCAGCACCCCATCCAATCTATCCCCAATCTGCCCCTCCTATGTCCTCTGCATTTCCTGGGCCACCCGCTAGAGCAGGCTGTCACGGCCTCTGCTTCACCACTTCACTGTGTTCCCCATTTAAAACTCTTCAAGGACCCTAGCAATAAAGCCCAAATCCTGATGTCCAGCAGGTGCTGCCTGGCCTGGCTCCTGTGTGAGCCTCCAAAGTCAT
Source organism: Homo sapiens (assembly GCF_000001405.40). NCBI lineage: Eukaryota > Metazoa > Chordata > Mammalia > Primates > Hominidae > Homo > Homo sapiens. The sequence continues at coordinate 113,235,438 of NC_000010.11, read as the reverse complement.
CTTGGTCCACTCCCCACCCCCATTCTCCTTGTTCAAGCCACACTGACCACCTGTCCAACCTTCAAATACAACATGTTCCCTTCCACCCCCAGACTTTTTCAAGATTGCTGTTCCCTCTCTGGAAAGTTCTCATCCTGCTGCTCACTCGATTCGCTTATAGATTTTGGTTTGTGTTCTTCAAGGAAGTCTTCTCTGGCCCCAGCACCGGGTGAAGCTCCTGTGCTTAATGCTTTCGGAGCAAAGCTTCTTTCCTGGAGAACTTTCATCTGGTGTAGAATCATATGCTTATTAGTGTGAAGGGGTGAACAGAGTCTGTTTCCCTAGGCAACAAGGATGAAATTGGCTTGGTTTCACGATTATTTCCCAGTGCCTAGCATAGTTCCAGGTACCAGGTATATTAGTCTGTTCTCTTGCTGCTAATAACACATACCTAAGACTGGGTAACTTATTTAAAAAAAAAAAAAAGAGACAAAGAGAGGAGTTAATTGACTCACAGTTCCACATGGCTGGGGAGGCCTCACAGTCATGGCAGAAGAGGCAAAAGGCACATCTTACATGGTGTAGGCAACAGAGAGCATGTAAAACCATCAGATCTTTATAAAACCATCAGATTTCCATGCCACTGCGCTCCAGCCTGGGCAAAAGAGCGATACTCCATCTCAAAAAAAAAAAAACCATCAGATCTCATGAGACTTATTCACTGTCACAAGAACAGCATGAGAAAGACCCACCCCCATGATTCAATTACCTTCTACCGGGTCACTCCCATGACACATGGGAATTGTGGGAGCTACAATTCAAGATGAAATTTTTGTGGGGACACAGCCAAACCATATTACCAGGTATGTTTTCAGTCATTACATGGCTGTATGACTGGGACAGTTGTTAAGATATTGAAATGTTTCTGTATCCATTGGCAATTAACCACTGCCCCAAACCTTCCCAGTGCTCCATGGTACCCCAGCTAACCCATACCCTCCTCTGGACCTTTTGGACTCCCCATAATCCAGTAATCAAAGAGTTAATGTGTGGCACAGTGCTCAGATAGTGACAGCTAAATGTTTTAAATATCACACCAGCCTGCATACAGCAGACACTTACTAATCATGGGTTGACTGAAAGAATCATGGTAGAGCTAGTGTTTCAGTCCAGATCGCTCAACTCCCTGTTAGTTATCTTTCTGCTTTGTCCTGCTGTTCCCCGCCCCAGCCCCCAGTTGACATAAAGGGCTTTCTTGGCAAGCTCCAGAAGGTGACATGGTCCTGTTCACTCATGGGTCCTTCTGAGCATCCCCACTCCCCACTCAAGCCTTCAAGAGCACTACAGCAGGTGCAGGCCTATACCTGCCTGCCTGGGCTGTGAAGTCCACGGCATATGGTTGGCACCAGGAGCAGAGGCAGCCAGGTACCCTTGCCTCACCCTCTGCTGAAATTCTCTAGGGAATCCCCACTTCAGCAGAAGTCATGTGACCTTGGGAACTCCATTCACCATTTCAAAAGTATATGACCACCTAAATACCAACTCTTCACACCAGGCAGTCTTCCCTCTGAAGGAGCAAGGTGAAAGAAGGAAAATTTTTCTTTCATTAAAGAAGATACTTGGCCTGGGTGCAGTGGCTCACACCTGTAATCCTAGCACTCTGGGGCCCAAGGTAGGAGGATCACTGGAGTCCAGGAGTTTGAGATCAGCCTGGGCAACATACAGAAACCCTGTCTTTACAAAAAAAAAAAAAAAAAAGTTTTAAAAATTAGCAGAGCATGGTGGTGTGTGTCTGTAGTTCCAGTTACTAGGGAGGTTGAGGCAGGGGAATCACTTGAGCCCGGGAGTTTGAGGCTGCAGTGAGCCATGACTGTGCCACTGCATTCCAGCCTGGGTGACAGAGCAAGACCCTGTATCAAAAAAGACAAAAACAGAAAAAGATACTCAATTGTAGCCATTTTTTATTCTTGGGCCACCCGCATCATGGCGGAGCTCCCTAAGTTCTGAGCATTGAGAAGAAGGCAGTACCTTTCTTAGTTTGAGTTTCCCCAAAAGCAGAACCTAGGTATAAGTTGTTTATTTGAGAGTTGAGCCAAGAAAGCACTAGAGGGAGAAAGAAAGTGAAACCATAAAGAGGGCGCTAATGGACTAATGATCAGGCTACATTTGCAGGCAGCTGGGCTCAGTCTCACAACAGACCTGAGAGACTGTGGAGGTCGCTTCTGAATTGTCTGTTAAAGGGACAAGGAAGCTGCAGTAGTTATCCACCAATTCCTATCCATCATTGATTGAGAGGGTCCTTCTGGGGCATTCATTCCCTGGCACTTTTGGCTTGCCCTGTGATCTGGCCAAGTACAGTCAGGAGCCATTGGAGTATCTGGGAGCTGTCTGCTGGAGACCTCACTCAGGGTCAAGGGGATATGTGTGGGGACTCCAACAGCACCAGCTAGAGAATTCAAATGCCTTAAAGCGGAAAACTCTTACAGGCCACCAAGGAAGCTTCCCACTGAGCAGTGTGGTGAAGTGGGAAGAGCTTGGTCTTTGAAATCCAAGCCTTGAGCTTGAATCTTGCTATATTTACTAGCTGGGCCACTGGGTGAGTTTAAACGATGTCTCTAAACATCGTTTTTTTCATCTGTAAAGATTATACTAAAGATTAAGTTAAATGCTATATATAAAGTGGTACTAAACTGGGCACATAGAAAGTATAGTTCTGGAACATTATCAATGATAATTGACATAACAATAATTACTATTTAAATAAAGTAAATCTTGAGTTTCTCATGATCTAGAAGGCTCACAAAGCTGAGGATTTAGGAAGGGTAATGTCTGCTCTATTTAAAGGTAGGAGTAGACAAGTTTAACCTTTGACTTTCTTTAATTCATTCACTCATTTCTTTGTTCATTCAAAAAATATTTATTAAGACTGCATCTCCATTACCTCATCAGCAAAAAAACAAAAAAAAAAAAAAACAAAAAAAAGAGGGTTGTAATCATTGCTGCAACAATTATTTCCCAAGTAACTTCTAGCATTTACCTTCTTTCAACTTTCAATTATTCTTTTCAGGAAGACAACGGACTATAATGGAAAAAAAAAAAGGTATAATGGTGCTTAAATGCTAATTCTGCCCACTTAGTAGCCACATGACTTTGAGCAAGTTTCTTATCTGTTCCATATTTCTTCATCTGTAAAATGGGTATGATACTGACCCCACAGGGCTACTGCAAAACTCAAAAGGAACAGCATCCTATAAATCTCTTACGGTGTCAGGCACATAATAGGAACTCAGCATTGTTGGTTCCATCTTATCTCCAGGGTACACGTGGTCCAGTAGCCAAATGTTTAGGGGTTTTAAGCAGGTAAACATTTCAGATTTCTGGGTAGAAATGAGAACAATACAATGAGATATAATTGGAGCTGAGCTTATCAGCAACGCGATTATGCTACTTGAAAGTGCAAGGCCTGCTGAGGCGTGACGCTCAAGTTTGAGTCTTATTCAGCTAGTCTTTCCTCACTCCCAACACAGTGCCTGCACATAGTAGGGACGTTATCATTATGTGTTCATAAGTAAATAAAACAAACAGGCTGCTTTTCCGAACAGAAGAGCACAACAAAAATATACTTAAAAGAAGACACCATGGGCAAAACCAAGATCTTTGAAGCCAAGTACGATAGCATTTCTTTGTTTTGTTTTGTTTTTTGTTTGGGGGGATTTTTTTTGAAATAGGATCTCACTCTGTCTCCCAGGCTAGAGTGCAGTGGTGTGATCTTGGCTCACTGTGGCCTCAACCTCCTGGGTTCAAGCCATGCTCCCACCTCAGCCTCTCCAGTAGCTGGGACTACAGGCACACACCACCACACCCAGCTCATTTTTTGTATTTTTTGTAGAGACAGGGTTTCATCATGTTGCCCAGGCTGCTCTCAAACTCCTGGACTCAAGCAATCTGCCTGCCTTGGTTTTCCAAAGTACTGGGATTACAGGTGTGAGCCATCATGCCCAGCTATGGTAGCATTTCTTGCTACCCAGTGACAAGCCAGGTGGGTACCTGATTCAATAATGACCTAGCTAAATGGAATAAAATGTCTCCTAAGACCAAACTGTCCCTGCACTGTAAATACAAATCACTTTACTAGTAGGCCCTATTCTAAAGAGAACCATTAAGCTCCTAATCATTTAATATATATATCATTTAGTCTAAAAGGCAGAAATCCGAAGAAGCACAAAAAGCAGAAAACTGCAGTGTCTTACTACTCAAAGCATGGTCCACCGAGCAATATCAGCATAATGTGAAAGCTTGTGCAGAAAGGCAGAAGCTCAAGCCCTGCCCCAGACCTGCTGGATCAGGATCTGCAGTTTACAAGCCCCCCTAGTGATTCTCGAATGTGGGACACATCGACACTGGTTTTATAACTTGGCTGCACATCATCTGGGGAGTCGTTTTTGTTTTTTGTTTTTGTTTGAGACAGGGTCTCACTGTGTTGCCCAGGCTGGAGTGCAGTGGTATGATCTCCACTCACTGCAAAGTCTGCCTCCCGGATTCAAGCGATTCTCCTGTCTCAGCCTCCCGAGTAGCTGGGACCACAGGCACCTGCCACCACGCCTGGCTAATTTTTGTATTTTTAGTAGAGACAGGGTTTCACCATGTTGGCCAGGCTAGACTCGAACTCTTGACCTCAAGTGATCCACCCACTTGGGCCTCCCAAAGTGCTGGGATTACAAGCGCAAGCCACCTTGCCCGTCCTATCTGGGGAGTTTTTTAAAAATATTGATGCCTGGGCTCCACCTCCAAGATGCTAGGTTATTTGGTCAGGAGTGCAGCTTGGACGAAGTTATTGTTTAAAAAAAGAAGAAAGTGATTTGAATCCCTCCAGGGAATTCTAATTTGCAGCCCAGGTGGAGTTCTCTGCCTGGACCACCACCAGGCAGCTAACGCAGGGAAAGGACCCATTTTCTTGGGTAGAATTACCTCCCTGAGTTCTTCATGGTACCTTGTATCTGGCCATGAGGAAGGTGGCTTTCCTGTCATCTGGGGGCCAGGCCCCCCCCTACTGAGAGGAGAAAGAGTTAACCCAGAATCCAGCCTTCCCACTCCCCGTTTCATGTGTGCCTGTCCTCTGCTGAGCCCCATTCGCAGCCCTGTAGCTTGGACATCTGGTTCCATTCCTTGGAAACGGCTCCTTTTCTCATTGCTTCCCTCTCCTCAGGGATAGCTTTCCTGATTCCTGCCCAGAAGGATGACCTGGGGGCAGCAGGATCTAGCCCCGGAATGTCCCCACAGCCTCCTCCCAAGTCCAGACTTCCAGGTGGGGTTTTTGAAGTGATTACATCAGCCCGTTCATCAGAAATGTTCCAACCCTCCCAGGAATCTCTCTGGGACAAGTACAAGGTTCTGGCTAATTTTAAACATAATTAAAAGATTTTCTTCCTTTCTTTCAAGGCATGCTCAATTTCCATAGCCCTCCACTCCTTGGGATATGGTTCCTCTGAGGTCTTTTTTTTTCCTTCAGTTTTTCAGATTTTTTTTTTCCCCCAAATGTGAACACTTGCAACAGATTCAAATCCTTTTTGCTTATTTGGCCCAGTTTATCAGCAGATAGTATTTTTACAATGCAGAAAGGTTTTTAATGGGATGTGGAAAATGTCTTTTTCCCTGAAACACTAATAATTTTTAAAAATCCCTTCTTTTATTTTCTTCAAATTGCTTTTTATAACCCATTCAGCATTTTCAGGGACATAATTAAAACATCAAACAGTTTTCCTGCTGGTTATGCTAAAATTTGAATACTTGAGGCAGCCACTATTATTAGATATTAAAATGGACTTGAGTATTTATTAAAAAGATCCTCTTAAGTAACTATTCATTTGGGTTTGCTCCGTTTAATATAAAGACAACCCCCATAATGTGAAAATACCTGTTTCTAATAAAGACCTTAATTGGTAGCAGGAGGATATTTTTCAAAAATATAAAATATGTATTTTGTTCACTATTTTTCCAGCTTAATGTGACTAATTTCCCCATTCAACTTTATCCCTAAGGAAAAATACATAAAGAAAGGCCATTACCAATACATGAAGCTCAGTAGTTTGCTTTCGTTGGACGTAATTGCTATCAAGAAGACTAGTAGCTGGGTAATTTTGCTTTAAATGAGTACACAGCCTGAAAAACGATAAATTAACCTTCGCAGGACTGAAATTAGATTCCAGTGAGTGAATGTTCTAGCTCAACACACACTAAGTCCAGGGAAGGGGAAAATGTTGCCTGGGAAGAAAAGCTGGTGAAATGCTAAGCACTCATGTTGGGGGAGAACAGGGGAGCCAACATGGAGAAAAAGAAAGGGCAGGCCAGGTGCGGTGGCTCACGCCTGTAATCACAGCACTTTGGGAAGCAGAGGCAGGTGGATCACCTGAGGTCAGGAGTTCAAGACCAGCCTGGCCAACATGCTGAAAGCCCATCTCTACTAAAAATACAAAAATTAGCCGGACATGATGGTGCATGCCTGTAGTCCCAGCTACTCGGGAGACTGAGGCTGGAGAATCGCTTGAACCTGGGAGGTGGAGATTGCAGTGAGCCAAGATGCACCAGTGCACTCCAGCCTGGGCGACAGAGAGTCCGTCTCTAAATAAATAAATAAAACAAGGGGCAGAAATGGTGGAAACCACAAGCATTTGTTTCTCTTGCTTTTTCAAGGGTTTGTGGACACTTTCTAGATGAATCATTTTCTCTTTTCACAAAACCCTGGCAAGCTTCTCCGAGACAAAAGCAGATCAGGTCAATTCATTCGACCCACTGTGATTACCGGCATATGACATGATAGAGCCATGTCTGATACACAAGGAATAATGGTGGGACGAACTTGTAAATGACATGTGAGAATCAGCCCTTGTCTCCCTGGAGCTTACTAAAGAAAGCAAGACTAGCAAGCAAATCTAGAATACAAGATGGTGTGGGCCAACTATCTTTTGAATGGCACAGAGTAAATTCTTTGGGTTTGGGACACAACAGAACACAAGTCTTCTCGGTGGAGATAGCATTGCCCTGACCTTGATAAACAAGTCAGCTAAAGAAGCTGTGTCCTGTTAAGTCCTCAGAAATTCCTACAACACTGGAGGGTGGAAACTCCTGGGATTTCATGCCTTCGATTTTGCCTACCTGAACTCACACTGTTGAGTTCAGTCCTTACTTTTTCTTTTATATATTTATTTATTTATTTATTTATTTATTTATTTATTTATTTAAAGACAGAGTCTTGCTCTGTCATCCAGGCTGGAGTGCAGTGGCGTGACCTTGGCTCACTGCAACCTCTGCCTCCCGGGTTCAAGCGATTCTCCTGCCTCAGCCTCCCGAGTAGCTGGGACTACAGGCACTTGCCACCATGCCCAGATAATTTTTTTTTGTATTTTTAGTAGAGACAGAGTTTTGCCACATTGGCCAGGCTGGACTTGAACTCCTGATCTCAAGTGATCCACCTGCCTTGGCCTCCCAACGTGCTGAGATTATAGGCGTGAGCCACTGTGCCCAGCTAATCCTTACTTTCTCTGTGAGATGGAAGAATGATCAGATGATCTGCAAACATTAACTAAATGTCTACCCTGCACCAGAAACTTAAATGCTGTGGAGAAATGAGAAGAGAAGAGATAACAAATTTAGCATCTGCGACTGGCAACTTAAAGAACAGGGTGTATACCACCCCACCAGCCATCTAAATCTAACAACTGTAGGAAGTATACAATAGGTTCCAAATGAGTGGCACAGTTGCTGATGCTGTGAAAAGTGAGGACAGGCGTCACCCCCCAGGTTCTGGCAGCTGGGAGAACTAGCTTAAGAACATAGATGAATTCGAAGCTGGTAAAGACACTAAGACCCTTCTCTAGGTGAAGAATGCTAACAGGGAAACAAGAGGCAAGGAGGAGAGGAAGACTCATTCCTTGGCTGAGATGCTATTGGCACTTTCAAACCAGAGAGCAGATAGTTTCAAAAAGGAGGGAAAGACTTCCCAAGAGAACAATTCCCTCTCCCTTTCCCTGCTTCTTCTGTCCTTTCTAAGCATACCCCAGTCTGCAGCCCTTATCCAATTTGATGCTGCTGGCCAGCGTTATCTGGGGAGGAACAAGGGCTGGGAAAGGCTCCCTTGCCAAATTCTTCTTGATGAAAGCCTTTCCGTTCTCAGTTCCATAACCCCCACCCACTTGGAGGGCTGGCCCAAACTTCCAGGACCCAAGGTTAAGGACCCTGCACCGCAGGTGGGAGCACAGCTGGGCACATCTCAGCCCGTCCCATGGCCTCTCAAATAGACCTGATGGATGGTAAAGACAGAAGAAGAGGCAGAACTCTACAGAGCCAATGCCAAACACATATCTAAAGCCAAAGAATTTTGTTTCGCTACCCTTCGTTGAAGTAAAAACAGCTCCAAGAGTATTCCCTGGAGTGTGAGATGGTTCTCTCACATACGGGGTTCAAAGACACTGTGAGGCGTGTAGCATAGCTGAAAGTGTCTGTATGTAATAATGCCTTTATGATGTTGTTTTGTTTCTGGCTTGCCTGTACCTGAATTATCTGAAGACATTGTTTGAGGCTATGAAAAAATATGAATAATATTAGGCCTTGAGATCAAAAATCATTTTTTACTTCCATGGTTGTTAGCTGCCAATATCCCACGCACAGCTCTCAATTTCCAAAGCAGCAGTGAAATGCTGGAGAGATCAGGTGAGGGGTTTTTTTATTTTCCTTTTTCTTAGTTTTATTTTTGTTATTATACACCGGTCTTGATTTTTGAAACTGTTGAAAACTGTTTGATGTGGCAAAAACCAATCATGGGAGGGAAACCACAATTTAAGTGTGAGATAAAAAGGAACTATGCGTACATGTATGATGAGATGTTCACCCAATGGAAAAAACCGTTCACTGCCTTCCAGGACGGCCTCATGTGCTCCATTAACCCAGCGTCTCTCGAGAGGAGATGCCGCCAAGGATCAGTGATCAGCTCTGGCTGGAGAGCCAAAGAAGGTTTTCCATGCAAAAACACACATTGCTGGCCCTTCCTTTGAAATGGCGAGCAAGACTCTCTTTTTTTGTCTCTTTTTCTCTTTCATGACTGCTCATTTGACCTGGCCTACTGAAGAACTAAGTTAGAAGTTGAATTATTATTATTATTATTATTATTGTTATTTTTGCCCCTTTTGCTTAATCCACGGGCAGTGCTCAGCCCATGTTCCAATAAACATTAAGGACCAGAGTCACAGCTGACAGGAGTTTTCCTTGGGTTGATACGCTTTCAGACGTAGGCTCCAGGATCCACTACATCTAATCCTCCAGGATGTGCCGCATCTAGCATCTAACACGAGAACTCTAACATCTGCCGTTCATGATTTCCTGACCGGAAGACTGGGCACCTCGCTTCCAGCCTGGTTTAACCTCTAACTAACTCGGTCACGAGTTTGCACACGTCACTGTGTTTTCTGGGCCTCAATTTCTTTATGCCTTCTCCATTCTCCCACTTATTAAGGCTCAGAGTCAGAAGGTTATTGATGCCTCTGTCTTCATAGGCCACATTCCTAACCAGTTTCTGTCTTAGAGTCATGGCCTCCAACCACCCCTCCTTTCCATCCTGGCTGCCCTTGCCAGGGTTCAGGCACTCACCACCTCTTGCCTTGACACTACTAAGGGGTCCTAACACATCTCCCATCTCCAGTTTCTCCCCCTCTTCCTTCCTCCACTCCACCCTCACACCACTTTCAGATTCACCGCCTTAAACACTTCTCTAATTCTGTCCTTAACCTGTTCAAAGCCCATCAGTGGTTCCCCATTGCCTCTCAGTAAAGGTGATACTGTGCTTCTCACTCAGCCAGTCCCACTCCTCTACAAGCTGCCTCAGCCTCTGTTTTTGTCCCACTGCTCCCCTAAAAGCACCAACTCTCCAGCCAGATAGCACAGCTTGCTTTTCCCACACCCCCTGTGCCTTCTGTCCCCACCCACTCACTCACCCTGAGTTCTCTTTCTGGAGTGGCCTCTACCCACCACCTCCACCTGCACTCCGATCTCTGTAGAGAAAAAGCTTTTCTATTTGCTTTATGTATAAGAAAGCTAAGCAAAACATTATTCATTATTATTCATTATTATGAGAAAATAGAAACAAATTGAATGTCGTATTGGAAAATAGTTAACTTACTGGACAATCATGCATAACTTTATAAATCATGTCTTTGAAGAATATTTAATGATATGTGAAAACCCATTATTCTGCTAAGTGAGTAGACTTCAAAAGTATTTATTCAGTATAAGCCCAATTTTGTGAAATATATATGTGTATGTGTGCAGATGTATGTGCATATGTGTGTGTGTGTGTGTGTGTGTGTACACACACATCAATAAAAATCTGGAAGAATACATCAAAATGTTACTTGTGTTTTCTCTCTGGGTGCTGGGATTATGAGTATTTTAATTTTCTTCTTTATGCTTCTTATATTTGCTATAATGAACTGTATTGTTTTTATTATTTAAAAGTATCAGAAATAAAACAGTGAATAGCCAGGTGCAATGGCACATGCCTGTAGTCCCAGCTGCTTCAGAGACTGAGTTGGGAGGATCACTGACCCCAGGAGTTCGAGGCTGGCCTAAGCAACATAGCAAGATATCATTTCTTTAAAAAAATAAGTGAGCAAATAAACAATAAAAATCCTACCATCGTCCAAATGTCACCTCAAAGTTTACTCTTTCTTCAAAGCCTGTTTTGATGCTGTACTTCATGCCCCCAACCACTGACTTATACCAATTGGATATAACTGTCTCTTCATTTGAGCCCCCTACCATGGCACGTGCTTTGTATTTGAGCTATTGTGTACATCTTTACCCCTCCCTCTCGACTCTGCAGGGCCTGGGAGCAAGGACTCCAAATCATGATTGCCTCCTCACTCAGTCCAGCACACAGCTGAGTGCGCCCTATGAGTGTTTTCCACCTGAGTTGGCCACACTCAGGCTCTATGGCTAAAAGGGTCATTGCCTGGAGAGTCTAAACATCTATATTAACCATCCTAGGCATCTCAGTGCATCTTGTCCTGCAGGGAACTAGGCTGAAGAGACGTAGCTCGAATAACTTCTATTTATTTATTTCTTCAGAAAAGAAGAGAACGGCAGTGTCAACTCACCTCTGGTCTCTTCTTGTTAGCAAGTTCAAGAGACACTTGGCGATATTGACTGCAGAATACAAAGATGAAATTCAAGGGTTCCTAGAGGGTGTCTGTCCGTAGAAACAAAGGACATCCTCATCTTGAAAACGTAAGTAGTAGATGTACAGTCATGACTCATTCCCTTCACCTCCTAAGTCTTGGGCTAGAAGTGTTGGATGTCATAGACTGAGACCAACATGGCCAGCCATCTCACCCTAATCTCTAGTACGAGGGTTTTCCAAGAGTTGTCATCAACTTGGACCTCAATCCACGACTCTGAAGACTCAAAGATCCCCAAGTGCAAGGATGTTCTCTTCCTGCTTCCTGATGCCTTGCCAACAGGAACATTTCTGCAGCCCTTATCATTTCCTTTTCCCTCACCACGCCAGAGAAATGCAGTTAACTGATGTGTATAGGAAGGACTCACAGAAATCACCCAGTTAGATGGTGGCTGAAAAACACAGTGGAGAGTGGAATACATTTCTTCCCACTTTGGAGGAGAACCGGTGTATGGAAGGACAATTTAAGAGTTACCATGAACCTCCAAATATGCCCACCATTTTCCAAGTCTTCTTCATCCTCAGATCCCACTCAAGTTCCTTCCCCATAAGGAAATCCTTTGAGACTATCCATCCATCTATAATCACTTCCTTCTCTGAACCCCCACAGCCAACTCAATACCCACCTTTTGAAGTTTTCTGAAAATTATTGATACTGTAAATAAAGCATCCAACACAGGACTGAACATGTAGTAGGTGTTCAATTATTATCCCTAATAAGAAATTTCGTAGTCTTTATTAGTGCTTATCTCTTTAATTGAATGGGAGCTCCTTGAAGATGAGAATCATGTCTTCAGAAGTAAAGCTTAACTATTTATCCTCATTTGAAAATGGATTGTTCTAGATCACAGGAATTTCCTGGGTAGCTGAGAGTTTAACTCTTTGAGGATGGCACACAGATATCCTCAGATAAATTGGTTCTGACTATTGTACCACAACACCCCCCAACCTTGAGCCCTGACACATAGCAGAGTCTAGAGGGGGTTAAGTCAGTATGTCCAACACTGCTGAGACGTGCAAGGGTTTCTGTGTTTCTTACCACAGAGCAATCCCACATCTCCTACTTCTTCGCTAACTTCTACCTCTCCTCTTTGGGAGTCAGTCCTTTGCTTACTATCATCAAATCTAATCCCTCAACAGCCCCTGTAACTGCTTCTTATCATTGACACTCTTCCTATTTCTCTCTGCAGGCTTCATCCACCTCTTCCTTGTCTCCTCTCAAACACATCTTGGCTCTTGTGTGGAAATGTGTGGCCTCCCCCTCTCAGGTTGCAGCATCGGGGGTCCTCCCTCCTTGGGTCCTCGGGTCCCCACTGTCACTTGCCCTTACTCCCCGAGGAGGTTCTCTTTCTCTAGCTTGAGGCCGGTTCTCACGCTGGACCATGATCATAAGCCTCCAGATAATAGAAGTTTTCACCCTCCTTCTAAATGACCTCCGCTCCTGATAGAGAATTAAAGGTGTTCGATATTCCATAAAAAACTGGCTGGTTGACCCTGCGAAGTAGTTACTGAAGAAACTTCTTACTGCTCAGGACTATCTTTGGCTTCCGCATATAAAGGATCAGTGTGAGCCACAGAAACTTCCCCAAGCTATGCAAGGTTGTGCCAAGTTCTGTGGGGAATAGAAAGTTTTAGGTGAGTTGGTTTGATTTTTGTAATTTCCTAAAGACATTTGACATCAGAAGCTTCTGGGGCTCCAGATGTCTGGGTCTCTGTGGCATGACCCAGCGTGAGGCAAGATGCCGAGAGAACAGACATCGCTCGTTCTGCAGCCCTCTGCAGATAATTAGCATGGCTAAGAAGCAAACAAATTCCTGCCTACTGCTCTATGTGGCTCTTGCGGAAGTCTGGGAGAGAGGGACTTTTTCTTTCTCAGTCGAGGCACGTGGAGGTGACTCGGGAGAGAGGCAGGGAAGATGAAAACGCCGACTTGTGAAGCCACACCGCGACATGCTCTGTGAACTTCTGGTTTGCAAATGAAATTTCTCCCACAGACAATGCAGGCAGCATCAAGCCCTGATTGAAGACACAACTCATGAAAGTCTCCAATTCAGATTTGGAAAAACCTCCAGCCACTGAAGGCAGAAGGCAGAGCTAGAAATAATGAACCACATTAACTAAGAAATCGCAAAAGCCATCTCTATTAGACAGCTGTGCAGGTCAAAAGGAAACCAGACAGGAGACATCAAGAGGAAACTCAGGCTCCCCAGGATAATTGCAGTGCAATTAATCCAGGGTGAGTCACGGCCCTGGTGAAAGTGGGATCCTGCTGCAGTTAGGAGGGAGAGGGTGCTGGGACCATCCCTGGCTCTGTCAGCCGCAATTCTCCTTCCTCACCATCTGTGGCACCCAAGGAAACCGCCTCAGGAAGTAGGTCACTAAGATGACGTCGCTACAAAAGAACCCAGAAATAACACCTCAGGAAGTGCATCTCCTAGACACCTGGATATGGACTGAAAAGCCCATCCCAGGTCTTAGGCCCACTGGGGCTCTGTCAGCAAGTCAAAGTGACAGCAAAAGGGCAGGTAAGGGCAAAATAATGGGCAATGAGTGCCTGCAGGGTGCTAGGTGCTGGATGTGATGCTGTCCTTTCCATAACCCTATGAGCTAAGTATTTCTATCCCCATTTCATAGATGTGGAAACTGAGCCTCAGGTTAAAGAAAAGCAAGCCAGGAGGAAAACACCAGGCAGCAGAGGTCAAGGTTGAGGGTGGGGCATGAGAGGAGAGAGAAGACTAATTAATCTACGAAAAGTCCTCCACATTCTCCTTGCATCTTCCTTGGCCCTTTTCTCCCCTGAATCCTGGACCTCGAGAAAGGCAGAGGTCCCTTTAAGACCTATATTCAAGTCACAGGCAAGATGAAGCAATGCTCCATCCCTCTTTAAGCACGCAACACACGCACCAAACCACAGAGAATGGCAATGCTCCGATTATGGAGTGCATCTATCAACAGGGACACATGATACACAGGCATCCTCAGGAAGACTCTGGGCTAGCAGGTAGTCCTGATGAGGGAGACAGCCACAAACCATGCTTTGAAAAATGCAATCATAGGCCTTTTAATTCCTTGAACTGAAAGTGTGCCAGTTGGGGTTATTAAGCATTTCTCCCTCCTCACCCAGGAGTATCTGTGGAGGTCTGAGAACTTTCTGGCATCCAGAAGGGCAAAAACAGGCCAGTCAAGTGTCCAATGACCACTTCTCTCATGTCAGTGTCCCCGTGGGAAATGGTATTGGAGCTGGCTGCTACCTGCTTTCAACAGCCAATTGTTACATATTTAGAAATTTGCAAACTGGTTGTTAAATCTTAGCAGCTTGAAATCTGCCATGGTGGGCACTAATTACACCGCAGTAATTGGCAAACACTAAAAATCAAGGATTCACGCACACAGAGAACCAGTTTACTGGTTGCAAGTGACAGAAAGGCTAATCAAACCAGCCTGAGTAAGAAGGGAGGCTTCACTTTCTGTCATAACTAGAAAGTCCATGGGTAGAACTGTTTTTAGAGACAGCTGGAGCCAAAAGCTTAAAAGATACCATTAAATCTTTGCCTCTTTCTCCATCTTTTAGCTCTGCCTTTCTCTGTGTTTTGATTTTAATCTGCAGACAGACTTTCTCTATGTGGCAAGGAAGATGGTAACTACCCGCCCTGTATCCACATTGACCCAACCTGTAAAACTCTAGGGGGAAAAAATCATTCTCCTGTTGGCTTTAAAGAAAAGTCCTGAGTGGATTCTGATTAACGTGCAGTCATATGCCCATCCCTGAACTAGTCACGGAGACAAAGGAGAAGGGAGACTCCAATTGGCCAGCAAGGATCATGTGTCCTGCCCTGAGAGAAGGAGGTAGCCACCATGATGGACATTGGGGGATTTTAGAAAACCAAGAGCTGGCCGAGCGCGGTGGCTCACGCCTATAATCCCAACACATTGGGAGGCCAAGGTGGGCGGATCACCTGAGATCAGGATTTCGAGACCAGCCTGGCCAATATGGTGAAACCCCGTCTCTACTAAAAATACAGTAATTAACTGGTCGTGGTAGTAGATGCCTGTAATCCTAGCTACTTAGGAGGCTGAGGCAGGAGAATCCCTTGAACCTGGGAGGTGGAGGTTACAATGAGCTGAAATCATGCCACTCCACTCCAGCCTCGGTGACTCCATCTCAAATCAATCAATCAATCAATCAATCAGTCAGTCATAAAAAACCAAGAGCTAGGGATTGATATTTGAGCAAACTCCATCTCAAATCAATCAATCAATCATAAAAAACCAAGAGCTAGGGATTGATATTTGAGCAACCCCTCTGACTTAGTGAGGCAATGGACAGCAAGGCCCTCTGAAATGACAGGGCCTTTCATTTCAGTGCACTCAGCCCCTCAGTGCACTGGAGTGTGAGAAAGATGGAGGGAGTCTGTGGGAATGAGGCAATGAAGAAAGCTCATGCACAAGGACTTAATCATTGTCAATGCAATCATGGGAAAATGGTAAACATAGGGTATCAGAGTCAGAAAGCTCTGGGTAACATTGGCTACCACCACATGACTAGTCGTAAGGATTCAGTAAAATCCCCACAAACAGAGCTAAGCAGATGTGAGGCATGTTGTGAATGCCCGGTATGCGGTAGCCACCATCGTTGTTATTACCTCTGTCTACCTGTGTGGCCTTAGATTCCTCAGCTATAAAAACAAAATGATGACAATAAGACCTACTTTGTAGGATTATTATGAGGTTCTTCGATGCTGTAGTACAGAGCCTGGCCTATCACGGTTATGCCGTATAATGGTAACTAGCTTGATAAGGTGGAAATATTATTTCTCAAGACGCCCTTGCTCTTGCCTCGGCTCTTTCTTTGAATCATCAAAATACATTCTTGACATTGTTCTTCCTTTCCTCTGAGTGCATTAAGAAATAGTCAAGGAAATAAGACAATCATTTTGTCTCCAAAAAGAACCTTCTGGAAATGTGTTATTCCGGCAGTTTTTCCAGAGTAGGTGGGTTTCATTGAAGGGAAGTCAGATGTTAGCAAATATTTTCTCTCATGCTGATTTCCTGAGAAAATTGTACAAGTTCCTTAAAAGTTAAGAAAAAAATCCTCCATCTCTCTAACTTCAAAAAAGACATTGAAGGAGATGTTAGTGAGGTACACAAGCTCTTTAGCAGAGTAGATAATATCAATTGCATGTTGCTGCTACTTTTGATATTACGTCAATGACAGGAGTGGAGGCAGAAGTAGAAGTTCAAAAAAAAAAAATTCAGAAGAGACAGATGGAAAGAGCTTTGCCACTCAAAGAATAATAAATGTTTGCAATGGCCTACTGGGCAAGGCTGGTGAGGTAAAGACAGTGGGTTCGTTCAAATAGCAATTAGATGCTATCCTGGGGGAAACACTGTATTACAAGAGAGAAGCATCAATGTGGTGAATG
Source organism: Homo sapiens (assembly GCF_000001405.40). Classification (NCBI taxonomy): domain Eukaryota; kingdom Metazoa; phylum Chordata; class Mammalia; order Primates; family Hominidae; genus Homo; species Homo sapiens. Next base: position 113,218,812 of record NC_000010.11, on the reverse strand, counting down.
GCTTTTCACGCTCCTAATACTGCCTATGTTCTTTTTGTACTCTTAAGGGTCTGCAGTCCCAGCAGAATAAGTGAGCACAGAAAGTAGGCCCAGCAGTATGCTCTGAGAAACTGGGCCAACAGAAATAATGCCGTTCAGATAGGACCACAATTTGCAATGCTCAGCCATAACATCCATTTCATTCCCATTGTCTCTTAGGTCTTGAGAGACAAGGATAATGCCAGGGCAGAAAGTGGAGACGATTGCATCCTCAGATCCCCGTTAACTATGCTCAGCTCTGCTCAATTATGCCAATGAAGCCTGCTACATTCCTGGGTTGGGGAATTCAATGTCATATACAAATTGGATATGAGAGTATCCTAAATAAGAAAGGCCATTGGCCAAGTGCCAGAGCTTTTCTTCCTGAAAGTCCATCCTGGTCTTTGACTATCCCAGTTTCAGGGAACTTCATTTCCGTGCCGTTTTCCCAACATGAGTATAAGACAATGTTTTCAGATATTTTCAAAGACACATACTTTCTAGAATCCATTTGTACCGTAGTATTTCACATGTCTACTTTCAAGGTCTTTTAAGTTTTATGTCAAAGACATAATTCAAGTTTACAACACAGCTTCTTTATTTCAATGCTGAGATAAGGCATTAGCAGAGTGCTGTCTCCCAAATCCCATGCCCAAGTCACATTTTAAAAGAATAGGCAGGTGCACATAGAGTCTTGAATATAAAGGAAAAGAGACAGTTAAGGATTGTCAGATGTTTGAGAGGTGCCAATCTCAAACACAAGAACTAAAACTAAGGCAAAAGAAAAACATTTTAGAATTTGTATAATTAAAATTTGCAAAAAAAAAAAAAAATAGAAATATTGGGAATCAAAATTTTGGCCACAAAAATAATTAATATGTAGACCAAAAAACAATGTGAAAGAGATGAAGAGCAAGTTAATCACTTAGAAAACTGAGAGGAGATATTTGTGCAGAATCCAGTGTAAAATGATTATGAGCTCAAAATAGGACAGAAAACAGGTTGCTGCTTTTGCTGATTTCATCTAGTAGGATTGTTGTTCCAGATTTTATCTAATAGAATTTTTAGATGGAAAGAATGAAAGGACAGCAGTGAAAATAAATTGTATTTTAATATTCATTATGCACAATACAAAATAAATTGTATTTTAATAGAAATAAAATTTGTAGAGCTGATCTTGCATATTGATAGGACCCACTAAGTTTGTAGAAAAATAAGATGACTTTAAACTAAACACATCATACAAAACTTCATAAAACTGAGGATAGAATGAAAAATCCTAGAAGCTTTCAGGTATGAAAAAAAATTATCTACCAAAAAACAAGAAAAAATGGAATCAGACTTGAAAATAACATACTGATAGAAAAAACAAAGCAATATCTTACATTTCTGAGAGAAAATAATTTTTTACCTACAGTCTCATATCTACTCAAATTACATTCACCTGGGAGGACAAAATAAATATTTTGTCTGACATTTAGAAAGTCATAAACGTTATCACATTTATATTCTCTTAGTCTCTGAAATAATCATTTCAGCAGAAACAAAAGCAACATGAGCAAGGAGCCAGGCATGGTGGCTCACACCTGTAATCACAGCTACTCAGGAGGCTGAGGCAGGAGGATTGCTTGAGACCAGGATTTCAAGAATAGCCTGGGCAACATAGCAAGACTCTGTCTCTAAAAGATAAAAAATAAAAATAACATTAGCCAGGTATGGCGGCACGTGCCTGTAGTCCCAGTTACTCAGGAGGCTGAGGCAGGAGGATCACTTGAGCCCAGGAGTTTGAGGCTGCAGTAAGCAGCCATGATTGCACCACTGCTCTCCAGCCTGGGAACAGAGCGATACCCCATCTCAAAAAAAAAATAAATAAATAAGCAAGGAGTATATGAGGAATTCAAAACATGGTGTTGTTTAATATATGGTTAAATACAAATAACTATTGTGCATAATGAAATGTATAAAAATTAATCATATTTGGAAAAATCTCAAATCATGCCAACATGAAAACATGATGGGATGGGGAGGCAGGACAATAAAAGCAAGCTACGGTTAATTAATAAAAGCAAGCTAAGATTTTATATATAAGCAATTAATAAAAGCAAGCTAAGATGAACAAAAGATACATACATAAGATTAATAAAAGATAAGATTAATATAAAATATAAGATTAATAAAATATATATAAAATCAATTAATAAAAGCAAGCTAAGATTGTGTGTGTGTGTGTGTGTGTGTGTGTGTGTGTGTGTGTGTTTCTGTGTGTGTACTAACTAGACATTAACAGAGAAAAGGATAAATTATGTGTGTGAAAAGTATATGGGGAGGGTCTCTGGTAATGAGTAGTTCACATTGGTATAAACTCCTTCAGATACCACATGTAAGCCCAACAAAATATATAAAACAATTTTCTGAAGGAAGTGGAGAGGAACCAAAAGCGGGCAGAAACTGAAAGAGAATCAACACCTGGAAAAAAGAAGCAACAATGGGTGAGTTTTCCATTGTTATAGCTCTCCACCTGAAGGCAGTGAGAGGTAGAGCAACTGAAACTTGGATTGAAACCCCTAGTTTCACTAGCTCGAAGATCCACGGGACAGAATTTGTCCACAGAAGCTAAAGAATGAGAAGAAAAATCTGAGAAATAAAACAGCCAGAGAAGAGGAGCCTCAAGTCTATAAATAAGCTATGCTGACTAACTTGAATTATGGTAGCATGAGGAAGACTCCAAGAAGTCCAGCTAAGCCAACAACCACAGGGGACCTAGAGTTTGAAGTTAGAGTTAATCAAGTTAAAGGTCTGCTAAAGCAAAAAATGTCCATGTACTTCAGAAGGTTATAACAACATTCAAAGTCTTTAAAATGTATCGTTTAAAATGTCCAGGACACACACAAAATTGCTAGACATGTGAAGAAACAGGAAAATGGAGTTCATATCCAAAAGAAAAGGCAATCAAGAAAGGCCTTTGCAAGATGAACCCAATATAAAAATTATCAAACAAGGACTTTAAAGCAGCTTTTGTAACTATGCCCAAAAGCATAATGGAAAATATCCTCATATGAATAAACAAAAGCAAGAAATCTCAGCTGAGGAATAGAACTATAAAAAAAAGAATCAAGGAGAAATAGTATAACTAAAAAAAACTAGTTTCTTAAAATGGGATTAACATCAGATTGAATATGACAAAAGGAATAGTCAGTTGCCCTGAAAATAGAGCAAAAAAATGATGGAATCAGAAGAACAAAAAGATCGTTAAGTGAACAGAGATACAGAGATCTGCAGGACACTGTCAAATACGTAATATCACTTGATTGAATTCTCAGAAGGAGCAGGTAGAAAGAATGGGGCAGGAGAAAAATGTGCAGTAATAATGGCCAGGTTTTTTTCCAAATGTGGTGATAAATGTTAAGTTTACACCTACAAGCTCAGCAAATTTCAGGAGGAATAAATACAAAGAAAAATCACAAGGGCACCTTACAGTCAAACTAATGGGAAACAAAGATAAAGAAAAATTGAAAGCAGCCTGACTTCAGTGACACATCAAACAGAAAGAAATAATACAGATTACTCCAGACAGCAGAAAATGTGGAGGCCAAAAGACAGTGGGAAGATATCTTTAAAGTACAGAAAAGAGGCAACTGTCAACCAGAATTCTATATCCAGAAAAATACCTTTCAAGAATGAAGGTAAAATAAACACATCTTCTGATAAACAGAAACTAAAACAACTCATTACCAGCAGTTGAGCTATGAGAAATGCTAAAGGAAATTCTGAGGGTAAAGGGAAATTTGGAACTTCAGGAAAGGATGAAGAGCGTCAGAAGGAGTAAATATTGGGTAACATGAAAAACTATTTTTCTTAATTTCTTTAAAGTATATGCACCTGTTTTAAGCAAAAAATAAAACATGTATTGTGGAAGTTATAACACAAGTAAATGTAATACATATGACAACTGTCTTAGTCTGTTTCTGTTTCTATAAGAAATACCTGAGTCTCGGTAATTTATAAAGAAAAGAGGTTTATTTGGCCCATCGATCTGCAGACTGGATAAGAAGCATTGTGGGGGTTGGGGGGCACCAATATCTACTTCTAATGAAAGCCCCAATCTGCTACCGCTCATGGCAGAAGGGAAAGATGAGGCTGGTGTGTATAGACATCACATGGTAAGAGAGAAAGCAAGAGAGCAAAGAGGTTGGTGCCAGACTGTTTTAAACAACTATCTCTCTTGGGAACTAAAAGAACAAGAACTCTCACACATTACCACGAGATGGCACTGAACCATTCATGAGGGATCTGCCCCCATGACCCAAAATCCTCCCATTAGGACCCATCTCCAACACTGGAGATCAAATTTCAACATGAGATTTGGAGGGGTCAAACAAACCGAACTATGGCCACAACTATAATGTAACGCATGGAGGCTTAACAGACCTATGCATTTACAAAATTCTTAAGTTTTGTGTGAAGTGGTACAATCTGAAAGGCAATTGGGAAAAGATAGGGAAATATGTTGTAATCCTTATAGCTACCTCTTAAAACAAAACTAATTCAAATATATAATAATAAGAATAACATGGAATTCTTAAAATATTCAATAAATCCAAAAGAAGGCCAGAAATGAGCAACAGAGAAACAAAAAAACAGATGAGTAAACGAGTAGAAAAATGGTAAAACAAAATTCAGTCATATAATAAATTATATTAAATGTAAATGGACTAATTAAAAGACAAGATCTAATTAAAAGACACTCTAATTAAAAGACAAGATCATGAAAATAATAACAAAGCAAGGCCCAACTATATGCAGTCAGTAAGAGACACACTTTAAATCTAAAGACCCAGGTAGTTGAAAGAAAATAGATAGAAAAAGATGGATTATGCAAATATCAGGCATAAGAAGCCTAGAGTTATTATGTTATCATGAGATAAAATAGACATCAAGAACACAAAATTTATCACAGATAAAGGGGATTTCCCAATGTGAAAAGCAGCAACATATCAGGAAGACAAAACAATAAGTATAGATTTTTCTGATAACAGAGCTTCAAAAATCTATAAAGCAAAATAGATTTACACAGTCAAATTTACAATCCTGGTTGGAGATTTAACATAGCTTTCTCTCTGCCATTTTATTTATCATTGATAGAAAAACTAGATAGGTAACGAGACATAAATTTCTGAGTAACAGCGTCAACCACATTAGCCTAATTGACATTCAAAGAACACTATGCCCAGCAACAGCAGAACACACATCATTTTTAAGAGCACATGACCTGTTCACCACAATAGACCATATGCTGGAGTTAAAACAAGTTTCAATAAAATTAAAGGATTGAAATCATACAGAATGTACTGTCTGATGACAATAGAATTGGAAATCAAAAACCAAAGAGATCCAGTAAAATTCGAAAATACTTAGAAATTAAATAACATACTTCTAAAAACTTAACGGATCAAAGATATGATATAATAAAACAAGTAGATATTTGGTCATTGTTCCCAGTTCATGGCACAGAGCTCCTGTAACAGTTGGAATTTACAGTCTTTTGTAAGCTAATGAGGTGAATCATGGAGGGCGAGCCCTAGACAGCTTCTAGATGAGAGCCGGTCAACAGAAAAATGAACCACATGATTAGAGTTAGAACTTTCAGCCCTATTCCCCAACCTCCAGAGAGGGAAGAGGAGCTGGAAGTTGAGTTAAATTACCTATGGCCAATGATTCAATCAATGGAGTCTATGTAAGAGGCTTCCATATAAACCCCTAAATGATAAGGTTTAGAAACAAAGTTCTATGTTTCTCCCATCCCCATCCTGTGCCTTGCTGTATGCATTTCTTCCATTTAGTTGCTCTTGAGTTCTATTCTTTATCATAAACTGGTAAATATAATAAAGCACTTTCCTAAATTCTGTGAGTTCTAGCAAATTATCAAACCTGAGGCATGAGTCATGGGAACCACTGAATCTGTGACTACAAATTCTCATGAAGAGAAGTGTGGGCAGCTTGGGGACCCCATTTTTGGCTAGCATCTGAAGTGAGGGCAATCTTGTAGAACTGAGCCCTTGATCTGTGAGGTCTGGACTAACCCTGGTTAGTTAGTATAGTTAGTGTCAGTATAGAATTAAAGTGTATTCTTGGACACTTATTTGGTGTCAGAGAATTGAAGAATTGATTGCTGCTGGGAAAATACACACATCTGGTATCAGAAAAAACAAAACACACAAAAGGAAATTAGAAAATATTTTGAACTGATAATAAATTTACATGTGCAAAAATGTGGGCTGTCACTAAAGCAGTATTGTACTAGTTTCCTTTTGCTACTGTAACAAATTACCACAAACTGAGTACCTTAGTTCCATTTTGTGTTGCTATAACAGAATACCGTGGACTGAGTAATTTATAATAAATAGAAATGTATTGACTCACGGTTCTGGAGGCTGGCAAGTCCAAGATTGAGGGACTGGATCTGCAAGGGCCTTCTTACTGCATTATCCCATGGTGGAAAGGCAAAGAGAGGGTGTGAGAGAAACAAGAGGGGGCCAAATTAATCCTTTTATAATGAACCCACTCTCATAATAACATTAATCCACATTAATGGCAATTCTCCCGTGGCCTAATCACCTCTTATTAGGACCCACCTTCTGACACTGTTGCATTGGTGATTAAGTTTCCAACACATGCTTTGTGAGGAACACATTCAAACCATAGCACTGGGTTGCTTTTAAAACACACACCCTCACTAATTTGTGCTTTTACAGTTCTAGAGATCAGAATTCTGAAATCAGTTGCACTGCACTGAAGTCAAGGTGTCAGCAGGACTGCTTCCTTCAAGAAGCTCTGAAGAAAGAATCAATTCTCTTGCCTTTTTCCACTTTCAGTGGAAGCCTGTATATCTCGGCTTGTGGCCCCTTCCTCCATTTTCAAAGTGTATCACTCCAGTCTCTGCTTCATCACAATTCATTCTGCTCTGACTCTGGCTCTGACTCTTCATGCTTCCTTCTTATAAGGATCATTGTAATTACATGAAGCCCACCTTGATAATCCAGGATAATATCCTCATTTCAAAATCCTTAATTTAATTACATGCTCAAAGTTTCTTTTGCCATATAAGATATGCACAAATTCCTGGGATTAGGATGTGAAAACAGTTGGAGAAGTCATTATTCAGCCTATGACAAGTGCTTAGAGGAAAATTTATGGCATTACATGCTTATTTTAGAAAAAGAAAAAAAAAAAGCCTGGACATGGTGGCTCATGCCTGTAATCCCAGTGCTGTGGGAGGCCAAGGCAAGAGAATTGCTTGAGCCAGAGGTTCAAGACCAACCTGGTCAATGTAGCAAAACTCAGTCTCTACAAAAATAATAATAATAATAAAATAATAAGTTAGCTGGGCATGGTGATACATGACTGCAGTCCCAGCCACTCAGGAGACCAAGACAGGAGGCTATCTTGAGCCTAAGAGTTTGAGACTACAGTGAACTATAATTATGCCACTGTACCCAAGCCTGGGTGACAGAGTGAGATCCTATAAGAAAAAGAAAAGAGGAGAGGAGGGGAAAGGAGAGGAGGGGAGGGGAGGGGAGGGGAGATGAGAGGAGGGGAGGGGAGGGGAGAGGAGAGGAGGGGAGGGGAGGGGAGGGGAGAGGAGAGGAGGGGAGGGGAGAAGGGAGGGGAGGGGAGAGGAGGGGAGAGGAGAGGAGAAAAAGAGAAAGAAGGGAGGGAGGGAAGAAGGAAGGAAGAGAGAGGAGGGGATGGGAGAGGGGAGGGGAGGGGAGGGGAGAGGGGAGGGGAGGGGAGAGGGGAGGGGAGGGGAGGGGAGAGGAGGGGAGAGGAGAGGAGAGGAGAGGAGAAAAAGAGAAAGAAGGGAGGGAGGGAAGGAAGAAGGAAGGAAGGGAGGGAGGGAGGAAGGAAGGGAAAGGTCTAAAATCAGTGACCTGATTTCTATTTTAAGAAGCTAGGAAAAAAAAATCAAAGTAAATCCAAAGTAAGTAGAAGGAAGAAAAATAATAAATATGTGGGCAGAAAACAATAAAATAACAGAGAAACAATAGACAAAATTAACAAAATTTGACCATTTAAAAGCTCAACAAAATTAGTATCTTTCTAGCTGTACTGAGCAGGAAAAAAAGAGAAATAATACATATTACTAATAGCAGGAATGAAAAGGGGAATATCACTGCAGATTCTATGGACATTAAGAGAATAATAAAGAAATTTTACCAAATACTGTGCACAAATTTTTTGAAAACTTAGATAAAATATAAAAATTTCTTTTAAAAATTTATCAAAATAGACACAAGAAGAAATAGAAAATCTAATATTTTTATTCTTCATTCTGTTAATGAATCACATAGTATCATGTTAATTGATTTGCATGTATTGAATCATTCTTGCATTCCAGGGATAAATTCCACTTGGTCGTGGTGTAGGATCTTTTTAAGGTACTGTTGAATTTGGTTTGCTAATATTTTGTTGGGGATTTTTACATTCATATTCATCAGGGATACTGACCTGCAGTTTTCTTGCGGTCTCATTCTCTGACTTTGGTATCAGGGTGATGCTGGCCCCATAAAATGAGTTTGGAAGTATCCTCTACTGTTTTATTTTCTGGAAGAGATTAAGAAGAATTTGTATCAATTTTTAGATGTTTGGTAGAATTCATCTGTTAAGCCATCTGGTCCTGGGCTTGTATTTCTTGGGAGATTTTTTTTATTACTGATTCAATTTCCTTATTTGTTATTGATATTAATCTATTTAGGGTATTTCTTCTTCATTCAGTCTTGTGAGGTTGTAGGTTTTTAGGATATTCATTACTTCTAGGCTAGCATGGTGGTATATAATTGTTCTTATAGTCCCTTATGGTCTTTTTAACCTCTGTTGCATCAATTGTAATGTCTCTTCTTTTCTTTCTGATTTTATTTATTTGAGTCTTCTCTCATTTTTTTCTTAGTTAAGGATTTGTTATCTTCTCAAAAAACCAATTCTTACTTCTGTTGATTGTTTTCTGTTCTCCATTTTATTTATTTCTATCTAATCTTTATTATCTCTTCCTTCAGCTAACTTTGGACTTAGTTTCTTCTTCCCACAAAGGTAAAGTTAGATTGTGTAGTTGATATCTTTCTTCTTTTATAATTTAAGCATTTATCAGTACTTCCCTCTTAGTACTGCTTCTGCTGTGTCCCATGAATTTAGCTATGCTGTAATTTCATTTGTCTTGAGGTTATTTTCTAACATCCCTTTTGATTTCTTCTTTGACCCAATAGTTCAATAATATGTTGTTTAATTCCCATGTATTTGTGAATTTTCTTGTTTTTCTTTTGTTATTGGTTTCTAGTTTCATTCCACTGTGGTCAGAAAAGATACTTGAAGTGATTTCCATTTTCTTAAGACTTTTAAGACTTGTTTTGTGACCTAGCATGTGATCTATCCTGGTGAATGTTTCATGTGTGCTTGAGAACAATGTATATTCTTTTGCTGCTGTATAGAGCATTCTGTATACGTCTGTTAAGTCCATTTGGTCTACAGTGTTATTTAAGTCTACTATGTCCTCACTGATCTTCTGTCTGGATCATCTATCCATTATTAAAAGTGGAGTATTAAAGTCTCCTGCTATTCTTGTACTGCTGCATATTTTTTCCTTTAAATTTGTCAGTGTTTGCTCCATATACGTGCATGCTCTGATGTTGGGTGCATACATATTTTTAATTTGTATATCTTCCTGTTGAATTGACAATTTTATTATGTAATGATCTTTATCTTTTTTGTAGTTTTTAACATAAAGTCCACTTTGTCTAAATGTCACCATCCCTGCACTCTATTGGTTACCATTTGCATTAAATGTTATTTTTTCATCCCTTTGCTTTCAGCCTATGTGTGTACTTAAATCTAAAGTGAGCCTCTTGTAGACAGCATATTGTTGACCTTATTGATTTATTCAGCCACTTTATATCTTTTGACTGATGAGTTTAATTCATTAACATTTAAAGTAATTATCAATATGTAAACACTTATCATTGCCATTTTGTTAGTTGTTTTATGTCTGTTTTGTTGTTCTTTTGTTCCACTCTTCCTCTCTTGCTATCCTCCTTTGTAATTTGAAGATTTTTGTAGTGATACACTTTGATTCGTTTCTCTTTATCTTATCTGTACCTACTATAGGTTTTGTTCCTTGTGTTTTTCATGAGGGTTACCTAAAACTTCTTATAGTTAAAACGGTTTAAGTTAATAACAACCTAACTCAAATCACATATAAAAACTATATTTTCCCTCCTCTACAAACACACTTCATGTTATTGATGTCAAAATTTACCTCTTTTTGTATTGTGTATCCACTAACACATTTTTGTGATCATAATTATTCTTAATATATTTGTCTTTTAACATTTCCACAAAGATGAAAAGTAAATTATGCATCATTGTCACAGTATTACATTATTTTGTTTTTGTCTATGTATTTACCTTTACCACTAAGATTTACATTATCATATGCTTTTATGTTGCTATTTAGTATCCTTTAGTTTCAGTTTGAGAAACTCCCTTAAGTACTTCTTATAAGGCAGGTCTAGTAGTGAAAACCTTCAGTTTTGTTTGTCTGGGAAAGTCTTTATCTCTTCTTCATTTGTAGATAATAGTTTTGCTGGGTTTAGTATTCTTGGTTGGCAGTTTATTTCTTTCAGCTTTTGAATATATCATCCCACTCTTTACTGTCCCGCAAAGTTTCTGCTGAAAAAATATGCTGATAGTATTATGGGTGGGATTCCCTGAAGGTAATATGTTGCTTTTCTCTTGCTGCCTTCAAAATTATTTGTCTTTTACTTTTGACAATTTTTTAAATGTTTTTAATTTTTGTCAGTACATAGTAAGTGTATATACTTATGGATTACATGAGATATTTTGATACAGGCATGCAATGTATAATAATCACATCAGGATAAATGGGGTATCCATCCCCTCAAGCATTTCTCCTTTATGTTACAAATAATCTAATTATGCTCTTTTAGTTATTTTAAGATGTACAATTAAATTATTTTTCACCTTAGTCACCCTGTTGTGCTAGCAAATACTAGGTCTTATTCATTCTTTCTAACTATTTTTTCTACCTATTAACCATCCCCACTCTACCCCATAATCCCCAACACACACTATACTTCCCAGCCCCTGGTAACTATTCTTCTACTTTCTATTCCCATGAATTAAATTGTTTTTCATTTTTTAGCCCCCAAAAATATGTGAGAACATGCAAAAATTGTCTTTCTGTTCCTGTCTTATTTCACTTAATATAATGACCTCCAGTTCAATCTCATTCTTTTTAATGGCTGAACAATACTCTATTGAATATATGTACCATAATTTTTATCCATTCATCTGTTAATGGACAGTTAGGTTGCTTCCAAAACTTGGCTATTATGAATAGTGCTGCAATAAACAGAGGAGTGTAGATATCTCTTTGATATACTGATTTCCTTTCTTTTAACTATATACCTAGGAATGGGATTGCTGGATGGTATGGTACCTCTATTTTTAGTTATTTCACCTCCAAACTGTTCTCCATAAAGTTTGTACTAATTTACATTCCTACCAACAGTGTACAAGGGTTCCCTTTTCTCCACATCCTCGCCAGCATTTCTTACAGCCTGTCTTTTGAATAAAAGCCATTGTAAGTGGGGCAAAATGATATTCATTGTAGTTTTGATTTGCATTTCTCTGATGATCAATGATGTTGAGCACCTTTTTATATATCTGTTTGCCATTTGTATGCCTTCTTTTGAGAAATGTTTATTCTGATCTTTTGCCCATTTTTAAATCAGATTATTAATTTTTTTCCTACAGAGCTGTTTGAGCTCCTTATATATTGTGGTTATGAATCCCTTACCAGCTGGGTAGTTTGCAAATATTTTCTCCCATTCTGTGGGTAGTTGCTTTACTTTGTGGATTGTTTCCTTTGCTGTGCAAAAGGTTTTTAACTTGCCATGATTCTATTTGTCCATTTTTGCTTTGGTTCCCTGTGCTTGTGGGGTATTAAGAAATCTTTGCTCATTCCAATGTCCTGGAGAGTCTCCCCAATGTTTTTAGTGGTTTCACAGTTTGAGGTCTTAGATTTAACTCTTTAATCCATTTTGGTTCAACTTTTTTATATAATGAGAGATAGGGATCTAGTTTCATTCTTCTGCCTATGGATATCCAGTTTTCCCAGGACCATGTATTGAAGAGATTATCCTTTCTCCAATGTATGTTGTTGGCATCTTTGTCAAAAATTAGTTCACTGTAGATGTATGGACTTATTTCTAGGTTCTCTGTTTTGTTCCATTGGTCTATGTGTCTCTTTTTATTCCAGTATCATGCTGTTTTGGTTACCATAACTCTGTAGTATAATTTGAAGTCAGGTAATGTGAGCTGTCCAGTTTTGTTCTTTGTGCTTGGGATAGCTTTGACTATTCTGTTTCCACGTAAATTTTACCCTTACTTTTTCCATTTCTGTGAAGAATGTCACTGATATTCTGATAGGAATTGCATTAAATCTGTAGATTGCTTAGGTAGTATGGACTTTTTAACAATATTGATTCTTCCAATCCATGAACATTGGATATCTTTCCATTTTTTGTGTGCGTCCTCTTCAATTTCTTGCATCAGTGTTTCATAGTTTCATTGTAAATATATTTCACTTCTTCGGTTATTTATAGGTATTTTATTTTATTTGTAGCTATTGTAAATGGGATTACTTACTTGACTTCTTTTTCTGATTGTTCGCTGCTGGCATATATATTTTACTAATTTTTGTATGTTGATTTTGTATCCTCCAGCTTTACTAAATTTGTTTATCAGTTCGAATAGTTTTTTTGGTAGAATCTAGGTTTTTCCAAACATAAGATCACCTTTTTATATATCTGTTTGCCATTTGTATGTCTTCTTTTGAGAAATGTTTATTCTGATCTTTTGCCCATTTTTAAATCAGATTATTAATTTTTTTCCTACAGAGCTGTTTGAGCTCCTTATATATTGTGGTTATGAATCCCTTACCAGATAGGTAGTTTGCAAATATTTTCTCCCATTCTGTGGGTAGTTGCTTTACTTCGTGGATTGTTTCCTTTGCTGTGCAAAAGGATTTTAACTCGCCATGATTCTATTTGTCCATTTTTGCTTTGGTTCTTTAAACGTTTGGTAGAATTCAGCAGTGAAGCCACTGGGACCTGGGCTTTTCTTTGTTAGGAGACTTTATTATGGCTTTGATCTCATTACTTGTTATTGCACTGTTCAGGTTTTGGGTTTCTTTATAGGTCAATCTTGGTAAGGTTGGATGTATCTAGAAATTTATCCCATTCTTCTAGGTTTTCCAATTTATTGGCATATTGTTGCTCAAAGTAGCCACTAATGATCCTTTAAATTTCTACAGTATTGGTTGTAATGTCTCCTTTTTAATCACTAATTTTATTTATTGGGTCTTATTTTTTTCATGGTCTGGCTAAAGATTTGTCAATTATGTTTCTCTTTTCAAAAAAAAAGATAAATGTATTGTTTTCTTCATTTCAATTTCATTGATTTCTGCTCAGATCTTTTTTTTCTTCTTCCACTAATTTTGGGTTTGATTTTATCTTTCTTTTCTAGCTCTTCAAGATGCATCATCAGGTTATTTATTTGAAGTTTTTCTTCTTTTTTGATGTAGGTGCTTAAAGCTATACACTTCCCTCTTAGCACTGCTTTTGCTGTATCCCATAGGTTTTGATGTGTTGTGTTTCCATTATCATATGTTTCAAGAAATTTTCCAATTGTCTTCTTAATCACTTCATTGACCCACTGGTCATTCAGGAGCACATTGTTTAATTTCCATGTGTTTGTATAGATACCAATGTTCCTGTTATTGATTTCTAGTTTTATTCCATTGTGGCCAGAGAAGATGCTTGATATTATTTCAACTTTTTGAATGTTTTCAGATTTGCTTTGTGACCTAACATGGTCTATCCTTGAGAATAATCCATATGCTGAGGAAAAGAGTGTGTAGTTTGCAGCCATTGAATGAAATGTTCTGGAAGTATCTATTAGGTCCATTTGTTCTATAGTGCAGATTAACTCTGATGTTTCTTTATTGATTTTCTCTCTTGAAGATCTGTCTAGTACTGAAAGTGGTGTATTGAAATTTCCAGCTATTATTGTATTAGGGTCTTTCTCTCTCTTTAGCTCTAAAAATATTTGCCTTATATATCAGGGTGCTCCAGTGTTGGGTGCATATATATTTAAGATTGTTATATTCTCTTGCTAAATTGACCCCTTTATCATTATATAGTAACCTTCTTTGTCTCTTACAGTTTTTATCTTAAAATCTATTTTGTCTGATATAAGTATCGCTACTCCTGCTCTTTTTTGGTTTCCATTGGCATAGAATATCTTTTTTCCATCCCTCTATTTTCAGACTATGTGTGTCTTTATGTGTGAAGTGTGTTTCTTGTAGGCCACAGGTCATTGGGTCTTGGTTCTTTTTTTACCCATTCAGCCACTCTATGTATTTTATTGGAGAGTTTAGTCCATTTCCATTCAATGTTACTATTGATAAGTAATGACTTATTCCTGTCATTTTGTTCTTTGTTTTCTGGTTGTTTTGTGGCCTTCTCTTCCTTCTTTCCTTCCTTCCTGTCTTCTTTTTAGTGAAGATGATTTTCTGTGGTGGTATGATTTAATTTATTTTTATTTTTGTGTATCCATTGTATGTTTTTATTTGTGATTATCATGAGGCTTGGGTTATCTTATAACCCATTATTTTAGCTGATAATAATACTGCTTGCATAAACAAATAAGCTAATAAGCAAAAAGAAAATTAATGAAAACTTCATGACTTAACTTCTTCCCCCGCTTTTTAACTTTTTGCTGTTTCTATTTATATCTTATTGTACTGTCTATGTCTCAAAAAGTTTTTGTAGTTATTTTTGGTTGGTTCATCATTTAGTGTTTCTACTGAAGATAAGGGTAGTTTACACAGTGTTATAATAGTCTATGTTTACAGTTTTACAGCGTAATGATAGTGTTACAGTGTTATAATAGTCTATGTTTTCCTGTGTACTTAGTACCACCAGGAAGTTTTGTACCTTCAGATGATTTCTTATTGCTCATTAACATCCTCTAGTTTCTGATTGAAGTACTCCCTTTAGCATTTCTTACAGGGTGGGTCTAGTGTTTATGAAATCCCTCAGCTTTTGCTTGTCTGGGAAAGTCTTTATTTCTTCTTCATGTTTAAAGGATATTTTTACCAGATATACTATTCTAGGGTAGAATTTTTTCCCCTTCAGCACTTTAAATACGTCATGCCACTCTCTCCTGGCCTGTAAGGTTTCCACTGAAAAGTCTGCTGCCAGACATATTGGAGCTCCATTTTATGTTATTTGTTTCTCTTTTCTTGCTGCTTTTAAGATCCTTTCTTTATCTTTGACCTTTGGGAGTTTGATTATTAAATGCCTTCTTTGAGTTAAATCTGTTCAGTATTCTATAAGATTCTTGTACTTGGAAGTTGGTATCTTTCTCTAGGTTTGGGAAGTTATCTGTTAACTTCTACACCTATCTCTTTTTCTACCTGCTCTTTAAGGCCAATAAGGCCAAAGATTTGCCCCTTTGATTTTCTAGATTTTGTAGGCTTCATTCTTTTTCTATTCTTTTTTATTTTGTCTCCTCTGACTGTGTGTTTTCAACTAGCTTGTCTTCAAGCTAATTCTTTCTTCTGCTTGATCAATTCTGCTATTAAGAGACTCTCATGCATTCTTCAGTATGTAAATTGTATTTTTAACTCCAGGATTCCTGCTTCTTTTAAATTATTTTAATCTTTTTGTTAAATTTATCTGATAGAATTCTGAATTCTTTCCCTGTGATATCTTGAATTTCTTTGAGTTTCCTCAAAACGGCTATTTTGTATTATCTGTCTGAAAGGTCACATATCTCTGTTTCTCCAGGATTGGTCCCCGGTGCTTATTTAGTTCATTTAGTTCATTTGGTGAGGACAAGACCTGGATGGTCTTGATGTTTGTGGAAGTTCGTTGGTGTCTGAGCATTGAAGAGTTAGGTATTTATTGTATTCTTTGATGTCTGGGCTTGTTTGTACCTGCGTTCCTTTCCAGGAAGGCTTTCCAGGTATTCAAAAGGACTTGGGTTGTGATCTAAGCCATATCTGCATTAGAGCATTCCCCAGTGCACTAACACTGTGGTAGAGGTACTGCCTTCGTGGTCTTGGATAAGATCCGGAAGAATTCTCTGGATTACCGGCAGAAACTCTTGTTCTCTGCCCTTCCTTTCTCCCAAACAAACGGAGTCTCTCTCTCTCTCTCTCTCTCTCTCTGTGTGTGTGTGTGTGTGTGTGTGTGTGTGTGTTGTGTGTGTGTGCTGAACTGACTGGAGCTGGGGGTCAGGTGACATAAGCACACCTGTGGCCACCACCGCTGGGACTGAGCTGGGTCAGACCCGAAGCCAGAACAGCACTGGGCCTCACCTGGGGCCTGCTGTAACCACTGCTATGCTACGGCCTGTGTTCACTCAAGGCCTTAGGGCTCTGCAATCAGCAGGTGGCAAAGCAAGCACAGCACTGCTTTCCCTTCAGGGCAGTGAGATCTCCCAGGCCCCAGGCAAGTCTAGAGATGCCATCTAGGGGCCGGGGACTGGAGTCAAAAATCTTAGAAATCTACCTGGTGTTCTATTCTACTGTGGCTAAGCTAGCACTCAACCACATCACAGAGTCCTTCCCATTCTTCCCTCCCATTTCCACAGGCAGAAGAGCCTTATCCCATGGCCACCACTACCACAAGGCCCAGGAGGAGTACTGCCAGGCTAACATCAATGTTCACTTAAGGCCCAAGATCTCTCCAGTCAGCTTGTGGTGAAGGCTGCCAGGCCTGGAATTCACCATTCATGGCAATGGGCTCCCTTCTGGCCCAGGGCAGGTCTAGAAATGCTATCCAAGAGCCAAGGCCTAGCATCAAGGACCCCAAGAGCCCACTTGGTGCTCTATCCCACTGTGGCCAAGCTGTTACCTAAGGTACAAGCAAAGTGCCCTTTACTTTTCCCTCTGCTTTTCTCAAGCAGAAGAGCCTTTCCCAACAGCTACCACATCTGGGAATATGCTGGTTCTTACCTGAGGCCAGTACATCTCTGAGTCTCACCCAAGGCCTGCAGTACAACCTGGGTATCACTGCTAGTTCTTCAGGGCCCAAGAGCTCTTTAGTTAGTAGCTGATGGGTCCTGCCTATACTGTGTCCTTCCCTTCGAGAGAGTGTGTTCCCTTCTGGCCCAGGATGTGTCTAGAAACGTCATCCAGAAGCTAGAACCTGGCATGGGAGTCTTATGACCCTTACCAGTGCCCTGTCCTGCTGTGGCTGAGCTGGTATCCAAGATGCAAGACAAAGTCCTTTTTACTCTTCCCTCTCTTCTCAAGCAGAAGGAAGGGGTCTCCTTTGGAACCATGAGCTGTGCTGCCTGGGGTTCAGGATGGGGTAGGGCAAGCGCTTCCTTAGTCACCCTGACTGGTGTCTCAGTAGGTCACAAGACCTCATGTCCACTGGCTCTGAGCCCAGCTTAGCACTAGGACTTGCCTAGGAGTTGCAGGTTTTGTGGCCTAGAATGTCCCTTAAGTTCACTAAGGGCCTCAGAGCACTACAGCTCACAGTGGTGAGGCTTGCTGGAAACCAAGCTCCAACCACTAAGAAGGGTAATTCCCCTCTGGCTAGGGCTAGGGCTGGTCTCTATACTCCCTCCATAGGCAGGCATCAGCTGAGTTCATCCCAGTTCTACTTTCCGCTGTGACAGGACATCACTGAATTCAATGCAAAACCTCACAATCACTGCACGCTCTCTCAAGAGTGCACAGACTCCCTCTCCACACCACTTGACTACTGTGGGATGCATAGAATAATCAATTCAAGACTCTTTCCTACCCTCTTTAGTGCCTCTTTAAGTGAAATGAAGTCAAAACCAGGCATTGTGAGTGCTTATCTGATTTTTGGTTTCTATGAAGATGCTCCCTTTGTGTAGATAGTTGTCAAATTTGATGTTCCTGGAGAGGGATGTTCAGAAGAGCCCTCTATTCAGCCGTCTTGTTCCCGCTCCTCAAATTTTGACAATTTAATTGCAATGTGTCTCAGTATAAACTTTATTATTTATATTATATTATTATATTATTACCTGTATTATAAAACTTATTTGAGGTCGTTTGTGATTCTTGAATCTGGATGTCCATTTTCTTTCCCAGATTTGGAAAGTTTTCAGCCGTTATTTCCTTTCTTTTTTCGTTTTTTTTTTTTTTTTTTTTTTTTGAGATGGAGTCTTGCTCTGTCACCCAGGCTGGAGTGCAGTGGCGCCATCTCAGCTCACTGCAAGCTCTGCCTCCCAGGTTCATGCCATTCTCCTGAATGGCATCAGCCTCCAGAGTAGCTGGGACTACAGACACCTGCCACCACGCTCGGCTAATTTTTTGTATTTTTAGTAGAGACGGGGTTTCACCGTGTTAGCCAGGATGGTCTTGATCTCCTGACCTTGTGATCCGCCCACCTCGGCCTCCCAAAGTGTTGGGATTACAGGCATGAGCCACTGCACCTGGCCTCAGCCGTTATTTCTTTAAGTAATATTATAATATTTCTGGCCCTTTCTCTTCTCTTTCTAGAACTCAGATAATGTGTATATTGACTCACTTAATGGTGTCCCACAAGTTACATGGGTTTTCCTTACTTTTTCATTCCTCTTTTTGTTCCTCTGAATAATTTCAAATGTCCCATCTCAAAGTTCACTGATTCTTTCTTCTGTTTGATCAATTCTACTGTTGAAAATCCCTATTGAAGTTTTCAGTTCATTCACTGCATTCTTCGGCTCCAGAATTTCTGTTTAGTTCTTTTTTATGGTTTCTGTTTTTGTTGTTGATTTCTCATTTTGTCCATGTATAGTTTTCCTAATTTCATTTAGTTCACTATCTGTATTCTCTTGTAGCACACTGAACTTCTTCAAGACAATTATTCTGATTCTTTTTTAAGCAGTTTATAGATCTCCATTTCTTTAGGATTAGTCACTGAAGTTTTATTTTGTTCTTTTGGTGATGTCATACAAGAAAGCCTTGCATTGCTTTCTGCCCATTTGAAGAAGCAGTCACCTCTCCCAGTCTTTACAGACTGGCTTCAGCAGGGAATGCCCGTCACTAGTCAGCCTGGTCAGAGATTCTAGGCAGGCCAGCTGGAGGAGTCAGTGGCTGGGCTTGCTGGCAGGGTCTCAGATTGGCAGACCTCCTGTTTTGGTCTGTGGGAAACCCTGCTACCAGGGACCACAGGCAAGCTCTTGAGATTCATATGCTGGTTGCTGAGAGTCCCTGCCCTTTTTTTATTGTTACTAGCTACCCCAAAGAAATCTAGCCACACTGATCTCCTCAGTGATCTTTCTGGCTGAGGCACAACTGAAGCAAGCTTCTCAGGTAGCACCAAAAAAGGCTGTGGAAATCAGACACTCACTTTACTTGTTTTCCCCGATGGGAGAACTTGTGGACTGAAGGGATCTCTTGCTGTGCTGTGCTTGCTTGGGAAAGGGGTGATACAGGTAAAAGTGAAACTGTTCTTGGCCTTTTCAGTGCATCTTTTCTAATTTCTGTGCTCCATCGTCATGCTAGAACCTCCAAAATGGATTTTTGAGCTCTCATAGAGAAATTTGCTCATGAATGTTGGATAAATCTCAGTTTCCATGGGGAAAATGAGGCTGGGGCTGCCTATTACACCATCTTGTTGACATCATTATCTGGTGGCCCTAGAAAATCTGAATAGTCCCACATCTATAAAATAAATTTAATGCATTAAGAAAACAAAAGCAAAAGTTTTTCCCACAAAAACAAAACAAAAATGCCTCTCTAGGCCCAGATTGTTTTAGAATGAAGCCTATCAGACATTTAGAGAAGAAACAATATTGACCTCACACAGAGTTGTTCAGTCAATAGAGGAGAAGGGAACACCTCCCAATTAATTTTATGAGGTCGATATTACCTTGATACTTGACAAGCACTTTAAGAAAAAAAAAAAACGCAATTTCAAACCAATATCCCTCATGAAAAAAGATACAAAAATCTTTAACAAAATGTTAGCAATTTGTTTTTTTTCCCCCAGGAATGCAAGTTTGTGAAGTGTTCATATATTCATGGGTGTTTCTGGGCTAGCTTGCCCTTAGTCAGTTTGCCTATCTCTACAGCAATACTGTCTTAAGTACTATGGCTTTTTAAAAAGTGTAAATATCTGGCAAAGCAAATTATGCCCCCTTCTTCTTCAGGAACATTGTAGCTAGTCTTGGCCTTTTATTTTCTCATATAAATTTTAGAACAAGATTGCCAAGTTCCTCAGGAAAAAAAAAAAAGCCCTGCTTGGATTTTTATCGAATTTGTATTGAGCATATAGATCAACTTGGGAAGAAATATCATTTGTACAATAGTGAGCCTTTCTAGCCACAAATATGATATATATCTCCATTTATTTGGACTTTAATATCTCTGGATACAATTTATTTTTTCTTCTTAAATTTCTTGTTAACCTTTGTTAGATTTTTTCCAGTACTATGTAGATAGATAGAATAGATGTAGATGATAGAGATTAGATAGATTGATAGACATTTTATTGGTATTGTAGGTGATATCTGTATCTTTCAGTACCCAATCAGGAAAACAGAAATAATTCTAAGAGTTCAAGCAAAGTGAGATTCAATAACAGGACTTCAATGGTTACAATACTGTTAAAAGGGCTAGAGAACTCAAAGAGAAAGAAGGTGTCGCCCAGAGATTAGGACATTGGTCATCCCTAGAATTCACAAACCTACACCAACACCCCACCTTACCTCTTCCCTGAGCTGCTGGAGCTGCCATTGCTGCTATATGGTGGGAGTCACCTTCATTCCACTGCTGCTAATGCTGTTAAGAGCTTTTGGCACTGATGCTGCTAGACATTACTACCTCTGAAAAGGAGCCACATCCACTGAATGTCAACTGCTGGAGTACATAGTTGCCTGTGTGCCCACTCTTGATGGAGTCAAGGTAGAATAATTCTGCTTAACTTCCACCATTCAATGTCTCACAAGTGTTTCCTGTTAGCAGAACTTAACCAGAGTCCAGCTAGCAGGAAAACTTGAGAAATTTAGTTTTCAGGCTTCTAGCCCCGTAAGAAACAGAAGAGTGTGTGGAAGGGCAGGAATGAGGCTAAGTACCAATCAGCAATATTTAGCAAAGTGGCTTCTATTACATTTTCTTAGTAGTTCATTTTTAAATATGAAGTGAAAATTATTATTATCTATTTTTTGAGACAGGATCTCACCCTGTTGCCCAGGCTGGAGAGCAGTTATGCAATCACAGCTCACTGCATTCACTGCCTCCCATCCTCAAGCAATCCTCCCACATCAGCCTCCTGAGTAGCCGACACCACAGGTGCATGCCACCACACCTGGCTAATTTTTCTTTTTTCTTTTTTTTTTTTTTTGTAGAGACAGGGTTTCACCATGTTGCCCAGGTTGGTCTCAAACTCCTGAACTAAAGTGATCCACCTACCTCAGCTTCCCAAAGTGCTGGGATCACCATGTTTGTCAGAAAATTAAATGTTTATCAATATTTGAGGAAAACATTAAAGGGAGAGAAAAGGACAAAATAAATAACAGAAAAAAAAATCTAAGGCAAATGTGTTAATGCAGGATACAGAAGAAAAGTTATTTTTTCACAGTGTTTCAAGAAGCCCCTGCACTCACAAGCACAAAAAAAAAAAAAAAAAAAAAATGAGGAAAGGAAAATACCCGGTAAGAAAGATCTCCTAGAAAGTAAAACTATAATTGTTGATATTAAAATATCAACAAGACTGGGAGCTTAAAAATGAGAAATTCAGACAGAAAATAAAACAAAAAGAAAATTATTTATTTATTATAAATATAAGAGATAAGATAATAGACTTAAATGAAAAAAATTCTCTTTTTAACCTTAGACTAAAAGGAATTACAGAAAGAATGGAGAAAATGGAAGGAAAAAGTTATCAAATAATATAGGGGAATTTACAAAAATTGAGGTACACAAGATTATAAGAGTACAATGAATTAAAAATAACACTATGACAAATGAACATAAAATTTCAGAAAATTAAGAATAAAGAACAGATCCTTAAAGTAATCTGAGAAGATCAAAAGTTTGCCTACAGTGGAGGCAGAATCAGATCGAGGTCATATTTCTCAGCAGCACATGGGATACCAGAGGAAAATGAGAAAGTGCCTTTGATATTATTTTCTTCATATAATTTTGTACCCAGCAAATCTGGGTAAAGGGTAGGATAAAGGCATTTTCAGACATACGAGGACTTATAATTTTTACCTCACTTGCATTCCTTCTTTGAAAGTTACTTGAGGTCATGTTCTAACAAAACAAGAGAATAATAAGAAAGAAGAGAATATAGAATCCAGGAAAGAGTATAACTAATCAAATAGGGCAATCAGTGTAAGTGCCAGAATAACAGTTATGCTTCAAACTCACAGAGATAAATAGCTCATGGAGGACTCTAGGAGAGATATATCTGAGAAAAGAAGGGGGAGGGAAGAATTTGGAAGATATTAAGAATGTGAATTTAAAAACAGCTAAAGAAAAAAAGAAATGCCATTAGAAATGTTTCAATCTGAGCAAAAACTTCACAGCAGAAATATAAATGGTTAAAGGAAAACATATTTTTTAAAAGGTAGTCAACTTCACTAGTAATATTAAACTATTAATGTATTGATTTTAGCCCATCAGTTTGATAAAAATTAAAGGTTAGTTACATTTGTGCCAATATAAATGCAATTAAATGGGCACTCCTATGTTATTAATGTCTTTTTGAAAGGCAATTTGGCAATAATTATCAACAATTTTAAATTCAGATATTTTTTGGCCTAAATAGCTACTTCTGGAAATTTATGATAAGGAAATACTTGCATGTATCCCAGGAGTATTCACTGTTTTATGATCTGTGGTAGTAAAAATAAAAGTTTGGGCTGGGCATGGTGGCTTACACCTGTAATCCCAGCATTTTGGGAGGCTGAGGTGAGAGGATCCCTTGAGCCCAGGAGTTCAAGGATACAGTGAAATATGATAAATTGCTGTATTCCAGTCTGGATGACAGAATGAGATCCTGTCTCTAAAAAAAAAAAACAAAAAAAGAAAAAAAAATTGGTAACAACTTAAATGTCAATAAATAGGAAGTTGATGAATAGATGAATAATGGTACATCCAAACTGAGAAATACCACGTAGCCATGTAAAAAATATATGTACTGACATGAAAAATTCCAAGAAATAACGTTAAATGAAATATAGGTTGCTGTTTTTAAAAAAGCATAAATACATGGTTACATACGCTAATGAGGAGAAATGGGCTCTAGGGAGGGGAATAGAATTGGGAATAAGAAAAAAGTTGATGAGAACTTTAATACATTGCTCTAGATATTTCAATATTTTCTAAGAAAATATATTTATGTTTAATTTTAAAATGAATAAACTCCAGAAAATAAAGTCAACACACTCTTAGGCTACCCACTAGAGAAGAGGGGTCTGTGGCAGAAGAGGTGATGGTCTTGGTCTATGCTGCGCATGCCAGCACAGTTTAACACTGAATTCTGAGCACCAACCATACTCCAAGAAGGACACACACAATTGAATCAACTCCAGAAGATAACAGGATGATGAAAGATCTGGAAAATCACAATAGCTGGGGATCCACTTTTCAACAGTGAAAATGTTTAGCCAGGAAAAAAGAGTATCATTTAAAAGGACTCGATTTTTTTTTAAGGGACATGATAGCTCTCTTGAAATAAGAAATTGATTCTGTGTGGAATTGAACTAATGGGTGGAAGTTACAGAAAGAAAACTTTAGGTTCAGTAGAAAAAAAATTTTTTGTAAATATACATAGATTTGAAAGCAAGAACATTCTATTATCTAACAAATTGGCACAGTTTTAAAAATTAAAATGATAGTATCTAGACATTGAGAGTGAAAATGGCTGCTCTCATTTATGGCTGTTTAATTGAGGCAGTCTTTCTGAAGAACAATTTAGCAGAATGTAACATAACTGTAAGTGCCTATTCCCTTTACACTGGTAATGCCAATTCTAGGAATTGATCTTAAAGAAATAATTAAAAGCGCA
This sequence comes from Homo sapiens, assembly GCF_000001405.40. Classification (NCBI taxonomy): domain Eukaryota; kingdom Metazoa; phylum Chordata; class Mammalia; order Primates; family Hominidae; genus Homo; species Homo sapiens. The sequence continues at coordinate 113,194,675 of NC_000010.11, read as the reverse complement.
TTCATAGATTTAAATAAAAGATTGTTCATCACAATATTATTGATAATGTAAAAAAAAACTGGAAACTACCTCAGTGTCCAAAAATATATAAGCTTTGCTAATTAGGTTATGATATAATCATTTGATGGAAGCTATGCAGTCATTAGATGTTGTTTTCAGAAAAAAATAAAATGTAATGGCCTAGATGTTTTTCAAGCTATTTTGCTAAGTGAAAATATTAATTTACAAAACAATACCTACAACATATTTCCAATTTTGCCTTTAAAGTATCTACATATCCGTAAAATGTTTGTACAATAATATAACTTTATTCATTCAGTGAATATATACTGAGCGCCTACTGTGTGCCAGGCATTCTGCTAGACACTGGGAACATTGAATACTAGGTAGTACCACGGCCAGATCCCTGCCCTTAAGATGCCTGGAGGTCAACACTGGTTTCCCTGGGCTCAAGTCAATAGCCCACCTCCCTAAAGCTTTGAGTTTGCCAACATGAGTTCTTCAGCTATTCTCCTTGCACAGAGATCTTTGTCTTAATAAACAGCATTTTACATCTTTGAGGGAGCAGGATGATAACTCACATGGATGCCTATTTAAAAGATCATTTGGTGTAACCTTGGTCCAGAAGCCAGAACTATCCAGACAGTAGCCCCAGTAGCACCCTCCTCTGTTTTCTCTTTCACATGACTGTCAGGGTTATAAGACATCCAATGAGTGGATACATTTTCAAAAAAAACTAGAGAGAGAGTCCCCTCAGCTCAGCCCCTCCTGAAGCAAGCCACTCCACTATCATATGGCCCTGCTTTCGTTTCAGTCTCTTTGTCTTCTTCAAAATTCACGTTGAATCTTAATCCCCTATGCGACAGTATTGAGAGGTGTGGCCTTTGGGAGGTGATTGAGTCATGAGGGCTCCACCCACATGAGTAGAATTAGGTGGACTTTATAAAAGCGCTTAATGGAGGAAGTTCGCCCTTCTTGCCCTTCCACTTTTTGCCACAGGAGGATATGGTATTCCTCCTTGGAAGCACAGAGCAACCCTCAGAAGACAACTGAACCTGCCAGCACCTTGATCTTGGACTTCAGAACTGTGAGAAAACATATTTCTGTCCTTTATAAGTTAGTCTGTGGTATTTTGTTACGGCAGCATAAATAGACTAAGACAGGCTCTAAGAGAGGAAACACCTTCTTGGCTGTGGCTCTTCCATCCCCAAGAGCGTCAAGAATGGCCTGAGCCCTTCACCTCCACTCCTGTAGGTGCCTGAGATCGGCAGCCTGGCCCCTCTGAGTCTTCCCTCCACACAACCCTTCCAACCCTTTTCCTTCATGTTGCATGTTTCCAAACCCAAATCTCAAAGTTCTTTCTTTGAGAGTCTTCATCTACTCAAAGTAAGATTTATGGCTCTTTCCCAAAGTCTCTCTTCAACCTAGTGTCCCTTTTAATCACCTTCACCCTAAACAATAAATGGATGCTTCCAATAAATAAATTCTTAGTTGGTTTTATTAACCCATATGGGAAGTCCAATGGTGTCACCATGTTGAAGGGCTGATACAGACATATTACAGGTATTGTCCCACAGAAATATAGCATGGCTCTAGCCACACTGGAAAAATTGAGGAGGAATCATCTTCACCTTTGGTCTGAGGCATGGGCGTATTTGTATGTGTTTCAAGAATGGTCAAGAGGGGAAGGGCTGTTTAACCAGTGTTAGGAATTCATTATTTGGAGTTAGCATCACCTTCTCCCATGGGCTTTCTTTTAGCTTATTTTATTCCTTACAACAATAGGAAATATTGATAAGGTAGGAATTGTCATCTTCATTTCATAATGGAGGAACGTGAGGCACAGATTAGTGAAGTAAGTTGCCTGTCACCTAGCAGCAGAACATGGATTTGAATGCAGAAATGTTTGACTTCAAAGTCAAAGCTCTTAACCAGGTTAAGCCAATTGCTATCCAACAGAAAAATGGCCAAGCTGGGACCCCACCCCTCCCAATTGCAGCTGTTGCTTCCAGTTCACAGATCCATTCCCATTATGGAGCTGAAGTCGGTGTTTCCATTACTCGCCTGTCCTTCCTTCTTCATTATCCTCCCCTGGCACTCTGCATTCTGTCAATAATGGATCCTCAGGTTGGGGAATACTTATCCCACATTCAATAAAGCACAATAAAATCTGGTAAACTTGTTTTTGTAGATACTGTTAAAAACACAGGCTTTAGAATAAGACAGACCTAAGTTCAAAGCCCAAATTTGCCACTTAAAAGCCTAGGTTATATTCCTAAACATCTGTGAGCCCCATTTCCATGTCTGGAACTCATGAATAATATCCTGACCCTGGGGCTGGTTTAGGTGGGTTACACAAGATAACACTTGCAAACCATAGTGCCTGGCACCATGGCGCCTAACAATATTAGCCATTAAAATTGTTATCAATATTAAAGTCTCACACAGGGATTCTTATGGCTGAGGATAGTGACAGCTACCCATTCTTCTTCCTGATTCAGCTTTCAGTGGGTGGGTTCAGGAAACCAAGGCAAGGACCATGGAAAACCAGGCTGCCCCACCCAACACCTCTTGACCCCTCACTGTAACTCCCTCTGGTTGGCAGCAGTTTTCATTTCTCCAGCCTCACTGATATTTCTCAGGGACTCTGAAACAGGCAGCATTGTCTCCATAGGACACAGGAGGCCAGAGAAGCAGAGAAATTTGCCCAGTGATATACACTGATTTGGAAAGAACTAGAAGTGAAACTGCCCCTCCATGATTCCCTTCATCTCACATCCCTTCATAGTATGTCATGAATATAACACCGTTCACCAGGGACTCAGGGGGAAATGGGGCAGTCACCTCATCTAGGACTGATGAGACCCTCTCAGTGTAAATAAAACCCTCCCCAGCCCAGGCATCAACTCATGGAGCCAGCCACCATGCCAGGCCAAGTCCGTTCCAGCCCAGCTCTGCCAAGAAACATGCAGCTCAACTACAGTCGACTCTCCAAATAAATACTTTAAGTCAGAACAGATGCTGTCAGCCTGGCCTGGAAGCATCAGTGGCACCAATGGCTTACAGAAGGCTCTTTGGACCAGAGGGAATGTGACAGTAGGCCTCCTAGAAGGTGCCAGTTCAGGTATTTCAGGACCTCCAGAACATGCTCCCTAGATGGTAGCAAAAAATTTGCCCTGGAAGACACATCTCAAGAGAGAAGGGGATGTGGTACAGTGTAGAAAACTCCAGCTAAGAAACAAAGAACCAGTTCTTGTCCCAGCTCTGCAGCTCCAAGCAAGTCCCTCTGGCTCTGGGACTTGGTTTCCTCACCTGTAAATGGAGGTTATAGTGAAGACTCAAAGACTCTATTGAACTGTAAAAAGCTGTCTAGGGTGGGGAGGGGTCATAATACAGTAGCCTGAGACCACCCTGAATATCCCCTGTTGCCATCACTGGGCATACGGGACAGCCAAAAGGGAACTGGTCATGTGACCAAGACCTGAGGACTAGGACAAGAGAAGGCCATTGACAGGCTCAAGACCTCTGCCCCCTCCCTGTTTCCAAATAGAAGGTTCTTGAACACAAGGTTCACATTTTCTCCATCTGCTTTGCCTTCTCCCTTCGCCCTTCCTTATCTCCATCCCTCTCTTCTTTCTTTCCTTCTTTCTGCTGTATGGCTCCAGCCATTGACAATTATTCTCCATTCCTGAAATAGACCATGCTTCCTCTCTCTAATCTCCAGGCCTTTGCACCTGCTGTGCTGCTTCCTGGACCACTCTTGTCCCACCTCATCTTTTGGGTCTCAACTTAGGTATCCCTTCCTCTGGGCTGGAAGAGGGGCCCCTCTGCTGGGTTCTTCCAGTGCCCTGGGTCCATGATTAGAAAATGGTCTCTCATCAGGATCATGAGTGCCCTGACAGCAGAGACTGCTTCTTAACCATCAGCCTCCTTAGAATAGGGGCTTGGAAAATGTGTACTGATTGAATCCATAAGTAGATATTTCTCAGGGACACAAAGCTAAAGGATGGTAGACCCAGGCCCTCTGTCTACGAGCCGAGTGTTGATTCATTCAATTATTCGCCCATGAAACAAATACTTGTTGAGCACCTTCAACAGGCCAGGCACTCTGCCTAGTGCTGGGCATACGGTGGGGAAAAAGACAAGTTCTTGGTTTTCAGGGAGCTTGCATTCTAGCAGGAAAGGACAGCAAATAACAGATGATGAGAACAAGAGAGGAATGAGTGCTATACAGAAAATTAAAATAGGCTAATGTAATAGAGCTTGACCACGTGGACATTTTAGACTGGATAGATGGAGAAGGCCTCTCTAGGGATAGGACTGAAAGGAAATGTTAAAAAAAAAAAAAAAAAAAAAAAAAAAGGCTGGATGCAGTGGCTCACGCCTGTAATCTCAGCACTTCGGGAGGCCGAGGCGGGCGGATCACAAGGTCAAGAGTTCGAGACCAGCCTGGCCAATATGGTGAAACCCCGTCTCTACTAAAAATACAAAAATTAGCTGGGCGTGGTAGCAGGCTAGTAGTCCCAGCTACTAGGGAGGCTGAAGCAGGACAATGGCATGAACCTGGGAGGCAGAGCTTGCAGTGAGCCGAGATGGTGCCACTGCACTCCAGCCTGGGTGACAGAGTGAGACACCATCTCAAAAAAAAAAAATGGAGCCAGTTTTGTGAGTTGAATGGGAAGAGCATGCCAGGAGAGGGACAGCTGGTACAAGGGCCTTCTAATGGGGAGGTTAGAAAAGGAGAAAGGTTAATGTGATTGAATGCAATGTGCCAGACAAGGCTGGTGAAGTAGGAAAGGGCCAGTTTGTGTAGAGCCTTGTGGACCATAATAAGGAGGTCCTCTTTTAGTGAGATGGAAGTCCATGGGAGGGTTTTAAGCTAGAAGCTATGTGATATACATCATGTTTTCAAAAAATTAGCCTGACCACCATGTAGAAATGGAATGGAGGGTTTGGAACAAGCACAGAAGTGGAGACAGGAGATAGGATGCTATTGTACCAGTCTAAGCAGGACGTGACGTTGGCTTCAACTACAATGGTCACAGTGATGATGAAGAGAAAGAAGTACATTGATCCATGCTGGAGGAAAAATTGTTGGAACATGCTCACATTCAGAAGGTAGAATTGATAGAAAGTGCTAATGGATTAGATATGAGGACATGAGGGTGAGAGAAGGAGGAATCAAGGAACTGAGTGGATGGGAGTGCCTTTTACAATGAGGTAAGGAGGAGAGTAGAGAAGCCTTGAAACAGATTATCCAATTTATTCGGCCCTGTTAATTTCTATTTGTCTGTTAGATCTCTAAAGGAAAATGTCACTTCACAGTGGGATACACAGGCTGAAATTCTAGGGGAGAACAGGATTGGGTACACATATCTGGGGATCATCTACCTTAGGTAACATTTAATGTTAGGGGTCTGACTTAGATTACCTGGAGAGAGAAAATGTGTAGGCAGAATGCTGTGGGTTTAATGTTTGTTTCCCTCCCAAAATTTATACATTGAAACTCCAACCCTCAATGTGATATTTGGAGGTGAGGACCTTGGGACCTAATTATGGTCATGAGGGTGGAGCCCTCATGAGAGAGATTGATGCCCTTATGAAGGTCATGAGAAGTCTTTTGTTTTCTCTCTCTGCTCTCTGCCATGTTAGGATACAAGATTACCATTTGCAAACCAGGAAGAGGGCCCTCACCAGACACAAATCTGCTAGCACCTTGATCTTGGACCTGTCAGCCTCCAGAACTGTGAGAAATAAAGATTTGTTGTTTAAGCCCCCCAGGCTATGGTAATTTGTTATAGCAGCCCAAATTGACTAAGAGGTGACATTTACCACTATGGGTCTAGATGAGATTGCCTGGAGAGAGAGAATGTGTAGGTAGAGGAAATCGTTCAGGACAGAGCTCCCAGCACTCCAATATTGGGAAGTTTACAAAAGGAGGAGGCAGCCAGCCAAGAGACGGAGAAGGAACAGCAAGAGAAGTGGGAGGAAAACTAAGAAAGCGTAGGTTCCAGGAGCCAAAGCAAGGGAGGTTCAAGTTGTCAATTTGTCTTTCTTTTGTAGTTTTGCTTCCCTGCCGCCTACTCCAAAACCTCCCAGATCCACCTGTATCTTCCTGAATGGTAAAGGTAGCTTGCTGGCCCTCAGATCAGCAGTTCTCGGTAGCACCACATCCAACCCCCTGACCAATCGAACAGCCCCTCCCAGTCTCCCTCAGCAACCTGGCAGCAAGGGATGGTGTGGTCCTTGCCAGGTCTTTTCCATCCCTGGTTCTCAGTTCTTCCTGGGACAAATAAGGAGGCTGGAAATGGTGCTCTCTCGCTGACAGCACTCCCTGTGCTACTAGAACTTCAGGCTCAGCCTCTCCTTCCCATGGAGCTCAAGCTTTCCTCCTGTTAGGCCTTCTTCCCCCAGAGACCATGAAATGATGGTCTCTGAAAGAGAATCCCAGTGATCCATGGAGGGCCTGCTCAGAGCTTAACTCATAGGTAAGGTGCATCTGATGGCCGTGAAAATCTACTTGGAAAGAAACCCAGGGTAGTGACAGGGAAGGTAAGGGCCTTGGACCCATGGCTGTCTCATGGGTTAAACATGATGTGTCCTACTACAGGAATGTTCTGCCCATCAAAACAGGGCACTTGCAGAGCTATGTTTGCTCAGAGGGGGCAACTTTTTCTAATTTGTGCAAAAGTGCCATAGAAGCAGTGCCATGTAACCCTACTTTGGACCTGTCACCTGCATTCTTTGTTCCTGACACTGGACTTCTTTAGGCTCACTGCCTGGCTTCCTTAGGCACATTCGCTGTCTGGTATCTTTGGGCCCGCAGCCTGTTCTCTTTAAGCCTGCCATTTGCATTACCTAGACCCACTGCCTCGTGCCTGGGCCAGCCTCCTGATGTCTTTGGGTCCACCCCATATTTCTTCAGGTTCGCTGCCTGGATTATTTAAGCCTGTCATGTCATATCTTTGGGCTTGCTGCCAGAATGCCCAAAGTCCTGGAAACTTGGGCTGCTGCTGAGTATCAGAGCTACCTGGAACATTAACGCGGCTCTGTGGGGCTGCTGTCAGGAAGGGAGAATAAATGTCACCATCTCCAGCCTCCAGCAGTGACCACTGTGACGAGGCCAACAGCTCAGCTGGGCTTTGAAAGGAGCATTTGTATGGTTTGTTTCCCTCCACGAGACCTCCAAGGCCAACTCCCCCAGAGATTGATTCATTTCACTGTTTTGCTTTTTTTTTTTTTTGGTGATCTGTGTTTAATAGGGAACCGTGTGTATAGTGCCCCTGTGCCTCTGGCTGGGAGCTCAGTGCTGGCAGGGCAGGCCAGCAAGAAAGCCCAGCAGCAGGGGTGGGAGGAGGCCAAGAAAAACCCCCAGGCTTCAGGCTGTGGCAGGAGGGCTTGCCCGGACGGCCTGCTCACCAAAGCCTGGCTTCAGAGCTCTCTGGGACTGGCCTGGCCCGATGCCAGCAGCCATTGCTCCGTCTCTTTGCAGAGAGCCAGGGAGACAAAACAGAGCCTGATTTTAAAACAGACACACAAAGTGGTCTCTTCACAGAGCTCTGTAGCATTCTGGACCAATACACACTAATGTTTTCATGCAGAAAAGGGGACTTGGAGAAGGATAATGTACAATATCTATCACATGCAAGAATGTTGGGCTTAGACAGAACAATAAATAATGCAGCTCGCATGTGGCAAACCTTCCTTGCACACCAGGCACCATGCTCGGTGCTTTACACGGACATGTCAGCTGCCTTGCCTAAGAATATCATGAAGACGAAATTACAGTCCCCATTGTATAGATTAAAAGCCAAGTTTCACATCCTATTAGAATGGCTAAAATTTTAAAAATGGATAATGTTAAATGCTGATGAGGATACAGAGCAACTGGAACTCTCTTACACTGCTGGTGGGAACACACAGTGGTACAGCCACTTTGAAAAACAATTTGGCAGTTTCTTAGAAAGTCAAACAGACACAGATGGTAAAATCCATCAAGCCCACTCCAAGGTATTCATCTAAATGGAATGAAGCCCATATGTAAATACTTACAGTAGCTGTATTCATAATCACCCCAAACTGAAAATAACCCAAATGTCCTTCAATTGAGGAATGGGTAAACAAACTAGTTCTTCAACACCACAGAATATTACTCAACAATAAAAAGGAACACACTACTGATACATAAAAATGTGGGCAATCTCAAATGCATTAGGCTAAGTAAAAGAAAACAGAATCAAAAGACCACATACTGTAAGACTATTTATATGACACCCTTGTGAAGAAAAACTATAAGGTCTGAAAACAGATCAATGGCTGCCAGGGGCTGGAGGTAGGGCAGAAATGAATTTTAGGAGGTTTTGGGGAATGTTTTCTCTCTCTATATATGTATATATGCATACACACATACACACACACACTCATATTTATGTGTATAGATATATATACATATATACACATACACACATATACATGTGTATGTGTATATATGTATATATATGTATATGTATAAATATGTATATGTGTGTGTATATATATAGTGTGTGTGTGTGTGTGTGTGTGTTTGTGTATATGTATATCTCCCAGGCTGGAGTGCTGTGGCAAAATCATGGCTCACCTCCCAGGTTCAAGTGATCCTCCTACTGCAGCCTCCCAAGTAGCTGGAATCACCATGCCCAGCTAATTTTATCTTATTTATTAATTTTATGTAGAGATAGGGTTTCCCTATGTTGCCCAGGCTGGTCTCGAACTCTCGGGCTCAAGGGATTCTCCTGCCTTGGCCTCCCAAAATGTTGGGATTACCGGCATGAACCACTGCACTTGGCCTATATATTTTTATTGTGATGATGTTTCCGCCATTATATATGTTCATCAAAACTTGCAGAACTGTACACCAAAAAGGGTGACTATTTCTATATGCATATTAAACCTTAATTTTTGTAATCGTTAAAAAAAGTCAGCTGTTCAAGGAGATGTAACTTGTCCAACGGCAGAATCAAGATTGACTCTTGACCCAGCTTTTTAACCGCTGTGCTGAACAACGATACCGGTTGCCCTGGAGACCATCTGGTCTGAGCCTCAATTACCGAGAGATCTGGACTCACCAGGATGTAGAAAACGGTAGGTTCTGAGGAATTGGCTTCTTTTTTTTTTAATTAACTGAAGTTTTCAAATCATTTTTCTTTTAACCCCTGTTGCTACCAATATTTCTAAGTTGTCTGAAAATACAGTCATCCTTACTCTAATACTCAGGCCACTGACTCTGCCATGCTTGAGAATTGCAGGGCCAGATCCCCTGAAGTTGGGGGACCTGGTCACATTCCTTCACCTGTCACTATTTGCTGTGTCACCTTGGATACGTCATTCACTCTTCCTAGACCCTGGTTTCCCTCTGTGAGAAGGGTATCATTTCACCATCTCAAGAATGAACGAGAAAATTAAATGAGAATCACAGGACCTACAGTTTTAGGTCGTCACAGTCTTATCAACTGCTTTCTTTTTTATCTCAGGGAATTGGTTCAATAGCAGTCAACACATACTGAGTACTTTCTATGTGCTTTGTGGTTGATAGACATTTCATCTTGCTGCCAAGTCTGTGAGCTGGTACTAGCCCATCTAACAGAAGACGAAAGGGAGGCACTTAGGAATGAAACAATTCACCATGACCCCACAGCTAAATGTAGCAGAAGTAGTAGAACCAGATTGAAGCCAGGCAGCCTGATTCCAGAGCCTTCTGTTTGGCTAGTTCACCTTTCTGCCTCCCCTTCTCCTGTCTCAATTTTCCACTGCCATCTTGAGAATCCATATTTGCACACCTTGTCCATCAGGCAACACGCATCCTATATTGAACTTTCCCCTACACGGACTTCAGATGCCAAAATGGATTCTTCTCCAATATGGAAGAGCCAGGAAAGCCACAGAGGTCCTCTGCCTCCTGTTGGCTCCGTGTCCTTTCTATGCTTCCACCAAGCAAAGGTGTGGAAGGAGAGCAGTGTGTGGTGGAGGGTCATTTGGCCCTGGGGGAGGGATGGCAGGAGGAAGAGGAGGGAAGCCACTTTTATGGGAGCATAAGCAAGTGTCAATGTTCTTGCTACTCGATCCAGGAGACTTCATTCCGGCTCATTGTTCCTCATTATCAGAGCTAACTATGTTCAGGCGAAGGGTGAGCATGTTCCTAAATTTATGTCTCTGTGTGCGACCACGACAATGTGTGTTTTGTGTGCTTCTCCCTGAAAAACTCCTCTTGTGACACAGGCGACCCAGCTTGGACTTGGCCTTTCATGTGCGTTACCCACTCCGACTGGCACCTGCTGGCAGATTTTTCTTAAAGTCTAAAATGAGGGGCTAACCTTCTCGTCTCTGCTTTTTCTTCTCCGCTACCTATCATCTTGATTTGACTCACACAAAAGTGTCTCAGTGGGAAACCCACTCAAGAAGGCTTTGACAGGGAACAATGGACAGACACCTCTACAGAGGCCGGCCCGCCGCGTTGAGAGAGGGAAAATGGATTAAAGTTTAAAGATGTCATGTATGTTAACCGATCAGTATCAGTTTTATGTATTTTGTCAAAGAGACAGCAGTGAAGCCGGGCCCATGAGGGTGAGGGGGTGCAAAGGAGGGAGAGGTGGCCCCCACACACTTTGGCCAAAGGCCTCACCAGAGATAACGAGCCCAAGGAGCTGGAGTGTTTGAAAGGTAATCATAACAATAATAAAGAAGAAAGGGCCCAGAGGAGATTGTCGTGGGATTGTTGTGTGTGTCAGCTTTGTCCTTCCACAATGATCCAGGGCCAGGAGCCAGGCAGCCTCCGGGGCAGCAGAGCGGCTCCTTCAGAAAGCAGATGCCGCTCATTCAGCCCGCGTGGCTTTCTTCCAGGATAATGCTCCAATGGGCGGCAGAAGCCTGGGGAGTCATGGGTGAGGCAGGGGGAGAGGTTCCTGAAAGCCTGGGCTCCCCGCCGGCATCTCTCATGGCCAGGCCCAGCACTGTGCACAAGGAGCAAGGCCGGCCCGAAGCCTGCATGGGGCCTGGGCCCTGACCTTGCTTCTTGTCTGCAAGAGGGTTACCCACAATGCCCTGCTCTCCTGACGGGACGTCAGGAGAATAGAGTTGGCCCCTGGAACTTCTCTTCAATATCCCTGAAAAAAAGTGGGATTCCCAGTCTGATTTCTTTGGACCTCTGAGCACTTTTCCTTTCACATGAATCTCCCTTTGTGAGGGTTGCTAAAATTTCCTCACGTCGTGAATAGGCTGAAAAGTGAGTATCTTTGAGTCTTCTTTCTGAAGAAGTCCAGACTCAGATAGGACAAGCCGCCACATTTTTGGAGGAAGCAGTTCATGGCAAAGGCTGCGTTCGTAGGTGAGCTAAGCTCCATTTATCCTGCAGACTCAGGACTGTCAACAAGGGCAGTCATCCTGGCGGGACATGCAGAGGGGCTGTCCTCTAAATGGAACGTTCCAGAGACTGGCAAAGGGAAGGCTCTAGAGCTCCTCTGCAGAGTCTCCACGGGCTCCCACAAGCCCAAGAGTTGGGGGCAGTAGCATGCCAGATCCAGCGCATACTGGCTTTTGAGAGCTGATGGCTAACTTTTCAGTAATTTTTTTGCAAGCCAGCTTTAAAAAAGTTAACTTATGAGGCCGGGTGCAGTGGTGCCTCACACCTATAATCCCAGTACTTTGGGAGGCTGAGGCGGGTGATCACTTGATGTCAGGAGTTCGAGACCAGCCTGGCCAACATGGTGAAACCCCATCTCTACTAATAATGCAAAAATTAGTTGGGCGTGGTGGCACGCGCATGTAATCCCAGCTACCTGGGAGGCTGAGGCAGGAGAATCACTTGAACCCAGGAGGCGGAGGTTGTGCCACTGTACTCCAACCTGGGCAACAGAATGAAACTGTGTCTCAAAAATAAATAAATAAAAATTTAAAAATTAAAATTAACTTATATAAACTTAACAAATAAATACAGCAAAAGGAATATTCAAAACTCATCTCTCCGTAATAACTTTACTATTCTCTATGCCCGAGGTTTTATACGATTACTGTGTCTATACTGGCAGAGATACTGGAGGATAGTGTGTTTCTGAGCATCTCTTCCCAACTGCACGTACTGTAATGTCACACAGAGAGCCACAGTGGAGTATTTACACCACAGAAACTGGCAAATGCCACAAATCAGAACTTTTTCCCCTAAGTGCTAGTTGTTAAATACTTACTGGTACACTAGTTGGAGGGTGATCTGGGCCAGCTCCTCGGTCACTGGACCAAGCCACTTTCCCTCTGCAACAAGTCACCATGGTGACAAAGGAAGAAGAAATGGAATGGCATGTTGCTCTGAAGACAAACTATATGCAAGTACGAAGCTTAGACAGACTCTGAGCTGCTTGACCCGATATTCATGCATGTGTGACTGTGTTCATTCATTCAACCTATTTTTTCCTCTCTTTCTCTAAACAAAAATATCTTATTAGGAAAAAATATCATTTTCAACTCCAAGACCCTTGATGAACAATCTGCTCCAATATCTGCCTTTAATGAGAATAATTCAGGGCCAAATAGTTGATCCTGAAGGCCATGCTGGGCTCAGGGATTGGGGCCAGGAGGGATGAGGTCCTGGATGTGGGGACCCTATCTCCCTTTGCACCCACCTGTATTCTCTTAGGGCCCCTGTCTCTGGGACTCAGCTGTGAAGGCTGAAAAGGCTGCAGCTATCCTCCCATGGGACAACTGCCTTTGAACAGGGGTGCAGAGAGGCTGAAAGGCCTTCAGGGCCACACTGAATGAATCTTGCAGGGGATCTCAGGCCAGGGGAGTGATCTGCAAATTTGAGTCTGGTGGTTTTCCAAAACACATCATGCAGGCAACTGCCTCCTCCCTCCCAGAAGGCTGCTCTTGATCAGGGTCCTCTTCTCTCCTGCCCCAGAGAACTCAAGGCAACAGAAATAGTAATAATAGCTCATCAGGCTGAAGTGTTAACCTCGGGCCTAAGCACTGTGGCCTCATCTGAGCCTCCTAGAAGTAGGTGGTGCCTTTGTCCCCTCTTACAGCAGAGAACACCAAGACTTTGAGAAGTTCCTTAACTTGGTCCAAGCCAAAAAGCTACTCATCTGAAATTCAAACTCAGGCAGTCTGAATCCAGAGTTCCCTCTCCTAACCCCTATGCTCAGATCACAAATCCAGCTGGTTCCCTACCATGCAGGTCTGATCAATGGAAATACAAAAATGGTTTGGGAGACCAAAGCAGGTGGATCACTTGAGGTCAGGAGTTCGAGACCAGCCTGGCCAACATGGTGAAACCCTGTCTCTACTAAAAATACAAAAATTAGCCAGATGTGATGGTGCGTGCCTGTAGTCCCAGCTACTCGGGGGGCTGGGTTAGGAGAATTGCTTGAACCCAGGTTATGGAGGTTGCAGTGAGCCGAAATTGTGCCACTGGACTCCAGCCTGGGTGACAGAGTGAGACTCTTGTATCAAAAAAAAAAAAAAAAAATTAAAGAAAAGAAATAAAGAAATAGAAAAATGGCAGGGGGGTGAGGAGGGGGAGGCTGGAGTGGGATGAAAACTACAGTGTGCAAGGGAACTGCCTGCTGCCCCTCCCCCGACTGGGCATCCCCAGGCCCTCCCAGGAGGACACTCCCTTCAGGGCAAGGCTCCCTCTGGCCAGCTCTGAAGTTTCTCTCCTGCCCTGACACACTGGGCTCAATATCTGCTTTGAGTTATTTCACATCTTACAGGGAAGCAGCAGGAGCCAAAGCCCTGGGCACTGTGGCAGGCCAGGGAGCTGCGCAGGGGCGCCATAAGCACACCCCACCAACACCCCCGGTCCCCCGTAGCAGACAGGAAAGCATCACTGGGCAGGACCCCCCGATGGGACTCCAGCAGCTTCTTTCTTTACCCGTGGGCCTTGCCAGGTTAAGGCACTTCCCAAGCTGATTTCTCATTTGCTGTTTATAATTTTGTGAGGCCAGAGTATGTAAAGAGGATGCCTTTTACAGAAAGGAGAAGTTAATTCAAAATACCTCTGGGGTTCGGCCCAGGCCACTCAGCCCTGCTGGGTCTGAAGCACAGTCTCTGGACTCTGTCCAGTGCTCTTTTGACTGCAGCATCAACATGCACCCCTACCCCACAAGAGGTCCCGTGTTTTAGCAGCAGATAAAATCAACTGGTCCCTGGAAATGTGCCAATCACGAAGACCAGAAGACAAGCACCAAAGGAGAGAAATATTTGAGATTCCTGTTAAGAAGCCATGTTGGGATTGATCTGAATAACACCAGAAAAAAAGGGGAAAATAATAAAGTCAGACACTACATAATCCATGGAGACATGGATGGAAGCTGAGTGGGGCAAATTTCAAAGGGGGCACCTTCTCCCATGGAAAGGGGCAGGAGGTACAGAAGGCCTTGAACTTGAACTGAGCTGTGGTCATCTACTAAGCGACACCAAGCAGATACTATTTCAGATCATCGTCCCTGCAGCCCTGCAGCCTAGGGATGATCACCTCCCATTTACAGATGAGGACACTGCACTGAGGATGATCCCATTCCCCAGGAGTGGTGCTGAGGTGCCCAAGAGCTCTTCCTAAAATGGGGAGTGGGCTGCATGCTTCAGCATGGTGTTTAAAGGGCCAGGTGTTTAATAGCCAAAGTAAGGTCCGTTAGCTGGTGAATGCATAAACAAAACACAGCAGATCCACACAATGAAACACTCTACAACCACCAAAAGGACAGCACTACTGATGATACACACTACAAGTGAATGAACCTCAAAAATATTCTCAAGGGAGATGGTTTTTTCCCCTAAGGGGGACAAAATTGGTTCTTAGAGACCAAAATATATTTATATATATAAAAATATATATATATATATATGTGTGTGTATATATATATATATATATATATATATCTCCTTAGATACTACAGTGGTTTGTAGCCCTCCAAAGCTCAAGCCTACCGGACAAACTCATGTTTCTTGGTATTTAATTTCTGTCTTTAAGGAGAATTTAAATTACATTTAATTTTTCTCCTTGGGGGAGGAGTGGATGATAATGAAAAAATGTTTGAGACACTGTGCTGAGTAAAAGAAGCCAGACACA
The DNA here is from genome assembly GCF_000001405.40 of Homo sapiens. NCBI lineage: Eukaryota > Metazoa > Chordata > Mammalia > Primates > Hominidae > Homo > Homo sapiens. The sequence continues at coordinate 113,179,584 of NC_000010.11, read as the reverse complement.
AAAGACCATGTGTCGTATGATTCCATGTACATGCAATGTGCAAAAAGCCAAATCCGCAGAGGAGGGAAGTAGATTAGCAGCTGCCTGGGGCTGGGCGTGGGAACAGGGAGTGACTACAGCTGAGCAAAACGGAGGTTTTGGGGTGATGAAAATGTTCTAAACTTGAATTGTGGTGATGGTTGCACAACTCTGTAAATTTCCTAAAAGTCATTGAATTGTACGCTTCAAACAAATGAGTTTTCTGGTATCTAAATTATACTTCCGTAGAGCTATTTTTTTAAAAAAGGAAGAACAGAGGCTTGGGGATCTGAGAGGCCCAGCTCCAGTTCTGGTTCCTTACTCCCATGCCTCAGACAGGTGGCTCCAGGCCTCAGTATCCACATCTGTGAAATGGGGTCTCTACCAAAGCTTTGGAGGCCATGAGGATCCAATGAGACGTGTTTAAAGGCCTGAGCACTGTGATGTGAGGGTCTAAGGGGGATGGCTTCAGGACCCTAACTTTGAGCAGAGAGAGAAAACTCATGTTTCAGGCCTCAGGTAAGATAGCATCTCCTTGAGAGGCCTTCCTTGACCCCTGGAGGTTACTGCTCAGGTGTTTACCTCCCTGAGGCATTTACTGAAATCTAGGCCCTTTTGTGTGATCCTTATTGTCTGTCCGTAAGCCCCACTACTGGAATGTTCTCTTTAGGCCAGCAAGGATCTTATCCTCGTTGTAAAGGCACCCTGTGGGGCACAAAGCAGGGACATATGAATATTCAGTAACAATAATTATCATGGGTTTCATACTAAATGAATGCAGTCAGATGAACTAAGTTTTTGTTCACCAGAAAGTCGCAAATTTCTGGAGGCTTCTTTCCCTTAGAAAGACCTCTCTATCAGGTGTGTGAAAGAGTGGAGCATTCTGAGGGTGGGGGGTCGGGGGGGAAACAACTTGCTTTAATGACATTGATTCATTTGCCCTGCATGGCTAGTGCAGTAATTCTTACCCTGGAGCTCATGAAATGACGGAAAACATATGCGGCATGCTGTTTGTGTCCAAGAATCTACATTTTCTTTGGGGTGACAGTCATGAGCACTTACCAGAATCTCAGTGGGGTTCACGATGGAAACAAGATGCTCGGGTGCTCCAGGTGAAATGAAAACTCCCAAGTGTGGAGACCATGCCCCCACGCCTGCCCCATCTCCCTCCTTCTCTCCCTCTTTCTCACAAATTCATCTGAAGCTCCGGACTTCATGGGGAATTTGAGGCTGGGCAGTGACGGGGAATCTCCATGAAATGGAACACAAGCCAGAGCTGAGACAGGCGCCGTCAGTCCTCAGCATCTGCTCCTGGAAGAAGAAGCTGTGAAATTAAAACCTGGGACTGGGCACACAGGAAGATAGCTGCAGAGAGATACAGTGAGAGAAAGCCCCTCTGCCCCTCAGCCATCTACCTGGTGCAAAGGTGGAGGGAGGCAGGCACCATCCAGGAGAGGCGAGCAGGGCCTCAAAGGTAGCACCTGAGGCTGCGGGACCCACAGGCCCCTGCTGATTCTCCAGGTGCGTGTGCACTTGAGCGAAAGAGCGAGCAGAGAAAAGCTAGTTATCTACGGCGAGCATACCTAACCTATCCACTCTTAAAACAGGGTGTCTGACAGCGAAGGGCCCAGGAAACCAGCTCCTATTCGCTGAACACTGTGGCCCTTAAAGAATAAAAACAAGAAGGGAGAGGCCGGGGACAGGCTAATTACACCTACCAAGCGACAAATCACTTGGAAAACATAAATACGTTTTCAAGGACACTCCTCCACTAACGATGCTAAAGTGTTTTTCTTTCAAATCCCAGCAAGAAAATCCAAGGGATGAAACAAACTTCGCTTATTTTAGTTTCTACTCAATTACCTGTTAATGGAAAAAATCTGGCACCAGCCATAATGAGGCAGGCATGAGCTCACTGGCGTGGGGGTCGGCCCTGTCAGGGAAGGCTGCAACAAGCGCGGCCTTTATCTGCCTCTCTATAACCCTTTCAAACTCGCTGTCAGGGAGCCCACATTGAGCAGGCTGGAGAGGAGGAACCTGGGACCCACTCCAGGCCTCCGAGGCCCCTTGGGAAAAGGAAAATTGTTGTTGGCAAGTCTGTCTGGCTCCAGAAATTGATCCAGTGCCCCCCACTTGTCCGAGCAGCAGCAGACAGGGCTAAGAATTTTGTTATAATTAAATAACAGAGTGCTGATTGGTTGCTGGAGGTGGTCTTGAAACTGGTGTTTAAAAGCAGAGGAGAACAACGGTTACTATTCATAGGAAAAGCCTAGAGTCTTAAAAATCCATCTGTTTCATTCCCAAATTTAGGCCAAAAAAAATGCTCACTTGCTGTCTTTAAAAATACCACCTGCTTTGCGATGTTGTATAATGTGCCATTATATAAGGTGGAGGGGGCGGAGGGGAGGGCCGGGTGGGAGGATGCCGTGTGGTGGGCAGAGCCCCTTCCTGAGGAAAACAGAGACAGCCTTGCAGAGGGCCAGGCTGTCCACTCCAAAGGCCGAGCCTCCACCTCCAATGCCCTACACTGGCCTTGAGGCACCAAGAGAGTCTTCTAAGCATTACCTCAGGGGGCTGCCAACAGGAACCCCCAAATATGGGGCCCTGGTAATTATGGACGTCCATCCTGCACCCACCTGGCCTTAGGGGTCAGCCATCGCAGTTTGCACCAATGCTGGCCTGGGTGGTGATCTTGCCCCATTGCCCACTACAGCTGGGCTGCTGGGTGAGGCCACAGTTCCTGGGACCAGGGGAAGGAGAAGCAGCCAGGCCCCCTTAGCCTGGTGGCTGGCCACTTGCATCTTCCTCCACACAGCCCCGGAACCCAGGATGTGGAAGCCACAGGACATTAGGTTCCCAGTGGGACAGCTCTGTTTCTACCAAGCAGACAAATGTCCCTGTCTAGCCTAACCCTTATGGAGTTTCCCAAGATTCCGAGAAATGTTGGGGACTCAGTTTCTTCTTAAGATTCTTATTCATAGGGTAAGTGGGGAAAAAAAACAACTCTGTAGTCACACGCCTAATTTTAATCCCAGATCTGCCACTTTTTGGCTGACCCATCCTGAACACGTCACTTCACTGCTTCCCCTGACAACGGGAGTAGGAAGACTTACATCACAGTATTTGGGTGAAGAACAAATAAAATAATGCATGCTGCCGCAGATGCCTGGGAGCCACGTATGGTGCCTGGCACATCGGAGGCACCGCTAGCAGGTGGTGGCTGGATTTCCAGGAGCTTCACACTCAAGCCCTTCATTTTGCATTGGCATCTCCAAACCTGAAAATCACCCAGGATCGGGAACAAGTCTTACAGCTGGCAGCAGGGTTAGCATTCCCCACATCAAAGCGAGCCAGTAGAGAATTTGAAGCAACAGGTAGTTATGAGAAAGATCCCTGATCTAGATTACAAGGAATCATGGCATCTAGCCGAGATCCAGCCAGCACCCAGCTGTGTGGCTTCAGGCAAGACACTCCCGGGACCCCCTCTCTGGGCTTCAGTTTCCTCTGGTCCTTCTTTCCAGCTCTTAAGGACTAGGCGGTCAGATTCTATTGAGAGCACATGCTTTTTTCTACAAAGGCCTCCTGGAATTTCTACTCAGCAAGATAAGACTTAGATGTATCCGCACCTCCTCCTTGGGCATTCTGAGGCCCCGGGGGAGGGGGACTAAACAAGGAGCCCCAGAACCTGTGTGAGTTCCCTCCATATCCTGACACCAGAAACAAGCTCGAATCTCAGTAACATGCCCAAGATTCTTTATTTCTACCCTCCCGTCAACCCTTGCACCCTGTAAAGCAAATAGACACAAGGGCAATTTCTAGCAGAGTGTTATCTGAAACAGTTATTAATAGGAATTTAATCTGTTTTATTATTATTTATTCTTAGAGGCCATTCCAGAAGCCCCATTGCATCTACATTTTTCACTGAGAATTTCTTGCCATAGTTGGTCTCATAAAGCTAACAGGAATGTGGGTGAGGGGTGGGCACCACATAGCTTGTTTGGTTTTATTTTAAGAAGCAACCAGCACTACCTTTAGAATCCAGAGGAAGTTAACATTGCTTAACCTGAATCCTTCATAATTCCATAAATCAAGTGAATACGGGGCATTAAATCTTTTTTTTCAAAAGGCTTGTTTCATGACTTAGCCATGGTGCCTTCCTGCTTGGGCCCCACTTGATAGACCACATGGCAGTCATAGCTCCCGTGTTTAGTTACTGGTTCTATGTGACACACACAACCTAGAGGCCTTTTGTTTCCCTTATTCATCCAATATCAGCTTCATCATTTCAGCAGAATGGAGCATATATAATCTATGAGAAAAATCCAGAGGAATCCTGAGGGCACTGGATGAGAACTACTCATCTATTGTACGACAACCACAATTTATTCATCCTTTCTACCACTAATGGGCAGGCAGCTCATGTCCAGTTTTTGGCCATTATGAATGAAGCTGCTGTGTTCATCTACTAAGGTAAAACATATCCCATTTGGATATGTTTTGGTAATTCCCTTTTGTGAATTACCTAGTTCTGTTTTTCAGTTTTGCTTTGCTTTTTGCCCATTTTTAATTGGTTGAGCGATCTTTTCTTTTGATTTTTAGGAATGCTTTTTATCTCTCGGTATTAGTCCTTTGTCAGATGAATGTATTACAAACATTTTCTTCTAGACCGTGGCTTGCCTTTTTCACTTTTAAGATCAGCTGATGGTAGATACTTTCAGCAAACTAAAGCTAGAAAAGAATTTTTCAGGCTGGACGCAGTGGCTCACGCCTGTAATCCCAGCACTTTGGGAGGCTGAAGCAGGCAGATCACTTGAGGTCAGGAGTTCGAGACCAGCCTGGCCAACATGGTGAAACTCCATCTCTACTAAAAATACAAAAATTAGCTGGGTGTGGTGGCAGGCACCTGTAAGCCCAGCTACTTGGGAGGCTGAGGCAGGAGAATTCCTTGAACCCAGGAGGCAGAGGTTATAGTGAGCCAAGATCCTGGAAAAAGGAATTTTCCTAACTTGGTAAAATGTATCTACAAAAACATACAGCTAACACTATACTTAATGGAAAAACAATGAATGATTTTTCTCTGAGTTCAGAAAAAAGTCAAGGAAGCCGTTATCACCACTCCTATTCAACATTCCATTGGAGGCTCTTGCCAGTGCAAGAAGGTTGAAATCTCTCAGCCTCAGTTTACTTGTGTATAAAAGGGGGGCAATAACTATACCTACCTCAACCAATTCTTATACAAATTAAAGGAGCTAATAAGTGATTCATGCCATCCTTGGCAAATTGTATTATTTTTGTGCCCAGTTATTCTTCCCTATACTAGAATTATACAACCATGTCCTTTGCCATTTGATTGTATTGTTCCTTTAAATATCGGCAGAGTATATTTTTCCAACCTATTGATGTGCAGCTGGGCCATGTTTTGGCCAATGGAATGTGGTTGGAATTGACCATGTGCCAGTTTCAAACTGAGTCCTTAAGAAAACGCATATGTTTCTGCCGTAACTATAGGGACATGCCCTGGGTAGCCACTAGTCTCTGAAAAAGACACGTGTTCAACAGACCTGAACCCAACTTAGCCTGGTACCAAGCTCAGCTAATCGCATGAGAGTCACAGCCGATTCACAGACCAAATGGCAAGAGAAGAAATGCTTGCTCTTGTAAGCAACTGAGTTTTGAGATCATGTATTAACAGCATTATTGCAGAAATAGCTGACAAATACACTTGGCATATAATTAGTATTTAATAAATGGCAGCTATTTAACTTACACCCCAGTTTTATAACCTGAAAATTGGGAATAATACTACAACATATTGTTGTTAAGAGAATTAAGACATCTAATATACATGTAAAGCATTATATTTCTGAAGATGCACTCCAAGGAACATTAATTCAGAAGGAAATTAATAAGTATTACCCTCTCAAAAAAGTTTTCTATGGTCAATTACATTTGGGAAACATGATAGGTAAAGTGAAAGAGGGTCCTTTTTGGCAGACTTTCATAAAGGCTTATAAATGAATGAGCATTCTGAAACTCTAAGAGGAGGCAAAGTATGAGATGTTACCCAAACAGATTTGCCCAAGAAGACGTCATGGGGTTTAAGTGCCCCATAGAGCCCGTTTTGGGAAATACTGGTGTAACACTTAATAAATGCCCATCAATAAACTTTAGTCCATTAACTGAATTTTATACACCGTGCATACTGCATTTTATATATTGAAACTATTATATTCAATATATGATAGCTAATATTAATGTTCAGACTTGGCTTCTAAACTTTCTTACCCTAACCACAGTAAGAAAGATTTTACAAAATACAGTACACACATACAGCAATATATTCTGTCTTCCATATTTTCTATTTCATTCCATCTTTCTTTTTTTTTTTTTTTTGGAGATGGAGTCTTGCGATGTTGCCCAGGCTGGAGTGCAGTGTTGTGATCTCGGCTCACTGCAACCTCCACCTTCCAGATTCAAGCGATTCTTGTGCCTCAGGCTCCCAAGTAGCTGGGACTACAGGCATTCGCCACAATGCCCAGCTAAATTTTTACATTTTTAGTAGATATGGGGTTTTACCATGTTGGCCAGGCTGGTCTTCAACTCCTGACCTCAAGTGATCCACTCAGCTTGGCCTCCCAAAGTGCTGGGATTATAGACATGAGCCACTGCACCCGGCCCATTCAATCTTATTTTTTAAAAATATTGGTCTTATTCCACAAAATCTATCTCCTGACCTATGGATACATTGCAAGCCACAATCTGAAAAACACTATATAATATGTATATACAAATTAGAATATATACTTCTAATTTTCTTCCAGTTCCAGGATCATATAGCTTTTAGTGCTGGGTCCAAAATGCTTGATTTATATAATTATCAACTGTTGTTATTATTATTACATGCACAGATACCAGAGTAAGAAAACTTCTGTGCACTGACAGGGAGAAAGAATGCCTGGTGGTCCCATAGCAATACCCTCTCACAAGGCCGTGGATCAAATTGGCTCTACCCTCCACCTCTCCCTAGTTACCCCGATGAGCCATCTTTATAATAAGAAATATAACATGGTATTTAGCTATGCAGGCTCCTAAGTCAGGCTGCCTGGGTTCAAATCTTAAGCTCTTTGCTTCCCAGATATGTGTTTTTGGGGAAGCAACTTAACTCCTCTTAGTGTCACTTTCTACATCTGTAAAATGAACATAAAAGCAATTTCCATCCCCATGAGTATTAAAAGAGAAATGCAAGTCGAGTTTTTAGCAATTTCTATTGTTATTATCCTTACATAAAATGTCTTTCTAGGTGAGCGGCTTGTCCAGGCCTCAGGAATGTTGGTGTTCCCTTTCCTTAAAAACTCCAGCCTATAAGATGGTGCAGAAATAAACCCAGGAAAACTGGAGACCAAGCTGGCTTCACCCAGACTTACATGCCAGTTCCTAGAACAGTCCCTGGTGTAAGCAGGTGCCCAAGAAATAGTCACTGAATGAATGAAAGTGCTTACATCTCCCATCAAGTGTATCCACGAGGTACTAGCTTTTAAAAACCCAGCTTCAGAGCCAGAACTCACCAGTGTTGCCCATCGGACACAGGCCAGAGTTCACGGCAGGCCTCTCCGATGGCCAGGTGCCTGGGAGTGCGGAACCAGATATGGAATGGGAGACAAAGAAGCCAACCTCAGATAGGAATCCTTTCGAAAACCCAATCTGTGGCCCTGTTCATTCGTGATTCCCAGCTCTGGTTTGCAACATTTGCCTCAGGCACCGTTCACGAGAGGCTTTTAGGCTACTCCTCAATTTCTTTGCAAAGGGCTTTAATTGAAAACACGTTTCTATGCCGCATTTCTATATCACAAAAAGCAACCCAGACAGGGCTGTGGCTCCCCAGAGACTAGAAGTCATTTTCCTAAGGCCATTAAGTTGCAGGTAAAATGAATGAGTGTGGATGAGTCACAATGTCTGTCCCTGGGTCATGTAGATGTGTCTTCTGCATCTAGATCTTTGTGATTCTCTTACTTGGGTGTGAAGAGCTGGACTAACCAGCAGAATCCCAAAGAGAAATAATGAAAACAATAATCCCAGCACTTTGGGAGGCCGAGGTGGGCAGATCACCTGAGGTCAGGAGTTCAAGACCAGCCCGGCCAACGTGGTGAAACCCCGTCTCTACTAAAAATACAAAAATTGGCCGGGCGTGGTAGCACACGCCTGTAGTCCTAGCTACTCAGGAGGCTGAGGCAGGAGAATCATTTGAACTTGGAAGGAGAAGATTACAGTGAGCCAAGATTGTGCCACTGCACTCCATGCACTCTCCAGCCTGGGTGACAGAATGAGACTCCGTCTCAAAAAAAAAAAAAAAAAAAAAAAGAAATAATGAAAACAAATAGAAGACTGGCCTTTGGCTTTTATATTAATAATAAACACTATGACCTACTAGTCTAGCAACTTTGCATCTTAGCCCTCATACAAATCTGTCCAGATGAACACCAGTATCATCACTTGTTAGGTGAAGAAACAAAGACTCAGAGAGATGAAGGAATTACCCAAGGACACACGGCGAGAGAGTCAGATGTGGGATCCTCCAAGCTCAGATTCACTCCACTGCTCCAAGCTACTTACTTTCTCGAAATCCTGCATCCAGGTCCAAGGCTCTCTGACCCTATGTGAATCCACATCATCAGGAAAAAAAAAAAACAACGAACCTTTTAATATCTGAAATGAAATGCCATGTACTGTAAAAATTGCTTTCCACATGGGCCTATCCAAGACCACCACCAATAGTGGAACGAACAACTGCCCATTCTGAAGGGTTCTGTGCTGAGACTCAGCAGTTGGAGAATGATTCTGTAGTGGGCTGAATGGTGGCCCCCCCAAAATATATGTCCATATGCAAATCCTGTTAAAACATGTATTGCTTTATATAGCAAAATATGTGATTAAGTGAAAGATCTGAAGAGAAGGGATATTTATCCAGGAGTATCTAGGTAGGCCCAAAATACAAAAACATGTATCCTTGTAAGAGAGAGGCAGAAGGTGTCTGGGGACAGACAAGAGGAGAAAGCGATGTGAAGATGGAAGCAGAGATTGGAGTGATGTGGCTTCAATCCACGGAGTGCCAAGGATTACAGGCAGCCACTGGAAGCTGAAACAGACACGGAACAGATTAGCCTCCAGAGCCTTGGAGGAAGCTCGGCCCTGCCACCACTTTGATTTCAGACTTCTGGTTTGCAAGGCTGTGCAAGAGCAAATTTCTGTTGTTTTAAACCACCACATTTGTGGCGATTCATTACGGCAGCCACAGGAAACATACGCCCTACTAATATGCAAACATCTTTGGCTAAGCCCCGTAAGAGGCCGAAAGTGATGTGGCTGGGAAAGTGAGAGTTATCGTTTCCCAGACGTTGTTTCAGGGTCTCTTAGTAACAAAAAAACCCGCAGATCCACTCTTACAGATGAAATTAGAAGATGCTGAGTTTGAAAAGAAACTCTTGAGGTAAGAAGAAATCAGACAGAGAGAGGAAGTGCCGAAGGGCAAAGACTTGGCTGGGCATTTGGAAGACTAGAGCTTGGGCTGCTGAGAACACAGGCCTGGGGGAAAGGAAGTTCCATCTTGGGTGGAAGGATCCTCCAAGTACCAACCAGGTGTTGTAAGGCAGGCAAGCGTGTGACTTGGTGACCCCCATTTTGATTTTTATAGAGATCGGCACTCGGGCTGGCTGACAGCAGAGGGACTGACCCCCCTGCCCTTTTTCTGGCCTTTGTAACAAGGGCAGTGGGTTACATCCCAGCATGGCCGAAAGGATTAAGGTCACCACCACCCTGAAAGTTGTGAGAACACAAAATTTGGAAGGCTCATGGAAAGTTTCCATTTTGCTGCTTCCTACAATACGAGTGTTGAGTTGGCCAACCTCATTCCTTCTTTCCTTCAAAAAATGTATATCAAGCACCCCACTGTGTGCCCCGCACTAAACCAAGACCCTAGCATACAGCAGTGGCACGAAAGCCACAATCCTGTCATCCTGGAGGGCTCTCTAGAGAAATGGTTTTCAACTGAGGGTGATTTTGCCCCCCAGGGGACATCTGGCGATGTCTGGAGACGTTTCTGGCTGTCATGACTGGCGGTGGGGCAAGCGCTGACAGGTTATCTAGTGGGTGGAGGCCAGGGGTGTTGATAACATCCTACAGTGCAGAGGTCAGACCCCCACAACTAACAATTATCTGGCCCAAAATGTCACGAGTGCTGAGGTTGAGAAACACGGTGAGGCTGGAATGACCTAAGCAGACGACAGCCACTTTCAAAGGAGACTAGAAGACAGAGGCCTGAAAGACCACACAGGAGGGAGACAGGCAACCCTCAGGGGCTCCGGACCAATTCCCCCAACAAAGGGACGTCTTCGTCAAGACCTGAAGCATGAGGGGTTGTTTTCCAGGCAGGAAGAGCAAAAATGCTTTTAGGTAAGCTTAACTCTGTAGTACAGCCAGAGAGGAAAGGGAGTGAGCGAGTGTGTGAGGCAGAGGAGGTGGGGGAATCAAGGAAATCCTCTGAAAGGACTGTTCCCTCACTTCTGTTTTGGAGGGGAAGGGCTGTCTTTATTTAAGAGCAGGGGCCCGGAGTCAGATCTGAATTTAAATCCCAGCCCCACCACCTCCTGTGTGGCCTTAGACAAGGCACCTAAAACCCTCAGTTTCTAAATCCATTTTCAGAAAATGAAGCAGAGGGTGGCGGAGGAGAAGAATGTCTGCCTTAGGTGGTAGTGTTAGGATTAAATGAGAAAATGCACATAAACAGCTTGGCACACTGCCACGAATAACAGATACTGTTCTTATTTGTGTTTTCAAAGGTCACTCGGCCCAGTGTGCAAAATAAAATGAGGAAGGACAACCAGAAACACTCCTCCCTGGGAATACAAAGCAAAGCAAAAACAAAATGCCGAGATTTTACAGAAGAAAAACTTGCTTGAGCAAAGCAGTTTCCGAGGGGCTCTTAAGTCCTTGATGCGATACTGTGGTCACCTTAAGAAACCACAACGGCAACACGAACAGTTCCATGCCCATTGAAATCGTCATCCTTTGAAGGTATAAATGTCCTAGATAAATGGAACAATGTGTCCATCCATCCATCTAGTCAGCAAGAGAAATGAAATCCAGGGGAAACCTTAGGGAAGATCTGTATCATGGCCCCTGCTCAGTGATGGTGATGAACTTGGGCTCTTACCAGGGTACAGCCAGAACACTTGGATCCCACATACAGCAAGGCCCTTCCACACACACCTTTCAGTGCATCACCTTAATCCAATTTTCTAAAAAGCTGCTTACTCAATAATCGCTCACTGCTAGAGAAAGGGCAGTTTGATACCCTTGCATCTCTCCCAGGATGCAACTCTTGGAGGTTAGGATGCTTTCACACCCATGATCCTTAACTGCTAAGGATGTGGTTTCTTAAGTGCACTCTTGGTGGACTAAGTCTCATTCACCAGAATTAAATTCTTTCTGCTTGCTACTGTGAGAGGATGAGTAGGATATTTCAGAGAAACTGGTTTATAGCCCCCAAAAAAGTGACATTTGCTCTGTAACTGTGCTTTGCTTTCAGCAACAAACTACTGGGAATGGCACGGTGAAATACTACAGAAGACACACACCAGGGATCCCCTTTGATACTGATCATCTCCATTGCAAATGACACATTATGCAAACCAGATACACCAAATGGGCCACGAGGATGGAGGGGAGGGGATCAACCCCTCAAAAGAGTCCAAGACCACGTTCTGGTATCTAAGTCATCACCTACACACTAACTGTATGGTCAAGTTCCAACGTGGGAATATGTTTTTCTTGATTACGGTAGGTCCAGTTTCCCTAGAGATAAAAATCCAAATCACAGAAACAAGTGACCAGCCTTTATCTGCACATACTAAGTTGCTTTTATTAATCCAGAACGGCATGCTACAGATACTGTACAGCATGAACATTTATTCATTACAAAAATGGCTTCCAAACCATTAAAAATGAACTTGGAATAAGAGCATAAAACGGAACAGTAACATCACAACTGTTAGGAAACATTCAAAGTATTCACAAAAAATGTTATAGTTAGCATTTTAATAAACCAGAGAAAAATCGGAGACAGTTTTACAATCGCTTCATGTCAACTACAATGGCACTGAATGAACAGGTTTCAGCTTTATACAGCATTTTGCAACATCAACATGCCTAGGTTTTTTTTATTTTTAAAGTCTGCTGCCTACTCGTATGTAATATGTGTACATAAAAGCGGCAGCTGGTTTTTCGTTTAAGAGTAATCTAATATACAGAATTTTGGCCCTTAAGGGTTTATACCTCTTCATTTAAAATGCTTTCTGGACAATCTGCTACCAAACACATTTTGTTATAGGTGACATTAAAACTACATACAAATCTACCTATGTAACATCACAGCAAAACATGATGAACAAAAATTACAGCATCAAAAAGAGGGAGAAAGCTAAATTCACTGAGAATTTTGGCACGTAAAGTTTTGTACACGGTCAGTCCGGGTCCTAAGGGCGCAGGGTAGGGCATCCCACTGGGAGTTCAAAGGGGAAACGAAGATGGTTCCCACTGCTGCTCAGACAGTGTCGCTAAAATTCCCTCACTCATTTTCAAGTCTTGTTTTACATAATGGCTTTTAAAGCAACTTTTGTTAATGCTACTGATCCTTAATGCAACTATTAATGTCCATTTGGTGACATCTGGGTTTCATACAGAAAAAAAAAAGTCAAAAAGGGGAAACAAAAATATATATACACATTTTATATATAAACTTAAAAACCTTGTACAAATGAGTTGTTATATATAAGATGCTTATGCTAAGGGGGAAAAAAACTTTATACAGTTTCAAGAAAAAGGAAAACATATTTAAAAAGGGACGACATACAGGTACGACAAGCAATCTCTAAAGCAATAAATACTACTGGCCCAACAGCGTTGTGATTCTATTAAGTGTTGAGTAGCGTCCCCTCCCCCCAAAAGAACAACACCATGGAACAAGGTATATTAACACATTTTTACCCTTTGTTTCTGTACATTTAAACAATAACAAGTAACATCACAATAAGAGTTGTTTCACACAGAAAAAAAAAAAAAAAGTAACGGCACTGCATTCATGGTGCCCTTACGGTTTAAAAACCAGATGTAAAATGATTGGTTCGCAAGCTCGTATTTAATACAAATAATACAGAACCAACTCCTTCTGGAGGGCTGCTTCAAAATTGCTTTTTTTTTCTTTTTGTTTTTTAATCAGTCTTTTAAAACTAAGCTATCCGAACTACATAACAGTTATGTATATATATATATTTTTTAAACGCTACAAAGACTTTAAACAGCTGTTGATAAAAATTTTGGTAGAATCATGAGGTTCTTCTCTCATCTACATATTTAAAAGGAGAAATTGAAATAAGAATGGGTCAAATATTGACCAATGAACTCGATAAACATCAACTAATGTAGCCACATGGCACAAAATTAAGAGAGTACAAAACAAAACCTTTCAAGGTGGGGGTGGGGGGCAAATTAAGAAAAGTGAAACAAAACCATAAACAAAGCAGCGGGGTTCACGACGCTAAAGCTATTCTAAAGACTTGGTGACGAGCGACAGCGGCTGGGGCTGGGTCCCGGCCAGGGAGCTGTGGGAATGTAAGGAAGAAGTCGACGGCTGTGCAATTGATGAGGAGGGGGCGGCAGGCTGCAAAGCGGCTGGGGGCAGGTCCAGGGCCCCGTTGGGACAGAGGGCGGAGGCCTTGTGGGTGGCCTCAGCGAGCAGGAGGGCGGGTGGCGGAGGCATCATGGACAGGTGGGCCAGGGGGTCGGGCTTCAGGGACAGCGACAGAGGCTGGGTCTGCTCAGTCTGTGACTTGGCGTCTCGGGGAGGGGAGCCTAGCAGGTTCGGGGAGGGGGGAGGCGAATCTAGTAAGCTTCCATCTGAAGAGGGTGGGCTGAGGCAGCTGCCTTCACCTTGTATGTAGCGAACGCACTTTTTTTTTCTCCTAGAAACAGGGGAGAGAGTTATCTGTGAATAGAGGGCACAGATGCCAAGGGAGAGAGTTACCTAATGCTCACACCCAAGCTGAGGTCACCTAAGGGATGTCCCACAGAGGTGGCACGCCCAGTGGTCCGAGGACAATTACAGTGGCGCCCCCCCAGGGTGGGTCGCTTACTTCACAGTGCCCAGATCTAAGCCTGCTCTGGCAAACAACTTATTTAAGAGTCTGAACTCTCTACTTGCTTCCCCCAACCCCTACTAAACACCCATGCCCCACCATGCCCAAATTATATACGAGAGCAGCATGGAGGCGGCCACCTGCAGATGGTGGCATCTATTTGCCAAAAAGTGGCTTTGTCCAAATTGAGAAGAACTGAAAAGCTCTTTTGGCTTAGACAGTCCCTCACTTTCCCATCAAGTTTCCTCGGCCCTTCACTCCCATTCCCACCACTACCACCCCCATCCCCCAGTGATGTGTGTGTGTGAGTGTGTGAGTGTGAGTGTGTGTGTGTTTAAAAGAGAAAGACAGAGCTCCTTCCCCAGCCGCCTCGTATCAATATGAAACTCTCAAAATGCTCACTGTTGAGCCCACATAGCTGAAGGCAGCGCTAGCAAGAGGCTTAAAGGTTTTAACACACCACCACCATGAGGCTGCTGGCGCCCAGAGAGCTTTCGGGCTTGTCTGTTAAGAACCACACCAAATCAAGAGAGGTCAGAATCAGGTGAGAAGGGAGGAAGGGAAACAAAAATAAAACAAAATAAACTTAAAACAAAAACAAAAAACAAAAAACGAAACAAAAAAAAGAAACCACCAAAAACAGGTAGAAGAGGATAAACAAAGGTGGGGGAGGGGGAAGAATAAGAAAAACAGAAAATGATTCAAAGGAACGAGAATAACTGGTTGTATGGCCTGCAGGTTGTGGATTAAATTAAGATTCAAACTTGATTTTTTTTTTTTTTTTAAGATTTGGGGCTTTCCCCTCCCCCACCCCGTAGTGAGAAGGTTGGAAGGAGAGATGGTGAGGATGGGATGGATGGAGGGGCATCCTGCTCTTGTCAATATGCCAAGGCTAGTCAATGGAGGGTGCAGCACAAGCCGGTCACCGAAGTGACTACAAAGAAGAAGTGCCAGGGAATCGCAGCATGGACCTTCCTGGGTTTGGGTTATCGTGATTCGTGTTTAAACCAGAAAGACTAATTTTGCCCTGCACCAAAACCAGCATCTCCCCTCTTCACTACTCATTCATGTAAGAAATAGGAATGAGAATTTCAGAGCCCTTCTTGCTTAGCATCAAAGGATGAGGTCGGGGAAAATCAACTCAAGAAATTGAGCATGTGACTTCAAAGCTTCTCCTCCCATTAATCCCAGTCTGATGGGATGGTATTTGGTAAGGAAAGGTGAGCCTGGGGATCAACCCCACTAATGCTATAAAAATAATGCAGATACAGGAAGTGTGCTCATCTAAGGACCCTAGAATATTGTCAGAACCATGGCTGATAACACTCCAACTGGAAACACGTGTGTAAGCACTGGCCAGCTTTCTGCCGCTGGAAGCAACCAAGATGCTGCCTGCTTGAAGGCAACCACTGTCAGACAATGTCACTGGCCTTGGAAAGGAAGGGTGTGCTGAGTTCCTCCTCTCAGTCTGTGCCCCAGAGCTGTCTGATCATGCCCCTCTGTGCTTGGGGTTTGGACTCAGCAAGATGGCAGGAAGGCAGGGAAGGAGGGGAGGGGTGTAAGGGAGCATGCTCAGTCCTCCCTGCCTCCCAGAGGCTGAGATTCATGGGGGCTAGTGGCCTCAGGGTCTGTCTGTTCCTTCTGGGTCAGAAGGAACTCTAGGGGAGCAAGCACCACCCCCTCTCACCCTCAATTTGGCAAGGTTCCTTTTTCTCCCTGGGAGAGAGTAAATAGACTATGGGTTCTGCTTCCATCCCAGAAACCAAGATAAATAATTAAGCCTCTCAGAGTTTTAAACCACCTTAGCCTGCAGATCAAAACATGCTCAAAAAACTAAGATGTCCATGCATTTTAAAAATGGGAGAAGGAAAGGAGGTGGGGAGGGGGAGGGCATAAGCAAAACTGAGAAAGCAACAGAGAAAAACAGAGAGAGGAAAGGAAAGGGAGAAAGAAAGAAGCAGGGAGAACAACCAGGAAGACAAGGGAACAGCACCAAGCAGCATTCCATGCTATATTAGGGCAGAGTGAAAAGATGGGAAAAGCAACTTGGTGGGCTCAAAACAGAATCTTGTTAAAATGTCCACAAATGTCAAATGAAACTAGAAACCTTGTGTGGCAAGCTAGAAGCCCTGATTGGCTAGGAGCATTCTGGTACCTTCCTCACCCCTCCCACCCTCATGACGTGGAAGTTTCCAGATCATAGGAATGAGAGGGGTATCTGGAACACGGGACATGAAGACTATGGCGACAGAGCAATGGGTCTCCTAAGGTGGCTGAGCACAGGGCAGCTGGCACGCACACACATTTCTGACGAGTCAGAAAATGCCTCGGTTGGCAACTGCTTTTCTTTTTTTCCTTTTTTTTTTTTTTTAAGTACATTTTGTCCTATGAGTTTTAGCATTAAGCCAGGGGTGGCCATAGCCACGTTAAAAGGAAAAGTTGAGTAAAAGGGGGAAGGTAACCCATACTCTTAGCACCCCCAACCTAGGCTTCATCTCGATTCAGAGGAGTGGCCTCTTAGAAACCCCTTTCTAGCTTCTTGTTTATTCTGAAAGGAAACTAAGGGTTCTTCCTGATCCTGTTTTGGAATAGCATCCTTCAAAGACAGCAGAAATGCATTTGCTAATCATTCCATGGTATGGAAAAGTCACCAACAAAGAAAAATATCTGCTGGGAAAGTCTGAACACTGCTGAGACTGGAAAGAAAACCAGGTGGAGACAGGGACCTGGGGAACTCTGGCACCTAGGACCAGGGGCTCAGCGTCTGCAGCAGAAATGCTGCCCTATTGACAGCCCCTCCAAGATGCATTTTAGAAAACCATGCTGCTCAAACAGGAAGCAGCTACAAAGGTTTTCGGTTGGCAGATTTTTTTTTTATATATCAATAAAATTCTGGTCTCTGAAGATACACCCAGGCTGTAAGCAAGGTGTAAGCTAAAGCTATGCCCAAATGGGGGATGCATGTTTGGGTCAATGTTAGGAATAACTTCAAGAAAAAAAAAAGTCTGACTTGCAGCAACTGCTTCCAAAACAAAAAAAGGATTCATAAACCACCACCCACCCCATTAATAAAATAAACAAACTAGGTACCTGAACCGGCCTTATTGTGAGGAGCACACAATAGTGTCAGTTGTACATTTCTACAGATCATGAGAAACCCTCTCTTTTAGTGACCCTTGTGGTTAACCAGTCATTGGCCATGGCAGGGCATCTCAGAACAGGCTTCCACAGCTAGTTATCTTCCCACCTGGTACAAGTAAAATTTTGACAAATTCACTGCTTAACAGAGTCCCTGCCCTCCCTGGCTAGTCCTAATTAAATACCTAACCTCCTCCATCAACTTTGTCACAAAACTCCTTTCTGTTGTGCAGAGAAGACCCCAGGACTGTGTCAAAGGGACATCTGTCAGCGCTGTGAACACTACCATCTCACAGAATGCCTGGGGAGTTCCTCTCCTGCCGGGTGTTCAACTCGCCCCCAAATCCCTCATTCCACAGGCAGAGGGCTGTCTGTGTGGCTCCCTCTCAGGGAATACTCTCAGGCCCTCTCTCCTCTAATGTGTGCTGGGGTCAACACGAGGCACTTCACCGATCTCTCGTATTGGCATCAGAGAAGGGGGGAAGAGACACAGGAGACTCGTGGGCATGCACGTAATGGGATGCACATCTGATCTAACGTCTAAACACGGAGCACATGGCAAAGTCATGAAGGGGAGGGACACGTGACGAGGGAGGCACTACAAACAGGGAAGCGTGTTTAGGGTGTTGA
Organism: Homo sapiens; assembly: GCF_000001405.40. Classification (NCBI taxonomy): domain Eukaryota; kingdom Metazoa; phylum Chordata; class Mammalia; order Primates; family Hominidae; genus Homo; species Homo sapiens. The sequence continues at coordinate 113,161,612 of NC_000010.11, read as the reverse complement.
AATACCTACCATTGTAATATTCCAAATTCAAAGACTGCTTGTATCAGAACAAAGAAACAACACATTTAACCAAAGGTGGTCATTAAAGAAAGGAAATGAGACAGGAGCTAGTCGGTATCCCTCCACCAAGAAGGAAGTACCTACACTTTCCCTGAGAATGCAGGCTGGATGGAGACCTGCAGGTGGAACATGGGTGCTTAATTTGGACACTTCTGGGCTGTTCTGATTCCTTTTGGAACCAATGCTACATATATACACACATATATTTTGTTAATTCTGCAGGCCTAGGGACGCTGCAGTCTGAGACTGCATGACTCACTGCTTGCAGCCCTTTAGCTGGTGCATGCCGTTCAATGCCACGCTTCTTTTTCAGCACTGTAAAACAATGTCAGCTAACCAAGCTCCTCCGTACAGACATGTGGTTTTTAAACATAAAACAACCAAAAAGGAAAAAGAAAAAAGGGAAAGAAGAAGCCTACCCCAGAACCCTTCTCCATGTGTCTCGACTCTAAGTGCACGGGAATGCAATTGCTGCCAAGTGTTAACTCATTCAAACCTTTGGAAATGGTGGCTCTCTGTGCTCAGTACCCGGGCCACCAAGGCATTCATAGGGCCGGACCAGCTCCAGGATGCTGGCTTTCAAAGCAAAAAGATAAGTGCCCCTCCTTGTTTGTTAAGGCTGTGGTCTCAGTCCTGCCACCAGGGATATTGTTCATGAGAGCAGGGGGAAAAGAGAGAAAGAGAAAGTGGGGAGAGGAAATGGCATAAAATTAGCAAGGAAATTTTGAAGAATGAGGATCATTAGTCATTGATGCCAGAGGGGAAGTAGATGGGGAACGAGGTCAAAATAAATTATCACGCTAAGGTACCGGAAGGACAGAATGCTTTGATTTTCCCAAAGGCCTCGCAGTGGTAATATACCTGCACGGTTTGCACCATAAAGTCTGTCGGTCAAGCCCGAACAGTGCCCGACACTTCTTTGGAGTATTTGCATCTGTTAGCATAAGGTAAACACAAAAAATACAACACAATGGTGGGTCGTGCTCAGTTGGATGTGAAATCTCAGCTACAGCTTCCTTTTCTTCTCTATCACCTTGGTTCTATTTGATAATCTTCCCTCACCAAGGACATGAAAGGAAAGGACTTCTATGAGCCAAAAGAAAAAAAATAATAAAATAAAACAATAAAACACACACACACAAAACAACAACCAGAAACCAAAAAACAACAATGAAAAAATAAATAAATAAAAAGAGAGAGAGAAGAGGAGGGGAGAAGGTGATGTCATTTGCTTCTACCTAGGCCAGGATTCCGATCCTGGGCTGTCACAAGGAAGGGATGGGGGTTGGCAGGTAACATTCCCTGGGAGGGGGCGCGCTAAGGTTTGCTGTCGCTGACCCGAGGAGGCACGAGTGATGCTGTTTTACAGTGGCATTTTGGCTGGCAGCAGCAGGAGAACAAGCACATCCCTCATAGAACCCATACACTTGGCAGTGTCCCACTCCCCTGTGTCTCCTGAGATCCACACACAGAGCTACAAAGCAACAGGCCAGAGAAGGGGGAGAGGATCGAATAGACCAGCTGCAAACCAGCACAGCGAATCTGGAAAACTATACACACCTGCAAGGGCCGCACCAGTTATTCTGTTGATCAAGGCCAAAGCGCGCTCGGCATTTCTTAGGAGCGCTCAGGTCTGAATGAGTTCAAGAGAGAAGCGAGCAGAGGAGGAGAACGTGGGAGAAAGGGAGAGAGAGAGAGAGAGAAAGAGGGGGGGGGGGGGGGAAGAGAAAGATACAAATAAGAAAAAAATAAAAATAAAAAAGGGAATAAATCAATGACCTGGTTACTAATTGCAAAATATTGACTTTCGTTTTTTAACTTTCTTTAATTAAAAAAAAAAAAGTAAAAGTCACATTCTTATTCAACTTTTGAAATTAGCTGTTGCAAATAAAGCTGCAGTATCCCTTCTTTAAGGACTGTCTCTCAGATTTGGTTCGAGCTGACAAAGGGAAGTTAGACATGGAATAACTCTTAAATATTTTTCCTCTTTTAGTTCTGCTTTCCCTTTTTTCTCTCAATTTTTTTTCTTAAAGAAGAAAATAAAGCGAAGGAGGGAATTAAGTTTGTAACATGCTTTTTTCTTCTCAGAATACAATAGTTTAAAAAAAGAAAAAAATTACAAATAAAAACAGAACAAAACGAAACAAAATAGAAAGAAATAAAGAAAGAAAAGGGTTGTGGTACTGGGATATTGCAGCTTTTGGAACGTTCGTCTTTTTTTTAAATCTATTTTCATTAATTATTAAGAGAGGAAAAGATAAAGGTAAACAGGCTGTGTGAATGAGCTGTTAGGAGTTAGTTAGAAGCTCATAGCAGCATTTAAGCAGGCACAGTCAGTAAAATGCTAGTGGACTTGCAAATTATGAGCAGAAAAGCAAAAGAAAGAAAAAACTAAAATAAAAAAAAGCAAAGGAAAAAATAATCATACTGCGGATGCATGCTTGCGTGAGAAAACTTAGTGGGAGCAATGAAAAAAATGCCATTAGATTAAGGAGGTTTATTACTGAATTCCTTCCATTTTTTTTTTTAACCAGTCTCTTTTAAAGAAATACTGCATATTCAATTTGCACAGTTAGTTCAACTCTAAATCACTGTCATCACTGCTTAAACAACTGTTATGGGAAAAATAAATAAACAAAACAAAGGTTAAATTAAAAAAAAAAAACAGAAGCAACTGAAAAAAAAAATCTACTGAAACATACGAAACCGTGTTGATGGTCATTTTAAAGAATGTTCAAATGTCATACGTGTTTAAATGTTAATAAAACTATAATGGCAAGAAAAATTAAAAAACAGTTTATCAACTATTTTAATGACTCAAAATGACATTAGCACCTGTAATCGGAGGAAGTGAAAGGCAAGGATTTAGGAAACATTCGCTGTGTTCTGAAAAAAAAGAACAAATTATACAAAGCCTTCAAAATTTTTGTTTTGTTTGTTTGTAAAAGCCTGGCCTTCTCCAAGGGACCTCTGAGATTGCCTATGCAGTATTTCTAATTTCTTCTAGAGAATGACAAACCTCCTTAATTTAAAATGGGTGTAATTTACCACTGTAAAGGCATGCATCAGAACATTCAGGAACAGCCCAGTTAATATCAAACACTCACACACACCCCCTCCTACTCCCCTAAGCCCCGCCCCCTCCTCATCCCTTCTCAGGCACACACAAAATAAGCAGACTGTATAAATCCCGGCATAGGCATGCCTACCGCTTGCTCTCCAGTTATAGGCTCTGCAGTTATTTTAAAACACATTCCACTAGAATTACAATGTGCTTTTCATGCAACAATGGATGTTACTAGCTTTAAAAGGGCAGTCATGAAGCAATTAATTAAAATGCATAAACAAAAAGGCTAGCTAAGAAGGGTTCCCCCACAATGTCCTGGCCTTGAATTTCTCCTGCCTCCCCCAGATGGAAACCTAACATAAAAGGGTGGTCCTCAGGCTACAGCTCCTTCCTCTAACCTGATGATTGTCACTTACCATTGGTCTCTCCCGGCTGCTTGTCCCTTTTCCTCTTCTTCTTCTTTCCCTAGATGAAGAGATGAAACACAGGGAATTACTGCAAGAAACAGATGTGAGAAGAGTGTCTGGGCGCACCTGGAAGGAGAAGGCAGGAGGAAGTGACCATACTGCCATCTCCATCCACACAAACCCCCGGTATTTGTCCAACCTCCAACCCCGCTTCAAGCCAAATGCCCTTGCATTGTACCCCAGCTGGAGGGACACACGCTTCTTGGGAGCAGAGAAGGGATTGGCGGGTGGTGAAGGGAAGCTCTCATTTCTCATGTACCTATGTCCATTGTCAAACCTGACCCACAGCATTTGATCCATAAAAGGGAATGGGGGACGGCACGAGGAAGATTCAGAGAGGAGTGGGATGATGGCGTTGCAAGCAGTCTGAGAGCCCATCTTTGAGGAGCACATGAAGGTGGTCATGGCCGCACCAGCTTCAAGGGCTGCCCTGCCTGACCTGCTCACAGTTCTTACTTATGAAGGCCAAAGGGTCCCACTCTGAATCAAGAGAATGAAAGCTTTAGCAGAGGCTTCTCTTAGAGTTTGCTGTTAAAGATGCAGGGGAAAAGGGTGAAATAGAACGAGGAATCATCTGGGCTCCTTTCACAACTGCTGAGTGGGCTGGGAGCAGTGGCTGACGCCTATAATCCTGGCACTCTGAGGGGCGGAGGTGGGAGGATCACCTGAAGTCAGGAGTTCAAGACCAGCCTGGCCAACGTGGCGAAACCCCGTCTCTACTAAAAATGCAAAATTAGCCGGGCATGGTGGTGCATGCCTGTAGCCCCAGCTACTCGGGAGGCCGAGGCAGGAGAATCGCCTGAACCCAGAAGGCGGAGGTTGCAGTGAGCCGAGATCATGCTACTGCATGCCAGCCTGGGCAACAAGAGCAAAACTCTGTTTAAAAACAAAAAAACAAAAAACAAACAAAAAAAACCTGCTGAGTGGACATCTGTAAGAAAGAAGATGTTCCCTCAATTCTCTTCTAGCTGACATAATGAGGATGATACCACTCCTCCCATGAATGGGTCACATGTGTTGAGCATATGCCAGGTGCCAGGCATGATTCTAGGTGTGCTACGCAGATGGACTCATTTTAATCATCACAACAATCCTCTTCAACAGGTATTACCACCATTCCAGTTTCACAGAGGAGAAAACTGACGAGTTAGGTAACTTTGCCAGGGTCACACATCTAGCAAGTGGTGGGGCCAGGAGAGAACTCAGGTGGTCTTGGCTCCAAAGCCCTCAACCACAAGGCTCTGCTGCCTACAAGTTTAATGCCCAGCCCTCCAAGGAAGCTCTTTTAGTGAGGGCTTTAGGGGATGAACTGCATGGAGTCTTTCATATTCTCCAACCTGATCCATCTGCTCGAGGTTGCAAATGTGGAATGGGACTGGGGGGAATTCAGGAGAGGCGACTGCCTCATTCCGGATTGGACTAGTTCTCCCTCCCCTCATAGCCCTACCAGATGAAGTAGCTGCCTGGCATACATTGAAATGAAATGGTCTTACACTGCTATATGTTTCAGAACAGCTAAAAGTTGCCTTTGCCTAAAGCTTCTCACAGTATGTTGATGTCAACTCGGAAGAGAAAAAGACAATGATAGGCAGAAAGAAACTTGAGGTCCAGGTGCGGTGGCTCACGCCTGTAATCCCAGCACTTTGGGAGGCCAAGGCGGGCAGATCACAAGGTCAAGAGATCGAGACCATCCTGGCCAACATGGTGAAACCCCATCTCTACTAAAAATACAAAAAATTAGCTGGGCGTGGTGGCACATATCTGTAGTCCCAGCTACTGGGGAGGCTGAGACAGGAGGATCACTTGAACCTGGGAGGCAGAGGTTGCAGTGAGCTGAGATCGTGCTACTGCACTCCACCCTGGTGACAGAACAAGACTCAGTCTCAAAAAAAAAAAAAAAAAAGAAAGAAAGAAACTCGAGAACACGTTAGGTTCTGTCAGGAAAACCTCAAGGTGGTGATGCCACCAAGCTTAGGCTCCACCCAGGGCTGAGGGCCATCTGTTGTAGAAATGGCCTATCTTTTCTGTGAGGGGAAGGGGCCTGTGCAACTTGGGAGCTTTGTTTTGGCCTTCTGTTCGGGGATCTTGTTGAAACGCGCTATGTTCCTTCATGTACAATTTCTTTTAAAAGGACCTCATGTGCTTTATCATGAAGCTGGCATCTCATGGGCCTGCAATGGACCATCTCCATGCCCGCGCCTCTCCCACGTGAGGGGCAAAGTGCCACCTGGCTATCCTGGAACAGGCAGGCGGGCCTAGTTTCGGTTCATTTAGGAGCCTGAAGTATTCATAAAAACTGGGCACAGAAATGTTTTAACTTCAAGGAGTATCAGCATCCACATACCCAAGGGCTTCTCAGCCATGTGTGAAAAAGCATCCCCGTTTCCAATTCCTTGCAATATACTGTGAAGGCATCTGAAAATTCCTCTACACACAAAGAAGCTGTGCCTTTAGGATATAGCACGGAGATGTTGACTACTGAAGAAGTTGTCATTTAGACTAGAGACTTCTGGAGGACAGGGATTGTGTTTTAATAAAAAGAAGACATGAGAAAGTGGATAAACCCTACACTTAGTGAAGAGGAAGATGCATCTCCAGGGAAGTGGCCACGCTACTACCCCTTTAAATGTAACAGAAGAAAGAAAGGGCCTACGATATGGGTAGAAGAAAAGAAACTCAGGTGAGCAAATGGCATGGGACCTCTATCCTTTACCCAGTGTAGAGGGTTAAAAAGGAAATAATGTCAAATATAATCCCAGGGGTTACATATTACTATGGGACTCAAGATGTTTTCTCTTGGGCTCTAAAGAAGGTACCAAGTCTGACAATCCAAACGTGACTGTTTCACTCAATTCTGTTGTCCTAAGGTAAAGATATAAAGGCTTCCGTTACCAGTTGGCTGGAAAAGCAGGAATGTGAAAGAGCCATGAGAAGATCTCAGGAAATATTTTCCAGAAGAAGCTTTTGGAGTTTACAATGACCAAAGTAATATATGGAAACTCCCACGTCAAGTTAGTTAAAAAAAAAAAAAAAAAATACTAGTTAAGTTGCTACCACATTCAAATCCATAAAAGCTTCAGTGCTGCGGTTCTTAGTCCCAGTGTTCCCTAGCGCATAAAAGGAAGGCGTGAGTGTGAGTGTGTGTGTTCACACCCATGTGTAATGAGCCATTGTAATAGGAATCTAAGTACCTCTTACAAGAGATAAAGTTCCTAGAGCCCTAAATCCAGATCTCTAAACCTCAAATCGTCTCAGGAGTTCCCTTATTATACCAAACCATCTTCCAAATTTAAAACTGAGCTAAAGTCATTTCGAGTGCCTAACAGCCCTTCTGAAACCGAGAAAGTATGTCACAAAAAGCCTCGAGCAATACTTTCTCTAAACGACTCCCAGGCAAGTCAAACACGGTATTCTTTTGAAGCTATCACAGTCTGCCTTGTACCTTTGTAGAGATTTCACCCTGCACAACTCCAGGGGGCACCATTCACATAGACCCCAGTGTAAATGACATACTCTAGAGTTGTGCAGTGCACGCCCTGCACAGCTGTACATGAAGGCCCTACTATGACCCAAAATGTCTATTGGGGATATGATCTCTATAGAGAAGCTGAATTCCGCTCTGTGGTATCATTCTAGATTACTCAAAGAATTGGGTCTGTAGCAGGTAGAAGCTCAAGATGAACTCTAAGAACTTCTGACCCGAAACCAGGAGAGCAGCTGTCCTGAAATGATATGGTTGTGTACGTGGAGGCTATGGAGCCTGCCTGCTACTGGAAATCTCCACCTCAGGGTCAGGTGGGGGTGAACAGCAAGCCTGTGGGAGAGCATTCACTTTCTCATCCTCTTCCTTTCAGCTCCAGAAGAAAGGCCTCCCCACTGCACACATGCTGGGGACAAACAGAAAGGTCCCAAGCAGTGGAGACCCCGTGCAAGCCCATCTGTCGGCGACAAGGGCTCTCAGCAGAGCACACGCGCCATCCCAGAGGTGCCAGCACTCCTTCCTGATTCAACTCCCAGGAGGAGCACAGTCTAGCGCTGCCAGCTAAGGGGGCAGGGCCTCGAGAAAGATGGCCAGGGGCACCTCCCTGTTCCCTCATCTACATGGCAAGCACGGGTTTAAAAGTATGAGAAGAAAGAGGAAGGAGGCCTGAAATTACTCATCAGAGCAGGCAGAAGCAGCTCTTCCTCAGGATCACATAGGCCGGCAGATGTTTGCGATTTCCTGGCGGATGCTAAGTTCTGAGGGAGTAAAGATATCCGACTTAACTCTGAATCCCTGTAATAACTTGTGCACAGTAACTGCACATTTCCCAGCATCTCCTGCAGTTAGGTTGGGTCACATGACTAGCTCTGGCCAATGGGTGATGGGAGTAAGTGACCCATGACACTTCCAGGCCAAGGCAGTTAAGAGCTGTGTGTCCCCAGCCCCTGCCACAGAAGCCTCAAAGGCCATGATATGTTTCACTCAATTCAGTAATAATTTAACGACCTCGACCCCTATACGTCAAGCTGCTTCACCGCGGATGATGCCAGTGGGAGAGTCAAAAGTAACTGGAAAAGTAACCATCCATGGCTCCAAGACATCGACAGGAAGGGGATGAGAGGCCTGTGCCGGCCTTAAGACAAGTTTTGGTGTTCCCCTAAGAGTGGATGGTGAAATCCCTTCACGGAACCAAATGTCATGAAATAAAGTATCAGGCAAAACAAGAGGCATTTCATCCCTCGAGAGAGGAAAGCGGAGTTACTGGGCAAAATGGAGGATAACCAGCAATGGTGAGAAGTGACAGAAGTCTCCGGAAGACAGCGTGCTCATGGGAGGAGAGGAATCGTGGGGTCACAACCACTGCAATTAGTAAAAACAATCATCCCATGGTGTTTCCTACAACCCAAGAGAGGACTAGGCAGATCCTGTAGCCAACACAGAGCCCAGGAACACACACACCGCATAGCACACTTTCCCTGCCCTTGCTGGGGCCAGAGTCGGTTCATGCATCCTGCCAAAGGCTGACTTCCTCTGGCTGCTTTCAGGGATATTCCCATCATGCTCCTCTCAGGATGAAATAGGCTTCTAACTTCTACTGCACCATGGCACAAAGGAATAGTTTTGTTTTTCCTTCTTAACGGTAAAGGGCCTGCTGAAAGGCCTGGGAGGAATTAAATTCTGTTCCTCCACACCTACCCACTGGTCTTCCCTAGAAGGCCACACCACTGATCACTGCTGAGGAGCCTGCGGAACCTAATCCGGAACATAAGGTCCTTTGGGTGTATCCTAAGAGCCTTGCCTCCTCTAGAAAGGAGACAAGCACCAAATCAACCTCATTGGTCCTGAGCTGGAACACTGGGACTGCAGCCTCCTCTCTCCACCCTGAAGAATGACTGTGAGCTGATCCAACCATCCACACGGGAAGCCCCTCCCTGCAGTTTAGCGATCCAGGAAGATGCTACCAGTCCCCAAAGCGGGCAGATTGGATGGTCCTGAGGCCCACCCTAGTCAAGTGGCAGGTCCTGTTCTCTTTGTCCGTATAGACGCACAACACAGCTCTACAGACTCCAATCCTAACGAAAATGATCCACCTACATAGTTATCCCGCGCGGACCAGCCGGGGTACAGTTGCATATGAAGCTGTCGCTCCTTCCGGGCCAGCTCGTAGTATTTCGCTTGCTCTTCTCTGGACAGTGCATGCCACTGGAGGGGACGTGGGGTACAGATGAGAAAGACATGAACAAAGAGAAAAGCATGAAAGAACATCACACATTACGCCAAGGTCAGGGGATAAATAATGCTGCCTTTTTGGGTGAGTCCGTCCAGAAATGGTATAATCTGTACATACTGACCGTCGGCTGGGTCCTGGCACTAACAGGAATGTTTAGACAAAACTTGATTTGTTATCTATGTCATTCTGTCATTTGCTCACTCGCTCGGGTAGGGGAAGAGCATGGCTGTGGCTGTTCTGAACGCTGAGTGCAGAATAACTAGTCCTGACTCAGTGAAGGCCATTCAAGGATTCAGAATGTGGCTGAAGGGCAAGAATTCTCCAAAGAAATGGGGACAGAGACATTCTGCCACCTGACCTGCTGCACTCTGGTCCCTCACCACCCGCCCCCCGCTTCTCCCTGAGAAGGGCGTCACCTACCCTCCGCCCAAGGATCTGGTTGATGGCCGCGCTTTCTTTCAACGTGCACTCAGCTACGACCTTTGCTCTCATTTCCTTCATATACAACATGAATGCATTAAGAGGTTTCTTTATGTGGGGCTTCTTCTTTTCTTCTTCCTTTTTGGAGTCCTGATGCTTTCTGGAGATAGACAAAACAGACGCAACCCAATAAACAAGGTCGTGGTCCAACTTCCTCCATGGCAGGGAACGTATCTCCTTGTCTCATAACCCCCAAGCCTAGCAGTTTTGGATTAAAAAGCATGCTTTTAGTTCTTCTGCACCCCGGAAAATGGAACAAAAATAGCTTGGGGAGGGGTTGGGGGAAGAGAGGGATTTTGCAATCACTTCCTCAAGTTTCACAAATATACAATTTTCCCAAGCCAGAGGGGAAAGCACATGGTTGCTGTCTTCACCTCGGCAGGGTTTTCTCCTGCTTGCAGAACAAAGCTCTAAATGTTCAATGATGCGGTTAGGGGGCAGGGAAGTGGTTGCAAATCCCAGTGTATCCAAGTACACACACAAAAAACAGTTCTGTTCTAACCCACGGTGGTACAGTGAGATTCTGCCACTGTGCACTCTCTCTCTCTTTGTAAGGGAGTGAAGAGCCCACACAGGCTGGGTATTGGCTGCAGTCAAACCAAACGAGGCCAACCTTAGGCAGAAAGCCACCACCCAGCAGCTGCAACAGGCTTGCAGAACACTGCGGCTACGAAGAAGGTGAGAAAAACAGCAACACTTACGAACTATGGAGTGAGCCGACATCACTCTGGGACGATTCCTGTTTGACTGTTGGTGTGACTATGGCCGGATGCGGAATGCCCGTCGTGTGTAGCGTATGATGTGGTGGGACCATATGGGGAGGGAACCTAGAAGACAGAAAGCTGTGTAAATCGTCAGAATCAAAATGAATGAATGAGGAGGGATGTGTACACACAATTAAAAAGAAAAAAAAAAACAGCACGTAACACTCACATGAAAGCAACCCAAGGCATATGAAACCTGTCAGCATTAATTAGCGATAAATTAAACATAATGATTCTCATAATGTCATTAAAGCCAATTCATTATTGCTACTGACATAAGACATTATGATTTTTAACATCTTTAGCAAAAGACAAATTCAACTGACGTACTTGGGCGGAAAAGTGGGCTTGGACTACCTGCCAGAAATCGCACGTCCACTTGTTTTTTGAGGCATTATTAGTGGCATCTAAGAAGACAATTTCCTAAGTCCTAATCAGCTCTAAAATGAAAGGTGAAATCTTTTGTTGTATATTGACAGCTAAATAAAATATTAACGTGGTTGAAATATACATACATTTTTGACAATGCTGTGCAAGCCTCATTAGGCCTCATCCTGTTGATGAAGTGCAATACAATTTTTATTTTTCTTTTGTGCTGTGTCCCATCATTTGACAGGAATGGGAGAGAGTGAGGCAGGAAGACAGGGAAAATTCAAATAGTTCCTATTTGGTTCATATCATAAGTCATGGACATTTTAAATAAGTTTCTATCCCTTTATGGAAAGATGCAAAAAAAAAAAGGAAAGGAAAGGTGCACACACACACAATAAACCTTTGATTCTGATTTGTATGCCCTTTCTCCTCTAAAATTTAGGATTCCTATATCACTTTTACTTCATATGTTGTCTAGGCATCATTAAGAAGTCTTCTAAATGATTATCAAAATTATAAATGAAAGATACAGTTTGTGTTTTCTCCTCTCATGCTGCTCATTTTTTGGACAGTTCTCTAAGGCACATTTTAGGACCTGAATTGGCATTTCCCAACCAAGTACATTAGCCAGGACAGAAAGAGCTAATCTCAACCTACTCTTGGCCCATCTGCAGACTGACAACTGGATCAAACACCTTTCTCATTTTCAATTTTGCGTGGTGTCACCATGATTTGTACTGGGTTGGAAGACTCACCCCTCTTCAAGCAACATATCCTACTATAGAAAAAATAGTGAGGGACAGAAAGGGCAGAATCCCAAAAGTAAACAATATGGCAGCCTCCTGCTCCAACCTGGCAAGGTGATTCAAGTGAGCAGATGGGAAGCTGTTCAGATGAAGATCATGGCAACTGTTGCTTTCTTAATAAGTCCAAACCAAAGCAGTCCAATGTACCATCCAAGGAATAACAATCTGCTCTTTACAAAGCCAATTCTGGTGGGAACTAGAGGGCCTAATGAGGATCGATCACGACAATTCTTCCAAAATGATTCTGTATGTATTTACAAAGTTTTTTCCAGAAGCGGGCTAGAGATAGTTTCCATTCAGCCAAAATAAGGTAACAAACATTAATTTGAAAAATAATAAAATGATTAAAGTACTAACTGAATCTACACAGATCAACAGAGGAAGGAAAGTTAATGCTGATTCTTGAAGAAGGCCCAAGCCACAGTAGACATTTCACTCAAAAATCCCACGCTGACGTGGCCTTTCCTGCCACTGCCTTTACAAATTTAAGCCAGTAGTGAAGACTGCATGACATGATTTTAAAAATAACAACAATACAAGTCCTTCGAATGTATCAAAAAAAGAGAGAGAGAAGGAAAATGTAAGGAAACAAACATGCTAACAACCTTCATCTTCATCCCCTTCCTCTCAAAATAATGTGAAAAACAAAAAAAGCAAAACCCCTTGGGAGACACTTGGGCTCCAAGTGACACCCTGTTCCTTCCCACTGCTCGAAGGCCTCAGAGGAAACAGAAGTTAAGAACATGTGTTCTTGGAAGCCCTTGGGTGAAGTGGTGGGTGGCAGCTTTTACTGTGAATTTTGAAGGCCTGACATTCCTCAAATACATATGTTCCCTTCCTGCAGAATGAGAATATGTGTACAGACGTGAGAGGGAGAGGGAGGGGGAGAGAGAAAAACACTGCATGTGTGAGTGTGTGTGTGTACGTGTGTGTACATACACCAAATACCACGGGAAGGCACCACAATCTGAGTACATTTTGGGGTGCAGACAAACTTCTAATGCAGCCATGAAGAAGGCACATTTCTAAGTTCCCATACCTACGCGTATATTCCCATATCTGAAAAATGTTCAGCAAAGAAAGAGACCATGTGTGAACATGGATGTGGGCTGTATACACATACCTTCGCTTAAGAAATTCCTTTCTGCAGACTACTATTTCATGAAATGCAATAAACACCCTAAAAATTCTAAGCAGCTCATTATATACCCCCGTCTGCTTTCATGGCTCCAAGCCAGAATATAATGATGAACCTTAACTTGTTAAGAACAACTAATTTTTGTTTCTGGCTGTCTCAGGGGCTTCTCTCTTACTCACTCTCACTTTACTTCACTGTTGACACGTTTCTGTTAACCGGATGTCATCTGCCGGCCTTGATTTTATGCACAAGCAGTAGGATGCATTTTCCTGTGCAACAATCCTGCTTTGAGTTGCATTAGGTTTGTCATTATTCTCTCATTTTCCCCCTTGCACTTGTAACATTTCATCTCTTCCTGCCTTATTTTTTGTGAGCCACGGTGCACCCACATTATGGTTTATACATGATCTCGCTCCCTTTGAAGCCGGCAGATTTCAGAGCCGGCTCTCGTCAGGAGAAGAGCCTTGCACCAATTTAGCAGGCTGAGGGCCCGGAGCTCCAACATCTCAATCTAAAGGGGGTCACAGGGTGGCACAAGTGAGTGTCAGCAAGAGCTGTTTAATTGCCAATCTAGGCTTCTCCATGGTGTTTAAAGTATAATGACCCATCACTTAATTCTGAGAAGTCCTGGCCCCACTGCTGAATAGAATGAATATCAAAGGGTGTTCTGGAACAGGGCAAGCTGCCTACATTTGCTATAACTGCCATAAGTATAATAGACCTATACTTCTGTCGCCCCATTATCACAATAATGTATTTAATTTGCTGTATATGCTTTTTAACTAGCTATCTTTCATTTGGCCTACCTGGGGAGTCGGCCGCCTCTCCCCGCACCTTGAGGCCCTAACCTTTCTTCCTGACGTTCCCTGCCTTTCCTCCACCCCCATGCCCACCTATAATTCATCGACTAACCTCCTAATGATAATTCAATCGATCAGCTTAACCCCAATCCCTATCCTACAATTACTTTACCACTGTTAACCTCCAGAACGCACCAAATAAACAAACATGAAAAATAACCAGGTGTAATATACAAATGCTGGGAAGGTGGGAAGATGAGCTGTGGAGTATAAGCTGCTACACTAATAGAATGACATGTAGCCGTGGTCCCTGGGTGCTCTCCACCTGGGAGACCCCCTACTCATTCCCATGCTTTGCGAGGCTGTGATGACACTATTTAATAAGTGTTACGCCTCCTCTTCTCTCTAGGCCAGAGAACACACGAGCGTTTTCCTACCTAACTAATACTGGCATGGATTTTGAAATTTTGATGATATATCGCAGGTAGAAAATGGATCTCTTCAACTATGATATCCACGGCATAGTTACCGATGCTAGATATGCCACGGTTTGTTTTTCTTAATGAATGTAACTCTCTATCACTGCTAAAGTTACTGTTTTGTAAGTAGGAAAAGCAGCATCTTGACCTGTCTTTCCAGGCCCTTCTCTGGTCTTGGCTTCCCATGTTGGCCACAGGGACTGGGGAAAGAAGCTGGGGACAGCACCCCTGCCATGTAACGCATGCTAATTTCATTATGTGCCATCATCAGAATGGGTTGGTGATTTCAGACCATCAGCAAAGTCTAAACCTCCACCGATTTAATTAACTTGACTGAAAATCAGATGAACAGAAAATAAAACTATCATTAGAAACAATTAGCGACTAAAACATACTGCTGCCAACCAGTTTGTAAATAAACTAGCAGTCACTGAAAAATTAGCCAGAATTAATCAGAGGGAGGAAAAGAAGAACATGGGGATAGGAATGTATCTTGTAAATATGTTTCTACGCTGAAATATAAATATATATGAATGTACAGCACACACACACATGTTTTTTTTTAACTTTCAAAGACTTAGAGCTGCACAGACCACTATGATATGCACCAGCCACGTGTGGCTATTGAATATTTGAAATGTGGCCAGTCTAAACTGAGAAGTGCTGTGCGTATAAGATACACATCAGATTTTGTACCAAAGCTCAGCACAAAAAAGAACATAACATCTTATTAATAGTTGTTGTCCAGGAATAGCATGTTAAAATGATAATATTTTGGCTATATTGCATTGAATAAAAACATGTCATTAAAAATAACTTTATCTTTTTTTTAAAAAAAAAAAAACAAAAACTTTTTTAAAAACACGGCTACTACGAAATTTAAAATTCCCTCTGTGGCTCACACTATATTTCTATTGGACAGTGCTACCTTCGAGGGGAGGAGGCGGATGCTTTCTTGTTGACTTGCAATCAGAGTCTGAGCTTTGAGAACACCAGTAATCTTTTTTCGAACTCTTCTTGGTATAATAATAAAACTACCTTCACCGCTACCTTTCTTGCTGAGGACAGGACAACAGAGAAATGGCATTTTTAAAAGCTTCTGTCCTGTTTCTCCCTTACCTTCTTAATTCATTAAAATACATTGTTCAACTGAGTGACTCAAAAATTTTACCCAGAAAGACATCATTTACCTTGGAATTTCAGGGCAATTTTTCAGGATTTTCTGGGAGTACAGCCTAATGCCACATTGGCTTTACACTAATAGAACTACATGTAGCTGTGGTCCCTGGGTGGCTTGGTGGCCATCTAGAGAACTTCTTGAGAAGTCACACATGGCCTTGGATGAAGGCCCCGGTTCTTGGAACTCACCTGGACATGGAAGCATTGACGGTCAGAGCTGTGGGGTAGGGGTGTCTGAATCCTCCTGTCGTGATTGGGTACACTGGTTGACCTTGCCTACAAAGAAGGGGTACAAAGTAAGAGACTTGAAACAAGGGTGGGGGTGGGGACAAGAAAAAGAAGAAAAGGGAAAAGTTCTCTCTGCACAGTAAGCTTTATTCTCATTTGATCAGAACAAAAATCTTGGGGATTGTACAGGAAGGATCAAAGGGAAGAAACACAGAACAATTTGAATGCCATAAATCTGATAGGAATGGCTAATTAAATTTTATAACCTCTGCTTATGTCAATAGAGACCCTCTCCCCAAGCTGAAACTAGGTGTTTTGTTGTAATAATTAAAGGCGAAGTCTCGCTTGCTTTAATGGAGCCATCACACTAATTGAGGGCTACACATCCAAAGGAAAACAATAATGAATGTAAATTTATACCAAAATAAAGTACAGTGAATCAAAGGACTTCAGTTGCGCTTTGGGCCTCTTTCGGTATTTAGATCTCGGTGAGAAAACATTAAATTAACAGAGCTTAATTTGTAGCCTTTTGTCAAATTAACAAGTGTTGACAAGAGTTACCGGGGGGAGAGTCCCCAAGAAGAATTGTGGGTAACCAATAGACAATCACACCTCATTACAATAATTAAAAAATACAGCAACATGCAAAATAGCATCCTCATGAAAGACACACAACTTTTTCTGACAGAGGGTTGTCTGAGTTGGCTATTCCTTTTTATCTAGCCTTCAAATATCTCCCCATCAGCCGAATGGGGCAAATGATCACTGAGAACTATTCGAGGGTTGGCCCCATCTATTTAGAAGAAATGGGTCACAAGCTCATGTTCATGTCTACCGTCCCAATAAAAATAAGAAGAGACAGAGAAACAGAAACTATACCCAGGGTTGGTATTTGGTACAGCTACTACATAATGCAATCTGTTTTTTATTAAAAAAAAAAAAAACAGCATAGAATCTATCTAACTAGAGAAATACGGGTAGAATTGTGGGGTAAGCCACTCCAAAATTTTATCTTCCTTAAGGCTTTGAAAGGCCATCTTCCCTAAGACTCAAACCTGAGTTTTACCAGGATTTATTCCTTTTAGCATTCAATGTATTGTCCTGTGTTGTTCAGAGTACAGATCACTGGTAAGGAGAAATACATCCACAGAAACAATCACGAAACACATATTACACACATGCTCATGCAAAAATATACATACACACAACCTGCCACAGTATGCTAATGCATCAAAGGCCTTTCTACTCTGAATTTAAAACACAGTTTTTTTAAGTTGCAAAAGTTAGTCAAATAATCTGGGCACTGCCAGGAGCTAGGATTGATGCTTACGAAGGCCCCACATGCTGCAGTGACGGTTCCAAATGCCCCATTCCCACCGTTCACAGTTAGGTAAAACATTCAACGTGCAAAGACTCTCAGAGAGATGCTGATTCAGTCCCATGGAGCTTCTCAACAGACAAAACTTTCCACTGTTGTTGTCAACCTTGGGAGTAATGTTCAGGATGAGGTGGGGGGTCCTGGAATCATACAAGAACATGCCCTAATCCCAACCCTGGATTTCAAAACAAGGCCGTTCTTGTTCCTGCTTCTGTGCCCCAAAATATGTAACACCTAAAATGGAGGACTCGACAGCCTCAACCCAATGACATGACTGCAGTTTGGGCAGCCAACAGCAGAAGGGTCATGACCAGCTTCATTGGGTGGAAGTTCCAGTAGTCTTCTGCAATTCCCAAAGGAACTGCAGGGCACCTCTGTCCACAGAGCCTCTGGGGACCATGGTCGCGGAATGCTAAGTGCCAGTAACATAAGCCACCTGAATGGCTGTGGATTTGCCTGTATTCCCACAGGACACCTCAGCAACACCTTTTCTGTGCCCTCCCGCAGCCCCCTCCCCAACCCTGGCTTCTAACACACACACATACACACACACACACACACACACACACACACACACACAGACACACACACAGAATAAATAATAAACATGCCCATGTAAGAAACAAAAAGGAAATTAAAAAATGGAACTCCTTACTGTGGTACTAACCATCCTAGCGGATGGGGGATTTGTCCTACGGTGCCAGGCGATAGTGGGTAATACGGGGATATATCTGGAGGGTGCGGAGGCCGTGGGATTCCTGAGGGAAGAAGCAGCATTTTAGGTACAAAGGAGGGAGAGAAGGAAAGAGCAATCCATTAGGGGATGGGAACAGGGAAAGGAGGAAGAGACGCATCTCTTCTGGAATCCTAGCACAAGGTTCATTCATGATTATAAATCCTGAGTTGTTGGTAGGTTTCATCTCATTTTCCCTCAGCCTCAGTTTGAAAAATTAGTTTATCTCCTTCTAAATGGACTGGTATACTGAGTAGACTCAAGATATGCCATCTTGGGTATTTGTGCCTCATGTGACTGGTGTGATTGTTTCAAGTTTAAAAGAAACAACATCAAAAAGGCTCAGCACCTGGTGGAGAATGAAGCAATGGTAATCCCTGTTGCTCTTACAACTCTGGCCCTTCACCCTGCGGAGTTTCATGCCTTACCTGCACAAGAGCTACTCCTCTGATTTCTAACACACTTTTTGAGCTGTGGCATTTGAAAAGTTACTACCCTTGCCTTTTTTCAAAAATGGTGACTCCTCTAAAATGTCTCTGCCTCTATTTGGATGAGCTGGAGAAACTGATCAAATGCCATCTGGCATCTTATCTAAGGCAGAGTCAGAGCTGAACAGACAAGGAGGTGTTGGAGGCTTGTGTACTCCATTCTGGAACTTCATCCGCTAGAGGACAGAGTCGTCTGTGGGGATTAAGCCCACCTGCTGAATGGGCACCGCGTGCGTCGCAGGGGCTAAGAGCTTCACAAGGCACACATGAGCGGATTCTGCAAGTACGTGCCACCGCACATCTGCCAGTTCCACAGGAGCACATCCTGTAGTCCACTCTGACAGAGAGGAATTGATGTATGCCATTGAAGTGGGAGGCAAAAGGCACAATACCACAGAATTAAAACAGAGTAATGGAGGGAACGGGCTGCATGTTCGTGGACGAAAACGACTTCATTTTTTAAAAAATTCATTCAGGAAGCTTTTAATCTGTAAATTAAGTCTCCCTGGGTGACATTTTCATGCAGACATTGCTTTCTCTCTATTACAAAAACCAAACAGATTAGCTGGGCTTGGACCCTACATCGAGCCATTTGCACACTTGAAAGAATGTTCGCAGAGGAAAAGTAAACAGTCCACAGACGTTAATCATATGTTTTACGATAACCATTTAAAAGCTATTCCCTGTACTACCATTATTTAAATGAGACGTTGACGCTGCCATTCACTGGTGGAGCCTGGGGCCGGCTGGAGGAGGCCACCAGGCATCCAAGCGCCAGGCTCAGTCCTGCACCAGCACAAAGGGGCTCAGAGACCAGTAAAACCCAGCTCATGTGTGGCTTCGTTCAGGGGCAGTGAAGGCCGCCTAACCAGGCAGCCTACCTACCCCAACACTACCAATCCCCTCTAACAAAGTGATGTGCAATCACCACTTTAAACCCATCCTTCCAATTACTGAGCTAGGAAGGGGAAATCCTACCAACACACTGGGTAGCCTGAAAGACACACACTAACCTTACCTGTTCTCCCAAGACCACCCCACCAGGCTGCTGGGGCTGCCTGCCTGATTTAGATCTTGTTGGAGGAGAGCTACAAGTAACCCCACCTTCCCTCCCTCTCCCCTTTGGGAAAAAAGCAGTCAATGAACAACTGGGATAAAAAGGGGATGCTGGGCTGGGTGTGGTGGCTCATGCCTGTAATCCCAGCACTTTGGGAGGCCGAGGTGGTCAGGAGTTCGAGACCAGCCTGGCCAGCATGGTGAAAACCTGTCTCTCCTAAAAATACAAAAATTAGCCGGGTATGGTGGCACATGCCTGTAGTCCCAGCTACTTGGGAGGCTCAGGCAGGAGAATTGTTTAAAACTGGGAGGCAGAGGTTGCAGGGAGCCAAAATTGTGCCACGGCACTCCAGCCTGGATGACAGAGCAAGACTCTGTTTAAAAACAACAACAACAACAACAACAAAAAGACGTTGAAAAGCATGGCAACTTTTCTCAGACACCCATTGGTTGTTCTACGAAGAAATGAAGCAACCTGCCTGGACTTCAGTATTCATATCTGTAAAATGGGTTCAACAATACCTAGAATATTGTAGGGGAAAAAGAACCTAAATAAATTAGCAAAGAAAATGCAGAATCCAGTGATGTGGCTTTTTGAGGCTATACCAACAAGTCATTGTCAAGTAGTGACTGGAGCCTCTTAGCCAGTGAGGGAGCCGAGGCTTGGAAAGCCATGCTGTCTCATCTTCCCAGGAAGCTGAGGAGGAACCCAAGAAATGCCTTCAATATGATTCCTGCATCCATGTCTGCCTGAGGCTCTTAGAGTTAAAAGCCACTCCTGAAACATACTGAGGACTCATAGCCAGGTTCCCAAGACAGCCCCTTCAGGGGTACTGGAAGCCATAAAGAGATCTTTAACACTGCAAATGAACTTCTCCAAAGGGAGTGGAAAACCACTGCCACACCAGGCCTCAACCACCCCAAAGAGCTTCCTTTTCAACACCCAGAAAAGCAACAGGGGCCCCCCCACCACCGTTCCCCCAAAGTCCCCTACTGCTCCACCCCTGGGGTTCCTGTGGAGGCCTCAAAGGTTCCCCCAGAACCCCAGGACCAGCACTCTACCTTGGCTCCGTAGCCCACAGCCTACCTGTTTTGGGGTCTACGTCGGCTGGTAAGTGTGGAGGTGGGTTTCCCGGCGTGAAGTGTTCATTGCTGTACGTGATAAGAGGCGTGAGGGGGTGGACATGGTGAGGGTGCTGCACCACTGGCACTTTGTTAGACTGTGGGGAGGAGAACAGAGAAAGACACCGTCAAGCCGGTTCCAGCAGCCCAGGGCTTCAGAGCACCGGGCCCGTGGGTTCCCTTGGCCACAGCCTCTCACCTGGATTTTCTAAGATGCACTCAACTCTGCCCATCCCATACTCCCCCCAGTCCATGTGAAAATAATAGATAGTTGTAAGACAGCTCTCTGGGTGGGTCTGCTTTAGTTTTTATTTCCCCACTAAGCCTGGCTTTTAAAATACCTTCTCAACCCCTACCCCATTATGGAGCCCAAGAGTCTGCACTTTTCCCATTAGCAGGTGAGTCAGAAGTGGAGACTTCAATCTCCCATGCCTACTGCGTTTCCACATGTTGTGGGGACCTCCTACCCCAAGGCCCCACCTCCAGGAGGCACGCAGGCTGCACAGGGGACCATCTAGGAAAACCACCACTTACAAGAAACTGGCAGGGCCCAAATCCCACCCAGCCAGCCTCCTTAGCCACCCCCCGACAGCTCCTATCCCCTCCCTGCCCTTAGAAACAGCGGGCATGCTACAATCCTTCACAGACAGCATGGATGCAAAACCCCACTCACGGTTTGGGTGGGAGTGTGAACTTTACCAGAAAGCTCTAAACTGCCTGACAAGCACCTGCATATTTTATGCAGATTACAGCAGCCCTGATTCATTAGGAATTTCATTAGAAAGTCATCCGGGAACGCTAATACATTAACTGGATGATGACGAATTGGGCTAATAAAAGGTATGCATTTTAGAAATGGGCAGTTCTAAAAAACAAAGTACAGGCATTTTTGTGTTTGGGAAGGGTGGGTCAGTGGAGAGAAGCAGAGGGCAGGGTGGGGGGAAGAAAAGCATTTTAAAAATGTTTCTAGTTGCCATGCCCAGGCTTTCCCAAATTATTCTCCTCCTCTTTCCCCCACCTCCCGCTCAGT
Organism: Homo sapiens; assembly: GCF_000001405.40. NCBI lineage: Eukaryota > Metazoa > Chordata > Mammalia > Primates > Hominidae > Homo > Homo sapiens. The sequence continues at coordinate 113,140,251 of NC_000010.11, read as the reverse complement.
CCACCCCTCCCCACTCCACTACTCTGTGCTATAACTTAGCCCAGGAAGATCACAAAGAAAAAATTAAGCTGAAACAAGCGAACTACTGGGCCATTTACTGAGAGTAATCCAATTGCAAAAAACCCTATTCCCCATAGAGGATTTTCGCTAAAATCCTACAACAGGGACATTTAACCAGATTAGGTACCAGCGAAGATAAAGAGGCAAGTATTAGATGATGAATGGATTAGAGTCAAGTTTCATTTCAGAACGTGTCTTCATTTCCTTTTATTACTTTTAGGAAGGCACAACTTGCATTAACATCAAGGAAAAGGAATTGCATTAAAAGAAAAGAAGGAAGGTCCTAGTGCTGCCCACTAGTGCCTGTTGAGCTGAGGGATCACTAAGCAGTTAGTTCTCTTTACTATTTCTCTTCTTGTCCTTTTTTTTTTTTTTTTTTTAAATGGGTGAGGAAGGAATGTAATATAAGAACAGCATTTCTTACCACAGGTAATTGAGGGGAAAGTGTCTTTTAAAAAGTGCTTTTAACTTTTTTGTGGTTATGTGTGGAAAGAAAAATAAGGCATTCTCTCTAGATGCCCCAGAAAAAAACTACAGAAAAAGAAGTCAACGTTTCCAACAGCCTGGTTTACCAATTCCTATGTATAACTGGACTCTTGGAGAAAGGGGCTAGCAGGTTGCTTACAGGAGCTTTGTGTTATGTGCTACCAATTTTGCATCAAAGCAAGTAAGCTAAAAGCCACCAAAGCAGATGGAGCTTTGGAAACCAGCAACACTTCCATAAAAGGGGCAGCCATGAAGGGCGGGGCAGGCCATGGCCAGGGTGAAGGGCTGCTGCCCACAGCCAGTGCTGGGCACCTCAAGGACAGGCACTAAGGATTCCTTAAGAGGAAGATTTGCTCAGGACAACTTGAGAAATAAGGAACAAGGAAGCTCCCACTGTGTGCTGAGGTGGAGAAGGAAAAGGGAAAAGGAGAGGAAGGGAGGGAAAGAGACAGACACGGACAAAGTGGAGACTGTTAGGAGGCAGGGCAAATGACTGTTGCTGCCTTCCAGAAGTTTTCTCTTTGGTTGGAAAGATACATACCCGCTGACATGAAAGAAAGCAGACCAGCTCCAGACAGTTTAAAGTGAGTGTGGAAAAACACCAGGGCCAGTGGGGAGAACCACCCATAGCCCAGAGAAGGGAAGATGATTACTAAGGGGTGGAAGGACTGATCAAGTGCCACGGGAGCAGGACCACCATCAGCCAGGAGAAGGATCACATGGGAAGAGAAAGGGCTAGTGGTGGGCATCAGAACCAGCAGCAGTCAGCCCCTAGTCAAGCATCTCCCGGGATGCTTTTCACTCATTCAGATTCCCCAATCCTAGGAAATCTCTCAGTAGGCCCTAATTCATTCACAGTGGGTCTGGGCTCAGGACCCAAGCATCCTGGGCCTGCTTGCTGGGTGTTGTGGGTGGTTCTTGTGTTCCGCCATGAGGACCACACGCACACAGGCAAGCACAGAGGCAAAGAGCCATGGGTTCTGATCATGAATCAAATCCTAGTTCTTAAGGAACCCAGGAAAAGGCTTAGCACAGAACCTAGCACATGATAAGTTTGTTATTTATTATCTATTACAGTGGTTTATTATTAATATTATTTTTATTGTTAGGAAGAAGCTGTCCAGATGACATGATCTGTCTACAGTAAAGAAGCACAAATCCCACAGCCATCTTCTAAGCAGGACTAAGGGGAGATGTGGGGAAAACCCTCTTTCTCTACTTTACAACAAAAGAGGAAGATAGCGTTTGGGCAATAATGGAGTTAACTGAGTGTGAGATTTAAAAATTAAGTCTCCATCTTCTTAGATATACATATGAAGGCGATTCCAACAAAAGGTGGAGCCCTGTGTTCTGGCTACTAACACCTCTCCCAGTATTATTTTGCACACCTGAGCCTAGCCAACTAGTTTTTTCCTGTTCAGTCAAAACTATACCATGGGGGTGGGGGTGGGGTGGAGGGGGTGGCAGGGAACTGGAAGTTTTAGGTACTGCCTGGCTTTAGGGGGAAAAAATGGGACCTGTACTAGGACTAGCCTTACTCCCTCTGACCTCAACTGCATGCCAGGCAGGTCCCTGTGAAAGAACAGAACTTCCTCTCTGTCCAAGCTCATGGGTTCCCTTGCAAGAGAGGAGAACTCTGTGGTCATACCTGCCAAAACCAGGGACTAATTGCCACTCCAGCCAACCTGCCTCTACCTGGAATCCTCTATGATGGAGGGATTTTCTTCTTACAAATGCCTATGTCTCTCCGGCCTCAGACCCCAGAACCCTTTCTTCCTACATCACACGATGCCCATTGCTGGGGGTGTGTGTGCACCCTTCTTGGTCCCACTATACCTAAGTCCCTTAGGGACAAGGACTATGTCTTCTAGAACTTTATGTCCTCCCAAGTGCCCAGTCTGCGGAATGGAGAGCACATTCTCCTAAACTGCAGAAGAACCACCAAATTGCAACTGCAAGCATTCAAAGGGAAAGACAAAGCCAATCACAGATTAACTTCAAGTAAATGTTGGCGCTCTTTAAATGTAGTCTCCTTAGAATCACAGAACAGAGCTTAGTGGTCCTTCTGGACCATCCAGTTCAATACCCTTGCAGACACTATCTCAATTACAACTGTGCCTTTAAAAGGGTTTTAGGGGCAACTGGCATTGCACACAGTGATTCAAGAACTGAATTCAAGGAAGACCCGAGTTTTCATTCTTCCTCACCAGGTTGGCTGTTCGACCTCCCTCAAGACTTCCTTTCTGTCTCTGTCAACTCTGGATGAGAATCGTGTCTACCTCGCAGAGTTGTGAAAACTGAATGAGAACTTGCACGTAAAGTATTTAGCACAGTGACAGGCACAAGCTAAACGTGCAATACAAAGATGCTTTGAAAATGCAATCTGATAAATACTAATGATGACACAGTTCACTATCCCTCTAGCCTCTTCTGATTTAATTCACGGAGCAGGGGGGATACACAGCCATGATTCCACTCCTGATTTCAAAGGTAAGGATGTTTGTTTATGGGGCAAGATCATTCTAGATGATTAGTGGCACTCTCCTCAGGCACATACCCTTCTTCAAAATGCGGTATTTAATTAATCCATATATTTTAATATCTCTTGTGAGAAAAGTCATCACTTTACTATGCCAATAAATGAGATTGCCACAGAGGAGCTGAAAGTTAAAGAAAAAAAAAAAGGCAGGTGGAGATGATCATGGTCCCTTCCAGATCAGGGCAAGGGCCTTTAAGTAAGAGCTGTCATAAATGAAACACAAAAGAATCCAAACAGAAAGATGCCCCTTGGATGGTTCTCCTTCTCTTTGAACACCTCCCACTTCTCTAACGAGGTCTTTAAGAATTGTGTTCAAAACTGCACCACCCTAAGAAAATTTAGATATGAAAAGTAACTTGGTTGCAACATAGACAACCTTCCAGAAATGTATTCATGGCAACTAAATTAGCAGCAACTATCCATGGGGTAGTTGGAGTGCTGGTGGGCTCATTAGCCTGCAGTACTTATTCCCTCCCCCTTTTATCTCTTTATAAACAGAGCCCAATGTGCAAGGGAAACAGCTCAACGTAAGGCCAGGTTCCTTTCGGGAACTATTTCACCTAAATACATCTTCAAAACTACATGGGGATACAAAATCATTACAGCCAGTGACAGCGAACCAATGTTCAAGTTCATGGTAGTGATGGTCAAGGAGAGCTGTGTGAAGAGCCTGCGTTGCTGTACTGAACTCTGAAAACATGATGACAACGGATTCTCCGAGCCACAAAAACAGCAAACACTCATATATGAATAACTCACATAATTTCGAGACGGTTATACCACAGCTGCCGAAGTCACACCACCACCATCAGCTTAGAACACCTTTTCTAGACGAAATGAAGGTAGGATGGGGACTGACCAGCTGCTACCCCTGAAGCACTACCATCCACACCAGCACAGCTCAGGGTGGCCGCCGTTTAATGGTGCCTTGGGCTCTGTGTCTGTGTGCCTCTGTGCTGAGTGCATCACATGCTTTATTCTAGGAAATCCTCACAACGAGCCTATGAAGTAGTCGGCATTTGTTATCAGTTCCACGCGGTAGGTAAAGATATTTTTTTTCCAGGTTACATGCCTTGAGAGAGTGGTGTTTCTAAGCTTTGCAGCCTCACCTGCCTGCCTCCACCACCCCACTTCTACACTCTCCCAGTCTGCAGAAACTGGCATTACTGGGATGGGGTTAATTGCTGTGTTCATCTAGGGAGATGCACCCAATGAGATCAGCCTGGGCCAACCTTCCTATTGGATACAGCTGCTTCAGGACTCTCGGTGGGATCTGTCCTCAAACTCCCACCTACCAATCACTGCATCCTAGACCATTTTCAGCAAATATTGCCCCTAAACCCCAAATTAGGTGGAGCTCAGTGTTCCCTGCCTTAGCCACAATGCCACAGGGCATTGAATATTTTTAGCAGGGATTTTTACACATTTGGCTGATTATGGGAAGACTGGGGATGGAAGGGGTAAAGACATTTAATAGGATGTTTCTGCTTCTCAAATACAAACATGCAGTATCTCGGCCCAGCAGGATTCAGATGATAAAAACACTTTATGTCGTCAGTTCTGGGCTGACAAGAAACTAAAGAAAAAGTCTACTAAAAAGCCGAACCATTAAATGAAGTAAACAATATCTATTTAAAAGGAACCAAAATCCTCATCTGACTTTAAATCATTCAGGGCTTTATGCTTTCTACCTGGAGAAAACGCTCTTTGGCAAAGCCAAGCTTTCCTCTGTCTGGTTCCTTAGGCTCCATGGGTTTTGAGCATTGAATAGTTAAATCATAAAGAAAAGGTCCTTTAACAGCCCTCAAGGCACACAAAGCCCTTCCACCCAAAGTATTCATCGTATTCATCGACTACAGTGGGGGGGAATGGGGAGGGGGAGGCGCCCCTGTGGCTGACCTTTGACCTTTCAAGAACCCTTAAGCATAGCGCTCTGCAACTTGGCCATGCCACCCTCATCGCCAAGCGCCCACACACCCATCCAGACGCTGTTCCTCATTTGGAACTTGGCAAGTGAAAGACTGATTAAGGCACTTCTAAGATCCCTCTGCTTAGTCCCCCTCTCACCCCGACCCCACAAGGCTCTATAACTGTGGGCAACCTAGAGGGAATGAAAGCTTGCCATTCACCTCCGCAACCTATTAATCAACAGACACTGAAAACAAATAGAGCCATTGCTGGCCCTGGTGTCTCCCTTGGCCCTCCTCTTCAATACGCCCCTATTGCTGCCTCTTTCTGCAGAAGCAAAATGGGGCCAGAAAGTGCCTTTAGGAGCTCTGCACAATAAAACTAAAGCAACAGAGGAGCATTTGTCAGCCTTTTCCCCTCCTCAGGGTGGGCATGGAAGGTCTTTGGGGGTCTTCACTTACCAGCCCTCCCAGGGGCTGAAATCAGCATCAGGAAGGGACACCATTCACTCCAGGTTTACATTTAAAAATTGGTTTATAGTCCACCTCTATGCATTTTTCCAGATGCCGTTTACTATGGCTGCAGCAAGACCAATGGCAACCGCTAAAACGTTAATAAAAGTTTCACATCACTGAAGATGTGGTAAGTTGGGGAAGAGGACAGGCTGGGAACACAATGAAGGAAGGGCTGTTTCTTATCCATCAACTACCCTTTGGCAACTCAACTAGTCCTGTTTTTCCAGCCTGTGAGGGTGGTGAACAGTCAGTTAAGGTAACCCCCCTGTCCCCAACAGCCTATGACCCCAGCAGTTAGCAACTATTTCTGCTGGTGGGATGGCCACAGGAGACACAGCCAGTGCAACCTAGGCCTAGGCCTGCATGGACAGTCCCATCCCAACCCAGCAGGCCAACACTTGCTTTTGCATCCTGCAAACCTCTTATATATACACAGAATAAAAACAGCAGTCATGACTTCCTCCCGTGGCCCCAAATGGGTGGGCTTCCTCAGAGCATTTTACCCTGGCCCGTGCCCCTCTCCCCTCGCAGCTAGCCAGGACCCATGCATCACCGTGGCCGGGGTCTTCCTTAGTTGAATGTTGCTCCTTTCTGTCTAAGGCCTTGCTCCCAGCTAATGGTGGATTGTTTCCCTGGACAAGACTTCTATCGATAGCTACAGCACTGCCTGTTGGAAATAATAAATAAAAGACAGAAGGTTTCACAGGGTTCGAGTTTTACTTGGAGAAACAAGGTGGTAAGAGAAAAGAGATCTGCCTGTGAGATGCAGAAAAGCAAAGCCCACCCTGCCAGCCGCAGTACACAGCCTGCATCCTCTGGCCGGGCTGCTGCAGAACCTACCCCCGCAGGCTGCAGAGTTAGAGCGTCTCCAATCCCTGAGAGCCTCCTAGGAAGGGTGCTGCTTATTTGTATTGTAAATTATCAATAGCTGGCTTTTATTTCTCTCCCTCTCCCTCTCTGGAATCAAATCCATTTAGACAGCAAGAAGAGGAAGAGAGATGATTCTCCCTGCCGTCTGTGAAATTTTGCCGACTCATAGTTTCTCATGGATTCACACAGGCATTAAAATTCTTCTTGCTGGGAAATGACTGAACAGAGCAAGCAGGGAGAGGAGAAACGTGCAGTCAGTTTTCATCCAAATTCTCTCACACACATGCAAATACCTAGAACTAACTCGATCACTTCAAGTCCTTGGCCTTTCTTGGGGTGGCCCTTTCTATACTATAACCACCCAGCTGGTAACACACCAAACAGACTGCCAAACATGAAGGGTCTAGAGGACCAAGCTCAGCTCTTCTTAAAGACCTTTTCTCTATCCTCAAAAGGAGGATGGAAGGGCTGGGGGGTGAGAGGTGGTGGGTGGGCTGGAGGTGTTGGGATGGAGGAATAGAGGAACATTCGAACCTGGAAAATAAAGAAGGTGTTAAGATGGAGGAATAGAGGAACATTCGTACCTGGAAAATAAAGAAGGTGTTGAGATGGAGGAATAAAGGAACATTCGAACCTGGAAAATAAAGATGTGCACCAGCTGCTTGGCTTTGTGAAAACCGCAGCCAAGGGCCGACCCAGTAAAGCTGTGCATTCACAGGCTCTTGAACAATTACTTCCAGTTAAGTTCATTAAACATAATTTATTTCCCCTCATTCTCATTTATTTTGCAATTAAAAAGAAAACATCCCATTGTGCCTCCCCCAGCCAACCTTTAAAACACTTGCAAGCTTACATCTTAGCCCACCCGGTCCAGGCTCGCCCCTGATCAGCGAGTTTCCAGGGTTTTCTTCCTGCCTGCCTCTGCCTCCCTCCGGCAGCGTCACAAAATTCTCAACCTGGAGGTCAGTGAGGGAGTGCGACAGGCACAACGGGGCCCTCTGTCCTAATCCTCTGCCAGGTCTCAGGGATGAAGAACCAGCCACTTCACCCCTAAGTAATTTCCCAGGAATTTGCAACCTCCACCCTCCTGCCAAATATTTCTCTACTACTTGGGTATTAAATGATTAGCGTTAACATAATCAATCTTGTTAAGTGCCCGAGTTCACAGAGAATGTTTGGGAATTGGGTAAGAGAGTACAGCTGTTTCTAGGAGAGCAGATCTTCAAAATCGAGCCAGAAATAAATCGAACCTATCCCAAATGAAGAAATCCAAAAGCTCAAATTCAAAACAACTTTTAACAAATAATAATGATTTCCAGACCACCCCCTCGCCACCAAATACAACAACCCCAAATCTAGGGATTCCTAAATATAATGGAAAGGAAATCACCAATTTTGATTTAGAGTAAATTTTAAGAGCATAATGGTTATTACATCCTGGGGAATTAAAGAAAGAAGTAGTGAACAAAATCTGACACCAACTTTCTAATTTATTTACAAGGAACAGCTGCATAAAAAGGTCTTTTGTTTTTCTTGTATACCCTGTGCCTAACTTTCGAATCTCAGCCTGCATTTGAAAATCATGCCTACTCCATGGAGTCTGAGAAAAGCTCAAGAAACAGCTGTTTCCTTCACTGATCAGGTAAATCTTCTCCCTAGAAAAAGAGGAGGTAAGCCAAGAGGAAGAATAAATGTTTCCACTCATGTGGCTCAACAAACACAAATGCTCAAACCCTGTGATTCAGCAAAGACCGACAGAAAGGAAGACGAACACAAAGGCAGAACTGCATTGTTCCGTTCTATCCTGCCTTGTTAGTATCCCAAACATGGGCATCCTTTAATGGGCATCTACAGCCAGAATAAATAACACGCGTGAAAATGACACAGAGTCACCATGGGACAAGGAGGGCAAACACAATTGCTGCTCCCTCTGATCTCCAGCTGATGTGTTGCAAGTTTAAGGTAACGAGGGAGTGACCCAGGCAAAGTTGAATTTTTTCAAAAATCCTCAAATGTGTGCAGAACTACGTAATCTGGAGGGCATGTCAGGATTTCATCACATTCCAAAATATTGCAGAAGGAAAGAATTCTATTACACAGCTCAGCCAGGTCCCCAACAACCCCAAACCACAAAGGGGAGGTTTCCCTAAGAATACAAGGTTTCAGGCTCTGCTGCTTCCAGAAAATGCCGATGCAGCAGCCTGTTGTGACAATACAGAGATCATAATACCTGTATCACTGGAGTCGGGAATTTACGTTTTCAAAGGAACTCCCTTCTCCTAAGACATCAAGAATAGTGGTTTACTCTCATCAAAGCCAACAGGACCACTATTAAGTAACGCAGGTAATTTGAGTAAACTAGGGTCTAGAACCTCAACATGGGAGACTGTACTGGGTGTGATATTTGCAGTAACACAACATACACATTTGCAACACAGCCTCCACTCTCTTCACCACCATTCCTGACAGTTTACACAATCCTAGATTGAACCAAAGAGTTGCACACAGCTAGAAAGGAAAACCAAGATTTACACCCATCATTATTTTACGCTCAACGAGAGAACTATCTATGATCTTGTGTTTTAATTTGACACACAGAATTTAATTCATGATGTTGAAAATATGAACATAAGTCTATGGTATATTTCATTCCTTCTCACCCCAAAATTGGATGGAAGAGCTTATCGACCACTGCAGATTATTTCTGTTTGGTCATACAATAACATCACAAATAATAAAAGTAATTAAGGAATTGCCTCCAAATTCAAGAGAATCCTCTTACAGCTTGTGGCAAAAGATAATCACTCCGGCCGGGCACGGTGGCTCACGCCTGTAATCCCAGCACTTTGGGAGACCGAGACGGGCGGATCACCTGAGGTCAGGAGTTCAAGACTAGCCTGGCCAACGTGATGAAACCCCGTCTCTACTAAAAATACAAAAATTATCTGGGCATGGTGGCGGGTGCCTGTAATACCAGCTACTCAGGAAGCTGAGGCAGGGGAATTGCTTGAACCCGGGAGGTGGAGGTTGCAGTGAGCCGAGATCTCGCCACTGCACTCCAGCCTGGGTAATAAGAGCGAAACTCCGTCTCAAAAATAATAATAATAATAATAATAATAATTTTTTAAAAAGATATCACCACACAGTTGAAGAGAGTATAATGGATCCTAAATCCCAAATTCATATTGCAAAAGGGCCTTCTCCCTAATCATTAACAGCACAATGAGCTGTCATCAGGCTCTTGCTCGGGTTTCCAAAACACATTTTATATTAAGTTTACAAAACACACCACAAGCAAGACCATAGCCCTAAAAAGCCAGCATCTAAATCTGGAGATTGACAACTAAAGACGGAGCAACAGAAAGTTAGCATTAAATATGAAACCAAAATACACAGTTTACACAGCCCTGCTACTGTTAAAGCCTTATCACTCAAAACTTTCAAGCTTTTAAAGTATGCTCCTCTATGAGGCAATGTCATTTTTCCTTCTCTCTTTTCTGATGGAGCCCACCCTGGTGGGTGAAGAAAACAATTATTTGTTAGAAGAAATTCCAAACCGTACCACCCCTTCCCAGATTCCAGCTCACCCGTACTTTGGGAACAGGGTCTGCCTTACCATAGAAGTGTAAGGACTGTGATGAAAGTGAGACTTCTCTCCTCCCCATCTTTTTTTAACCCTTTCTCCCCCTCCCCAAAAAACTGCTGTGAAAAGGACTCAAAGAAAGGGCATAGCTTGAGTTGACCATTTATTCTTGTTTTGTTTTTTCCTTCCCATGATCTAAATTAAGGGGGGGGAAAAAGCATAGGTTTAATGGTCAATACCATAAGCATGGACACGAACATACACACATCCCCCCATACACACACCACACACCCCACTACTCACCCAGCAATTCAAATTGAGGTGCCAACCGCCCAACTGCTGGAACAGAGAGACCCCGGAGGCCACTGCGCCTCCCTTACCACTCAAATCTTCCATTCCCACTAAAATTGTGTCCCTAGGGTACATAACAGCCTTGGTTTTCCCTCTCTCCACCTCTAAAAAAACTTTCTCTGTACCTTCGAGATGGGACTGGGCCAGTTTTTCTTCCTCCTCCCTTTCTGCTTTTCTCACTTTTCTTTTTCCTCCCAGCTTCCCCTCCCTTTAAACCTTTCACTTAAAGAACTGAAAAAAAGCATCTAAAAAGATCGAAATGGCTCCAGATTCCTGGCCGAGTAGGCTCAAAATGCTCAAAGTTGTCGCTCATATTGCCTAGAATTATCTTGTTAATCCTTCCCCCTGTACACACATCCCTAAAAAAATCTTAAAAATAAAAAACAAAAAAGTCCACTAATAATCTAGAGTTCAGCTGGTTGCAGATTTAATTTTTTAAAAAAAATTTTAAAAACTCCTTCTACTTTCTAATCTTTGCCACTACAGAATCCGTGAAGGAAGGGGGAAGGTCCATGTTCCCCAGCCAGCTCAGGGCACCTCAGCAAAGTCCCCTCCCTCACCCGTTACCTTGGGCAGCAGGGACAGAGCTGCCGCTAAGAGTAGCAAAGAAATTACGGTCAGCCATGAGGGAAAATGATCAACCGAGTGCAGGAGGCAGGCACTTTATCTGCAAGATTGTCAAATCCCTCAAAACAAATTTCTTAGGGAGAGGGCTGCGATGGGAGAGGGGAGGGAGGAGGAAAGGATATTTTCTTGTCACAGTGACACGGAAGTGACACTTTGCAGGGCCTTGCCTGCCCTGTATACACCCTCTCTTCCTTCCAGAGTAACAGAATGTGCCTGAAAGATTTTCAACTGACCTCCCTGGAAGCAGAAGAAACGAAGCTTCCTGGGCTCGCTAGTATTCCAATAGTCAGAATGCTAACTCGCTTTTTTGACTGTTGAGTTTTGTGAGCTTTCCCCAGGAACACAGAGAGAGAAAGAAAGAGAGAGAGAGAGAAGGAAGGGAAACGGCAGAGGGATGCAAAGGCTAGAGCTGAATTCCACAAACCCGACTTACTTTTCCTGGGGCTCTTATGGGATCCAGGGCCGGGTACATTTGTGTGGTTTTAACTTAACTTGAGTTGAGACACTCAGACATCACAGGCCAGAAATCGTCCTCTTTTACATGAAGGAGGGGAGTGTGGGAGGGTGGCTGCTCATGGAGGGATTACAGACAGAAAAAGTTGCAGGGGACAAAACTCATCCAGAACGCTTTTCCGGTCTTTTCCCACCCCAAGTGTTAAGCCATTTCACCCTCTTCAAAAGCAAACACACAACTCCGATTTGCATGCAGGTAAGAAAACACCCCTGCTGCCACATGGGATCCTGGACTTGTGTGGCTTGAAGCAAGACCAGTGGCAAAGATTTGGTTTCTTCTGGCGGCAGGACACCTAAGGTAGAGATGTTTTTAATTTACTGAACTGATTGCCCATCTGTTTATCTCCAAGCCCACAAGACTGTTTTCACGATGTAGGTCTTTAAACAATCTGTTAAGACACGGGACAAGTTAATCACCCTCGCCGCTCCCCACCAAAAAAATCAACAAAAACAAGGGCTGGGCAGGCTTAAAAATAACAAAAAAGTGGGAATTCTTCATTTCTTCTTTTCTTCTTTTTTAAAATACTGCTCCGTGGCCTCTCTTTCTGGACTTATCTGGCCTTCCTGTGTAAGTGTCAGGCAGCAATCTTTAAGGCCCTTAATACCAAAACAAAACCCTGCCATTCCCTTTACATGGTGGTAACAAAAGCAATGAGCCTCCACTTTGACAAGTAAAAAGCCCCAACCACACAGCCCCCTAATTGCCTTCTCTCCCTCTATTCACGCGGACCACCACACTCCTGGCAGCTGCTTTTGTCACACACGCAATTTCTTAAGTAAACTGCAAGTTCTCTGCCGCTGATGGACAGCTCCCAATCATTCAGCAACAATAACTTATAAAGTGCGGCAAACAGGATGGGCAACTTTGACTAAGAATTTATTTTCTAGCTTTCTCAAAAGACCGAAAAATGGAAAAAAAAAAAAAAAAAAAAAGGACGCAGCAACATAAGCTAACTCATGCTAGACAGACCCCCTCTTCCTTAAAAAGTAAAGGGAAATTTCTTGAATTTCTTCAAACTAAAAACTGCTCCTCAGAAACTCTTTCCGGATATTTGCCATCCCATCGCACTACTCTAAATTCATCCCCAGGGTGCCCCCAGTTTGTCAGAAGTACACCACGCTTAGAACATTCCCACAAAAAAATCAAAAGGTGATCAAGTGCTGCAAAGTTCTGTAGGGTTTAAAAAAAAAGACAGCAACAACAAAAAAACACTTCCCCAAAACAAAACAAAACAACAACAACAAAACAAAAACGAAAGCTTCCTTTCCTTTCAGCATGAAATTACAATCATGTGCAGGAGGAATGAAGTAAGGAGGTGGGAGGAACTGCTCATTTACATTCCACGGTCCGCATCTGCAGCATCAGCAAACTTTTGTTTTGTTTTAAATAAAGAGGTTCAAGAAGGGAGGAAGGGGAAATGGGTCTTGGAGGAATGGATGGACGAAAAGTAGCAAAATGCTGATTCTTTACGAAAATATTTGGGGATGGGGAGGAGGGGAGCGAGGAGGGTGGAGCATTGGTGTCTTTAACTTGGTGGACAGAAAAAAAAAAAAAACCCGAAACCCCTCCGTATTCACGTCCAAGTTAATAATAATAAAAAAGCATGTTTTTATAGTCACAAGCTGAAATTCGGGGTGGGGGGAGGTATAGTCAATTTCTCTTTTTCGTTTTTTTTGTTTTGTTTTGTTTTGTTTTAAAGAGAGGCTAAAAAAAATAAATCTACTGCATCCACCCCGGCAGCTTACCAGTCAAGGTACATCAACCTGAAAGTTACCGCAAAGTGACAGCGAACATGGCAAAGGCTGAGAGCATGCATGCGGACTGGACAGCCGTGGACGCAGCAGGGCAGGCGCGCGGGATGCAGCGGGCCGGCCACCGCGCACCCCTGCCCGCCCGCCCGCCGCCGGCCGCGCTTACCATCTAGAGAGGGTTGCGGCGCTGTCCTTCCCGCTGCCGGCTCGCGGGCATGCTGCCTGCGCCCAGATGCTGCCCAGGGCCCGCGCCGGCCGCGGGCTCCACTGGAGGGCAGCACCCGCCCTGCAGCCCGCGCCGCCGCCGCGCACCCGCGGCACAGGGGAGCAGCACACACCAGCAGCGCCGCCAGACAAGATGCTCACGCACAGTTCCATTCACAGAATTATCTCGCTTGATAGGGAAGAGCACAATAACTGGGATCTCCCCCGATTCCACAACAACCCACCCCCCCACAAAAGGGAGGGGGCGTTTAAAAAAAAAAGGCAGGGCTTTCTTACTCTTCTTTTTTTCCCCCAAACCCCGGCATTCAATCAAAAGAACAAAGCCTGATATTTTGTTTGCCGACTTAGCAAACATAAAGGCAATTTCAATAGTCCAAAGAACTTCACCTAAGTTGGTGAAAGTAATGCTTTGCAGTTCTCCAGTGAAATTACGCTTTAATAGCTATCTGATGCCATTCAGAGAAGGCAGGGGAGGAAACTCGCTGAATTTAGATAAACTTGGAGGGACCACTTCACTCCAAAGTTTTCTGCCAACTGAAAGTACTCTCAAAATTCTTGGCAACATCCAGAGCTTAATTATCTTGCTGAATTCTTTTTTTTGGAGGTGGGGGGATACAAAAACCAATATAGATCATTAAAAACACCCATATGTAAAAGAATTCAGAACAATTTACTGTATAACATTTTTCATGACTAACTTAAAAAAAAAACAAAACCTACCGAAACTTGTGGATGTGTTCCTTTAAAGCAAATGGTCCTAACACATATTAAACCACCGCTGCGCGTCTTCTAAGCATAGTAGGAAAAAATGACTATTGATCTTCAAATAGCGATAATTGAAAAGATCAAAAAGATTAAACAAAATCAAGAATGTGCTGACTTACCATGCTATGCTTTTTTGTTGCAACTTTGTAGAAATTTCACTCAAAGAAACTGCATCAGAGGTGTCAAATTTTTTAGCGGACTGTGATCGTATTATTTCCGCAGCCCTGCCTTCCAATGCTTCAGAACTTTTTTCCCTTTCTCTTTTTTGTTTGTGGTACCTAGCTTTTTGCTATAGACTTTAAAAGCCTTCAGCTCAGCAAACCAGCACAAATTATCTTGCCACCTTGCGCAGCTCTGATGCTTTGGCCGGTAACTTTGGAAGGCCCTTTACTACTGCATCAAAATTAGCATTGTCAAAGCAGTTAATGAATATTAATATTGTATTTGTCATTGGAGCCGGCCCGTTGCTGAACTCCGAGTCATCCATCAGGGACAAGATTAAGAACACAATTATTTCTGACTGACAGGGACCAAATCTGCTAGAATTTTTTTTTAAACAATTCGGGGGGAAAAAACCCACAATATCATCATCTTAAGGTGTCTCCCAAGAGACTGGGAACCAGATTAATACGCTTTTAATGAAGTAGAGATCATTATGTATGAAGGGGAAAAAAAAGAAAAGAGGTACTATTCAAGCTATTTAGTTATGGTGGTGGCTAGAAATTAAAAAAAAATGCAGACGGCATATCTTTTTCGACAGCTGTCCAGATTTTATTCATACTGTTCTAAAGAAAAAGACGACTTTTTTTTTTTTCTGAAATCTTTTCTTTTTAAAAAAAGAACAGAGAACGAGCGATTCGTCCCATCTGGGATAATTTTCCATGTCTTCACTTTTACTGTAGCGGCTCAGGAAAGACAGCACAGTAAATAATTCCTATACAAATTTGACAAGAAACACCTTCATCAGCTCAGCTCTTTCCACCCTTATTCCCCAGATTCCAAGCACTGTCTCTCTCACTTTATTCAGGATGAACCATTACATTTACAGAAACTCTTAAGTTTCCTTTAACGATGACATCTTTCTGTCATAAACACACAGGAAACAACACAACTCAACGAAAGCCTCTGATACATGCAGCAGATCCCAAATCGCCATTCGGAAAGAGTGCCCGCTAGACTCCTTCGGAGCCAAGATGGTCTCATTTAGGGTGCCGCAAAGTTGAAATGGAAGTTTTATCAGAAATTAAACTAACAGAAGCTTAACGAACTGCGCAATCAGCCCAGTAGCAGAAAACGTTTTACGAGATCATTAAAACACAGAACTTTCTCTACAACATAGGCAGAAGACTAATTAAAAGGAATTAAGCTTAAAAATTTGCAGCTTACCTGGCATAACCAACATATTTGAATTCACCCAAATCATCTCAACATCTATATCTATGTCCTGCAGAGTTATATCACTTATAACTATATTATACATATATGCATACATAGATATATACGGCGATTTCTTAGATGTTTTAGGAATAGCAGGCTTCATTGGCTTGCTCCATATAAGTTGTCTTCGAGATGATATTTCCACCCCCCTTTTCGTATTTTAAATGTGGTAAAAGGGATAAAATGACAGATGTGATGGTTAATCTACCCAATGAATCGTGGGGGTCTAGGTAAAGCTGTAATGGCCACTGAGCTAATCTACAACACCCACTGACCACCCTACTGGCCTTCTAATACCATTATCAACCCTTAGATGAACATTCTAAATTAGAGTTTTGTTCGAAAAGGGTGTGAATCTGACCTTCGATGCTGGGAAGCCTGTGCTGTATATACAGATGGCAAAGTTCTCATAAAAAAAATTTTTTTTAAGGTTTCTACTTTCTCGTGATTTGCATCTTTGAACTCTGTATCTTTACACCCTCCCCTTTTGCCCAAAAAAAGAGCCTTTCCAAATCCCCTCCTGCCATAGCCACTGATGTCATCTCTGCCACACACCCCATAATGTTTATGCCTATCCCGTCAGAAGGACCCCAGTAAAATCGCTGAAAACAAAGAAAAATCTCAAACATACATACAAACATCCTATCTTGCCCCAACTTTTCTTCTTCTCTCTTTCAGTGCTCTTTATATCCAACAAGTTTTTGGAATAGGTCCTAAAAATATATCACTTTCTAAGTGGGAAGACTTGAGACAAAATCGGTTAAGAGGATGAGATAAGAATACAAGAAAGCAATAAAGAATCCCATTTGTTCACACGCACGTCAAGGTACGCTACAAAGAAGGAAAGGAATTTGGGGCTAAGACTTCTCCTCTAGCACTCCTTTTTTAAAAAATGGATCAAAATGGACTTGTGTCAAATTATTATTGCCTAGATATGATTCACTTAAGGATATATTCCCAATGCCACTTTAAAAAAAATCAACGTAATCCCTATGATGAAAGCACACATTCAATGCTCCCTTCAAAAATCACAGTTTTCCTACCTTTTCCCCCACATCATCCCATAACCTACAATAGTCCTTATGCAGATATGTTCCTTTATTTTAGAAAGGCATGTGCAGACGTTTCCCCCATCACCTGTTTATCTAGACCAAAACTCAGACATGTGTAAACACACATACTTATGTGTATCCGACTAAAGATTTTTCAAGCATAGACTGACTTCCAAATAACCTGAGATGTCTAAAGTAAAGAGCCTTTGCTTTATCAATCCAGAGCTTCCCCATTCCTGGCCAGAGCCTGTCTTTTCAGGGCCATGGATATATCCTTAATCTGCATCTTTGTGCGCTCTGAACCGGAGTTGTTAATAGGCAGCTTTCTCTGCCTCTCTCTCGGCTTCCCCAGCACGACCGCATCAGCACTAGTATCAAATTAACTCTCCGACTTTGAAACTTATTGATCTGCTATTAAGACACCAGTGAACTTGATGAAATGAGTGCTGTAGGTGCAGTCATGACTTCAAAGTCTAGCACAGCCACATAAAGCAAGCGCCTTTGATCCTAACTCCGATCTACTGAGGGTTTAAAGCCCAGTTCTCCCTAAGCTGCCCTTCACTCTCGTCATGTCTGATGTCTTACCAACTAGTGACTTGATAATGTTAATAATGCAAATTTTACAAATGATTTTTATAATGGCAAAATTAATTATATGAATTGATGCTTCTTTCAATAGGGGTTTCTGGTTTCTACACTTCTCTTCCCTATAACGGTTGCAGCAATTGTGATGGCCAAGGAGGGATACCGGGCCCAGGTAATTCCGGACCACACTTTCCCATCTTCTTTCCATTTTGTACCTAAAACTAAAGCAATTTACTAGAAATTCCGCTAATAATCTTAGTAACTTTTATTGCTATAATTCTCCTTTCCTAGTAAATACCTACTGCTAAATAGAAGTAGCCTCTTTTTTACATGTGGTTGCTATTTTTAGATGATGGGCCAGTACAAAATCTTTATTCCTGCATACAATTTCTTCCTGATAGTCACAAACCCACGGTTAAGTTGCAGGGTTTCATACTCTCTGTTACTTTCTTACCAACTTGGAATTATCTGAAATGGTATATAGATAAGAATGAGAATGTACTACACAGATTCTGTGACATGAAAAATGTAAATACACATATTCTGTCTCAATCTGGCTAAACAATGCTTTTAATCTAACAAGTTTTTTAATCATCAAGGAATATATGTTTAAGCAAAGATTAATTTTACAAATTCCTTCAGTAAACATTTTGAATCATAGAATATTAAAAATAGGTTTCCAATTCAAATTCTGTCTAAATAGAAAGATAAACCCTATTAACTCTCAGTTTCATAGAGAAGTTTGGATTTAAATCATTTAAGAAAGGTTGTTATGTTCTAGGTTAAAAAATAATCTTATGTATAAACTAGAATGTCAGAATTTAAGCAGAAGTGTATCTTGATACTTCAGGAGAAGAATCAATGTCTAAGGACATATCCTTTGCCAAGAGGTTTGATTCTTTGTATGCTGATTTTGGACAGAAGAATGTCACTAAGTTCAGAGTAAAATGTGCTCGACTAATAGAAGCTTCATATATTCCTTTGATTTACAGTGTGTTATGTAATGATTGTGTTACTGTTGTTCCGAATCCGTGTATTACAGGAAGAAACTAATGGACGTATTTTCTTCAATCAATATGGCAACGTGTTTTCCCCATTGCAAATGTCAGGGCTGCCTCAGCACCCCCATGACAAAACATAATGGAAGTTTTAAAGGGCTGTGATTTTAATAAATACTTGCCTTCATTTGTGTGTGTGTGTGTGTGTGTTGTGTGTATGTGTGCGTGCACGTGTGTGTGTGTTGTGTGTATGTGTGCGTGTGCAAGTGCGTACGTGTGCATTTCCCCCCACAATATATATATTGAGAGAAGGGGGGTAAATCCAATTAGTTTGCTTTCCAACACTACTCTAATCATAAAATTTAGGTAGTAGTAACTTTGTGTTAGTGTTTTCCCTCCTCCCATTCACCCCCCAATGTTGATACTCACTTAACCTACTTGCAATTCTAAAGAAGTCAACACTTGATTGTGACAACGTTCAAAAGAATTTCCTCTGCCACTAGCACAGTAAAAAAACTTTCACCAATTAGTGCAGGAAAAAAGGAGGGAAAAGCCACAGTGCTGGCGCTCAAAGAGCCAGGCCTTGCGGCAAATCTGTCATGTCGAGAGGATTGATCAACAGGACGGCAATTTCTAATGGCATGTTGTCATGAAAAGTCAGCCACAGGGAGCCACCTGCTTTGCTCCTCACAGACAGCTAGGAGAGGAAGGAAGGAAGAGGGCGGGAGAGCGAGAAGAGGGGCAAGGCTCTCTCCATTCCTATCCCTGCCAGTTCCCTTTTGCTAACAATTTTGGTAAAGGTATCATGATTTTTCATTCAGTTGAAACATGTCAAGTCTCCAATCATATTACCCTTCCTCTAAGATTACAGTGGTTTGAAGGCTGACTCTTCCTTTTGCCTCAATCCCTTTTCCCCCCATTTTGCGAAGGGATAGAAGTACCTTCATTTGACCATACTCCCTCTTTGCTTTTGTCTACAATACTCCTTAGATTAGAAGACATCTATCATGCCTTTAAATCAACAAGAAGCATCCTGATTTAATAAAATCCAAGTTTGGAAGAGTCTGGAAGATGAAAGAGATGCAGGTGACACCATCAGACATTATTTTTCTGAGCCAAGCATTTAGCCAATTTAATGCATGTGTAACTGCTCTTGGCCTCATACTTCCTGAGGCTTTGTCTGGTTGAGAAACTGTTCTGAAACTCAGGGTTTGTAGGCCATAATCTAATCCACCACAATCTACTCCGCTATCGGTATCCTCCTGTGACACTGGTGCTGTTAGTTTGTTGTAAATTTTCTTGTGCTCGGTGCAACTCAGTATTTCATAACACCCTCCTACGTCCCCTTGAAAACAGAAGACATTCTGCCTCTGAACACTCCTCTAGAAGGTATGATTTTCTCAGTACCCAAGACTCTGATTACCAACCACTCCAAAGAATAGTCCTTCCTCCTCCTAATGTCCTACTCAATGGCTCCCTTGTCATTTCAAATGATGCTGTATTTGATTATTAGTACTACAAGATACTCTACCAGTACCAATCCCCAAAATGTCAAGCTACTGAAGGACCCAACACTAAATCGCAACATCTGAAAAACTGCTTCCCATTGACCTGATCTTAGAAAGTTGATGTGGTTGCTCTCCATAAAAGCCACTAACACAAAGGCCATCTTCTCCGTCTGTGTGAGGATGGTCCAAAATACAGTTGTGACCTCCTGTCCCTGGTAATTTTCATACTTTAAACACTCACAAATATACTACCCCTCAATCTACTTTGAACAAAAGAAAAAGAGTCAAATAAAAGTTAAAGAACTTTTAAGTTCATGAAACCAAACCCCACTTGGCATGCAAATCACGTACTGTAACCTTTTATTGGCGGAGCCTCTGGTCTCATCAGTCGATGAAATTCTCAGCCCGCGGCAACAGCTTAGCCGAGGGACACAGACCAATGAGAAAATATTCATTGTGTTAGCATTTCAAATGGCGAGAAAGGAAGAAGAAGCGCTAACTGATCACTGCCCGTGGAATTAATTGGATATTCCAAGAATAATGTCTCTCACTGAAGATCCTTGGAGGCCAAGCGCTGGTAGAGACCACATTTTGTGCGGCGCCTTCAAAAAGAGACCGCTTGGGGGTAGTGGACATATTAGGGTTTTAGCGCATTTCCCTAAAGGCCAGAAGATAATCAGATGCACTGAACCAAACTCAACTAATCCAATCCATAATTATACACACAAATCCAATAAACTTTGCCACATAACTGGAAAATTAGTCTATTATATTGAAACCTTCGATAAGTTTTTTTAAAAAAAAAAACACCTTAAGGGACACCATGGCTAAAATGTTTCTTTTGGGGGTGGAGACATGTGGCCAAGAACTTTATTATTTTTTGCTTGCAAGTTATAACCTTCTGTTATGTTCAAGGACTGATCTTAGTGCCAACATGGTTTCTTTATTCAGGGAGGGATTTGTGTTTCGGCTTTATTGCACATAACCTAAGCATCTGCAATGACCCTGACCGATATTAGTATATCTTTCCTTAAGACACATCTTAATCTAACCTTTTTAAGACTCTTTTGCTTTCAAACTCAAAACAGCATAAAAAATAAGCATTGTTGGTGGCACCAGGAGTCTGAACTAAGGGCCTGGCGTGGTCCGCAGCAATAGCCCCCTGGATAAACAGCTGCCGGTGAAACTAAATCACCATCGGAGACCAAAAGGTAAGGGGGGAAAAATGAGATTAGGAACTTTCCCAAATGTTCCATCTCTCCTATCGACCACTGGCCTAGCGTGAGGTGTCAATTTTGACTCCAAAGAGAGCACACGAATTCGCAGCGGTCCCATTATGCGGTCTCTGCTCTCATTGTAAATTCTGTCAACGAAGTCAATCTTATTAACTTCCGCACTGGTTCACACATGACATTTTCTTCAATTTTCTTGCTGACATCAAAAACATCAATTAGCAGCCCGAAAATAGGAAGGAACGAATGACAGCGCCTGATAACGTCGACTATTTGAAGCCAAGGGTAAATCTATTCTCCAGTTCTGAATGCGTTCATTACAATTGCATTTTCAAAGAAGACCTCCAAATAGCAAAGAAAATTAAATTTATCATCTAGAAATGCCTAGAAATTGTTTTTTTAATCCTATGTCTATCTCTCAATCCCAGAGCGTAATACAAAGTATCGCAATTGAGTTTTATGATAACATGCCACAACTTTAATAGAAAGTTTATAAAATATGCAGCCTGGACCACACTTACTATCAAATAGCAACCAAGGCTTGGGAATAAAATAAAATAAAAAAAACAAAAAAAAAAAAACAAAAAAAAACAAAAAAAAAACTTCCCCAACAGATTGCAGCCTCTCCTGGTAGGGCCTATCCATTTTCCTGGGTTCTCACTATACTCCAGGCAAATGTGTAGGTGAACAAACACACACACACACACACACACACACACACACACCCCCCAGATGACCAGTTGGTTGAAAACTTTAAAAAATGAAAAAGAAAAGGCAACAAAGTCTGTCATTCAAAACCCAAATGTTTTTATGGAGAAAAACCAACACTCTGTCCCTCCCTACAAAACTAAATAAGTCTTACTATCCACATACCCCTTTCTCTTCTTTAAGAAACAAGTTTCCAGTAAAATTTCCCCTCTTCCCACTGATCACCTCAAGACAGACATATAAGCCTCGTCCAAATAGTCCAAGCCAGAGACAAAACCATTATTCATCTGCCCAATGTGCTTCACCTAATTATCACCCATTTGCTTTTAATTGACTTTTTCTCTCCAAAATCAAACAAATAAATAATAAAAAACATCAAGGGTTCTCCCCTGGCCAGAAAATTAAAACACCACCAGTAAATTCTCGACCCCGTCTGCTGGGCTGAGCCCAGCGAGTCCTGGAAATGGTTGGAAATGGACCGAAAAACACAGCACCAAAAAAAACTTGGTTTTTGCAGTCTTAAGAGAAAAGCTTATATTTATTTTATTATTTATTTATGGGGGCGGGGGGTGGGGGCGAGCAAGCTAATGTGCCCGCTTTGTGTGCCGTATCACAGCTCCCAGGGAGGGAGGCGACGCAACTTCGGTGCCTGCCCCAGACAACCGCCTCGGACTTGTGGCGGAGCAGAAACAGCAGCTACACCCCGGTAAACAGATTGCATTCCTGCGGCCCATTGATTTTTTGATCTTTTGACATTTTTTAGTTGCTTCCATTCCCTTCCTTGTCTTTTCTTCAATGTCACAAAAGACAAAAAATGTCTAAACAATTGAGGGCAGAGATATCTATTAGCTGTCAGACCGCCGTTTCCCGGCATTGACTAAGCGCGCACCACAAAGAATGCCGAGAACTGGTAAGATGACAAATTATATCATTCTTTTTTTCCTTAAATAGGGATAATCATATTCCAATACCTTGCCTTCTCCTAGCCAACCAAAACGTGCTGTGAGAGAAGGGAAAGAAATCTCATTGTATCCTGTTCTGTAATTTCTATTACGTTAGCTATATTTGTTGGGGGGAGAAGAGAGAGAGAGAGAGAGAGAGAGGGAGAGAGAGAGAGAGAGAGAGAGAGAGAGAGAGAGAGAGAGAGAGAGAGAGAGAGAGAGAGAGAGAGAAAATCCCTTCAAGGAAGGTAGCAACATATTTCAGGTTGTAGCATCTAGGAGAAGCAAAGCATATCTTCCTGATTATTTTCCCCAAAGAACTGCTTCCATAGTGCGAGTACCACATTAATAAAAGAAACAATTTGTTATACTTAGGGATGAAAGACTGTTAGAGAATGAACTGATGTCCCCTAAGTTATTTGTTTCCCCCTGAAGACAAGCAAAGGCGTTCTTTCAAAGCAGTTAAATCGTAGATTTGATGTACAGCCAACCTCAACTTTCTAAAACCTAAAATCTGAAACTTATCATTCCCATTAAATAATGCCCCGACAGGAATGTTTTAAATATTGTTTCAAATGGGTTCTCTCTGCTTGTGATTTGACTGCAATGAACATGTTGTACATCTATGATTTCAGTGTTAAAATTCAAACCACACTCATACTGCGTTTTCCTTCAAAACCAATAATCAACAATTTATGGACAAGAAAGCTAAAATGGATCAACTTTACACTTGCATTTGAGAAGATTAATGATTTTCTTTCAAGAAAGCAGTGTGTTAGGAACATTAGCTTTCAACATTTATTTTTGTATGTAATAAAAAATATTAAAATGTATGATTTAAAATCTATTTACCTAGATTATCTATGGATCTATTTTATAAGG
The DNA here is from genome assembly GCF_000001405.40 of Homo sapiens. NCBI lineage: Eukaryota > Metazoa > Chordata > Mammalia > Primates > Hominidae > Homo > Homo sapiens. The sequence goes on along the minus strand of NC_000010.11, from coordinate 113,116,714 downwards.
AAAGACTATTTAACCCTTTTTAAAAAATAGGCCCAAATGTGTAGGATGCACTTGGGGCGGGCGGGGGGGAAGCAGCAAAAAAAGAAATGTTTCAATTTACAGTAACTACCTTGTAATCTTATAAACAACGATTTCACAAATAAGCAAAGGATCCCCAGGCTTAATCTGTACTTTCATTTCTATTTTATTTACATAGACTCCTACTTGATATTTAACATATAATGTTTATTTTTCTGTTTTCAAATATGCTTTTAACAGAGACTACATATTTTAAGATACTGGCAATGTTTGCACTATTACACTACAAGGGAAAATATTAATTAGGTCTAATTTAGATTATAAGTGATAAAATATAACTAATTCAAATTCAGAGGGAACAAAGTCCTATTGTGCTTTTAGGAATTGTATGCAATAACACCACAATACTTGAGAGTATCAAATCTATGATTTTCAAACACAAGTTCAAACTGGCAAATATAAGAACATATTTATAACCTACAAAAGGGGAAGGGGAAGGGAAAAGAGGGAGAAAATGATAAATTTAATTTTTCATCAGATTATCATGATAAACTATACATAACCAATCCAGTTTTTCTGCTCCTAAGACAAACATTTCTGCATTGTTGTCAGCTACATACATCTACCTTTTCTTAGAAAGCCTACCATAGTCAAATAGGCTCATTCACACATTGAGTAAAATAGGATTGAAGTTCCTCAAATCATTCCATAATATTAGAAGACAGGTAAGGAGCTATATCGATACACATCTTCATATTGTTTGAGGTTTCTATTTTTAACTTTATGAAATCAAATATGACGTGACAGCAGCCTGTTTAAGGGGGAAGGGTGCTAAGGAATTAGAGGAGGCAAGCAGAGACACACGCACACACATTCACAAAACTGACCACAGGTTGTGGACGGGATGGTCGGTAGTTGTGGTTTTTAAAACCGCGCGCTGTCCTTGAAATGGAGGCCGCACACAGCTCCATTAGATACAGATCCAGTGCTCTTGATCTATTATTTACAAAGAAAAACCCTTCACTGCTTAAGTGCCCCTTCTACTTCAGCCTTCCATTTCAACAGCATCAAACAACTTGGTGGGGGGAAAAACACAAGACACAACAACTTGTGTTCATCACAACGTTCCGTGCAATTCAAAATTCTACTTGGATGGGAAAAAAAATTAGAATAACCTGAACACAGGATGTTGGCTAAATGACAAACAAATGAGAGGTTTGTCATTTTCTAACAAGCGATACAAGATTTGATCATCTTTCTGTAAGAGAAATTTCTATTTGAAAAGAAGGGAAAAAATTCAGGAAAACTCATTTTACCTCAAGGATGTGAAAAGAAATGTTTTCAAAATGTATATTTGGTATGAAATTCTTTAATTATCAAGTCTGCTCTTTAAGTCAAACTGCATTCGATCTAATTAGTAAGCTTAGATCTCACCTTCATGCTGAACTTTAAACTCTCTGAAGCCAATTAAAAACTATTTAAATGAATATTAAAAGGATTCCTGTGATCATTTCTGACATGACAGAAAACATGCTTTCCAGCAAAAAATAGGTTTACACAGCTTGCCTACATTTCACAAAACATTTGAGTTTTGCATTTAATCTGTGTATTACCCTTTTTCGATTCTGCCATCCAACGCTCTTCCTCAGCTGTTTTATCATCCCTGTTCAAGCATATCTGCTGCCAATACAGTTTTAACTGCAATTAGAACTGCTTTATTATTCAGTGCTCTTCAATTTTCAATAACTTAATTAAGATTTACTGGACGGTACCTATTTCCTACTTTCATTTCAATACGCTATTGAATTGGGCACACATGGAAATGTAGCAATAACAAGTTGGAATCTGGAAAAAAATTCTTAGCAATTTTCAATCTGATAAGCCAAAGCAAACTGAGACTACAGTAAAACACATACTCTTTCTCTCTCAGTCTAGGCCTTGAAATCGCTTTTTGAGAATTAATAAATTATTCTGTTTGCTTAGGAAATTAAGTGCTCCCGTGCAAAGCCATTACAATTAACACTACTAAATGTGTTAGGTTACACTAAAGAAATCCTCACAGTATAATTATATCAATGAGTCAGTTAACTCACATATATTAATTCAATTTATCTTCATTTTGAACCATGTGGACTGATAGATTGTCATCATTAGAAATGACAAAACTCCACGCTGGAGGAAAATACAGACCTGCTAATGCCCTGACTTCTCCTTAAGCCCACACACCATTGACTCCACTAAGGGCGCCTCCAAGATATCAAGGGATGTATTCTCTGCTAAGGACCAAAAAGTCAGAGCTTCTGATCGAGATGCAAAAAAATATCAGTTGGACTCTCCAGAACCTACAAACCGGTATCAATAAAGAAAATTCCAACACAGAAATCTCAGTGCTAATAAGTTCTTAAGACAAAGACCATTATATATTTAGTACTAAAGGAATATTCATCCAATATTCCTTGGGAAAATGCTACAAAATAAATGCCATTTTCCCCAACCATGCAACCTACTGATAAGCATTTCTGATTAAAAAGGAACTACAGTGCCAGAGCAAACATATTAACCAAGAGAGCTCAGCTGGGGATATTGTCAGTAAATAAGATGTTACCAGGCAAAGCAATTCCAGGATTGTTCACAGGGATTTCCTTCTGAAAACTCACAGGATTAGAGGGGGCCTTATTAAGATTTTAACAATCATGAGACTATGATTTGACCTGTAACAACTGATAGTCCAACGAAACCCATCATGATGGTCATCCTGGGTTTTGAAAAGTGGAATCACAGTGGGAAATTCAAGGCTAAGTGACTGGCTTTGCATTTGATTCTTAAAAGGCTGATTTTTATATTTAACATCTTAAAACATCTGACCCAAATATTCTTATTCCCCTCTCTCTTAAAAAAAGGTCCTTGGAAAACTAACATGGAAATCCTTGGGTTTATGATGCCCCAAACGTCATTATTTATCTCTAATGGGAAACAAATTAGATGGTGAGGAGCCCAGGAAAACTAATTTAATTTCTTTAAATGCTGCAGAAATAAGAGAAACCACACAGTTCTTTGGGGCTTGGAGAACTGGAAGCCATCAAGACTAACAAGGACAAAGGGTCACAAATTCTAAAGGGGGTGAACACTGTTCTAAGAAATGCCTCACATCTCCTTCTAGGTGAAGGTGCGAGCAACACAGAACCCCCCTTTCAAGAGAAGTCATCAACCTGGCCAGTGTGTCCAGCCCAGGCAGCTCATCCTATGAGGATGTCCTATGCCCTGTGATTCATGTCTAAATAGCCACTGACCAGTTTGTTAATCAAGCACTGGTGGGGAGGTGCGGGGGAAGAATTAAGTAAGGACATCAAGTTGCTTTGGTAAGTTATAAGTTGTTGATGTAGTCAAAATGACAATATTTCCAATTCACCTGCTTACGGGTGTTTGTGCTCTTATTAGCGATCGGGACTATTACTGGGCTGCTCCTGTACTGAAGTGCAGGGAGAGAGGCTGAAGAAACTGCAAGCTGTCAGGATTTCACCGACTTGACAAGGCAGACCGGGTTGGCCAGTGTTTGGGTTTTTGGTTATAGAACCCAAAAACTCCTGTCACTCATGAGGTCCCTAATTAACTACTGCTACTACATCAATATGACAAAAATAAGGGAATTTGCTTTTCAGATAACGGTGACTCTCTGCTACAACCAAGAGTTAATATTAACAAATGAATTGGAAGCAGAGGAGAAGAAGCCATTTTATAAACCGCAATGACAAATAGAAACCCACCAGAAAAGCATAATCAGGGAAAAGCCTTCTACCTTTTATTTTATTCTTTTTAAAAGGAGGAGGATCTGAATACACAGAAACACTGGCCAAACTCGCCTCCCATGATTGCCTCATAAGCTTAAAACACAATATTGCTTGCCTCTGGAGAAAGACAACATGCCTCCATAACATCAGAGAGAAGGTGACAGTACAGGACAGTACGATCCCATTCTGAAATTGCTTGGTTTTCATTAACAAATAAATGATGTTTTGGTGGACTTTGAACTTTTGCTGTTCACATGAAGTTTAGGAATGTTGGCAAGGAAAGGCACCCAAATCCAGTAAGTTGATTTAAACACTATTAAGTAAGCACGGGAAATTGCTGTGCCCTTTACAACACGTATGTGTTCTCAGAGAAATTAGGTGTGCACACACCCAAGCCCCAAGCTGCTACAGGGAATTATGAGACCAGGGGAGGAGATTTTAGGAAAGCAAGTCCTTCTGAGCCTTGCCAGTCGCTAGCCGGGTGGTGATTTCACCTCTGCCCCAAGATTGGTGCTGCATGCCAGGGAAGAGAAGTGTGCGTGTGCACGCATGTGTGCATGTGTGTGTGTGTGAACATGCCTGGCCCCTTCTGCTGACAGCACAGCCTCTACAGACAACACAGCCTCTACCTCTTTCCTAAGCTCCTTGTAAACATACCCAGAGGCTAACATACAATGGGCACATCCAGTGAATAATAAAGTAAAATTGAATTATGTCATGCCTCCACCATAGCAACGCCTATTGGCTCTCTCCTCTCTCCAGAAGAGCCCTGCCAATGTTCCTGCTGCCATGTGGAGCTGGGAGTATACTCCCATTAGGCACAGATGGAAAGCATGTCGCAATCACCTGCCCAAAGCAGACTGTGAAACTGGTTTCAAATGCAACCAGGCATCTTAGTACAGTCTGGACGGTGGTGTTATTTTTTTCAAAACCATCTTGTTTTTGTCTAGCATCTCCTCAAGGAAGTTTAGGCGTGACTATTTCTCATAATCTAAGTCTCACATGAAAACAGCCCCATTTTACAGACAGAAAAACAAACAAGCTCAGAGGATTTAGAAGAATTGATTTGAGATTAGCTGGTTAATAATTTTATTTATTTATTTATTTTATTTATTTAAAGAAAAGGTGTCACTCAGTTGCCCAGGCTGGAGTGCAGTGGCGTGATCACAGCTCATTACAGCCTCCACCTCCTGGACTCAGGTGATCCTCCCATCTCAGCCTCCCGAGTGGCTGAGGTGATGGGCACATGCCACCACGCCTGGCTAATTTTTGCATTTTCTGTAGAAATGAGGTTTCACCATGCTGCCCAGGCTGGTCTCAAACTCCTGGGCTCAAGTGATCCTCCTGCTTTGGCCTCTGAAAGGACTGAGATTACAGCCGTGAGCCACCGCACCCAGTTGGTTAGTAATTTCAGCAAATGAAAATGAGGAGGAGGAATTATTGCTGCTGTTTCCATAAACACAGTAGACTCTTCCTGGTATCCTTCCCTTAGGTGCACTTGGAGATTCATTCACTGATTCAATAAATACTGATTCAGTGCCTATTTCATGCCTGGCTCTGTTCTAGGCACTAGGGATAGATAGATATATCAGTGAATCAAAGTCCTGCCCTCAGGGAATTAATAATCTAGAGAGGGAGATAATTATTTACAACTGTCAAAAAGCTGACAGATACACCCCAGAGTACCTTGATGGTATAATTTCCTCAAAGTCAGTTAACCTCTAACAGAAACCAGTTCTATGACCATCCAGCCCAATGTTCAATTCACTTCAATTATTCTATGCCCCGGAAAATATAACTGAAAAGCTTGATTTATATGCTAGAGAAGAAGCACAAGTTTTTAATCACCACTTAGAAAAAAAAAAAAAAAGGAATCCCAAATGCTAAATTATGCTGTCAAATCATCTAAAGATGAACAGCTATTTGCACTGGAGGTCAGAGAACATTACAGACTTGGGGAATATGGTGTTAACAGTCAGATCCCCTTTTTTCATACCAATCTAAACTCAGAGCTGTTGGCTATTTTGTCTGACCCATACAATTGGCCAGATTAGTCTATGATTGGGACAGAAACATTACGGGCACTCAGGGATTGCTCATGAATACCAATTAATATTAATTTGGATTTCTTCTCTTTGACCCAGTACATAGCATAGGCTTTCTTGTACTTCCATACTTAATTTTAGGGCTTTATAAACTACAACAACTCAAACTACTGGCATGAACCCTTTTAACATTTTTAGCTCCTTTTCCAACTATAAATTAGGTAAAATATATAGATGTAGGGGTCAAAAGCCAGCAATTAGAATCGACATTGTCCTTCACTATAATTTTGGGGCAGCCAGGCTTGTGAGAAGAAGAGCTTCCTTTACCAAAGACATGTGTATACTACATGTTTATTGCTGTGTCTCACGTATAAATATATAGAACCAATTAAGGACTGGTTAAGTGCTGTTTGTTGCAGATATTTACATGTGAAAACACTGCTTCTGAAAAATCTTTTAGGAAAAAAATTCGTAAAAAAAAAAAAAAAAAAAAACCCCAGTAGACAATCTCAAACATTTCAAAGAAAATGTTAGAATTGGAAATTCTTTAAACAGTTTCTACAATTGACTTTTTTACAATTATTCAGACTGTGATGGCCTGATGAAAAAGTTATTAGAACCTAGTATAACAACTAAAAGTTCATTATTATCTACAAAGATAATATTTTTTAAAATGCATCTTTATTCAGGCATCAGGGAGGAAAAAAATTGATTTCTCTAACAGAAGAGCTTCCCAAATTCAGAGGAAGAAGTCAAGAATTATCATGCTTGTTTTAAACCAAAAATATAACTGACGTGTTTAACATTTTATAAACATGTTTCTTTAGAGGCTTCAACAGGTGTTTTCAAAATGTAAGCATAGCAAAGCTATTTTCTGTATGAAATGATGTTATAATCTTCAAACAAGTCACTTTTTAAAAGATCTATAAAATATTATACATTCTGATATAAGCCATGATTTAATTAGAATATTTAAGTTATCAAAGAGGCAGGTAAAACAGCAAAATGAACCATATGCACATTATGTTTCAAAAAACAACTGAGGCCATTGCATCTAAGCCTGTTGATTATAAAAGCTGTATGGGGCTTCACTTTCTAACTCTTGAACACCAGATGTCAGGATGCTTAACACATCCACCAGCCTTTCATAATATCTCACTTAAATCCCACACCCAGCCAGCACAGTGGCTCATGCCTGTAATCCCAGCAGTTTGGGAGGCTGGGGCAGGTGGTTGACCTGCGGTCAGGAGTTCGAGACCAGCCTAGCCAACGTGGAGAAACCCTGCTTCTACTAAAAACACAAAAATTAGCTGGGCGTGGTGGCAGGAGCCTGTAATCCCAGCTACTTGGGAGGCTGAGGCAAAAGAATTACTTGAACCCAGGAGGGGAGGTTGCTGTGAGCCTTGATTGCACCACTGCACTCCAGCCTGGGCGACAGAGCCAGAGCCTGTCCTGTCTCAAAAAAATAAATAAACAAATAAAAATTAAAAAATAAATCCCACACCCTTACTGGGACATTGATAGCACTATCCCTATTTTATAGATGGTAAAACTGAGACTCCAGGAATAAAATTGTTTCCCCAAGATAACACCGTAAGTGGCAGAATCAGGATTTGAGCTCAGGTCTTCTGACCCTAACTCCCTGCTCTTCCCAATCCCATGGCTAAATCCCCTTCAAGTCAACACTACATGGCAGGGGTTCATGATGGAAAATGCCAGTGCGGCAATTCTAAAGCTGGAAATACGCTCCTTTCTGATCAACACATTACGTTATGTGGCCCATGTGTGCACGCGCGTGTGTTTGTGTATACACACTGTCGGCAGGGATTGTAGTGGTTAAGGGGACAGTTGGCAGGTATGGTGGTACAATTAGTACAGATAAACCCTCAATAGCCTATCTGCCTTCTGATTTTTAAATAAACAAAGGCTGAATACTATAATTAAGATCAGAGTGCCTCTGAAAGACCATATGGCAAAACGAAAATTAAATGAAAAAGTCACCGGCAGGGAATGGGAGAATATGTTATTCCTAAAGTGGAAGAAGTGATTTTTGAACAAATGCTTTTTAACTCCGATGCCTGGAGGAAAACAGCAACCTCCCTGCAGAAATGACGGCCACGACCAGGGCAGGCAGTCCTGGGAAGAAATGGAGCGCCCTGGCCCTGCAGAGGCCGGAAAGGGAATACCACGTCCATACTGCAGGGGGCGCCCCGCGGTGCTGCCAGCCTAGGCTGACCTTGCCCAACCTCTCAGGCTAGGGGGTTCCTCAGGGATAATGCAAACCTAGAAAAGCAGTCAGTGCAGTGGTCGGCCACACTGATGCCTGGAGGTCCCTAGAGTCCTACTCCTTTTCTTAATACTGAGAAAACAATGGCATCTCTATGCCCACAATGGCTTCAGTGTGCACCCCTCCCCCCCACAATGGCCCCATTCAATCCCCCACCATGAGCGATTGCCCCAAGTTTAACGGCCTGTGTTAGGAGAGCACCGGACACAAAAGGAGGTGTTTCCAGGTTCAGTGAACACTTTACACCCATTCATCAGGGAAGGGACAAAAGCGATTCCCCACTTCACCTCAGGCGGAGCAGAGGCTGGGGGCTCTGTCATCCTCACCAAAATGCAACCTTTGCCTGGTGGGGTGGGGGGGTCCACATTGTGTTTAAGGATCACTGTGCAAACATGGTTCCTGATTATTCTACCTCCAGCTAAAAACATTTGCATAAAAACGGGATTCTTTTGTCCCCTAAGAAGAGCCAAGAGGAAGCTTGGTGGGGAAGTATGGGGGCAAAGGGGGCTGGAGGCTCTCAAAGGAAGACCAAGAAGGTCAGCCGACAGACCCTAAATTATACTTTGGAATCTTTATTAGGAAAATAGCCCACCTCTTTCCTTACATTCAGTTTTTACTAGGGTTCACTGCTATTTTTATTAAGGAACCTAATGTTTACTTTGTGTAATTGCTTTAATTACTAAGTGCCCCTGCCAGCAACGCTTGACCAATATAGGCTGCTTTAAGAAACACCATTATTTCACAGGACCCAAAAGCATTATTTCCCTAATTGCAAGTGATGTACCTTGATTTTTTTGTTGTTTTTTTTTTTTTTTTTTTTTTTTAGACGGAGTCTCGCTCGGTCGCCCAGGCTGGAGTGCACTGGTGCGATCTCGGCTCACTGCAAGCTCGCTGTAAGCTCCGCCTCCCGGGTTCACGCCATTCTCCTGCCTCAGCCTCCCAAGTAGCTGGGACTACAGGTACTCGCCACCACGCCCGGCTAATTTTTTGTATTTTTAGTGGAGACAGGGTTTCACTGTGTTAGCCAGGATGGTCTCGATTTCCTGACCTCGTGATCCACCCGCCTCGGCCTCCCAGAGTGCTGAGATTATAGGCATGAGCCACCACGCCCGGCCGCAACTTGATGTCTTGACCACAAATGTGTACATCAAGGCTTGGGTATCAGTCAACAGCCCCTGACTGTACTGGTTGGTCAGTAAGGCTTAACTTCTTTTGTGGGAGGGGAAGGGGGTGAGGGGAGGGACTACAGAGTTTATACAAAGTGCTAAGATTTGAAATAGCCCAAGTCATACCTCCCTCCTCAGAGAGCCACCCACCCACCCAGTACCCAGCCGAGCTGGATTAGTCATACTAAACATAGTCCATTCCCAACCAACCCTTCAAGCTTTGGCAGGCCAAGCTCTGCTGACATTCCAGGCCCAGTTTAACATTACATAATGAGAGTTTCACTCCCATGATGGGCTGCAAGTCAAAACAAACTTGCTGAACTCAACCCAGGGCACCGGCTTGTTTCCTGGTTACAGGACATGGGAGTGCTAAGGGCAGAAGACAGCTCTTCGCAAAAATTATAAAACCAGTGAACTCTTGCATCCATTCTGATCATGGTCAACTCAGTCAGGGTGGTCCTGAGTTCGAGAACTGGTGATCCACAACCTATATACTTTTCAAGTTTTCTCACATAGTGTTGGTGCCAAACTTGTTTTCAAAGGATCATTTTCATACATTTCTATGTTTGAGCTTTTAATGAAAGCCCAGAAAGCAACACTTTATAAAAAGATTCCCAAATACCAGTCCTCTGGGAAAGACTAGTTATTCATTCATCATTCAAAATACACACATAAATGGTAAGATCTGATTGTCTATGTATCGCTAAAGCACATTCACTGCTTGAAAAGTTTTCAGTGTTTTTTATGTATCAATTCCAGCTCACTGCTTTCTCGTTAACCTTTAGCAGAGATGATTATATTAATCCATCCTCATCACCATCACGAGCCTCCTGATCATCATATCAACACCCGGGGCATCCGAGAAAAATCAGGATTTCAAGTGGAAAATAAGTGAATTCATACTGAACACACTGAATTTCACACACTAATCCAGAAAGACCTTGAAATTAATGGCACTTAACAGGAATGGTTCACAAAATTAAACTCTCCCTTGAATCGGAGGTGGCCGAGGGGAAAGAGGAAAACCAAGAGATCTGGATTCTAGTCTTGATTCTCCCACTGTCTGGCTACACACGATTGCTTGATCTTACAGCAGTCTTCTTTCTCTGAGCCTCTGCTTCCTCACTGTTCAAGAGAGGATTTGAAGAGTGGTCAGGTTAGAGTTATCAGTCTGCTCTCACAATTCCAAGATTCTGTAACAGATTCTACAAACCCACCCACCCCAACCACAGTGAACACATTACTCTGGTTGGGGTCTGTTTGCATTAATATTCTCAGTGCACTCAGGTCCATTTCCCTGACCTGAGTTATTTTACTTTTCTTGTGTCAGAAGCCCAGGTTCAAGGGAGTACCTCAGAGCCCATTTGCACCTTACCTGTTAGGTAACATTCCACTTACTGCTATCTTCTTACTATCTCCTTACCCACAGGACAGTCCCAATTAATCTCCCTAAAGAATCTATTTTTTTGTTTTGTTTTGTTTTAATCCTGGAGACAACAAACTCTTCTTAATAAATCAGGATACTAATTACAAACATCAATTGCCAGAGCCCCAAGGGCCGTTTGCTCTATTCTAAACAGCTCCAGCTTATGGTGCTTTTAAGATTCTCTTGCTCTCTCCTCTTTCTAAACTGTAAGACCCTGGAATGCTCAGAGACTGTCGTCTGCCTGGAACCTGGACGGGATGCTTCTGGCAGACAGGATCTTCGTGATTCGAAGAAAGGCAGAGCAAAGACTTGATGTTGAATGAGCAAGAATTGGAAGTGTGGTGGGAAACCCCACTAGACAGGTGAGGTGCGGGGCACCTCCCTGGTCACCAGGCAGAACTAAAGAGTGAAAAAGGAGAGAAATGGGCCTGGGAGCATCTAGACTGCAGTCAGAACAATAGCCACGGTAACTCCCAGAACTTCGAAAGTGGACCTGCCCACCAAATGTCCCTGTGTTATGGCTTTCCTGGGCAGCCTCATTACCAAGACAATTCACATGAAGATGGAAGGGATCCAACCATGCAGGGAGTTCCAAATCCCAGAAGCTCTCAAGGTGATTTCTTCCCAGAGAGGAGCAGGCCTCAGAGCAAACTGGGACTCCCTAAGAGGCCCAATGGGAGCCGACTTCGACTCAAGCCGTTACTCCTGGCTAGACGGTACACTTCCTAAAGGCAACAACTCAGTCCTCTCACTCACACCCTTGTCCCCAACACCAGAACCCTGCCTGGCACAGAAGTCCTCAATAACATTTTACTAAATGGACTCAAGCTGTCCCAAAAGCTGGAGTCCCTGTCATGTCACTCTGGAAGTTAATGAGACCTATTGTGCAGGCTTTCCCATAATTTGTGTCCAGAAGCAGTAAAGAGAGACCTACATGTCTGTCCCACAAAGTCAAGTTAATGGCCTTTGCAACAGTTATTGTCACAATCTTCCCTTCTTTTCTGCTTCCTGCCAACATTGCAGGGAGGGAGACTATCAGCCAGCAATCTGATATTTGAATAAGCGGGGGCTGAGTTAACTGTGCCCTCCTTCACCCCATGACTTCGAGGAACTGTTTAAGCCTCATGTACCAAGCTAATGGGATGGTACTGTCTTGTCTGCCTTAGACCCTAGCCTGGGACCCAAGACCCCAGACAGCCAGAAGAGTAGAATTGTGTTCCTTGAGTGTCACCTGATGTTACAGCAGTGGGTACAGATCTTCAGGCTTTGTAAACATCCAGGTGTAGAGCTCAGTAATGCTGAGATATTTGAGATCAAATTAAATAAGTGGCTTACCATATGTATTTTAGGCCATCTGCAAGACCATTAGGACACTGTGTCCTTTGTCCTAGAATTGTAGAGTATGGTATATGACACTATGGTACCACCAAAAAAATCACAGGCTGCATTGCCCTGAAAAGGATAAATAAGAGGCTGGGAGACGGCGTTAGGGGTAAAATCTCACTTCTAAGACTTTTCCCCCAGTGCTTCTCAATGCCCCTCCCTGGTGTCCAGATGACATCTATTAAATTCAGGCACTGCTCCACAAGGGATCTTGGCCTCTGGCTATGAGAAGAATAGCATCAAAAAATTGCTTGCCAACAACCCATAAATTTAAACAAGTCAGGATGGCAAGAGGAGGCTGCCTGGGAATCATCACAGAGGAGAAGTCAAAAGCAGTGTGGTTTAAGTGGGACACATAGACAGACACCCCTCCAGCGTGATGTTCCTCCTTTAACAAAGGCAAATCCTTCAAGCTCCCACGAGGATTAGGAAATCATCTCTTTGCCCATGTGACCACTTACAGTCTTGAAACTATGGGGGAAGGATCGCCAATGAATAGCACATCTTACTGGACCAAAGGCACTGAACTCAGATCCTGGCCCATCCTAATTCTCAGGAGGGGGCTGGGAGTGAAGCGAACAACTTATATGCAAGGGCACCGATTTTATTCCCACAAAAGTGGGGGCGTAGCTTTGATAGTCAGAGCACAGTGCTAAGAAACCAAGAGTCCCAGCTACACTGACCCAGCTCCCTTGACCTGGAAAAAGGCCTGGCTTGCTCCTGCCTCAGTGACTCTGTCCATATAATGGAAACTGTCAAGCTGTGCTAAGGCTTGCTTCTCCTCCTAGTGTAGCCCACCATCATGGGGAGTGGAACACAGCAGCAAGGACCACACACTGTGCAAATATACACTTGATGCTCTCAGTACTCACACCCACTCGCACAAAAGACATACCATTAATAAGTACGAAAAAATGTGAGTTTCCTCCCAGAGCCATCTCACGCATTGTAACCCCTCCTATCACTGGCAACCACCATTCACATTTGATTCTCAATGCAGGCAAATGGGGGACTTGAAAAACACGAGGGTCCCAGCATCTGTACATCCAAAGCTCACCCTCCAAAGCAGACTTTCCTCTTTAAAGCCCCCTGTTAATCATTCTACCAAATGGCCTATTTTTTTTTCTTTCTTACTTCGCGGGATCCAAGCAATTTTTTACTGTGGGTGGTAACAATTGTAGAACTGTTTCTAATTATTTAAAAAACAAAACCACACACACAAAACAAAACAAAACAAAAATCTATGTTGCCAATTGCAGAGAGGCTCAGAAGCCACAACTTCCGGTAATAAAGATTTTTTCTCTGCAAGGATCAGAAGCCAGCATATCTGGACAGCATCTGTGTGCTCTGAGCTTCTCATACAGCTGGGCCCACTTCCACATTACAGGACAGAAGGTTGTCATTGATGGGGAGGTGGGCAGCCTCGTTTGGACAACATTTGAAGACCCAGCCTTCAAATCCCAGTCCTAACAATTACTTTCAGTGGAACCAAGGACAAATTATTAAAAAGAAAAAAAAAGTCTGCACCAGTTTCCTCTCTATAAAATGAGAAAAAATGGTTCCCACAAATTGAGCAGATTAAATGAGTTAATATATGAAAACCACTTAAGGCAGAGCCTGGTATACAGTAAGTGCTGAGTACATGTTAGCGACTAGCTTATTTATACATAAACTTTAAATAATATTGGTTTTTCTCTTCTGTGGCAGCTGTAAGGGTGAAACAATAATACTTATGAAAAGCTTAATCCAGTGCCAGAAGGATAGTGGATTTTTAATACATGATGCATAGTATTAACATTAAAGCCTATCCCACTCCCACTAAGAAGAGGGTTCAGGTTTCTTTCCTCCCAAATCAAAGAAGTGAATTAAAAAATACAGATATGGCCAGGTGCTCATGCCTGTAATCCCAGTACTTAGAGGGGCCGAGGAAGACAGATCACCTGAGGTCGGGAGTTCAAGACCACCCTGGCCAACACGGTGAAACCCCATCTCTACTAAAAATACAAAAAATTAGCTGGGCATGATGGTGGGCACGTGTAATCCTAGCTACTCGGGAGGCTGAGGCAGGAGAATCACTTGAACCCAGGAGGTGGAGGTTGCAGTGAGCAGAGATTGCACCAATGCACTCCAGCCTCGGCGACAGAGCGAGACTCTGTCTCAAAAAAAAAAAAAAACAAACAAACAACAACAACAAAAAACAGATGTTTGCCAGTTTCCATGTATGTCACTTGCCTTATATACTGTAATTCATTCAAATCTACTAATAAGTAAAGATAGGCAAAATAATGTCCTGGTTTTATGATGTGAAAACTTAGGCATAAACAGTGAGTTGCACATGGTCATTCAGCTGGTCAGAGGCAAAGCCAAGGTTTGAGCTCAGAGTACAGAGCACACGCTCCTAACCATCCCATTAAACAGACGTCCTAGACACTGAGTACCAAAACCACATTCTTTCTCACTTTTTTTTTTTTTTTTTTTTTTTTTTTTTTTGATGGAGTCACGCTCTGTCACCCAGGCTGGAGTGCAGTGGTGCAATCTTGGCTCACTGCAACCTCCGCCTCCTGCCTCCCGAGTAGCTGGGACTACAGGCGTACACCACCACGCCCGGCTAATTTTTTGTATTTTAGTAGAGATGGGGTTTCACTATGTTGCCCAGGCTGGTCTCAAACTCCTGAGCTCAGGCAATCCACCCGCCTTGGCCTCCCAAAGTGCTGGGATTATAGGCATGAGCCACCACACCTCTCTTTTTTTTTTTTTTTGAGACGGAGTCTCGCTCTGTCGCCCAGGCTGGAGTGCAGTGGCACAATCTCGGCTCACTGCAAGCTCCCCGTCCTGGGTTCACGCCATTCTCCTGCCTCAGCCTCCCAAGTAGCTGGGACTACAGGCGGCCGCCACCATGCCCAGCTAATTTTTTGTATTTTTTAGTAGAGACAGAGTTTCACTGTGTTAGCCAGGATGATCTCGATCTCCTGACCTTGTGATCCGCCCACCTCAACCTCCCAAAGTGCTGGGATTACAGGCGTGAGCCACCGCGCCCAGCCCCTCTCTTCTTTTTTTAAGAGGCAAGGTTTCGTTCTGCCACCCAAGCTGGAGTGCAGTGGCTCAATTAGAGCTCACTGCAGCCTCGAACTCCTAGACTCAAGAAATTCTCTTGCCTCGGCCTCCCAAGTAGCTGGGACTACAGGTATGCACCACCATGCCTGGATAACTTTTTAATTTTTTGTAGAGATGGGGTCTTGCTATGTTGCCCAAGCTGGTCTCAAACTCCTGCCTTCAAGCGATCCTTGAGGCCTCCCAAAGCCCTGACAATATAGGCCTGAACAACTGTGCCCAGCTATCTTATGAGATAAGATATATCCTCCTCAAAAGGCTTGCAGGAATTATGACTTTATCATTAAATCTGAAAGAGGGAATAACAAAATGCTCCTTTTTATAGGGAGGAAACCAATCCATTGAGTAGAACGTCCTATTAAACACTGAGAAGGATAAGATACACATTGAAGAAGGATGGATTTTTTCCCCCCTTGAGACGGAGTTTCGCTCTTGTCACTCAGCCTGGAGTGCAATGGCGCGATCTCAGCTCACCACAACCTCCTCCTCCCTGGTTCAAGCAATTCTCCTGCCTCAGCCTCCCGAGTAGCTGGGATTACAGGCAAACGCCACCACGCCTGCCTAATTTTATATTTTTAGTGGAAATGAGGTTTCTCCATGTTGGTCAGGCTGGTCTCGAACTCCCGACCTCAGGTGATCCACCTGCGTCAGCCTCCCAAAATGCTGGGATTACAGGCGTGAGCCACCACGCCCAGCCGAAGGATGGAATTTCTTTTTGCTAACTTGAACCTCAATTTCAACTAAAGTGCCCTATTCCACACAACATGAAAAAAGAATCCCGTATACTCCTCCACCTTCCCTTTCCACCTGATTTGTTAATCATGCCCAGAGGGTCGCAATAAGTTTAACTGAAGACAGTCATTTTGGTTCATGGAATTCTAAGCCCATAAATTTTCAGCGGGGAGGATGAGAGAATCTTCCACTGTGTTTTTCTAAAGCAAGTATTTAGTGCTTTCATCTTTTAGTGCCCTAACATGCAATCTGTCACCCAAATAAGAAAAAAAAAAAATACACCTTCTCACGTGGGTGTTTGCAGAAGTGACATCATGTTTCCGACGTCAATCAAATGGCAAACACATTCAGAGCAGAGCTGATCATTCTGCCTTCTGCCTTCTAAAGGCAGATTCGAGAGAATTAAGACCCCACAGTGACACTTGCTGTACTTGTGGAAAGAATGCCACCACCCGCTTTCTAAAGTACCCTATCATTTCAGTGGGGATGCTGAAAAGCAACTTGTTTCCTGGCTACTTCGTTCTTCTTCTGCTAGGTACCCGTGCTCTCGGGATGCTTTGTTTATAGTGTGTGGTTGTTAAAAATGAAAGCCATTCTTCTCCCACCTGGAAGACATTCCTCTACAGAAACCTGTTGCCAGACAATGGGAGTTTCTTATCAGTAAAAGTCCTTCCTCTCAGCTAAGTCACGGATGACCTGACTCTATCACGCTTGCTGAGAATTCCTCCAGCCTGCTAAGAGAGAGGTAGAGGGAGTGGGAACTTGGGACAGAAAAGCTGGGGTACTTGCGTGGAGGGCAGTTATAATGTTTTTGCTTTTTCCTGATCCTGAAGTGATTTTAGATGCTGTAAAGCCAGGAGAGCTACAACTGTGTTCTGGATGCCACCTCCCCGCCCCTCCCCTCCTCTCCAATTTCTGCTTTCTGCCCAGGGTCACTGCTCCCACTTCTCAATTGGCTGCGATGGCAAGTCTCCAAGTAATTACAAAGACAGGAATTGGATTACACAAGAATTTACATGTGTGCGATGGCTGTTACCTTCCCCAGCAAAACGCACGGCAGAAGCATCATCTACTGTTCACTCGAGTGTGACACTGAGCTGGGAGCTCGGGGGTCACCTCTCATCATTTCCCAGGGGGAGGACAAGCACACACAGAAGATCCCCACCACACACATAGCCCTACATTGTACTTTTCCCTAAGAAAGCATAAGCTCTGAACAACAGCCAGGAAGACGGCAGCTCTGGTCTTCCCGTGCATGTAGCAGCTTGTTCCAGAGCCTGGGTGGGGATGCACTGAGGGCTGGTGCAGGCGGCTTGGATGCTCTCCTCTTGCCATTCCTGGTTTCATCTAAGTCGTGGGGCAGGTGAGGACAGCCTGGGGGGACCAAGTTGGGTCAATAAAATCTACAGACATACCATCTTCATTTTAAACATTATGCCCAAATCTTAAAAATCTGTCCTGACATCTGAGAAAGACTAAAATAAATAATTCAAAGCAGAATACTCCAAAAGCCGTTTTCACTCTGAGGCCTATATGGTTAGCAATAACATATTTCCCTGGCTATTTTTTTCTTTGGCCACTGTTGGAATTAGCTTGAATTCTCATAAATCCACAAAGGGTTCCAGAGCATGCTAGGTGTACAGGCAAGGACAGCCCACAATGAAGAATAGAAAATCCAACCAAGACTTGCCAATAACTAACAAGCTGACAACTATGGCACTGCAGTTACATCTCTTTCACTGGAGAGGGCTGGAGAAACAGCAGAGCAGAGCCCCTGACAATCAACAGTGAAAAATTGGCCCTGGAATGGATGAAGTGAATCAAGTCGGCACTATCTATCAAATGGAGAAAATAATAAAAATAAAACCCACATCTCCAGTGACTACACAAAGGCAGCAACAGGACATGTACAGGGCGATGGAGCTGTTCTGTGTCCTACGTGGTGGCAATAATACGAATTTATATTACAATTCGTAGAACAGGAGACCAAAAGAAAAAGTCAATGATCATAATATATTTTAAAATACATTTTTTTTGTTTTTTGTTTTGTTTTGAGACAGAGTCTCACTTTGTTGCCCAGGCTGGAGTGCAGTGGCGCGATCTCAGCTCACTGCAACCACTGCCTCCCAGGTTCAAGCGATTCTCCTGCCT
This sequence comes from Homo sapiens, assembly GCF_000001405.40. NCBI lineage: Eukaryota > Metazoa > Chordata > Mammalia > Primates > Hominidae > Homo > Homo sapiens. The sequence goes on along the minus strand of NC_000010.11, from coordinate 113,098,607 downwards.
CAGCCTCCTGAGTAGCTGGGACTACAGGCTCCCGCCACCATGCCTGGCTAATTTTTGTATTTTTAGTAGAGACGGGGGTTTCACCACATTGGCCAGGATGGTCTCGAACTCCTGACCTTGTGATCCATCTGCCTCGGCCTCCCAAAGTGCTGGGATTACAGGCGTGAGCCACCGAGCCCGGCCTAAAATACAATTTTTTAAATAAAAATCCCACGTCTCACACTTGACCCTCATACGTTAAATCAGGGCACAGAATTGCATGCCATTGAGTGTAGATTTGAAAAACAGCTGCAAGTGACCTGACCAAGGAAGATCCCAGTGCGGAAAGCCCCAACGGAGACCTGGATCTTGTAGATTTTGCTGTCCCAAACAGGAAAGGTCCAAGAAGAAACAAACATCCCCAACATATCATTACATCACAAGGGTCAGGAGCCTGTGCCAGACACTGCTGCCCCTACCAAGGAAATGGGGAAGAAGGGCAGGGAAAGGACCTACCTTCCCTTCAGGTACGACATGTGTTTCTTCTTCTTCTTCTTTTTTTTTTTTTTTTTTTTTTTTGAGACAGAGTCTCACTCTGTCACCCAGGCTGGAGTGTAGTGGCATTATCTTGGCTCACTGCAACCTCCACCTCCCAGGTTCAAGCGATTCTCCTGCCTCAGCCTCCCGAGTAGCTGGAATTACAAGCGCACTACCACGCCTGGCTAATTTTTCTGTTTTTAGCAAAGACAGGGTTTCACCATGTTGGCCAGGCTGGTCTCTGACTCCTGACCTCAGGCGATCCGCCTGCCTCAGCCTCCCAAAGTGCTAGGATTACAGGTGTGAGCCACTGCGTCTGGCCATGACCTGTGTTTCTGAAGCCAGTAAAAGATGCCATAAGAAATCCCTCCAGGGTACACCTTTCCCTCTCACCTCCATATATCTTTCTCATGGTTGTTTTTTTTTTTTTTTTTTTTTTTTTTTTCCGAGACAAGAGTCTTACTCTGTCACCCTGCAGTGGTGCAGTCTTGGCTCACTGCAACTTCCACCTCCCAGGTTCAGGTGATTCTTCTGCCTCGGCCTCCCGAGGAGCTGGGATTACAGGTGCCTGCCACCATGTCTGGCTAATTTTTGTATTTTCAGTAGAGATGGGGTTTTACCATGTTGGCCAGGCTGGTCTCGAACTCCTGACCTCAGGTGATTCACCCGCCTTGGCTTCCCAAAGTGCTGGGATTATAGGCGTGAGCCACCGTGCCCGGCCTCCTCATGGGTTCTTCTACAACTGGCAAGAGGAAAGAAATTTGTCCTGAGAGAGAGTTGTGACAACCTACACACAGGACTTCCCCCTGGTTGGTTACAAGCTGCTCCTACTTTCTAGTGGAGCTCATTTCTCAGGAACAAGTGGACTTCTCATCTGTCACCCTGGCCCCTGGCGAACCACAAGGCTTACCACAAATATTGCCACAAACCTAGCAGGCAGGAGCTGGGATGAGCACTACGTGACAGAGTGTGCAGGACCCCTCCCAACCTGCCCTGTGTGTAGATCACAGGCAAGCTACTGTCATCTCCCCCAACTCTGTTTTTCTAAACAGCAAGAGGCTACCACTAGGACAGGGATGGTGACGCGGGGCTCAGGCTAAGCTTGTCTGACCCAGTGACCGGTGGGGTAGGAGCAGAAGCCGAGCAGGGGGGTCCCATGTCCTGCAGTCAGTCACTACATGCCTCCTCACGTCCCCCTCTTATTTCTTCTTTCTCTGGTGTCTTCGTTGCTTTCCCATCCCCACCCTCCCCTCTGGAGGGAGCTGGCTTTTCCAAAACAGAAACTTTCACTCTGAGCACAAACAGGCCTCTAATTTAGATCTTCCCAGCCAAGAGCTTTTCTCCCTGCTGCACTGGCCTCTGAAGCTGGCTGTAAGTGTGCTGTGACATGGCCAGAATCTAAAAGGGTGTGGCTGCTCCTCTTTCATTTTTGGCCCCCACAGAAGAGGCCAGACATTGACCAGGAAAAGCAAATCTGGCCTCCTATGGCGCTTCCACCAAACTAAAAAAAAAAGAAACTACTGATTTTTCTTAATGCAAACCGGTTTGAAATGGCCTTTCAGAGACGTGACAGAGAACACTGGATGGGTGTGAAGTAAAAGGTGAAAGATGATGGTGCTCCTGACTAAACCAGCAGCAGCTGATGCAATAAATACCTTTCCAATAAGGTCCATAGGACAGGCCTTATAAGGAAGAATAAGAACTCAGATCTGCTATTAGCTGCTTGCCTAATAATCACTGCCCTTAATAAAAATGAGTAAATTAAGTTCCAGAGTCTGGGCTGAAATATGGTTCCTCTCCATTTCCAAATTCCAAACATCTACCTTGCTGACGTCATAAAAGGGATTGCTATCTGAGAAACAGGTACGTCAACAGAGACGCTGACTGATAGGCAGATAAGTCAAAACCACCCCTGCAGCGTCTACCCCTCTCCCTAAGTGCTAACTGCATATTCTCATATGGGAAACCCTATATGGAATACAAAGTCTTAAGGCTAATTTATACTCTCCCTTGACGCAGACTAGCCCATTAAAAACTGACCTGTCACCTCACAGCATTACAAAAGGGGAGGAGCCAAAACAATCAACTGTGGGGATGACATGTCACACACCAAAGGCCCAAATCTTCTCTACGAGTGACCTTTGTCACACGAGACACAAAGAAAATACGTGACTCACGACGAAAGGGGAAAAGGGAGGTAGCCACTAACGTGGAGAGACATGGGCACAGCTTGCAGCACCCTGGGGGGTGTCAAGTGGGCTCACTGAGGCTAGGATGCAGGGTGCAGGAACACTCCTATCTTCTGCATGGATGAGCTCCTTGGAAGACCTCCACAGAGAGTGCCTGGGCTTCCTGCTTAGTATACAAAATGAAAAGGATAGCGTTTACAATGACATCTCTTTGCAGTCCAAGGAATGGTGAACAATGAGGGAAATGGGGCCAGAAATGATCCCGGCTTCTCCGCGTCTGTTTTCCTGGTAGCAAGCTCTGCATCTGATAAGTAGAGTGGGACTACGTCATGTTCCCTCTACACTGGGAATATGACCTCACTGAGGCATTAAAAATTCCCAGGGAGGCACTGCAGTGCCCACTGATGCTACCACGGCGGTTGATCAGCAGAGAAAATTTGTCCGCTCATTTAGCCTAAAAGACTTCAACAAAAAAATATTGGCAGATAGACAATGTGGGAAAGGAAAAAATAAAAATAATCTGGCAGTCCCACCTCCCATCCTACCCAGTGAGCATGAACTGGGGTAGAGAGGGGGTGAGGAGGAGTTGAATTTGCCGGCCCACTCACACAGAACAATCCGGGGCTATACATGCGAAGCAATGATGGGTCACATACATCAAGGGGGCATTATGGAATGTCCCAGAATCACTCTCTCTTCACTATTTGCAACTTCCACCCTCTGCCACATGAGATGCAGTTGCACTATTTATAGTGGAACTTTGTTTTTTGGTTTTTTGTTTTTTGTTTTTATTTTTTGAGATGGAGTCTTGCTCTGTCACCCAGGCTGGAATGCAAAGGTGCAATCTCAGCTTACTGCAATCTCTGCCTCCCAGGTTCAAGCGATTCTCCTGTCTCAGCCTCCCGAGTAGCTGGGACCACGTACCCAGCTAATTTTTGTATTTTTTAGTAGAGACAGTGTTTTGCCATGTTGGCCAGGCTGGTCTCAAACTCCTGGCCTCAAGTGATCCACCTGCCTCAGCCTCTCAAAGTGTTGGGATTTCAGGCATGAGCCACAGTGCCCGGCCAACAGCGGAACTTTGGAAACAGTCTGAGTTCATTGGGGCAATAGCTAAGCATATTAAGGGACAGGAGGGATAATCATTAGTACTTTCACAGTTTTTGTGGCATATATAGGAAAGTGTTTCTAGTATAGAGAGATGTAAAATAAACAGAAAACAAGTGCATGTATAGTATGATCCCACCTACGATTTTTAAATCACATTTTTTAAAAGACTGAGAGGAAGTATTTCAAAATATTCACTTTGTCTTGGAGGGGTATTTCTTTGGTTGTCTCATCTGCTTCTTTATATAATCAGGGGTAGGAGATAAATGAAAATGTTTAGTTAGCCGAATGCTTGCTAATCCAAAGTTATAATGTAGAGAGTTCTAAATTAGCAAATACTTCCCTTCTAGTGCACTTCATTGTGTAAACCCAAATTTTCCATACATACCACGTACTGAAAAATACAGTACCCAGGAAATGAAGCAATATCTATATTTGTTTCAAATGACTAACAAGCAAAAATAAAACTTTGACCGTGATGACATGCTTTTTAGAAATCAGACATAAAATAAGCCACATAGGATGTGGTCTAATAAACCCAAGAAAAGTTTCATTTCCTCTCACCAAAATGGCTAACTCCCTGTTTATGTGTCTAGCTTGGCAAATTTAGCGGAAGTCTCTTCTTCCCTGAAATTTCTAGATTGAGAGGTTAATAAGCAAGTAGCAGCAATAATGTGCCCCCTCCTGAAAAAACACACATGCGCGTGCACGCGCACACACACCCCAAAAAATGCAATAAAAACAGGCTCAACACCAGCAAAAGGGTAGGTCAACCACAAAATCAGGACAGAGTGCACCATCTCGCTAATCCCCGGCCACTGATCAGGAAAAGTTTATAGAACCCCTGAAGAGGAAGGAAACAAGGAATCAGGGAAGGCTTTGGACAATGAACTTTTTAAAAGTTTGTTTGCAAGTATTTCCGTGAAAATGGTATTGACTGAGCAATTACAGGAAGAAGAAAAAAGAAAACTCTTTCTTCTTATCTGAATGCGGTTATATGCCATGGGTCACACCCTATTATTGTCACTATTAAACATGTTAATAGCCTCAATGTAATGACTTTGTGTGGCGAGCTTTAAAATGTACATGAATAGCTAACTAGAAAGAAATGACTCATCCCTGCCCAGGTGGATATTGACTTTCTGAGTCACATTTACTCAGCTGGTCTACCAACCTTAATTCCCTAGAGGAAGGGATCTAAAGGGTTCGAATCTGGCTGAATTACATGGAAAGAAAGAGAAGGGACAATGAATTTGAAATGTAGATGGAACAGAAAGTACAATTGTTGAGACTTGTAAGAACTTAGGTATCCTGAAACAAAATTTCCTCCCAACTCCTAAGGCAGCTGAGTGAAGAAAAGGATCAAACACCTTCTCCCTGAACAAGTGGAAGATGGTTGGTATCACAGCTCTGAACCATGGCCAAGAACCATGGCCAAGAACCATGGCCCTTCATTCCCAGCAATTTTTATAGCTCTCACCCTTCAGCTGTGTGATCTTATGGATATTGCTTTCTCTCTCTCTGGCTCAGTTACCTTAATTGCAAAATGGGAATAATCACACCACCTCCCTCATAAGGTTGCTATCAAGGTTTGGAAAAGTTAATATAGGAGGTAGTTACAGTAGTTCGTACAGTAGTTCCTGGATCACAGGAAGCCTGTGTTAAATGTCAAGGGATCTCTGTAGGTACCCAGTGGAGCAGACTGCGGGAATATCCCATGACCACCGCCTGTTTTGCAGATGCAAGAATTGCATCACGGAGCGGGGAAGCACCTTGCCAAAAAAGTGAGTGTTGGACTCAAACTTAGTTCTGACGACCAGTCACAAGAGGTTCCCATCACACTCTGCAGAGCCATTTCTATCACACCCATGCTGTGGGATCCGGATTTTCAGAGATCACCAAAATTCTTACCCTGCCCCCACCAACCCCCCCAGCCGAGGGAGTCTTGGCTCTGTTGCCCAGGCTGGACAGCAGTGGTGCTATCTTGGCTCACTGCAACCTCCGTCCCCCAGATTCAAGCAATTCTCCTGCCTCAGCCTCCCAAGTAGCTGGGATTACAGGCATGTGCCACCACGCCTGGTTAATTTTTGTATTTTTAGTAGAGACGGGGTTTCACCATGTCGAACTCCTGACTTCGTGATCTGCCCACCTCGGCCTTCTGAAGTGCTGGGATTACAGGCATGACCCACCACACCCAGCCACCACCAAAATTCTTGAAGTAGGTACTAGGAATGTTACATGTGAATTTCCATGGAAACCTACATGGAACACATAACTGAGCTACTCCAGCAGCGACTGGCCCATCACACAGACACACCATCAGGTTGTGATTCCTCAAGAATCTTGCCAATTGCCTGCACCAGTCTGAGCCCACCAGCTCTCTCATCAAGCTCCCGCTTTACATACAGCCTGTATGTGAACCTTTATCACTGATGGAGAAATTGAAGCACAGATCAGTCGGGTAACTTGCCCAAGTTGGCACAGCCCATAAGTGGCATCTTTGTACCTCACCTATTCACAGTTTACAGATTTAGATGACATCCTGGAAACGTGGCATTTTGGCACGTCCCTGGGAGATGCTTCTGGGTTCTGAGGACAAGGCTGAGAAATGCTCAGTCACTGGCGCCAGGGATCTAATCAGCTCCTGTAGACCTTGAGTTATAAGGAAGAAACCCAGTCTTTCTGTTTCATTTTCCTCATACTTAAAATGGGTGCCTGGTTCCTTTATCTACCTCCTGCCGCCAACCAAAGATTAATGAGTTACCATGTGCCAGGCTCTGATGGGAGAATAGCTATATTCATATCATCTTATCATAAATAGCCAGAATGAACAGCTATGCTTATTAAAAGCTGAACCAGTGAGAGGCTACTGAAAAAGATCTTCTACCAGGCCATGGCTAATGCAGAGAAAAGGGGGCCTCCCTGCTCTATCAGACCCAGGCCAGTTAAAGGGAATGCTCCTTAAACACACAGACAGCAGCTCCAGGTAATCAAGACATAGGCGTGGCCCAAGAACATGCAAGATCAGAGGCAAGCATGCAAGACAGCGAAAAGTCCGAAAGACTCCAGAAACATTTTGAGATGGAGTCTCACTCTGTTGCCCAGGCTGGAGTGCAGTGGTGTGATCTCAGCTCACTGAAACCTCTGTCTTCCTTCTGAGTTCAAGCGATTCTCCTGCCTCAGCCTCCTGAGTAGCTGGGAGTACGGGCACGCGCCACCACGCCTGGCTAATTTTTGTATTTTTAGTAGAGACGGGGTTTCACTGGTCTTGAACTCCTGATATCGTGATCTGCCCGCCTCAGCCTTCCAAAGTGCTGGGATTACAGGCGTGAGCCACTGCACCCAGCCACATCTTCAGTTTTATGCACATCTGGCTAACAGGGAATAGGTGGACCAGAGGATTTCCACTTTAGTACATGAAGTTACTAAAGAGAATTAGGCACATGTTATAGTGTCAAAAAGTGTTCCTAGAATTAAAAGTAGAAAGAAATTGCAAAACCGTATGAGGTATAATACCAATTTTGCGAAACGCTTTTAAGGTCTGTGCATATGAATGACTAGAAATGTGGAAATGTATCCAAATATTAAGAGATTATCGGCCAGACACGGTGGCTCACGCCTGTAATCCTAGCACTTTGGGAGGCCAAGTCATGCAGATCACCTGAGGTCAGGAGTTCAAGAACAGTCTGACCAACATGGCAAAACCCTGTCTCTATTAAAAATACAAAAATTAGCCGGGTATGGTAACAGGTGCCTGTAATCCCAGCTACTCGGGAGGCTGAGGCAGGAGAATTTCTTGAAGCTGGCAGGCGGAGGTCACAGTGAGCCAAGATCACACACTCCAGCCTGGAAGACAGAGCAAGACTCCGTCTCAAAATAAAAAATAAAAAAGACCAGGCATGGTTGTTCATGCCTGTAATCCCAGCAGTTTGGGAGGCCGAGGCGGGCGGATCACGAGGTCAGGAGATCGAGACCATCCTGGCTAACAGGGTGAAACCCTGTCTTTACTAAAAATACAAAAAATTAGCTGGGCTTGGTGGCGCGCACCTGTAGTCCAGCTACTCGGGAGGCTGAGGCAGGCGAATCGCTTGAAACCGGAGGCAGAAGTTGCAGTGAGCTGAGATTGCGCCACTGCACTCTGGCCTGGGCAACAGAGCGAGACTCTATCTCAAAAAAGAGAGAGAGATTATCAATAGGTAATAAGAGTATAGGTATTTACATTTTCTTTATGTATTTTTACAGTTTCTAGTTGTCTTATGTGGCTATTCATCACTTCCTACGCCAGAACAAACTTTTAAAGATGACTTATTCCACATTTTGTCTCTCCAACAGCAAGACTTATGTACATATGTATTACTCCAGGTCTCTGCCTGCTGGAGGCACTGCTTTCTGTCCCTGTGGCTGTAACACATAGCACAGCACCCAATAGGTATACAATAAATGTTTTTAAAGACAGAGGCTTTATTATTTGGTTCATAAATATTCACTTTTCTTTTTTTAAAAGCTAACACTAGTACTAAATCATTTGCTGTTTAAACCTAAGAGTTCCTTGAAAATTTTTCATCTGCATTGACTTTTGCTTTTCTGAAGATAAAAGCATGTTCTAGGTGTTATTTTTTCTTCAGGACTATTAATTTGAAGAGAACTGTTACTCCCAAGCACTGAGCAGTGTGGGGTATTGACACTGTATTGAATTATTTAAAGGAAATTAACAATGCTTCCTGTCCTTGGAGAGCAACATCTGCGAGTAAAGCCATTCACGGCTGCCTCAGGTAGGTATTGTCGAGGCAAAGTGGGCATTTTCCAGCACCCTGAATTTTAAAAGAAAATCTTTAAGTTCTAAATTACTAGTAACGAAGGCAAAGTTGAGGTGGTAACTTCTCCTCCATTGTGAACTGTGAAGAGTCCCAAGAGACACTTCCTGGGGCCAAGTTTAATGGGATAATGTTGTGCTCCTCATTTTCACAGAAGTTACGTGTGGCACTGGATCACGAGGGCCTTCACTGGGAGCCAGGCATCCTGGAGTCATGCGAGCACCACCCTCCACCCTCTCCTTGTAAACAGGCGTTTTTATGGCTATGATATCCCTATCAGCGGTCAGCACACCCAGACATCATGGCACCCAAAATGACAGTGACCCAACAAGAATTCAGGGATCGCAGTGGATGGGCCCTGCCCTAGAGAGAGGTAAACTTTGGGTGGGCGGCTTCATTTTAGAGCTAGCTCATCTCATACCGTGATTCTGCTCCGAGACCTACCTCAATACACCAGGGCTCCCCAACTTTTTGTAAGGAGTGGCTCCTTTTCATGTCCCTGAAGACTTGAGTGCTGACAGTGAAGTCTGAGGGGGGGTAGAAGTGCTGACAGTCATGTCCCTGAGTGCAGCAAGGGAGGGGGCTCTGCTGCCAGGAAGAAAGGGGAACAGAGTAAGGCTCGGGAGCGAGGGGGACACGTCACCAAGGCACACACAGCCCCCAGCCTTCCTTTCTGCCCTAACCCACATTTCTATAGAAGCTCCATGATAGAGGGATTACAGTTCCCAGCACAAATCAGAACTCTCCTATTTCCCTGCCATCCAGCTCAGGGTCCCTTCTAGGAACATCTGAAATGCAACCTCCTCCAGGCAGCCTTCCTGTTGTGTATTCCCACCCCTACCCACCATTCTCCTAATGGGCATGGCCTCCCCTTCCTCTGAGCCTCTCAAGAACCAGTTAGCTAGCATTTTCTCTCTCAACTTACCTTACTGAATCTATTAGTTATGTGAAATTGCTGATATTTCTGTCCTACAAAAATACAATTACATATGGTTCCACTTAATACTTCAGCTGTTTGGGGAGCTGATCTTTTTTTTTTTTTTCTAAGAGATGGGGTCTTGCTATGTTGCCCGGACTGGACTTAAACTCCTGGGCTCAAGCAATCCTCCTGTCTCAGCCTCCCAAACAGTTAGGACTACAGGTGCACGCCACCACACTCAGCTAATCTTTTTATTTTTATTTTATTTTTTTGTGGAGGCAGAATCTTGCTATGTTGCTCAGGCTGGTCTTGAACTCCTGGGCTCAGGCAATCCTCCTATCTCGGCCTCCCAAAGTGTTGAGATCTCAGGCAAGCGGCACCATGTCTGGCTGATCTGTCTTCACTCATACCTTAACACCTTTTCCTCTGCCAGGCGACAGTCTTTTGAGAAAAGCAACTATACTACCAATTCTGGACCCCTTGAAAGATCCAGCAGCACACACCTTGGGTGCTCAAGAAATATGCGTTAATTTGAATTTCAAACCCTATCACAATAGCTGCTACAGTTTACTGACGGCCTACTCTGTCTGGGGCCCTGGACAGGAGTGTGCCTCTTACTCCATTAATCCTCACCCCTACCTTATGAGGTAGGTAGTATCATGCCCATTTCACAGAGGAGGAAACTGACTCAGAGACTGTAAGGAGCATGCCCAAGGTCACACTGCTAGTAAATGGCAGAGGGGGAATATAGCTCAGGTCCCAGTCAACTCATGCAGGTGCCTGCTGTAGAGACCCATTGGCCTGTCTATGGCTCTATAAACAGGCTCTATAAACAAGAGAATTTAGGGCTGTAAAAAACAACTTGGGGTCCAAGAAGGGCGATTTCACAACCAAGAAATAATATTCTACGTTTCTTTTTAAAAAAAAAGAAATAGCTATGCCCTTTATGTTCATTGTAAAAAGTTTTATATGAAGAAAAACTCCATGAACGATTTTTTCATGTAATTTGTTCAGGATTAAGAATAAGAGATTGAGGATAACACCAACATCTTGTATGTTTTTACGTTCACTATCACAGTAGACATAGTGGGTATGCAAGACTCTGGAAAATAGGAAATTGACAAAAATAAAGGAAAAAGTTATACAACAGCAGCCACATCTTTAGAGCAGTGTACATGGTTACCATAGTATATGGTATTCCCATGGGCCTCAAGTTTATCCAGATGGATTAAAACCATCCACAGGCAAAGTGAGCTCTCAAAATGAGAGGGGGCCATTGCTGCCCCATAACTGGAGCTACTCCAGGGCCCACGCTGGCTGCAGCTGACCTTGTGTCTGGATTTTGAGAGCCACCAACCAGAAGCTGAGAGATCTGCCCCCAGGAAGGGAAGCCGAGCACCAGAGGAAGTACTCCGTTCTCCACCCCTGGAGGTCTAAGGTCTCCGTCTGGCAAGCAGAGCCTCCCACTCTGCATTTCTTCACAGAGCTGATTTGTAAACAGGAGCGTGAGTCATTCGGCAAGCATGAGTCCATTTGAAAGATCAGCCCAATTTTACAGCTAAGGCTATCCTATTCAGTCCAGCCACAGCAATGACTCACCTTACTGCCTTCCACCAAAGGTGACTTGGTTAGCCCTCCAATTGTTTCTAGAAGGAACCCAGCAACATGAGGGTTTAATCCTTGTCTGCTGGCTTTATTTTCTAACACAATGCTGAGAGCAAAGAGGCAGAGTTACCAAAGTGCCTCAGAGAATGCGTTGGGAAAGAAATGTATCCATGGTTGCCACAGACCACATGGTCTCCTTTATCTTCCACGGGCATTTCCTCATGGCCTTTACTCTTAGAGGAAATTGTACATTATGGAAATGTTAAACACACACACAACCTCTCTGTACAGATCTAGATATTCTTCCATGCCTGGGAACCTCAGAGCCAAATTTATAGTTCACGTCCAACAGCGCATCAGGGGCTACTGGCTTTGAACTTGTAGAATTAACCTTACCCCTAACCTTATTCCCCACCTTATGTTACTGGGCTACACTTATTGCCCTTTTTTTTTTCTTGTGTGTGTGTGGCCTGTAGGAGGTTTATTACCCCCTCAAGACCACACTTTCCCACCACCCCCTGCTTTCCTCTTTAATGTTCTTAATTATTCATTTCCAATCCTCTTACAGAATACAAAGTCTTAATAAATGACTTCCAATTTTAGGGGGGTAGGAGATGTCTTACAAAAAGTTCAAATGTATATACAACTACAGAATCTTTTTATATCATGAGAAAATAACTATAGTTTTTTTTTTTTTTTCCTTTTGAGTCTTTCTTAAAAAACAAACAAATAAAAAACTCTTCAACAAATCCTAAAGACCAGGAAATAAACATCTGCTGAGTTTTCTGCTCAGTGTCCATTCATGATTTTTCTGGTAACAATACTGCCAGTTACTTAGGGGGCAACCCCCTGACTCTAGAGCCATGTAGCTTAGTGGAGTGAACCCCACCCCCAGCTTCAGAAGTGGGAAAGTTTACACAGTCCAAGCTCACTCAGACACTGCAAGCCCTTCCCATAGATGCAGGTTCAGAATCAAGGTCACAGACTTGTAGGGAAAGATAAGATCTCTCTGGACTTGAATAAGCCTCTGTGCAGTAAAACCAACTGGGAGGCAAGCAGAGCCCAGAACTGGAAGGAGATGGTTCTAATACATGGGCCCCTGGATGCAACCATGCCTGATGCCTGATCATTCTGGACTTTTCAGTTATGGATCAATACATTCATTTTGCTCAGGCCAGTTTGAATTGGGTTTGAGGAGAGAGGAATTTAGACTCAAGCAGTCCTCACCTCAGCCAGATTGGCCTCCATAGTTGTCCATCCACGAATCAAGGGAGGATGTGGGAAAAATTGAAGGTGTTACAGGATAAAAGTAAATGAAGGCCTCGTGAGTTTCATGCTCCTGACATGACGAGTGGGCAAAGTACTGAAGTAGGGATTTGGTGCTTCTTGAAAGAATGAAGCAGGTGGCCAGTCTCTGCAGAAAGAAGACAAGGACCTTCAGCCACCACCCACCTGCTGGAATTGCCCCAAGGGCCCTCCTTCACCTCTAGTGTCCCTGTCACCGCCACTGGCAGCACTGAGCTATTTCATGTCATTTCATGGTCTCCATAATGCACCAGATCCAGAAAGTAGAGACCACAGATGCTGAACAGCACTAAAATCTGCCTCCTGGCTTTCTCCAGAAACACTGCCTATTTGTGACAGAGGACCTCAAGAGGTGTGTTTCTCCTGCGGAAAGTGAAGTTATGAGGCTGGATCAAGTCAAGAGAGAAGGTAGACTGACAGGGCTGCTGGGTTTGACTCTCACTGGTGGCTCAGCCCCTGATGTCAATGTGTGCTAACCAGATCTGAACACAGCCACGTGGATCAAGAATCAAGGTATGCCACCCATAAAGTCGTAGTAATATTTGTGTATTCCATTATCTTGCTTCTTTATGAGCTTACTGCCCCACTCCACAACTAGCTGGGTAATATTCAAACGCTAATGCAATCGAATAGCACCTAGTAAGCCAGAAAATACTAATTGCTCTGCCAGGAAACATTTAAAAATGAACAAGTATAGAAAGAGGTAAAAAGCATTTGAAAAACAAAACCCCTAAAAATACAAAGGCCTCCAGAGATGAGAATTTTGTATGAAATAATGTCACTCAGGGCTGGGTGTGGTGGCTTACACCTATAATCCCAGCACTGTCAGAGGCCAAGGCTGGAGGACTGCTTGAGCTCAAGAGTTCAAGACTAGACTGGGCAACATAGCAAGACCTCGTCTCTACTAAAAATTAAAAAAAAAAAAAAAATAGCCAGATGTGGTGGTGCAGGCCTGTAGCTACTCAGAAGGCCAAGGTGAAAGGTTTGGTTAAGCCTGGAAGATCAAGGCTGCAGTGAGCCATGATTGTGCCCCCGCACTCCAGCCTGGGTGACAGAGGGAAACCTGAATAAAAAAAAAGAAAGGTGTCAATCAGAGTAACATTGGCCAACACCTGTTGGCTGTTAGAAGAATCTCAACCAACCTCACAGGCAAGAAGAAAAAGGCAACAGCTTTACTCCTCTTTGCCTCAGAAAACTCTGGTGGTGATTAATTTTATGTGTCAGGGTTTTTTGTTTTTTTTTTTTGGGGGGGGGTGGCTTGAGACAGAGTCTCACTTTGTCACCCAGGCTGGAGTGCAGGGGTGCAATCTCAGCTCACTGCAACCTCCGCCTCCCGGGTTCAAGCGATTCTTGTGACAGCCTCCCGAGTAGCTGGGAATACAGGTGCACAACACCACTCCCGGCTAATGTTTGTATTTTTTTTGGTAGAGACCGGGTTTCACCATGTTGGCCAGGCTGGTATCCAACTCCTGGTCTCAAGTGATCCGCCCACCTCGGCCTCCCAAAGTGCTGGGATTACTACAGGTGTGAGCCACCATGCCTGGCCTTATGTGTCAGTTTGACTAAGTCACAAGGTGCCCGGATATTTGGTTATACACTATTCTGGATGTTTCTCTGAGGATATTTTTAGATAAGTTTAACATTCACTGAGTAAGGCGGATGGTCCTCCTTGATGTGAGCAGGCCTCAGCCCATCAGCTGAAGGCCTGAACAGAATACAAGGCTGATCTTCCTCCAAACCAGCCGGCATCCTCCTGAGTAACTGCCTTCGGGCTTGAGCTAAAGCAGCATCTCTGGGCTCCAGCCCACCGGCCTTTGAAAAGGAATTACACCATCAGTTCTACCAGTCCTCCAGCCTTTAGACTCAGACTAGAGCTGCACCATGGACTCTCCTGGGTCTCCAGCTTCCCAGCTACAGACCATGACACTTGATGATGCAGATTATGGAATTCCATGACTGGGTGAGCCAGTTCCTTATTACAAATCTCTCTATATAAACACATACATCCTATTGGTTTTATGTCTCTGGAGAACCCTGACAAATGCATATGGATTCAGATTTTCATGTATTTTCTCCTCCACAGCAAGAGGGAATGGATTTGTGCGTCTCTGAAAGATCAGAGTTTTAAAATGAAATGAGTCTTAGAAATCATCTCATTTAATTCTTTATGATTTTCTTTAAATCTCCAAGTCTAGATGTAAAAGGGCCTGTCCAGGACCACACAGCTAAAAAAGAGCTGAAACTAAAGCCTAGATTTTTAAAGACTAGAGTTCAAGGTTCTATGCATAAATGGAAGAATTTTCTTTTGGAAATGCCACATCTTTGGAACAATAAGAAATCCATTTAAAAGAAGGATATTGCTAAGGGCCATTCCACTAAAAAAGCAAAGTACTGAACTGACAATTTTTAAAAATTGGTGAGAAGGTAACATCCTCATATTTCTTATCATGTATTCACACACAAGGATGCCAAAAAACAAAGAGCAACCATCCAAACCAGCCAACCCCACGTACACACGCGTAACCTTGGAGACAGGTAAGGTCTTTACAGGTCACACTGATCCAGCTTTATGCACCATCGATAATTCTCACCTCTGAAGATGAGGTAACTTTGATGGGAACTAATTACATCTGAAATACACTGTCAACTTACTGCAAAGGCAAAGAAACTGCCATCAGGGCTCCAGATAAGCTACCATTTTTATCGTAAAGACAAGCCCAGTTCCTCCCCAGACCGGGATATCATCACTCACATGGCAGATGTATGCAATCCTTTTTTCTCATTATTATTTTTTTTTAATGTGAGCATGTGTGAGTGGCAAGGTGTGAGTGGCAAGGTGTGAGTATGGGCCCACACTTGCACGTGTGTGTGTGTGTGTGTGTGTGTGTGTGTGTGTCTATCAGTATATGTGGAGGGCAGTGTCCTAGAGTCACGAATGGCAAGTGTCCAGGTCACACATGGCACCTCCCTCTTCCCTTACTACCTCCATAGCACACAGCCACTCTGCTCAAAGTTGGCACGAGTTGGAATGTAATCACCATCTCTGCACTCAAGGCATGCAGAAATGAAGTCTACCTCAGCCCTCAAAGACCTCACCTGAGAAAAAGACAAGGCTCCAAACAGAAGGCAAAACAGAATGAGCATAGAAAGAGACCACTTTTTCACATACCTTTACAAAGCACTGCTCACCCCTCCTTAACCTCGCACAGACAGAGCATGGGGCCTCAGTGTCACTGCCACTGCCACCCTCCCACTGACTAGCTGTACTCTCTGAATTTCTGGGGCTCAGCTTGACACAGCATATGAGGATGCTGGCTGCTGGATGACTTCTAAGGGTTGTGTCCACCTCCAACACACTCCACTTCTGTATGGCTAGCAGAACACAGAGGGGCGGGTTTGTTAGGACCTTGACTCTCTACGTACAGAAGCGATGCACCCCGATTTCTGGACATGGCCATTATATAATAAGAGGGTAAATTTATTAAAATAAGTCACATTCAAGGAGAAAAGGCCACATGCATGTGCGTGTGCACGTGCACACACACACACACACACACAAGCAGAATGAAGATTTCTTTTACTGAATAAAAGTTCAACATGACCAAGAAAAAGTGTTTTAGAAATATGGCATCATGAATAGGAATTTGCAGCACCATTTCAAAAGGTGTTTGCTGGTTAAAACAAAGTTTTGTCAACTGTTTCTTTTTTCCTGTGGGGGGGAAAGTGTACCTATCAAATATTGAGAAATTGGAAATAAGATTTTTTTAATTGTTGTATCATAAACAGTACAGGGAAAAATGGGTAAAGATAATTTTTTTCAAGTTTGGAATAAAGTTATTAAAAAAAGACATTATATGGGTAATTCTGAATAAAGGAGACACTTTTTAACTGTATTGACACTAAATTAGTTTTATATGTGAAGGTCAAGGCTTTACTGGGATGAAAGGTAATAAGATGAAGTGGTTAACCTTAACATTATCTGAACTTGAGATATTAACCAAGGCACGCAAAAAAAAAAAAAAAATGGTAGTGGCTCACACCTATAATCCCAGCACTTTGGGAGGTCAAGGCAGGCAGACCACTTGAGGTCAAGAGTTCGAGACCAGCCTGGCCAACATGGTGAAACCCTGTGTCTACTAAAAATACAAAAATTAGCCAGACGTGGTGGCAGGCACCTGTAATCCCACATACTCAGGAGGCTGAGGCAGGAGAATTGCTTGAACCTGGGAGGCAGAGGTTGCAGTGAGCCGAGATCATGCCACTGCACTCCAGCCTGGGCGCAGCCTGGGCAACAGAGCGACACTCCATCTCAAAATAATAATAGTAATAATGAAGTTCAAACAGACCTGGCTAACATTAAATCAAGTCTTTTTGAAGGCACATCTAATTTCGAGGACATCCATACACTAACTGGCACCAGCTATCACTCCCATTTGTTTTCCGCAACAGGGATGAGGTTCAATGTGACCTCAAGCAGGTGGAAAATGAACTCTCCTTGCAATCTTTATATCCATTATTTCCATATGCAACTGACAGAGTCTCTGTCCTTAACAGTATAATCTTTCCAGACAAGTCAATAGCGAGCAAGCATGAAAAACCATGCTCATCAATGACTTTGAGAGAACAGGAGTTGATTTCACTTGTTTAAGCATAACACAGAAGCCCATCCACCTTACTCAGCAATGACTGGCTATGGAAGAACATTAAGCAGAAGCTCGGGTTCAAGCAGCACAGGCTGCAGAAAGCTTTGTGAATCTAGCTAATGAAGAAAGCATTATACTGTGCTTATACTGAGATTCTTGCTAAAGGTACGCTCCTTCTCCCAAGCAGCCTTTGGGAAGTAGTATTGGTGCGTGTTGTGTGCTGTAAACATTACTGGGCAGAATCACGGGGCCAAGAGGGAGAAGAGGGTCTGATCAGGACTTGTGATGTGTACTAGGTAATCCTCTCTTTAAAAGCCAACATATCTCTTACAAAAAGAACGTTAGCAGCCTAAAATGGGACTGCAAAGTCAAAACAACATAGGGGCTAGGTGTATTAGGAGATCTAGCTACCACTCAGGAAATTTAGATGGATTTGCTCTGAAAAAGAAAGCAGTGTTGGTAAACAGCGCCCTCCTCCCCTTTCAATGGGAATCAAATGTTTTAAAATGTAAATAACAGGTTCCTGGAACACCCCTGGAATTTCTCCTGGAAATGCTTTCATAATTCACATCTTGTTAGCCACAGGAACCCCAATTACATATCCTCTTTTCTCATTTCCACTAACCAATTATCAGCATTAGATAATAACACACTATTTTCTGCTAATATGTTTCCTGACAACATCAAACTCCAGAGGGTCTTCATGATGCAATAACTGAATAAGTGTGCAAACGAGGGCTAATTTATGAGAAAATGTTATTTAAACCTTCTCGGGTGCTTATGAAAACAAGCCATGTTGGTTAAGAGACACCATAAACACTAAATTATTGCATAAAAATGTACGAAATTGAAATGGCTTTAATGAAAACAAGTTCTTTTCAGATATTATGAAAGGAGAAATCCCAATGGGAGCATACAAAGATATAAATATTCAAGAACAATGCATTCCCACAGGCAGGATCAACTTGACACCACCTTGTTCAGAATGGGAACACACAAGGAAACTTGAAAAAAGACTTGCCAGCCCCATTCGCTGGCAACCTTGGTTCCAATACTTGCCCCAGTATATGAATTCCAAAAAGGATCACACTGTCGCAAATCTGACTGCTTAGGCAGTCACCTCTGTGTCAGAGAGTATATACCCAGGGCATCCACAATGCCTTCTGCTTGGCCTTTGGTGATGTGGTAGCTGCCTTGTAATGTATCTGCAGTGTATGTGGGGTTTCTCAGCTTGAAACGGAGAGGTGAAGTTTTCATGGCATAAGGGGTGTGGAGTCTGGGATGAATTATCTCTTGCGCCACCCAAAACTTTGGCTGTCTTCTAACCCCAGACATTTATAACTTTATTAGTAAAAATCACGTTAAAGAGGATTTTTGTGAGAAGGGGGAAAACCCTAAATTGTGTGTGCATGTATGTGGGCTGTGTATGTGGGCTGTGTGTGTGTGGTGTGTCTGTGGTGCATGTGTGTGTGTACAGAGGCAGAGACAGTACACACATAAGATGCAGGGGTCAACCTCATCTTGCTCCCTTTTCTTCTCACCAATAAAAGGATGGCGATCAGGCACAGTGCTCACACTTGTAATCCCAGCACTTTGGGAGGCGGAGGGGGGTGGTTCACCTGAGGTCAGGATTTCAAGACCAGCCTGGCCAACATGGTGAAACTCCATCTCTACTAAAAATACAAAAATTAGCCGGGCATGGTGGCACACACCTGTAATCCCAGCTACTTGGGTAACTGAGGCACGAAAATCGCTTGTACCCGAGAGGCAGAGGTTGCAGTGAGCCGAGATTACACCATTGCACTCCAGCCTGGGCGATGGAGCGAGACTCTGTCTCAGAAAAAAAAAGGGATGGGTCCATCTGCCAGAATAAGTATAACAGGTCCAACGTTCTTGGATTTAGATGGTTCTGAAACAACCCTCAGTTTTTAGGGATCTCTTAAAGATTGTTGAGGGTTCCCCCCACTTTGTAAAGTGAAACACATCTTCATATGTCTAACATGTGCAGCCAATAAAGAAAAAATTCAGGTTTTCCTTGAAAACTTTCTTCTGAAAGTACTTAAGGGACATTAAAATGCCAAAAACAGCCCTGCAGGGTGGCGATCAGAACTGATTATAAAGCTGCTGGCCCGGGCTGGATCTCCTGAGCAGAGCAGCTCTCCGTGTGGCCACATCAACGCAGATGCAGGCAGGAGTCCGTGTGGCAAATCGGGACAAAACAAATTTTCCTGTCTTCAGAGCATCATCATGCCTAGGCTTCTTAATATTTACAACAGGTAAAAACAACCACCAAAACAGTAACAAATTTAAAAACCAAACCCAAAACCAAAAGGCTCCCCAGGCTGGCAAGGGCATCACCTGTCAGAATCTGCTGTGGCTGGCCCAGCGCACTGGCTCACGCCTGTAATCCCAGCACTTTGGGAGGCCAGGATGGGTGGATCACTTAAGGTCAGGAGTTTGAGACCAGCCTGGCCAACATGGTGAAACCCCCGTCTCTATTAAAAATACAAAAATTAGCCAGGCATTGTGGCAGGCACCTGTAATCCCAGCTACTCGGGAGGCTGAGGCAGGAGAATCACTTGAACCCAGGAGGCGGAGGTTGCAGTGAGATGAAATCACACCACTGCACTCCAGCCTGGGTGACAGAGCAAAATTCCATCTCAGAAAAAAAAAAAACAAAAAAAGAATCTGCTGTTGCCATCTGACTGATCCCTGCGGCTTCCAGGATTACCACCAGCGTGAAAATGAAGACAAGGGAGATAGCACCTATCAGAGGCATGTTTCAGCCACCGGAGATAACATCTTAATCCTTAGCCAACCTACAGAAAGAGCAACAAACTGGGTGTGTGTGGTGGCTCATGCCTGTAATCCCAGCACTTTGAGAGGCTGAGGGAGGAAGATCCCTTGAGGCCAGGAATTCAAGACCAGCCTATAGTGAGACCCCATCTCTGCAAAAAAAATTTTTTAAAGAGCTGGATGTGGTGGCACATGACTGTAGTCTCAGCCATCACTTGATCCCAGGAGGTCAAGGCCGCAGTGAGCTGTGATTGGGCCATTGCACTTCAGCCTGGGCAACACAGTGAGATCCTGCTCAAAAAATAAAATAAAAAGAGTAACAGTAAGTAGAAAGTTACTAATTGCATTCATTAAAAAGTCTTTAGTGTCTCAGGGGGACCATGAATTCTAAAGTTATCTTTACCCAATGTCTGGTTCCAGGTAGTGTGCTGAGGTACATATTTGTTGAACTGTGTGGACCGCTCATAGACTTGATCATCTTTGCCCCATAACAGTCATTACCATAGGAACACTTAACTTGCAATAAAAGGAAAGGGATCATTTGGAAAATTAAAGCAAATATGAACTAGCTTAATTTTTTTTTTTAATTCTGAAGCTTGCCATCAACTGATGAATGGGTCAACAAAATATGGGATATCCATATAATGAAATATTATTCAGCCATAAAAGGAATAAAGTCCTGGCCAGGCACAGTGGCTCATGCCTGTAATCCCAGCACTTTGGGAGGCCAAGGAGGGCAGATCACTTGAGGTCAGGAGTTCTACACCAGCCTAGCCAACATGGTGAAACCCCATCTCTACTAAAAATACAATAAATAAATAAATAAATAAATAAATAAATAAATAAATAAATAAATAAGCAAGCCAGGCGTGGTGGCATGGGCCTGCTACACAGGAGGCCAAGGCAGGTGAATCGCCTGAACCTGGGAGGCAGAGGTTGCAGTGAGCCGAGATATGCCACTGCACTCCAGCCTGGGCGACACAGCAAGACTCTATCTCAAAAAAAAAAAAAAAAGAAGAAAAGAAAAGAAAGAAATTATGTCCTGATACATGCAGCAACATGGACGAACCTTGAAAACATTTAAGTTAAGCGAAAGAAGCAGTCACAAAGGACCACAAATTTTATGACTTCATGTATATATCTAATGCCAGAACAGGCAAATCCATAGAAACAGAAAGTAGATTGACAGTTGCCTTGGGCATGGGGGAGAAGGCAGAGTGGGGGAAATGGGGAGTGAGAGCTAATGGGTACAGTTTCTTTTAGGGGGTGAGGAAAATGTTCTACAATGGCGATATTGGTTGCATAGTTCTGCAAATATACAAAAAACCACTGAATTATATACTTTAAATGGGTGAACTGCATGGTATGTGACTAAACTTATTTTTTAATTCTGGAGTTTAAATTGGCATAATTACCACTATCTTATCTCTGTGTAACTGCTTTGTATTTTAATTTTGAGTACATTTTATTGGAAAAGAATATACAACTCTGGGAAACAGGCAGGATAAGAATTATTATTCCCATTTTACAGTAAGCAGAGGTCCACAGAGCTTCTGTTTTCTTTCCACTGCCTGGCTGAGTTCCTGCAGGACTCAGGGAAGAATGTAAATTACGGTGGAAGAAGGGGACCACAGGTCTTAGCACCCCAAATCAGGAAGGGATGATAACTAGCTCTTGCCAGATGTCTAGAAATGTTCTGTAGGTGGATCATACAGACATGCTACTAAACAAAAGGCATTGAAAAATGGCAGGTGGATTACTGAAATGTAATTCTTAATAGCATGAAATTCAGGTTAAACAATTTAGCTAAAAATGCAGGGGAGGGGGAAGAGTCACCTCTTTACTTGATATCTGGTGGGGTGAAAATACACCCAATTAGATGTGTCCATATAATTTTCACATCAAACATCCTGTGCTCCCAAAGGCAACTAATGGCACAGCTTGCTATGGATTTTCCCAAGTTTTCAAGAACAGTGACAGCCCTCTTCAACAAAGCCACTTAACATAACACAAGGTTAAAGTGGGAACCGCAAACACTTGCTTTTCTTAATTTACACCTTTCATTTACTTCCCCAGAAATGTCATAAAGGAACCATAGAATTTCTGATGTACTGTCAATAGATGGTTCCTTTCAAGAACAGCATTTAGAAAGAAAATGTGAATAATCCTACAAGGTAATCTGGAGCTATAACTTAAAACAAATAATAATTAGCATTTTGGGAGAAGAAAGATGATTTTGGTCTGGGTCTCTCACTTTAACAACAACAACAAAAAGACTAGTTCAGGTGTGGTGTTTCACGCATGTAATCCCAGCACTTTGGGAGGCAAAGGCAAAAGGATCACTTGAGGCCAGGAGTTCGAAACCAGCCTAGGCAATAGGGTAAGACCCTGTCTCTACAAAAAATAAAAAAGTTAGCCAGGCATGGTAATTCACACCTATAGTCCCAGCTGCTCAGGAGGCTGATGCTGGAGGATTGCTTGAGTCCAGGAGCTAAAGGTTGCAGTGAGCTATGATCAAGTCAGTATATCCCAGCCTGGGTGACAGAGCAAGATCCTGTCTTTTTTTTTTTTTTTTTTTTTTGAGATGGAGTCTTGCTCTGTTGCCTACGCTGGAGTGCAGTGGCGTGATTTCGGCTCACTACAACCTTCGCCTCCTGGGTTTAAGTGATTCTCCTGCCTCAGCCTCCCCAGTAGCTGGGATTACAGGCACGTGCCACCACGCCTGGCTAATTTTTGTATTTTTAGTAGAGACAGGGTTTCACCATGTTGGCCAGGTGTGTCTCGAACTCCTGACCTCAGGTGATCAACTCGCCTCAGCCTCCCAGAGTGCTAGGATTACAGGCCCCGGCTGTAAGATCCTGTCTTTAAAAACAAAATGAAACAAACAAACAAACAAAAAACTATTAGGTAAGTGGAAAACTAGGATTTTGACAAATGCAAATGCAATGACTTCACATTATCTCTTTCACTAACCAGGTAGGATCTAAACCCATGCTGCACCACAGCAAACAAAATTCAGCTCACAGGGAGCTATTCTCTGCACCACAGACCTTTCACAGCTTGAGAAGCTACTAGCTTTTACATCATCATGTCTGTGCAGCTTTAATCTTTTCTCTTTTTTTGAAGAATACCCTAGTAAACCAGAAAGATATTTTTTAAACACATAAAGTAATTGGCAACATTAAAAAAAATACATTTGCAAATTGGGTTGCCATTCATTTAAAGATACTCTTTTTTTCTTTTTTCTTTTTTTTTTGGACACAGAGTTTCGCTCTTGTCGCCCAGGCTGGAGTGCAATGGCACGATCTCAGCTCACTGTAAACTCCACCTCCCAGGTTCAAGCGATTCTCCTGCCTCAGCCTCCAGGAGAGCTCGGATTACAGGTGCCCATCACCACTCCCGGCTAATTTTTGTATTTTTAGTAGAGATAGGGTTTCACCATGTTGGCCAGGCTGGTCTCGAACTCCTGACCTCAGGTGATCTGCCCGCCTCTGCCTCCCAAAGTGCTGGGATTACAGGCATAAGCCACCATTACCCCGCCCATTTAAAGTATTCTTTTCAGGCTGGGCACTGTGGCTTATACCTGTAATCCCAGCATGCTTTGGGAGACTAAGGTGAGAAGATTGCTTCAGCCCAGGAGATCAAGGTTACAGTGAGTTATGATCTGGACAACAGAGCCAGACCCTGTCTCTAAATAAATAAATAAATAAATACTTTCCTATATCTGAGTCTATTCTTTAGTTGCTCAATGAACACATTAAAGCTGAGCTTCTCAGCTTTGGCACTGTTGATGTTTTTGATAATTCTTTGGGAGGGTGAGGGGTTGCCCTAGCAGCATCCCTGCCCTGTGCCCATGAGATGATGACAGAAGTACCCCCTGCCCAGCTGTTACAACCAACACTGTATCCAGATGTCTCCTGGGGAACAAAATTGCCCCAGCTGAAAACTACTGAGGTAAAGGCAACTGGTATGAAAATCTGCCTATGGCGTGGAGGCCCCAGCTTTAAAGTTTATTTGGATCACTGTAGTAGTCAGTAGCAACATTAAAACCATCCCATTCAAATCCAAATACTCAACCGAGATCAGGAAACCCAGCAAAATATGGTGCTGGTGTCAATGTGTGATGAGCCCCGCAGTGATGAGTGTGCAGCCGTCAGCAGTGTGCCAAGGTCCCGCACAGTCCGACAACTCTTTTAAATGTCCCTAATATTTATAAATGTATGAAGTGACAGGATTGACATTAGCAAGATTAATATGTTGCTAATTGACATTAGCAAGATATGGAAGGAGGGGTTCCCATATGTGTTTACGTCTTGTTAAAATCACACAGCTTTAGTAATCTGCTAATCATAATAGCCCAGTCACTCAAGAAAACTCTAACCACCCCCTTTTTGGACAACGGGAAGAGGGGTGTGGGCTGGTGGTAGCAAACTGGCAAAACAATGATATTTTTATCTCTGATCTCTTTAAAGAAATAATCCAAATACAAAATAATAAAGAGTCCATCTAATTCACAAATCCAGAATGTTCTGCATAAAGTAAGTCCAAGTATCTAAAAGATCCAAGATGACGTCTGTGCTCCAGGAAGAAAGGTGCCAGCTTCAACACCCTGGCTGACCTTTGGTGTGTTAGTCAGCCTGCGACCGCCCCAGAAACCACCCAGAGGTGACCAGCTACAGCCAGCTCACCAGCGGCCGACACCAGAGTCAACAGCAGCACCGGATGTGGAATGGACAAACCCCAGACCCAGCACACGACCCTGGTGCCTCTCTTACAGAGCAGAGAAATGCTATAACGTATCATCATTCCTGGGGTGTGGTCTGTTTTCTGGACGCTGCGCCAGCAACTCGCACATGGAGTCGTCCAGGCCGCAAGGATGGGCGGCAGGCAGCAGGGCCAGGCAGTCCGGTGTGGTGAGTCACACTGAGGCCCGCAGGTTGGGAAGCAAATAAAAAAGGAGATCGGGAAGCAGCTCTGCAGGGCGGAGCCAAGAATGTCTTGTGACCTTTGTTTTTTTTTTTTTCTTAAAGACGGGGTCTCACAGTCGCCCAGGCTGGAGTGCAGTGGTGCAATCACAGCTCACTGCAGCCGCAAACCCCTGGGCTCAAGCGATCCTCCCGCCTCAGCCTCCTGAGTAGCTGGAGCTATAGGAGCACACCACCACCCCCAGCTAATTTTTTTGATTTTTTTTTTTTTTTTTTTTTTTTTTTTTTGGTAGAGACCGGGTCTTGCTTTGTTGCCCAGCCTAGTCTGAAACTTCTGGGCTCAAGTGATCCTTCTGCCTCAGCCTCCCAAAGTGCCGGAATTACGGAGTGAGCCACCCTTTTAAATCCAAACACTTTGGTGATCATGAAAATTTAGGCTTTCAGAGTTGACCATCACCAAGATGATAATTCAACATTTCTTTCTCTGGAGGACCCAAGCAGGACAGGGAACAGAGCTTATGAATTCCACCTGTGGTCAACGAGTTGTAGACTGGAAAGACACCTGCTTGAGAAGTGAGGTGGACCACACAGGATGTCTGAGTGCCGATCACCTTTATGTTTCTCTCTATCTCTCTCTCTGTCTCTCTCTCTCTCTCTCTCTCACACACACACACACACACACACACACACACGACCTGGCCCTGCCCTAGGTACACATGGCTGGCCACCAGCACCTAACTAGGGTCCACTTCCATTCCTGGGGACATGAACAGCATAGTTGCTCTAGCTCAGGGGCTGGGAGCATCACTTGGCACTTAACACCTGAATTTATTAAGAAACCTCAAAACCATGGTCTTCACATTTTTACCTGGACAGCAGAAAAGGTCTCAGGCCCAGTGCCATCACAATCATGATGTATGGAGACTCGTGCTGCTTCTTTTTTCATTTCTTCCCAAAAGGCAGGCAAGAAACAACAGATTGCTTGCTACAGATCGAGGCAAGAACCAATACACAACAGCCCGAGTCACCTGTGTGCACCACAAATAAAAACTTCTCATATTCCACTGCCAGTTTCCCAAGCATGCACAAGATTTTGGGTTGGCTCTTTTTATTTAAGTAGTTTAAAAGCAACTGATTGGCTGGGTGTAGTGGCTCACGCCTGTAATCCCAGCACTTTGGGAGGCCAAGGCAGGACGCTCACCTGAGGTCAGGAGTTCGAGACCAGCCTGGCCAACATGGTGAAGCCCGGTCTCTACTAAAAATACAAAAATTAGCTGGAGGCGGTGGCACACGCCTGTAATCCCAGCTACTCAGGAGGCTGAGGCTGGAGAATCGCTTGAACCCGGGAGGCGCAAGTTGCAGTGAGGCGAGATCCCACCACCGTACTCCAGCCTGGGTGACAGAGCAAAACTCCATCTCAAAAGAAATAAAAAATAAAGGCCAGGCGCGGTGACTCACGCCAGTAATCCCTCCCTTTGGAAGGCTGAGGCGGGAGGATCACAAGGTCAGGAGATCTACACCATCCTGGCTAACACGGTGAAACCCCGTCTCTGCTAAAAATACAAAAAATTAGTCGGGCGTGGTGGCGGGTGCCTGTAGTCCCAGCTACTCTGGAGGCTGAGGCAGGAGAATGGTGTGAATCCAGGAGGCAGAGGTGCAGTGAGCCGAGATCGTGCCACTGCACTCCAGCCTGGGCGACAGAGCAAGACTCCGTCTCAAAAAATAAATAAACTAATTAATTAATTAAAATAAAATTAAAAATTTTTAAAAAGCAAGTGATTAAAAAGCTCTTCCACCTCCCTTATTAAAACAGTAATTTATTAAAACAATCATTCTCCTTGGAGAGTACTGCTGAAGCAGAGTGCACCCACAATTCCACTTACTCCAGCATCCACAGTCCCAGCCAGCCCCTGACCTGGAGGAATCCACTCATGGGGGGTGGGGGGGAGTCCTCCAAGGATCTGCACCAATGTGACCTGCCTGATAGTGTCTGTCACATTGATAGTGACCTGCCTGATAGTGTCCCTCCATTGACAGGGTCTCTATTGTGCTAGGCCTATGAGCCTAGGGGCAGCCAACTCACACACAACTCGCCCTGCCATGTCAGCTCTCAGCTTGGTTGCAGTCCAGGCACCAGGAAGGCTTGGTCCCGTGCCCAGTCCCAACACTGATAACATTCCCTACAGCTGCTGCCCAGAACGGAAAAGGTAAAAGATTCCTCCCTCCTGAGTGTGAACTTGGGGAGAGAGGTGGCGGGGGGACGGGGTGAGAATAAAGACGAGAAAAGGAGGGGTTTCCTGAAATTCCCCTGGAGTTCCTTTTAGCACCAAGGGAATCGGTACCATATCTTCATGTCTGTTCTGGGATCTCAGAGACAGACTCTCAAGCTTCTCTTGCTCCAGTGGACCCTCAAAGCAAAAACTCTCCCATGTCCTCCTGCAGCATTTAACCCTCTGCTTGCCAACACAGCAGTCACAAGGTATTAAAAAGGAGGAAGCACTCCATCTGAAGTCCTGGGCTAACCCAGCAAACATTCTACCACTAAATAGAACATGGCTCATTTCTACTCAAAAAGTCAACTGGGGGTTTCTACATTCTGTCTTCTTGTAGCAAAGCGGGTAGGGAGGCAGGGTGGAAGGAAGCAAGAGAACAGTGAGTTCCAGAAGGCCAAGCCTAGGGCGACATCTGAGCTAAGATTCCATCAAAAACCCTTCCATTTGCTAAGTGAAAGAAGTCAGTTACAAAAGACCACGGGCCTATGATTTCATCTATATGAAATGTCCAGAATAGGCAAATCCATAGATGCAGAAAATATATTAGTTGTTGCCTAGGACTGTGGGACTTAGGGAAAATGGGGAGTGGCTACTAGGAGACACGGGGGTTTTGTGGAAGGTGATGAAAATGTTCTAAAATTGACTGTGACGATGCTCGCACAACTCCTGAATCTACTACAACCACTGAATTGCATGCTTTAAATGGATGAATTGTAAGGTATGTGAATTATATCTCAATAACTGTATAATTTTTTAAGAAGGAGGGTTCCTTGCTTTAACTATAGCAAATAGAGCTTTCACTCTCCCCTGGCTGAAAATTTCCTAAAGATCATCTGGAAGACCCTTAGCAATATTTAGGTAAGCTATTAATGTGCTTGAGACTTCAGTACCTTCTGTGGGGATGATAGTATCTACTCCAAAATGTCACGAGGATTAAGTTTCAAGATGCACCTAAAGAGCCTAGCACAGTGCCTGGCACATGATGATTCCCGCAGGGCTCTCCTTTATGGGAAAGCCTTGACGCGGGTCCCGCAGATGGGCCATAGCAAGCAGCTAGGATCTGTTTGGGATTACATGAGATTCTACAGGAAAGTGGTGTCCCCAAACATTTATTAGCTCAAAATATGCAGGGAAAGCGAGGAAATGAATACTGAACACCCAGCAGATACCAGACAAAGGGCTAAGAACCTTATACCACTCGTTAATGCAACATTAAATTAATTAATTCATATATATATATATATATATAAATTTTTTTTTTTTTAAGACGGAGTCTCACTCTGTCGCCAGGCTGGAGTGCAGTGGCACCATCTCGGCTCACTGCAACCTCCGACTCACTGGTTCAAGGGATTCTCCTGCCTCAGCCTCCCGAGTAGCTGGGATTACAGGCACTTGCCACCACACTCAGCTGATTTTTGTATTTTTAATAGAGACGGGGTTTCACCATGTTGGCCAGGCTGGTCTTGATCTCCTGACCTCATGATCCACCCGCCTTGGCCTCCCAAAGTGCTGAGATTACAGGTGTGAGCCACCATGCCCGGCCCAATAATTTTTTTAAAGACTGACTCCTGCTACCTCCCACAGTGATCTCCCTGACACCGACCAGCCATGTGATCCAGTGGGAGCCGCTATCTTACGCTCACCAAAGCATTCTTGCCACTAGTATTCTTGAATATCTGGTTTTACAAAGGAATCTCAATCAGGCCGATGAATCAGCTCTTGCAGATCTCAACTGTACCAAGCAGACACGAGAACCTGTGAGGGAGTGGCTGAAACATCCAGCGAGGGGCCCTCAATGAATACACTGTACACTGACTACATACACAGTCTCTGAATGGGCAGAAGGCCAGACTAGTCTATGCCTTTTAAACACTTCCCAATTCCATTTCTAAATAATGTCTGAATGTCAATGGTTGTTCAGATGGCCCCAGCACATCCTCCTGGACGGGTTAGGCAAGCAGAAATAAACAGCCTTCAGTTATAGATACTGGCTGGGCACGGCAGCTCACGCCTGTAATCCCAGCACTTTGAGAGGTAGAGGTGGGCGGATCACTTGAGGTCAGGAGTTCGAGACCAGCCTGGCCAACATGGTGAAACCCTGTCTCTACTAAAAATACAAAAATTAGCCAGGCGTGGTGGTTGAGCACCTGTAATCTCAGCTACTCAGGAGGCTGAGGCAGGAGAATTGCTTGAACCCAGGAGGTTAGGTTGCAGTGAGCTGAGATTGCACCACGGCACTCCAGCCTGGGTGTAGGAGCGAGACTCTGTCTAAAAAAAAAAAAAAAGAATATGAGTTACAGACACTGTTGCACCCTCTGAGCTGGACACAACATTTACAGCGCCCACCGCAACCACCATCCCCTTCCAAGGGGGCGTACCCCATCCCGGGCCCCTCCAAGAGACGGCCAGCCCTGGGCCCTCCTTTCTAAACCATATGACATTCCTCCCTGCTAACTGGGCCAGAGGAAACACCTGACCCCAGGACACCCATGTCAAGGATGAACAGCAGTTGGTGATGCTACTTGGCACAAACACCCCATCCAAAGAAGGGTAGGCAGGGCCTAACTCTTGTTCTTGGTGGTGGTTGTTGTTTTAATTGGGAAATTAAAAAAAAAAAAAGAATTGGGAGCCAACGGTAAAGGGATGTAAGGAGGAGTCCAAGAGTTGGAAGGGGTCTGGCAGCATGCGAATGGCCAAAGTTCAGAGTGCGCAGAAGCTGAGAGATGGAGAATGAAGGTACAAGTACAGCAAGGGGGCCTGCGGACGGGACGAGCTTCCAGAAGAGAGAGCCCAAGGGAACAGCCAAGCACATCATGGCTGAGCCTGAAAGAGAAGGGTAGTCAATTCCTGCCACAGAGGTCCCTGAAACAGCCTGAGGTCCAGGACAGTGCTCCACGTCTGGGCCTCCCAAGGCCAATGTCCAGCTGCCCGTGTTTAGTGTTTGAACTCTGGTGCTGTGAATTCTGGTGTCCATCTCTGCGAGGCCCAGCTGCCATGGCATGGCAGGGTAGAGGTGTATCATACTCTCCACATGACTTACAAGAACCCAGCCATGTCCCCTTGTTTCCAAAAGGCCACCTCCCATCCCTCTCCCAGCATCCTGGCTTGCTCACGAGGGCTTCTGGGTAACCGCCTTTTGGATGGGCCAATCACTGGCTAAATGTCACTAACAAAGTGTCCTCACACATGGGCTGTCAACAGCAAGCAGTGCAAGAATAGAGACGGCAGCGGCTCCAGCAGCCTTTTTGTCCAAAAAGTTGTTCTATTTTGTCCAGTCATAGCACTTTATTCAAAATAGGAAGGTGGTATATACTTCATTAGCCACTTTTTTGAAAGGAGAGTTATATCTAGAGTGTTTTCACGTGTGATCAATGGCCTCCTAGGACTGCATCTCCTAAGCGGGTTTAATAAGCACTTCATACTTTAAAAAACAACACTGTTTTGAAAAGGACATCAGAGTCTAACTGAGGTCCATAAAGTTATATTAAGTGTCACGGAAGAAGACTCGCACCCAGGTAAAGAGGTTTTTTAAAGGGTACCAGGAGATTCAAAAGAGAGCAATTTAAGGAAAATCCTGGTTCTCAAAGATTATGAGCCCCTGTCTACTTATCTTCTTTTCCATTTTGTACTCTAGCCCCCTCCCACCAAAAATACAAACAAACAAAACCCACAGATCACTAAACCTCTAAGTGTCCGAGCTAAAGGGACAAAAAGAAGGTCATATATAACCCTCCCCACTTAAAAAAAAAAAATGTTCAACCATGAGGCAGAGCATGCCAAGACTTGCTCAAGGTCACATGGCAAGTTTCTAACTGGGCTAAGGACTCGGGCTGTCTGGGTCTCAGCCGAGGACTCCTTCCCCTTTATGCCTTAGAATTTATTTTTCAACACACTGAAAGTTTCCTTGAAATCTAAACGTAATTATATCAAAAGCCTAGCACTACTTCTTATGAAATCTAACAGAAAGATTCACTGCTTCTCAGAAACTTTGCAAGAGAAGCTCAGCAACAGGGGAAAATTATGGCTGAATATTTCTTGTGGGGGAAGAGGGGTACACAGAAGTTTCTGGATAATAAAATCACTTCCAACCCAAACTGACCCACATTTAGAAGTCCAAATTCAATTAATCTGACATTAGTCAATTCTGTGCTGCAGTCCAAGCATTTGAAAATTGACTTTGGGTTGAGTATTACCAGAAAATTCTTCTGCCAGTTGTCTGCTGTTCATTTCTTTGTATGACAACCTCAACACCCAGAACTCCGGTCCTTCTGGAGCCCCTCCTACGGGTTGCTCTTAGCTGGTGGATTTAGTTCAAGGTCCTCAAAGTATATATCATTGTCCAATTCACATAATATGTTAATAACCATGGGCTATTATGTTGATTTATTCAAAACCACTCACAGCAGAAATGCATATTCTTTGAGCTATTCTTAACTGTATGTTCAAATGCATCACACTTACAGTAAGGTTAATGTGCAGTTGCCCATTCTTTCCAATAGAATACACAAGAACAGCAGTATATTAAATGCTCTAATATCGCCTTCTGAAGAAACCTCCATATTCATTGTTCCCATTCATGCTGCAGCCTAACTCCTCCCAATGAGGAGATGGGCTAAGGTGAGACTGGAATGTGGACATGTTTTTGATGGTGTGCTTATGGAGAAGCAAGCTGCAGGGCAGCCCAGCCTCCTCATCTGTCAATACCGGCAACTCTCCTTAATGGTCAGAAACAACATGGAAACAGATATGCAGAATCTTCATGAATAGAATCCTGTAAAATGTGATTGGTATGGTCTTCTAAGAGCTGATCGTTGGCACAACCACGCCCAATGACTCTGGTTTGCTGTTACTCTTTCAGCACAGCTGAAAAATCTGGTCCACATAGGTTCCACCCATTTTTGATCAAAAGTGGGTTTGGAAGCTTTTAACATGTCATCCATTTGAAGTTTAGGGCTCCAAACAGCACAGCTTTTATTCAAATTATATAAGCACACAGGCATTATTTCCTCCATTTGAAGACTCGCATTGTTTCTACATTTTTACGCATCTGAAATTCAGATGCATATGGTAAGTAGATACAGTTAAGAGAGCCGTGCTCTTTTTCTCCCTGAAAATTTGCTTTTAGATTAAAAGCATAACTTTTTTTTTTTTTTGAGACGGACTTTTGCTCTTGTTGCCCAAGCTAGAGTGCAATGGCGCAATCTCAGCTCAGTGCAACCTCTGCCTTCCAGGTTCAAGCAATTCTCCTGCCTCAGCCTCCCCAGTAGCTGGGATTACAGGCATGCACCACCAAGCCCAGCTAAATTTTTTTTATTTTTAGTAGAGACAGGGTTTCACCATGTTAGCCAGGCTGGTCTCGTACTCCTGATCTCAAGTGATCCGCCCTCCTCGGCCTCCCAAAGTGCTGGGATTACAGGCATGAGCCACCGCGTCCAACCTTAAGCATATCTTACAACTGATGGTATACTGGAATTCAGAAAACATGGTGTTGCAAACAGTAATTCTCATGCTCCTTGAATCATGGACTCCTCTGGCTGCTTTCTGCTTTCATGCACGGACACAAACCAAATAATAAGAATTATCACAGCCTTATACTGATCCAAAAGACTTACTTGCAGAACACTTCAACTATTAACCGCAACTCCCTCCTAAGCATTGGGCAAAGCAACATATCATGTTTGAGAAGCAATTCTATATCCCTCAGACCACCTGAGCCTCACAACATCTTTTTCCTAACTACAACCTATGAGGGAGGTAGTTATTATTTTCCTTACTTTACAGATAAGGAAACTTGGAGATTATTAACTTCTCAAGCTGATAAAGCAAGGAGGCAGCTGAGCCAGAGCCCAAACCAAAACCTGTCCATCTCTAAAGCCAGAGGTCCTAACCACCAGGCTACATGACCCTACCCCTTCAGAAGCCCCAGTTATCCCGATTCTTAACAGATAAAGAAACCGAGGCTGCATATTAAGCGCTTCATAAGTAATTCCACAGCTGCAGGTGGATAAGCCAGACAGCCGGGGCCACATAAATACTGTGTGAGTTTGGAAGCAGGAATTACTTTGTCCAATATACTGAACAAAAATAAGGTCCTATTCCAAATAGCACCCGTAAGGTATACTCACACCATGGGTAGCTGGAACAAAGTCTCCATCTGCAACTGCAGATCTATGAATGTCTTCTGGTCTCTGCCCTTGACTCCACCTAAAATGTTTCCAAACTGTCTGGATGTGACATTTCAGACTTCTAAACAGGAGGCATTCAAAACAGGCCTTTTGCCTATTCATGAGGTTGCTGCCTGGTAAACAACATCCTCATAGGCCACACTAAACACCTTGCCTGCACTGGGTACTAGGAGTAGCTGGTACCAGAGCGGCCACAGTGTCTGGCAACTGGAGCTCTGCCTGGCCCAGCTTCCCAGCTTGTAATTCAATGACAGGTGGAGTCAGGGAACCTGGCCCTTTTTTCCCTATGGAATGGGATGATCCCACCATCCTCTACACAAAGCCTTCTGGTCTCTGGGTGAATATGCATGGAAATATGAAGGCTGAGCATTATTTATATCAATGGTCATTAGAGGTGACAATGGCAATTGACAAGTTTAGGTGCAAGGCCTACTGTTCACCAAGTCTGGCTAGACACTTGTGCTTCAGCTGAAAAATCAATGGGCAGGCCTAGAGAGGGGAAGAAATTTCATTTTGGGAATGACAAAATATTTTCCCAAGCCCTCAGCTGCTTCATTAATGCTTGCCTTATTTGGAGAAAAAGAAACCCGGCTGAAGCATCCGTGGTAGTTTTATATGCCGTGAACTGGCAATGTTTTGGAACAAAAAACAACTTTTGCACAAGGGTACTTATGGCATCATTATCGCATTTTCCAAGACCAGCTACAGTGCATGCCAGGTAAAAAAGGGAAAAGCTGATGAACAGTAGTACCTTCACCAGCAGCAAGGCTGAAACAAGAGGGCTTTAGAATAAATCTTGGTCCATGTGCACGTTTATGGCAAAATAACCCATGTGCATTTGCCTTATAAAAGTGTTACAGGTAGGCATACTTATATAATTTATTTAATGTTCTTTAACATCCATGCTTACTTGGGTTTCGTACAATTTATTAAGCTTTCAGCCTGGCCTACAGAAAAAGGAAAAACAGAAGCAGATGTGAGCCTACTACCCGCATTTACATGTTCACCAACCTTCTGCAGAGCACGGAACCAGCTGGTAAATACCTCTGCAGCCACCATTTGGGCCTGGCCCCTCCCTCTCCCAGAGGAGGCAGTTCCTGACAGGTATTAGGCTCCTTCCGGCTAGCTTGAGTGAAAGAATAAACACCTCAAGCAAGAAAATTGTGATGCCTGATTGGAAGCCTGTTACATATCCCAAAAGAAACAGTCCTTCTTCAGGAGATGAGAGGCAAAATGGCAGGGACTCCACCTGACTCCAGCAAGCTCTTAACAATCTCTCCAAATACCAATAAACGCCTCCCCTTCCTCGCAGGAGTTCCCTAGACTTGTCTATTTCAGGAACCTCACTGCCTTTTAGGAACCTCCTTGAATCTGCTTGGATGACGACACATCATCCATCCATCCAACGAAACACACACACACACACACACACACACACACGCCACATCCATGTGCACACACACATACACTCTTCTCCTACTGCCTACTCTTCCTCATGCCTGGCCCTTCAGTTTAACATTTACCAGATCTCTCGGGACCTTCCCCTTTTCCTAAAGAACTCTTTCATTGCTCTTTTCTTGGCTCCTTTTTCTTGTTGCTTTCTCCACCCTCCGGCTCCTTGGGAGAGGCAAGGAATCACCCGGGTGTGGGGGTTTCAACAGAAGCATGCCAGGAGGACAGGGAGGACTGGTGACAGCCTCAGATAACAGAATCAGATTAATGTCCCATCCGGTGTCAAGTTTCCTTTGGCCCTCAGAACTCACACTCCCTCCTGTGTCCACCAGGTTCCCATCTCCCGCTCTCCTCTCCTCTCCATCCCTCACTCTCATCTTCCCTCCAGCCAGAGCAGTGCCACATTCCAGGGCCACCACAATCTCAATCCATTCACCAGCACTGTAAAATGCCATGACTTCATTGTTTAAGAAACTGGGAGGACACAAGGAGCCTGTCTTTTGGCCCAACATAAAAGCAGCCACACAGTTTGGTTGGGTGGCCCCCGAAGCCCATGACCGTCAAAAAGGAAGTTTATCAGTAAATATAAGCATTAGCCTATCATCAGAGAGTATGTCTCCCTAAAGTCAAATTTGCAACCCCAAACACTACTCCAAGGATATAAGACATATGTAGGCATCGGGTGGGGCGGGTGTCATGAGCTTAGAGCTATTTCTTGAAGTAGGGCTTAGGAGGGCCACCCGCAGAGAGATTACAGGCACGGTATAACTTCACAACAAAAACACTGTACTGTTTGCAAGCACTCCAGTAAAAGTAGGAGACAGAGAATTGAAATTCAGAGTTCGCAGGTCCAGAATTCATTCCGTGCATTGCTTCCTCGAATGTAAAATGAGAGACCTGATGCACAGTCCCCAACTAATTATTCATGATACATGTGTATCTATAAACAGACACACTCTCTACCTTTTGTGGCTGTTAATGTTTAGGACAAAACCATCATGCCCAATGTATTATTCAGTCTTTGGTAGTAAAGGCCTCAAAATGAAACCCCCAGTCATTTATTAAGACCCTGGAGTCTCCCTTGGGCTAGAGACCCCAGGGGGACTGTAATAGACCACAGAGCCCTGACCTCCAGGTTCAACTCCTTCTCCAGCTTATATTAAAACACTTAATGGACGCTTAATTGGACCGAATTTTACCTAGATGGCAAAAACTAAATAATCTGGCCTAGAAAGACTAAACTATCTCTTAACCATTATCTGTTTATATTCTCACCTGCCACCCTATCCCCAAAAGGTGGTGTGTGGGGGAAGGGGGAGACAGTAAGAAAAAAAAAAAAGTGCAGTAGCCATAGAAGAACCACACAAGAAAGAAATGTGACCAGAAGCAGCAAGAGAAACTTCTACGTCAGGAAAACATTAACTTCTGTTCCTACTGTGTTAGACCTAAGGGCTAAGGTTTTCACGGAAACCTTATGTGGTCCATTTCCTCGTAGCGAACATGGATGTATTTTGTGAGCACTTGGGAAGCAAGAGACAAGAACTAAGCAGGCACTAGGAACTTCTAGTTGAGGAGGGAAGCAGCCAGCTCTCCAAGATGATGTGGCAACAGCAGGGGTAGGCAAAGAACACAGGGGTTTGAGGAGAGCCTTCTGCAAGTGGCTCCAAACTTTAGCCTTGGAAGAGGTGATAGAGGACTGGTTCAGTGGCTTCCTTCTATCAGTCATCTTCATGAAACTCATTTCTTCCACAGTCACACGATGTCTGCTGAAGAGTATGTCCAAGCGATTCCAGTCATGGTGTACAACTCACACTTTTGCTCTCTACACCCTCAACCCCAACCCCAGCAAAACTTTAATGAAAATCGCCTTGCCTTTTGTTAATAACAAAATAAACAGATGTAGAATGACGGTGTTTGCCTCTTTCCTTTTATTTGTGCCATGCTTCTAAAGCTCTCTCCACTTCTAAGTCACCAAAGAGATTCTTTTAGAAACATCTTCTAGCTCTCAAGGAAGAGACTAAAAATCCTGACACTCTCGAGAGGGCAGGCGTTGCCAACTTTTAACTCCTCACCTGCTAGTGCGTTCGCCAGCGAACAAACTGGGAATTCCCTTTGTCAAGAAAAAGATCAGAACGTGAACTGTACAGTTCCAGGGGAGGATCAATAACCGTCAGAGGGAAAAAGGGAGAAAAAGCAGGCACTTAATTCACTGCCCTTTCATCTCCACGGAAGAGCAAATTTCCTAGGTGACACGGCCCTCCCTTGCCTCCAAAGTCTGGTCCAACTAATAACGTGTGAAATATTTGTGTGATCTGCACCCTTTCTCACTAATACCTGCGACAATTACTACACGTATCCTCACTCACACCTAGACATAAGAGGGAAATTGGAAATTGAAGTTTCAAAAGTCACTGGAGAGATTAATCCACCTGGGCTGAGTTTACGCTGTTCCCTTAAATTAAGGAAATGTATAGGAAAGTGGCCGCGTTATCTACTGAGCACCCCAAGTGAAGGATAGGCAGATCTCCATGCAGACGCTGGACCTCAGAATACACTCTGTCCCAGCGAGGCACAGAGAACTGCTGTCATCCATAAGCTCTTTGCAAAATGACCAAAAAAACACAGGTCTCCACTTCACCAACGGGGGACCATGCCAGCTGGCAACCAGCCTTGGGAAACCCTGTCCCCCAAGGGTCACTGAAAGAAGCCATGAGGTCAAGAGCTTGATTTTTGTCGGGGGGGTGAGGGGTGGTGCAGGTAGGGGCCACAAGGTTGGAGGCTTAAATATTTGAATAACAGATTCAAAGGGAGGAGGGTAAACGCACACATCAAGTTTGATCGTGGATTCCCAAGACCTCTTGTATCTGTGAGATAACCAAGGAGCTTACTATCCACCAGCCCTGAAGTCCTCAGGCCTCCCAGATAAAAAATGCAAGATTTTGCCTAGATGTGATAGGGTTCTGAGGCAGCCAGGACTCCACATGGGTGGCTACTAGGTCATCGTCACACAGCAGCCAGCCACAGCTGCCTCGCACTCAGCCACAACAGGCGATCCAGCCATTCTGGGCGGCGTCTTCTCCTTGGGGACACAGCGCCTCTTTCCAACAACACTGTTCCCTATGTATTTTGGGCATTCCATGATCACACAGCGTACCAATTTACACTTCCGCATCTAGAAACACAGTCTTCTGGGAAAAACCTGCTCTTTTCGGTATGGCTGGGGAGTTGTGCTCTAGCTTGTAATTTGGGTTAAGGAAGTGACTTCCTGACTGACAGGAAGCAGAAGCCGAAGCTGACTTTAGCTGCCTGCAAACCCCTCGCTTGGAGAGAAAGCCTGAAGTTCTCCAAGAGAAGAAAGCTACTTATCAGGGAATCTTCCAAGAACAGAAACCTCTCCCCTGACCCCCCCATTTATTAAAACAAGTTTATCTAACAAACAACTCGAGTGCATTCGGTCCTGAAGAAGTAAGCTCAGTCACTGCTTTTGTAACAACACAGTCCTTTTAAGGCTTCTAAGGACATAATTACCAGTTGAGTTTTGAACTTTGCCCAGATAAAGGCCAATACACCAGGCTTTGCTGTTTGTTTCTCGAATCAAGTAAATTCAAGTGTGAACAGAATTCTGGATCTCCTCTGTGCCTGCAATTCCTTCTCTCAGACATAGTTACTTGCTGCCCCCCTTTATCACTAAATGCATTTTTATGGAGAGCCAAATACATTTTGTTTTTTAAAATTCCAACCACTTGATTTTTGTTCTATCTGAGCATTCTGAAGAACAAACACTAACAGGGTATCCGCTGAACAGCTAAGATGTAAATGTTATCAGAAATCACACTTCCTTTCCTAAAGCCCACTGTCATATCCACCGGGGGCGGATAATCTACATGCCAGCAAGCTTTAAAAACTGACAATATGCAAGGCTAACATTCAAATTTAAAAAGAAACACCCTGCTGTTCCTTCACACACACACACCCCAAAAATGGTATGCAGAAATATGGAAGTGAATGGCAGATAATTAAGGAGAAAACAATCTGCTCTTTTCCTATCTCTTACTGACATGTTTAATAGTTTCTAAATAAAAAATGTGATTTTCTGTCTTTTTTCTCCCCTTCTCCAAGCAATTTCCGAGCCAGCTTTGGGCAGTAAACAGTTAATATTCCACTCTCCCTGCTGCCTTGAAAACCAAAGGAACAATTGAGACATTGTCCAGTGAACAAGACTCCCAGGGACTGACATTTTTGTTTATGTCCCAGTTCTCAGACTGTCAATTTCCACTAGGCACGTTAAAGCCTGACCCGCGCACCAACACAGTCCACCGTGAGCTGAAAGGGCTCCGCTTCATTTATTTTATTAAAGCTTCGGTGTCTGTTTTTGATTCAAACTCCAAACCTCCCCAACCCCCGCCTTTTCCCCAGAAAGTTGCCTCCTAACTCTGAGACTGTGTTGCAATTCCTTCTTGGAACACTTTGCCAAGAAAAGTAACAAAATATTTTTGAATACCAATGTTTGCATGGTTTTGCCAAAAAGGGTGGGGGGTGGGAGGAGGACCTGAACAAGTGGTCCAGCCTTGAAAGCCGCATGTTTTTATGGAGTTTTGAAAATATTCCTCTGAAATGATATGCAAGCCGGTACCTACGGTGACCTAACAGTCCAAACTCTGGCACTCCGAAAACATTTAAAAGTCCTCCAATGCATCCGAAAAAACCCAAACTTCAGGTTCAAAAACAAAAAGTGTACATCAATATTTTCCTCCCAACCGATGCCACTGCCTGACAAATTGTCTGAGTTATGGCCCTAAAGCTTCCCCTCCCCACACCACTTTCCTACTCTTTTTATCCCCCACTCCCACCTTTTGGGGCATGGGGGGCGGTTGCATTAGTGATTTCGCAGGTTTGGGGTCTTGCTCCTGACACTTTATCTCCATGAAAAGCATACACAGCAGTGAGCACCGTTTCCTGTTTGCAGAGCGGGCATTAACTAAATCACACCCTATGCAGCAGCTACGGAATGCAAGAGCATATGGCATTGTGCAAGGATTTACCGAGGAATAAAAGCAGCAACGCTGGCCTGCTGCTTACTATCAAACCCTGTCACTCTGTGCTTGCGGGTCTCTCTATTTCCCACTGGCCCAAGCCCATCTCTCCATATTAACGTACAGCGCACACACACGCACACACACACACACAGCTCACGACCCAAAACCTGGAACTTTTACAAGGAACAAGACACAGGAAAGCCACATGGATCCAACCCCCCTCAGACCCCTTATTGCTCAGATTGGAGACACAACCCCTCCTTCTCACAAACT
Organism: Homo sapiens; assembly: GCF_000001405.40. Lineage (NCBI taxonomy): Eukaryota > Metazoa > Chordata > Mammalia > Primates > Hominidae > Homo > Homo sapiens. Next base: position 113,058,572 of record NC_000010.11, on the reverse strand, counting down.
GACCAGGAAGCAAAAGGAAGGGGCTGGGGCTATGAGCTGCCCGGAGGATCACAGTGTGGAGTCCATGTTGCCCTCGGGGACCTGACACCAAAACCCGGTATAAAACCACATTTTCCAACGAACCATCTATACCTTTCTTTTCCCTCTCACCCACTCCAAAAACAGCATTTGGCCATCTTCCCATTGCAGACTCTTTGTTTAGAATTGAGGATTCCCCACCCCCTCTTCATCTCTACTCTAAAGGGCCTCTTCAGACCCATTCAGAGCCTGCTCAGGCTGCCCAAGCTGGGGCATCAGACACTGAAATAAATGGTGATACTTTCATGGCATATTTGAATGTAACAAGCCATTCTCTCCCGAAAGGAAGCCCTGTTGGGCAGTCACAAGTTGTTACTGAACCAAGGTTGAAAGACAGAATCCCTAGGGGCCAAAGGTAAGATTGTAACATTTATAGCCACCACCTTCTTCCCCCTTTAAAGGCCCTAATGAACCTACATAGGGCACACGCAAGACATTAACTTCTTCCTGCCAGAAGCTTCTATTTGCTCGATGAGGGTCCTTCTAGGCAAGCACCACAGCTCCAACACCTCCCACTGTTCACATCTTAGTTTGGTTCTTCCTGACCCTCCATCTCAAACAGCCCCCAGCCTGGTCCCTCTCTGTCCCACTGTCCTGCTCTTTCTCTGACATGGCTCCTGTCACTATGTGAAATTACCTTGCCCATTTTCAGCCGACAGAGAGCACAGAAAATAAGACCTTAGCTATGAACTGAATGACCACTGAAAAGGTCTGGCTTTCCACCTGAGAAAAGCCACCTCCCTTCCCTCTGAGCCTCAGTCTCTTCATCCGTAAAATGGAATACTAATACTTAGCCCCCAAAGATCATAAGGATTAACGTAATGTATCTGGAATGTGGCACATCCTGTTAAGTAGCCAACAGATTTATTTCTATTTTATTAGTTATTAATGTATTTAAAATGTTTTCCCCTGTTACTTATTTACTGGTTTTCATCTCTATGCCTTCCTCCCTATACCCTGACCCCCAACAGAAGTCCCATGAGAGCAAGAATATTTTCTTGCCCACTGGTATATTATTGCCTGGGGCCAGGCTCGGTGACTCACGCCTATAATCCCACCACTTCGGGAGGCCGAGAAGGGCAGATCACCTGAGGTCAGGAGTTCGAGACCAGCCTGGCCAACATGATGAAACCCCATCTTTACTAAAAATACAAAAAGTTAGCTGGGCCTGGTGGTGCACACCTGTAATCCGAGCTCTTCTGGAGACTGAGGCAGGAGAATCGCTGGAACCCAGGAGGCTGAAGTTGCAGAAGTATATATTCCCAGCCTGTCTTGTCTCCCCATGGGTAATCACCAAGTATGTGTTTACAGGGTAGGAGAGACAAGAGGAAGGGAGAGAAACCAAGCCAAATGTCTGGCTTCTCAGTTTGGGCAACCAGTGATCACTGTAATGATCATCACCTACTCACAGCAACTTTCCTCAAGTGACATAAAGGGATAAGAACAAATAAAAAGATCTTCATTTGTTATAAGTGGTTTGTGGTCTTCTGACATACACAGAGCAGATAGCATTTCAGTACTGGCCTCCTATTTCTGCACGCTTCCTGGAAAACGCAGAGTCTGGGAGATGTTTGGATGAGACCGCTCTGTAGAGGCCCAAGGCAGGAACTGTGCCCCAGGAAACCGCCCTCAGCTACCCACCAGGCAGCCTCTCCCAGCCTGCCCATCTGAGGCGATGACGCTTTTCCAAGTGGCAAATGAATCATGTCAGACCAAAAGCCATTTTAAAAGTACACTTTGTAAAAAACCCATGCTACAGCACATTTCATTTATTAATTATGCTATGGATTAGGGATCAAAGTGGTAGAAATCTCAGTGTACTCGAAATAAATGGCTTTTGTGGTTACCTAAATCCTCAGAGTCCCCTGGAATGTAATTCCTTAGGCAAAAACAGCTTCCCAGACTTCTTGCCCCCTCTCCCCAATAATATGGGGGAGGGTGATTACTCAGCATCAGACTTGCATGATGCAATTATTTGGGCTTTTAACGTTTCAGTTACATGAAATATGGAATTCTTCCTTTTGAACCGCCCTCCTGGAGACGGGTTTTTTGTTTCTATTATTGAGTCTCAAGCTCTTCCCCTTCTTTCTGTCCTCTACCCTCACTGCCCCACTTCCAATTAGATTCAAATTTAAAATAACATATAAAGATTTTGGGATTCAAACAAATCCCAAGTAATTCGCAAGAAGGCAATGAGGCGCGGTATTCAGCAACGAGCTTTGTGGTCAGAAAGGTCTGGATTTGAATCTTGGCTCTGCCACTTACTTCATAAATTATCTAACTGCTTTAAGCTCTGGTTTTCTTATCTCTAAAATGGGGATAAAATTGCTTCAAGGAGCCTGTTGCAAAGACTGATGAGATAAAATATAGAAAGCTTCTGTCCCAGAGTCAGGAGCCCAGGATCTCGGCTGTATGTGACCAAGAATTATTTATTGCCCTAGCACTTTCAAGTTTTCCAGATATAGGTCCAGTCCACAATTTTTGTATCTTGTTCTAAGTGAGTTGCTTAAAATCATATTTAAAGCCTAGTTTACAAATCAACCCCTTGCTTAGATTCCTACCAAAAAAACCTAATTTCCTTCAATGTGACTGTTAGAGAGCAGATGTCCACTCAAAATCAGAATTCCTGCACCAACTATCTGCAGAATTCGGAGCTACTTAGAGTGGGTACAAAATAAAAGCACAGAGGAAAATACAGATGAATTTGAGGGCATTAAAATTTAAAACTTCTTTCTTTCAAAACCCATCCAAAGCTAGGCACAGTGATGTGCACCTGTGGTCCCACCTATTCAGGAGGCTGGGGCAGGAGGACCTCTTGGTACCAGGAGGTGGAGGCTGTAACATACTATGCTCTTTCCTGTGAATAGCCACTGCAATCCAGCCTGGGCAATGCAGTGAGACTCCATCTCTAAAATAAAAGGTAAAAATGAAAACCCATCTAAAGCAATATTTTAAAACATCACAGCCTAGAAAAAGTATTTCCAACACATATAATCAAGTTTTCAACTTATATAAAGAGTTCCTATAAATCAATAACAGAAAACTATCTGATTCTTTAAAATGAAGAAGGCATTAAACCAGGCAAGCCACAGAGGAGAAAATAAACATATGACCAGATGTTCAACCTCAGGAGTCATCAAATAAAGGCAAATTAGGTAAGATGCCGTTGCATACCCAGCAAATTGGCAAAAATTTTAAGTCCAACAGGATCAAGCATTGGTGTGATTATGAGGAAAGAGTTTATATGCTGGTGATGGAAATACTCATTGATCCAATCAACTCATCCAGTTGTTCTGGAGAGCTTGACAATAGCATGTGAATTAAAATTAAAACCAGCAAACCAATGCCCTACCAATTCCTCTACTTTGGTATGAATCCTAGAGAAACTCATATATAGGTACCTACATACACTTGCCCAAAGGATGGTTATTACAGCAGAATCTGTAATCTTAAAAAACTGTAAGCAACCTAATTAACCATCAATACAGAAATAGAAAGCTGTAGTATATGCATACAATAAATACTACAGAGCAGTTAAAAAGAATGAGCTAAATTTCAATGTACAATGTTGAAAAAATTCAAATGTAATGTTGAATAAGAAAAGCATGCTGCAAAATAAAAATTTAAAAATAAAGAAAAAAATAAAAATAAAAGAAAACATGCTGCAGAATGTTATGTGGAATGTGAAGCCACTTATGTCAAAGTTAAAAACTACTAAGATTATTTATAATACATACGTTAATATAAATAGATGTCGAAAAGTATAAAAACCTGAACTCGGTTTTCATATTAATAACAGCCTGGGAGGGAAGATCATGGGCTAGGAGGGTGAAAAGATTAGTAATTGTTATTTTAGGTGGCAGGTACATGAATGTGTTTGTTATCCTTTGTACCTTTCTGTATTTTTTTGTTGTTGTTGTTTTAATTTTAAAAAAAGCTAGAAAGCAATCAATCTCTCCTGTCCTGGAGAACAGACAGAACAATCAGACACAGCCACTAAAAACAGGGAAGCCCACCTCTAACTTCTCTCCCCAAAGCTTGTCAGTGTGACAAACTTTGAGATAGACACCCTAAGGGGAACTGCCAAACATCATGGAAAACCCCAATACTCAAAGATCCAAATTTATACAAAAGATAGATTAGGGAGTGACTACACATAGCATTAAATGGTTGGTGATTTGAGAGAAATGCAAAAACCTTCCATCCATTGTAACTTACCAGAAAGATTTGTGATTTACCCACAAGTTTGCAGACACACATGGTATAAAAGGAGGTATAATTTAGGATGAATAGAAGGCTCATTGTGATGCAAATCTCCCTTTTTTGGTTCCTTTCTTTTGCCATGAGTTCATACCTTTTCCTCCTGGGAACCCACAAAGCCTCACTTCCTCAACAGGAACTAACAGCATCACAAAAGAATGACAGGCCTCCAGGTTCCCTGGTGTAGCCTGACCGGCACCAGCCTAGTCTGGTGTCCGGAAACCTGCCTCTCCCCGCCTGTATGTGTGCCTGATTAAGGCAGCATAACACTGAAGGGTGAGAGTCCTGGCTCCGATGTGAGACTCCTTGGGTTCAACTTCCAGCTTGCCGCCTCCCAGCTGTGTGACCTTGAGTACGTCATCCTCCCCTCAAGCCTCAGTTTCCTCATCTGCCAAATCGGGATAATAACAATAGCTCATTCATAAGGGCGTTGTGAGGATTAAACCTGACAACTTCATAAATTACTTAGAAAAGGCCTGGAGCTAGTGAGTGCTCAGTGAACATCCAGTATTACCATGATCGTGTACTTCTCTCTCCATTTCTCAAGGCATCAGTTCTGTAACGATCAAAATGAGGCTTTTATGTCACTAGACCTCTAAGTTTTCTTTCAACATGTGAATTCTGGGATTAAGTCTAATATTGAAAAGAAAAATCAGGAACAGGGGAGCTAGCATCAGGCAGAACCAAAGCTCCGGTCTATCATTTGCAGACTTTGTAGTAACTGAGGCTCCAGGACAGTGCATGACAAAAAGCTCCCAAAGCCTCATCCCTCAGCTTCTGTTCTGACCTCTGGTATCACACGCCTGCGCCCAGCAGGATCCCGACAATCCACACCCTTGCTACATATCCAGCAGGTTCTACTTTGCCAACTGAAAACTTCTGGAGGAAACTCACATAGGCATCCAGACACCACAGCACTTAGCCAAGCCCAACCCTGCTGGCCTCCGTATGCGGTGCTGGCCACCCCTAGAGTCTCAGCCCATTTCCCCCAAGCCAATGGCCCGCCCTCCCGCTCCTTGACAAATGTCCTCTCTACCCACTCACTTATTCCACACAGACGTCCAAACACGCACTAGCTCACCGTATGTCCTTACTGCCTCTCAATGGGTTACATTTTTCAAATTATGTTCCAAAACTTAACCATGAGATCGTTGGCATGAGAGCTGTGCCTGTGTCCCACGCCAGGCTTGAACTCACAGTGTAGCAGATGAATCAGGAAGAAGGCATCATGGGTTTGCACCAAAAAAAGAATCAGATAAAGAAGTTCGTTTGTATCTTTTTAAAAAGAACAAAGAACCCCTCTTCTTCCAAATTAAAAGTTTAGATAACATTGAAGTTATCACCCTCTTAGAAATATCTTGATTTTTGTATCATGCAATGTCTAATAGAAAGGTGGGAGGAAAAGAGAACTGTAGAGTTCACTGCTGAAGTCCAGTTTGAGTAACTCTCAGAAATACGACTAGATCCGCTGCAATCATTCACAGGTAGAATGCATAAAAATGAATCCGCAGTTCAAGCTTGGTCCATGTGTCATGTCCTCAAGATACATGGGTCATGGAGAGCAAAGAGACATCCCAGCCATGGGAGGAACAAAGTGGGATACATCAGGCCAGCTGAGCCACAGTCCAGCTCCTGAGCCTACGTCCTTTTCCTTGGGTACATCCTCATTCTGGGTTCGGATGAAAAATGTTCCTTTCTCCCATAATTTCATTTGGAACAAGTTTTTAAATGGTGAGTCAGAGAACTTTTGTTCACCAGGACATCTAAATGGACATTTGACAGGGCTCCGATAGATCCAGTAGGGGGCTCAATTTCTGACACTTTCCCAAAAGCTTGACTGCCTAAAACAGCAATGACAGCTGTGACACCTCTACAGCCTCTTACTCTCTCCTCTTTCAGCCTTGGCAGAAATTAATCCATCAATGCATCCTTCCCCTGGAGGCCCTGACACATACAGCCTCAGAATCTCTCTCAACACACTGCTCCCACAGACGCCACCCAGCCTGCAGGTCCAAGTACAAACCCTGCACTCGGCTCAGAGTCCTTGGATCAACACTGTAGCCTTTCGGGGCTGCAGGATCTTCTCACAATTTCTATGTGTCTTAAAGGAAAACGTACAGAACCTTCATCAAATAATGAAGTTGTAATAATCAGTCAAACAGAAATAAACAACTGTATGCTCAGCTTGCCACCAATTTTCCATGATTTAAAAAATAATGCTTCTAGTAATACAAGTAAGTGTTAGTAAGTAGAGGAGACTACACGATACAGGTTAAAGCGACACCTCCTTATTTATCTTATTACATTATTGTGACATTTTTCAACTAAAAGGGCAGTATTTCATACTATTAATTATCTAAGGATTCTTCAGTTGTCCCAAGGAGCAAAAATAAGAGAGATTTAGGGCAAAGAAGAGTATGTTAAACAGAAGCCAGAAAAGAAAACTCTGAGATACCAAAAATATGAAAATAAGAATTTCACAAAAATATCTAAAGTTCATTTTCAGAATTCCCCAGAACCACAGGACAGAATCATGGAAACTCCTTCTTTCATACCAGCCTCTCTTTAGAAATCATTTGTGGGGGATGATTGTGTATAATAAGTCTCCTTAAAACAGTCCTCAGACGACCACAAACCAACCTGTTCTTAAAGAAAGCATGCGTGCTCTGCTCTTGCAAGGCTCTATCTAAATAGCGATAGAAGAATCAGTTCATGTTCTAGCATTTTTAATTCAAAAGCATTAAAAATCCAAAAGAAAAAGCATGTCATTTTTTATTATAAACATAAAACTTGGCAAACTATTAGTTAGAATTCCTTTGGTTGTAAGGGACAGAAGACTATCTCCAACTTCATTCCTTACCAAATAGCCCAGGATTAGAACTGGCTACACAGAACTCCATGGTGCCATACAGGCATTTCCGCCTCACCCATTTTACCCTTCTACAAATGAGGGTCCTCCATTGAGTCGGGGTGTGTGCATATGTATGTGTCTGTGTGTGTGTGTGTGTGTGTGTGTGTGTGTGTGTGTGTGGTGTGTATGCACATGTATGAAGGCAATTGCAAAGAGCCAGATTTAGATCCTCTCTGCGTGGAAAAGACTCATAATAAATATCACATATCTGCCCCTTGCCTAATCACATGTGCAACAGAACCGAGTGGAACAAGGGAAGTGTAGTTCACCACAACAAAAAGAGTGAGGGTGGAGATAGGAAATGCCATTATCAGAAAAAAAAAAATGTGTAGAGACAGATGTCAGCTTCAGAACCTTACTCCATTTTGAATGTTTGATTTCTTATGCTGGGAGTTCAGCACCTGGGTGTTATTCTCAATACCTGAAAACAACTTCATAATTTAAGAAAAAAGCATAATAATGGCCAACTCAGTGCTTTTCAGAAGTGGGATGGGAAGGGGCTCAAGGAAGACTGTGGGAAAGATGCTTGGCCATATACTAAAAATGGAGATGGCCTCTGTCAGTCAAACTCACTTATTCAGCCTTTGACAATGTCTTGCCTTGGTCACTGTAATTCTGAGTCTCAGACATTCCTTCATTTATGAGCTTTGGCTGAAGGGGGCTGCTACCTCTTTCCAAAAAAACAATTTTTTTTTCCTGAGTTCCAACTGAATACTCCCAAAAGTTTCACCAGAAGCCCTCTGCCCAGCCATGTTCCCCTTCGCTTACAAGACACTGTTTTGGGACTTTATTTTCTACCTCCACCCATCAAGGTTGGCGTCTCCTTTCAATCTGAAAGGGCTAGGGGGAAACACTTCTCTTAGTGTGTTCTTGAGTTGGGTCTAACTTTCCAGGAAGAGTCAGAGGTATGGCTCAAAAACAGGTCTTGATAACACCCCCACCTCTGGGACAATGGGATGGCTCAGTCCCCAAGGCTGTACCGCTCTCAGCTTTCTTTCCTTCTTCAGCCTTTTCAAATGCTTGCTGTTTTTTTCACCCCAGCACCTGAGCAACACAGACGGTGTCCTTGTGAGAGAAACAAGCAGCTTGTGCCCTCAGAGCAGGAAGACAAAGAGTAAAGCCTTTATCCCACTGTTTGGACACACAGTGACTCCATCTCATTGAAGCCTAGGTGATGCACTTAATCACGGTCCAGGATCCACCAGCTATGCAGGCTCGGGCTAGAAAACAGATTGCTTCACACCATCCAGAGCTCTTCAGCAGCCTCACATTGCAGTCAGGCTGCAACTGGACAGATGGCATGCAGGGCTCAGATGTGGCACAGTTGGGAAGCATCTGGGTCCCACTCAGGATACAACATTGAAAACATCAGCCACGCCCTGCTGGATGAGCCAGGGTCTGATGAACGGGGACTTGCTCAGCCTACAGGTGTCCCCCAGCCATCTCTCCTCCACCAGCACAAAAGCTCCACTCGAAGCATGGCCAGTGCCTGGGCTTAGTGGCATCTAGGCTCTCCATTCTAAGCTCTTGGGTCTCAAAGCCCCACCTCTTCATCAAGTGACAGGACAAAATATCTGTTCATCGCTGCTTTGGGACTCTTTCCAGAGATAAAATTTATCCCGACTTTCAGTATAGAGGTCTGTGATATGATCTGTCTAAGGCTTTCAAAGGCCCTCTCAAAGTATGGGAGTGAGCTATGGAGACCAGAGATAGATGATAGGCTGTTACAAAGGTAGGAAGCAAGAAGGAGACCAGCAAAGACACTCTGGCCACATCCAAGTGAGAGATGATGGCACTGGACTCCAGTGGTAATGGCAGAGGTGGTGATAAGCGGTGGATGCCACACACGCTTTGAAGGTAGAGAGGACACACTTGGGCCTGTGGGATGGGCTGATGGGTTGAATGTGGGGTATGAAAGAAAAGAGCAATCGACGATGCCACCCAAGGTTTGAGGCCTAAGTAATGGGTCGATGTTGTTGAGCTTTACTGAGATGTTGAACACAAGCAGTAACAGGTTTGGAGCTGGGGAGAGAGTGCACTAAAGACGTGGATTCTGGGCATGCTAATTTCCTGTCTATTTGGCATTCAAATGGAGGCTGAATCTGGCACTCAGAAGAGAGTCAGGGGGCGGGGGGGCAGCGGAGATGAGGCAGAGGCCTGAGTAATTATCAGAATATGGTCATTCTTGCCTGGATATTCCTGGGCAGCTCAGCTAACCTGCTGGATTTGCACATCCTTATGTGTAAACTGGACATAGCAATACACTTTCCAAGCCAGACCCCTATGAGTCCCTCACGCCTTAGTTTCCAGTACACCTCAAGGGACAATTCTGAAATCCAGTTGTTTTCTCCTTCTATGATAATTAATTTAAAAAGATGAAAATCTGACCTGCAAGCCATTAACAAAACAATCATCAAATGACTTCATACAGCCTACAACATCATTCTTAAAATGTATCTATTGCCCATAATCAACAATCAAGTCCTAGATTTCCAAATCGGGCTCTCTCTTAAAGAGCCAGTGGCCCCATCCCAGGATTCCTCAGAAACAGACATCGTAAACCAAGATTGAGGAGAGATAGGAGCCCTCAGCCTGACTTTCTGGAGCTTTTGTGCAACCACGTTCCACATAAATGCTGCTGTGGCAATTAGACACGCTCCACTGTGAGCTGGAATGTATAAGGTTGGATTAGCAAGTTACTGGCAAACCATTCAGTGTCATAACCCCAAATTAAACATGCTATCCCATCAGGTAGAAAGTAGACACACGTCCACGCCCTTGTGCTAACCAAGATGGTTCTGAACACTTTCAGGTCATGATGAAGTCACACTCATTCCAAACGAAATCAACTCCAGTCCCTAACCAGAGATGGGTTTTCTGCTTAATTAACGAAGCACCATTGTGGGAGGAGAGAGAGCCACATGTGAAGAAATCAACCACAGGGCTCCTTGGCTTCAAGAAACTTACAATCTGGTTGGAGAAACATGCCCCATCCATAGAGTTAATCAGCAAGACAAGAAATGACAAGCAGGACAGGCTGGGTGCCAAATGAACAATTTTGTTTTATTTACTGGAAAGATAAACATAGTCAAAACCATGAGTGTAGCTCTAAGTAGGCGCACATTAATTTAAAACAGGCTCCCACGCTTCGTAAACAGAGCAGGTGCCGAAACAAAAACAACCTTCCAAAGTAGGTCCCAATCTTGCCCCTCGTCCTGGGAAGAGCTCTGCAGTGTTAGGAAGCCCCACTCTAGGGAAGGCCTCCAAGCCCCCTGCAGAGTCAAGATCCTGCCCTAAAGAAACTCATTCACTTCGCATATCCCAGTGCTTCCCTAAACCTATTTTAGGAGAGAACCCTTTTTTCCAGTAACCTTGTTAACATTCAGCGAAACAAATGTCAGGAAACGCTAGCCCCGAGCTGAGCTGCCAAAGACTCTTCCCCCAAGCACAACAGGCCCCAGCTTGAGAAATGGTCAAGAGCTGATTTGAGAGGCTGCCAGCCCTCCCCACATTCATTGTGGGCTGACCTTAATCACAGGAGCCAACGGCATCTTTGACAAGTGGGTACATTTTCCCAGAAACATAACTCAGGGTCATAATCCTGACCCAGCTCACACATAGCATCGAATAAATAGTATCTTTGCCCAATAATATGCCATGAAAACAAAGATAATAGAACTAAAAATTCACAAAAAAATGTGAGGTTATAAGAGTAAACTCAAGACCTCTAAAATAGTCCTAAATGAACTGAGTATATTCAGGGGCTAAGGTACCTAAAACATATAAATTTATGCTGTGAATTATCTAAAATAAACATCTGACCTTGAAGCCTACCAATTATTCAAGAAATGATTTCGTTTGCCTGTTTTGAAGGTGGAGGACCTGGGGAGGCTGACTTGGATGGGCTGGGTCTCTGTTCTAGGGCGGGGTGGAGTTAAGGGCATGTCTCTCTCCAAAGAAGCCTAAAGTTTTTTTGTTGTTAAATTCCCCAGAGACATTAAAATCATTCCAACCATAACTCTCTTACATACTGCTCGTAGTTATAAATGTTGAGAACTTTCAGGAAAATAATCTGTGGCTATGTATCAAGAAATTTTTTAACACTTTGTTCTTTTCTACCTTTTGTCCTGGGGTCTATCCCAAGAAAATAATAAAAGGGGAGGGGGCGAGGGGACAAAGATTTACACACAAAGATGATCATCACAGGATCATTCACAGTAGCAGAAACAAAAGGAGACAATCTAAAGACCCAACAATATGGCATTGATTCAGTAAATTGGGGTTTAATCATATTATGGACTGTTATGTGGTCATTAAAAATCCTTAAGCATTTTAATGACATGGGGAAGTGCTTATTAACTACAGCAATTTTCATCTTAAATAAACAGAACGTTGGAAATACTGAGCACTATGAGCTCAAGTATGTTAAAAACAAATATAAATATTCATACACTCAGAGGAAAAAAGGATAATTTGGTATATTTCTAAAAGGAAATATACCAAATTATTCACAATGTAATCTCCGAGTGGTGAGATTATGGGCTGTTTTCCAAACTGCCTACAATGAACATAAACTTTATGAATGAAGAAAGCTACGTTTAAAAATAAATTTCACTTACTTTAGAGGTACAACTTTTAAATACAAAATTAGCAATTCCCATCCTTAAGTAGTCTAAGATACCAGTCACTGATGATTTGAATTACAATTAATAATCATTTTGAAGAGAAGACTTGGGGTTGCGGGGAATACAATAGCTACCTTCAAATTGTCAAGACATGTAAGGTGAGGCATTAGCAGAATTTAACAGCAAAACATGAATTAAGGAGTTGAGCATTTCCAGGAGAGAGACTGCAGCTCCCTAAAGGTAGAACTCTCTTAAGAGTTCATATTGTACCAAAAAGAAACAGTCTACCACCAGGAGATAGAGCCCCCATCTCTGGAAGTGTCCAAGAATATCAGGGGAAACAGATAGCTACCAAACAGTGCTGAAAAAAACGGGGGAGGGCAGTTGGTGAAATGGCATTTGATTTTAAGGCCCTGCAAATTGTTGTGATTCCAACATGCAGGGGCTACAACTGAGGTCACACAATCCTTCTTGATGGGATATTTTCTATTGCCATGGTATCACCTGCCACACCATGAACCCAAACCTCAGGAAACTTCAAAACTCTTCACCAGAGGACAGAGTTTCTGGGAGGAGAGAAGGAAGCTTTGGACATCTGACATAGACTCTATCATGGCCCCATGTACACTTTGGAGTCTACACCACCCACTCCCTTCAAAGCACCAATGATCCCATCTACCACTTCTTCCTCACCAAAAGATAACCTGATTGCCTGGTTCTTCCTATTAGGTACTCATAGTTCTCCTTATAAAATAATGTTTTGGTAGTGCCCGAAGGCTTGCTTTATATCCTTAGACAACACAGACACCCTGACCACAGCCCTGACTGCGAAATGGGAAAGTTCTGACTCAGTGGCTGCTAGGAAACACAAGTCAACTCTTTTAGAGAGTCTGGCTGAGTCATAGATAAATGAATAAAATAAATAAAAACAAAGTATATATGCAGTAGAGAAAGTGGAGATAATCCAGAAGTAAAAGATTTTAGATAGTACAGGGTCACACCCCATATCCCCCAAATGTCCTGCCCGCAGAAAATACGCTGGCCCTCCCCACCATATGTCAATGAGCCCTTTGCAGCAGTCACAGCACGACACCCAGAAGCCCAGTCTCTGGCCACCTTGATGCATGTCCCACTCTCCAGCAAAGCCAGCAGGCCTCCTCCAGCCATGCCCACCATGCCCAGGTGGGGCTGGGGTTCCCTGGGGGTCCCAGGGCTCCCAGCTGCTCTTGGCACACCACACACATTGTGCTCTAAGCACCCACTTATTTGTCTCTTTCCCAGCTTCTCTGCAGTGGTTGAGAGGACGGTGTGCTCTGGAGCCAGGGTGCCTTGTTTCACATCCTGACTCCCACGACTGGGCAAATCCCCACCTCCCTGGGCCTAGTTCCTCCTCTCTAGAACAGGGGTAACACAGCCTCTGAAGCAACTGGAACAAGCCTCGCATAGGAAGCGCTACAGTCTTTGTTGCTGTTATCGTTCTTCATTGACTCCACTCTCTCTTGGTGTCTAGCATGCTTTTTCCCACACTAAATATTTGCAGAAACAATGAATGAATCAATCAATGGCAAATACAATCTCTCTAAAAGGACAACGCTTCCACCCCAAACCTGCTCCTCCTCCAATACTCCCCACTCAGTGAAGCATCTCCATCTACCTACCTTTGACTCTCCTTTCTCCCTCAATGCCAATATCTAACCTGTCAGCAAGTTCCGCTGCTGTTTCCTCCACATCTCTATTTTCACCATCCCCACTGCCAGCAGCTTAACACACGCTCCTACAGAAACAGCCAACCTGCTCAAATGACTCCCCAGTGTCAGATCCTCACCATATGCTGCACCCCAAGTCACTCTCCCGGAGCCCTGCCCGACCTCTAGCCTCCTACCTGATTTCCTGCCTCTGTCCAAGCCAAGCACTTTTCCCTTGAGGACCTTCACACATGTGTTTCCTTCTGCCCACTCCCCATCCCTTCTCCTATCCCTTCATTGGGCCAACCCCAATCAAGCCTTCAGATCTCATTTTTAATGCAATTTCCTCAGGGAGCCGCCCAGGCCTGTAATCCCCGCCAACTTCTCAGCCGAAATCAGGTCCCCCTGGTCATACCCTCATGGGCCCCCTACTCTTTGAGGGCACCTGGCACAGGGCCTCCCACAGAGGTAGGGGCCACTGTGGCTTTGCTGGTGCTCAGCAGGCAGCACAGAGCCTCCCAACACATGCCACGTCCCAGCAAGCATCCACAATCCAGGTCAAACATCCCATCGAAACAGCGCATGTGTTTAATAACCAAGAGGGTGCTCTCTAGGTAGTGTTTTAAAAAATTAATTATGGGTAGGTTCCCCTGAACTCTTCAGAAACAAAAAGCAAAGGTTCAGCATGCCCTCTGAGCTTCCTCGAAAATGCACAGGGTAGACGGCAGAGATTTTCTCTGAAGTTCTACCCATCGTGCATTATTTCGTAAGAGTTTTCCACTCTCTTGCAGCATTTAAGCAATAACAACAAGAAAAGTACACCACCACAGTCTGGCAGGCTTTGTTCCTCGGGATTCAGTCTGCTTTCTTATCCCACACCTCCATGCTCATTACACAACAAAACACACCAGACCAAGAAGTACAAAAAATCCACCCCAAGGTAAAATTCTACATCGACTTCAAAAGGAAACCCCCAAGATAAAATTGTAGGAACTTTTGAAGTCTTTTGCCGTTTTGTAAGATACATACTATACCAAAATACCACCATTTTGGGTACTGAATCTTTTTTTGCTGGATACAAAGGAGGCTAAATGAAAGTCTTTGTATAGCAAAGACACCAGAGGTGGTATCCAGGGAGCGGCTCCTAACCCCACAGCTTACCAGCCAAGACTGACTCAAACTCTACCACTCAGCACAACTTAGCTGCTTGGCACTCATTTTGTAAGAGGAAAAAAGGGAGCAAAGAATTAAAAATATAAATTTCAAAACTCCACCAAGAAAGAAAAAGAGTTTAGTTATATGAATGCGAAAATAGGACTGGGGAGGCTGGGGGGTGGGGGTGTCTTGGAACTTGTGGCTAATGTCTCTGAGTTGTTAAGAAGTCCATGAATTTGTTGGGGAGTATGGGGAAGGAAGAAGGAAGAGGGAAGGCAGGGAGGAGGAAGGCAAAGACTGACGCCTTGTATAAACTCCCAGTTTTGGGCCAGCCAATGAAGGCATCGTCCCTGTTGCAATCGATTTCCTCTCTCCTCTGAACACAGATTAGGAATCACTGGATTATATAACAAATGAGATGCTATATCAGCTACAGGAACTAAAATTTGTGGAGTCTATTCTTAATGTAAATATCATTTGATAAGTTGACCTCCACTTGTTAAGAACATTTATTCTACACATCAATCGTTTCTAATGTGGTAACCCACATACCACATGAAAATAATCCAATCAGATTAAAATAGTCCAACAAAATGCTCTGAATTCCCACGTGAAGATTCTGCCCCATATGGGTACTGGAAGAAGTTATTCTTCTTAGCAATCTGTAAAGTTGTAGTTTCGAATGATTAATAATCAACACTGAATACATCCCTATTCTTCAAGCGAGACATTAGAAATAATTATGAAATAGCTTGGCCCAAAAGTTACAACAATTCCAAATTTCGGGGAAATTAAGAAGCAATCCTTAGACAATTATTTTGAAACATGTCTGATGAAACACTGTGATGTGACTATGTCTTACTTAAAAGAGTGAAAAGCAAAGTGTGAACAAGAGCCCCAAGTGTCTGGAGAAAAGTTAGCCCTTCATCGGCGACTCTAAACACGAACCAGACCCTCTGGCCAATGTTTAACTGTACAAAGACCCAAATGATGTATCAGCCACCATTCAGAATGCACCCTTTACAAACAAAGACACACTGTACCAGCCAAAGAACAGCTGGTTTTGGTTGGCACATTGCCTTATGTTCAGCAAAAATATAATCATAAATTTGTAGTCTCAAGGTGTATGCATCCTCAATCCCAAAAACTATAGGTGACCAGGTGGATAGAGGTCAACAACGCAAGGCCTTTCTTCCACTCTACTTTCCTATCTCCCTCAACTCTTTCCTCCTCCCCAGAAATCCTCCTTCTCACCCCTGGTGTCAGGTGAAGACTGCAGAAATACCCCATCACAGGGCTGACTCATAGAACCAAAGTCACCATTCATGACAAGCATTCAAGTATTTCACAAATGTAAACCACATTTGTCCTTTTGTCCAAATTCATGGCTTTTCCCTTCTCCCCGGCTCCCAGAGCCCACCTTCCTCCACCAGCCCATCCCCTCTAGGCAATGGCCATTCCCAGATCCCCTTGAGCACAGCAGAAAGCCCAAAAGATTGTAGACAGTTGCCAGCTGTGGCTGCTTTGGACAAAGGTCTCCATCTACAAGAGGGTGTGTATGCCCCAGGGGAGTTGCTATGGTCAACACGCCTGCTAAGACACAGCAGAGGAAAAAGGTGCCTAAGCCCCCTTGCTGCACCCCTGGCCAAAATCCACACAGGCTCTGGAAGGAATGTTTTGCCATCTCCTCCAGATCATTAATTTCTACATAGGAAAATGAGATGCTTAGGGCCCAGGTTGTGGCAACTGTTCTTGTGGGATTTGAGGTGGAGGATCTTTGCTCTATCCAAATGGACAAACCCCCACTCCTTTACACGGGGGTACTGCTCCCTGGCATGGGGCCCACAGAGCCTATGCCACAAACACAGGGGCTGTGTCCACTCTGAACCACTGCCAGGATTCACATCTTCTCTCCTCACTCAAAGAGAGAGAACAACGAAGAGATTTTAAAGATAATGTCCTTTCTCTGTAGCTAAAAAATAAATGTGGGAAATTCCCATCAACCATTGCCAAAAGCAGATAAATAAATTTCAAAGCCTGGACCATGCTGGGAAATTCAGGGAGGCGGGAAACCTGAAAACAGGCTTCTTCACTTTACTCTCTAGGTGTCTAGAACTGTCACACTTTTTTAAAAAAAAAATCTCTGTATATTTGTTAAGAATTTTTTTTTAACAGGGCATTCACTTTTGGAGAAACCTGCATTAGAACCCCCAACCAGCAACTTCTTTACACCTATGCACTGTCCCTGACCATGACCCAATTTACAGTCAGCAAAACAGAACCAGCCACAGCAGTTATTTTCACCTCCTGTAGGAGAGAAGACATCACAAGGCTCTGGAAAGGGAGCAGAGAACTGGATCCAAGCCTTGCTCTGGCCACTGACTCAGCGTGTGACATTGGGCAATTCACTTAAGGCATCTCTGGGCCTCAGTTTCCTTTCCTGAGGGCAAGTTGGGCCTAAATGATCTAAGGTCACTTCCAGCCCTGAAATCTTGACCTTATAGGAGCAGATGTAATTATGAGCATCCATTTTATTGTGGAGTTAGAGGAAAGGGGAAGCTTCTAGCAAATGTCAATCTTCTTTCTACATGCCTCATTTATACCAGAGAAAAGAAGACATTGTCACAAATGATGACTCAAAATATGGTTTTATAAAAATAAGTTATTTTGTGATATAAACACACACATATGACAGAGGTATAACTCATTAAATAACACATGCTCAATTACAGCAAGCTCCAAAATAAGGAGGCAGTTAGCCCAAAATGGCAGAATGCATCTTAAGATTTTTCTACTTAAGAAACTTATTTTGCAATTTTTAGAAATTACAATATAGAGGCAAAATGTATTTATGATTAACATTTTGTGATACTCAAATGAAAAACCCATGATTGATTCATGCTTTGCATAATTCTACCTGTCATGGATGGATTCATTATAAAAATATGCCTTCCATTAATTATTTCAAAAGTATGAAGTCCAGCTCATGATATAAATACATAGAAGGGAATCTTCAAATAAGGCTGAGCTATCTTCTCAAGAGGTTAATTTATAAATTCCACTCTTAGAGCCTACAAAACC
The DNA here is from genome assembly GCF_000001405.40 of Homo sapiens. Classification (NCBI taxonomy): domain Eukaryota; kingdom Metazoa; phylum Chordata; class Mammalia; order Primates; family Hominidae; genus Homo; species Homo sapiens. The sequence continues at coordinate 113,040,777 of NC_000010.11, read as the reverse complement.
CTAAGAAAATACATTAAAAATATATGTAGACACACACTTGTAGTCTCTTAGTACTAAAAACAAATGCTTTCTCTATCAAACCTACATACTTTCAAAGCCATGGATGTATAGATTAAATTCCATTTTAGCCTTTCAAAGTTCATTTCTACTCTAGGTTTACAAGTCAGCCAGCCCAGATGAAATTTTTCTAATGTTAGTGTAGAATGTTGCCAACAAATATTAAGATAAATTGGGGGAGAGGATAATAGGCAAGTTTCAAATCCAGGACCCCCTTTTGAGTTTTCTAATTCCCTCTTCTTCACTTCACCTGCCCTGAATGTATTTTTATAACTGCTTTGATACCACCTCTAGTCTCCTCCATACCATGGTGATTGTGTCCTATAAACTAGAGCCCACAAGGCTAGATTTTAACCAAATACATGGAAAAGAGTGGAGGAAAGGTTTGTAAAATTTCCAGGTAGGTTACAATCATTAAGGTCCAATAGCAGAAAATGAATACCTTATAGATATAAACTATACCCAACAATATTTCCAAAGAAAATGTGTTTAAAGAAAGAAAAAAATGACAAATAAGGCCTGTTATCATCAAAAAAGCATTTTCTTTTTCACCCCCTCAATAAAGGAAGCCATCATCTCTGGGAGGTTACTTACGACAATGTGTGCCGGTGATGGGGACCGGGCATCCTTGAGGGCTTGTCTACTCTGGAGGCTCCCTGCCTGGACATCAAGCAGTGGCCATTTCATCTGGAGATACTGGCGAGAGGAAACAAAAGTGAAATGAAAAACAATGAATTCAGAAAGTAAATGCAGAACAACTAGCCCAAGAAATAACTGTGACATGGGTCAGAAACTGAAAAACATACAAGCATGCAAATAATCATTAAAAAAATAAAAAAGCATGCAATTCCAATAGGGTCTTCCTCAGAGCTCAAGTTCAGTAAGTACACATATAGAAGATTAATGTTACTAGCAACTGTATTTTTTGTCTTTGCATTCAAAGTACAGGGTAGCTTCAGAAAAAATGATTTCATTACTACTACCTTAACTTGGTGGGGGCTGGAGGGGAGTGGGAGAGGTGGGGAGGGAGAGGAAAGAATATAGAGCTATTCCAAAGGAAGAAAGTAAAACACAAATCTCAAGCCAGAAGTGTCCTAGGAAACCATCAATTCCAAATCTGCTCCTTTTCAACCTCCGTTTTTCAAATGTCATCATCCTTCACTTTAAAGGAAGTCAAGTACATATGAGCAGCTGTCCTTTAGGTAGCAAAAGCTACTTGAGTACGGTGAGCATGCAGTTCTTCATACAACCCAAGTTTACTCAACAAAACTTACTTCTTGGTAAAAAATGCACAGGGCCAGACACAATGTATACACTCATCTCAAAAGACCAGAGGAATGCTTTAGTATGCACAGGTTTACCATAGAGATAAAAATAAAGGTGTACATCAATTCTGTCTGTCCCCACCTTCCTCCAAGCTAGGAAATAAATATACGGCCCAAGGGAGCTACTTCTGTCAAAAGCGATCAATTAGCTTTCAGTGAGATTTGAACGATGAGTTGACCCAGTTCCTCATTTTGCAGACAAGGTAAAATGAGGTGAGGTGGCTTGCCCAGTCACAGAGGTACTCAGCCCATGTATAAGAAACTCTTAGGCATTTAACTTCTGTTGGTAACATTAAGACAGTTTCACTCAGGAAACCAAACAGAACTTAGACACAATGCTTAGAAGCACATGGAGACGAGCCTTTATGCTTCTCAAGGCCAACTCACTAATCCATCAGTTAATGAATGCTTGGAGGGGATATAAGATATAAGGAGACACCTTGGTCATTTCGGAGACCTCCTCAAGCAAAATAAATGGCTGGTTTTAATATTAATTCTATAGAAAACTTTACTCAATGAACACTGAGTACTACTTGCTTTGTGTACAGGCTGTGACAAGCACTAGGAGAGACAAAGATGTCCGCTCTCGGGGAGTTTTGCCAGCATGAGGAGCCTTACAGACACAGGTAAATCAAGACAGAACATGGTGACACTGTGACAGAGACTCAGGGACTCAGGAAATGCCAAGAAAGATGACAGAATTTCTGGGACAATAGACTGGGGAAGGCTGCACAGAGTTAGGTCTTGATGGTCAGAACAATTTCAATAGAAAGAAAAAAGACAGGAAAGGATAATACAGAAAGAAGGGTTTGCACAAATCCCACGAGAGACAGAAGTGCCAAAGCCATCCACAAGCCAGCCGACGGAGTTCCTCGAAGATACGACTGCTTGGCAAATTCAAACCAAATTTGGTTATACCTAAAGCTGGAAGATCATTGCCCAAGAACTACTTGCCAAAGTACACAGTCGATTTTCCCATGACGTCTAGGATCTATACGAGGTGGGTGTGTCTGCTACAAATTCAGAGCTTTCACCTAGAGGCCTCCCGTGGTGAGCAACCTAGTTATTAGTCCGGTTGTGTCTGCATCTTGCCACAAGACCCTGCATCGACTCCCCTTGCTTCAGTGATCTCTGTTTTTTTCATCTGTGTACTGAATGAGTTGTCCTATCTGCGACAGGGTATTAGGTGGGGAGTCTGCCCCAAACACTGAAGGACTTGTAGGACTCCAAGCCCCCAGACAGTAAATACCAACAGGAACCCCCTTGGTTATCCTTACCATCTCATCACTTCCAAATACCTTCTCTGGGAGCAGTATCATCTCAAGTTGAGAACCACTAAAGTAAATATTTCCAGTCTCCATCTGTAACCCAGGCCAGAGGGCTCTGGGAATCTAAACTGCCCCATCTCATCCCAACTTCTTCCCATTCTCACTTACCACATAACTATATGAGCTGCATTGGTCAAAACCACTCAATAGAGTCATTTCCTTGAGGCCAACCAAAATGGACACCCACCAACACTCACCTCTCCATCTCATAAAAACCCGTGAACAAAAATGCCAAATGGAGTCAAACCCATCTACATCCCATGCTATCCCTCAGTGGGGAGAGCTGGATTGGTGGACAAGTTTTCATCTTTGGCCACCTGCAAAACCGATTTGATTACATCCAAATACCAGCTCTGTAGAATTAGGAAACTCGGGCTTTGTTGAAGGTGACAGACCTGCCCTGAGGACCCACCCAAGAACTGTCATACTCATAATACAATATTAACATGGAGACTTATAATTCTTACTTTACATAAAAGCTTCATTGTGTGCCACATCCAATCTCCATAGGCTACCTGCACCACATATTTTTATGAGCCCACATTTCAGCACTCCAAGCCTACAATACACATAATTTTCAATTATGTTAGGGCAGCCCAGGATCATTGCCTATATAACATTATTGTTGGAGGAAATGAGACTCGGCCCCACTGCCCAGAGAGAGCTAACCAAATCCAGATGGTGCAGGAAGACAGCCCTGGTCCTGCTGACTTGCAGGGACTCCACAGTGACAGCCCCAAACTCTCCTTCCCAGTGCAACTTGATGCCACAGAACCGCTGGGTACACACAAATCCAAGCCCATTCCTTGAATCTTAACTGGCATTCAGGCTGATGAAGTGCCTTTTGGGGAAATAAGTATTATGTCAGGATTTTCTAAAGGAAGCTATTAACCTTCTCCAAAAGTGATGGGTTTCCCAGCTTCCTTCATCTTCTACAATTGGTGCTTATTAATAGGGAAAATAAATAAATAAAGAGAAGAAAAAGGAAATTAGGTACTATTACAGCCTAGAGGAAAATTTTTTTCCTTCCTGGAGACATTAAGCAGCAGGAATTTCTATTCTGTTGGGTCCTAAAGGAAGACCTAAAGGAGGGGGCATCTCAGATTTACAAAAGGGCTGGAACCCTGTGCCACGTTTTCCCAACCATCTGACTTAGTTTTATATCCTTTTGGGGGAGGGAAAAAAAAAGTTCCCACCATCCCACTACAAAAACAACAGTGGGCTCCAGCTCTCTTCCTCTCAGGCTGTTCAATGTGGAAATTATGAATTGCCTACAAAAACATTAAACTTTTCAACAAACTGCAATCAAATGGGGCTGTGGGAATTCCTACATTGAAAACTGTTGGACGGGAGTCTGCTCAACTTTCATTAAAAAAAAAGAAAGAAAGAAAGAAAGAAAGAAGGCCATCTTGGCTTAAGCATTTCATCCTTTGTTGAATAATAATGTTCTGATCATGGCCCATTAGGGTTTTTCCCCAAATCATATTTTATGATATGTCTCAGGGAGCTTAAGTTAAGCTTTGGACCTGTGAGCAAATCTTGAAATATATACAACACCAATGGCCTGAAAGGAATCAAAGCAGCTGAAAAGACTGTTAAATTGCCAGCAAAAAGAAAAAGGTGAGCATCTCTAATTATTTTTCTCCTCTTCCACCTCCCCCAATGAAAACAGGGAGAAAAGGCAAATGAGGAGAGGCTCCTTTAGGAAATAGTCTTAGCAGAAATTGGCATCTACTAAAGCCAGACTGATCCTGCTCCCATAGAGGGGCCTTCATCCTTGAGAATCTTCCATCAGCAGCAAGAATGTTGAGGATGGGCTGCTCCAAGAACCTGCCCCCTTACAGCTGCTACTGGGGGCTCTGTATAAATTTCTTTTCTAAACAAGCAGAAAACTTAAAGGGCAGATGATGATGATGATGATGATGATGATGATGATGATGATGATGATGATGGTGATGATGATGATGATATGGCGACAAAGTTGCCAGGAAACCTCACATCCTTGATAAAACACCAAGTGGCTTCCAGTATTTCCAGTATTTCCTTTCAGTGACTCTGCTCCACAGATGGACGGGGCAAGTGGAATTTGTCCCTTTATTTGTTCAGGGCAGGGTTGGCAAACTTTTTCTGCAAAGTGCCAGACAGCAAATATCTTAGGCTTTGCGGCCCACACAATCTCTGTCATAACTACTCGACTCAGCCATTGTAACTCGAAAGCAGCCACAGGCAGTCAGTATATGTCTTGTATCATGGCTGTGCTCCAATAAAAGCTTATTTACAGATACTGAAATGTGAATTTCATATCATTTTCCTGTGTCAGAAAATATTATTCCTCTCTTGATGTGTTTCAACCATTTAAAAATAATAAAAGTGCTGGATGCAGCGGCTCAGGCCTGTAGTCCCAACATTTTGGAAGGCCAAGGCCGGAAGATTGCTTAAGGCCAGGAGTTCCAGACCAGCCTGGGCAACAACAGCAAGACTGTACAAAAATAAAAAAAGTTAGCAGGAGGATTGCTAGAGCCCAGGAGTTTCACGCTGCAGGAGCCGTGATTGCACCACTGCACTCCAGCCTGGGTGACAAAATGAGAACCTGGCTCAAAAAATATTAATAATAATGATAATAAAAAGTCATTCTTAACTCACTGGCCAGAAAAAAGCACGTGGCAAGCCAATTTTGGTCTATGGGCCATAGTTTGTCATGCCCTGGTTAGGGAATAAAATTGTAGAGGCCTGCCTGTGTCAGATGGGCGAGGGTGCCTTCCCTTGCTGGGCCTTCAATCCAAACAGCCCAACACAGGCATGCAGAAAAGCATGTCCGGTGGCCTAATAGCAACGTTTCGGATTAACTCAAGTTGTGAGGGAAAAGCTTGGAAAAAAATCCTGAACCCTTTGGCTGAGGCCCCCATCACAAGGTCTAACCACAAGACCACAATCTCACCAAAATAACTACCCCCTCTTTTCCAGAATGGAAGTCTAAAAATCCCTGAGCAATTCTGACTGGAAAAGGTTCAGAGCGAGACCCTGTTGAAAGAAAGAGAGAAAGAGAGAAAAGAAAGGAAGGAAAGAGATGGAAAGGGAAGGAAAGGGGAGGAAAGGGAAGGAGGGGAGGGGAGAGGGGAAGGAAAAGGAAAGAAAAAAGTAAAGAAAAGACAAAACGAATTATGGTATTTTTGAGATACAGTCTTACTCTGTTGCCTAGGCTGGAGTGCAGTGACGCAAGCTCGACTCACTGCAACCTCTACCTTCCAGCTTCAAGTGATTCTCCTGCCTCAGCCTCCCGAGTAGCTGGGATTACAGGCGCGTATCACCACGCCAGGCTAATTTTTGTATTTTTAGTAGAGATCGGGTTTTACCATGTTGGTCAGGCTGGTCTCAAACTCCTGACCTCAGATGACCCTCCCACCTCAGCCTCCCAAAGTGCTGGGATTACAGGTGGGAGCCATGTCTGACCAAAAAAATCGAATTAATTGGTTACTATCCTCATGATGGCTTTCCGCTGTTAAATTTTCCTAATCCTCTGGTGCCAGAAAGTTGTACTTCTGGTTTTAACCAAATACAAAATCAATACTCTGCTTATGCGCCCAAAGCTGAGAGTATAGCCAGCCATAGCCCATCATGTCCAAAGTCACTAAGCCTCCTCCGCATCAAGGTGGCTGCTCCTAATCTTTCAGTGCAGCCTCACCACGGGCCATTCATACTGACCCCCTACAAATATGCAACACAAAAGACCGCACCACGATTATGATTCTCATATCATTACACTTTACAAAAGGAAAGACGATCAGAAGCCACTCACCATAGAAAGGGAAATACCAGAAAAATGTGCAAAATAAGAAAATAGGAAGTACAAGTATACAACCCAATAGCGGACACTTATTTCTTCAGGAACTCATATTGTGACACACACCTAGTAGACACAAACATTTCTGTTAAAGAAGAGGCCTGATTGTCTCTTTCTAAACCTACCTCATTTCTCAGAAATGGACGATGGAAAATTCAGCCCATCTTCTATAAACAAATAATTTTGCCTGGGCGTCACGGAATCCCAATTTACCCAGAATGGTTAAAATACAAGAAGTTGTGATTAATTTAATATTCTGCCCTACCCTCTGAATCATACAGGCACCAAAGTTTTCCAAAAGTTAGCATTGATCAAATATACCTAACACTGAAACTCTGTGAAACTATTTCACAAGTCCCTTCAGAATTGTAAGGGGCATCATTACAAAGTCTGTTTAACCAACTTTTCTGCAGATGCAGAAGGTATAGGAGACTAGGCTGCTTTGCTCTAAGTAAAAACATACTCCAGGAATTGCATCTTTTGAAAAAATCCAGAAAGCCTAAGACGGAGGCTTTATTTGCCTATAAAGCATGACTGTATAGAAAAAGAAATGTGTGATTGCTGTTGTTTAACATAAATAAGTATGTACTATAGTTACCTAGGAAAAGAAAACCAAAGATCTCAGAAGGTTGGGTAGACTCTGTACTTGGAGAAAGAATAAAGCCATAGAAAAATTTCAAGCCAGGCATGGTGGCCCACGCCAGTAATCCCAGTACTTTGGAAGGCTGAGGCAGGAAGATTGCTTGAGTCCAGGAGTTCAAGACCAGCCTAGGAGACCCCATCTCTACCAAAAAAAAAAAATTAGCTGAGTGTGGTGGCGCGTGCCTGTGGTCCCAGCTACTTGGGAGGCTGAGGTGGGAGGATCACTTGAGCCCAGGAGGCAGAGGTTGCAATAAGCCAAGAAGGTGCCACTGCACTCCAGCCTGAGCAACAGAGCAAGACCTGGTCTCAAAAGAAAAAGGAAGAATAGAAAAGAAAAGGAAACGAGAGAGAGAGAGAGAAGCAGCAGAAGGAGGAGGAGGAAGGGAAGGAGGAGGAGGAAAGGAGGGAGGGAGGGAAAAGAAAAAAAGAAAAGAAAAGATAAAAAAGAAAAAGATTTAAGTAAGATATTAAGGTTGACTTGGGGGAAAAAAAACCAACATAGTCGGAACTCTTTTAAGTTTTTCCCTTAAATCACTATCTCATTTCTCACATAAAAGGAATATAGGGGGAAAAAGGTAGGATATCAAGGCATCTGTGTGAACAATTTAATAGCCTTATCTTCTATCTCTATCAGTTGGTTGTTATAAGATTTTCAATGAAATCCTTACAGTTAACCTTTTTCTCATAAATATTTTTAATCATAACAATGTAAAGAGCACTAATATCACTTCATATTTAGAGGGTATTTTAGAGTTCAGAATGACATCCACAATAACCCTACAAAATAAATGGGCAGAAAGGTGGAACTAACCTGTTAGCAAGGAGGAAACTAAGGCCAACAGAGCAAGACCCAGATTGACTGAGGTGACAGGAGCGAGTGGCAGTCAAGCATCTAGGTCTCCAGCATACCGGATGTGTTTTCACTCACCCTGACTTACCTTACAAATCCCTTCTATCTTTCCCAGTTTTCTTATCAACTGTTAGGCATCCTTGCCTGAACTCAACCAGGATGTGTGTCTCAAAGTACATGGTGAAGGGAACATCTCAGTGTCCCCAAAGTAATAAGCAAGACTTTCCAGCATCTAGCATCTCTCCCTCCCAAGTCTATGGACAAACACTGAATTGTTTTCCAAGGAAATTTTTCCACCAGATTTAAGGAGGCCCCTGGTGTGATGAAGACAATGAAGCAAAACAAATAACTAACAAACAAAAAAATCCAATTAACAAAACTTGGGATTCACTGTTTTCTTTAACCCGCCAATCCTTTAACAGCTCTGTCCCTGAACTATTTCTGCATTTGACAGGTTAGTGGTTCTGCAGGGAGGCTATGGTACAGCAGCTCACACACGGACAATCGGTATGGAATTTCACCAGACCCTCCTCTCACAACCAATGGGCCCCTTAGGCTGAGGCCCAGGCCTTCCTTCCACCCTCTCCCAAAAGTCGCTCTTCAAATTACGAGTGCGTACTCCCAGGAAAAGTATGGTAGAAAGGGAAGAGTCTGGAAACCTATTTTCCAGGCCTAGCTCTGCCACTGACCTGGCATGTCACTTCATTTCTTCATTGGACAACCTCTTCTCCACGCTTTGCCTAAGTCTGTAGCAAGAAATGAGGAACATGATCTAAAACTCTTTCTACTCCAATGCATGGATTCCTGCAGCATTTACCATTAAACAGATGCTCTGTGTCAGCTATGGACTAGATATTCTGAGGCCCAGAGAAGTCATCTAAAGACACAGTCAATGGGACAATAAGCTAATCAATGGTGCAGGAATTAACACAAAGAAGGTAAGTAGGGCCAGACACAGTGGCTCATGCCTGTAATCCCAGCACTTTAAGAGGCAGAGGTGGGCGGATCACTTTGAGGTCAGTAGTTCGAGACCAGCCTGGCCAACATGGTGAGACCCCATCTCTCCAAAAAATATAAAAATTAGCTGGGTGTGGTGGCAGGCGCCTGTTATGCCAGCTACTCGGGAGGCTAAAGCAGGAGAATTGCTTGAACCTGGGAGGCAGAGGTTATAGTGAGCCAAGATTGTGCAACTGCACTCCAGCTTGGGCAACAGAGCCAGACTCCATCTCAAAAGGAAAAAAAAAAAAAAAAAAAGGTTGCACAGTATCCAAACCTTGCTGGCTTGTTTAGAGGGACTTTTTTCCTGATGCACTCCAGATCTGTTAAATGAAACTTGGTAGTGGCCCAGGATCTGTACGTACTTTTTTCCAACTTGCCAAGCAATTCTGACCATCAGTCAACATCAACTATCAGTGCTAGGGCAGTGTCAATAATCAGCATGTAGTCCATTTGAAGATTCCATTTTACTTCCTCAAAGGCTCTTTTAGACCTCTAAATTGATTGTCACTACATCCTTTTTAGGTGGTCAAAGCCAATAATCTCCAAATCCATCTTAAAACAGAAGAAAGTGAGGCACAGAAAACTAAGTGACTTAGTTATACACAGTTATGAGGGACTGAAACCAGAACGCAGGACTTTGGTACTTCCAGGCCAGAACTCTTTTGCCTACACCCTACTGAGCTTACGGGCAGAATGGCCAATGGGTGCCCAGGCAGGAAGAGAAATCTCCAGGGGAGGGCAAAGACCCTGCAATGGTGCAGTCCCAAGACAGGGAGCTGGTGAGACAGACTCTGGCCTCTGAGACAGTCTTGTTCCATAGTGACCAAAAGAGGCCCAGACCTAGCCATCTCAAAGTCTTCAGGCAACCCCAAGATTGAGTCCCACCCAAAGGGCTGTGGATTCCAAACAAATGTCAGCTCCACCACCAGCACACAAGTCCCTAAGCCAGGAGGTTAAAGGACATGAAGACATTGGAAGAATTCAAAAGGAGCAGCCCTTGCCCTCCCATGTCTCTCAGAGTCTTCAGCAGACAGAGCAAGACAGGCTAATGCTCCTTGGCCGCTAAGCTGATGACTAACAAATAATGGATGCTTGCAAGCTCCTGGAAGAACCTCCCACTAAGAGGCAGGCCAGAGGCCATCTACCTTCAGGCAGAAAAGTATTTACAATCTTTCACTTTAATATCAATCTTGTGGCCACCATATTTTCTAATTACTGCTTCTTATAAAAAGGCCAAGTACAATGCAGTTAATTGGAATGTTTTAGTTACTACCCATGTCTCTACAGCATGCTGAAGTAGGCAGAGGCAACAGGAGACCAGGAAAATAGCTGGAAGACAAGGAGCAGCCCAGGAATGAATGTGGGTGTCACTGGGAGCTGAATATGGTATGTTCTGGGATAAGAATGCACCAAGTCTCAACCGATAGCTGGATAACTAAAATGCGGTACAGCCATAAAATGGAATACTATTCAGTAATAAAAACAAATGGAGTACTGACACATGCCACAACATGGTAGCCCTTGAAAATATGCTAACTTCAAGGCAGATGAAGAAAGTTTCATGGTGTATGATTCTTTTTATATGAAATAACCAAAATAGGCAAATTCATAGAGACAGGAAGTAAATTAGTGATTGCCAGGAGCTATGGGGAAGGCGGGTAGAGACTGGCTGCTAGGGTTACAGTGTTTCTTTTGGGGATGATAAAAATATTAAGATACTGGTATGTTTGTACAATCTTGTAAATATACTAAATAGACTAAAAAACCACTGAACTGTACACCTTAAATGGGTACATTTTATGACGTGTGAATTATATGTGAATTTAAGATGAACTGAAAACAAAAAAGAGTCAGGCACCATCTTTGATGGTGACCACATTCATTTAAGAGATAAAAGGGGATGGGGAGGCTTGGCGCGGTGGCTCACACCTGTAATCCCAGCACTTTGGGAGGCCGAGGCGGTTGGATCACCTGAGGTCAGGAGTTTGTGTGACCAGACTGACCAAAGTGATGAAACTCCATCTCTACTAAAAATACAAAAATTAGCTGGACGTGGTGGCGCATGCCTGTAATCCTAGCTACTTGCGAGGCTGAGACAGGAGAATCGCTTGAACCCAGGAGGTGGAGGTTGCAGTGAGCCGAGATCACGCCATTGCACTCAAGCCTGGGCCACAAAAGCGAAATTCCATCTCAAAAAAAAAAAAAAAAAAAGAGGAATGGAGAGAAGACAGAGTCACATACACACACACTCCACCATAGAAGAATGAACAGAAAACCTGTGAACCCGTTCTATACAAAATCATATCCTCCAAAGCTTCTTGGGAAACAAGCAATTTTTCCAAATGTGATTTTGGTTGGTGCTGAATCTCGGGGAGGGATGCTTACAAAGGCATGGGAACTCCAAGACCTTGTGAAAGATAAGAGAGGACAGTATACCTTGGGTTAATGGTGCTGATGAAGAAACATGGGAAAGAGGACTGTTTCAAGGCATGTGGCTAAAAAACAACAGAAGAGCAGTTGAGTCAACAAAACCACAGGCAATTCAGAAACCTGAATCTTAGAGTCCATTCTCTAGTACCCTGTGACCTCAGTTTCTCTACCTAAAAAAAAGTAGGCATGAAATCACATACCTAAAGCCCCTTGACTAGCTCCCACATCATTTATTCAACCTTGAAGGATAAACCATGTAAATGAAGACAAATAATTATATCAGGTCCAAGGCAGCTAAGATTTGCTATTTCTTCTTCCCACTACACAGGGGATTTCACAGCCAGAAATTTTAGGTCTACCATGGAAATTGTTAAGAGACGAAGCCAACAAATGACCTTTGAGAGGTACAAAGCCAGCAAGTAACAGGGTCCTGGTGACCTGGAAGGGTTATTTTAAATCCATGAATCATCAGATTGCAGCAGATATTAAAATCACAACTTCTAAAAAATCCCTTTCTTTCTCCATGGCTGGGAGCTCTCAAGGCTTGATTTTTCTAATTAGGTTCTCCTCCCCATTCTGTATTTCTTTCCCCCATTCCACAACAACAAAAGACAACGAAAGACTTGGCGGTCAAAGAGCAATGAATTAACTTGCTTTAGTGAGTCTACATAGACAGCAAATGCGAGACAGGCTGGGCTCCGTGTCCTCCAACTTCAACTGAAACCGCACCCCGTGCTGCGTTTTCCTTTTGTTTTTTTTCCCCTTGTCACATTGGAAAGAGGTCAGTGGCTCTGGCAGGGTCTCCCTGTCCAAATTTTTATTGTCAAATTCTAGCTGTGACAAACATGTGGAGATGCTTCGTAACGCTACACCCAGGAAGCCCAAAGGTCAGCAGTGCCTCTGGTTAATTTTGCTTGGGGAGGAACAAACCCCAAAGCCAGGGTGAAGATTTACGGGAGGCTGACCTTCTGGAGGCCCCACGACCCCCCTGCATGCAAGTCTTGCTGCCTCAGCCAGAAGCAGCCTGTCACTCAAGTATCATCTTGCTGTAACAAATTACTCCTAACCCAGGATTATGGCTCTTTCCAAATCCCTCCTAGAGAGCAAGGAAATAAACATTCTCTCCCAGGACTCTGCCCCAGTTGTTCCCCCTGTTGGTAATCCTTGTCTCTATTTGCTCCTCCTACAAGCCTTCATCTGGGAGGTCTGCTAGACCATCCCGGCCCACTTTCCTTTCAGACATAAGCTGAATGTCTCAATTGTCCATTAGGCACAGTAAAAGATGAAGGCAGGCTTTCTGTCCAGAGAAGCCTCACACAATAGTTCCCTTTGCCCACACGCTTCTCGTCTGACTGCAGACCCGACGGGTCTAATCCTAGTCACTCAAGGAAGTCCACACCCCAAATTCCTTCTTCACGTTCCATGGGACGGGTGGCAAGAACAGACCATCCCAGAGAAGCAGGGCTGCAGGGCTACCTCCTGGGGACGGCATGACATGTGGGGCTGGGTTGAATAGGGTGAGGGGGGGAGAGAAGAGGAGAGGGAGGAAGGAGGGTCGAAAAGAAGAGGCAAGATAATAGGGTTGCAGGCTGTAGAAACTGCCTCTCTTACCCCTGCCTGCGGTTTCCTTTAATAAACTACCAGGAGATATTTCGAGCACAATAACCTCATTTGGGGAAGGAAATACAGTTTTGTCCACTTCCAAAGTCTCCTGTGAAACACTGGGATATTCCAAGCACTTTGGACACAGAGGGCTGTTTTGTTTTTTTAATTGTATACATAGACTGACTAGAATATGCCAAGAAGCAGAGAAGAGAACAATGGATATTATCATCAAAGTGGGTGATTTGAGGAGATAAGGATCTTAGGGCTGTTTTAAGAAAGACTTTCTCCCTGGAGAGAGAGAATCGTTGACAGGCACCCTCTCTGACACATGACAGACAAGGAGAGAAACGCTGAAAGAACCAAAAGACATTGATGAAACATAAACACCCCTATCAAAACCCAGACACCAAATCAAATTCCTGCTTCAAAAACCAAAAAGAAATAAGCAGTTGAGGAACTAGGAATGTAACTTTCTGCAAGAACCAAAAAGTGCTGAAGAAATATAAATGGCCCTATCAAAATCCAGACACCAAATCAAATTCCACTTCCAAAAAGAAAAAGAAAAACCAGTTGAATTAGTCAGCACCACTAACTCATTCCAAAGCAAGGACCACCTTTATTTTCTCATGTTTAAGGCCAGGGCTGACCACTCTCCCTTCTCTGGACCCAGCCACTATGCCTCTCTAACCCAACTCGTTCTCTGCTTTTGTGGTTTTAGTCTTTAAAAGAACTTGGCTTGGGAAAGAGCAATAATGATCCGAAGCTAACCACTTAGCTCATTAGTATGTCATCTAGACAGGCAAAATCAATTCCAACAGCATCGAGTTTGGGTATTCCCTCCCCAAAAGGTCTGCGCTATTAATAGCAAGAAAGTTTCCCAGGCTTTGGTTTATTTGTAATCCCAACCAGCTCTGACCACAGAACCTGGCCATCTCCACTTCTAGAGCTCCCAGGAATTCAGGAGATGGGATTTCAGGTCTCAAGTTTTCAACAGCAGTGGAAAGATGTGGAAAGAAGGAAAGAAGGCTGAACTTAATGGAGGTGGAATGACACAGGCCAAAGAGGGCTTGATCCCAAGAAATGGCTTGGTAGCAGAGGATAAGAACTAAGGAATGTCTCTTTACCTATCTGACCCAGCTCCTGGGCCCTCTCTTACAGACGGACCTAACTCCCTGATTCACCATTGTGGAGCTGGCTGACAGAAGGGTCTAGAAAAAGCAGCATGGTTAAAAACCAAACTTAGGCCAGGCATGGTGGCTCATGCCTGTAATCCCAGCACTTTGGGAGGCCGAGGCAGGCAGATCATGAGGTCAGAAGTTCAAGAGGAGCCTGACCAACTTGTTGAAACTCTGTCTCTACTAAAAATACTTAAAAAAAAAAAATTAGCCAGGCATGGTGGTGGGTATCTGTAATCCCAGCTACTCAGGAGGCTGAGGCAGGAGAATCGCTTGAACCTGGGAGGCAGAGGTTGCAGTGAGCCGAGACTGTGCCACTTGCACTCCAGCCTGGGCGACAGGGGGTAGGCCAGGCGCAGTGGCTCACGCCTGTAATCCCAGCACTTCTGGAGGCCGAGGTGGTTAGATCACCTGAGGTCAGGAGTTCAAGACCAGCCTGGCCAACGTGGCGAAACACCATCTCTAATAAAAATACAAAAATTAGCCAGGCGTGGTGGCACATGTCTGTAGTCCCAGCTACTCTAGAAGCTGAGGCAGGAGAATCACTTGAACCCGGGAGGCAGAGGTTGCAGTGAGCCGAGATAGCACCACTGTCACTCCACCCTGGGTAACAGAGCAAGACTCTATCTAAAAAAAAAAAAAAAATTAACTTAAAACCTCACTAATTCTGACCCAGAATGCCTGAGTTCAAATTCAGAATCTGCGGCTTAGTACTTCTGGGGCTTTGAAAAAATGATTTTACCTCTCTACGCCTCCAGATCCTTGCCTGTAAAATGTGGATAATAACATCAGGATAATAACAGTAAAGGCTGTGCAACTCTAACCCAAAAATCCAAAATGCTTCAGGCCAGGAGCGGTGACTCACACCTGTAATCCCAGCACTTTGCGAGGCCAAGGTGGGCAGATTGCTTGAGTCCAGGAATTCAAGACCAACCTGGGCAACATAGCGAAACCCTGTCTCTACAAAAAATATAAAAAATTAGCCAAGGCTGGGCACGGTGGCTCATGCCTATAATCCCATCACTCTGGGAGGCCAAGGTGGGCAGATCACTTCAGTTCAGGAGTTCAAGACCAACCTGGCCAACACAGTGAAACTCCGACCCTACTAAAACTACAAAAATTAGCCAGAAGTGGTGGCACACGCCTATAATCCCAGCTACTCAGGAGGCTGAGACAGGAGAATCACTTGAACCCAGGAGGCGGAGATTGCAGTGAGCCAAGAACGCGCCACTTGCACTCCAGCCTGGGCACCAGAGCGAGACTTGAGATTCCAGACTCCGTCTCAAAAAAAAAAAAAAAAAAAAAAATCCAGTCACAGTGCATGCCTGTAGTCCCAGCTACTCAGGTGGCTGAGATGGGAGGATCACTTGAGCCCAGGAGGTCATGGTTGCAGTGAGCTGTGATTGTGCCACCGTACTTCAGCCTGGGCAACAGAGCAAGACCCTATCTCATTATATAAAGCTTCAAAATCTGAAATTTGACACCACAAGTGGAAAAGTCTACACCTGACCTCAAGTGAGGAGTCACAGTCAAAATGCAGTCAAAACTCTGTTTCATGCACAAAAATTATTTAAAATATTGTATAAAATTACCTAAGGTTTATATAAGGCCATGCACAGTGGCTCACATTGTAATCCCAGCACTTTGGGAGGCCAAAGCGGGTGGATCACTTGAGGTCAGGAGTTCGAGACCAGCCTGGCTAACAGGGTGAAACCTCATCTCTACTAAAAATACAAAAATTAGCTGTGCGTGGTGGGAAGCCCCTGTAATCTCAGCTACTCAGGAGGCTGAGGCAGGAGAATCGTTTCGACCTGGGAGGTAGAGGTTGCAGTGAGCCGAGATCACACCACTGCATTCCAGCCTGGGGAACAAGCGTGAAACTCTGTCTCAAAAAAAAAAAAAAAAAAAAGGGTTTATATAAAACATAAATGAATTTCCTGTTCAGATTTGGGTCCCATCCCCAGGATATCTCATTATGTATATGCGAATATTCCAAAATCTGAAAAAAATTAAAAATCCAAAACACTTTCAGCCCCAAGCATTTTGGATAATGGTTATTTAACCTGTACTCCTTCATAGGATGTATATGAGTTTGTGAATAGCAGTCTACCCACTGCAAACTCACTCCCATGATGTATGAGATAGTTTACAGGGTTTATGTCCATAAGCAAGCAAAAAAAGAAGCAAGTGACTTTTTGTTTGTTTGTTTGTTTGTTTTGTTTTGTTGTGAGAGTCTCGCTTTGTTGTCCAGGCTGGATGGAGTGCAGTGGCATGATCTTGGCTCACTGCAATCTCCGCCTCCCAGGTTCAAGCCATTCTCCTGCCTCATCTTCTTGAGTAGCTGGGACTACAGATGCATCCCACCATGCCTAGCTAATTTTTGTATTTTTAGTAGAGATGGGGTTTTACTATGTTGGCCAGGCTGGTCTTGTACTCCTGACCTCAGATGATCCACTCGCCTTGGCCTCCCAGAGTGCTAGGATTACAGGCATGAGCCACCAAGCCCAGCACCAGGTTGGACACCTGATTAACAGACCCACTGATAGTGACCTGCCATTACTGTCTACATGCAAGTCGCAGTGGCTCACGCCTGTAATCCCAGCACTTTGGGAGGCCGAGGCGGGCGGATCACAAGGTCAAGAGACCTGGCCAACATGGTGAAACCCCATCTCTACTAAAAATACAAAAAATGAGCCGGGTGTGGTGGCAGGTGCCTGTAGTCCCAGCTACTTGGGAGGCTGATTCAGGAGAATGGCATGAACCCGGGAGGTGGAGCTTGCAGTGAGCCGAGATCACGCCATTGCACTCCAGCCTGGGCAACAGAGCGAGACTCCGTCTCAAAAAAAAAATTAAAAAATAAATAAAATAAAATAAAACAATAGAAAAATTAGCTGGGTGTGGTGGTGCACACCTGCAGTCCCAGCTACTGGGGAGGCTGAGGCAGGAGAATCGCTTGAACCTGGGAGGTGAAGGTTGCAGTGAGCTGAGATCGTGCCACTGCACTCCAGCTTGGGTGACAGAGGGAGACTCCATCTCAAAAAATAAAAAGAAAAAGAAACAGTTCATTCAGGTATTTTAAATATATCCCTCTGCCTTTCTTCATGTCCCTTGAAAAGGGGCTTTGCCTTGAGAATTAAACTCCAGCCGCCTAAAGTTTCCCAAATGCCTAAATGAGAGGAAGCCAACTTAACGAGGTCTTGCTGCGGTAAAACTGGCAAGTGAAACTCAGTCCCTACTCAGGTGCAGGTGAATACACAGTCATCCCAACCAAAAGGTCTTCCTGAGTTCAGCCCAACTCACTTTGCAGACACCGGGGCACAAAGCCAATCGCAAGCACCTCAAGTGGAGAGGAAAAACACTAATCCAGCACATGGTCTTGAATGGCACTTCACACTATGCCTTTAATGCCAATGTGCCCAGGAAACACCCCAGAAGCCCTCTTCTCGGCCCCCACAATGTCTCCTTGCTCCTTTCCCTTTGGACTACTGAGCCCCCACTCCACTAATTGGACCTACTATTCTGAAGACTCAAAGCCAGCTCAGACCTGGGTTCAAATCCAAGTTCCATCATTTTGTTCATTCAACAAAACACTTATCCAGTGCCTAATACATGCCAAGTGCTGACATCCAAAAGAATTGGGCTAAGAGGATATAAAAGCAGACCATCTCAAAGTGGGTGAGCTTGGGCAAATGAACTCACCTCTCTCAGCACAGCTTCCCTCATCTGTAAAATGGGAATACAAACAGCCATCTCTCAGAGTTCGTGTAAGGATCAAATGCCTGGCATTGTACCTGGTGTAAGGTAAGTGCTTGGTAATTGCTAGCTATTATATTATAAGCTATTATCTTGTTATTAATATAATCAGTATCATCAGGATACAATCCCTTGAGATGTTGCAAGATTTTAAATCATCCAAAAAGTAAATCTGCAGATACGCGTATTAACCACCGCTTAAGGGGGAAATGAACACTTTAGGCTAAGTAAAGCAGAGTGACCAAAAGTCTTCCTAGTTAACCAGCCTGGCCCCTACTCCCACTCATTTCCCCAGCTTTCTGGTGAAGTGGAATTTTCCTGTTTCTCCATATGGGCTCCTCCCAGGCACACGGAAGCTCAGCTGCAGGCCGGGTGTTCTAAGTCGCTGCATCTCTCCCTTCCAACCAGTTCTCAAACTTATAGAGATTTTTTAAATGCTTGCAAGCCCAGCAGAATTCTGATTCTTACAATCACACTCTGCCCACAGCGGACACACAGAGCACAATCAGCCATGTGGAGGCAAAGCCGTCCCACGAAACAGGGGGTCACAATGCATTTGGGTGAAACCTGGCAGCAGCTGCCCAAGGGCTACCAAGAAACCACACGAAATCATCATCCCAAAGAGGTTTTGCAATGTGCACAAAATAAAAAGGAAAACAGAAAACAAAATCTCAAAGAAAACCTGTCACTTCTCTAAGGCCATGTCTTGATTTTTTTTTCCTCCTCTTTCTTCAGAGATGTCAATAAGATTTAAAACATAGCCTGTTAAAAGATTGCCTAAAGAAGGCGTGGACAGTCAAGAAAGAGAAATTCAAAGAACTCCTGGTGCCCCAAGCTTACCAGCGCAAGGCATAAAAACAAGGGTCAGCCACTTGGCACCCTGTTTCGGGACCATCGCCAGCCTCTGGTTCAGTCCAAAGACCAGTGTGGATTTCCTCCTCCTGCACTGGCCATGTTCTATGAGAATGGGAAAGCAAAAGTCCACGCTGTCAACAAGCCAAGGGAGATGCGAAAATGCCCAGAACACACACACGTGGAGAGTTCAGTTTTGAGTGTGGTTTAAAGAGTGGGAAGTCAGACCAATTCTGGTGTTTGAATCCCAGGCCACCAACTACTTCCTGAGAGACCCTGGGGGGGTTACTTAACCTCTCTGAACCTCAGTTTACTCTTCTATAAAATGGGAGGTAACTACTTTCAGAGTTGTTCCCAAATCATAATTGCAGGCAGCAGCTTATAGTAGTACACCCAGCATATGGCAAGCGCTCAAGAAATGTCAGCTCTTACCACCGTTGCTATTCTTATTCCAAAGTTGGTAATTGCCTCATTTGGTGATTTGGGCAATAATGTCAGGAAGTGCTTTTTGTTGCTGTTATCCAACAATGCAGTATGTTATCAGAAACTTACTTCCTAGGAGGTGTACATAAAAAGGGAAGGTGTGTGGTGAGAAAAAGAAAACAATAATAAGTAGCAGAATCATCTAACATTTGCAGTCTTACCATACAGAATGCACTCTGATATTTTACCCATTTTCCGGATGAGTTTTCAGGAAACTGAGCTGGAAAAGAGCTCAGGCAACCCGCCCAAGGTCACAGAATTTGGAAGCGAAGGTTACGAGGGCAGGAAACATGTTTGTCTCACTGTGCCCCTGTGCCAAGCATGAATGGTTCTCTTTAAGCCTCATTTAACATTCGACAAATATTTATTGATGCCAGCACTTTGCCGGGCATTATGCTGGGTATACTAGAGACAGAAGAGAACGATCACAGGGCTTAGGAGTCAGGTGACCTGGGTGACAAATCCCAGCTGGCACTCAACTGCTGTGTGACAATGAGCAGAGAGTTAGTCTCTCCGACCTTCAGTTATTGTGAAATAATTTCCCCTCATCCCACCTCCCTCATTCTGTAGATGCAAAGAGTCCATTAAACAACACCTAGCTAGCTGGCTGCTTTGGCAGGGCCTCAGAATTCATTCAACACTGGTTCCCTCCCCTCTGTCCCCCTCACACCCCCTCTACCTCCCAAAACAAGCCCTGGTTAACGCATCTATAAAATGAAGGTAATAGTAATATCCCTTCAGAGGGCTGTGGTGAGAACTAAATGAGGTCAAGTATTTGAAAAGTACTTAGACTGTAAAGTATTATAAAAACACAAGTTATTATTATTACAGGAATGCACCCCGCCTCTGCACCCAGCTGCCTCTTTGCAACCAGGAATTGGCTCTTTGCACCATGTCAGCAAAGCACACTCCATCAGGTAAAGCCCATCTGGTCCTCCAGCCCTGGATGAAAGGGAGAGGGAGAGTAGGGGGTTAGGAGGAGGGTGTGAACAGGAGCCGAGCTCTGCAGGATGCTCATTTCCAGGCAGGAAGAAGGACCACACAGCTGGAAGAATCCAGACACACGGGGTGAGGAGAGGGGGAGGTGGCTCTGCCACTCCTGAGATGGTGCCCATGACCTTCTTCCCAGCTGCCTCCCATCAGCATGGAGGCCGCCACATCTGTCTTCCTACCCACGTCAATCAAAGAAGCATTCCCAGGCCCCTCCAGTAGGTCAGGCACGTTCTGGACAACAAGGACCCTAAGGTGAGCTGTGAGGCAGCATGGCTGCCCTCACTGACCTCATTATCTTCAGGCCCAGAAGATTCATTAATTAAAACAACACAACACACACACTCACTTCTAAAAAGCTTACCCTCGGGCCACAGCACTTTCCAGTATTTTAAGAGGCATCCACCCACTCACCACCTATTATTCCTGCTTTTAAAGAAGGGCAAAGGTGACATTTCAGCAGGCCACCGGCTCAAAGGTTACAACAAAGAAACCAACAGGGGGGTTCTGGGTTGTCAAGCCTTTAACATAACGTAAACCTGCCTCCATCCGTATCACTGCACTTAAACTGTCAAACAAGGCGATGGTTTACTTTTCGTTAAGGGGCAGGTGTCAAGACTGGCTGAAGTCCACATGAAAAAAAAAAAAATGTCAGCTGTTCATGTGACCGCCTGCACACCTGAAAAATCAATATATCCAAAACACTCATCCACTTACCACTTTAAAACAGCAAAAGAAAAAAATCAACCACCTTTGACAATGCTTTTCTCCAAGTGGATTGGACCCTTTTTTTTTGTCTCTAAACATTATTTTAAATCGAAAGTACAATTTAAAACATATTTTCAGTTTATTTTTCAGTAAACTATCAGATAGCTATAACTTACAGAGGACCCAAGAGATGAAAGGGGTGACCAAGATTGGTGACATTTGAATTTGGCTGCAGAAACCCAACGGTTCAATTATGTCTGTGGAGTGAAGTCCTATGACCAAAAAGGGCAAAGCCCAAAGGGTCCCCTACTTCTCGCCACCACCCAGAAGGACTCATGGGCCACCCCCCCACAACCATTAGTGAGTCTTTCTAACGAGGACACATTCCTGAGACCTAGTTTGGTGTCACTGCCTTTATTACTGTGTCAATCAGGCAAGCAGGAGCGACTGTTAACCCCTGACTGACCCCAGATCCCACCAGAACGGCAGCCTCAACCACGCCGGGGTTAAGAGACTCCTGCTCTGTCACCATGGTGTGTCCAACATGTTTCTTTGACATCTCAAGCCAAGACACACGACATTCCTGTCCGTGAGGACTTCCCCAAAGGTGCTTGCTGGCAGAGAGAAGAGTGAGGATGCTCTACCATTCACTGCTTCCACCTTCTCTATCTGCCAGGACAGGTGCAATTTCTTACACTGGGTCCCATTGGCCCGGGACCCTCCCAAGATTTGTCCCTCCCTCTTGTGCTCCCTCT
Organism: Homo sapiens; assembly: GCF_000001405.40. Taxonomy (NCBI): domain Eukaryota; kingdom Metazoa; phylum Chordata; class Mammalia; order Primates; family Hominidae; genus Homo; species Homo sapiens. The sequence goes on along the minus strand of NC_000010.11, from coordinate 113,018,984 downwards.
GGACGCTGCTTGGGTTTCCACCATCACACCCACAAGAACTTTCTTCACTTCCTGACTCTCCCAGCTGCCTCCCAGAGCCAGGCCCTGTTCCTCCCAGCACCGCAGCTGGCCGGTGCTAGGTGACCAGGAAATGTACACTGGACAAACAGATCCCGGCAGTCCACCCCAGCCAGAGGGAATCCCCAAAGCAGGCACAAACAAAAGGACTCAGGAGAGAGGCCAGGTGCAGTGGCTCACGCCTGTAATCCCAGCACTTTGGGAGGTCAAGACAGGCGGATCACTCGAGGTCAGGAGTTTGAGACCAAACTGGTCAACAGGGTGAAACCCTGTCTCTACTAAAAATACAAAAAAATACCCAGGCATGGTAGTGGGCACCTGTGATCCCAAATACTCAGGAGGCTGATGCATCATTTTATAGATGCATTTTGTAGATTGCTTGAACCTGGGAGGCAGCGGTTGCAGTGAGCCGAGACCGCGTCACTGCACTCCAATCTGGCAACAGAGTCTCTGTCTTTAAAAAAAAAAAAAAAAAAAAAAAAAGGACTCAGGAGAAAGCCTGCAAGGACCACTCAGTCTTTGGCTAGAGGGGAACCTTTCATGAAAGCAACATGTCACAGAGGCCTGAGAAGACCACTCACACTGCCCAACCCAGCATTCTCGGAGCCCAAAGGACAGAAAGAATGCAGCAGAGAACAACAGGGCAACACTCCCCAGAAAGATGACTTCACCTCCTCCCACCTCTTAAGAGTGGGTGATCTTTATTGAGCACCTACTATGTTATGTGCAGGCACTGGTCAAACGCTTTACGCAGCTCATGTAATCATCACCACCACTGACAATATAAATGTATGTGTTACCTCAACAGTCAGTGATGGAATCAGGGGCATGCATTAAATTATTCAGTGTCTCTTAGTGACCATAGTTCCCCCAGCACCCAGCACTGTGCCATCTCCACTGTGGGGACCCAGAACTACATGCTGACCACCCAAATGTTACCTTACTCTGCTCTCTCCAGCCCTTTTAATACACTAAGTTTATTTGTTTGCAAAAAGGATGCATTTTAAAGACCCCAGGTTTACATCTGCCCGCTCTGGATCTCAGCTTTCTAATCCATAAAATGAATAGAAACGTAACTCTGTTTGCAGTGCTGCTATGAAAAGTAAGAGACCCCATTAATAGGCCCAGCATAGGATTCAATAAAAACTTGTTTCCCATTGTCCTTTTTCTGAGAAATAAGGTGACTGGGACAGGAATGTTATCCCAATAATGACATGGCTTCAGAGATTCTCTCTGCTGGGCACACATCCTGCAAGTAGAAGGACACTGGATGGAGGGCAGGAAGTCTGCGGTGACCAGAGAGGGTGTCTCCAGTGGACCAGCCTTTCCCTGGCTCAACTGCAATAGGCCACACCCAAGAGAGCCCTCTGCTCCCTCCTCCTTCCCAGCCAGGCTCCAGCCAAGGAACACAGGGTTCCCCCAAGAATTTGTATTTAAAGATGTCTCCGTCACTGCAGTAAAGTTTGCAAAGAAGACGGCATGGGCAGGTGAAAAGTCCACCCGAGGAGGAAGTGGGCACATGGGATGCTGAGCTCCCGCTCCACCACTGGTCATTTGTTTCCTCGTGGGTAAAATGGGATAACGCCAGCTTCTACCAACCACACAGCACCCTGCATCAGAGCAGTCACTCCTGGCTCACAGAGGAAATCAATGAGAAAAGTCTCAGGCTCTGCCCCAGATATTACTGCCCTGTGGGACCAGAATCCCTCATGGTTTAAGAAAGTCTTACCAACTAAACACAGGGTCACTATAAGAAATCATTCTGGACAGTAGATCTCTATCAATTTTTGGCTTCATGACAGGCTAGGATTTGAGTATTCCTGGCTGTTCCATGTTTATAGGAGACAGAGTGGAAAGGAGTGTGTTGAGGAGTGGAGAAGAGATATCGCTGGTACAAAAATCCCCTTCTCTGCTTGCTGGGGGCTCTTTGCAAACTGGACATGAGCCTCAAGAAGTGGTCAGTCCTCTGGGTTTCTGAGCCTCCGGGCAGAGAGACACCAGCAAGTTTAGAGAACTGCCAGGCAGCAGAAGCTGCCAGGGGCACACGAGAGTGCTCCCGCGTGGGATGCTGTCAGGATCTGGTGGGCAGCGGAGGCATTCAGGGGACAGTGGCTTCTGATTAGCTGGCGGGTGCAGGTGCCCATCATGCTACTAAGGGGGAAAGTAAATCAAATCTTTCCTTTAAAAAAAAAAAGCCTGGCCCCATGATGTTCCTTTCCTCCCTCTCCACCAGCAGGGCAAATAAAACAACTCTCCAGCAGCTGATGAATTCAATTCCAGTCGAAGTCAGCTGGGATGAAGGAAGGGAAAGAGCGGAGAGCTCCCCACTCTGTCTCCAGGCTCTGCCGGAGCTTCAGGGTGCCCGCCTCGGCATGCCAAAATTGCACAAAGAAATGAAATATTACACACACTTGAGACCTACATGAATCAATCCAGAACATGCTGCGATAGAAAGGATAATTCTGAATCCCCACCCTCTCACCTCAAGTACATCCAGATCCCCAGGAAGCAAGCTGATTCCCCAGATATCATTAAATTTAGTAAACTTTAAATTTAAAACAAATACACCAGCCAGGCTCATGCCTGTAATCCCAGCACTTCGGGAGGCCGAGGTGGGCTGATCCCTTGAGGTCAGGAGTTTGAGACCAGCTTGGACAACACGGCAAAACCCAATCTCTACTAAAAATATTTTAAAACTAGCCAAGCATGGTAGCACGTGCCTGTAATCCCAGCTACTCAGGAGGCTAAGGCAGGAGAATCACTTGAAACTGGGCAGCAGAGGTTGTAGTGAGCCGAGATCACACCACTGCACTCCAGCCTGGGCAACAAAGCAAGACTCCGTCTCAATTAAAAAAAAAAAAAAATACACCAAGCATGGCCTAGCCTAGCAATACAGTACTTTAGTACGCCCTTTAGTACTGATTTATTACTGCGTTACCCTCAGGCAGATGGTCTTAACCCCAGACCCCAAGGAATGGCAGCCGCAACCTTGCCAGGTAAGGAAACCCCTGCTCTGTCACCACAGTGGGACCAATGTGTTTCCTTCACATCACTTGTCCACAATCTGAAGCACACGTTACGTTACTGATTCTCATCCTTCACTTTCTTCCATGTTTCTTTAATAAAGAAAATCAATTGAGCACAGGCACAGTGGCTCACGCCTGTCATCTCAGCACTTTGAGAGGCCAAGGTGTGAACCTTTGGCATCTTTGAGGCCCAGGAGTTTGAGACCAGCCTGGGCAACATAGTGAGACCCCCATCTCTACAAAAAAAAATTTTTTTTAATTAGCCAGGAGTGGTGGCGCATGCCTGTAGTATATAGTCCCAGTTACCTGGGAGGCTGAGGCAGGGGGATTGCTTGAGCCCAGGTGTTTGAGGCTGCAGTGCAGTGAGCTGTGTGCAGTGAACTGTTTTCATGCCACTGCACTCCAGCCTGGGCGACAGAGCTGAACCTGATCTCAAAAAAAAAAAAAAAAAAAAAGCTCATCAGGCAGGAAAAGCCCAGCAGGAGGATCACACCTGGCACGAGGCAGGGAGCTGCCAGGGCCTCATGCGCCTCCATTCTGGGGCAAGCTAATAATAAATAATAATACTTTGTGCTTCTCCGGTGCCTTTCATCTGAGGATTTCAAAGTGCTCTGCAAACATTAACTAATTATTCCTCACAGAATCCTGCAGAGACAGCAGAGGAATGGGATTGATGTGGCCTGGACAGGCAAAAATTTCAGAGTTTCTGCTTTCTTGAAACGGAATCTTGTTCTGTTGCCCAGGCTGGAGTGCAATGGTGTGATCTCAGCTCACTGCAACCTCCACCTCATAGGTTCTGGAGATTCTCCTGCCTCAGCCTCCCAAGTAGCTGGGCTTACAGGCGTCCGCTACCACGCCCAGCTAATTTTTGTATTTTTAGTAGAGATGGGGTTTCACCATGTTGGCCAGGCTGGTCTCAAACTCCTGGCCTAAGTGACCACCTGCCTCGGCCTCCCAGCGTGCTGGGATTATAGGCATGAGCCACTACAGCCAGCCAAAACTTCAGAATTTCTAATGTCCAAGGATTCCAGACTTTCCCAAGGTTGAAGTCTCCCATAAAGGACAGAAGGAGGAAATCTCCTTTTAGTTTTTGTTTGTTTGTTTGTTTGTTTTTGTGAGATGAAGTCTCGCTCTGTCGCCCAGGCTGGAGGGCAGTGGCACAATCTTGGCTCACTGCAGCCTCCGCCTCCTGGGATCAAGCAATTCTCCCTGCCTCAGCCTCCCGAGTAGGTGGCATTACAGGCGCCCACCACCACACCTGGCTAATTTATGTATTTTTAGTAGAGACGGGGTTTCGCCATGTTGGTCTTGAACTCCTGACCTCAGGTGATCCGCGCCCCCTCGGCCTCCCAAAGTGCTGGGATTACAGGCATGCGCCACCACGCCCAGCCAATCTACTCCTTTTAGGATGGAGGATTAGCACTGGGCTTCCTGAATTCTCACATTGACATAATCAACCAATAAAGCTCCCAATGTCAAGAAGGTATTTCCATTCTAGAAGCATCCTTGGCCCTGAAATTAACCCTCGCAAAACTACCACCAAACTGTCTAAATCAGGTCCCAGAAGGAGTGTAACTAGCAGCAGATGACCTTCTCATGGGTCCCTGAAGCCCCCTGCTATGCCCCAGGGTAGGGGGCTTTATAGTTACTGGGTCCTGGGTGTTAGGAAGAGAATGCAGAGCGTGGACATTTTTCAGAATTTTAACCATCACTGTTTCAGCTGAATGCCGACCTGGGAACTAACCCATTCCCTGTCTAACCACCCTTCTTAATAAGGACCACGCACTCGAGGCACATGCCCTTGGTGCGTCTACCCCTGTCCTCCTGTGTTAACTCAACTTCTTTTTGCATCCAAGTTTTGAGACAGCGCAGGGACCCCTTTTAGGGGCCTGCAGGGCAATACCCCCCAACATAAAAATTTTTAAAAACTTCAGTTCCTTCTAAAGAAATTCCAGGCAGCTAGCTAGCTTTAAAAAATAAGTTAACAACTCAATAAACAAAAAAAAACAGTGGCTTAAAACAATAGCCAAAAAAGAGTCATGGGGCGTTGTTTGGTTCCCTATAAATACCAATAATATCATCTCAATACATGTCCCTGACTTGTTTTTCAGAAAGATGGACCCCACCAAATGGATCCAGTGGTCCGTAGACCTCAGATCAGGAGAAAGTGGGGACTAAGCTCCAACTGCCTTTCTTTGCTCTAAAGTTCTTTCCAAGGAGGGGCCTAGAAAAAGACATGCCCACGAGCCAGACCTAACATTTCTTTCTGCTGACCCCAAATCTTTAATCAAAGCTTATCTTCCTTAACCAATTACAAACCAAAAAAATCTTTAAATCCACTTATGACCTATGAGCCCCCACTTCAAAATATCCCATCTTTTTAGGCCAAACCAATGTCTTACCTCCCTGTATTAATTTACCATTTTGCCTAGAACTTCTGTTTCCCTAAAATTTACCCCTTTCTTTAAAAACACTTGCTTACAGGCCAGGCACTGTGGCTCATGCCCGTAATCCCAGCACTCTGGGAGGTCAAGGCAGGAGGATCACTTGAGGTCAGGAGCTGGAAACTAGCCTGGGCAACATGGTGAAACCCCATCTCTACTAAAAAGACAAAACTTAGCCAGGTGTGGGGGCGCACGCCTGTAGTCCCAGCTATTCAGGAGGCTGAGGCAGGAGAATCGCTTGAACCTGGGAGGCGGAGGTTGCAGTGAGCTGAGATCACGCCACTGCACTCCAGCCTGGGTGACAGAGCAAGACTCAGTCTGAAAAAAAAAAAAAAAAAAAAAACCACTTGCTTATAAACCATGGGAGAGGTCAGGTCTTAAGCGTGAGCTGCTGGATTTGCCCTGCTTGGTGACCTACAAATAAATACCTTCCTTTCTCCCACTGCAAACCTCAGTATGAATACTGGGCCGGACTGCACCAGGCGAGAAGACCCCACATGGGTTCGTTAAGTTTCAGCAACACGCGTAGAGTAACAGAAGGAAGCCGGATGTGTGGGGCGCCTCAGTCAGTCAGCACTTACTGATTCTCACAAATCAGTCAAAATTAATCATGTGAACTACATTTGAGTGTTATTTTTAAGAAAAATATTTTGGTTCCTTCAAACACTTAAGATAACCCCAAAATATGCAAAGCAAATATTCCCTAGACAGATCCAGAAGGAAGCTACAGAAATGAATGGTTTAGCCAGGCAGGTGCTTGTATGTAAATGACAAAGCTGTTAAGAGACCTGGAGACAAGTTAAAGGCCTTCCTGCAGCTCCTTACTCAATGCCAGCAAACCCTTTCATCACAGAGCAGAGACATTTCAGTTTTGGGTTCTGATCAAATTACCTGTAATTCAAAAGTCCTGGGTATCTCCTTCCTAAAATTCCTCTCCTCTTAGAATTCTGTCTTTCTTCCTTTGAGTGCCTTTCCACTAGTTCAGACCACCATCCTAGCAGCACACTGCTGTCCTCTGAACCCCTAGAACCCACCACAGAGACTCAACAAATATTGCTCACGTAACAAAGTAAGAACACTATCCCGATGGTTTCTCAACCCTGCTCCACTCTCCTACGTTTCATAAACGGAGCAGTCAGTCTTCCCTGATTAAAATTCAGCCAGGACTATTCCAACCCCTAAAGCAGTGCTTCTCAAAGGTTCCCACACTTTGGAATCACCTGGGCAGGTTTTATAACTACTGGTGCATGGCTCGCATTCCCCAGATGTTCTGATCTAGTTGGAATGGGATGTGACCTGGGCGTTAGAATTTTAAAGGTTTCCCAAGTGATTCTGATGTGTTGCAAAGTTTGAAAACCATTGCCAAGGCGCAGTAGCAGCAATACTCACAGGACTAAACTCAATGGCAATACTCAAGGGAGTAATACTCAACGGCAATACTCGAGGCAGTAACGCTCAAGAGCAATACTTGAGGCGGTAAAGCTCAAGAGCAATCCTTGAGGTAGTAATGCTCAACAGCAATACTCAAGGTAGTAATGCTCAACAGCAATACTCAAGGTAGTAATGCTCAACAGCAATACTCAAGGTAGCAATACTCAAGAACAAAACTCAAGGTGGTAATACTCAAGAGCAATACTCAAGGTGGTAATACTCAACAGTAATATTCAAGGTAGCAATACTCAACAGCGATACTCAAGGCAGTAGCACTCAAAAGCAATACTCAAGGTGGTAATACTCAAGAGCAATACTCAAAGTGGTTATGCTCAACAGTAATACTCAAAGTAGTAATATTCAACAGCAACACTCAAGGTAGTAATACTCAACAGCAACACTCAAGGTAGTAAAATTCGACAGTAATACTCAACAGCAATACTCAAGGTAGTAACACTTGACAGCAATACTCAAGGTAGTAATGCTCAACAGCAATACTCACGGTAGTAGCAGCAGTGCAACTGCTAAGGGCTTACAGAAATGCAAGGCCCCACCCAAGCCAACTGATATCAGAATCTACATTTTAACCAGAGCCCCAGAGAATTTGAGGCCTCATTAGCACACAGAGTTCAAAGCCCCTGAGGACAGAATACCACACAACCATTCTAGCTTGGAAACCCCCCACTACCACCAGATCTCTGGCTTGGCTCCGGTTAACCCCATCTTTCCTTCTGAGAACTCTATGGCCCTGTGCTTTTGTTCATGCTGATTCCTCTACCTGGATGCCCTTTCCTAAGCTCTGTGTAAGAAAATGACTGCTCATCTGCCAAGCCTTAAGCATTCAGGTACCATATTTTGTTCCAGTCTCCCAGGAACCACTCCTCCCCTCCTGCCACTAACCATTAAGGATACTCCAACTAAAGCAGGGTTTCTTCAAGGTAAGGACACCAACTCTGCAGGCAGATACGCCCAGATGCAAAGTCACCTTCCACCACTAATTTCCTTTTTTTTCTTTTTTTTGAGACAGGATCTCACTCTCATTGCCCAGGCTGGAGTACAGTGGCACAATGCCAGCTCACTGCAGCCGGACTCAGGTGATCCTCCCACCTCAGCCTCTCAAGTAGCTGAGACTACAGGTGCACACCACCAGGCCCGGCTAATATTTTTGTATTTTTAGTCGAGATGGGGTTTCACCCTGTTGCCCAAGCTGGTCTGGAACTCCCGAGCTCAAGAGATCTGTCCACCTCGGATTCCCAATGTGCTGGGATTATAGGCCTGAGCCACCACGCCCAGCCTAATTTCTTAACAAAGTAAGAAAACTATTGCAATGGTTTCTCAACCGTACTCCACAATATCTCCTACATTTTATAAAGGGAGCAATCACAGTCCCCCTGATTAATAATGACCTTGGTGTCCTGAGACTTAAACCTCTCTGAGATTCAGTTGTCTTGTCTACAAAATGGAGATGATACTGTCTATCTCCTTAACAGTGTGAGAATTGAGATGATGCAGGTAAAATGCTTGGAAGACTGCTTCATGGGTGTTCGGCACAGAACGCATAGGACTCAGAGCTTACTATCCTCATACGGTGATTCCCAAACTGTAAATCATTTAGAGACCTTTGAAATTACTGATGCCTGGCTCCTCCCAAAGTGGGCCCCGGGCATTGGCATTTTTATAAAAGCTCTCCAGGTGAACCTAATGTGCAGCACATTGGGGGAACCACTGCCCTAATACATGATAGGAAGAAGATATCAATGAATGAGGGTGATTGTCACAAAGAATTACTAAGACATATAACCTTTTCCACACCTGCTCCCATGACCCCCTAACTGGCTGCCCTGCCCCACCAATCTCACTCAACTAGGAGAAGGCCCTGCCCAGGAATCACAGACTCAAGCTTCTATAGGACATTGCAGGAAAACTCAAAGTTCCCAAAGCCCCCAGAACTCCATTCTCCAATCCCCAAAGGTGTGTTCCAGCCAACTAGATAACGGAACAATGAAAACAGCACCCATAGGAGCCCGTGGGTGACACACAGGGTTAAAGAAGCCCAACCAAAGACTTAAGACCCCCAAGTGAAAGGTAAATGGACTCACACAATTGTCTTTTATGGTCTCCCTTAATTACCTAAAAGAACAGTCCATGCTGCCGAACAGGCCTGGAGAAAACCTTTCATCTCTCCCTTACCTCTCCCCTTGAGACTCACCGGGTTGTCTTCAATGTATGAAAGGCTCTGTCCAGGAATGCTAACTTTAATTTACCATCCTCTAAGGAACATGAATTGAGAAGCTAAACAAATTTGACAATGGCCCTTTACAGCTTTAAGTACGGGCAAAAAAGAAGCCCATCTCAGGGACGTCATGTGAGCATCAGCTCAAGAGGGTTAGGGCAAGCAGTAACATTCCCCCTTGAGGAACATTTTAAGGTGGGTGTTTCCTCAACACCCCAGGATATGTTCCTGAAGCTTTGGAGACCCATCCCTGGAGGCTGGCATATTGTGTTTTCTGAGAATTTCCAGAAGCCCACACCCTTCGGTGGCAGGAGATGCCTTTCAACAAGGCACCAAAAGGACATGTATAATGAATGCAGGCGAGAGTCTCCAGGGCTGAAAACCTAGAACCACAGAGGACTCTTGCCAGCAACTCTGATCAAGAGATGGCAGTGATTTGCTGAGACCTCTCAGGAGGTAATGCAACTCGGAGACAGGGAAGGCTGCTCCAGGCCAACTTCCCCATCCAGCTCAAAAAATGGTGATGACCTGAAAATCAGGACAACTTGGAAGGAGTATCTTTATTTAGAGGGGAGCACAGGAAGCAACACAGGAGGGCCCCTTGGACCCCAGATGAATTCTCATCACTATAAAACTAGACTTCCGGCATGGGCAATATAGTGAGACCCCATCTCTTCAAAAAATTTAAAAATTAGTCGGGCCTGGTGGTACCAGCCTACAGTCCCAGCTACTTGGGAGTCTGAGATGGGAGGATCGCTTGAACCCAGAACGCAATGGTTACAGTGGATTGCGCCACTGTGCTCCAGCCTGGGCAACAGAGCAAGACTCAGTCTCAAAAACAAAAACAAAACAAAACAAAAAAGATGAGATTTATAGAAGCCTGAGGCTATTCCATGAGCAGAATTTTGAGGCCACACCTGGGTTGAGCAACTAATCCCTGAGCTTAGGAACAGAAAGATGAACAAGGGAGCCCTAGGAGTCAACAGATGCCCCAAACCACAAGTCACTAAAGGAGGGAAAGGAAGGCTAAGCACTTTCTCAAACTGTGGCGCTCCCAAGCATGGTTTTAGGCAGTACAAAGTGTTACTTTAGCCGTTACGGGATTATACTAATGTGTATTAAAAAATAAATAAATAAGTAGCACATCAAACCTATAATTTCACAGGTGTTAATTAAGGATTACAGTGAGACTGAGTTTAAATAAATGAATCAAATGTTTGAATGCATCAAATAAATAATAGCACAGGTAGTATACAGTTATGCCAAAAACCATGAAGGCGTTATAGCGATAAGGGATGCTTGAGAAGCCACACTAAAGAATCCAAGGGGAATTCTGGCAGCATAGTGCTGATATCATCAGGGTCTCAAGACCCCACAGAAAGGTGACGCTGAGTGCCGCTACGCAGAGAGACAGGTGTATCTGGGGGCACTGAGAGGCTAAAGGGCAGCTTCACGATGCTGGACACTGACCAGGAAGATGTCCAAGGATGCTCTGAGCATACACCAAAAAGGTACCCAACGCAGGTGTGGGGAAGATGACCATCCCCAGAGTTGAATCGTATGCCAAATAGAATCAGGGCCAAAATGGGTTTGAAAACCTCTCATACAGAGCTTTGGATGAAAATCTGAAAAAAGGAGCATTGCAGAAAATGTTAAATTAAACAACAACCAAAGTGTCTGCAAAGCTCAGCAAGAGATCAAGTGGAGAAGACGATGGGTCGCTTTCACTTTTGCATGTGATGAAATTCTCATCTCAGCCCTCAGCCCTGAGGCCCTCTCATCGCTGCTATGTCTGGGCTGCACGCTTCCCCAAGCCCCAAGTCAAGCTGCCTGCCTGCCCAGGCTTCTTTGAATTCCATCAGAATTCAGAAACACCTCGCTAAATCAGGAACAGTCAGGGGCACAGAGACACCACGCCAAAAGGCAGGCAGATAGCAAGTCCCGGAATCGGGGCAAGGATAACTTCAGAGTCTCATCCCATGGGGCTTCCCCTCCCCAGATCCTCTCTTTGGGCTTCCTCTACCCCTCATCATGCCCTCCTACAAACATCTTCTCCCCCAAGTTTTCACACTTCCAAGGAAAATGGGGAAAGGGAAAAGCAGCTCTGACTACAGCCTGAATTCATTCCGAATGTAAAAGAAGCCCTCTTCCAATATTGGGGTGCATTTCCAGGAAAATGTGGCAGAATCACTCTGTTTACTCCAGCCTCGGTGATGCTGCCACAACGCAGCACAACCTTCAGTCAAGCTATTAACTTGAACGTTGAACTTCACAGCCTGGCTGTCTTCCTCAGCCTTCCTTTTGATGTTACCTCCAAAGCAAAAGATCAAAGGCTTTGAGTGTGGTGAGGGGAAGTCCCAAGCTCTTAGCCTACCAGCCTGTGATATATGTTAAAATCCTGGCCAAAAGAGAGTGAGCAGGAAAGGGAGCCAGCTCCAGAGGCCTGGGGTGGGCAGGGGGCAGGGGATGGAGGCTAGAGAAGGAATGAGGTTGCCCGTGACGGAGGCCTCAGGGACACACAACCCAAGTGCTTCAAACACACAGAACCCCCCAGAACGAAAGCGCCTTGGCAGGCATCACACGCCCCCACACACCTCTAAGAGAGCCAGATGCTACCCCATGATCCTTCTCTCACACAACGTGCCCCCATCCAATCATCCAACAAACTTGGGCTCACAGCCTAGGAAGAAAGCATTTGTTAACTGAATAGTCATCCCAGGTAATACACAAGGACAGAGATGCCAATGCTGAAGGGAAAGGAATGTAGTTTTAAGAGGGTGCAAAACACAGACAGGAAGATGTCTCCCTTAAGGGTGTGCCACATAAAGGACGGAAGGAAAAGGGCAGGTGCATCAGTGAGGACAGCAGGTGCAGGACTGGAAGTGGGAAGGGCAGGAGGCTGGAGAAGCTGAAAGTGCCAGCGTGGCCGGAGGGGTGAGCAGAGGCTGGCCAGCTGCACAGGACTTCCAGCAGCAGCACAGCCCTGTCCTGGGCTTTGCCCCACAGGGCATGTTTCTTATGAAGAAACATCCAGAGATGCCAACACATTTCCATTTGGGAGTGGCAAGCAGACATGAAATTAAAATTAAAACACCCATGATGATCCTATGCATATGAAGTTGGAAAAGAAAATTCAGTCTATGGCTATAGGAATCAGAAGTAGTTCCTTCTGGGAGACGGAGTCTGAAAGGGAGCAGGAAGAGCCTCTGAGATGCCAGAAAAGTTCCTTATCTTGATCTGGGTCGTGGTTACACAGGTAACACAGGAAAACCTCACAGTCCTAGATACCTAGGTCTGCGCACTTTGCTGTAATTTATACCTCAGTAAATATTAATAGGGGAGGAAAGGAAGAAAAAAAAATCCATCACTGGCCCCTGCTGCCTGATCCTCCAGCGTGAGGGATTGAGGCAGAGCCAGGCTCTAGAACATCACACTGAGTGAGCCCTCGGGCTGTGCTTGTTCTTACCCTGCAGAATGGGCTGGAAATACAAAAAGTAAGATTCAACTAAGAAAACAAACAAGCCTATCTCTAGCCCCTTTTCCCCTTTTAGAAACAGAAATTTGGCTAAAGGGATAGAGAAATTCTTATGGGACGACTTTCATTACGGCAGAATGTGCTGTTTCCCAAGTTGCCGCCTCTCCCAAGTTCCATTTTATTTCTTATAAGAAAAGTCTCTAAAAGGAATCAGAGACTCTTAGGGTCAAATTTATCCTGACTCTCCCCAAATCTAACAAGTTCTTCCTCTAGGAGACCAACAGAGCCGTTTTTCTCTCCTCCCCTCCTGGTTCTGAAACATTCCTATTGGAATGTTCTTTTCTTACCTCTGTGGATCCCCTGGACCAGTTTTGGTTTTTATTTCCCAGAACACAGAACACCTACATTCCACATTTAAACAATGACACTGTGACCGGCCCAGACAGTTCAAAGAAAACAAATCTGACAGAGGGAACTACCAGATCCATCAGCTAAAATCCTGGCCCAAACCACTCAAGAGTATTTTTTTTTCTTTCCTTCCTTATTCCAGGCAAGCAATTTGGGATAACGATGAGGACAAACACTTGGAGAATGACTTCCTCCTCCCCCCCAGCCAACCCCTTTGCAGACCACCTTTCTGGAGCAAGCCTCACCCCGAAGTACAAGGAGGGGCCACACAATCTCAAACCCTTGCGCAAACAGGGTGGCAGGGGGTGAGATAACCACAACCGCATCCTTCGGGCAAGCAGCTCAGGGCACTGTAGGAGCCACTGGGCTCTGCTAAGGGGTTGTCGAGATCAAGGGGAGAGGGTGTCTCCCAAAGCCAGAGCTGAGCCCAGCAGGTCACACCCACAATGAACCTCAGAGTAGAAAAGGACTTAGAATTCAGCCAGGTCATGCTCCCTGCCTACAGTGAGAAAATTTAAGACCAGCAAGATGGGGCACCCCTCCACAGCTACCCTGCTAGCCAGCAGCAGAGAAGGACCCACCTCTAACCCATCTTCTGAGACCCAGTCTTTCTCCCAGCACCTCCCCACAACATGCACAGTGCTGACGGGATCGTGGGAGGGCCCTGCAGCACACACATTCATAATGGGCCATTGGAATGATCAGGCGGCGTGGTAGACCACCTATGACACCGTCTTCAGCGCTAAGAACCTCATTCATGCATGCATTCATCATTCCTGTTTGACCCAACACGTGCTAGGTGCCAGGAAATGTGTCTATGGTCTGGACGGTCCTAAAACAAAAGCCTCCCCCTTCCCCTGAACCGAGGCAGCTACAAGAGGCTTACAGAGCAAGACTTTCTGAGGCATCAGAAGGAGGGGTTAAGAAATGGAACCCTAGGCTGGGCACAGTGGCTCACACCTGTAATCACAGCCTTTGGGAGGCCGAGGCGGGCGGATTGCCTGAGGTCGGGAGTTTGTGACCAGCCTGGCCAACACGGTGGAACCCCATCTCTACTAAAACACACGAAAATTAGCCGGGCATGGTGGCGGGTGCCTGACATCCCAGCTACTCAGGAGGCTGAGGCAGGAGAATCGCTTGAACCCGGGAGGCGGAGGTTGCAGCGAGCCAAGATGGCACCATTGCACTCCAACCTGGGTGACGAGAAACTCCATCTCAAAAGAAAAAAAAAATAAAAAAGAAATGGAACCCTCAAAAGTATACGTCAATTCACTGTGGGAAATTTTATGCTAATTGTCTGAAGACGTTTAAGATTGAGTCACAACTGGGAGAAGAAAAATGCCAGACAGAGAAGCTTTCCTACAAAAAGTAAAATTTTTGAAAAGAAATTTGTTATTTCATTAGTCTGGTCTATGACATACCTGGACCTATTCATCTCTTGGGTGTGAAATACAAGCCAAGGACCTTAAAGTTCCACTGTCCACGTGCTGCACATTCTCCAGGGGAAGGACTGGTGAATGAACAGTTAAACTTTAACTTCCACACCCATCTGCAGCTCCATCACGGCTTCCTAAAATATTAACATGGCTTGCCTGGAGTCTACAGAGACCCCATACTTCCTCTGGCTTCAAATCCATCCTACTCCCTGCCCTGCCAAGACTCTTTGGGCTTTCTCTCCACAGTGGCTCACACTGTTCTTCCTGCCCCAAACAGCACTACACCCCGGAGACTTCTCTACTTACAGGCACTCTTCTTTCCTCCAATAAAAAGTCCGCCCTCTCTTCAATGAACTGGTGGAATCTCTTCTCAGTCATTAAAGCCAAACTAACTGATACTGGGCAATCAACTTCCCTGTGCTACCTAGGGCTCTGTTTCTTCAGTCTGTGACACCCCAATGGGAAACTTAGCTCTGCTTGATTCTCCCAGCCTCAAGGGTACCTAAAATCCCTCTAAAGGTGTATGTTTCGCCAGGTTCTGCACTCAAAAGGTGCTCCTCTATGGTCCCTGTTCCCCGTGGGTGTGTACACAGCTTCCAGCTTCCTTCCACCAAGCACAGAGCCTGCTGAAAGCCATGGTGGCCTACACCATCTCAGGGAGTATATTTTCAGCCGAACAGAACAGGGCTCAGATCCTGACGTTGATTGATACTCGCTGCCTGTGGGACCTCAAGCAAGTTCCCTAAAAGAAAAGTTCCTCACCTGTTTCATTTCATGAGAATCCCATCCACGGTCCTCAGAGGGCTGGAGAAGGGACAATTGCTATGCTCAGTGGTTGGCACAAAGTAGGTTATCTTGATAGATGAGTTCCCTCTTCACCTCCCCTACTTGCCCATAAATCGTTTGGTAAGTTACAAGAAGCAAAGATAACATGATGCGGGCTGGGAAACAGGATAAGAGAGGGCAGGGACAGGGAAATAGAGGGCAGTCATTCTTTCTGAGCCCAAAAGTGGGAGGGATCCAAGCCCAACCTCAGAGACCATCCCCAAGCCATGCTGAGGCTCTGGGGACAGCTCGCTACAAAGCAGACACTACTGGCACCACATGGGTGGCTGGGAAACAAAGGCCCTGGCAGCCAAAGGGTCTCCAGGGGCACGTGGGTGAGATCCCACAAAGAGAAGGCATCAAAAAGAGGCCCCAAATCAAGACCTGATCACACATCAGCCACAATAAATAATGTTTGCTCAAAGGTGGGAGGTGGGGGGAGTTGGAAAGAGACAGGCCCTTATTGGAGAAGGCCGACTTGCATATCCAATGTGGAAGAAAAGCTTGTTTTGTATGTTATACAATGGAGACATTGTTCACAAATGCTTTGCCCATACATAATCAGGCCTGCCTCTGGTTATTACATAAGTCTCTGATAGTTTGAGATTCCAAAAATTAATTTATTTCTATACTTATTCATAAGAATAAATATTTCCTTTTATTTTTGTGTGCATACACGCACACATATCCATGCACAGAACACCACAGGCTCTAAAATGAAATTTAGAGATGAGCAAAATGTATTGACATATGAAATTGTTCAAAATGATTCTATCTAAAGGGATGGTGAACTTTGACTTCTTCAACACATCCTCCTCCAAGAAAAAGTGGAGGGATAATGTGGTTTTTATTTTCTTTCATATCCGCATTTTTTTTAAGAACAAGTCTCAAAATAGAAGCAAAGGCACTTTAACAGAACCTCTAGACAAATGAAAGGAGATTCTTTTCCTGCTAGTTCTAAGGGCTATTTTCCATCTTGCCTGAATCTTGATGTTCCCATCAACCAACACCAGGACTGGGGCATAGATAAGCATCCCCCACAGCGATCATGGGGGCAGCAAGTGTGAGTTACCTTATCAAATGTAGAAGAGGACACACACACACCCCCACACACAGCCAGGGCTTCTCCACTGCAGCACTAGTGACATGTTGGGCTGGATGACTCCTGTCACAGGGGGCTGTCCTGGGCATTGCAGGATGT
This sequence comes from Homo sapiens, assembly GCF_000001405.40. Classification (NCBI taxonomy): domain Eukaryota; kingdom Metazoa; phylum Chordata; class Mammalia; order Primates; family Hominidae; genus Homo; species Homo sapiens. The sequence continues at coordinate 113,002,448 of NC_000010.11, read as the reverse complement.
TCAATAGCATCCTTAGCCTCTGCCCACGAGATGCCAGGAGTACCTCCCAATGACTGGCCATGCTAAATGTCTCTAGACATTGCCAAATGTCCTCTGGTGAGCAAAATCACCAGCATTTGAAAACCGCCGACCTAAACAACTTGCATCCAGCAGCCCCAAGGAACAACACAGCAGCTCCCATCTAGCTTCTTTGGTCAGGATATCTGGCACACAACAGGCTCAAGGACCAGCTGACTGAACTGAAAACATCTGGATCAGGGTTTGCCACTTTGATACCTTTGTATGAAGTCCGAGGCCTCATACAAACCTGAACACAACCTACAGGCTTCATAAGTCACAGTTTTTCCTTCCTAAGAACAGGAGCTGGGGATGAAACCTGTCATCCCATTTAATTCTCATCATCATCCTTGGTGGAGGGTAGTACTGTGCCATTTCACAGATGAAGAAACTGAGGCCCAAAGAGAGATACCAGGATTTGCCTCACGTCTCGTAGCCTCTAAACAGCTGGGCTCAGACCTTAAAAGCCCTTCCTGCCTATGCTGATAATCAGAGACAAGGTAGTGCTGGGTTTCAAAGGGGCTTTTAATTCTTTAGGAAATTACTTTGGAGGAAAAGAAACAAACAAGACTATCTTAGTGAAGCCAGGCTTGGAGTCACATCTCTTCTGTTTAATCATCACTCAACACTCACAAGACAATAAAAATTCCCTTCGTGTAAACAACGAGTATGATCAAGGGTGAGTTGGTTTGGTTTGCTGTGTATGTGTTAGGGGGCATGATAGGGGGGTCACCCAAGCCATCTCTTATCCCAGTACCTCCAAACTTTCTTTGTGTCATAAACCAGAAAGGTTAGGGAGCCCTTTCAGGAGCTACCCTGCCCTGAGTAAAGTTTAGAGTAGTCCTCCCTCCAAACCAAAAGAAGAGAAGGGAAAAAAAAAAATCCACTTAATGATTGAACACTAAGGCATTAGAGATGTGGGCTCCGTAACCCAGCCAGCCAGCCACTTCTCTGAGAACCAACCTACCAGCTAACAGCACAGAACTCGGAGCTGGCTGGCTGGGGTTCTACTTACCCTGCAGGCATTTTTCTTATTTCAAAGTTTCTATTAACTCCCCACTGATGTGCCCTAAAAGAATTTTTAAGGGCTTGGAAACACATAAATAAAATACTCTTTGTTGGACCACTACAGCCAAATGAAAGTCTTTCACCTGCAGCAGTGACGATAAAAGTTTCAGGCCCTGCTTTCACAGGAGCCATCCGAAGACGGGAGAGCCCGGAGTTCTCAAACCGCCTGTCACTCTCCTGCCCTCCAAGCCAGCACATTCCCCAGCCAAGGGCAGGGCGAGGAAGACACGCTCACTGCACGAACAGGTTGCAGGAAGCATTCCTGACTCCAGGCCTGCCCTCCGGAGCACTCTGCGTTCCTCCTGAGCCTTCCAAAAATACCCAGTTAATCATGTTTGTCAAAACCCTGTTCACACATAAAGATGAAGCAGAATCCTTAGAGACTGCAGTGGAAGGCCGGGAAGTGAAGGGTGGGGGAATGGCCCTAGCGGGGTTTGGAGGAGAAGAAATAGGACCCAACCATATCAAACACCCAGAAAGAGAAAAATTAAGGTGCCTGTCCGACTGGAATAGTGCAGTAAATCCGATGCCACTGTCTTCAGGGGCAGAGCCTAGGGTATCCATATCTCACACTCATGTACCCAGAGCCTTCTCACAGAATTAGGATTCCTTGCCCTCCCCTCCGGGCCCGTGAGATGGCTTGCCAGTGGTAAGGATAACAGCAGCACTGCCAAAGGCCATCCTAAGCAAACATCACTGCTTTCGCTGTCCAGGAAAGCCATCATCCAAACTCCCACTTGGCAGCTATTGAATAGCTATGGTGCTTTGCTATGTGCTAGGCCTCAAATCTGGGCTGCTGGTTAAATCCAGGATCTGTCACTTTGCCTTTCTGGGCCTAAGAATTCCTCACCTTTAAAAAGACCGGCCATACTATGACCCACTCCCTACCAGTTGTACAACTGTACTTGTATTTGACAGTGGTCTCAAGCCCCAGTCCAGGCAGGTCTCGTCTTTTCTTCTTCCCTCCAGAACCTACAAAGTAGTGTCTAATTCACTACCATGCACCTGGGTAGTGAATTAGACAAACATTAACAAGGTATTGTTCCCTCTCTATCACAGCTTGCTCCCCAAGATGGTGCCTACACCCATCACAGATGGAGTAAACAAACAGAGTGAGACTCGTCTCAGATCTGGAAGGCTACTCAAGTGTCATCTAATCCCTCATTTCCCAGGTTGCATTATTCGGTCCCACAAAGAACATTGCAGATTTTCTTTAACTTTAGGACTTCTCAGAGCCTTCAATATCCTAATGAACATCTTCATTCTCCAAGAGGCAACTGCTTAGACAGTGTCCCCTAAAATTACTTAACCGTAGAATATCTGGAGAAAATTCTCAGGGCTAGCATCCTACAGGCCATAAACAGTCCACACCCCAATTCATTTTACAGATGAGAAAACAAGATCCAGGAGGTAAATCGAGATGGCCAGGATTAGGTCCCATGTTCTCCTAAACCCCAGGCCAGCTTCTGAATCCAGTCTGTGTGTCCTAGTTCTAACACGATATAGACAGGGGTATTGATAGACAAGACAGGAGTAACCACAAATACAAGTTATTTGGGGTCTCCAAGGATCCCCACTGTTCCCGAGGTTTATACTCAACAGCCATTAAGTAACAGGAAGTTCTAGAAGCATGCAAACCCTTAGCCCAGGATGTTTTCTACATACGCCTTATTTTTGTGACGAGTAACTGAAATTTCAGCGTATTCCATTTTTCATCCACACCATGAGAATAACTAACCAGCAACGCTATCAACCTGTGTTCAAGCCCCTCACAGAGAACTTCATCTTTTGGGTAGCTTCCTCTCCTCCTCCCAGAAAGCAAATTGAGATGGTATCTGCAGAGTGCCTCAAGCTTCTGAGAAGAAAGGCACCAAGCTAAGACAAGATACTATTATATAATAAGAAGGACTCGTAAACCTCCCCACAAAGACATTGGAAGCACACAGACTTGTTCAGGCCCAACGCCTAGTGCGCTACAAGGTGCCTCCCTGCCTCTCCCACAAATCAGGGATGGGGCTTCCAAGCCACCAGGTCATGGAAACTTAGCCACACAGAAGGCAAACAACAACACAGGACCATGTGAAGTCGTCTATTACACAGGCCTGGACAGACAGGGCTTCCCTGCAGCAAAGTATCTCATGGATTGGAAAGTCCCATGAGAATGGGGAAAGGCACTGCTTAAGAGAGGCTGAGGCAGGAGGATCATTTGAACCCAAGAGTTGGAGGCTGCAGTGGGCTATGATTGTGCCACTGCACTCCAGCCTGGGAGACAGAATGAGACCCTGTCTCTGAAAAATAAAATACTTTTTTTAATAGGAAAGTCTGGTATTCACTTTGCTGGGGGGAAAGCACAGAGAGCCTCAAATCCATCCACAAGCTAACACTAATGAAGAGGACATGGAAAAATAACCTCTCACACTGCTGATCAGTATCTTAATTTGATGTGATGTGATAACCAAGAAAAATACAAAGACATGCAAAAGCATTACAAATTATTAGAACTTTCACTATGTATTGTTGCCAGTCAGCAAACACAAAAAGCTAAAATGTTTATAGCGAAGAGATGAAATGTAGCAGTGAAGTGCCCAAGCTTCTCAGTCACACAGGCCTGTGTCCAGGGCCCCTCTAACCTTTTCCTAGTTATCTGACATTGACTAAGTTACTTGCCTTCCCTGTAACTGTGGTTTCTCGTCTGAAAACTAAGGGTGCCTCATACGGCAATTAAATTATATAGTATCTAAAAAGTGCTTAGCTCTCTAATTGTTCAGTAAATAACAGCTGTGCTAGGTTTTGAGGCAGAGAAAGCCCATGAATTTGTCACCATTTAAAAAGGAATCTTCTCTTTGGTCCGGCAGAGATCTCATCACATCTGCATTACCATCTGACGGCTCCCCCTGCTCAATCCTGCTTTCTCCCTTTTTCTTTCACATGTGCAACCCTCCAATAAAACTTTTGTGTATGTCTTCACATGTGAAAAAATTGGAAAGGTTTTAGTCCGATTCAATTTACAATTAAAGAAACAGATCCAAAAAGGAAATTCCAATTTTGTTCAAACAGAAAGTGACTAAGCAAGAAACAGAACCTGGGCTAAACTCGGTGGCTCACGCCTATAATCCCAGCACTTTGGGAGGCTGAGGTGAGAGCACCTCTTGAGGCCAGGAGTTCAAGCCTAGACTGGCCAACATGGTAAGACTCCATCTCTTTAGAAAAAAAAAAAAAAAAGTAGGACCAGAACCTGGGCCCCTCCTCCCCACCTCATCTCCCTTCACTCTCTGCATCTTCTATAGTAAATCAGGGATACCATATACCCCCACACCTTTTTTTTGTTTTTTGTTTTACTGTCAAGGCAATTAATTAATCATCTTTTGCACACGGGGTTGTAATACACTTAGAAATTTGAAGAAATTTACAGATACGTCAGGTGTCACTGGATTACAATGCAAGGTTGCAGGCAAAAACCTTCAGCCAAAGAGGACGGCTCTTACCTTCGAGAGCAGTACTAGAATTCATAAAGTATGAAATTAGGTCTCAGTGTGACACTCTAGGCCCAACAGAAACCAACATGGAATCTTGCTCCACCTGACTCCAGTCCTAAGATGGAAATTACTCAGAAGGAAGGCAGGACGAATATCGCTGATGAGACCAGGGAGATGTTTTACAAAGGCTGTCATCTGCTCGACCATGCCCCTCAGGTCCCTGGTCACTCTTCCTGGGGGAGAAGGTTGGTGTCAACCCTTTCACGAAAAGGCAGCAGCTCTACAGCTTACTGCCCAGTAAGGCCAATGGGCCTCTGGCCCCCTTTCTGCTTCTGAATGACAGAAAAGTGCCTATCATTGGATGGCACTACCATTGTTTCACTATCTCACAGGGGGACCCCAACCCCTCTCCCATTCAGCCTGGTGTTTCTCAGCCTTCAATCCACTGCCCTTTGGATAAACCAAAAACCGCTCCAAACCTCCCTTCATGTTATTTGAAATTTCAAAATAAAATGTCATGGCTCCAATCAAGACAAGCAAACTTTTTCCACCGCTTTTTAAAATGCTGATGTCCCTGTTGTCTGTCTAAACCAGCGTACCTTCAGTAGATGGAGATTGGCTCCAAGTTGAGAAACATTCTACCAGCTGTGGTATTTGAACCCTGGATTCTCAAAGACATCTAATACCCAAGGCTGAGTCAACCCTCATAATGGAGGAAAATTAACCATAAAACCCCTGGCAGACATTCTGCAATGTTTCTCTTCAGACACCTGCTGCCTCATTAGTTTGTGGGGGAACAGGACACTTGGGCAGGAACATTGTTAATTCCCTGGAACCACTTAGAATTCAGCTCAGCTCCTCACCACACCAACATCACTTTCCACCATCATGGCGGAGCATGAACCTCTCCTTTCCTCTCTCTCCCCAAGCCAAATGCTAACATCTCTGAGAAGCACAGTCTCCCTGCAGTCCCAGAAGAGCAAATGCCCTTGCAAGGTCCCCCAAAGCTGTAGAAATTCCCACCTCTAGAACCCTAGACTCTGGTCCCAGCTCAGCCTTTTAACGAACCATGACTTTCACTTCCCTCAGTGGAGGTTGAAGGAAACCATCTCTTTGGCCCCTTTTGGGTTCTGACTGAACAGCTAAACCTACACATTGGCCTTCAGGCTTCACCAGCACTGATCACTGGCCGGAAATCCCAGGTGCCCTCCAGAAGTCAGCTTAGGAGAGAGAAGGTAGTCAACCGTGGTCACTAATGAGCACTGTGGCTTCCATCAAAGGTCCTGACCAAAGCTTATGCTATTGGTTCCAACACTAAATGCTGAAGGCCAAGGTGAGGGGGGCCCTGGTTTGAGAGTGCAACCATCTGGATCCTGGGGTTTCCCTCCAAGGCCTGACATGTTGCATCTCTCCATAAAATATTTCCTTTAGTATCTTAGGTGCAGAGACCACAACATGGCCCCTTTTTTAGGTTTCCCATGTAAAATATTGAGGCTCTCCTCGGGCATCACCGAAAGCAGCATCTTTTCTTGATGCCATAATAGAGACCCTTGACAAGGGCCCCATATCACTTCGGTCGCCATATCCGAGAGGCTCATCCTCCTCCGAGAGTCATTTTTCTCAATGCACAACATTCACTTCTTTGCTTATTCTTTCACTGGGGACAACACAGCCTGATGAGCTCTAGAATACTAACCTAGGCTGCACCCCTAGCTGGCCTCTTCCTCACCTGTAAAATGGGATCCTCTGTAAATGAATGCCCACCGCATAGGATCAAGCTGTAAATGAGTTAATGAATGTAAAGTCCTTAGTCCATGCTGAGCACAAAATTTTTAAATAAATGTTTAAGTGGGAAATTTAAAAAATCTCAGCTCCTAGAGGCTCACAGCTATATCCCTACAGTCACTGGAAATTTGAGGCAAAGATTAAATAACTTATTTACTCACAGATATTTCTGGAGCCCCTAGACAATGAAGATGAAGCTGCAGACAGATGCTCCCTACCCTCATCAGGGATGGGGAAGGGAAGGGACTGCCAAATAAAGGAAGAGGCCAGGGCATGATCACGACTCTGAAGGAACCCCAGGGGCAGGCGCCAGCAAGCAGTGACTCTCAGGAAAGGGAGGTTTCCCAGAGGGCCTCTCCGAGGGAATGACCTTTAGGCTAATTTAACCAACACACCAGGCAGTAGTGGGCTTAGGAGAAGATAATTTGAGTCACAGAATAGCCCAGGTGAAAGGTCCTTCTAGATCAATCCCTTGTTCTGAGCTGCCTGATGTGGGGTGACTCGCCTGAAGTCACAGTGATACTCTGCAAGAACCGGCACAGTTCAGGGTCTCCCACTCCCAGTTACGCCTCCCGCTGCACCACCGGTGTCCAAGGAATTGCATGAACGTGGACAGCCTCTGTCCAGAGAGAGCAGGTGGTCACTCCCATCTCCAGGGCTGAGACAGAGAAACAACAACCAAGCAACGAACTCCAGCCACTGTCAGGAGACTTACAAATATCTCACCAATGGCCTCTGTGGGTAATGATGTGGTTTGCTTGAAACAAAAAAACGTAAGGCCGAACTTTGCCTACTGGGAGATTCTTCACCTCTAGCCCAGTCCCAAGTCAATCATCCCAAAGTTTCCTTCCACTCACTGGCCCGAGGCCTGGGTTCCCATCTCTACCCAGAGAGCAGCCCAGGGGTTCCCCTGAGGAGGAGGGTGGATCTAACATGACAGCCTTTTCTTTTCATTTGTTTTGAGACACAGTTTCGCTCTTGTTGCCCAGGCTGGAGTGCAATGGCATGATCTCCGCTCACTGCAACCTCAGTCTCCCAGGTTCAAGCGATTCTCCTGCCTCAAGCCTCCTGAGTAGCTGGGATTACAGGCGCCCACCACCAGGCCTGGCTAATTTTTGTATTTTTAGTAGAGATGGGGTTTCGCCATGTTGGCCAGGCTGGTCTGGAACTCCTGACCTTAGGTGATCTGCTCGCCTCAGTCTCCCAAAGTGCTGGGATTACAGGCATGAGCCACTGTGCCTGGCCTTCTTTTTTTTTAACAGGGTCTCACTATGTTGCCCAGGCTGGTCTCAAACTCCTGGGCTCAAGTGATCCTCCTGCCTCAGCCTCCCAAACCACTTTTTATAACCACTTTTTAAATATTGTTTCTGGCAATCAAAAGTCACATTTTGCTGTGCTGCCTAACACAACTGGTACATCACAGAACCCAAGGTTTTAAAAGTTTGGCAGCTCCCCAAAATGTTAAACAGTTATTTATTATATGACCCAGCAATTCCACTCATAGGACTATACCCAGGAGAAATGAAAACATGTCAATACAAAAATTTGTGCAAAATGTTCATAGTAGTGTTACTCATAATAACCAAAAACAGATAAATGAATAAACAAAATGTCTATCCATACAATAAAATATTATTTGGCCATAAAAAGGAATGACATACTGATAGATGCTACAATACTGGATGAACCTTGAGAACCGTATGCTAAGTGAAAGCAGACAGACACAAAAGCCCATAGATTTTATGATACCATTTATATGAAATGTCAAGAACAGGCAAATCCACAGTGATTGCCAGGGGCTGGGGGGAGAGGAAATGAGGAGTGACTGCTAATGGGTAAGGGAGGTTTCTCCTCGGGGGTGAGGAAAATGTCCTGGAGTTAGAGGGTGTGGATGACTGCACAGATCTGTGACTATACAGAAAATCACTCAATTGTACACCTCAAATAGGTGGATTTTATGGTTTCTAAATATCTCAGTAGAGCTGCTACTTTCTTTTTTTTTTTTTTTGAGACAGAGTCTCGCTCTGCCGCCCAGGCTGGAGTGCAATGGCATGGTCTCAGCTAACTGCAACCTCTGCCTCTCAGGTTCAAGTGATTCTCCTGCCTCAGCCTCCTGAGTAGCTGGGTCTACAGGCATGCGCCACCACGCCCAGCTAATTTTTGTATTTTTAGTAGAGATGGAGTTTTACCATGTTGGCCAAGCTGGTCTCGAACTCCTGACCTCAAGATCCGCCCGCCTTGGCCTCCCAAAGTGCTAGGATTACAGGCGTAAGCCACCGTGCCCAGCCACTACTTTCAAAAAAAAGAAAGAATAGACCTGAGGTTTGGCCCAAGACAGCTTGCGAGGCAAGAGGTGTCGTTTTTGCCCTGTCCCTCTCTTGTAGAGGGGATTCATCGTCCAACACTGTGTTTTAAGTGCTTGCTGGGATAACTTACAGATAACGATAAGCCCAGGTGCACCCTGAGGAATCTTGCAACCTAGGTACAGAGGCCCAATGCAAAGCAGAAGCAGGAGACAGCCCATGGCAAAAGCATTTTCTTTTTTTTTTCTTTTTTTGAGACAGAGTCTCACTCTATCACCCAAGCTGGAGTCCAGTGGTGTGATCTCGGCTCACTGCAACTTCTACCTCCTGGGTTCCAGTGATTCTCATGCCTCAGCCTCTCGAGTAGGTGGGACTACAGGTGCCCACGACCACACCCAGCTAATTTTTGTATTTTTAGTAGAGACAGGGTTTTACCATGTTGGCCAGGCTGACCTCAAGTGATCCGCCTGCCTCGGCCTCCCAAAGTGCCGGGATTACATGCATGAGCCACCGCGCCTTGCTGGCAAAAGCATTTTCACATGTGTGTTAATAAAGACCCATTCTCCAGGTCCTGCCCCTGGAAGACTCTGATTCACAAAATGGAGTGGGGAGAGGACACGTGACAAATCTCAGTTTTGAGAAAGTTAAGAATTACATGATCAGAAAAGTCAGGGGGACGTTAGAAATACAAGACAGTGGCCGGGTGCGGTGGCTCACGCCTGTGATCCCAGCACTTTCGGAGGCCGAGGCGGGTGGATTATGAGGTCAGGAGTTCAAGACCAGCCTGGCCAAGATGGTAAAACCCCATCTCTACTAAAAATACAAAAAATTAGCCAGGCGCGGTGTCAGGCACCTGTAATCCCAGCTACTTGGGAGGCTGAGGCAGGAGAATCGCTTGAACTCGGAGGGCGGAGGTTGCAGTGAGCCGAGATCGTGCCACTGCACTCCAGCCTGGGTGACAGAGTGAGACTCCGTCTCAAAAAAAAAAAAAGAAAGAAAAATATAAGAGAGTAACACTGCATTCCGGAGTCACAGAGGGGGTCTGCTTGGAGGTCCAGTCCTCAGGAGGGGTTTCCAGGGGCCAGAACCAAAGCATGGAGTCTTCCTCGAGAAACTCCAACCACCTCCTATCCTGAGTCCTAGGACTCTCTCTTCCCTCCCAGGAGCTCCGGGCACTTGGTAAAGATAACGCAATCTTAGCACCCTGCAGCCTCCGGCTCCCGTAGGCCCTGCTGGGCAGGCTGCACTCCTTTTGATTCCAGAAATGTTCGCCCAGCACTCGGGCAATTGGCAGTGAGCTGGAACTCGAACCCAGGAATCCCAACGCCCACAGATTCTCACCTCCAGCTCCAACAAAGGCCTCTCTGTCGGGTCTGGGTGTCTCCCGGAGGGCATGCATCCCTCCCAGGGCTGGGGGGCGGAGGCGAGGGTGGCGTGCGGAATGGAATCTATGCTACCGACGCACATTCACTGCTTCCCAGGTTGCCCAATCCCACTGCCTGAGGGGACGGATGGGCAGAGCTTTCTCTGCGCTTGGCAAGGGGTGTCCTGGAGGGACTGAGGCCCTAGACCACTCACGCCTCTGCCCCCCACCCCTCCTCAGGCTTCACTGCTCTCTGAGTCCAAGGCCTGACCAACAGGCCGCCTGGAGTCTGCATCCTGCCAGGGTAACAGGGCTGGGAATGAACAACGGAGCTCTTGTTCAGACATGCTTTGTAGCCAATGAGGTTACCCTCTGGAAATACTTCTAAATAAATAGAAAAGCCAGCCCATCCTGAGGTCTATATGCAGCCTGGCTTTTGGTGCAATGTACACCCTGGGGGCGTTTCACCCCTCCCCGGCCCCAACAGCCACCTCTGTATGTGGCTCATTCCACCTTCACAGTGATGTTTCCTCAGGAATCAGAGGCAGAATCCATAGGTTCGCCAGTGTGGGGCCGGGAAGCAGAGTGCCCCACGTGCCCTACTCCTTCCAAGGCTCCCTCCCCAAAAAGCACAAGGAGGAAAGGTCAGCTACAGCTGAACAGACCGACAGGGGCCTTCTCCAGGAAAACAGCAGCAGCCTGCGCTGTCTCTGCTCCATATGTAACAAGCCCTGACTAGATGGTGGGGACCATCTAAAGAGAGCTGGCTGTCCCTGTAGCAGCCTCTGAGCCTGACTCCCCTTGGCGGTGGCAGAGACTCACCCCATGGCTCTTCTCATCCTGGGGGAGGGGTTCCCCACTTTCTTTTTTTTTCTTTCTTTTTTTTTTTGAGATGGAGTCTCGCTCTGTCGCCCAGGCTGGAGTGCAGTGGGGCGATCTCGGCTCACTGCAAGCTCCGCCTCCCGGGTTCACGCCATTCTCCTGCCTCAGACTCCCGAGCAGCTGGGACTACAGGTGCCAGCCACCACGCACATAGAGACGGGGTTTCATCGTGTTAGCCAGGATGGTTTCGATCTCCTGACCTTGTGATCCGCCCGCCTCAGCCTCCCAAAGTGCTGGGATTATAGGCATGAGCCACCGCGCCCGGCCAGGGTTCCCCACTTTCAAACCACTCAGGAGCCTGGGGGTACAACCTCACATGGATACAGGATTCCACCCCCCTAGCAAGATCTCTGTTAGCTTCCCCAGTTCCCAGAGAGGGGAAGTGGGTCCCCAAAGGTGCTGAGACAAGCCAGGCAGTCCGAGTCTGGCCCACAACTTTGGCATGTCCACTCCACCTGGCAAGAAGGGATCCAGAGGCTGAGAGTTCCCAAGGAAGGCTGCAGAACTCACCTCGGGAAGAGTTCCAGGGAGAGAGGCAGTCCTGAGCTGGAAAAATAGGGATTTCAACACCAACTGACCAAAACACCAATGGATCAGTCTCCAATTGAAAAGCCTGTCTTGGGTAGCATTTTTCTCCCCAGAGGGCTTCCATCAAACGGTCTGTCTTGGCACTCAAAACCCATTGAGATGAGTACGGAAACGTTATTACCATTTTAAAGGTGAGAAAGTGGCTTGGCCATGTAAAAGACCTATAAGCAGCTTGGCTAGCTAATTTTTTTTATTTTTTATTTATTTATTTATTTATTATTGAGACAGGGTCCCACTCAGTCATCCAGGCTGCAGTGCAGTGGCACAATCACGGCTCACTGCAGCCTGGACCTCCTGAGCTCAATCGCCCGCCCACCTCAGCCTCCCCAGTAGCTGGGACTACAGGCATGCACCACCATGCCCAGCTAGATTTTGTTTTGTTTGTAGAGACAGGGTTTTGCCATGTTGTCTAGGCTGGTCTCGAATTTCTGGGCTCAAGCGATCCACCCACCTCAGCCTCCCAAAGTGCTGGGATTACTGGCATGAGTCATGCGCCTGGCCAACTAGCTAATTTTTTAGCAACCTTTAGGTTCCTGAGATTGTCTCTGCCCAGAAACTTACGGGACGGGGATGTATGCTGGGGAAAAGGTTGGGGGAGAAAAAATATTTTACAAACCTGAACTGCTCTGTTATTGAATGAATATAATTAAAAGTATACCCTCCAAGCAACAGGAAAAAATAATTCATGTGTCTAAGCTGAGATACCCTGGAAACTTGCAGGAGGACAATCACTAATAAAACACTCCTGGTCCCCACTGCTATGTGTCTAATTCCATGAAGAAATGACTGTAGCCACGTGCAGGAGTCCTGAGAGGCAGGCAATTGTCTTTATATTATTAACAGTAATGGGAAACGTACTACCAGGAATAATCATTTCTGCAACGTGCCAACCTGAACTTCCATTTCACTGTATGAGCTCCTGGGGCATCAAAGCCAACACATTCGCAGAAGCGCTCAATGAAAGGAGGAGGGGGAAGAGAAGAAAGCCCAGCCTTCTGCCCACCACCCTCCCCTCACCCCATCTATTAGAAAATCTATTTCTAAATAAATCATGAGGAAGCCCAATCTGCAAAATCTTCCATAGTACTAGGTGAGCCAGAACCCCCTGAAACACCACAACAACATTTTAGATCTAAATCTCAACATTTCATCTACCCCACCTTGGTCCAAATTAAATGAAATGCTATCACGCTGCTGTGTTTTAAAACAGTGTCCGAGAAGGTAGAAAAGGTTACCCACAGCAAGCAAGGACTGCCATCCTCACCATAGCAACGCGCCTATTTATAATATGGTCTACCTGCATCAAAGGCTTGTGCAGACACTCAAGGCAAGTCTAGTGCTACATCCCAGCCTGAAGATGAAGCCGCAAACTCTCATGAGCATGTCAGTGAAACACTTCCAATTACATTACATGCCATAATTATTAGCATTGACTAGCAATTTTTTTTTCTTCCTGCTCATATAAGAGTAAAGGGGAAGATGAATTAAGACAGTTTCTAGGACATAGAAGAAACCCAGCATGTAACTTTATAAAGTGTTTTGGCTTTTTTTCTTTTTTTTTTTTTAATGGTGAACTCCAGAGGCAGAGACAGGAAAGGGGGGTTGCTAAGGGAAGCCAGACCTGAGGCTGCGAGTCCTCACCAATGTCACGTGCAAGGCCTCAGTCACTCCAGCCAGAGAGGGAAATTCCAGAGTAACCCAGCTTCAGGTCTATACTGGACCTTGGAAAAAAGAGGCTTTCATTTTACAGGGAGACACAGGAACCTACATCTGATTATTCACTTGCAAAAGGATTCTGATTCACCTTGAGGGTTCACGTTAGCATTCTCAAAGAGAAACCCACCTAGACTCCCAGCAGCTGCCTCTCCCTTTGCATGTCAACATAGCAACCGCAGAGCATGACAGGACCCGAGCCTCAGACAAGGCCCAGACTCAATCCAGCGCTGCCACTTGCTAGCTATGTATCCCTGGGCAAGTCCCCTACCTTCTTTGAAATTCTGTTTTCTTATCTGTATAACGGGGATGATGTTTAAAGGCATTGTGAGTGTTATGTTGCAATATATAATGTCCATATATAGAGAAACTGGCAGATAGAGCTCAAAAAACACCTATTCTTTTTTCTTGTTGCTATTAAGGTTATTTCTGGAGGAATGATTGCTGAATAAACAAAGCGTGAGTTCCTACACAAGATAGAACCACAAGAGGACCTCAAAAATGTGAGCTTTCCCCTCTCTTAACATGCACATCACGGAATAATGCCAGCCCCATTTCATAACTGGAAAAATTGAGCCTAGGCTCATATTTGCATTAGTGATAATACTAAGGTTCAAACTGGTGTACAGAAAGGAAACTAAGAGAAAATTAAAGGGTGAGTGGCCCACTCGGCCTATCTCCAAAAGGAACCACAGATGGGAGGCAGGTAGAGAGTGACCCACACTATTCTCATTTAGTCAAGTGGAAGAAAGATAAAAAGGACGCCTTGAGCCAAGGGAAGTGGTACATAAGACAGAAGCTCAAAACAACACACGGGCCAGGTGCAGTGGCTCACGCCTGTAATCCCAGCACTTTGGGAGGCTAAGGCGGGTGGATCACCTGAGGTCAGGAGTTCGAGACCAGCCTGGCCAACATGGCAAAACCCCATCACTACTAAAAATACTAAAAATCAGCCCAGCCTGGTGGCAGGCACCTGTAATCCCAGCTACTCGGGAGGCTGAGGCAAGAGAATTGCTTGAACCCAGGAGACAGAGGTTGCCGTGAGCTGAGAGCCACTGTACTCCAGCCTGGGCAACAAGAGCAAGACTCTGTCTCAAAACACACACACACACGGGATTCACAGTCCCAAACACCCTCCTCTGATAAGTGTTATCTTTTTCCCAGTAAACTGTACATTCCTAAAGGGCAGGGATATGTTGCTGTATCTAGGATGCCTAGGTATGGCAATGGGTACATTACAGATCCTAAATAAGTATTTGTCTCTGGTGCGTTTTTTTTCCCCCATTGAGGCATTTTTATTTTATTTTTATTTATTTATTTATTTATTTTTTCATGGGTGTATTACACCCCTAGAAAAAGAATCCCAGGCTTTTTCCTCCTGTGTGTTTTCATCTCATCTCTTTGTGGTCCATGATGCCAGCTGAGGTCAGCACAATGCAGGCCAGCTGCTGGGACAGGAGCAGATGATTCTGCCATCTTTTTAGATCTTTGAGCTGCACATCAAATCTCCAGCTGACCACTTCACACTTGATAACCTGCCTGTGAGGTTCATCACAATCTTCCCTGCTTCGTGATGATCGGTAATTTCAAATTCGTCAATGCACCCATGCTTCATCATCACACTTAGAAACTGGACGACTCTGGAGCTCCACCTGAGAAGAACCTGGTGTTTGCTTCTCTTTCCCACATTGTTGACGCTCTTGAGAGCATCCGCCAGGACATTCACATACACCGTTATGGTAGTAAAAGGAGATTTGTTTATTTTGAATGCATTTGGGGGAAAAAAAAAAAAAAAAAACTTCTGCTTCCTGGAAGCTCCCCAGAAGTGGCTTATTTAAAAAGCAAAAGATACAGTATCATTTCATTTCATTATCACAACAATCCTTGGAGGGAGACAGTTTTACTATGCCTATTTTACAGACAAGGAAACTGAGATTTATTTGCTGCAGGTCATATAAAGTCACAAAGTAGCAAAGCTAGGATTCAAAGACAGGTCTAACTCTACAGTCAAGCTCTTAACTACCTCCTTTATCTTGATGTTTCTCTTGGCACATCAAGTGTATCTCGAATAGTTCTTAGCTACCAGAAGATGCTCGGTAAGTATTTTTAAAATAGAAACAAAAGAAATGAACAACTCGGGTTGTCGTTTCCAGTGCCCACAAAAGCCTAGATCGACCATAGCAGCGAATGCTTCAGCTTAAGCCTTGCAAATGACATGAGTAATTCTTCACAGCAGACATTCTGGAAAGAATTCAATGCATGTCTTCACCCACCAATATCTGCAAGAAAAAGCCCAGGAGCAAAAACAGTGACATAAAACAGGCTGGACTTGTTCAGGTCCAGGTATTAAAATTATACTGAACTAGAAACTTCCAAAACAGGGATCCAGTATGCCCAGAGAAAAAGGAGACGGAGGTGAGTGCAGCTCCCACTTAAGTGGGGTTCTCAAACATGACACTTCCTCAAAATCTTCCCAGGGAGGTGTGGAGGCTGCAAGAAAGGGAGGTACACAGAAAATGCTCTAATACATCCTCTTAACCACAGCCTGAGCATTTTTCCACCAGAGAGAAACACCAAGTGCAACAACAGTGACTTATAAGTGTGCAGACCGATTATAGCTTTACTTTCAAAAGAGCTTTGATTGATCTTTTTTGATAGACCTGAAATAAATTAAACTAGATTGACTCACTTGAGAATGGACTCTAATCCCTTAGTCAGATCCCAGAGAACTCAAACCAAACCAGCTGTTAATTTAGGCTTTATAAGATAAAGCATGAGAAATCCAAGTTGATGTACCCCAGAGCAAAGCTTACATCATCTCTGTAAGCAATCAACTCACTGCTTCTTTTAGGAACTAATCAGTTCTTGGGTAAGTGGGTGCCAAGCCTGTACTCTCAGAGCGAAACAAGCTCAAAGAAAGGAGGAAAGGCAAGAGAGGAAGAGAGAGAACCCGAGAAACATCTACTGACTCACTCCCCCCATGCAAGCTCAAAACCAACCCAAGACATTTTCATGTTGCTTTCCCAAGTCATCTGTCTCCTGCTCCATAAACAGCCAATGACTTGACCAGAGCCTGAGTACCCACATAACCACCAAGAAAGAGGAAGTGGCTAAGGCTCTTAGTGTTTCTGTAAAGGTGGGAGCGGGGGTGCAGAATTACCCAGGAAAATATTCCCCACTACTTCTTTACTCCCTCGTCTTTGAAGATCACACTGTCCCCTTCATCTTTGCTTCTGGGTGACTTTGATTTGAATATAGAAACTCCAAAGCTTTCAAGTGAAGTAGCGGCTGCCCATGGCACTAATAGAGTTAACAAGAATGCACACACACACACACACACACACACACACACAAACTACAGGCTTCTTTCCAAGCTAAACTCTGCTCACTAACAGGCAGCCCTCCCAACTTCTACCAGCATTTTTTGGAAAGGGATTAATGCCTCCATCCCAAGTGAAGGGGGGGGCATTCACCTCTAGGGGACCCCACCCACAGCCTCGCCCCAGGAGGCTCCAATCGAGGACCCTTCCACCCAAAAAAAAGCAAGGCTGCCAGCCTCTTGCTCCTAAACAATGATGTTTCATATAACACTCTGTTTACCGAACATAAGGGGATCAAGAATTGAAATCCAATTTAAGGAATTATGGTGCCTTCAGACTGTTTTTCCTCAACAATGAAAAAAGACAGGCATGTTGTTTCTGGACTTAGGCCAGAAGAAACTGATCCTTGTAGTAATACAAGAAAAAAGAAAGAAAATCAATGTATGTGTTTATATATTATATGTCTTGGGGGAGGGGGTCACTAAAATAAGAGTGAAAATGGGTAGCAAATGAATTCCCATGGAAGGATCCTGAAGTCCATTTGAAAGCCCTATTTTGATATCCATCTGACAAGGAGAATAGGGTTCATCTCTTACAGCTTCTGAGAAGCAGAAGAAATTTAACCAGAAGAGATGGAAGTTTGAAAAGACAAGAAAACCAACCACAAAGTAGCCACTTGCCTTCCCTAGAAGTGAAAGGAACCAAAGTACCCCAGCAACAGCTAGAGCCTGCCAGGATCACAGGTATCATTTCCTTTCCAATAAAGTAATCACCGTTGCTCTTTCCTTAGCATGGGCCATTGTGTCAGCACTGTGGCGCTGTACATGTTATCCCATTTAATCCTCGGAGAGAGGTTTTATCCCCATTTTATAGATAAAACTAAGGCTCAGGGCGGTCCCACAGGCAATAAACGGACACTGCTGACTTGAGTCCCCAGCTACGTCTGACTTCAGTGCCAAAGCGTTTTATCCATCATCCCAGAACGCCTCCTTATCACAACAAAAATGCTTAACTTCAGATAAAACAACACTTTTATGGCTTCTAATTAATTGGTCTTACCACTGCATCCATCCTGTGGGGGCATTTCACAGATGAGCAAACCAAGACCCAGAGAACCAGCTATCTGCAGCCAGATAATTTAATAGCAGACCTAGGAGTGTTCAGAGCTCCTGGGCCCCTAACTTCAATTACTAAGCTTCATCCTCTCCCTTAATTAATTCTTCCCCACTGCCATACACAAAGACAAGGTTCTCCCCAGAGAAAAATGCCTCATCTCACAATGCACTGCCTGGGGAAATAGTTTTATTGTTGGTATTAATTTTTTTTTAGAGGGAGGGGACTTAAAAGGGGTGGGGGGCTATGCAATTAAGTAAATTAAGACATTTCTGATAGGTAGGGAATAAATCATCACTTAGAGGAACTAACCAATTAAAGAGGTAAGGCACTGCTCTTGCTAAAAAGCCATGCCATCAGCCAGAATGCCCGGGACAAATTAGAGTAAAGGAGGGGAGGAAAACAGGCCTTCCGCAGCCTAAGGCCACTGAACAGCTATAGAGTTCTGGCAAATGCCAAAAAAAAACAAAAACAAAAACATAGCTTTCTGATTCACAAAGCCTGCTGAAACACAAGTCTTCTGAAGGGGGCTGGGGAAGGGTGGGAAGGTATAACCTACTGTTTTACAGCTCCCCAAGTCAAAAGGAGGTAAGTACGGGGGGAAAGTCTATTGACCAACACTGCTTTCTGATTTCTCTTTTCATTTTGGCTTCTGAAAGCTTAAAGACAGATAGCAATAAATAGATCCCAAAGCACTGTGTTTTAATTCAGCCTGCTGCAAATGAGGGAGGTTTAAACTGTACCTTCTGGAATCAGAAGGTGTAAAGAAAACAACGGTTGTTTTCAAGTCGACTGGGAGAATCGAAGTTATGTCTTCACCACTCTTGAGAATAAATCATTCTGGACAAGCTCCCTACTGCACCACTGTCATCTAAGTTTATGTGTGAACAGGCCTGGGTTCGTGGCCACTAACTGATTGCTTCCTCAGGAGAGACACACAAGAAAGTTCCAACAAGCTGACCTATGCTGTGTGCACAGACTCACCTGCAGTGAAACACCAGTGCCTTCTCCCATACGACACAGGCACCCAGGGACCCTGGAACAGTTAGCTTCCAATCACAATTTCCAAAGGTCTCCTGTCCCTAGTAACCAACTAACACCACTTGTCTTTGAGGCAAATTGGAGGCTGTTACACGCTTATTACAAACTCAGACAAACAATAGCCTGACCACAGAGGCCCAAGGGAAACCCCACATAAAGAAAGAAAGGAGTGTTAATAGGTTCGCAAGGCAGGATGCAGACCTCTGCCATTTGAGAACTGAAAAGGATGACTTTTTAATTAATTAATTTATTTATTTATTTATTTGAGACAGAGTCTCGCTCTGTCGCCCAGGCTGGAGTGCAGTGGCGCGATCTCGGCTCACTGCAAGCTCCACCTCCCAGGTTTACTTACACCATTCCCCTGCCTCAGCCTCCGGAGTAGCTGGGACTACAGGCGCCCACCACCATGCCCTGCTAATTTTTTGTATTTTTAGTAGAGACGGGGTTTCACCGTGTTAGCCAGGATGGTTTCGATCTCCTGACCTCATGATCTGCCCGCCTCGGCCTCCCAAAGTGCTGGGATTACAGGCATGAGCCACCGTGCCCGGCCTAAATTTATTTTTTTAATGAAGTATTAAGCAACAGAAATCTGACAAAAAAAAAACAAAAAAACAAAAAACAAAAACAGAGCAGACGTTACAACCAAAAGGCCACAAATTCCTGCCTTGCTGTCACTAATTTCATGCCCATCAGAAGCTAAATAATAATTATAAGTCCCATCTCACCCCCAGGCTTTTTGGTTTCCCTCCATGGGGAGACAAATGATATCACAACATGGACTCTTTCACCCTAACTCTCTTCAAAGGGTATTCTGGGGCCAGGGGCAGTGGCTCACACCTGTAATCCCAGCACTTTGGGAGGCCAAGGTGGGCAGATCACTTGAGGTCAGGAGTTCAAGAGCAGCCAGGCCAACATGGCAAAACCCTGTCTCTACTAAAAATACAAAAATTAGCCGGGCGTGGTAGTGCGTGCCTGTAGTCCCAGCTACTCGGGAGGCTGAGGCAGGAGAATTGTTTGAATCCGGGAGGTGGATGGAGGCTGCAATGAGCCAAGATCGCACCACTGCACTCCAGTCTGGGCAACAGAGTGAGACTCCATCTCAAAGAAGAAAACAAAAATAAAGGGTATTCTGGACTACTCTTATTCAGGAGAAATAACTCAAGTCCAGATTCCGCTATGAGGTACTAAGCAAGCGGGGAAAAAAAGAGATATGCGCCACAATATATCACCACTTGTAAGCTTGGCAAGAGTTTTAATAACAACTGTGTTAGGGTGATCAGCTATCCCAGTTTGCCCAGAAACACCCCACTGGGAATAGTCATAAACCCAATAAACCTTTCTTATGTGCCAGGTACTGGACTAGGCCCCTGTGACAGAGCCTCACATGAATCCCCGTGATAGGCCAGTCTTCTCAGTAAACCTGCTTTTCACAGATGAGAAAATAGAGCCACATAGCAATTAAGTAACCTGCCCAATTAAAAAGTTTCAGCCTTATGTTATTTTTTAAAAAAAAAAGTGGTGGAAATTAAATACTGGGATAGAGAAAAGTTCATACTTCATGGAGAAATTTTGACCTGGAAACTAGTTAATGAGGAAAAATATTCCCTCCCAAAGGAGATGATAGAAAAGCAGGGAACCAGGAGAAATACATAGAATGGGAAGATCGATCACAAGTTCATCTAGATGTTTCCAAAATAGTCCACAGACGTATTACATAAGAAGCAAAGACAGAGGGATAAGAATCCCCAGGTGGGGAGCCTGTGAGTTAGCAGGACAGGAGCAATAATTCTGAAGCCACAGCAGTCTCAATATTCCTGGGGGCTGGCATGCTGGGGCTGCCTTGCCTGAGACTTCCACCGACCAGGAGTCCTGGTCACTTTGGTTCCCATGCAGCCAAATGTAAGAGCTGTGATGGCAAAAGGAAACCACAAACCATGACCAAAACAGAAGTCAGATCGAAAGATAAAAATCCACTCTCAGGGCGAAAGAAACGATAAGAGAACCACTGAGGCCGAAATCAAAACCATATCTGCTTTGCATGTGGCATGTGGTTTTCTCTGTGTACTTTTTACAAGTCACATCATTGGTTCCCGTCACATTTAAGTCATTGTCGGGCTCCTTTCACTGCTATGCAAACTTGGTGGCTGGAGATGATCTTGACCAAAAATTCCAAAGAGGGTGGTGGTAGGAAACACCAAACTCTCAATTTATGACTATTAAATAAACAGTTAAGGATGGCGGAGGTACCAACCCAATCAGCAAAAACTAACTTGATGCTTTTCCTAAACGATCCTAAAATGACAAAATCATGTCAGGAGTATTAGGATTTATTTTCTGATAGAGATAAACTGGCAAATTTAACCAAGCTGAAAAGTCACCCAAGCAAAACACAGCTTTTCCCCTTTTTTTCTTTCTTTATTTTTTTTTTTTTGAGGACGGGTCTCTTCCAAGGAAAGGGGCCCATCACATTATTGATGCCCTTTACTTGCTCAAATTCAAGCCCTGAGTGCCAATTCTTCAGAGAGAAACAGCTTCACAAATCGTATCTTCTGTGAGGAGACATTTCTCATCTGCTTTCACCATTATGAAAATGTAGCAACAGCAACAAGTGACAAGAAAACACAAAGCAAAGCAGGCTGCCTAAAACATACTGGTGGTTTGGTAAGAATGTTCTTAGCTTAGGGACACTTTCAAATCTTCCTTTAAGTTCTCTTTCAAGAAAAAAGTGTCTTTATACATTGCTTCAGTGATTTCTCTTTTTAATTAACAGGAAACTCTTGGCTTCTTCAGCAATTATTAAGAAACAAATGCTTTGGCCGGGAATGGTGGCTCACGCCTGTAATCCCAGCACTTTGGGAGGCTGAGGCGGGCGGATCACGAGGTCAAGAGATCGAGACCATCCTGGCTAATACTGTGAAACCCCGTCTCTACTAAAAATACAAAAAATTAGCCGGGCGTGGTGGTGGATGCCTGTAGTCCCAGCTACTGGGAGGCTGAGGTAGGAGAACGGCATGAACCCGGGAGGCGGAGCTTGCAGTGAGCCAAGATCGTGCCACTGCACTCCATCCAGGCTGGGCGACAGAGTGAGACTCCGTTTCAAAAAAAAAAAAAAGAAACAAATGCCGCTGGATTCCAGAATAAAAACTAGTGACTTAAGACCAGGAGGAGGGAAGCAGGGGAGGTTTGTTTTTGATTTTAAGGGTAAGAATCTAGTTCCGAACTTCGTGACTCCCGGAACACTCCTGAATTGAGTCTGATACATTTCATAAATCAATCAAGCCCTTATCTAGATAACTCACCATTTCATTTCTGTATCAAATTAAGTAGCCCTGGGTCTTTTGCTATATATTTATATCTTAGAAGCTAATCCAAAGGACAAAAATTCCTCTCTGCACATTACTGCAAGATTTCAGCTTTGCTATTACATCAGAAAGCAGTAAGCTCACCAGGACAAAAACCACAGAAGGCCCTGAAAAGACTTGCCCCCAACATACACTGGCCATTCTAACCCGCAAAGCGGAGGCTTTCTTTTCCTTAAGGGTCTGTTCTCCAGAAATTCCCTTATTCACTGCCTGCCCAGTTCACACTGTGTATACCCCACCCTCAGGAGTATAAACCTGACAAATGCTTTTGAGCCAAACCAGACAGAGTCCCCCATAAAACTCATGGAACACAACAGATGATTCTTTCAGCACAAATACCTTCAGATTTGGAAGCACATCCTGATATGTTTCTTCCAAGTTCATTTAATTAATAGTACTTACTTGTTCTTAAATGATTTGGAAGACTCCCATTGGGCAGGTCAAATCATGGGCTAAATGTGCTGGGGCTTTTTGGTGGAGATGCTAATTTAAATTTTCTCAAAGTATTTTACGTACATTCTACTGGTAACTAGATCAGAAAATTCAGATTCTCAGAATTCATAGTGTTGAAACATAACTGTGAGGTCTTCGTTTATTTTTTTTATTTTTTTTATTTTTTTTTGAGACAGGGTCTTGCTCCGTCACCTAGGCTGGAGTACAGTGGCGCCATCTCTGCTCACTGCAACCTCCGCCTCCCAGTTCAAGCAATTCTCCTGCCTCAGCTCCCCAGTAGCCGGAATTACAGGTGCATGCCACTACACCCACCTAATTTTTTGTATTTTTAGTAGAGACAGGATTTCACCAGGTTGGCCAGGCTGATCTCGAACTCCTGACCTCAAGTGATCCGCCCGCCTCGGCTTCCCAAAGTGCTGGAATTACAGGCATGAGCCACCGCACCCAGTCTATTGTCATTCTTTTACTGGTTCTTCAACTAAGCTGAAACTTGGAGAACGCCAGAAAGTGGTATAAAATCCTAACGAATTTGACTCTGGGATAAAAGATGTGCCCGGAATGGGCACTCAATGTGCACCATGACCTCATACAATGAACTGTCCCCAGTTACAGAAAACAAATTCTAGGGCTTTAACCTCCACTTACACCCAGCACTTCCAATCATTAGATTTATGGGTACTGAGGCAAGAGTGCACAACCATGAATGTCTTGGCGGTCCATTGCCAAGCTCCTTATGCACTCCAGTCTTTTAAGTTCTCCTTTCAACAGGCGAAGTCTCCAAGGCCAGTCCACTCCATGAAAGATGAAAACCCCCCAAATCAAAAGAGAAAAAAAACAATACCAACTCACTAGGGGGCTTTAGCACCTCCTCCCCACATAAAAGAGGGTTGGAGTCTTCTAAGAACATCCTTGGCAAAACCAACAATGTAGGAGTAGGGATAAAAAGTGGAATCATAGCATTAGGAGATATACCTAATGTAAATGACAAGTTAATGGGTGCAGCACACCAACATGGCACATGTATACATATGTAACAAACCTGCACGTTGTGCACATGTACCCTAGAACTTAAAGTATAATAAAAATATATATGTATATTTTAAAAGAAGTGGAATCATATATTATTATATAAAAATCACAAAATCTGGCCGGGCGCGGTGGCTCACACCTATAATCCCAGCACTTTGGGAGGCCAAGACAGGTGGATCACAAGGTCAGGAGATCGAGACCATCCTGGCTAACACAGTGAAACCTCATCTCTACTAAAAATACAAAAAAAAAAAAAAAAAAATTAGCCAGGCGTGGTGGCAGGTGCCTGTAGTCCCAGCTACTCGGGAGGGCTGAGGCAGGAGAATCGCATGAACCCAGGAGGCAGAGCTTGCACTGAGCCGAGATCGCACCACTGTACTCTAGCCTGGGTGACAGAGCAAGACTCCGTCTCAAAAAAAAAAAAAATCACAAAATTCCTGGGAATGAAAGCCAAAAAAGACTACTATGAGAAATTAGGATATGAGGTCCTTATACATCCTAATGAGTTTGAGGTACAGAAAACACCAATATCTAGCTCTGAAAACTGCCTCTCAAGTTCAATGCTTTCATTCACCTAATCAGTATACATTCAGCACCCACTATGTGCAAAGCTGGGTCACCACTTAGTAGCTATTAAAAAATAGAGAGGGAGATTTTTAAATAGACAAGACCTTCTAGACTCCATTTCAAATATGCATAAGACATATATTTCAAAATAATAATCCCTCTTAACTGTTTTCCAATAGAGAATCAAATGCCCCAAGATATCAATTTAAATTTAGCTGTCCTTTTTCTTTCTCTCTTTCAAATCATCATTAAGCTTTCTGGCAAGAGCTTTTTCTAGGCCTCCTGTTACAAGGCTTAGCAGAGCCCATACGGGTTTCAGGGTTTAGAAATAGAGAAAGGGAACCTCAAATTTCCTTTATGTTTTGGGCTGTCAATAGCATTTAGGAAAAACAACTCCTCTCCTTTCTGCTTCGTATGTTTTCCTTATTGGTTTATTTACACAGCGCTGCTCCCCGACAGCAGGCAGTACATCGTTTGGTCATTGCTGCCTTTCCCCGCCATTAGTGCAGGCTGCTGAGACGACACCCCAGCTGCCTCCCCCGAGTGGCCTGCGGCATCGGCACATCCCTTTCCCCCAAGTGGTCCCCTCTTTGACTAATGTTCACCAACACTCATACATCATTCCCAAATTGGTCCAAATGAATTAAACACAGCTCTGCTTAACATTATGAGATTTAAATGGATTTTCTCTCTACAGGTCTGCCCCATAATTGGGTTTATCCATCTTGTTGAAGTACAGTTTACACTTGCTAACATCACGCCAGTTCAAGCTACATTTTCTGCTCCAGTGGCAGGAGCAAGGCAGATTTGTCATCGGATCATAACAGGTAATTCAAACAACAATTAGTTTGATGACGGCCCGTATGTCAATGTCTGCTCCCAGCAGCCTGGCTCACACCCTATGCTCTCTGTTCCTCAAGATGAATTGTCTTCACAATTCTTCAATTTCAATCATCAACAATGCTTACTGAATCAACTTAAAAACTGTTGACACAAGACTTCTTCCCTACAGGGCAGCCTCACCAAAGCCCTAGTGAGAAGAATCTTCCAGTACCCCTAGAATGGGCTACTATCACACACATCCATTTTCAAGCCTTGGAAGATTTCTGGTTTGCAACCAAAGCTATTTATTCTGGTGCTTCATCTCAACCTCAAAAATCTGGGAGGCACGAGGTTTGGAAAGAGAAAAGAATGAATCTGTCTGTGCAGGCTCATCCATCCACAATTAGGAAAACATCTTGTTTAAAATTTGTTTTGAAGTCCCCTGCAGGAATGAATGACAATTGTCAAAGTGTATGAAAATATTATGATCTGACAGGTAATGCTGCCTGACATTTAAAAAAAAAAAAAAAAGGTAATATTGCTTTTAAAAGCCAACTAACCTCTAAGCATTCTGAAAATCAGAAGATGGTCATAGAAATAGACACCAGTCCAACCATAGTTACCACTGTTTGGATGATGCCATAGTCTCTAAGACAGCAGTGCAAATTCACGCACTGATGGAGAGCTGGAATCAAAATCTAAGATACGTGGAAAAGAACACCAAGTTGACAAAGTGGTCGAACACTCATCTCAAACTACCTGGCTGAGCACAAAAACAAATTATTTTTGGTCTTTCATATTATAAAAGGGGCTGTTATTTAAAAATTCTAAAAGCACACTTTGTTACCTCTAATATACACCTACCCCAATCTCACTTATATACTGTTTCCTTTCTGCCCACAATTAGATATTCAAACACATTCACACCCCTAGTTGTACACCTACGATGTCCCAGGAAATTAGTGCATGGTGCTACAGGGATATAAATATGAGTAAAACACAATCTCTGAGTAAGACACAATCTTAGCCCTTCAGAAGTGCTTATATTCTAGTCAAATGTAACAAGGACCCAGCAAAAAATTTTCAGTGACATAAGAGAAATGCAAACAGCAACCAACAGGAATAGGAGTCATAAATCTTTGTTACACAGCAAAGATAGTCCAAGTTATCAAATTTATCATGTGTGATGCTCTTGACAGGAAATAAAAAATACACAATGCATGTTGGGATAAAGCATATTCTAAATGTGCAAACAAGTACTTCATAATCCTCAATGGTAAAAATAGCAGCTTACATTTATCAAGCACGCTTCCCTGTATCATCGTACTGCCCAGATCATTATATATCTTACCTTGTTTAATCTCCCAACTCTAGAAACAGGTACTGCCATTATCCCCATTTTACAGATTTAGGAAACTGAAGCTTAGCAGAGCCGACACTCAAACCCAGATAGATATACCTGACTCCAGAAGCAGGAACTGAACTATTCACCTCCACTCGTACCTGTTTCTTTAAAATGCAAAGGTAATATAGTATAATATCAATGGTAGGATGCATGCTTTAAACTATTAGACTGAGTCAGAGGTTCTCAACCAAGGGATGATTTTGATCCCCAGGGGACATGCAGCAATGTCTAGAGATATTTTCAGTTGTCACATTTTTGTTGGGTGCCAGTGGCATCAAGAGGGAAGAGGTCAATGAATGGTGCTAAATAAACACCCTACAGGCCGACCATGGCGGCTCACGCCTGTAATCCCAGCACTTTGGGAGGCCGAGACGGGCGGATCACTTGAGGTCAGGAGTTTGAGAACAGCCTGGCCAACATGGTGAAACCTCATCTCTACTGAAAATACAAAAATTAGCCAAGCATGGTGGTGCACGCCTATAATCCCAGCTACTGGGGAGGTTGAGGTATGAGAATCCCTTGAACCCAGGAGGCAGAAGTTGCAGTGATCCAAGATCGCAACACTGCACTCCAGCCTAAGCAATAGAGTGAGACTCTTGTCTCAAATAAAAATAAAAATAAATAAAATTTAAAAATAAACACCCTACAATGCACGGGATGGTCCCCTGCAACGAAGAATTCTCCAGCCCAAAATGTCAACAGTGCTGAGGCTGAGAAGTCCTGCATTAAGTCATCCTATCTCATCCAGCCCCTACTACTAACCAAAGACACAGACATGCCAGTTTCCAGACCGAGCCTCAATCTGGGTGGAATGTGGTATAACCAAGTATTTTCCTAGCTGCACCCCTTAAAACACTAGGATTTTGTGAAGATGCTTCAAAGACTCCACATATGTTTGATGTGAATGTTTCTTTTTATAACATATAAATATAGAGATAATATAGTACACGTACCTACTTTTAAACTTTATTTTTACATTTCAATGTAGTATTCATTAACTATTAAACACACTACCATCCAACCAGTGGTTTTGGTGGAACCCCCGGGAACAGGTAATGCCATTTCTGTTTAACTGAAGTGGATGCTAAGATTTCAAGGCAAACCAGTAAAAAAAAAAGAAAAAGAAAAAAAAAGAAGCAACCACTTATCTGTTTGATCAGGATTTGATACCATGCAACCAAATCAAACTCAAGAAACAAATTAACTACTAAGCCTGATAAGCCTGTAAATGTTGGTCACAACCCATTTAGAAATTTCTGTGCTCAGCTAAACAATCCCATGATTTTCAGGGACTTTATAAAATAATATTATAAAGTAGAATTTACAAAATGAAGTTATGCTAAGAAAATACCAGCAGACAGCCGGGCGCGGTGGTTCATGCCTGTAATCCCAGCACTTTGGGAGGCCGAGGTGGGTGGATCATGAGGTCAGGAGTTCAAGACCAGCCTGGTCAAGATGGTGAAACCCCGTCTCTACTAAAAATACAAAAAAATTAGCCAGGCATGGTGGCAGGCACCTGTAATCCCAGCCACTCGGGAGGCTGAGGCAGAGAATTGCTTGAACTCAGGAGGCAGAAGTGGCAGTGAGCCGAGATCGCGCCACTGCACTCCAGCCTGGGCAACAGAGCGAGACTCATCTCAAAAACAAAAACAAAAAAAAAGAAAATACCAGCAGCTGACTGCCATAGGTCAGACCTCGAGGCCCACCTGCCGTGGCCCATAAGAGGCACACGTATGGCTGATACGACAGTTGTTTTTTTCTTTCTGGTAGTTCCAGTTAAAGACTACCAGACATTGTCTTGGTATCCTCACCAGCCCTCTTCCGAACTAAGTGCCCTAATATGGTGGAGAATGAACAGATACAAATATCTCAACTCGTACAAATACAATGATATAATTAAAACAGATATAAGTTTTAAAATGATATAAGTAAAAACGGTAAAACTAGATTGTTTTATTTTATCTGGCCAATGTAATCCAATTGCTATTGGCTTAGACAAGATGATAACCTCTCCTGGAAAGATAGAAAGAAAGCCGTGTTGAAAGATAGCTGCACTGGACTCCTGGATTCTTGTCTTGTCCCGTGTCCACCAAGTGGTAAGAACTGGGACCAACCCATTCACCTCCATGCACCTGTTTCCTTGCCTATTAAAATGGACTGTATCAGCCTGGGCAACAAGGTGAGACCCGTCTCTACAAAACAATTAAAAATTGGCAGGGTGCAGTGGCCCCCACCTATAATCCCAGTACTTTGGGAGGCCAAGGCGGGCAGATTACTTGAGGTGAGGGTTCAAGACCAGCCTGGCCAACATGGTGAAACGCCGTATCTACCAAAAATACAAAAATTAGCCAGGGCGTGGTGGCAAGAACCTGTAATCTCAGATACTTGGGAGGCTGAGGCAGGCGAACAGCTTGAACCCAGGAGGCAGAGGTTGCAGTGAGCCGAGATGGCACCACTGTACTCCAGCCTGGGTAACAGAGTGAGACTCCATCTCAAAAATAAATAAATAAAATTAAAATTAAACAATAAAAAAGGCTTACAATAGTTGTTCTCTAGTGTGACTGTGTGCATTAGAATCATCCAGTGTGGGGAAGTGGTAGCAGATTCCAGGATCCCCTAGACCAGATGCCTCAACCTGGCCTGCTCACTAAAAGCTGGGAAGCTTTTGCAACCCAGGGATGCACAGGCCACAACCCCCAGAGATGCTGACTCGGTTGGTCTAGGGCAGGGCCTGGGCTGAATATTGTTTGAAATGCTTCCTGAGTGAGTATAACCTAACAGTCCAAGCTGGGAACCCTTGCCCTAGTCCGGTGGTTCTCCAAGAGCTATCCCCAGAGAAGGAACACAGCATTAATTAAAAGCTTGCAAATGTCAGGACCCGTTCCAAGCTTACAGAACCTGACACCCTGGGGGTGGATTCCCAGTCTGCTCTCCGGGTGCCCTCCAGGTGATACTTGAGCTTGTGAAACACTGACCTAATCCCTAAATGAGAATCTCCAAGGAGTAGAACCCAGGATTCTGTACTTTTTACCAGGTCCCACGTGATTTCTATGTGTGTTGCCCAGAAGGCTGGTTGGTAGCCACTGCTGTAAGGGAACCCCTAGACCACTGTGAGCATTACTTTGAGCAGGCAATAGTTACCATAAGCCTATGTAGGACAATCTCTCTCTAGTCACACTGTCTGGGTTTGAATCCTAATTGGCCTTGGGCAAAATATCTCAGGTATCTGTTTCCTCATTTACAAAATGAGGATAATGGTGATAATACCAGTAACTACACCTTTCAAATTTCCCTCTGTGTTGTTATGAAGAATCAATAAAGAATTCACATATGCTGGGCGCGGTGGATCACGCCTGTAATCCCAGCACTTTGGGAGGCTAAGGCAGGCGGAGAGCTTGAGCTCAGGAGTTAGAGACCAGCCTGGGCAACATGGCGAAGCCCCATCTCCACTAAAAATGCAAAAATTAGCCAGGTGTGGTGATGCATACCTGTAGTCCCAGCTACTCAAGAGGCTGAGGTGGGAGAATCACCTTAGTCCAGGGAGGTCGAGGCTGCAGTGAGCTATGATCACACCACTGTGCTCCAGCCTGGGTGACAGAGTGAGACCCTGTCTCAAAATAGTAATAATAATTCACAAAAAGCATTTAACACTGGATCCCTCAAGAGAATTCAATAAGCATAAGCAGCTATTATTACTAACTACTGTTATTGCCTCTGACCCCAAAGTCTAAGCACCTTATTGTCCAAGCTACTCTTCCATAAACAAATGCTTTTTCTCAAGCTTTGCAAAAGTATCTGGCTGTCTTCACATAAGAATGGGAAAATAAAGGCCTCAAAAACTCACTGGAACATAAGGGCAGTCCAATTTCTCATTCAAAATAAGAAAATATTATCCCAATGTAGTACTTAGCCAGCCCTCACTTTTTATTTGGCTAGTGAAAATGACTGGGACAGCCAATAAATGATCAATTGATTGGTTTCAGAAGACTCTAAGGCAGCAATTCTCAAACTTCAATAGGTTGAAAATCACAACCCTGATTAAAAATGACGGCCAGCGGGAGGCTAAAGCAGGAGAATCCCTTGAACTCAGGAGGCAGAGGTTGCAGTGAGCCGAGATCGCACCACTGCACACCAGCCTGGGAAATAGAGCGAGACTCCGCTTCAAAAAAAAAGGAAAGAAAAAAATGACGGCCAGGCCCAGTGGCTCACACCTGTAATCCCAGCACTTTGGGAGGCCAAAGCAGATGGATCACCTGAGGTCAGAAGTTTGAGACTAGCCTGGCCAACATGGTGAGACCTCGTCTCTACTAAAAATACAAAACTTAGCTGGGTGTGGTGGCACACACCTGTAGTCCCAGCTACTCAGGAGGCTGAGGCGGGAGAATTGCTTGAACCCGGGAAGCGGAGGTTGCAGTGAGCCGACATCACGCCACTGCATTCCAGACTGGGTGACAGAGCAAGATTCCATCTCAAAAAAAAAAAAGTAACTCCTGTCCGGGCGTGGTGGCTCACACCTGTAATCCCAGCACTTTGGGAGGCCAAGGCAGGAGGATCATCTGAGGTCAGGAGTTCAAGACCAGCCTGGCCAACATGGTGAAACCCCCGTCTTTACTAAAAATACAAAAATTAGCCAGGTGTGGTGGTGCACACCTGTAATCCCAGCTACTCAAAAGGCTGAGGCACGGGAATCGCTTGAAACCTGGGAGGCGGAGGAAAAACCTCCAGCCTGGACAACAGAGCAAGGCAGAGGAAAAACTCCAGCCTGGACAACAGAGTAAGGCTCTGTCTCAAAAAAAATAAAAGAAAAGGAAAATCTAACTCCTGGACTACACTGGAAACCTAACTCAGTTTGGGAACGGGGTGTTTATAAGTCAGTATCACTAGAATTTAAATATTAAAAATTAATATTAAAATATCACTAGAATTTAAGCTTGGTGAGAGCAAGGGATTTTTGTCTGTTTTGCTCACTGATGAATTCTCCAGTGGCCTGGCACACATTAGATGCAAATATTTTTCATGAATGAACATTCTTCTGAGGTATGGACTTAAATTAGCTAATTAGGTTAAAACTCATCACCATAGCAAGTCAATGAACCTCTTGAGCAAGTTACCTGCCATCCACAGGTTCTATCAAACTACTCTAGTGAAATGATCTCTCTCTAATTCTTCATTCCTTTGTGGAAAATGGACATGAAATGTCACAGCCTAAGTCTGCTACAGCTCTAAAGGAAACGTGAGGAAGTGACTGCACCAAGGGCTGAACCTGTTTCCAGGAGTTCTTCACTTAGCCTGGATCTGCTGCTCAGCCAAGAGAGCAAATCCTCATGAAAACAAGAAGGCCAGGGAACTTGTGATGGGTGAGAGGAAAGGCCCAGAACACAAGAGACCCTCATCAAAAACCTGAAGTGGGAGAAAGTCAAGCGCCCTGCAAACACTGCCACCTCATTCTTCAATGCTGGGCCAGTCCGCTGGTACTAATTTCTGGCCATGCTCATCACAGTATGAAGGGTCTGCTCAGACACAGACATAGACTCTGTGTCAACGCACCCCAGGAATCTTAACAATGTTAAGACACGGACAAGACTGAACATCCAGTTCACATCCAGGAATAAGTGGCCAACATGGGGTAAGGACACTCTCCAGTTAGTATTCTTCTCTCCTTGGCTCCAAAAAGCACCCAGGCCCTGGAGGAGGGTCCTGGTGGCCTTACTGATTCATGGTGGAGGAGTTCTAAGACCAAGCAGAAGGTTAGGCTTTGGTAAAGCTCAGATGGGAACTTGCAAGCATAAGAACAAGAGGGAAAGTAACCCCCACTGCACAGTATCCACTCCTCAGCTGTGTAAACAAATAAAATGGTCCATTTCTTCTGGATCCTCTCCTAGTTGTCTTTGTGTGGACGCACAAGCGCGCACATGCACACACACACACACACACAAACCACTTCAAATCTAAAAAGAATAACAACCAAGAAAGGTTTACACAGTTTGTTTTTGCTGCATGTGGAGGTTTTTCCTAAATCACATCTGACTTGGTGTTAAAACATTAACCTTTGGCCAAAACGCTCTTAAAACAAAGGCTTAATTGGCTCAGAAGTAGCCCTTCCAAAAACCAAGGGAAACATCTTCTGTGGGTCTCGACCTTCATCACAACAGTGCTCATAGGTTTGGAATAATGCTGAGAGTAGGAGTGTTGGAAGGGCTTTCTTCATGAAGGCAATAGAGATGCCTAAACATTATCTACAATCACCTGCAGGGCATTCCTGGGAGACAGCTCTGTTTACACACATCTGCAATGTGGGTCCACCTCTGGAATTCAGCCTGCTAGTCCTCCTCCCAGGTTAATGGAGACAGTGGGAGGAGTTCCTAGGAGCTGGGGCCAAAGGCCAAATCACTGCATGAAGGGGCCTGCACCGGAGCTTGGGCAATTGGCCTCTGATCACACCTAGATAAATTTACTGCTCACCCTACACGTATCACTCACATACCTAACAACTACTGGCCCTGTTGCAATGACAATACTCAAATCCAGCACTCAAGTCTCTCTCAGAAGGTCAGTGCAAGACTAAACACACATTTACCCCATGCCCCTCCAAGTCTACTCTTGGTGTATAAACAGAAATGGAAATATATGTTTCCCCAAAAGATGTGTGGGAGAATGTTACTAGAACTTTATTCATAATCGCAAAAAAACTGGAAGCACTCCAAATATCCAACAACGTAGGAAGGATGCATGCACTGAAGCATATTCATCAGTGGAATACTACTTGGCCATGAAAAAGAGCAAACCATTGCTACCCAAAATAACATGGATGAAACTCACAGACATATGCTGAGTGTGGCCAGACATGAAACAGTACATTCTATAAGATTCCATTTACATGAAGTCAAAAAACAGGTAAAACTAATCCACAGTGATAAATAAAACTAACAGACTTTTCAGTGGGGGCAGGGGAGAGAGGAAGAAGCCAAATAACTGGAAAAAGGGGGAAACAAGGTAGACTTCTGGGGAGCTCTTTATCAGAAGTTAGCCTCTGGGACCAAATACAGCCACTGCCTGTTTTTTTCTAAATAAAGTTTTACTGAGACACAACAAGGAATATATATATATTCCTTTGGGTTTATCATTGACTGCTTTCAAACCACAATAGAAGCGCTGAGTACAGTTGACCCCTGAACCCCCAGGCCAGGGACACCGAACCCCCACACAGCTGAAAAGCCGAGTATAGGTCAGGCCCAGTGGCTCACACCTATAATCCCAGCACTTTGGGAGGCCAAATGGCCGGATCACGAGGTCAGGAGATTGAGACCATCCTGGCTAACACAGTGAAACCCCATCTCTACTAAAAATACAAAAAAATGAGCCGAACGTGGTGGCAGGTACCCGTAGTCCCAGCTACTAGCGAGGCTGAGGTAGGAGAATTGCTTGATCCTGGGAGGCGGAGGTTGCAGTGAGCCGAGATCACGCCACTGCACTCCAGCCTGGGCGACAGAATGAGAATCCGTTTCAAAAAAAATGAAAAAGAAAACCCGAGTATACCTTTTGACTCCCCAAAAACTTAACTAATAGCCTACTGTTGACTGAAAGCCTGACCGATAACATAAACAGTCAATTAATATATAATTTATGTATATATTATATGCTGTATTCTTACAATAGTGTAAGCTAAAGAAAATGTTATTAGGAAAATCATAAAGAAAACATATTTACTATTCATTAAGTGGAAGTGGATCATCATAAAGGTCTTCATCCTTGCCGTCTTTGGGATGAGTTGGCTGAGGAGGAAGAGGAGGAAGAGAAGGAAGAGAAGGGGTTGGTCTTGCTGTCTCAGAGGCAGAAGAAAATCCATGTCTAAGTGGATCCATGTGGTTCAAACTCATGTTGTGCCATTCAAGGATCAAATGTAGTTGCAACAGAGACTGAGCGGCTCAAAAAGCCCAAAACATTTAGTGTCTGGCCCTTGACAGTAAAGGTGTCCCAACCTCATTCTATATATATTGATCTGAGTAATGGTTTCATGGACGTTCACATATGGAAAACTTCATCCACCTCTCTACTCTCTACTAAAGTTCTGTGTACTATGTTACATGTATATTATACTTCAATAAAACATTTTAAAAGTCAATAGAATTTTAAAACAATGTCTTTTCTAAAAGATCTTTTAATTTTTGGCCAGGAGCGGTGGCTCACGCCTGTAATCCCAGCACTTTGGGAGGCCGAGGCAGGAGGATCACCTGAGGTCGGGAGTTCGAGACCAGCCTGACCAACATGGAGAAACCCCATCTCCACTAAAAATACAAAAATAGCCGGGCGTGGTGGCACATGCCTGTAATCCCAGCTACTCGGGAGGCTGAGGCAGGAGAATCACTTGAACCTGGGAGGCGGAGGTTGCGGTGAGCCGAGATCGCGCCATTGCACTCCAGCCTGGGCAACAAAGAGCGAAACTCCGTCTCAAAAAAAAAAAAAAAACTTTTAATTTTCTTTCTAGTTTCATTTGTGTTATCCATTTTGGGAGAACGTGGCCATCTGAGTTGCTCTTGTCTTTTCAAAACCAAGGGGAGCTAGGAGGCTGTCAAAAGTAGGAAAGATCTAAACATAGCAACTGCTATTGTGTCCAAACCTTTTATAAGAAAGTGACGTGTCTATAGAATCACCCAAGGCCATTCATATAAACAGTGAGCTTGGCTGAGTCCTGAGATTACAGGAGGGATGGGAAGGGAAAAGAGTATGAGTCGTATGAGTCTAATGTGATGCACAGGGTCATAGTACTCTGGGTTATTTTAGGATGTAGCTTAGGAGAGCAACAAGCTCAGCTTCTATTGAAATCTAGTATTTATTAAGGTTGAACAGTTTTAAGTTTCCAGGGACAATAATTCTGCCCCGACAATCACGCTGCATTTAGTCTTAAGTTGGAGAATGGAGCGAAAGGAACATATCTGCTCTATGCCACATCCAGAGCGAAAAGATTATGAGCTCCCCAATGTACTTTGGGAACAATTTCATTTCGTCTAAGCTTTCCCCTTCTTTTCCCTTTGCTTCTTTGGTTTTGCTTTTTCCATTTATCCTTTGAGGATCAAACTAAAATTACAGCTAGATGCCATTTAGCTTGGCCTTGTGCGGGTCTAGCAGAGACTGAGGGAGAATGAACACTGCAAAAGCATGG
The DNA here is from genome assembly GCF_000001405.40 of Homo sapiens. Classification (NCBI taxonomy): domain Eukaryota; kingdom Metazoa; phylum Chordata; class Mammalia; order Primates; family Hominidae; genus Homo; species Homo sapiens. The sequence continues at coordinate 112,966,941 of NC_000010.11, read as the reverse complement.
TGCTGGGTCTCTAATAAAATGTCTCTCTGTTTGCCCACATGGGCATCAAGCCTTAGCAAATAGAAGCAGAGAACAATACTACCTGTTCATGGAGGAATAGTAATGGTTTCAGTCCTCCAAAACAATGAGCTCTGTAATTTACTCCATCTTCCTCCTGAGAAAGAGCTTCACATGGCCTGCACCGTGCCAGGTGGTTTGGAGAAAGACGAACTGCTCGGCCTAACAAGGGGCACTTCAGCAACGGGTGTAAAGATACAACAGCTGGTCTGGTCTGGGCTAGTCTCCCAGTGACATGGCCCCAGCCAGCCTTTCCACACCAAGATAAGGATCACTATCCTATTCAACCTCAACAATTCCCACACCCCAGGCAATAAGATTTTCCAGCACTACCCGAGATGTAGGAGGCCTCGACATGGTACATCCACCCGTTCACCAAGAGTTGTACATCCACTCAGGCACCAGGAGTTAGGGTTTGGGCTTGTTCTCTAACCAAGTCCCGCACCTAAAGCACTTTCTGGGAGCAAGACTTACTATGCTGTCCATCAAAAGGAAGAAGGAGGGACAAATGGGCAGCATGCCAAAAAGAACAATTGCAGCCTCAAGTTAAAGACATGTCAGTCTTGGAAACAGTTAGGAGTGGAGAAGGGTAAAATCAAGAGTCACACTTTCCCCCAAAAGACACACATAAGAAGGTTGGCGGCACAACTGCAGAAGTAATCAAGAAAAGAAAATATATATATATATATATATATATATAAATATATTTTAGACAGAGTCTCACTCTTGTCACCCAGGCTGGAGTGCAGTGGCGTGATCTCGGCTCACCGCAACCTCCGCCTCCCGGGTTCAAGTGATTCTCCTGCCTCAGCCTCCTGATTAACTGGGATTACAGGCACCCACCACCACACTGAGCTAACTTTTACATTTTTTAGTAGAGATGGGGTTTCACCATGTTGGCCAGGCTGGTCTCGAACTCCTGACCTCAAGTGATCCGCCCGCCTCAGCCTCCCAAAGTGCTGGGATTACAGGCATGAGCCACCTCACCCAGCCTCAAATATTTTTAAAATAAGTTGCTGTGGCCTGAAAATGAGTACAGAAACACTAGGAATGCACCAAATAAAAATGTCTGCTGACTCATGCTTTTCACTGGCGGAATAATTCCGTTTACCTGGGGCAAACAGCTATCTGGAAGTCTTATCAAGGAAGATGCAGAACTGAGATGACAGAGCTACAAAGATGCATTGTGGCTGCAGCTACCTAAGACCACACACACACACACACACACACACACACACACACACACACACACACATATACACACACACAGACAAGTTATCTGCAAGGGCTCTTGCCCAGAAAAGAAGTCATGGAATAACACAAATGATCTAACAAACCAACATCAACTCACAAAAAAAGAAGGCTCTCCAGCTAGACCTCAACACTACAGCAAACGGTTTCAAGAGAATCCCTTCAAAGGGTTAAGCCAGAACACTCAAGAAGTTTTGGTACCATTAGTTACACCATGAGGTACATCCATCCCAGCAAGGCCAGGCAGACAGACGAAAATCGTATTAGTCTGCTCTCCCTCCTCTACTGCATTCTGCTGGCATCAGTTCAGCTCCGAGTCTATATTAGTCCATGATTTGTTTAGCCTTCGGATTTAAGAGAATGGAAGTACTACGTGAGCAGGAAACAGGACACTCATCAGAAGCTGGGATCTGTCGCCTTTCCCTTCCAGCACATTTAGTGTCATACATAGACAGGTCCAAGAGAAATCAACATTTCAGGATGATCAGGTCCAAAGAGATATTCTTAGCACCACTTAACATGATTTTGATCCACCAGAAACAACCCTCTGGCTGTTGCACGGCCTCCTCTCCCACCTCTCCCCTTAAGCCTTCCCATTCACATTGTGCCACCCCGTTTTACTCCCAATTCAAGATCCCTCCCTAAGCAAAGAAAAACAGTAGTCAAGCTGGGGTCTGTGTGCCCATTATGCCCGGTCAAGAAACTCTTAACAATAAGCACAGCCTTCTCTTTCTTTCCATATCTCTAAATCATTTCAGCAGCATTTCTCCTGCTTCTCTCTCCTTTGCTCCCCTTCTCCCCCAGTGATTCAACCCCCCCCCACCACCACCACCACCACCATCACCACCACCACCATCACCACCACCACCACCATCACCACCACCACCACCACCATCATCATCATCATCATCATCATCATTATCTCAGTTGGGGGAAGGGGCGGAGAATAAAACACACAAGAGACCTACATATAGACAATTCAAGCTTCAGAATCTCTTGCGTTTCCTACCTGAACTGCAATCTGGTGTTCAATCGTTTTGTACGCAGAGTAATGTGTGCTGCCGGACTGAAAATGGAGCTGTAGAAAGAAACCAAATCAAAGCGTTCTGCTTATGTCACAAACTACAAGAAAACATCTTAAGCAGTTTATGAATAGCAGACAAACCTTCCTAGATTGAACTGCAGCCTTGGCATTCAATCAAGACCTGTGTACTTTCATTTGTTGCTATGGATAAGATGATCATAACAATCTAAGGTAAAGTTTTTTTGTTTTTGTTTTTGTTTTTGTTTTTTAAGCACCTATTCAATAAGCATACAGGGAAGATGGGGGCCACGAGTGAGAATCAATGACATGAAAAGGAAAGACGGATGCCCATTAAGACATAAAGGAAGCCAGTGTGCTGAGCGGGATGCTGAAGAAAAATGAACTGTGCGCTGCAAAAAGTCATCAGAATTGCAACATGTAGGCAAGAGGAAGGATTAGGAGAGAAAAGATTATGAGAAGCCACAAGACTGCAACAAGTACAAGCACCCCATCCCCATATTTCTAATAACTGGGCCCCAACTCTCCAATGCAATTCTATTTCTGGGAAAACAAATGTGTCAGACAGAATTCAGGGGCCACCCGATGCCTTACACATTCTTTCATGATGACTAAGCTGTCCATCCCAGGCCATCTCTGTCGCCTGCACTCTAGTAATCCACACTTCCCCAAAGAGAGGGCCAAACACTGCCAGAAAGCCGCCAATTTTCTAAGGGAGGACCACCTATTAGATGGCAACTGAGTGAATGTAAGTCACTGATTGGCTCAGACCCTCCCCAAGGTCTAAGTCTATCCTCAGCCTTTCCCTCTGAAGTCCTAGAGACCACCCATCAATGAAGCAGGTATCCCGAAATAGGAAGAGCAAGATTGTTCACCCAATTCTCATCTTCCCAAGTAATACTTGCTAATCTTGGGATCCCATCAATTGGGAAAACAAACACCATCTGCTGATTTACTTTATAAACAATACAATAATCACTGAAGGATCTCAACAATTATCTGAAAATGCATTTTAATTTGCCAAATAGGAACTACTAATGAGGAATCAGATGACCCTGTGAAATTGATGTCCATTTCCCCTCCTTGCAACAGGCAAATCAACTGCATTTCCAAAAATGGATCTGTAGTATTATAATAAACTACCGTTACTACTCCTGTGCTATTACTACTACCAGAACACGTCTGTGTTACTAGCACAAAGTGTAATTTAGGCTGCGAGTTTCAGATCCAGATAATTTGTATCTTGCTCCCTGGAAGAAAAACAATTCAGTCCACACAGTTTTAAAAAATAAATAAAAGTGGAAAAAATCACATAAGAACTTTTGAACTAACTCAAAATAAACACAAGGGTAGTAATCCCATAAAAAAAATAGTCTAAATCCATGTTGTTCATGGGCTAAGTCTATAAATATCCATTTTAGGATGCAGTGGGCTCTGAGATCATTTTATCTGTTCCAAATAAACAAATAGAAAACATTACATATATATTTATATATAGATATAATGTAAGTCTGCTTGCCCCAAACAGAATATTAATCAAAATTAAAAGGAGACACAATGAAGTAGGTGGGAAAAAAACCCTATACCTGTCAAAGGAGAGTAATGAACCACATTGCCCTAAAACAACAGAAGATCTGTCCCCCACACACAGCCCCCCACACATACTCAGAAGCAGTATCTGAAGTGAACCGCTGGCAGGGCGCAGTGGCTCACGCCTGTAATCCCAGCACTTTGGGGGGCTGAGGCGGGCAGATCACCTGAGGTCAGAGGTTTGAGACCACCCTGGCCAACATGGTGAAACCCCGTCTCTACCAAGAATACAAAAATTAGCCAGGCGTGGTGGCGGGCGCCTATAGTCCCAGCTACTCAGGAGGCTGAGGCAGGAAAATTGCTTGGACCCAGGAGGCAGAAGTTGCAGTGAGCCAAGACCTTATCGCTGCACTCCAGCCTAGGCGGTAAGAGTGAGACTCCATCTCAAAAATAAAAAATAAAAATAAATAAGTAAAGTGACCTGCTGAAAAACAAAGATGACTTTGCACCCTTTGTCCCTATCTCCTTTGTGTAAAAACTGCCAGTCAGTAAACGGAGATTGCACTAATTACTGTGACAATTCTGCATCATGTTAAAACAACTTCTGTGCCTGGGACAGGTTTCTCTGCGAGCCTGGAATTCTTGGCCAGAAAGTAGCTCTTGTCTGAGGAGGGTTCTCCTTCAAAGCAGAGTAGGCAACACTAACAACTTGTCCCTCTCTTTTCAGTTGGTTTTATTCTCTTCTTTTCCAATCGCCTGATTCAGATCTTAATGGAAACTTGTCCAAGCTTCTCTTCCCACAATCCCTGCAGAGCCCCTAGGCAATCTGTACACAGGGTTACCATAGGAATCTTATATTGTCAATTAAAATTGAGTGGACACCTGATAACTAAGGATATGTTGTTGAAAAAAATTCATATAGTCACAATCTTATGAATAAATTAATCAAACTGTGGTTAATCCAAATTCAATTTTCACTTGTCCAGTTCTGTTCTTAATCCTTGCCTTCATCATCACCCAAATAACACCAACAATCCTAGAGAGAATGCTGTAATTGAAACAATAAAAATGCAGCTGCAAGTTCCTTAAGACTCTAGCAGAGAAACCAACATATAGGACAAAGTTAATTTTACCTTCTCTCTCTCTCTCTCACACACACACACACACATACACGCACACGCGAGCGCCCACAGACACCCATACTCCCTTCTAATGCCCCCCACCCCACCCCCCAGCCACGTAACTTCCCTCACGTGCCCAGCGACACAGAAAACCTCACCCAGCTCACAAACACACCCAGCACAAGCAGCTTATTCTGTGTCTAAGTCAGATCTTTCTTCCCAGCCAGCAACCATTGCGCTGGAGAGATTTCCAAGCTCACTTCCTCCAGCTACTGCAACAAGGACTTAAAATTTTTATTTCTCCTTTGGGTTTCCACCCTCTCTCTCTTTTCCCAACACACTTTTCTTTCGAAAATGCATACTTTCACTGCTTTTTCCTTCCCTGTAAAACATAAAGATGTCTTGTTCATTATAATCTAATTTTTTTAAGGCACAGATAAAAAATACAAACACCCAGTAAACTCCTGGCATTCTAAACTGGAACAATCATTTCTCTCTCCAGAAGCTAGAAGGAAGAATAAAAGATGGTAGGCCATTTGTGTGCTTTGGAATATGAGGTGAGACTGCGAAGTCCAGGACAAGATGACTAAGGCACATCTGAGTTTAAAAACCAGGTTCTGGCCGGGCACGATGGCTCACGCCTGTAATCCCAGCGCTTTGGAAGGCCGAGGTTGGGGGGGGGGGGGTCACCTGAGGTCGGGAGTTCGAGACCAGCCTGACCAACATGGTGAAACCCCGTCTCTACTAAAAAATACAAAAATTAGCCGGGCGTGGTGGCGCATTCCTGTAATCCCAGCTATGAGGGAGGCTGAGGCAGGAGAATCGCTTGAACCCGGGAGGGGGAGGTTGCGGTGAGCGAGATCTAGGCATTGCACTCCAGCCTGGGCAACAAGAGCAAAACTCCGTCTCAAAAAATAATAATAAAATAAAATAAAAACCAGGTTCCCAGGCTGGGCGCAATGGCTCGCGCCTGTAATCCCAGCATTTTGGGAGGCCGAGGAGGCCGGATCATCTGAGGACAGGAGTTCCAGACCAGCCTGGCCAAGATGGCGAAACACCATCTCCACTAAAAATACAAAAATAAAATTAGCCCAGCATGGTGGTGTGCGCCTATAATCCCAGCTACTCGGGAGGCTGAGGCAGGAGAATTGCTTGAGCCGGGAAGGCAGAGGCTACAGTGAGCCAAGATCGCACCACTGCACTCCGGCCTGGAAAACAAGAGCGAAACTCCATCTCAAAAAAAAAAAAACAGGTTCCCATCTGCCTCATCTCTTGGGACTGTCCTGCACCAGTCACCAGGAGTGCTCCAAGACCACTCCACATCATTTCCTCATCCGGCAAACATGGCTGCTCTCACCTGGCTGTGCCTCACACCTTCAAAATGGCACTTCCCTGCCTGGAGTACCCAGGGAGTCACCAGATGAGAACTCCAGCGTATTTTCCATTTCATTGCTTCCCATGAAGCTCTCAACAAAAATCAGTGACCAAGCCCATCCCCCATTCTACTACCCACAAATGCCTCAGCCCTCACTTGTCCAGAGGAAGAACGGTGAAGACTCGGCAGTTCTCAGCACAGGCTTGCAAAATTCTTCAGCAATGTAAAGACCAACATTTTAAGATTAACCCCTTCCCTTATTATCATCATATCTAGATTCTTCATCTTATTTCTAATCACTACTGGGCTCTAAATTTGATGTTTCTGATATGCAAAACATCAGAGATACCCAGACATGGAATGGGAAACAGCTTTTTTCAACCACAGGAATCTCCTCCTCAAAGACAATTAAAACAATTGAAATCCTCTGTTGGTTTTTCCAGCACTAAGCTAACTTCTAACATGATGCACATTAATTTTTGATGCCTATTCGTCCTGCTAAATTGGGAAGAGGTGGAACATTTACTTTATTTTCAGTTTTATGAATCACCTGGCTTTCTCTTATCTATATTAAAAAAAAAAACAGATCATTTCCTAGGAGGTGTTAGTTTTTTTGGTCCACTTTCCTCTCTACCCTGTAGCTGCTACCATGAGCCACTTGAAATCTAATTTCCATGTAATTACCTTAAGAAACAAAATACTTTTTTTTAGTATACCTAAGACCTTTTCTTAGGTCATTAGTCATTTGAGCAACCACAGGCCATTATAAGCCCAGCTTCCCCTACCCCACTGCCCCCAGTCCTGTGTTGAGAGCCTTTTACATTTAATGGGAAATAAACTTTTGACCAAGACTTTGGGTGACTGCCTGCCCTTATAAAAAGTACCAAGGGGGGCCTCTGACTTCAAGAGAAAAGGCAAAACCAGCATTGCCTGGTACTTGAGCTTAAACATTCCTGCAGAGATCTAGACACTGAACATTTGTACCATCCCTAAACAATAACTTAACGACAGCATCCCCTTTCACTTCCTGGCATTCTGCCTCAGAAATTCTGCTGCAACAAAATGCATGCCTTTAGACACAAGAACAATCTCTCCTACTGTCTCAATGTTCCATCAAATGTCTATTTACCCTCATTAATTTTTCTTTTCCTCAACCTGAAACCATCAGCTATGAGTCAGAGAACGATCATTAACTTTTACAGCTTCTATACGTATCCACCTACTCACATTTGGGGAAAGAAGTATTGACTTGCAACATTGCCTGAGACCAAAATTCTCTAAGAAGAAAAAAAGGGGAAAAAGTCGCTTCAAGAAAGTTTTATCTGTAGGTCTGCGGGGAAATGCTATGTTCATCGTTTCTCCACTTTGTGCTGCAAAGTCTCGCAAAAAAAAAAAGTTGAGCTTGAACTTCTTTATGGTGATGGGCATTTCTGGGTTGATTTTTGAGAAAAACTAGATGATTTTCTTTCAACGTCAAAACATAATTAAAGCTCTTAAACTGTCTGGGGGAAAAAATAAAGTGAATCAAGTTTCCTGCTCTTGTACAAAACATATTTCTAGCATATAGAAAAACACGTGGGCTGAAGTGCTGAGACATGTTCCTAACACAGCATTTTTCATTAAAAGTTGCTACACTAAAACTCTTAAAATGATGCCCCATCATTACTCCACTTAGCAGTCGCAGTGCTGCAACTCATAACGAATTAATTTGCATTAATGTGGGTTTCATGTGTCCTTCCCTGGGTATGCCATTGTGATTCAGGCTTAATAAAACTGACACGACAACAACATAGTGCCTTTTATTTCACTTTCCAAAACAAACCAACCCACCCAAAGACCCACACAAATCCTCTCAATTTTTTAAGCATTTTACTAATATATTTTAGTACATCATAATTGGCCCAGCACGAAGGAATCTAGTTATCTTCTCAGTAAATATTTATAGCGTCACTCTTTCCCATTCATTCTGCATTTTCTTAGAGAATCTCACTGTAGCCTACATCTGCAATTCATTGACTTTACAATTTACCACATGTTGGGATGGGAGAGGTCTTAGCTCCATTTGAATCACTACACAAATATGCAAGTGATTTATCGGTTTCAAGCTGAAGACTGCAAGAGAGGGACTCCACTTTTCCTGAACATTACTTCTTCTGGCAGACCATGAACAATTACAGTGCGTACTAATTAAGCTCTGTAAATGTGCTGTGCCCTGCTAATGCCTACCAGGCCTCAAATTTATTTTCATGATGCCAAACTTTAGGGAGCAATTTTAACTCCTTCAGGGCTGATGCCACTCCTGGCCATTCCTTCCTCCGTAGACCGACCTGGTTGGGGCTACTGCATGACAAAAAGAATAAAATATAACAGGTCGAATTACTAGCCCGAAATCAGATGTGCCTAAGGAGAAAAAACCTATCTTGGGAAAAGCAAAGAACACCTCGGCTGATAACCCGTTCAAAGATCCCACAGCCCCTTCTTTGTAATGAGCTGTTTAGGGATTCATATCTATCCCTGAGGGCTAGTAAGTTTCTGCATGCCATTGATTAGAAAAGAAAACCTTTCGGCCTGGGTCTTTAAGTTTGGGTTGGATGGAAGGAAGGATCCAGTCAGAAATGAGAGCCATCATCTCTCCTGGCCTGGCAAACACCTTTGAATCTCACTTCCTCCTTATACCGCGTAGTCAGTTTGTAATACACCAGAACAGCCCACTTTTTCAACATAAATTAAAATCAGCAGGACAACTGGCCTTCTCTCTCACACTCCAGTCTCCACCACAGATAATGCCTCACCCTCAGATGCTTACACAGTAACTGATAGGAAACACATCTGTGGCTAGGTAGAACACCCTGGGTAATGAAGGGATCGCAGCCCATCTTTGCTGAGCAAAGCAATATCCCTTTTTAATAGCCCAGCCCAGGGTACTCCCACGCCCCTCCATAAGGAAACTTCCAATCTCCAATTTCAATTCCCCCAAACCCAAATCTTTGTTCTCTTGTATTATACTTTTCTTATCTTTCTTAGGCATTTATTCTGTCTCCTCTGGCTACTTTTCTGTGCCTCCTCCCGCAGATACCAGTACATTTTTCACAAATAAGCAGCCCTCCCATCCCCAGTGTAAACCTGGATTTTTTTTCCCCTCACCTATTATATTCTTTTAGTCAACTCTCTTCACCTCATCTCACTTTTTTAAAAACTCTCACGTTAACTAGTTTAACTAGTGTACTATGTAATGTGTACATTTTCCCTTCCACTCAGGGGAACATCATATAAATTAAAGAGCCGTCTCCCATACCAGGTTTCTTTAAGTATTCCTGGGGAAAATGCACAATATAGGCAATGTAATCTCAAAAAAAAAAAAAAAAAAAAAAAAAAGGTGGGGGTGTTGGGGGGAATTAAGAAAAGAGAAAGAAAGGAAAAAGGGAGAAAAGAAAAGGGAAAAGATGCAAACACCTAGAGCAACTTTGCTTTTGAAAAAGGCATCTGTGCAGAGCCCCCACTGAATTTCCATTCCTGAAAGTGCTCTTTATAAATGTGTATAACAATAGCCTAGAGGAAACGTACAAGTCAGCTGCCAAAGGAGTGGTGGCGTCTGTCTCAGTAAACTCAAGATTGTAGAGGTGGGGGTCAGCGGAGAAGGGAGGGCAGCATTTGCATTAGGATACCACCACCTCCCCCCATCTCATTGCTTATAATTAGTGAGAGAAATCTGAGCTACTGCCAATGTCTGCGGACCTTGAATATTATAAGGCCAACGTGGCGTCAAATATCTTAACATTCATAAGTGTTATGGGCTGTAAATAAAGCCTGTGGATTTATGACCTGGTGGTGCGCTTGCCAGCAAAAAGACTGGGGCACATTTCTTTCAGCAGACCTGTCGAGGTGCGAGTTTGCCTTTGGTTGTAAAATTAACCATTTCCTTCACAAATGTGCTCAATTATAAGTCAGAGTTGAAGATTTACTTACATAGTTGCCAATATTCACTCCCAGAAGAAACTCAGATGCCCACATCACACACCCCTTTGAAAATAAGACCCTCAAGAATTTGGTTCAGCCTCCTTTTCCAAACTTTAAAATGTGTCACCTCAAAAGAATTATAAATGCAGTCAAAGATATTATCTAATGCCACTCACCAAGACTAAAAAGCTTACACTTACTTCCCTGGAAAGTGCTTATTTATTTGGCAACTCCAGCATTTAAAAAAAAAAAAAAAAAAAAAAAGGTAAATCACTCCTTGCCTGAAATCTCCTCCCTTCCCCCAATATAATGTCATCTACTTCCTGTGCAGGAGAGAGCATTTGCTAAATCCAGGTTGTCTCATACTTAACTGCCAATAAACCAACTTCCACATAACTTCCAGACAGCTGGGGGAAAGGTCCTCGGAGTTTTAGTCATGGTCCAGAAACACGCGTCCACACAAAAATTTGCAGCTGTCCTTTCTCTACAGTGCATTTTTAATGTGATTCAGGGGGGCCTGTTGTGAAACATCTGACAAAATGTAAAATCCTCTTAGATACCTTCTAGTTTACCCACTGCACGTGTGTAAGAGAAGTTGCACCAGGATTTCTCCACCGAGAAATCTAGGCACTTTTTGCACACAGCCAGGGGCACCTCGTGGGATGTAAGGAGGCATTCGAAACCTGGAAAGACTTCTACTGTAATCTTTAAAAGCACAGCCTCTGGTGCAACTATTAAAATGCTAGTTTTCTAAAGCAAATATTTTTTTCAATGGCGTGCAGAACTGCAGCGATCCAGCACGGCAAACAGAACAGCATTCTTGATCTGCAAGCCCCTGGAAACCTTCCGGTAACTTTTTCACAGCTTGCTAAGAAACAGAAAGCTGACCAACTTCCAGCAATGACTCTAAATGAAATCCCTATCAGTAAAATTAAAATCAAGGTGAAGAACTCCTAGCAAGAACGAGGATTGTTTTCCTCAAAAAACTCTTTCTCAATCAGACACAGAGGGCATCAGTCAAAGCTCCTTCCCTTAAACAGTCAAAAGTTTCCAAAAACACGTCTTCCAGATAAGCTCGTTAGGCTCCCAAATGCCTGAGTTTGTTTCTGGGATTTCAGAAAGTTTCAATATCAACAAAGTGGAAAGCGCTGGCATATTTAATTTATAATCATTAAAATATGACTTATTGGGTGAATGTTGAGCCTATAATCCATACTGCAGACATTAAACCCCAACCTATAAAGATTAGCATGGAATTAATACGGTTGCATTGAGATTGAAATCTAAACATGTTCGCCATAAATATTTCTGAAGGAGATGAAAAACAATTAGCATAAATACCAAAGAAGGGTAAGAACACCTGTTCTTTTTCAGGGCGATAAGCATTTTATTGTTCTCTATTTAAAATGTAATGACCTGTGTAATTACAGTAATATTACATTGTTATGTAGGGGCTTGGAATGTCACACTTTGAAAAGTGTTGTCAAAACAATCAGGGGTGAGGTGGGGGGGTGGGAGGACAACTGGGAAGGACCACCATTAACCCTTCACACTCCAAGGTCTAAATCTTTTGTATTAGAAAGGATTATGTTGTTTCAGTGAGGAAAAAACGTCCATTTTTCACAAGCCAGAAAGAGAAGTTGCCCGGCTAAATAAAATCCCAATGAATAGGCCCCTCTCGGTTTCCTTTAAATGCTGGATTCCAAGTTCAAAAATGAATTCAAGATGCAGCTTATTTATCTGTTCAACCTAGTAGCAAAGAGCTCGGTTGAAAAGCAAATAACTTTGGATAAGAGAAGATGCAAGGGCTCGAATAATCAAGTCCTTAAAAAGAAATTTCAAACCTAACTGGAATTTCAACCACCATATTCCTATTTCCACTTTGCCAGGAGGGAAAAAGAAATGTAAAACTACTTTTTCCAATCAACTTTAATAGGTTACAGTATTCTTATCTTTAATATACAAATGTTACCACAGTTCTAATATTTGCAGTTCTAACACTTCCCATCTACTTAACTAGACCTCTCCTTAATGCAGTTTTGTATCTGAATCTGTCTTTTTAAAAGCCATTCCTATTACTGAATCAAAGACTAAATTAATATTATGCAGAAATCTTTGTCATTTTAAAATAAAATTATTACTATCAAGCTTTATGGTGTCTTCAGCAATTAAAGCATTATTCTTGAGATAATGTATTATTCATCATAAGCCGATTTAATGATACTCTCTAATTCTTTACATTCTTAAATAAAAAAGCAGAAATCAGGGTTCCAGAGAGTTTGCTTTTTAAAGGATGCAGCTGCTTACAGGTACACCATAAGTAACAGAAAATGTAGCAAAAATCACCGCCACCAAGGAGCAAAGGGAAAATAATAAAGCATACAGCGAAATTTGTCTTTACACCTTGCCATTAAAAACACACCCTATAAAACACTAAGGATTTCAGAAGAGTATGGGAAGCCCGCTATCTTGCCTATGCATTCCTCCATTCCTCCCGCAGCTGTATCAAATCTGGATTGCAAGCTGGCCTTCTGATTGAAGACGTCAGGAATGACACACAACAGCCTACCATCCTCATTTCCACTGCTCTGCTGACCAGCCTAAATAAATAACTTTAATTTTGGAGCACATAATCTAACCCAGGTAACAGGGAGGAAGGACGAAGGGGCAGTGTACACAAAGATGTCTGCTGGTGTTTGACATGTAAGTACTAAAACTGCCTACTGAGTTCAGAAATGTGTTCTGAGACTCAATCTGATGTCACAGCACCAGGCCACCCGCTATGTCCACAATTAAAATAACTAGACGCCGTCTATTCCTATAATGCCCACAAAAGGGACCGATCATTGGGAGCCTTCCTTTTCTCACCGGGAAATCATTTATTTGCCTTTAGCAATTTCCCTGTTTGCTAATTACAAGACAACACAACTGCTCAAGTTTGAGAAGGGATGGCAAGATTGCCAGTATCAGACAGCGAGTTTAAAAAGAGTCAAGAAAGCTAGCAAGCCCGCCATCAAAGCTCAATATTCAGATGGTTAAGTGGATTTTAAAATAATACCAGGGAGGTTTCCATCGGAAGGGGGAGGGGAGGAGAGGCAGAAATTCTCAGGGATTCTTTGGAATGTTGCTTGGTCCGGTTTATTGGTAGGCGAACACTGCGATTCTGAGCCGAACGGTCCCGTTTAAGATGCCCCACAAGCTCCCAAGAAAAATACAAAGTAAGCGAACTGTGCTTCCCCTACAGCTGCAAGCCCAGAGCGCGGCCCCTGCAGCCTGGTGGAACTGGCCCTGGAGAAGGGGGTTGAGCCGAACCGCTCTCCCAGCTTCCCAAGCATGTCTGGGCGCCGGGCAGGGGGGGAATAATTATTTCTCTTCCCTAGCCATAAAAAAAATGACCGGTCTAGCATGCCCTTGCCATTTTGCCAGGGCCCAAAAAAGCAAGTCAAACCTGATAGTTAATATTTTAATGCTTAAAAACACTTGTAGATCTGATCGACTCCCGTCCGGCAAGCCCTCGGCCATTAGCACCGAATCCATGGCTGCTGAACAGTGGGTGCATTATTTCAAATTGCTATCTAGAGTTACCGAAAAAGAAAAAACAAAAGTCGTGTGTGTAAATAAGGGGTAGGGGACCAAACTGGAGAAGGTGTAAAATGACAATACCGGGAAGCCGGGCACAAATGCGTCTTGCGTCCAGGGATTCGTAATCCAGGCTTCTTAGAAGAGGGAGGGAGGGATGAGGAGGAGGGGGTTCAGGGTGAGGGCAGGGGGCACAGGCCGGTGGGGGAGGGGATGAGCCGTATTAACAAATGTCAGGGTTGGGCGCGGGACCGACCCTGCAGGAAGCGCCCCCCGAGCCCGGCACCCCGCGCTGCCCTGGGGCCCCCAAAGTTGGGTGGCCGGCGATCGGCGGCCCACTCCCTTGAAGGAGAGGCGCCCCAGCCTCCCTCGGCCCCCGCACCTCCTTGAGCCCGCACACCCTGGTCTCTGGCCCCCCTGGGGCCCACGACGGGCCTACACGGAAGCTGGCGAGCGCCGACCCCGCCATACATCCCAAGGCGCCAAAATTCCCTAGAAATACACAAGTCCGCTTGGAGGAGTCCATTCCGGCTGCACACAAACCAAGAATCCGGGCCGCAGGGGCCTCCCCGCCCCACTCAGCCCTGCTGCCCTGCGCGGCCCGGGAGAGCCCGCAGCCAGTGCGCCGGGCAGCGGAGCCCGCCACGGCGCCCAGGGCGCTCGCGGCCCTGCGGGTTGCCAAAGAAAAGGACGCCTCAGAGCCCCCAAGTTTGCGGTGGGACCAATCTGGGAAGTGTGACCTTCCAGGGGAAGGGGGAAGGAGGGCCGAGAGCCAGCAATCTCCACTAGAAAGCTAAATACATAGTCGCCCAAAAGAGAAAGCCAAGGAGCCTCTCCAGGGCCCCGGGCTCTGCGCGCTAGCCAGTTCTCAAGTCCAATGCCTGGAGGAAACCCACTCTCTACCCCGCGCATCGGGCGCAGCACAGTCAGTCACTCGTGGCCCGCAGCGGCAGCCAAGGGGTTAACCGGGGAAAGCCCAAGACGCCACAGAAGAGGGAAGGAAGAGAAGGAGAGAGAGGGAGAGAGAGCAAAGGAAGAGCCACAGAGTCATCTTCCCAGGGTGAAGAAACAAACACCACCACCAAAGGGGGAGGGGGAACCAGAACGCAAAGGAAAGTTCTTCGGATTCCCCCCCCTCCCCACCAACAAAGCCCTGCTTGGACAGAGAGGTCTCCCCAACATCACGAGGCAGCAAACTGAAAGCAAGAACGTGGCGAAGTGCAAACAAATCCAGTCCACAAAAGGCAGAAAAGTTTGGAGAGTTTCGGGCCTCCTGGGCCACGAGCGGGGGAGGGGAGGGAGGGAGGGGAGGAGGCGGGGAGGGGGAGGCGGGGAGGGGGCAGGGCAGGGGCCGCATGCGGGGCCCGGCGGGCGGCGCGGGCGGGCGGGCAGCGGGCGGGGGCCGGGCGCGGAGGCACTTACGGTTCGGGCGGTGGGCGAGAGCGATCCGTTGGGGAGGTAGGGGCTCGTCAGGTCGGGGATCATGATGAAGGGGTAGCCGGGATACGGTGGCCCCTTAAAGAGCCCTCCATCTTGCCTCTTGGCCGCTAACATGGCGGGGCGGCGAGGGGACAGCGGCGGCCGCGCGGAGCGGGAGAGAGTGAGGAGAAACTTTTTAGAAAGTGCCCCGAGGGGCCGGGCGCCCCGACCGGGCCGGCGCAGGGCCAGGCCGAGCCGGGCGCGGGGCCGGGGCGCGCGGGGCGGCCGGCCCGGGGGGCGGCTCCGGGCGGCTGCGGGGCGCGCGGGGCGTACTCACCTTCTTCCAAACTTTCCCGGGATTTGTCTCGGAAACTTTCGGAGCGAGGCGGAGGCCGTCTTTCCGCCTTCCCAGAGGGGTGGAGGTGGGGAGGGCGAGGGGCAAACGCCACGCAGAAGGGGGAGAAGGGGGAGAAAAAGAATCGGCGAGGTCGAGGGGGGGGTAGAAAAAAACAGGGTTACAAGTTTTTGCAATGGTGGCACCGTACGCACACGCCGCCCGCCGGGCCCCGCCGCCGCCCCCAGCCCCGATTTCTCCCCTTTCAGCAACATTTGCCAAGCCCAGGAAACAGATAAAAAACCCCACCAGCCCGAGGGGCTTTTCCTACCTCGGAATCGGAGGAGCTGTTTTGATTCGTTTCTGATTCATTGACTAGAGACGATTTGACATCAGCTAAATCCCTCTCTGCCGAGGAGTTTTCGGAGCTCTTCTCCTCCTGTTCGCCCTCGTCTTTGAAGGAAATCAGTTCGTCGTTGGCGCCTAGGTCATCCCCTCCACCGCCGTTCAGCTGCGGCATTTTTTTTTCACCCACCAGCAGCAATTTTGGAAGAAAAATGAAGGAGGAAGAAAAGCCAAAAAAAATCACCCCCAAAAAGTTTTGCCCCCCCAAAAAATATTGCAAGAAAAAGACGAGTCCAAGGTGAACTTTTTTCTGCTTGGGGGTCTTTTTCTCCTGGGGAGGGGAAAAGAGGGAGGAGGGGAGGGGAAGGGGGGGGAGATCTTCTGCACGCGTGAGTTTGGGTTTCTTTTTTCTCTCGTTCCCAAGGATCCGATCAATGTGCAAAAAAATAATAAATAAAAAAGGGGGGTAAAAAAAAAAAAAACACCAACAACAACAAGAAGTCAGATATAAAGAGCAAAGGGGGGGGGAAGCCGAAGATACAGGAGGTGCTCGTGCCGCTCGGATTTGAGTGAGTTGAAGTTAGACTGAGAGCTTTTCAGTTCAAAGGCGGCGCTGATTGACAGATAGAAAAAGGGGGATCGAAATCCGGAGGAACGGAGTAGTCTGGGAGCGGAGATTATTGACAGGGCGAGAGGAACACACTGCCTTAATGAGATGCCGGAGGGCGGGGCCGGCCCAGTGACGTGTGCATAAATAAACAGCCGGGGTGGGCGGGGCGGGGGCGGCTAACAATGATCCTTTCGGGCGCCGGGAGAGGGAGGAGGGAAAGAAGGAGGAAGAGAGGGGCGGGGAAGCCGGGGGGAGACGGAGGGAGGAGTGTGCAGGGGGAGCGGCCTGCGCGGAGTGTGTGCGAGCCCGGGATTCTGGGCGAGGGTGCAGGGACTTGCTCCGGGAGGGGGCGGTTTCAGAAAGACAATGCGGGGTGGGAGAGGAGGAGAAGGGGGTGGCGACCAAGTCAGGAATCCGAGCCGAGGAAGGCGGAAGGAAAGCCCACTTGGGGGGCGGGGATGGGGAGAGGCCCAAAACAGTGCACTTTAGAAATATTAGAAATAAGTCTTAAGGGAGGGGGAAAAGGAAGGGTAGTATTTGAGAAAGTGGTGGCTGGGGGAGGGGGTGGGGGGGTGCTTGGTGGTTAATTCAGCAGTGAAATCAGCCACCCTTAGACGGGATGCGACAAAAGTGGTCAAAAGGAAAGATCAACCCTCCACTTTCAGAGAGCTTGGGGAAGTGAAGGGGCTGGTCAAAGTTCCTGGTCATCTACAATGAAAGAAACTATTAACCCATGAGGCCTCCCTCCTCCCTTTTTTGTTTATTAGTAGTGAATCATTTCATGAAATGTTAAGTCCCACTAGGATGGATATGCCAAAACGACTTTTTATGCAAAAAACAAATGCTAAATGTCAGAAACATTAAAAGTATCCTTAAGGAAAAATATATGATTCTTTTAAATGTAGAGTGGTGTTTTGCTTTTTTTTTTTTTTTTTTAACTGACGTTGGAGGTAGTAGGAAATGAGCTAGAGTCAAAGTCCTTTTTGACTTAGGAGGTGAAAAGTTTGGGCGTTAACACCGTCAGGGAAAATAAAACTGAAAGTTCACCAACCCCTGGGATCAGTTGGGCTACAGTGTTTCTCGAAGGGGGTCTGAAATGAAATCCCCGAAAGACTGACCAAAATAATCAAGATGTAGGTGGCTCTGGCAGGAAATTGCTAACCAAACCGATGCTAGAAGACCTTCGGGAGAAGATGGGAAACCTGGGGCTTGAGGCAGGTATTTGTTGACTTTTAGGTATTAGAGGAGGAGCAGACTGATTTGCTACAAAATGGGGAATGGAATTATGTTAAAGAGGAAAGACCCAGCTCCCAAAACACAATGTTCCTGGGTGATAGAGCAAGAAAATTCATTTTTGCAAATACCCAGTAAGAAGTAGACTGGACACTACAACATGAAAAAGAGAAAAAAGAAAAAAATAAATCAGTAGGATTTAGCAAATTGCCTCTTAGGAGTAGTATTAGTCTAGAGTCCAGGATGTACTGTTGTCCCACCCTTCCCTGAAAAAGCTCACCTGCACTTCAGCTGGCCCATCAGCACCGAGGTTTCCAAAAGAAAGCAAATTTGCCATGTAATATTTAGAGAGTTTGGGGTTTCAGCAAAACTGTTTTATAGGCTAAAGTCTCAGAAAGACTACTAAAAATAATGATACCGAGATTGACAAGGCCAACGAATTCCCCTGCACTGGAAAAAAATCACAACCACATTTGCACACTAAAGAATAAGATGCAGGCAAAATAAAAATGGGTTGGGGGGGAGGCAGAGGAGAATCACTGTAACTCCCAACTTTGATATTAATCAGAATATCAGAAGTAGAGTGAGAAGGAGCCTGAAAAGAAGTAAAACAAATGTGTACATTTAATCAGACAGGATTGCATAGGATACAAAGCACAGGGCTAATTAGTCTCAGCAGGTAGGACTAACCTTCAGACTTCATAAATAAATAAGGCAGGTGCAGTGTCTAAGAGGGAGAGTGGAGACAGAAAGGGGATTATTTCAAGACACCAAGTGAAAACATGAAGAATGAAATGCTTCACTGTTAAATCCATGTACAAATGGACTTAACAGTTTCCTTTTTTAGGTCTTTTACTTGGTTGCCTTTAGATTTACACATTTAGCGAAATGACCATAGCTTTATACACTTGCTAATTGTCACCTGTATACTTGATGTGCCTAAGTCTGTCTATATGCAGCGTAGACTTTACTAAGGCTCATTTTAGGGACTTAGTTACTTAAACTGGAACACATTTATAGGAACTCAATTTTATGGCAATTTCTTTGTCCTGTGTGGTAGTTTTTTGTTTTTTATTTTTTTAATCAAACCCTGGTCTGAATTAAGTTGGATAATGAGGTCTTCTATGTTCTTTATAGTACTACCTGTATAATAAAATCTCAGGAATATACTGAATTGAAATTTTAAAGAATGTACTTACTGATTTTACTATACTGGCCTGCATTTTTATCATATGTAAATACTAAGGGCTTTGTTCCCATGATTAGTAACTTTATCCATTTTGGCATATCCTTATTTTTCTCATTCAAAGGGAACTCTTTTGAATCTCTCCTTCCTTAAATCTCTGATTTAATTAAGCAATTAAAAAGTTATTCTGTGATAGTGCATGTCCCACATTTAATTTCGTTGCCTGGTGCTGTACAAAGGCTTGAGTAGACCAGCAAGATCTCAGAGGGGCCAGATCCCTGATGCTCTGCAAGTCCCTCAGGTGATGCCTGAATTGAGGAGCGGGGGGGAATGGCAGAATTGGCACTGCAGTAGCCAGGCAGCAAGGTATTGAAAAATACCTTGAATAGCCGGGCGCAGTGGCTCATGCCTGTAATCCCAGCACTTTGGGAGGCCAAGGCGGGCGGATCACGAGGTCAGGAGATCGAGACCATCCTGGCTAACACGGTGAAACACCGTCTCTACTAAAAATACAAAAAATTAACCAGGCGTGGTGGCGGGTGCCTGTAGTCCCAGCTACTCGGAAGGCTGAGGCAGGAGAATGGCGTGAACCCGGGAGGCGGAGCTTGCAGTGAGCCGTGATGGCGCCACTGCACTCCAGCCTGGCCAACAGAGCGAGACTCCGTCTCAAAAAAAAAAAAAAAAAGAAAAGAAAAAAAAAGAAAAATACCTTGAATACTATTTGAAAAAAAAGGTAGGCTGGCCCACAATGTGAATGTGTAATTTATAGATTTGGTGTGAAATTTTAAACACAGTTGACTTGGGTCCAAGTGCTGAGGCAACTTCTCTGTGGATACTGATGACTCCTGGTTTATAGGACCAAGCGTTCTGCCCAAATGGCAGAGATTTGAAAAACACAGGAAACCAGACCAGTTCTGACTTTAGCCTGAGCCAGGGGATTTTGCCACCATGGGCTCTGCATGTTGGGAAATGGGTGGGAGGGGGGAGAAGCTGTGCCCTCATCCCTTGGAATCCAGTTAGGTCTCTGCATATTTTGGGAGGAAGGCAGGGAGAAGCTGGGCCCTCACCCCTTGGAGTCCATTCCTGGCGCCAGTCCAGGTCCTGAACTGTAAGTAGCTGTCCCTAGGCCTCTCTGACTTTGACCTCGCCCTCTTCATCCACTGCCCTTCTGCTGCTTCTCTTCTGTTTTCTCCTCTCCTTCAGCCCTCCCTTGATTAAATCCTTCTCTTTGGATACATGCTGATACCTTAAAACTTAAGTGAGTAGTGTTACCTCTTCCAGAGGTGCTTCCTTGTTTATCCCTATCAATGAGCATGAAAAGGAGGTTTCTGTTTACACAAATCACCTTTTAAGTGTTGGTTCCCCACGTGGGAGATATGGTGAAGTGTTAGGTGCCCATTGAAATACAGGAATGTGCCTGACAGGGGACTGCAGAAATAGGCCTGCCACAGGCTGTGTCACCCACGGCCCCTTCGTCTTGTCTCACCTGGTGGATGAGGTGGTTGGAATGGGCTTTTTTAAGTTGCCTGTTAATATTTAAAAGTCCGTGATTCCATCGTTTCACCACACGCCCCAGTTATGGCTCAGAGATTCACGCACACCAGCAAAGAAGACAAACCATATTGAAAGCTTGGCTCTGGAATTTGAGAAAAACAAGGCTAGTCTGTCAGATTTACCCGAAGTGGGGAATACATGTTGACAACCATATTCAGCTCCCCCAGTCACTCGGCAAGATTCTGCTAAGTTACCCTTGACAGTGATATGTACATGTGTGGGTGTGTGTATTTGTGTTCCTGTGTGATTTTTCTTTAAAGATCTGGGCTCCAAGATGGATGATCTGTTACCCCACTGTGTTGGACTTATCTATGCCGGGAGTGTGCTAAAGGAAGCCAAAAAAAGACTCTGAAAACATAAGGAAGCTATAAAATGGGGAAATGTTTAGAAGCCAAAGTCCTGATTCCGCTGTGAGATTTTCTGTTTGCTTTTTGTTCTGCGTGGGTGATGGTTCCTTATTTGGACCTTGAGGAAAGCTACTCCCTTAGCCAACATAGGAACGTTAAAAAATTGGACACCCAAGAGTTTTCAAATTTAGCAAGAGGAAGGGTTAGGCAAAAGCGCCCACTTCACAGGCATCCTCTATCCCCCCAAAGACTCTGTGAAGGGACTTGGAGAGACACATACTCTCTCCCCTTGAAACCCTGAGGAACACTCTTCTGTTCTGACATTTTTCTGAAGTGCCCGGCTTGATCACCTTGCTTCAGCTAATAACAGGTCCAGGTAATAAAGTGACAATAATACCTGATGATCCAAGGGTTAATGGGGAGATGTACGCATCTGTACAGGGTTTCATCACCTGCCTTCATAAGCCGATTACCACTGCTATAGGCATTTGTGACAGGAACAGCTTTCTGAAAGACATCAGTCCTCCATAAATATACTTTTCTTATTGACAAGATGTCTTTTAACCCTAATAGTAATGGAAGAAGGCCAATAAATGAAACATTTACTGCATAACTTGCCTTATTTTGGGGTGGTGTACAATTCCTTTCTAGCTGTCTCTAGAAGATGTTTTCAGCCTAATTTGCTCCCTAGAAATTTCACTCGCTACAGTTATACGTCTATGACGTTTTATTGCCTGAAGCCAAGTCTGCATAAGAACTTTCTTAAGATATACTTATCCTAATGCCAAGCTACAGTAACTGGGCTGCTTTGTGCTGAATTATTTGTGCTACCCTGATATACAGGGCAGAGACTTCCCAATAGTCATTGCCATAGGGTAGGTCTAAATGTTTCTGAGAAGGGGAAAAGAGGCAGGAAAAAGGTGAAAAAAGTTTCATCTAGGTTGATTTGTAGAAGTCTTTAGAATTAATAATTGGATGCGTATTTAACATATTAAAATGCCTGAGGTTTTCTTTTGTTTTCTCTTTTTAAAATGGCTTCAATGACCCCACCCTGTCTTACAGAGCAGCTTTGCCCACTCAAATCCATTGCTGTATTCAAAAATGTCACAGATAGCAAAGCACCTTCCACTAAAACATGGGCACCTTAAAATGAGGCAGATACTATGTCCCCCGGTATTGAACAGTCTCACAAGGTGGCTTACGTGCGTTCAAGCGACAGAGCAGGTGAAACTTCAGGAGAGGATGATGCCATTGTTCCCCCTTGAAATTCATCTAGGTGTGGGCTGACACACCTGCATCTGGCCAGAAGCAATATGGGATGGGAGGAGGTAAAATATCCAAGGAGACTCTCAGGTCCATAGTGTGAAGATTTCAGGTTTGGTCCTCACTAGGAATCCACAGCAGCATCAGCCCCAAACTGTCTTGAGAAAATACTAAATCTATGTTGACGGAATCACTTGAGACTGGATTAGAATCAGCAACTCTCCTCCCTTGCAAAATCCCAAATGTTTCTGCAAATTCCAAATTAGTACGGATGGATTACGTTTCCTAACAAAACACTCATTTGGATGAGGAAAGGGAAGAAGTTTCAGTGAATGAGTTCCAGGATCCAGAGTGAGTTTGGGTCTCAGTATAGACAACAATATGCAGCACAAGGTTTAGCAACAGTAAGAGAGTCTTCCAGTGGACTGTCATCTTTAGCAAACACCGGTTCTGGGTAGCCTGAGGGCATGCTGTAAATACCTAGAGCAAGAAGGAGAGCATTAATCGTTATTAAAGGTTCCAGGATGCTGAGAGTGAGGGCTTATAATAACCCCCAAACTCCATAAGAAACACGGGAGCCCCTCCCAGCACCCCCACCTATGGAGATGTGGTGTTTCTCTTTGCCTGTGTCCCCACACACTGAATTTCTAATGACTTCACACACTGTTGGAAATCCTCCCTGTGCTTTTTAAGGGTGGCCAAGGTTCCTGATGGTCTGTTGACAGCACAGGGATGCAGTTTCCTTGTTCTCATTCTGCAAAGGACTATGCTTCTAAAGAAACCCAAGTCTTAGGCCAGGAAGAATCTGAAGAGGCCTCCTGGGCCCCACCACTTCCCATTCTCCTTCCAATCAATGTGCATTAGGGGCTAAAGGCCATAAGTGATGGCATCTATATGCCTGTGAGACCCTCCTGGCCCTGCCACCCACCCAAACTCTATCTGGAAGCCAGAGAGAACATTTCTTAGGGAAGGATCTGATGTTAATGTCTTTCTGTCTTTTCTTCTTTGAAGGCACCTCACACACCCCTTTATACAAGAAGCATCTTTCTAACGTTATCTTCTGGATGTTCATGCTATATTATTGCTGGTTACAAAAAAGCATATACTGTAGAATTCTTTTTTTAATGTAATTATTCTTTAAAAATATTTGACTTTGGGAGGCCGAGGTAGGCGGATCACTTGAGGTCAGGAGTTCAAGACCAGCCTGGCCAACATGGTGAAACCCCGTCTCTACTAAAAAATACAAAAATTAGCAGGGCATGGTGGCCTCCCCCTGGGAGGCTGAGGCAAGAGAATCACTTGAACCCAGGAGGCAGAGGTTGCAGTGAGCTGAGATTGCGCCACTGCACTCCAGCCTGGGCAACAGAGCAAGACTCTGTCTCAAAAAAATATTAAAAAGTAAAAATATTTGGAGACATTTGCTTCAAAATGTCAACAGCACTTTTTCCCCCTAGATGATAGAATTTGGGAAAATTTTTACTTTCATTTTCTGTTTGGTTTGTTTGTTTATTTATTTACTTATTTTGAGACAGGTCCTTGCTCTGTCACCCAGGCTGCAGTACAGTGGCACAATTCTATCTCACTACAGCCTCGAACTCCTGGACCCAAGCAATCCTCCCATTTTAGCTTACCAAGTAGTTAGGTCTACAGACATGCACCACCACACCGACTAACTTTTCTTTTTAATTTTTATTTATTTGTTTATTTATTTATTTATTTATTTATTTTTGGAGACAGAGTCTCACTCTGTCAACAAGGCTGGAGTGCGGTGGTGCTATCTAGGCTCATCACAACCTCCACCTCCTGGGTTCAAGCGATTCTCCTGCCTCAGCCTCATGAGTAGCTGGGATTACAGGCGCCCGCCATCACGCCCGGCTAATTTTTTGTATGTTTACTAGAGACGGGGTTTCACCATGTTGGTCAGGCTGGTCTCGAACTCCTGACCTCAGGTGATCCGCCTGCCTCAGCCTCCCAAAGTGCTGGGATTACAGGCGTGAGCCACTGCTCCTGGCCATATTTTTTATTTTTAGAGACAAAGTCTCGCTATGTTGCCTAAGCTGGTCTCAAACTCCTAGACTCAAGCAATCCTCCCACCTCAGCCTCCCAAAGCACTGGGATTACAGATGTGAGCCAGTGCACCCAGCCTTTGCTTTCATTTTCATACTTTCCTATGTTGTCTTTTATTATTATCATTTTTTCACAACTAGGCATGGATTATTTGTGCCATCAGGATGAAAGTAATGCTCTATTTTGAGAGATAAATGCTTTGACTTTCTTCCTCTTCTCTTATATCCATACCTCTCACACAAGTTGGGGAAATTTTAAGGTAGCCATCATTAACACTGCACCTGATATATAATTTTAAACCTCTGTCAATTTTACTGTCATGCTTGAATTTCAAAGCATGTGGATGACAAAATATTTATTTTTATTTTTATTTATTTATTTATTTTTGAGACAGAGTCTCACACTGTTGCCCAGGCTGGAGTGCAATGGCACGATCTTGGCTCATTGCAACCTTCGCCTCCCGGGTTCAAGTGATTTTCCTGCCTCAGCCTCCTGAGAAGCTGGGACTACAGGCGCACGACACCACGCCAGGCTGATTTTTGTATTTTTAGTAGAGACAGGGTTTCACCACGTTGGCCAGGATGGTCTTGGTCTGCTGACCTCGTGATTCACCTGCCTTGTCCTCCCAAAGTACCGGGATTCCAAGCGTGAACCATCGCACCCAGTGACAAAATATTTAATTTCACTCCTTCAGTTTGAAAATAAATGATGGGCCAGGTGCAGTGTTTCGCACCTGTAATCCGAGCACTTTGGGAGGCCAAGGCAGGTGGATCATTTGAGGTCAGGAGTTTGAGACCAGCCTGGCCAACATGGTGAAACCCTTTCTCTACTAAAATTATAAAAATTAGCCGGGCATGGTGACAGGTGCCTGTAATCCCAGCTATTCAGGAGTGAGGCAGGAGAATCACTTAAGCATAGAAGGCAGAGGTAGGGGTGAGCCAAGATCGCACCACTGCACTCTAGCCTGGGAGACAGAGCAAGACTCTGTCTCAAAAAAAAAAAAAAAAAAAAGTAAAAAAACTTTAAAAAACTGATTAATCCCACTTATCCAAATGTGCTTGGAGACCTGCATACAGATTTCACAACCGCAGCATCCTCTGTCCTGTAAGGAGATTGATAGAGTTGGATATTTGCCCCTCCCAAGTCTCAGGTTGAATTGTAATCCCCAGTGCTGGAGATGGGGCCTGGTGGGAGGTGTTTGGATCATGGGGGCTGATCCCTCATGGCTTGGTGCTGTAATGGCTTGGCGCTGTCTTCATCATAGTGAGTGAGATCTGGTCATTAAAAAGCGTGTGGCACCCCCCTCCCATTCACTCTCTTTCGCTTGCTCTTGCTTTCACCATGTGACATCCCTGCTCCCCCTTTGCCTTCCGCCATGATCATCAAAAGCTCCCTGCAACCTTTCCAGAAGCCCAGCAATGTCAGTGCTGCGCTTTCTGTATACCCTGAAGAACTCTGAGCCAAGTAAGCCCCTTTTCTTTATAAATTGCCCAGTCTCAGGTATCTCCTTACCGCAGCACAAGAACAGCCTAACAGGGATTGTCCTTCCAAAAGCCGTTTCTTATAGATTGTCCTGCTTGCTGCTTAAAACACCTTGTGAGGTAGAGAGAACAAATATAATTACCCCCATTTTACAGGAAAAGAAACTGAGACTCCAAGAGATCCAGGGTGGCCCAGTGTCCCATAGTTGGTAAGTGGCCAGACCAGGACTGGAATGCAGGTTTCCTGTCTCCCAGTCCAGATCTTTTTTTTGCTCCTGGATTCTGGTCAACCCAATGACAGACTCATCCTCACGATTTTCTGTGACACCCTGGGAGTATAAAGGGGATCTTGGCAAAATATAAATAGATTTCTTTAAAGCAAAACTCACACCCGGCTACGCTGTGAAGTTAACATTTGTCCATCCATTCCTCCCCTACTTAGGCTTTTTTGTGGGATCTCCAGAGCTCTCTCCCCAGCTTTGCCCCTTCCTCACCCCCCACCCCAAAACAGCACCCTTTACTCTCCCCCAGGGTTTCTCAAGCTTAGCGCTATTGATGTTTTGGACTGAATAAGTTTTTGTTGTCAGGGGCTGTCCTATGCGTGTTAGGTATTGGACAGCACTCTTAGTTTCTGCCCACTAGTTGCCAGACCCTCCTCACTCCCCCAGGGGTTGTGATCATAACAGATGTCTCCAGAAATTGTCACACATCCCCAGCAGGTTGTGGGGGGAGGGGAGCGGGGAGGAATGGTGGGTGGGGAGGGAGAGTATAAAATCATCCTCACTTAGAGAACCACTGCTCTACATGGAATCCCCTCTCTGGAAGAAATGTTATTTTCTTTTTCTTTCTTTCTTTCTTTCTTTCTTTCTTTCTTTCTTTCTTTCTTTCTTTCTTTCTTTCTCTCTCTCTTTCTTTCTCCTTCCTTCCTTTCTCTTTCTTTCTTTCTCCTTCCTTCCTTCCTCTTTCTTTCTTTCTTTCTCATTCTCTTTCTCTTTCTTTCTTTCCCCTTCCTTCCTTCCTTCCTTTCTTTCAAGACGAAGTCTCCCTCTGTCACCCAGGCTGGAGTGCAGTGGCACAGTCTCAGCTCACTGCAACCTCTACCTCCTGGATTCCAGCAATTCTCCTGCCTCAGCCTCCTGAGTAGCTGGGACTACAGGCACGTGCCACCATGCCCACCTAATTTTTGTATTTTTAGTAGAGATGGGGTTTCATCATGTTGGCCAGGCTGGTCACGAACTCCTGACCCCAAGTGATCCACCCGCCTCGGCCTCCCAAAGTGCTAGGATTACAGGGGTGAGCCACCGCAATTTATTTATTTATTTATTTATTTATTTATTTATTTATTTATTTATTTTTGACACCGAGTCTTGCTCCATCTCCCAAGCTGAAGTGCAGTGGTGCGATCTTGGTTCACTGCAGCCTCTGCCTCCTGGGTTCAAGTAGTTCTCCTGCCTCAGCCTCCCAAGTAGCTGGGACAGGTGTGTACCACCATGTCTGGCTAATTTTTGTATTTTTAGTAGAGACAGAGTTTCACCATGTTGGCCAGGCTGGTCTCCAATTCCCGGCCTCAAGTAATCCACCCACTTCAGCCTCCTAAAGTGCTGGGATTATGGGCATGAGCCACTGTGTCCCGCCTTAGAAATGTGATATACTTTAGATTCACTTTAGTAAATCAGTTCTCTAACTGGTTAGGGGGATGCCACAATCCCTTCTCCCCAATCCCAACTCCCCCAGCCAACCAGGGGCTGTATTAGAATGGCCTGGGAAGTTTTTTCCAACTGTGACTCTCCCCAGCCCCCACAGTCCTGTTGAGAACCCATGCCCTGCTCGGGGGAGCCTCTTGGCCTCAGCAGCAGGACTGAAATCTTGGATCGTGTGGATCTTGCCCTGTGTGGATGCGTGACCTTGGGCCCCTCCATAAATCACTCTGACTCTCTTCCCTTATCTGTAAAACAGGGTTGGAATATCTACATGTGAGTGTTATTACGAGGATTCAGTGAAATAACATGTAGAGTTGCCTTGATTTCTACGTCTTTCAATGGGGCAGTTTCCCTTTCTTGCCTCCCCTCTCCAGATGGGGATGGAATACCAGCATTTAGCATAGTTCTGGCTCCTTGGGAGAGCCCAGTAGACCTTAGCTCTTATCACTGTTATCCTATCCCTCCCAGTTAATCCTCTCAAGAACAGCTGCTTTATACAAAGGAAAGGTGCCTAAACTCAAATCAAACACATCCCTAATGGTGGCTTTCAGGCCCCAAAGATAATCTGGACAGTAGCAGCAAAGACCCTTTGGGATCTCTTTGTGGTGCTATCCACTGGGAGGGGCAGCCCCACCAAAAGAGCGACTCCAAACACCCTCCTCTCCCTGTCCCTTCAGGCAAGTCCCTCCCATCCAGTTAGGGCAGCACATAGATTTCGAAAGCCCCCAAGGCTTCATCACAATTGACTAGTAATTTAATAATCTGCAGCCCTTGGCAAACACTAATTAAGCAAGAGCATAGCTCCCGGTGAGGAAGGCCTGCCATCCTCCACCCCTAGACCCTGCTTACAAAAGGGAGGCAACTGAATGGTGGCTTCCCAATGCGGCCTGCTTTGCAATGAAAAGGAAGGAAAGAAGGAAGGCTAGGACAAAGGGGAAGAAAGGAACTCCAGGTCACAGTAGTCCAGTCAAGGCTATTACTGCTTACTCTGGGATGGATGGTCTTCTTCCGACCAAGGGTCTTCTAACTTTTATTTATTTATGTATTTATGTAGGGATGGAGTTTCGCTCTTGTTGCCCAGGTTGGAGTGCAGTGGCACAATCTCAGCTCACTGCAACGTCCACCCCGGGTTCAAGAGATTCTCTCACCTCAGCCTCCCAAGTAGCTGGGATTACAGGTGCACGCTACCACACCCAGCTAATTTTTGTATTTTTAGTAGAGACTGGGTTTCACTGTGTTGGCCAGGCCGGTTTCAAACTCCTGACATCAGGTGATCCACCCGCCTTGGCCTCCCAAAGTGCTGGGATTACAGGCGTGAGCCAACGTGCCCGGCCCTAACTTTTCAACTTGTAGGGAAGGTTGTCAGAAACCCCTTTGAGAATCCAAAGCTAGATTTAGGCTGTCTCACCAGGAAAATGCACTGACATTTAAATTTTTGCAAATAATCCCTAGACTTTGTATTAAAATCTTCTGTCCTAAATAATCATACGTAACGTCTTAGATTTGTTGAATCTTTTACAATTTAAGAAGCACTTTCCAGTAGCAAAGCAGAAGGCACACTTCCATTTTCTCTTACATAAAATGGAGTTAGTAGAAGTATCTCTTGTTAAAACTGTTTCCATCTTACAGATGAAAAAACTGAGACCTCGAAAAGCTTGACCAAACTCACTCTAGTCAGTAAAAGCTGGGATTTGAACCCAGGATTCTTGACTCTTCCTATATTGCTCTACCTCTCTTTTAATTTTAAAAACATTTTTGTTAGGCCAGGTGTGGGAGCTCACGCCTGTAATCTCAGCACTTTGGGAGGCCGAGGCAAGTGGATCACTTGAGGTCAGGAGTTTGAGACCAGCCTGGCCAACATGACGAAACCTTGTCTCTTCTAAAAATACAAAAATTAGCTGGGCGTGGTGGCACACACCTGTGGTCCCAGCTACTCGGGAAGCTGAGACAGGAGAATCACTTGAA
This sequence comes from Homo sapiens, assembly GCF_000001405.40. NCBI lineage: Eukaryota > Metazoa > Chordata > Mammalia > Primates > Hominidae > Homo > Homo sapiens. Next base: position 112,937,525 of record NC_000010.11, on the reverse strand, counting down.
CCCAGGAGGCAGACGTTGCAGTGAGCTGAGATCACGCTACTGCACTCCAGCCTGGGCAACAAAGCAAAACTCCATCTCAAAATAATAATGATAATGATAATAATAATAATAATAATAAAAATACATTTTTGTTAGAGTATAACATTCATATCATAAACTGCAAAAATTTTAAATATTCGGCAGGGCACAGTGGCTCATGCCTGTAATGCCAGCACTTTGGGAGGCCAAGACGGGCAGATCACGAGGTCAGCAGATTGAGACCATCCTGGCTAACACGGTGAAACCCCATCTCTACTAAAAATACAAAAAAATTAGCCGGGCATGGTGGTGAGTGCCTGTAGTCCCAGCTACTCCGGAGGCTGAGGCAGGAGAATGGCGTGACCCAGGAGGCGGAGCTTGCAGTGGGCTGAGATCGTGCCACTGCACTCCAGCCAGGGTGACAAAGCGAGACTCCGTCTCAAAAAAAAAAAATAAATAAAATATTCACCTTATGAATGTTTACAAATGCAAACGCCCATGCAACTTACCATCTAGAATATTACCAGAACCACATAAACAATCCTTGCATACCCTCCAAATAGATATTCTCCCAAAATAAGGTTGCCAGATTTAGCAAATAAAAATATTACATGAAACATATTTATACTAAAAAATTATTTGCTGTTTTTCTGAAATTCAAATTTAACTGGGTGGCCTGTATTTATATCTGGCAGTCCTACCCAAAAAGTAACCATTATTTTGACTCTTTTTTTTTTTTTTTTTTTTTTTTTGAGACAGACTTTCGCTCTTGTTGCCCAGGCTGGAACGCAATGGTGCGATCTCAGCTCGCTGCAACCTCCACCTCCCGGGTTCAAGCAATTCTCCTGCCTCAGCCTCCCGAGTAGCTGGGATTACAGGTGCCCACCACCATGCCCAGCTAATGTTTTGTATTTTTAGTAGAGATAGGGTTTCACCATCTTGGCCAGGCTGGTCTTGAACTCCTGACCTCAGGTAATCTGCTCGCCTTGGCCTCCCGAAGTGCTGGGATTACAGGCGTGAGCCACCGCACCCGGCCTATTCTGACTTTTATAAGTCTAGATTAGTTTGACCTGTTCTTGTGTATTGTATAAATGGAATCATACAGTACATGCTCTTTTGATTCCAGATTCCAGCTTCTTTTTTTTTTTTTTTTTTTTTTGAGACAGAGTCTCAAAGTGTGTCTCAGAGTGTCAATTTCCTCAGAGCCTTGCTCTGTCTCCCAGTCTGGAGTGCAGTGGTGCTACACGATGAAACCCCATCTCTACTAACACAAAACATTCCAGCTTCTTTTACTTAACATTTTATCTGTGAGATGCAACAATGTAGCAGTAGTCTTTTTCTTCACTGTATAGTATTCCATTGTGTACAATGTTTATATAAATTTATAACATACAATGAATATACATTTATTACTTGTACATTGTAAATATACGTGTGTGTACATATATGTGTTTTTATGCACAAATGCATGTACAATGAAGATAAATGTACTTATCCTGTCTTCTGTAGCTTAAACATTAGGTTGGTTTTAGCCAAGATAAACAGGGTTGCTATGAATATTCTTGCACATGTTCATATACGAATGCATTGTGACATCTGGAATGTGACAATAAGCTCACTTTAATAGATAGTACCAAAATTCTTCAAAAATTGTTGAACCAGTTATACAAGAATGTACAGAGAGATGCAATTGCTGTACTTGATATGGTCAGTTTTTCCCCTTTTATGGTGAGTGTACGGTGGTATATCATTGGTTTTAATCTGCATTTCCTTGTTAACTAATGATGTTGAGCATCTTTTCACACACATATTGGCTATTTAGATATCCTCTTTAGTGAAATGCCTGTTCAAGTCTTTCGTCCATTTTAAAAAATAGGTGGTCCATCTCTTTCCTATTGATTTATAAGAATTCTTTACATAGTCTACATATGAGTCCTTTATCAGACATAGGTTTTATAAATACCTTCTCTATTGCTTGCCTTCTCATTCTCATAATGGTGCATTTTGATGAACAGAAGTTTTTTGGGTTTGTTTTTTTGTTTGTTTGTTTTTGAGACGGGGTTTCACTCTGTCGCCTAGCCTAGAGTGCAATGGCACGATCTCAGCTCACTGCAACCTCTGTCTCCCGGGTTCAAGTGATTCTCCATCCTTAGCCTCCCGAGTAGCTGGGACTACAGGCACGGCCACCATGCCCAGCTAATTTTTGCATTTTTAGTAGAGACAGGGTTTCACCATGTTGGCCAGGCTGGTCTCGAACTCCTGACCTCAAGTGATCCACCCCCCTCAACTTCACAAAGTTCTGGGATTACAGGCATGAGCCACTGCGCCTGGCCCAGAGGTTTTTAATATTAGTAACCTTTATGGTTATTGCTTTTGTGAGTATATGTGTTATGTGAGAAATCATTACCTACCCCAAGGGCATAAACATATTCCCATATGTTGCCTTCTAGAAGAATTTTGTTTTATCTTTCACATTTAGATCCACTGGACATTTTTTTTTTGTCTATGGTATGTACTTCCCAATTAATATTTAAATTATTTCCCAGCTTCACAATTCTACAGAATCTATGTTCACATTCACTAATATCACCATTAGATAGTTCAGTTCAATTTAAAAAGAATTACAAAGCATCTTCATATGTGCCAAGGTATTGTACTAGATGCTAAGAATTTAAAACTTGAACTTGGCATGGCAGTCATTCACTCAGAGCACGCAGTCTAATACCTTACACCCTGTGGTCTGCCCAGATCCATGTGAGGCTCCTGCCAACATCCATAGCATCTTTTCAAAGTCCCTTGCCTTAGAAGCAAGGTCTACCGCAGATTTGCTTTTCAGGCTGGTACTTGGTGCCTGTCCCCCAGAGTCTGGCTAGGGAGGTGGGAGCATGCTCACAGTATTACTCCTTTGGGGAATCTCTGAAGGTTCACAGGGAGAGGCTGAAATCTGGCTCCTATGTGAGTAGCAGGTCCCTGAGCCAAGTAAGAGCCTACATTCCAGCCAAGTCCGTGGTGGAAAAGATGCATTGTCTAGTCACCTGGAGTGACTCGAAAATCCCTGGGGCAGCTAAAATGTCAGTAACAGGACAAGTTATAAACTATGAATGACTTTTATGATACCTGATTGTATCATAACTGTTCTGCTTTGCTGGCCTCACTAGCTCTTCCAATGAATCATCAATCACATTGCTAACATCCAGCTACTAATTCCTTAGTCTGGGGAAGGTGATGTAAAGGTTGCAACCTCACCTACAATTTCCAATATCTGTCATCTGGAGACTTTTAGTGCTGTTCCAGAAGCTAGACCAAAAAAAAGAAAAAAAAAAGAAAAAAAACAAACAAACCCAACCCACTATCCTTACCCTTGGGCTCTTGAGGGCTCTTTCACTCCATCCCTAGTAATCACCCAGAACCCCCGTTCCTGGTTTCTGGCCCCTTCTGTTGGCCCAGGCAGGCTCTTTTTATTGGGACATATCAAGTAGTCGTGATTTCCCACTGGACCCAGACTCTCTTGGGGATTAGAGTTCATTCTGGCTCTTCCTACCCTGGTCCTTCTCAACGTAGAACACTCCACCCTCCCTAGGGAGCCCCAGCCTCCAATACTGACCACCAGCATTGATGGCTGTTGTCCCACCAGACCCATTGCAACTTCCACAAGACAAGGGATCTAGGCATTGCAGGAGGCCCCAGGGTCCGTAGCAGCTCCAGCCTCTACTTAACTACCCCAGGGTTCCTAGTAGCTCCAGGCTCTACTTAACTCTGGCCTACTTCATTTCTTTCTTTCTTTCTTTCTTTTTTTCTCGAGACAGAATCTGGCTCTGTCACCCAGGCTGGAGTGCAGTGGTGTGATTTCGGCTCACTGCAACCTCTACCTCCCGAGTTCAAGTGATTCTCTTGCCTCAGCCTCCCAAGTAGCTGAGATTACAGGTCTGTACCACCACGCCCAGCTAATTTTTGTATTTTTAGTAGAAACGGGGTTTCGCCATGTTGGCCATGCTGGTCTCAAACTCCTGACCTCAGGTGATCCTCCCACCTCAGCTTCCCAAAGTGCTGGGATTACAGGAGTGAGCCACTGCGCCTGGCTGCAAATTTATTTTTAAAAAATATTTTGATAGCTGCATTTCAATGTAATTGGGCTAATCCTGTGGGTTTTTTAAATTAATTATTTTTAACTGCTTTTTTTTTTCTTTTTTTTCTTGAGACAGAGTTTTGTTCTGTCGCCCAAGCTGGAGTGAAGTGGCATTATCTCGGCTCACTGCAACCTTCGCCTCCCTGGTGCAAGTGATTCTCGTGCCTCTGTCTCCCAAGTAGCTGGGACTACAGGCGTGTGCCACCACACCTGACTAATTTTTGTATTTTTAGTAGAGACAGGGTTTCACCATGCTGACCAGGCTTGTCTTGAACTCCTGGCCTCAAGTGATCTGCCCCCTTTGTCCTCCCAAAGTTCTGGGACTACAGGCGTGAGCCACCGCACCCGGCCAATTGAAATGTTCAGACCATTTACATTAATGTGAGTATTGCTATAGCTGGGTTTAAATATATCGTCTTGCCATTTATTTTCTATTTGTTATTTCTGTTCTTTGGGGTTTTTTTCCCCTCTTTTTTACCTTCTTTTGAATGAACTGAACATTTTTATGATGTCATTTTATCATCTTTGTTGGGTTATAGCTATAACTCTTTGTTTTGTTATTTTGATGATTGCTTTAGGGTTGATGGTATATATCTTTAACTTATCACTGTCTACCTTCAAATGATATTATACCTTTCTACATACAGTATGAGAAACTTACAATCACATACTTCCATTTATCCTCACCCAGTCTCTGTGTCATTATTGCCACACATTTTACCACCACGTATCTTATAAACCCTATAATACATTGTTAATTTTGCTTTAAACAGTCAAATATCTTTTACATAGATTTACATAATAAGGAAAAAGTCAGATATTTACCCATGTAATTAATGTTTCTGATACTCTTTATTCCTTCATGTAGATCTGGATTTCCAACCGATGCAATTTTCCTTCTGCCTGAAGAATTTCCCTTAACATTTCTTGTAGTATGGATCTGCTGGTGATGAATTCTTTCAAATTTTTTATGTCTGATAAAGTGTTTATTTCACTTTCATTTTAAAAAGATAGACTTTATTCTTTGCTTGTTTGTTTGTTTGAGATGGAGTTTCACTCTGTTGCCCAGGCTGGAGTGCAGTGGTGCGATCTCAGCTCACTGCAACCTTTGCCTCCCGGGTTCAAGCGATTTTCCTGCCTCAGCCTCCTGAGTAGCTGGGATTACAGGCACGTGCCACCACACCCTGGCTAATTTTTTTGTATTTTTAGTAGAGACGGGGTTTCACTGTGTTAGCCAGGATGGTCTCGATCTCCTGACCTCGTGATCCGCCCACCTGGGCCTCCCAAAGTGCTGGATTACAGGCTTGAGCCACTGCACCCGGCCGACTTTATTCTTTAGAGCAGTTTTAGGTTCACATCAAAATTGAGCAGAAGGTACAGATATTTCCCATATGTTCTCCTGCCTCAACACATGCACAGCCTCTCCCACTATCAACATCCTGCACCAGAGTTGCGTATTTGTTATAATTGATGAACATACATTGACACATCATTACCACTCAAATTTCATCATTCTCATTAGGGTCTACTCTTGTTCATTCTATGAGTTTTGACAAATGTACAATAGCATGTATTCACCATTATCATTTTACATAGAATAATTTCACTTCCCTAAAAATCCTCTGTGCTCTGCCTATTTATCCTTCCCTCTCCCCCAACACCTGGCAACCACTAATCTTTTTACTGTCTTTATAGTTCTGCCTTTTCCAGATGGTCATAAGGTTGGATTCTTATAGCACATATCTTTTTCACATTGGCTTCTTTCACTTCGTAATTTACATTTAAGTTTTCTCCATGTCTTTTTATGGCTTGGCAGCTCTTTTCTTTTTAGTGCTGAATAATATTCCATTGTCTGGATGTACCACAGTTTATTTATCCATTCATCTACTAAAGAGCATCTTGGTTGCTTCCACGGTTTGGTAAGTATGATCAAAGCTGCTATAAACATTTGTGTGCAGGTTTTTATGTGGACAAAATTTTCAGCTTATTTGGATAAATACCAGGGAGTATGGTTGCTGGATCACATGGTAAGAGTTATGATTAGTTTTGTAAGAATTGCCTTCCAAAGTGCTAAACTGTCTTCCAAAATGGCTCCCATCCAGTACCAACAATGAACGAGAGTCCCTGTTATGCCACGTCCTTGTCAGCATTTGATATTTTCAGTATTTTTGGATTTCAACCATTCTAATAGACGTATAGTAGTATCTCGTTATTCCTTTTAAACTGCAATTCCCTAGTTTTATATGATGTTGAACATCTTTTCATATGCTTATTTGCCGTCTTTGGTTATTTGCTTTCATTTTTGAAAGATCTTTTTGCTAACTATAAAATTCTAACTTATCAGTGTTGGGGTTTTTTTTTTCTTTCAGTTCTTTAAAGATTTTGCTTCACTGTCTTCTGGTTTGCATTGTTTCTAACAAGAATTCTACTGTTATTCTTATCTTTGTGTCTATGTGCATAGAAACAATGCTTCTTGAAAAATTTTCTCTTTATTACCAGTTTTAGGCAATTCTATTAAGATATGCCTCACTGTAATTTTATTTATTTCGAGTGTGTGTGCTTGGGATTTATTGAGCTTCTTGGATATTTTTTGGTTTGTTTTTCTGAGACAGGGTCTTTCTCTATCATCCAAGCTGGAGTGCAGTGGTGCCATCTCAGCTCACCGCAACCTCCGCCTCCCAGGCTCAAGGGATCTTCTCACCTCAGCCTCCCAAATAGCTGGGACCACAGGCACACATCACCACACCTGGCTATTTTTTTTGCATTTTTAGTAGAGATGGGGTCTCACCATGTTGCCCAGGCTGGTCTTGAACTCCTGAACTCAAGCGATCCACCTGCCTCAGCCTCCCAAAGTGCTGGGATTAGAGGCATGAGCCACTGCTCCTGGCCTGCTTCTTGGATCTTTGAGTTCATATTTTCCATCAAATAGGAAAAGTTTTTGAACATTATTTCTTCAAATACTTTATCATTTGAAGACTCTAGTTACACATGTATTGGGCTACTTGAAGTTTTCCTATAGCTCAATGATTCTTGTATATTTTTTATAAGTCTTTTTTCCTTTGTGTTTTACTTTAGTTTCTATTACGTTTGTAAGTTCATTAATCATTCTCTGCAGTGTGTAATCTGCTGTTAATCTGATCTAATGTACTTTACATCTTAGACATTATAGTTTTCATCTTTAGAATTCTTATTAAGATTTTTAAAAATATCTTTGATGTCTCTACTTAATATGCTTAATTGTTCCTCTAGCTTCTTGAATATAACTTCCATTGTTCCTGTCTGCTAATTCTGTCCTCTGCATCATTTCTGATTCAGTTTTGATTGAGTAATTTTTATACTCACTATTGGTTGTCTTTCCCTAATTCTTTGCATGCCTGATAGTTATCACACATCAGACATCGTGAATTTTACCTTTTTGAGTGCTGGATATTTTCTGTATTTTCACAAATACTCTAATTATTCTTGAGCTTTATTCTGGGGCATGGTTAAGTTACTTAGAATCAGTCTGATTTTTTCAGTCTTGTTTTCAAGCCTTGTTGGGTGAGAACAGAGCAGCAGTTAGTTTCAACCTAAATTTTTCCAACTACTGAGACAAAATTATTCAGAGTACTCTACCTTATGCCCTGTGGATTATGAGGTTTTCTACTCTGATTGATGAGAACAGGAACTATACCTGACCCTATGTGAGTTCTCTCTGTTCCTTTTGCTGGTTCTTTTTCTGGTCTCGCATAGTTTCTTCATGCACATGTGCTAATCAGGACTTAGCTGAAGACTCCAGGGAGACCCTCTCCAGATTTCAAGAGTTCTCTCTGTGAAATTCTCTCCTCTTTGATATTTTGCAAACTCCCACCACCTTGGCCTCCCCTCTCTCCTAGCTTTTCCTTCTCAGCCCAGCGACACCATGAGCTCCTCATCTTTGTGCCACAGTTGAGACACTCTCCTATGTCCCCAAGCTGGGCAATGTCATAGTGGTCACCTCGTTTATTTCTCATCCCTTGGGGATCAACTGCCCTATGTTACCCAATTGTCAATGTTTTGAAAACTGTTGTTGCATATACTTCACCTGGCTTTTTCAGGTAGGGTAACTCTGATCTCTATTACTCCATCTTGGTCAGTAGCAGAAATCTGCAATCAATCCTATATATTGTATTTAATGCATTTAAAACAAAATATGGAGCCTGAGAAAATGTCCATATCCTTCACTAGATGGTCAGAGGGGACCATGACACACAAAAACGTTAAGAACTCCTGCTCTTGCCGGGTGCAGTGGCTTACGCCTGTAATCCCAGCATTTTGGGAGGCCAAGGCACATCATTTCAGGTCAGGAGTTTGAGACCAACTTGGCCAACATGATGAAATCCCATCTCTAATAAAAATACAAAAAAATTATCTAAGTGTGGTGGTGCACGCCTGGAATCCCAGCTACTCAGAAGGCTGAGGCAGGAGAATTGCTTGAACCCAGGAGGTAAAGGTAGCAGTGAGGCAAGATCATGCCATTGCACTCAAGCCTGGGCAACAGAGCAAGACTCCACTTCAAAAAAAAAAAAAAAAAAAAAAACTCCTGCTCAGGTAGGATTAGTTAATATTTTTACAGGGTGCACAGATTTTCCCTGAGAAAGGTGGAACAAGGCCTGAGCTGCTTTTAGGCCCTCAAAAGCTGGGGTCTGAACATGAATGAGAACATGAAGATGGTCTCTGGCAGTCCTGGGCTTCTAGATTTTCCCCAGAGTAGATCTAGGAGGAAATTGGTTCCCACCCTGCAGTTTCTCCCTGTTGGCTGTGTCTCTCTTGCTTCCCAAAGAGAGGTTTGCAAATGTTCGGCAGGGTCTGGACAAATATGTCATGAAGTTTTAATTTCACAGCAAACTTGGTTATTAACCTTTTTTTTTCTTTATCCATGCCCTTCCTAAAAATCCTTCCCATCCCCACTGCAGACTCTGCCCCATTTTCTCCTCCTTTATAATTAGGGTGTAAGCTTGCTGAACCCAAACACCTTTGCCTGGTGAAAGAATCTATGTGCCCCTAGCAGTGCATGTTTTGTTAATCTGAGTGCAAAGTCAGAACAGGTTGAAGATCTCTGCCACCTCTGACAAAGGAGCTGGAGGCGGGGCTGGGTCCCACATGGAAACTATTCATTAGTCCTGTATTTTTCCTAGTATTCCAAGTCTTCCCTAATTCCCTTTGGGAGGCTGGTACTACCTGGGTTGCTGGGTAGAGACAAATGAAATGAACTCATTAGCATTTGTAAGCAAGTCCATGGGAGCTGGGCAGGAGGGATTCATTCTGTTGAGATGAACATTGATGTAACTCCCAAAGTTGAGATCAGCTGCTATTCCAGCATCAAGCTCAGAAGTATCTTCCTCTGAATCTCTTTTTCCTGGGTTTAAGGATCCTGCCCCGGGGGTAACACAGCCATCAGCCCAGGAAGCTCCAAAATCCAGCCTTGAGTATCCATGCATTTTTTTATTCAACAAATATATGAGACCCGCTGTATTCTAGTCCTTACAGTAGGCATTGAGGATAGAGCAATGAACAAAATCCAACAAGCTCTACAGTTCCTCTTTTTATGAGGCTTACCATCTAATTAAGACAGGCATTGATATGCTGTGTTTGTGTGTATAAAAGAGCACAAAATTACATGCATATATTATATGCATGCACACATATGTAAAATATAACTGTGACACTCCTTGAGGAGGAATAAGTAAGCATAAACTAGGGGAACTGACCTGGTTGGGGAGCTCAGGGAAGGGTTCCCTGAAGAAATGATAACCCAGCTGAGATGTAAAAGATGAGTAGACTTTAATTAGGGGAAGAGGGGAAAGAGCGCTCCCTGTGGAAGAAATAGGATGTCCAAAGGCCCTGTGGCCTAAGGAAGCAGGTGTGTGTGGCAGAGTGCATTTTCTAAAGATGGCTGCATCACTTTGTGATACTCCATAGCTCTTCCTGCAACATGAGGCCACACTCACCCATGGAGAGATGAAGGTCTGTGTCCCCTTGAATCCAGTGGGCCTACTGCAGATGTGATGCCATGTGACTTCTGAGGCTAAATCTAAAAATGTTCTATCTCGTCTTCTTGGGACCCAGGACCATGCTGTGAGGCACCCATGGAGCCACGTGGAAAAGTCCCAGCTGGCAAGGGCCAATTGCCCTCCAGACACAAGAGTGAAAGGGCCTTCAGATGACTCCAGACCCAGCCTCTGAGCCACTGCAGCAGATGCCAAGTGGAGTGAGCGCTGCCTGGATTTCAGATCTGTGAGCAAAATAAATATCATATCATCCTTTCAAGCCACTCAGTACTGACGTGGTTTGCTCTGGTGGCTGTAGATAACAGTATGTCTGGGGAACTCTGAGAAGGCCAGTGGAAAAGGGCACAAGTACCTCTGGGACCTGGCAATGGAAAGGGAGCAAGAGCTGGATCCAGAACTTGCTACAAGCCCAGTGACTCTAGAAAAGGCAATCTCTCCAGGCAAACAAAGATGTGGGGCCTATGCTTGGTTACTGGAGTGAGGACTGGATTTCAGCCCTCATTCATCTCTCAGCCAAATGTTCTTGTGCAGGGCACACCTACACAATCATACTTAGAGGCCCTGCTAGGCCACACAAAGTCTCAGAGGCTGGGTTAGGGATTTGGGTCTTTATTCTAGGAGCAATGTGGGAGCAGGTAATCGGGCCAGTGAAGTGATTCTTACCACTTTAGTTCAGAGTCTCCCAAAAGACTCAGAAAGCTGCTGTCCATAGATTTTAGGGTCCATTTCCAAGGGAGAGAATGGGGCCAAAAAAGTCAGGCTTCTGATTTTTTTTTTTTTTTTTTTTTGAGACGGAGTCTCACTCTGTCACCCAGGCTGGAGTGCAGTGGCACGATCTCAGCTCACTGCAAGCTCCACCTCCTGGGTTCACGCCATTCTCCTGCCTCAGCCTCCCGAGTAGCTGGGACTACAGGCGCGTGCCACCATGCCCGGCTAATTTTTTTAGTATTTTTAGTAGAGACGGGGTTTCACTGTGTTAGCCAGGATAGTCTCGATATCCTGATCTTGTGATCCACCTGCCTCAGCCTCCCAAAGTGCTGGGATGACATATATATATATATATATATACGTATATATACATATATATATACACATATATATACATATATACATATATACACACATATATATACATATATACATATATACATATATATACATATGTACATATATACATATATACATATATATACATATATACATATATATACATATATACATATATATACATATACATATATATACATATACATATATATACATATATACATATATATACATATACATATATACATATATATACATATATATATACACATATATATATACACATACATATATACATATATATATATATATATATATATTTTTTTTTTTTTTTTGAGACAGAGTCTTGCTGTGTCGCCCAGGCTGGAATACAGTGGTGTGGTCTTGGCTCACTGCAGCCTCTGCCTCCTGGGCTCAAGATATCCTCCCACCTCAGCCGGCTGAGTAGCTGGGACTACAGGCATGCACCATCATGCCTGGCTAATTTTTCTTTTTTCTTTTTTGGTGATGGAGTCTCACTCTGTTTCCCAGACTGGAGTGCAGTGCTGCGATCTCAGCTCACTGCAACCTCCACCTCCTGGGTTCGAGTGATTCTCCTGCCTCAGTTTCCCAAGTACCTGGGATTACAGGTGCACACCACCATGGCTGGCTAATTTTTGTATTTTTAGTAGAGACAGGGTTTCACTATGTTGGCCAGGGTGGTCTCGAACTCCTGACCTCAAGTGATCCACCCTCCTCAGCCTCCCAAAATGCTGGGGTTACAGGAAAGAGCCACCATGATCAGTCTTTTCTTTTTCTTTTTTTTTTTTTTTTTTTGTATTTTTGTAGAGACAGGGTTTTGCCATGTTGCCCAGGCTTGTCTGAAACTTCTGGGCTCAAGCAATCTGCTTGCCTCAGCCTTAATTTTTTTTTTTTCTTTGAGATGGAGTCTTGCTCTGTCACCCAGACTGGAGTGCAGTGGTGCAATCTCGGCTCACTGCAACCTCTGCCTCCCGGGTTCAAGATATTCTCCTGTCTCAGCCTCCTGAGTAGCTGGGATTACAGGTGCGTGCCACCATGCCTGGCTAATTTTAGTATTTTTAGTAGAGACAGGGTTTTGCTATGTTGGCCAGGCTGGTCTGGAACTCCTGACCTCAGGTGATCCACCCGCCTCAGCCTCCCAAAGTGCTAGGATTATAGGCGTGAGCCACCGCGCCCGGCCCCTAATTTTTTAAAATTATTTTTCATTTTTCAAAGATAGGGTCTTGCTTTGCTATCCAGGCTGGAGTGCAGTGGCACAATCATAGGTTACTGCAGCCTCAAACTCCTGGGCTCGAGTGATCCTCTTCCCTCAGCCTCCTGACTAGCTAGGACTACAGGTGTGTGCCACCACCCTCCAGCTAATTTAAAAAAATTTTTTTAGAGATGGGGGTCTTACCATATTGCCCAGGCTGGTCTGGAACTCCTGGCCTCAGGTGATTCTCAAGTGATCTGCCTCAGCCTCCCAAAGTGCTGGCACTATAGGCATGAGCCACTGTACCTGGCCAGGCTTGCTCATTCTTCAACATTTCTCTTGTCTCAAGGTGGAGATAATTTCTCCTACTTATAGGCTCAACTCTACCTACATACTAATCTCAGTTCTGTCCTAGCCCCCAGAATAGCTAAAACATGGCTAAAAGTAAAGATCAGCCTAGCATTTGGTCCCTTTACCTTTTTTTTTAAGTTTTATTTTCAATTGATACACACACACACACACACACACACACACATATGAAGTACAATGTGATGTTTTGATACACATATACATTGTGGAATGAGCAAATCAGGCTAATTAGCATATCTATCAACTCAAATATTTATCATTTCTTTGTGGTGAGAACATTTAAAATCCTCTCTGTTAGCTATTTTGAAATACACCATGCATTTTTTTTTTTTTTTTTTTTTGAGATGGAGTCTCACTCTGTCAACCAGGCTGGAGTGCAGTGGCACAATCTCGGCTGACTCTAGCCTCCACCTCCTGGGTTCAAGCGATTCTCCTGCCTCAGCGCTCCTGAGTAGATGGGACTACAGGCATGCACCACCATGCCTGGCTAATTTTTTTTGTAGTTGTAGTAGAGATGGGGTTTCACCATGTTGGCCGGGCTGGTCTCGAACTCCTCACCTCAAGTGATCTGCTGTCTCGGTCTCCCAAAGTGCTAGGATTACAGGTGTGAGCCATCTTGCCTGGCCTACAGTGCATTATTAGTAGCTATAGTCACGATCCAGTATATAGAACACCAGATCTTATCCCTCCTGCTTAACTGAAGCTTTGTACCTGTTGACCAGCATCTTCTCTTTCTCCATTCACCCCCGCCGCAGCCTCTGGTAACCACCATTCTGCTCTCTATTTCTGTGAGTTTGACTTTTTTAGATTCCGCATATAATTGAGATCCATAAGTGGTATTTGTCATTCTGTGCCTGGCTTATTTCATTTAACATAGTGTCCTGTAGGTTCATCCATGTTTCTACAAATGACAGAATTTCCAGGTTTTTTTTAAAGCTGAATAGTATTTCACTGAGTTTATATACCACATTTGATTAACATGGCAGGGGAGATATCTCTTCAGCATAATGATTTTAATTCCTTTGGGTATATACCCCAAAGTGGGATTGCTGGGTCAAATGGTAGTTCAGTTTTTTAGTGTTTTTTGTTTTTGTTTTTTGGTTTGTTTTTGTTTTTGTTTTGAGACAGATTCTTGCTCTGTTGCCCAGGTCAGAGTGCAGTGGCACGATCTCAGCTTACTGCAACTTCCTCCTCCCTAGTTCAAGCAGTTCTCCTGCCTTGGCCTCCCAAGAAGCTGAGGTTACAGGCGTGCGCCAGCACGCCTGGCTATTTTTTTTGAATTTTCAGTAGAGTTGGGGTTTGGCCATGTTGGCCAGGCTGGTCTCAAACTCCTGACCTAAAGTGATCTGCCTGCCTCGGCCTCCCAAAGTGCTGGAATTACAGGCATGAGCTACCGTGCCCGGCAGTGGCTTTTTAGTTTTTTTGAGTTATCTCCGTACTATTTCCAAAATGGCTGTACCTTTGCCTTCTCAAGCCCTCATTCTGGTGGCTTGGCTTTGACTTAGTGTCCCAGATACTTTGGATTTAGATTTCTATTCTTATCTTTGCACCTTCTTTCCCTTATTCTCTATTCTCTATCACCGATCTCCAAGACAATGACTCCTAATGCCCACCAAGACCATGTCCAAGCTCAGTCCCCCTACACATGGTGAAGCCATGTCCGGGATGAACGGTGTGATGAGTAAGCAATGGTGGGGATTGTGGGAGGCACTGTGGGCTGTCTACTCAATGGCAATTCTCTCCTATCTTCACGGTAATAGAATCCTGACTTTGTTCCCCTTCCCCAAGTGATCACAACCTTTTAGGAAGGTTGGACTCCTCCCTGGCCCTAGGGTTGAAATCTGGATGGATCTAAGCCAGTCATGATGGTCTCATTCTTCTTGACAAATGAATGGTTTGGATGTGGACCCATGTGTTGCAAGGGGAGGTTTGCTGGGGAGCCTTTTAGAACATTTTCATTGCTCATGAAAAGGAACACCAAAGCCCCACCCTGGCACTCACATAGATTTCTTAAGGGATGTTACTATGTTCATGTGGCTCTCAGAACTGCAGCGGCCAGCTTAGGCCTAGGTGGGAATCTCACCTAAGAGGATGAGTAAACAGACTGAGGATAACAAAATGAAAAGAGGGAAATAACCTGATTCCTTGAAGATATGATTGGGCAGCTAAATTACCAACCATGGAATCAGTCTAACTCCAATCTTATTTTTCTTATTTCTTTATTTTTTTTCAGACAGGGTCTTGCTCTGTTGCTCCAGCTGGAGTGCAGTGGCATGATCATAGCTCACTGCAGCCTCGATTTCCTGGGCTCAAGCTATCCTCCCACCCCACCCTCCCAAAGCACTGGGATTACAGGTGTGTGAGCCACAGTCCAGCCTTAACTCCCACCTTCTTGTCATATGAGATAATATATCATCTTAGAGTGCAGTGGCACGATCTTGGCTCACTGCAACCTCTGCCTCCCAGGTTTGAGCAATTCTCCTGCCTCACCCTCCCGGGTAGCTGGGATTACAGGCGCGCGTCACCATGCACAGCTTATTTTGTATTTTTAGTAGAGATGGGGTTTCCCCATGTTGGCCAGGCTGGTCTCAAACTCCTGACCTCAGGTGATCCGCCCCCTTTGACCTCCCAAAGTGCTGGGGTTACAGGTGTGAGCCACCACGCCTGGCCTGTTTAAGCCATCTTATGAATATTTTCTATTACTTATGATTAAGACTTCCTAACTGATACAGGACCTTCTGGCGTGAAATCCCAGACCATAAACTTCATTTCTTCTCCTTGCGGGTATAAGATGAGGAAAAGATGCTAACATTGTGAGCACCTACTGCATGCCAGACATTGTGCTAAACGCTGTCTACTCAATCGTCACAAGACAGTGTAGCAATTTTAAAACATGGCTGCAAATTCTTTAATGCTTTTTCCATCAAGAGGTAGGGCTTATGTCCCTTCTGCTTGGATCCCGTTGGTCCTGTGTATATATCCACCAACAGAGTCCAGTGAGAGGCTCGCTCATAAAAAGCTGTGCCTAGCTGGGCACAGTGGCTCACGCCTGTAAGCCCCACACTTTGGGAGGCTGAGGCAGGTGGATCACCTGAGGTTGGGAGTTCGAGACCAGCCTGGTCAACATGGTGAAACTCCGTCTCTATTAAAAAATACAAAAATTAGCCGGGCGTGGTGGTAAGCATCTGTAATTCCAACTACTCAGGAGGCTGAGGCAGAAGAATCACTTGAACCTGGGAGGTGGAGGTTGCAGTGAGCCGAGATCATGCCATTACACTCCAGCCTGGGTGACACAACAAGACTCTGTCTCAAAACAAACAAACAAACAAAAACAAAACAAAACAAAAAAAACAAAACTGTGCTGCTTTCTCCTTGCTTTCTGGAGTCACATAGGAAGTTCAGCTACCTTAATACCACCATGCCACGTAGTCATGGTGTAGGTGTGCTGATTGACAGTACCAGCTGAGCCCAGCTTGCCAGTCATCCCTACTAAGGCTCCAGACTTGTGAGTGATGCCCTCTTGAACCCTCCAGAGCAGCCTCTCAGCCTGCTGAATACCACTAAGTGACATCCGTTGATACTACATGGAACGGAAGAATCTCCCAGGCGAGCCCTGCCTAGAATTGTGAGATATAGAAATAATGGCTTTGAGCCCAGGAGTTTGAGACCAGCCTGGGCAACAAAGCAATACCCCATCTCAAAAACAAAACAAAACAAAACAAAATAAAATAAAACCATGGCTGTTGTTTTAAGTCATTAAATTTTGAGATACATAGTTACACAGCAATACATAACCAGAATTAGTAGGTTTTATTATCTCTACTTTGCAGCTAGGAAAGACTAAACCAAAGCTCAGAGAGGCCAGTAAGCAGAGGCAAAATTCAATCTCAGTTTGCCTAACTCCAAAGCCTAGACTTTTCTCACTACACTGTAATGCTTGGGCCCTTCCTTGACACCCAAGCACCATCTCTGGCCTGCTCCCTGCTTTGACCTCAGGCTCACAGTCTGGCTTCATTCTCTAGACCTGTGGTCTCTGCATTGACACTTTTTTCTATACTATTGGACTTTCCAACAGACACCATCCACTTAGTCTTTCTCCACCTGCCTAATCAGTGGCCTGGCCATTGCCACCTGCCCTACAGGTACTCCTGTGTTCTGCTCTGTTATCTCCTCAGCTCAGTCTCTGCCAAAGAGAAGTGCTATGCTCTTCATTTAAACCACACACATGGCCAGATGCAGTGGCCTGTAATCCCAGCAATTTGGGAGGCCAAGGCAGGAGGATCACTTGAGCCCAGGAGTTCAAAACCAGCCTGGGCAACATAGAGAGATGCTGTCTCTGCAAAAAATAATAATAATTTTAAAATATTAGCTGGGTGTATGCCTGAAGTCCTAACTACTCAAGAGGCTGAGGTGGGAGGATTGCTTGAGCCTGGGAGGTCAAGGCTGCAGTGAGCCATAATTGCACTACCTCACTCCAGCCTGGGTGACAGAATGAGACTCTGTCTCAAAATAAAATAAACTGCACACATTTATGGAGTGTCTGCTCAGTCCCAGATATTGAACAGGTACTGAGGATGCAAACACTGCATTCCACCTCAAACAGGATGGACCATGGAAAGCTTGTGTTAGATTTGTGAACAGAGACAACCATGTGCAAACATCCAGGTGGACACCGTCCTTTCAAAGAAAGTAAGACATTGATTCCAGGTTTGTGCCATGTTCTGCAACTCCCGAAAACCTCATCAGGAGTCATCATTTTGTTTTGTTTTGTTTTAACCTATGGAGGCATTACTCACTTCTGTCCCCAGCCTGATTCAGCCACAGAGCTGATCCTCCCGCTCTAAAAGAGCAAAGCTTGGTCACCACTGAGGAATGTCAAAAGGAGTAGTGCTCGTACTCAGGACCATTTCCACTCTCTCCTTGGCTCTGGTGTGTTTCCTGTGTCTCCTCGTTTGTTATCATCTGTTCTTTCCTCCATGTCACTTACTTCTTCGGGATCTTCGGTCCTTAGGTCTTCGGGGCTAAAGAGGTAGCTGGTTCTTGGATGGCCTCAAGACTCTGGCCAAAGGCAACCTCACACTGACATTTCTTTTGTGCCCCTCCCCATCTTACTAGACAGTAAATGAAAACAGAGGACTTCCAAGACCAAGAAAGTCGAATCAGATCAGAGGGGCCATCTATGCCAGGCAAACAACTCCTCGATCAACAGACACACATACAAAATAGAATAGGAGCCACATGGGACTTTTTACATAGAAGTGAGCCCCCATTATTTTATAATCCCAAACAGAATCAAAGGAACAGAGAAGGAAGATAAACAGACACTGGCCCAGCTCTGACATCTAGTAGTTGTGTGTCTTTGGACAAAATTCCTAACTTTTCTTACACTCAACTTTCTTATCTGTAAAATAAAGATAATCAGTGTATCTACCTCATACTGTTGTGAAGATGCAATGAAATAATACATAAAGCACATAGCTCAGTACCTGATACCCAGTAAAAGCTCAATAAATGGGAGCTATTTATCGTCATCATTGTCATCATCATCATCACATCATTGTCATTTCATCATCATCATCTTTTCCAAGTTCATATATTGCATCCTCTTAGTGCCTTGAAGGTCTTGCATTTTGTACTTGCGATCAAAAGGGTTAACTCCCTGGAAGGTGCCTTCTAGTTCCTGGTAGAATGCACCTCTTAGAGCTGGATCAAATGACTTCAGGATTTTTCTTTCCAAGCCAGTGGTTAGGGGCTCTGACTGCTCCACCTACCCCAGAAAGGGGTGGGAGCCCATTCAGGGAGGAGCCAGGTGGAACTGGATTTTCTCCCCTTTGCTTTAACCCAGTATTTCTTATAGTTCTTTGTCCTCCCAAACAAAGCAAGAGGAAAACTTCCCCAACTTGTAAATACTATGGCTATAAACCCAGGTTATGGCAATGTGCTAAGTGACTTTCATCTGAGGAGGGCACAGAGCCCCTGTGCCCACGACACTGCCTGGCACAGAGGGGCATGCAGTAAATATTGTTGAGCAGATGAATGAAATGAATGAATGAGTGGATGAGCAGAATGAATGCAAGGCCTCTTTCCAGTCCAGAGAGTCATTTCATCTCCCATAGAGGCTAAGCCATGGGTCCTACTTCTCTCTTCCTGTTCTCTCTTCTCCACCAGCCTTTCCTTGTTTGCTACTGAGGCTAGGTAGGGGCTTGTAAGAGTTCTACCATCAATGGCTATTTCCCCTAAGCCTGAGAAATAGATCTATTCAAAGCAAATAATTGGACGGGCACCTATCAGATTATGCCAGATAAATAGTACTGAAGAGATCTCAGGTGATTAAGTATCAACAGCTGTATACAGGACTACTTAATGCATTACTCAATCTCTGTCAATTGAAAATGCCAATGAATGCATCTTGTGAAGGAGACAACCTCCTTTCTTAGACTGAAGCTCAGATGGGTAAGGTAAGGCGAATAATGGAAGGTTCTTATATATCAACTACATTTAGGACAAAGTCTTTCCATCTCTTTTGAGGACTCATGTCTGGGGCCTGAGAGATTAGAATATTAGCAGAGATCTGTCACAAAATGCATCAAGCTGGCTTGTTCTACAGCCAGTTTTTTTTTTTTTTTTTCATGAAACAGGCAAAAAACAAACAAACAAACAAAACAACAAAAAACTCTGCAGGCAAGCCGTCACAGATAGTGGACATTGCTTTGGTTGGAGAAAGCTCTGACTTAAGCACTTTCCTAGATGTAGAATAACATAATGCGCTTTGGGGAACACATTAAGCCTCTCCTGTTCCTTGGTAGCTGCTCTAGATTTGCATTATGCAATTCTGGATTGATATGTTAAGGACTTAATGACCCCTGTCTCCTTTGCAACATCTGAACTGCCTTATTTATGCTTACGGCTAGATGGCTCATTGTGTATGGAAACACCCTCCTCTCTTTGAATAAAAGTAAAAACAGCCAAATTAAGGAGGCTGGTTAACATTTTTCCAGGAATAATGTCAGCTGGGAATCCTAAACTGTAGATTCTTCATATATAAAATGACTATAATGATAGAACTGTGTATTTTTAGTTTACAAAGTATTTTCATACCCATTTTTTTTCATTTGGTCTTTAAGGAAATGTTGGGGGAAGGATAACTCCCCTTATCAGTGCCATTTATGGAGAAGGCAACTAAAGTTCAAAATGGGTAAAGGGGGTGCCGGGCATGGTGGCTCATGCCTGTAATCCCAGCACTTTGGGAGGCCAAGGGGAAAGGATCACATGAGCCCAAGAGTTTGAGACCAGCCTGGACAACAGACCCCGCTCTCTACAAAAAATAATACAATTAGCTGGGTGTGGGTGTGTACCTGTAATCCCAGCTACTTGGGAGGCTGAGGCAGGAGAATCACTTGAGCCCAGGAGTTTGAGGCTACAGTGAGCTGTGATCATGTCACTGTACTCCAGCCTGGGCAACAGAGTGAGACCCCATCTCAAAAAAAAAAAAAAAAGAATTAGCAAAGGAACAGAAAGCAGAAATGGGTGACTCCAAGTCTCATGCTCTTAATTTACTCTTTTTTTAAAAAAAAATCTAAGCGCAGACATAAAATTCCATTGTGGCAAAATAAGTGTAGTAAAAATACATTATCACCCTCTTTTTATTTATTTACTTTTTTTTTTTTTTTTTTTTTTTGGAGACAGGGTCTCACTCTGTTGCCCAGGCTGGAGTTCAGTGGCATGATCATGCCTCACTGTAGCCTCTAACTCCTGGGCTCAAGGTATCCTCCCACCACTGCCTCCCAATTAGCTGGGACCACAGGCATGCACCACCATGCCCGGCTAATTTTCTTCTTCTTCTTCTTCTTCTTCTTTTTTTTTGAGAGATGGTGTTTTGCTTTGTTGCCCAGGCTGGTTTCGAACTCCTGGGCTCAAGTAATCCTCCTGCCTCAGCCTCACGAAGTGCTGGAATTACAGGCATGAGCCATAGTGCCCACCCTCATTTTTTACCTTCTCATAAGGTGGTCATGACTATAAAAATCACCTGGGAGCCTTGGCCCTCACCCCCAGAAACACAGAAAGGTTGGAAGAGTGCCCAGGAACCTGCAGGTTGGTTTAATAAGCTCTGGCTGGTGATTCTCTGGGAAGTTCCTTGGGTAATATTCGGAAAGAGTTATATACCAGGCTTTTTCTTTGCTGACATGATTCAGGACAAACCAAGAATATTTAGTCTCCTCTTATCCTATCTCTAAAACAACCACCTCTGAAGACCAAATCTTGCTTATTCCTGAGATTTTTTTTTCCAGCAATTCATAGATAGTGACTGTCTTGAAGCTCTAGGCAAATTCAAACGTCAACTCTGTTGTGTTGTCTTACAGTGAGCGAGTGACTAAGAGACAAACAGCTTGAACACTCTCCATTCGGGGAACATTTACAAACATACTCAAGAATTCCACCCTGAACAACTGAAATTTCAGACTGTGGGTTGAAATATTGAGACTTTTCACGAGCAAATGTCTGTCTGAATTTTTCTTTACTAGTTATGCTGGAAATTCTATGGCCAGATGTCTATTTTCAGCAAGCAATCATGAACTCTAGAAAGCTTAAGCTGTGTGTGATATGAGTTACTAATTTACTAGATCAATTACCAAAGGGTTACAGTGGTCAGTCAAGAGAAATATGACAGCTAAATTCCACTCTGACTCCAGCCAGACATTTTTACAGGCCTCATTTCTAAGAGCCTGAGAAATTCTGCAGTTCCACTTTCACTGATTCATAAGTCCCTTCTCAATTACCCAGGGAGGGTGGTTACTGACCATCAGCATGCCCTTCCAACTCTGTTTAATAGTTACTTTAAATCATGGTTACTGTGCTTTTAGTTGTGGTTTTAATGTACTTAAAATGGCAGCTCTATGAATGAAAATAGATCCTTGCCTTTGCAGGGTACAGCGGCACTTCCCAACCGTGGCTAAGACCAGAATCACCTACGGGGCTAAGATCAGAATCACCTACGGAGCTCACATGTTAGAGACCCACCCCAGACCTAGTGACTCAGAACCTCCCGCGACGGAGCATGGGTGTGTTTGTTTATTTGTCCTTACTTTTTTTTTTTTTTAAAGAGCTTCCTGGGAGTCCCCACCCCACTAGCCCTCCCCCACCCTCACCCTTAGGAACCACTGATATATTTTTTTGCTTTTCATGGTAATAAGATCTACCATATGTGAAGGTCTCTCATGTGCTGGGGGCTTTGCCTGTAACACACCTAATTCTTCTAACAACTCTGTAGGTTAGGAATTATTACCTTGCACATATTACAAATGAGGCAACCTCCACCCAGAAAAATTTAAGCAAAATTGTCCTGAGCTACTAAATCCAAATCTCTGCTCTTTCTACATGAAAATCCATCATTATGTGAGAGGCTCAGGGAATCAGCAAGATGAATTAGTTTGCTTAGGAAAGTAGTAGATACATCATTGGATATTTTTCAGAAAAAAAGTCCTTCTCTCCTGCCCTCTGCTTTTTCTTTTCTTTTCTTTTCTTTTCTTTTTTCTTTCTTTGAGAGACGGAGTCTTGCCCTATAGCCCAGGCTGGAGTGCAGTGGTACGATCTTGGCCCACTGCAACCTCCACCTGTCTGGTTCAAGCGATTCTCGTGCCTCAGCCTCCCAAGTAGCTGGGATTATAGGCATGCACCACTATGCCTCGCTATTTTTTGTATTTTTAGTAGAGACGGGGTTTCACCATACTGGGCAGGGTGGTCTCAAACTCCTGACCTCAAGTGATCCACCACCTCAGCCTCCCAAAGTGCTGGAATTACAGGCGTGAGCCACTGCGCCCTGCCTCCTCCCTGCTTTTTCTTATCCCTTGGGTCTTAGATAGCATTTCTTTAGGGGTACTTTTTCTGAGTCCCTAACTCTGGCCAGCTGTCCCTTCTCTGTGTGCCCAGTCCACTCTGTACTGGACTTAACACATATTGTAATGTTTGTCTACTTCTTTGTCTATTCTCCCAGAGGGCAGATATTCAGACTCACCACCAAAGCCCTCACTAGTCATCTAGTTGAGTACCTGCCTCATTTAAATGCTCAATAAATATGTGTTGAATGAATGGATGAGTAGACGGATGGACAGATGAACAGATAGGTGAAAGGATGGACGGATAATTGATTGTGGGCTGAATTAACTGGCAAGGGAGAAAAACGAGGACATGACTAAGAACATTTTGTAATTCTTGGAATAGGAGAATCACACACAAACAGACTTTAGACTCCTCTTAGTCAAAGGGGTGAAGATTCAGGGCAAATGTAATTTTGCGCATAAATATACAGGAAACCTGTCATAACCCCAGGGGAATATTTAGGTTACAAACGAATGAATGATTTAACTCATCTATTGTTATTCAATAGTCATAACAATGCCACCTTGGTTTTATACAAATCTTTTTCCCCCAAAGGGGTTAAGTCACTCAGCAAAGGACAGAGTTTGTGACTTCCCATTTCAAAGAACGTTCTCAACTATCTGGTTATTCCAACTGTCTGAAAAGAAAGAAGGAGGAAGGAAGGGAGAATAAAGACCATCTGTATGGCGAAGTCGGAAGCTCCCTCACCCTATTGCTCCACAGTGGTTCATATAAAGAGAAAAGGTTTTGAAATAATGGCAGGTCTTCAAGAGTAACAAAGGGCACCTTAGGAAATAACGTGAAAACAATAATAGTGCAATGCGGCAAAGACAGTGGCATAAATACAGAGGAAGGGAACATAAAGAGGTCTGGATATTAGAGAAGGAAGCTCCTTGGAGTTACTGCCCTAGGACTTGGGTAGTCCTTGTAAAAGGGAGAGCCTCATATTATGGGCAGGTGTTCAAGAGCAATAAAAGGCAGATTAAGAAAGTTCCAGCCCAGCGCAATGGCTCACGCCTGTAATCCTAACACTTTGGGAGTGTGAGGCGGGTGGATCACTTTAGCCCAGGAGTTCAAGACCAGCCTGGGCAACATGATGAAACCCCATCTTTACCAAAAATAGAAAAAATTAGCCAGGTGTGGTGGTGTGCGCCTATAGACCCAGCTACTGGGGGGACTGAGGCAGGAGGATCGTTTGAGCCTGGGAAGCAGAGGTTGCAGTGAGCCAAGATCATGCTACTGCACTCCAGCCTGGGCAACAGACCAAGACCCTGTCTTGAAAACAAAAAAAAATCCCAAGCACACTGTGTGCCTACACACACACACCCGCCACACACCCACACCTACACACACCCACATCCACACACACACACATTCACACACACCCACACACACCCACATTCACACACACACACCCACACACACCCACATCCACACACACTCAAAAACCCCACACCCCCCACACACCCACCCCTCACACACACCTACACACCCCCACACACACCCACACACACCCCCTCACACACACATACACACCCCCACACACCCCACACACACCTACACACACACACCTACACACACACACACACACCCGTGCACGCACACACACCCCCATACACACCTACACACACCTACCCCCCCCACACACACACACCCTTACCTTAGTACCCATCTTCATTTCCCGCCCCACTCTTCCTTAATACTGCATAACAAGGAGTTCAATGTCAGATTAAACCCATTTTGAACATGAAAGTAAAGACTACAGCTCCCCCCCAAAACCAGAACATTTTTTCCTCATTATCACCTCATTAAGATGCCCCTAAGGTCCTTAATCTTTATATGACGATATCATACAAGGAACAGGTCCTGCATGCCTGCGATGAAGCATGACTGATATTTAAGCCCAACAACTCTAGAGCATTTGATTGCTTCTGCGTTTATTCAGAATGGCACTTTTATGCGAAGCCATAAAGTGGCGAATTTCCTATGCAGAGCTGAGAGTGTGTGAGTTGGGGCAGGTGGTGTATGAAGGCCTAGGGTAACCTAGAGTAGCTCTAAGCATGGCCACCGGAGCCAAACGGGAGACTACGTGTGACTTCCCTGTAAATTGCTGTATTCATGTTGCCAAATCCCAACGCTACCTCTGAGAAAAGGAAAGGAGGAGGAAGTGACGTCAATGAGGAAAAAAGTCAGATAAAAGCAAATTGTCCCTGACAAATATGAGTCATACACCTTTTAACCAAGTCGTTCTCAGAAAAGGAAGCCATTGTTAGTCGAATTTAACCTCTGAGACTACAAACGCTGCGATGCTTAGGAGATGAAACTTTATGCGGCGATGGAAGGACTCCCACCCACATAAATACACTCTGTACACAGAATCTCCAGTTTTGGCCGTAACCTCAAACTCATCTGCCATTTTGGCCTCTAGAAGGGAAGAAAAAGAACAGCTGTGACTCCAAGTCGAGTGAATGTACCGCTCCATCTCCATCAACTTAGCCCGTTTTTGGATGTGGGTAGTGAGTGATTCCTTAGTCTTATGAATGAATACTGCTAGGTAAATGCATCTTCAATTACCTATACTACCCACTTGTAGTTCTCACATTTTCTTCTTTTTTTTTAACACAATTATTAAGATATAATTTATATAATCACACAGTTCACCCATTTAAATCATACAATTCAATGGTCTTTTGTATATTACATTACTACTTCCAAAAAGTTGCTTCTAAGTTTTCTTATTAGAATTTTCAGTACTGCTGCTAAAATTAGGAAGAAAATAGACATATAGAAGAAAACGATAGTAGAAGCACAGAAGGGAAAGGAGAAAGCGAGGAAGGGACAGAAAGAAAGGAAGCCAATGGCTTCCAAAGAAGGACTTCCAAAGAAGCCAATGGCTTCCAAAGAAGGACTGCTTCAGGACTTCTCAATGTTTTAGCCAGGATTCAAGAACCGACATGGCGGCCTGTCCCCCAAAGGCAGTGGGGGAAAGGAATGGGCCTGGGCACAGTGGAGAGTTATGGAGGAAGGAACTAGAATCAGCTTTGTGGATTGGGGCTGGGAGAGGAAAAGGCTTCGAAGAGGCTCTAGGAAATCTCAACCCCTGCCCAATTTCCTGTCACTCTGCAGAGCCCTCCCCTACAGAGAAACCAGGCAAGGCAAAGACAGAATTACAGCTCAGTGACCTGAACCAGGTGCCAATTTTCAACTCAGTCCTTGTCTTGCTTCTCAAAGTGCAGCATTTAATGAGGTTAAAAAATCAGATTATTATTTTTTTTAAAATGAGAATTCAGGGAAGTTTTTGGGTTAGCTGAGCCGTATGAAAGTATTTAACCTCTGTTCAGCAAACTGCCCTTTATTCACATTTTTCCTTCTACTGTTGTTCACAAAACTGCACTTTCTCAGACAAGTTCACCATTTGGCATTGGGACCTGGTTGTAACCAGATGGTGTGTATCACCATTACAGCATACAAATCAGCCTGGAGCTTGATTTAAGGACCAGAGGATTCTTTAGGGTAAATGCTTCTGGGAAGGGAGAAGAGCAAATGTTGTTGCTCTATGAGTGACAATGTGGGCTGCTCAGATGGCAATAGATGCTGATGCTGTGCGTCCCCCCCACCATTTATAATGATTAATTCTTTGCCTGGAGACCCACACTGTTTGGGAAGGAAGATGCAGAATGTCTTCCATCCATGCTACTGAAGAGGGGCCTTTTTTGACTTTTTACAAGGTCAATGCTTTGTTTTACTCCCTTCCCAAGGGGGCACACAACAGTGGAAAAACAGGTGAGATAAGAAAACAGTAGGCTGGACATGATGGCTCATGTCTGTAATCCCAGCACTTTGGAAGGCTGAGGTGGGAAGACTGTTTGAGTCCAGGAGTTCAAGACCAGCCCGGGCCACATAGTGAGACCTCATCTCTACTAAAAATAAATAAATTTTTAAAAACAACAAAAAAGAAACGTAAATAATCAAAAAGAGAACACTATCTTCTGCCCCACATTGTCCTCTTTGTAAGCTACCAAAGGACAGAAAGCAGAGAACTTTATTCTCCAAAATTACAGATTTTTAGAACTAGGAGCCACCTGAGAGCCAGTTGTGGTAGACACCTGCCATGGCGTCCCAGCATCAGCATCCTTTCTCTCTTCCTTGTCTCACAGCACCCTGATTCATCTTTGGGAGACCAATGCTCTTGTACTCTCAGATCTTTGGATGGGGCTAACCTGCTCCTGGCTCCAAAGGGTGGACATGTAACCCAGACCTGGACAATGGGCATATTCTATCCCTCCAGCCTTAGTGATTCATTTAGGATGGACACATGACTCCTATCAGTCCAAAGATAATATTTTGGATGGACCTATTGAATAGAGGAGGTCTATTTCTGATGGTGCTAGCTGTAAGGATAATGTCGGGCTAAGCTACTGGAGTCACCATATAAAGTGGGCATAACTGACTGTGAAAGTGTGAGGATGAGGCCAAATCATGGAAACTTTCTTTGAGCCCCTGGATCCAGCTACACCTGAAACTAATATAATCTCTGAACTTTTCAGTTATGTGAACAGATACGTCCAGTTTTGGGCTTTAGCCTGTTTGAGTTGATTGTCTATCATTTGCAACGAAATGAGTCATGACTAATCCATTCCCCAGTTCTTTCTTTTCACAAACCAAAATTAGAGAATGGCTTGTTCAGCTGGGCATGGTGGCTCATGCCTGTAATCCCAGCACTTTGGGAGGCCAAGGTGGGCAGATCACTTGAGGTTAGGAGTTTGAGACCAGCCTGGCCAATGTGGTGAAACCCCTTCTCTGCTAAAAATACAAAAAATTAGCCAGGCATGGTGGTGGGCACCTATAATCCCAGCAACCCGGGAGGCTGAGGCAGGAGAATCGCTTGAACCCGGGAGGCGAAGGCTGCAGTGAGTCAAGTTTGCACCACTGCATTCCAACCTGGGTGACAGAGGGAGAATCTGTCTCAAAAAAAAAAAAAAAAAAAAAAAGAAAGAAAGAAAAAAGAGAATGGCTTGTTCAACGTCTCACAGTTAGGAACATAACTGGACTAGCATCTAAGCCCCCTGATGTCCAGTCTAGGGCTTTTTCTAAAAACGTTTTAGAAGTATTCTTCCTGTTGAAATCACCATAACGTGGGCTAACGATATGGTATCAGATTTTTTTTTTTTGAGACAGGGTCTCCCTTTGTCACCCAGGCTGGAGTGCAGCAGCTCAATCACAGCTCACTGCAGCCTCGATCTCCTGGGCTCAAGTGATCCTCCCACCTCAGCCTCCTAAGTAGCTGGGACAACAGGCATGTGCCACCACACTGGCTGATTTTTTTTTTTTTTTTTTTTGGTAGAGACAAGGTCTTCCTATGTTGCCCTGGCTGGTCTCAAACTCCTAAGCTCAAGCAGTCCACCCACGTTGGCCTCCCAAAGTGTTGGAATTATAGGCATGAGCCACTGCTCCCAGCCTTTTATCAGATTTTGACAGCGAAGTCCTGTTACGATTGACAGGAACTGACCCCTGCCTATCTGACTGTTTAATGACAGACAGTTATGACTGCCACACTGTTCCATAGTGAGAGGGGATTCAACCAAGCGTGGCTCAAACACATTATCCCTCAACCTTTCTTTCTCTAGTGGATGGAGACAGTCTATTTCCTGAAGCTTGATACGTGGGTCTGAAGTTCACCAACACATATGGTTATGGCTGTGCTGGCTGTCAAGATATTGAAATGTCCCTCTCTTGCCAGGTGTGGTGGTTTACACCTGTAATCTCAGCACTTTGGGAGGCCGAGGAGGGTGGATTGCTTGAGCCCAGGAGTTTCAGACCAGCCTGGGCAACATGGTGAAATCCCAACTCTGCAAAAAATTTTTAAAAAACTAGCCAGGCATGGTGGCATGTGCCTATAGTCCCAGCTACTTGGGAGGCTGAGGTGGGAGGATCACCCGAATCCAGGAAGTCAAGATTGCAGTGAGCCATGATCACGCCACTGCATTCCAGCCTGGGTGACAAGAGTGAGACCCAGCGTCAGAAAAAAAAAAAAAAAAAAAAAAAAAAAAAGATAAAATAAAGGAAATGTGTCTGTCCTGATTAACAAAGAACCACTGCTCTGAGCTCCCTGAGGGTTCCTTCCTGCCCTGGCCCCTCCGCCTGGGCCCCGCTTCCCCTAGACCTCCTGAGTATCACAGGGCTTAATACTTGGGTTCTGGGGAGGGACCATCCGAACCCCACTCCAGCACTATGGCCGGCGTCCCTTCTGATTGGCTGTGCCTGTGCCCAGTGGGTTATTTCAAATTTAAAATTTTAGCTCTGTACACACAAAGACACAGCCCATGCCCAGGGGGAAAAGGGAGACGGAAAAGATGTGACCTGTTTCCCCTCACTGAGAGGCAGTTTGTACCTTCTCATCTGCCCCCACAAAAGTATTGGCTCATGGTGCCTTTAACAAGGCAGTAAGTATCGGACCAGGAAACGAGTACCTCTGGGTACTAATCCCAGTTCTCACCCAAACCTCTGTGGATCCAACTTAACTTCGCTGCATCCCACGCATGAGAAGTCAGAGGCATAGTTCTAAGTCCTCGACCTGTATGAACTCATTCAGTCCTCATCTCTTCGAGGCAGACACTACTGTTGTCCCTATTACAGAGGAGGAAACTCAGGCAGAGAGGTTCGGTTACTTCAGGCTGACTTCAGAGACTTCAGGCTTAATCATGACATATGGCTACCCTTGAGGCCACATAGCACAGTGGTTGTAGCATAGACTCTGGAGTCAGAATTCTGTGGGTTCAAATCCTGGCTCCGTTGCTTGGAAGCTCTGTGACTAAGTTACCTCTTAAGGAGGAAAAAAAAGCTGTGTTAGTAACAGTGATTGGCTATAGTTATGTGTGTTCCAGATATTGCACAGGACATGATATTGCATGGGACATGCTTACACTAAAAAAAATCAAATTGAACGGACGTCCTGAATCTTATCTGGCAACTGTTTTTTTTTTTTTTTTTGAGAGAGAGTCTCGCTCTTGTTGCCCAGGCTGGAGTGCAATGGTGCTATCTCAGTTCGCTGTAACCTCCACTTCCTGGGTTCCAGAGATTCTCCTGCCTCAGTCTCCTGAGTAGCTGGGATTACAGGCATGTGCCACCATGCCCGGCTGATTTTTATTTTTTAGTAGAGACACGGTTTCTCCACGTTGGTCAGGCTGGTCTCGAACTCCTGACCTCAGGTGATCCGCCCACCTCGGCCTCCCAAAGTGCTGGGATTACAGGCATGAACCAGCACATCCAGCCTTATCTGGCAATCTTATATAGGAAGTACTTGGCACAGTGCCTGGCAGGTTAGAAATATCAAGAGATGAGAGGTGTCTCTATTGGGAATGCAGCTCTGAATGCCAGCTTGGTGGGTCTGCAGAGTGCCACTTGCAAGGAGGACCAGATTGAGACGTTCTAGGCCACCAGAGTTGGTCGAGCCTCAGTGGCTGTTTCTGAAGGCTGAGGAGAAGCCCAGGGCTGACTTTGGCTGGGGAAGAAGTGGAATCTGAAGGCAGAGCTTTGGCCTTCATCTCAGCTTTGGCCCCTGCTCTGGGTTTTGCAGTCCCCACGTAACCCTGGTGTCTGGTCTGCCTACAGAGCCTCCAGGGTAGTCCTGAGGGACTGAGCCAGGCCCATTCAGTGCCTCCTTAGCCCCGGGAGGCCAGTGCTGCTGCCATATTAACAGTTCCTGGCGGCCGCCTGGCCAGGAGGACAGCATGTCCCCAGGCCTTGGAGCACACGAAGTGATCTCTAACTAGATGTTCCCGGAACATTCTGCCGCAGTCACACAGTGCAGGAGGGAAAGTGAAAAAACAAAACACCAAAAATACCCTGGGCTCTGCACGAGGATGAGCAAAAGGGAAGGAAGAAAGGAAAACAGACCTGAAATGGAGGTTTGCACCGAGTCACACTGGGTTTAAGGGCAAACCTACAAAGAGGACGGAGGCACCCTTCAGAGCCTAAAGTCTTTCTACCATCATCTTGTCTGCCCTTACTAGAGAGCTGTTCATCCGAGACTCCAACACCTTCCAGGCCCTCTCTTCTAGACCCAGCAGCCCTTGGCAGTTCACACTCTCTGCAGAGATCTACCATCCAAGACCTTCCCAGCAGGTCCCGGGTGCCTGCAACAACGTGGGCAGGTTGTCTTAACCACTGACTGCCTCGGTTCTTCAATTGGCTAAGTTGGGATAACACCATAGTACTACTCACTCAGTAAACTCACAGCTTTTCCTCAGTGTTGCCTAATAACATAGTTGTTAAGACCACGGGTTTGTTTGTTTGTTTTGAGACAGAGTCTCACTCTGTCACCCAGGCTGGAGTGCAGTGGCGCGATCTCGGCTCATTACAACCTCCGCCTCCTGGGTTCAAGTGATTCTCCTGCCTCAGCCTCCCAAGTAGCTGGGACTACAAGCACATGCCACCACGCCCGGCTAATTTTTGTATTTGTGGTAGAGACGGGGTTTCACCATGTTGGTCAGGCTGGTCTCAAACTCCTGACCTTGTGATCCGCCCACCTTGGCCTGACAAAGTGCTGGGATTATAGGTGTGAGCCACTGTGCCCAGTCTAGAGCATGGGTTTTTAAGATAGACCAAACTTTGCATTCTGGCTTTGCTGCTTACCTGCGCTTTGGGGCAAGTGTGCTGTCAACCTCTTTGTGCCTCAGTTTCCTTAGCTGTAAAAAGGATCTGCTCACACCTCTGCTTCATTGGACTGTTGTAAGGAACCAGCTCACATATTCAGGTGTTTCCTGGAGATGCCTCTGAGTTCCCTGGAGATGCGGTGACCAACAGGCAAAGCGTGGTCTCATTCCTGGCCAGCACTCTGGCTCATATGATGTACTGAGCACTTCCAGGGTACTAATAAGAAGCACACGAGAAACAGATACAATTGACAATATTCTATGCCCTCCAGGGTTTTACAGTGTGGTTGGGAAGACAGACCATTAAATCATTAGAGAAAAAGATACAAATACTTTCCTATAATTACGCACAGAGTGGGTGGCTCCAAGTGTAAATGCCTTGGACTGTCATGGAGGGAGGAAGAATAACAGGGAGGGTGCAGGAGGTAAGGCTGGGATGCTGGGAGAATGTGAGTGGGACAACTGGCTGACGAGGAAACCTTCAGGATGATGCTCCACCAGTTGCCCAAGGAGAAGCCCCCAGGGTACAAAGCGAGTCACCCTTACCTTGTTCTTTAGGTTAACAATTTTTTATTTTTTATTTTGAGACAGAATCTCACTGTGTCGCCAGGCTGGAGTGCAGTGGCACGATCTCGGCTCACTGCAACCTCCACCTCCTGGGTTCAGGCGATTCTCCTGTCTCAGCCTCCCAAGTAGCTGGGACTTCAGGTGCCTGCCACCACGCCTAGCTAATTTTTGTATTTTTAGTAGAGACGGGGTTTCACCATGTTGGCCAGGATGGTCTCGATCTCCTGACCTCGTGATCTGCCCGCCTTGGCCTCCCAAAGTGCTGGGATTACAGGCGTGAGCCACCGCACCCAGCCTAGATTAACATTTTTAAAAAAGATCCCAATCCAAGTCATGTGCTTGCAATAGTTATTGCTCCTTATCCATCAAGGACATTCCATTTCATCATTCAGATACCTGCACACAGCCCCAACAGCCTCTTTGCAGTAGATTGGAAAAGACAGAACTATCTCTGCCTCCATTCATAGCACAGCCTTTGCGGGTAGACTCACCACAGGTGCCCCCAGGCCTCCTCCCTGAACCACCTGTTTATTCCTTAGGATCACAATCCTGTGTTATACTTGGTGAAGGGCACAAAGAAATAGCAGACAGGGCCCGGCTGTCAAGCTGCTTCTAGTCTAACCAGGGGACATAAAACTCAATTTTTGCTTCTCTTGGCTTCTAATAGTTCATCAGGGTGGTCCTGTGTGTAGTTAAATCCCTTCTTGGGGGCACTCAGGTGAAGTCTTGTTCCTTCTGGATGTTTCTATGATTGGAACAGCTCAGTATAGATCCCAATGGGATTTCTTTCATATGTATCATTTTTGGTGAATTCCCTAATAACCCAGTGAGAAAGGCAGAGAGATGTTACATAATTCCACACCCACCCCCCCCCGCCTTTTTTTTTTTTTTTTTTTTTTTGGCACAGTCTCACTCTGTTGCCCAGTCTGGAGTGCAGTGGTGCCATCTCAGCTCACTGCAACCTCTCCCTCCCAGGTTCAAGCGATTCCTGTGCCTCAGCCTCCTGAGTAGCTGGGATTACAGATGCATGCCACTACACCTGGTTATTTTTTTGTATTTTTAGTAGAGATGGGGTTTCACCATGTTGGCTAGGCTGGTCTCAAACTCCTGACCTCATGTGATTCACCCGCCTCAGCCTTTCAAAGTGCTGGGATTACAGGCATGAACCATCGCGCCTGGCCCCAATGGGTTTTCTTTCATGTGTATCATTTTTGGTGAATTCCCCAAAAACCCAGTGAAAAAGGCAGGGAGATATTACCATAATTCCCATTTAACAGAAATCTGAGTTCCAGAGAAAGAAAATGACCTGCCCTGGGTGACTCAGCTGAAACTTGAACTTTCATTTCCTGGCTATAAATCAGCAACATTCTCAACATCGTTATCATCTCACCTCCTATGTAGCTCCTTGAAGGCAGGGTGTGTTTCTACACATCTCTGTCTCTCTTGTATAACCTATATTTTATGCAGTGGTGTGCTGGTAAATGTTTAACAACTGGCTCTCTGAGGAAATACATTTCTGATTTGTAGCAGTTGCCAATTTCGGTAGTGTAAATAGTCCCATCATGGCTGACTTCAAGCTACCAATGTGACATCAGCCACTTCAGAAATTCCTGAAAACTTGCTGGCCATGATAGCTCATACCTGTAATCTCAGCACTTTGGGAGGCTGAGGTGGGCAGATCACTTGAGGCCAGGAGTTTGAGACCAGCCTGGCCAACATGGTGGAACCCTGTCTCTACTAAAAAATACAAAAATTATCCAGGCATGGTGGTGCATGACTGCAATCCCAGCTACTCGGGAGGCTGAGGCATGAGATTTGCTTGAGCCCAGGAGGCAAGGGTTGCAGTGGGCTGAGAGTGTGCCATTGCACTCCAGCCTGGATGACAGAGGAAAACTGTCTCAAAAAATAAAAAATAAATTAAAAGGCCGGGTACAGTGGCTCACGCCTGTAATCCCACTACTTTGGGAAGCTGAGGCAGGTGGATCACCTGTGGTCAGGAGCTTGAGAGCAGCCTGGCCAACATGGTGAAACCCCATTTCTACTAAAAATACAAAAAAATTAGCCGGGTGTGGTGGCGTGTGCCTGTAACCCCAGCTACTTGGGAGTCTAAGGCAGGAGAATCCCTTGACCCTGGGAGGTGGAGGTTGCAGTGAGCTGAGATCCCGCCATTGCACTCCAGCCTGGTTGACAGAGCAAGACTCTGTCTCAAATAATAATAATAATAATAATGAATAAATTTAAGAAAAAAATCCTGAAAACTTAATAATTGTTTCCTAGAAGCTAGTATGAGCTGGTTCCAGCGTACTGCTATTTGTAGAGAACCTTACATATAATGGGACTCAGAGATATTTGATGCATTCAGTGATTATGATGCTCCTCCTTCCATTCAAATTCAAATACTCTGGGGGTGGAAGAAGATGCTCCCAGTTTACCCTGAAGGATGGATGGGATCTCCAGGGCTTGGGATTGTCTGGACCTGCAGCTCCCCTGAGATCAAGTAACATCGCTGGTTGGAGGTCTATGGTGCTGACAGAGAAGGAGGGAAAAACAGATTTAGAGAGGAAGGAATGAAACAATATGGGTGAAAAGAAGAGAAAAAGAAAGAGAAGACAGAAGTGAGGAAGGAAGGGAAGGAGGGAGACAGGGAGGAAGAGGAAAAGGAAGGAAAGGAGGGAGGGAAGAAGAAGGAAAGAAGGGAAGGAAGGAAGAAAAGAAAGAAGGAAGGAAGGAAGGAAGGAAGGAAGGAAGGAAGGAAGGAAAGGTGGCTTATAAGATGAATACTGGTAGAGGGAGAGTCTCCTGTGACCACTTCTAGCAAGCACCTGCATTTCAATGTCTAGTGCATAGTAGGTGCTCAGTAAATATTGCTGGCCAAGGATCCAGTCATGCTCTGCTTCTGCTATTCCTGTGTCTGATCTTATCTCCCAATGAGATTCTTTTTTTTTTTTTTTAAATGGAGTCTTGCCATGTCGCCCAGGCTGGAGTGCAGTGGCATGATCTCAACTCACTGCAACCTCTGCCTCGCGGGTTCAAGCAATTCTCCTGCCTCAGCCTCCCTAGTAACTGGGATTACAGGTGCACACCACCATGCCTGGCTAATTGTTGTATTTTTAGAAGAGACAGGGGTTTCACTATGTTGCCCAGGCTGGTCTCAAACTCCTGACCTCAAGTGATCCGCCCGCCTTGGCCTTCCAAGGTGCTGGGATTACAGGTGTGAGCCACCTGCCTGGCCCTATCTCCCAGTGAGATTCTAAGATCTTGGAAAGCAAAGACCGTATCATTCGTTTCTTACCCACAATAGAACTGCCTCTACTCAAAGGGGTTACTGATATTATTTAAATTCTCATTACAATTTTGCAATACAGAAAACAGGCTCAGCAAGATCAAGTAAATTGTTCACATTTACACAGCTATTTTAGGTGGTGGGGCCAAGATTCAAACTCTCTGCTCTTTCATGCTACTTCTGAAAGGACCTGAAATCTTTCTGACAAATGAATAGTGTATTTGTCTTCTCACCAAGATGGAGACTTCCATTTCCTTTCTTTTCTATAGTAGCCATTTTTCATTTGTCACGGGAGCCCCAGTAAGAACCTAAGTACTGATGCAAGCATATAACTCATATTCTCCAAACCTTAGCCTTTGTGCACTGGCTACTAACCCATGGTGGTCATGACATTATGAGACTTCATAAACACCCACCTCATTCCATAGAGCACATAGTAGACAAGGGCTCAGGGAGAGAGCAGATGCACCTCTGGATTTTTCCACTGCAAGGATTATTACATAGTCTCACTCATTAACAACCCTATGAGGTGGATGTTGCCAGACCCCTTTTACCATTGGGAAAACTGAGGCTTATAGAGCTTAGCATTTGGGAGGATTTGGGAGCAGGTAGTTTATTCAGGAGGCGATCCCAGGAAGCACCAGTAAGGGAGCAGGGAAGGAAGAGACATTGCAGGTGCTGTTATGGACAACTGAGGCTTCATCCTGCTGGGGGCCTTCCGAGGAACCAGTGCTTTGTGTCATCTCTTGTCCCCAAAGGGACGAGGAAGCTGAGATGCTTAGCCAACAGCCTCTGGCCCTCTTTGGGGGATGCCTTCTCTGGAGGGGTTAAATCTAGGGCACTCTGCTTGCCCTACTCAAGATTGAGCAAGTTCTCTTGGAACCAAGGGGAGACCCTGGGCACTTGAGGGTGGAGACTGTCAGCAGGCACAGGGAATGGCGGGTGACCTTGAAGGTGAGCCAGGGGAATATGGGGCGTGTTTGATCAAGGTCATACCTGCCCAGGGTCTTGCTGAGAGGAGAAGGAGCCAAACTGGGATTCAAATGCAGGTCTAGGCCGGGTGCGGTGGCTTACGCCTGTATTTCCAGCACTTTGGGAGGCCAAGGCAGATGGAGCGCTTGAGCCCAGCAGTTTGAGACCAGCCTGGGCAACATGGTAAAACACTGTCTCTACAAAAATACAAAAATTGGCCAAGCATGGTGGCTCCTGCCTGTAGTCCCAGCTACTTGGGCGGCTGAGGTGGGAGGGTCACTGAAGCCTGGGAGGTTGAGGCTGCGGTAAGCTGCAATCACGCTACTGCACTCCAGTCTGGGTGACAGAGGGAGACCCTATTTCAAATAAAGAAATAAAAGCAAAACCAAAAACAAATGCTAGCGTGTTTAATGCCAAAACTCATTTTCCTTCTGTGACACCAATCACTTAAGCCCAGTGAAGGAGTTAAAGTCCACACACCAGCCGGGCACAGTGGCTCATGCCTCTATTCCTAGCACTTTGGGAGGCTGAGGTGGGCGGATCACCTGAGGTCAGGAGTTCGAGACCAGCCTGCCCAACATGGTGAAACCCCATCTCCACTAAAAATACAAAAAAAGAAAAAGAAAAAAAAATTAGCCGGGCAAGATGGTGGGTGTCTGTAATCCCACCTACTTGGGAGGCTGAGGCAGGAGAATTGCTTGAGCCTGGGAGGCAGAGGTTGCAGGGAGCCGAGATTGCACTATTGCACTCCAGCCTGGGAGACAAGACCAAGACTCTGTCTCAAAAAAAAAAAAAAAAAAGTCCACAGACCTTGGAGGTGGACTGGGTAGGCTGGTGAGAAGAGTAGGGGTCAAAGATAGGTTGTCACCTAGGGTGGAGGCCTGTCTAGTCCTAACAAGGGCAAGAGGTGCTGTCATTAGCATCTCCTGCACACTCAGGAGCATAGAAAAGCCCCTGTCCCAAATGTAATTACCAGCACTTAGAGTGTGAGTGGAGGCAGGATCTATGAGTAGCAAAATACACAAGGGACGCAAGAGTCACACTTTCCAGATTAAAGAATGAAGGACAAGATGTGGAATAGCCTGGGATGATATTAATGACACTAACCACTGCTTCCTCCACATTTTGAACTTTTCTGAAGCACCAAGCTACATCTTTACATATCCCAGGGTCAGCCACATTTTCTGCAAAGGTCTAACAGGTAAATACCTTAGGCTTTGAGAGCTGCAGGGCCTCTGCTACTCAGCTCCACTGTTGTAGCATGCAAACAGCCATGGACAATCAGTCATTCAAAGGGGGTGGCTGTTTTAAAAACTTTATATAAAGAGACAAAAACAGGCACCTGCTAGATTTGGCCCACACGCCATAGTTTGCTGACCCCTGACATGTACTGTGTCTAATCCTGGCAACAACTCTCCCAAAGCAGTTTTGTTGACTCCATTTTATAGCTAAGTAAACTGGTTCAGAGAGGTTAAGTAACTGTGTGAAGTCACACAGCAGGTAACTACCAAGCCGGAATGGAGACCCAGGTGTGATTCCCAAACTGATGCTACTTATGTCTCGACTTGAGATCAGCCTGATGACATACTTGTGCTTCTGTGAAGCCCTGTGGGGGGATTCCAAACACCCAGGATGACAGACCCCAGGCTTCTGCCTCCCTGCCTGCGGCTCCGGAAGAAAGCTAGAGGCCCTCTACTGCTGTCACCCAGATGCCACATCTCCTCAGGAAGGAGAGGTCCAGAGCCAAGCTCAGGCATGGCCAGTGTTACATAGCTGGAGGCCTGTCTTGGCATCAGCCGCCTGGCGCCCAGTTAAACTTTTGACTTCCCAAATTGGAGAAGTTGAAAGTTCTGCTGGGCATTTTTTTTTTAGGGAAACATTTTTTGGTGTTAATTATTTACCAGAAATGGGTCTGTTTCTCTTTCTCTCTTTCTCATTCTTCCCCGCTCCTGGAATTATCTTCCCTTCAGATTCCCTCCTAACAAAGAGTTAACACTGGGGTAAGAGGCATTTAGTGGCTTCTCTTTCCAGACAAAGGAAAGCTAAAGTGTGGTTAGGGAGAGAACTGGGGGCTCTGGAAGCTTTTCCCTGGAGAAGTTGCTTCCCATTGGCCCGACCTAGCTACCTTGCATCTGATGTATAATTTAGCGATCCATTTCCTGCCACCCACCCAGCGTCGTCTGTTATCTGTGGGTATTTATCGACCCTTTCCCCAAGAAACTGCCTGGAATAGAGATGGGGAAGCCTGACAATCCCATTGTCCGAGAAGTTAAACATTAAGTTGGGCTCAAAGTTTGCTCCCCACCCCCACCCCCTGCTGCCCTTAAATTCCCTTTGGCCACACCTCCTTGCCAGAGCGTGAGGTGCTAATGGCCAGATTTACATCTGTGTAAATCCGAGCTGCGGGCACTAATGAGGCCTGAAGTGGAGGGAGCGGACTGGGGTGGAAACCCGGCTTACTCTACACAAGCCCTGTCAGAGACGCCCAAAACGGAACCCCAGGCCCAAACCCCGCCTCCAGAGTCGAGGCAGCAGGGAAAGAGTTAAACAAGAGGCAAGTGACTCAACGCGCTGCTGCCCTCTCCCTGGAAGCACCTTTCCCCAAGTCCCACAGCGCAAGGGCTTAGCCCAGGACCATGCATAATTGATGACGTCAGCGAGGCCCGATTTCCCCAAGCTGGTCATGATAGTGAATATTCACCTCATCCTAGGCAAGGGCAGAGCACCCTAATCCGGGTCACTGAGCGTCCATCTCAGTCCAGCATTTTGGGGACAAAGGCTCCCACGGCAAGAGCTGGGGTGGAGAAGGGGCATCCATGGGCAGCAGTACCCAAGTTGGTTTCAAGTCAGACTGATGGGGGGTCAGTTTCTTCTCCACAGCTTACTTACTTGCTCTGTGACCTTGAGAAAGTCACTGTCACTTCCTAAGCTGTTTATCCCTATCTGTAAGGTGAAGACGATAATAATTCTACCTCACTTGTAGAGTGTTGGGAAGATGACCTGAGCTAGCACGTGTGAGTGCTTTGCATGGTACCTGGCACAGGGGTGCTCAGTGACTTTATCCATTGCTTTCTTTTTCTTTTTTTCTTCTGAGATGGAGTTTCGCTCTTGTCACCTACGCTGAAGGGCAATCTCCGCCTCCCGGGTTCAAGCGATTCTCTTGCCTCCGCCTCCCAAGTAGCTGGGATCACGGGCATGTGCCACCACGCCTAACTAATTTTTGTATTTTTAATAGAGATGGGGTTTCACCATGTTGGCTAGTCTGGTCTCGAACTCCTGACCTCAGGTAATCAACCCGCCTTAGCCTCCCAAAGTGTTGGTATTACAGGCATGAGCCACCATGCCTGGCCTTATCTGTTTATTTCTAAATGGATGGCCCTAAAGGGAAGTCAGGATTGACAGATGGCAGGAAGACACAGGAATTTGGTAGAAAAGGAACTAAAGAAGTTTTTAATTAAAAAAATTATTTGTATATATTAATGGGGTACAAGTGCAGTTTTGCTACATTGACATATTGCATTGTGGTGAAGTGAGTGCCTTCAGTACCTCCATCATTGGAGCAATGCACATTGCACCCACCAAGCAACCTCCCAGCATCCATCCACTCCCACCCCCTCCACCTCTCTGAGTCCCCATTGTCCATCATTCCACACTCTCCTTCCATGGGTACACATTGTTTAGCTCCCATTTATGAGTGACAGCATGTGGTATTTGTCTGTGCCTGGCTTATTTCACTTAAGATAATAAGCCATCCATGTTGCTGCAAAAGACAGGATTTCATTCCTTCTTTATGGCTGAGTAGTATTCCACTGTGTGTGTGTATATATATATCATATATCATATATATGTGATATATATATAACATGATATATATACATGATATATATAACATGATATATATACATGTATATATAATGACATATATACATACATGTATATATACATATATAACGTGTATATATATACACGATATATATATATACTGTATATAATATCACGTTAAAAAAAAATCCAGTCCTCTGTTGATGGACACTTACGTTGATTCTGTATCTTTCTTATTGTGAATAGTGCTGTGATAAACAGAAGAGTGCAGGTATCATTTTGATATAATGATTTCTTTTCCTTTGAGGAGATACCCAGTAGTGGGATTGCTGGATGGAATGGTTGTTATTTTTTTAGTTCTCTGAGAAATCTGCATATTATTTTTCATAGAGGTTGTATTAATTTACATTCCCACTGTCAGGGTATAAACGTTCCCTTTTCTCTGCGTCTTTGCCAACCTCTGTTATTTTTTGTCTTCTTAATCATAGCCATTCTGATTGGTGTAAGATGATATCTCATTGTGGTTTTAATTTGCATTTTTCTGATGATTGGTGATGTTAAAACTGGAGAATTAAAAAAAAACCCTCCAGGCACGGGCCAGTGCAGAGTCTGGAGGCCATGCTTAGCTCTCCCATCTGGGGGATGCCCTTGGTTTAAACTCTCTGAGCTCAGTTTCTGCATCTGTAAAATGGGAGTGTGGGGGATGCTTACCCTCCTGCCCTGGAGGTTGGAGATGAGCTTCATGTGAGCTAAGGAGTGTGAATGAGCTTTGGAACCCACAATCCCTTCACGAGATGGTTAATTTTATGTGTCAACGTGACTGGGCTAAGGGATACCCAGATAGCTTGTAAAACATTATTTCTAGGAGTGTCTGTGAAAGTGTTTCCAAAAAGCTTGACTATTTGAATCAGTAGACTGAGTAAAGAAGATGGCATCATGTAATACATGGCCTGAATAGAACAAAAAGGCAGAAGAAGGGATATCACTCTCTTCTTGAGCTGGGCCATCAAACTTCTCCTGCCCTTGGACATTGGAGCTCTTTGTTTTCGGACTTTCGGACTCAGACCAGGACTTACACATTAGCTGTCTGACTCTCAGACCTTTGGACTCAGACCAAGTGACATCACCAGCTTTCCTGATTCTCTAGCTTGCAGACAGCAGATTGTGGGACTTCTTGACTTCCATAATTATATGTGCCAAGTCCCACAATAAATCGCTTCCTCTATCTATCTATCTATCTATCTATCTATCTATCTATCTATCTATCTATCATCTATCTCTCTACCTATCTATCATCTCTCTAGCCATCCATTCATGTCTGTATCTCCTACTGGTTCTATTTCTCTGGAGAACCCTGACCAATAACACTTCAGAAATGCAAGGGATTGTTATGGATATCAAGGTATCCATTGCAGTGTGTTCCTGATAATAATGATGGTGGTGATGATACTGACAGCACAAACTCCAAGTTCTCAGGGTCAAGAACTGCTCCTTCTTTGTCACCCTCAACTCCTCCCCAAGACAAGCACAGAGAGGAGCTCAGGACACAATTCACACACACATTTGAACCAGTTCATGTAATGGATCAGCACCACCTCTATGGCTGCATACAAAGACAGACAAAAGCAAGGCAGACCTGCGCTGCCTTCCCAGGCAGAACTGTTCCTCCCCTATATGAGCATCTATTATTCTAGTCCCTCTGCTGACCGCCTGATTCCTTGTAGGTGCTCAATAAATGTGGTTGGATGAACGAAGCATATTACTATTACCAGTTCAGTTCTCTGCTACACACTTTCATAGTTCATTTCCTCTGTAGAAGAATTATTCATTCTTTTTTTAAATTTTTTTATTTTTTGGTCATTGTGATGATTTTAAAAATGGTCACCAATACTTTGATATTCCTTCCACCGAAATGTGGGGCTTTGTCCCCTCCTCTTGGACCTGGGCAGACTAGTGACTGCTTTGACCAATTGGGTACGAGATATAAATGAAACCTTGTGACTCTGCCCCTCATTCTCTCAGTGCTCCCTTTCAAAATGTGTCCCCTGGGGACACAGCCACTAGGCTGTGAGAAGCTGGGGCCACCTGGGGAGGCCACATGCAGTGCTCCACTGCACAGTCCCAGCTTAGCCTGACTCTCCACTCATCACAGTCCAGATGCCACATGCATGAGTGATGAAGCTCCAGGTGATTCCAGTTGATCCCACTTGTCCTCATCACCCCTAAGTTGCACATCTTCTAGCCGATTCCCGAAACATGTGGAACAGAGACAAGCCATGCCCTCTGGGCCTGTCTGAGCTCTTGACCATAGACTCTGTGAGCATAATAAGGTGATGGTGGTTTTCTAGGAGGAAGCTGTGGGTGATCTGCTGTGGTAACTGGAATCTCCTTAGCTTGCATGTCTGCTACTGAAGTGTCAGCTCTCTGAGGGCAGAGTGCAGGTCTGGTTTGCTCACTACTCCTTCAGGGATGGGACTAGGGTGGGGTCAACCGAGTGCCTATGGCACAAACTTTAAAAAGGTGCTCACCTTCAGGACTGTGGGAGTTCAGGGTGAGTGCCTGAGAGCCAGTGCCTCCTTAGATGCCGTGCCTTGGGTGCCCTTCCTGCCTCACCCTCTTTCTGGCCCTGATCCCTGGAGACCAGCAGAGTGCCTGGCCCATAGTAGGCACTCAATAAAGATTAAATGAATCAATTAGTGAAGGAATAAAAGAAACGGACCCTGAAATGATATCTTCCTTGAGGTGGTAATGAAAAGAAGCAGCACTAGACTTGGAATCAGAGGGAGATAAATTCAAATCTCAGTGTTGTGGCTTCCTCACCACAGAAACACGAGCAAGTTGCTTAGCTTCTCAGAGCCTTGCCAAACCCCAAAAACAAAGAGCCTCAATCCAACTCAACCAGAGCCCGAAATTCATCTTTTGGCGGTATGCATTTTTAACAGTTACCCCTCAACTGACACATCTTTTTCCCCCTTAATGGGGAAATTAGTGGCATTAATACTGTCCCAGGGGTTACTGTGAAGGGAAATAACATGTATGTAAAGTGCCTGGCGTGTGTGGGGAATCAACACACATCATTCCCCTCTGCCTCCCCACTCCCTTAAAGTAGGCAACTATTCAGCAATCTCACAAAACTCTGCTGGGTACAACATTCCAGAGCCAGGGGGAGTCACAGTTTGGAAAATCCTGAGTTTGCCCCCATAGGGAGTTTGTTTTCATTTGCTTGCTTTTTTTTTTTTTTTTCCCTTAGCAAAGAGGCAGTATATTGTAGTAATTAGAATCACAGGAATCAGAGACAGCTAGGTTTGGGTTAAATCATAGCCCTCTCTGACTAACTTATTATATAATCAGCCTAAAGTCATTTAAACTGAACCTCAGTTTCCTCATGTAACAGCTGCAAGTAAAAATACTAAAATCTCCATGGCTAAACACAATAGAAATTGAATTCATGATCATATTACAGCTCAATACAGGAGTACTCAGCAGGTGACCTCCTCTGGAAGGTGTCATGAACCCAAGCTCTTTGCATTTGGTGGCTCCACCATCCTCTAGACCTCAAGGTCATTAGCTGGATCCTCTACATCTACTGGCAGAACAGGAGCGAGGAGCTTTGCAGGGGAGGTTTTTATGGGCCTGGGTTGGAAATGGCACATGCTACTTCCCCTCGGATTCTACTGGGCAGAACCAGTCACATGGTTTCACCTAACCACAAGGGAATCTGGGAAGTGTGCTCTAGCTGGGTGCTCAGGAAGAAAAGGACGATGCATAACAGTCCTTGCCGTATCTCATCTGTTAAATGAAACAAATCCTGGAGACAACCAAGAGGGCTGTGGAGAGATTTAAATTAGACAAAATGTGCAGTATGCTAATGCAGATCCTGTCCCAGAATAAGTGCTCAATAATGGCAGCTATTCAGTTCATCATCCACGTGTGGGTCAGTACCATTGCTTATCTACTGTGGAGGACACTAGAACATGGAAGAAATACACCACCATAGTGTGCTACAGTGACTGTGCTTCTTGAAGCTAAGATATCTGATTATCAACACACATTGAGCAGACACAGTGCTTCATAGACTAGGGTCCTTGGGAGATGCAAATGAACAAACACTGATCCCTGGAATCATAAAGCTTGTTCTTACTCAGTGTGGCTGATGGACTTGGCCCCAATGCCTATAATGCAGGTAAAATATATTAAGCATCCAGAAGGAAATATGTCTTAATTTCAGCTAAAGGGATTAGGGAAGCCATTTGGAGAATGTGATATCTAAGTTACACCATGAAGGTTTCCAAAAGGTGAGATGGCAGGGAAAGGCTTTGTTAGGGAAGAGACCAATGAGAGAAAAACCATGGAGAGAAGATCAGAGACAGTTTGGGAAATGGCAAATAATTCAAATGGCAGCAACAGAGTGTGAGTGTGGGGACAAACAAAGTGGTTACAGGCCAGCAGGAACAGACATAGGCATGGAGATTTGCATGCTGTGATGAATGACACTGGCTTTATTCTATGGGCAATGGTGAGCCATGAAGAGTTTAGGGTTTCCAGCAGCA
Source organism: Homo sapiens (assembly GCF_000001405.40). NCBI lineage: Eukaryota > Metazoa > Chordata > Mammalia > Primates > Hominidae > Homo > Homo sapiens. The sequence continues at coordinate 112,892,999 of NC_000010.11, read as the reverse complement.
TTATTTTGATTATGACACTGAGCAAACTTTTGCACAGCTATCAGAGTTGGTTAAGACAGGTATAGTATTTTTTGTTTTTTGTTTTTGAGATGGAGTCTCACTCTGTCACCCAGGCTGGAGTGCAGTGGCATGATCTTGGTTCATACAACCTCCACCTCCTGGGTTCAAGCGATTCTCCTGCCTCAGCCTCTCGAGTAACTGGGATTACAGGCGTGTACCATCTTGCCCAGCTAATTTTTGTATTTTTAGTACAGACGGTTTCCCCATGTTGGCCAGGCTGGTCTCAAACTCCCAACCTCAGGTGATCCACCTGCCTCAGCCTCCCAAAGTGCTGGGATTACAGGTGTGAGCCACTGTGCCTGGCCAGGTATGGTATTTTCATTTCACAGATGATGGAACTGAGACCAGAAACTGTCTAAGCAATATATATATTACAGAGTAAATAATTTTAGCTACAAAATCAGTGGGTTGGACTAGAAACTCTTTCATTTCCCCTTTGTATCAGTTAGGTTTTTATTCCACAATGCTGCATAACAAAAGGCTCCTAAGTCTCAGTTGCATACAACAAAAATGCATACATTTCCAGCTCGTGGTTATATGAGTTGGCTGAGGCAGCACTGTCTTAGGGTATGGATTGACTGGGCTTCATTTCAGACAGTAGGGTAGGTCGAGGTTTTCTCCCTGTGTCTCTTAACTTCCTTTAATGGTTTCTTAGGGCATGCTCTTTTCATGGCATATGGCAGAAAGAAAAGACAGCAAGCCAAATGCACAAACCCATTTCTGTCCTAAAAAAAAAAATTACAGTACCTGTCTTACCCAATTCTCTGACAGCTGAGCGAAAGTTTGCTCAATGTCATAATCACAGTAATGCTGCTGGAAACCCTAAACTGTTCATGGCTCACCATTGCCCACAGAATAAAGCCAGCGTCATTCATCACAGCATGCATATTTCCATGTCTATGTCTGTTCCTGCTAGCCCACAACTCCTGTCATGTCTGCATGGCCACATCAGCGGCCAAGCCCAATGTTTAGGGACAGAGAAGTTCTGTGCTCTGGTGAAGCAATGAGAGGGGGATTATAATGCTAAAGAAGGAAGGACTGGGATGATAATCTCATTGACCACACTCCTATTGCTAATGCTTAGTGATTCTAAGCGGGAGAGCCCGTTACAGCATGTGGCTCTGGAGTTGGTAGAAGTAATAGAAGTGATACAGAATGAACTGCTGTATATAAGTGGATATATGGCAGAATCCCAGCATATAAAAATTTAAGTTATAAGAAACTCAGCTACATGGCCACACACACACAGAACAATGTAAATGGTGTAGCACCTGGCATTTCCCTGGGAAAGCCTGTGTTCTGGAAGGGCCTCCCATAGGATGCACCTCTCAGCCATGGCTCCTACACTGAGGGTGGGAGCCAGCATTTTGTGGCCCTCACACACACACACAGGCGCAACTGAAGAAAGAGCAACCCTCACACACACAGGCTCAACTGAAGAAAGAGCAACCGTTTCCCTTGAGAAAAAAAGGAAAAATAGGTTGTGCTGGATTTGTTGCGATATGGCAGTACCACACCCTTTAAGGATGATTTCCGGGATTTTCAGGATGACTAGACCACTGTGGAAGGCTTGTTGTGTGATGGGGTCAGGGTATAAGTTGGCAGTTCATCACAAAAAAATCAGTTAAAATGGAGAAACTTTATAAAACAATTCATATGCATATACTCTAAATGCTTTTAAAAATTTAAACGTGGTGGCTGGGCATGGTGGTTTATGCCTGTAATCCTAGCACTTTGGGAGGCTGAGGCAAGCAGATCACTTGAAGCCAGGCATTCGAGACCAGCCTGGCCAACATGGTGAAACCCTGTCTCTACTAAGAATACAAAAATTAGCCGGGCATGGTGACGTGCCTGTAATCCCACCTACCTGGGGAGGCTGAGGCACGAGAATCGCTTGAACCCATGAGGCAGAGGTTGCAGTGAGCTGAGATCACGCCACTGCACTCCAGTCTGGGTGACAGAGCGAGACTCCATCTACAAAAACAAAACGAAACAAACAAAATTTAAACATGGTAAGTATACATTTTCTTTACCAATCTTTTGATGTAGAACCAAGGCTTTTCTTAAAGGAATGGGTTTGGTCTTTGGAGTTCCGGCTTCTCTTTCTTGCCTAAGCCAAATGCACATCATTTACAATTTCCAGTTGTGGTTTTCTTAAGGTGAAGCCAGATCTTAAAGACACCTGAAGAACAATCAGATTGCAAGCCTCTTTGGGAGTTTTATGTTTCTTCTCCTATCTTTTATTCTGTCTCACTTGCACTTAGTATTTTTCCTATCAACTTTATGGAGGAATAATTTACATATAATCAACTGCATCTAGTTACAACACATAATTCAATGTCATTAAACAGTTGGATACAGTCTTATACAGCTGTGAAACACAATCAAGCTACAATGCATTTCTATTACCCCCAAATAATTCCTTAATTTTAAGGATTTTTTTTTAGCAACTTGCCTTTATAATTCCAAAGTATGCTTTTAGTTTTCATAGATACCACTATGCTCTCTTTGCTTCTTCCTATTTCATTGGCTGCCATACTTTTCTGTTAAATTAGTTCATGGCAATGTCGTGGTATAAGCAGGTTTGGGTATACCCAAACCACTAATCTGGTGGGTTCATGGTAAACATTAAACTCAGCTGGGGAAGCAGAGGTGCATGGAAATACTAGAGAGTATGAAATGCACCAATCCTGAGCATTCAGATGGCTATGGACACGCATGCCCTAGGATGTTTTACAGAGGCCAGGAAGAGCAGCCAATGGATCAGAGTTAGTTAGTGGGGGCTGATTAGGGAGTCTCTACTCAGGGCTGCCACATACCATTGTCCAGTCTGTGCACTGCACAAAGTGCTGCCTAAGGGGACAAATGGCAATTAAATTCCTGCTAGAAGTACTCTTTCCAAGCCCTGCACTCTGCTGCAGTCTTCTGTCTAGAAGAGATACCTTTTTCTAATTTGTCTATCCAAAGGCGGTACCTTTTTCCAATTTGTGCCAAAGCCCTGTAGAGACTAGTGGCAGTTCCACGTTACTCCATCTGTGATGCTGACCTTAAAACTGGTTTTAGTACCTAGCCAGCAAATAAGACGAGGCTGCACTGAATCATCACGGTGAACCTCCATGAACCCAACACCACAATACACGGGGTACCTCGACATCACTCAATGTCCTCACAATGACCCATTGCAAATCCCAAGGACTGTTTAGGCTCAGGGAGCTTTTCCTTTTGAGTAGGTTGTCACTTTCCCCAGTCCAAGCCAGTACACTGCTTGATTTGGAGGACTCTCTGAAACCCTGACTTCCTTTTGATGGAGGCTACAAGCTCTGCAGTAAAGCCCTGCGGTCTCCCCAGTTAAATGTGATGGATGCTGGAGATCTGCAGGGCTCAGCACCAGGCCACATCTCCTCATCACAGCCCCACTGTCTTTTTTAGAGACAAGGTCTCACTCTGTTGCCCAGGCTGGAGTGCAGTGGTACAATCATAGCTCACTGTAACCTCAAACTCCTGGGCTCAAGCAATCTTCTCATCTCAGCTTCCAGAATATCTAGGACTACAGGCAGGTGCACACCACCAGTCCTGGTTCAATTTTTTTTGGAGACAGTCTTGCTATGTTGCTGGTAGTGGTCTCAAGCTCTTGGCCTCAGGTGATCCTCCCACCAGAGCCTCCCAAGGTGCTGGAATTAGAGGTGTGAGCCACTACATCAGGCCCCTATCGTCTTGATAAAAGGGCTGCACTCTCTTTTATGGTGGCTCGTCCTTTTCCTGCTCCCGAACTTCATTGTGTTGCCTACCTTTCTCATTGGCATTGTGGAGAAGAATAGAAGAAGGGCCAAAAATGTTGCCTCAATTGCCTGCGTTAGCTAGAATTTTTTCAGTTAAGTGATACAAACCCAATTCTTATTGCCTTATGCAGAAAAGGAGACATAATGATTGGCTCAGGTAATTGAGAGTCCCAATGTATACTTCAGGCACAGCTGTATCCAGGAGCTCAAGTGATGCTAGTAGGACTAGCATCCTAGGGCTGCTTTTTTTTTGGATTGGACTGAAACTTTAAACTTTTTTTTGTAAAGTGCAGAAAAACAAAAGGTGAAATCTTGTAAGAAAAGAGATGATTAACAAAAGGAAGGTAACTTGCCTTTTGATTTCTGAGAGAAGGTAGCAGTTGGGTGTTTCAAATGGCAGAGCTGATCTTTCCTGCTGACGCCAGTCTGTAACAGAGTAAGATATTTGGTTGCCATAAATGCAATTAACAATCCCAATTAATGTGTTTGTTTGAGTGGATTGAAGAGCTTAAACTGGGCCAGGTGCAGTGGCCCAGTGGTCCATGAAGAGAACCCACTTCTCTTCATGCCCCGGTTGCACTTTCCTCTGAATTGCTTCTTCTCAGGCAGGCTCTCTCTGCCTGGTGGCAAAGAGACCACCAGCAGTAGAAGGCTTGTACCTTTCTTGCTTAAAAACCCAGTGGGAAATCATACCATCTTTTCTGGTGACTGAAAAATAAATGGTGAGAGGAATCTGATTGGCCAAATTGGGTATTGTGCCTGCTGGTTTAGGGTCAGACCCATCCGAACTGCATGGACCCAATGGGATTATTATAGAATGGGGGACAGATTGTCCCTAAAGGAATGCTGTCAGAGAAAAAATAATTTTCAGTGACTTCACAGCACATGTCCACAGCACATGGACACACACACACACACACACACACACACACACACTATTTGACCAAGAGCAAGAGAGCACAGTTTAAATTTTTTTTTTTTTTCAGACAGGATCTTGCTGTCACCCAGGCTGGAGGGCAGTGGCTCAACCTTGACTCACTGCAGCCTTGACCTCCTGGGCTAAAGTCATCCTGCCACTTCAGCCTCCGGAGTAGCTGGGACTAGAGATGTGCCATCGCACCCAGCAAATTTTTGTATTTTTTTTGTAGAGACGGGTTCTCACTATGTTTCCCAGGCTGGCCTCAAGCTCCTAGGCTCAAGCAATCCGCCCATCTCAGCCTCCCAAAGTGCTGGGATTACAGGTGTGAGCCATTGCACCTGGTCCAGTTTAAACTCTTCAATCCACCCAAACATACACATTAATTGGGATTGTTAATTGCATTTACTGCAACCAAATATCTGACTCTGTTACAGACTGGCGTCAGCAGGCAAGATCAGCTCTGCCATTTGAAACACCCAACTGCTACCTTCTCTCAGAAATCAAAAGGCAAATTACCTTCCTTTTGTTAATCATCTCTTTTCTTACAAGATTTCACCTTTTGTTTTTCTGCACTTTACAAGGAGAAGGTGTGTTTTATGCTCTGTGTAGATCTTGGCAGTTAACAGAACCCTTTGATTTTTAAGTAAGAGTGAGTCCTGCGTGTGCAGAGAAGGCTCCAATAGGCTGGGGACGGTACCTTTAGGTTCATGCCTTCCCCCAGCGCTGGATCGGAAGGATTGGACTGAAACTTTAAACATTTTGAGCAATACCTAGAATATGTATAATTTATAAGCCACACACCGTTGGCTGTCAAATAGGCGATTGATCTGACTCGGATCTTGTTAATTATCTTCCACATACATTACGCCTTAACAGATCTTCAGTATACTGTGTATCAATATTAATAAGATTATAAAACACTATTGATAATTAGGAACAGAAAGAGACCAGGCCTTTGATTCTGGCTGTTACAAATGCCCCTGCCTCTCTCCAGATTAGAAAGCGGCCCCTTTCCATTTAATAATATCAGATGAGAACATCTATGTCCTAAAGTGGGTTATTAGGAGACAGCTAAGATTTGCACCAGGATGCAAGGGGCTATTTGAAAATGAATATGAGAGCAGCGCTGATGTGCGAGAGATTTGTGTTTCTTATCCACAGGAGGCCTGATGGGGTGGGTGGGGCTTAAGAGGGAGCTGTGCCCACTTTGATCAGCCAAATTCCTCATTTTCTTTGTCCAGGCAAATCAGATCAATTTGGTTTTGCAGGATATTCACCAGGCTGGCATTTTATCTTGATTTCCTCAATTGGATGAAAGGTGCCCCTTTGGGAAGACAGAGAAAGGGGCTGGTGAGATGCAAGGCGGATTTCAAGCCTGTCTCATTTTGGATGGCATTTTATTTTCTATTTTTCCTCTTTGGAAAAGCCTCGTCTTTCATGTTTTTGTTGGGTTCACAAACTCATTAACATCAAACAGGCAGATCTGCCACTAACTAGGAAAACGCAAGCAATTTCGCATATAAATAGAAAGCCTTGAAGCTCGGGGCTGGGGCCAGGCCTTCTTCCTGGGGGTCTCTCACCTGGCTGAGGAGGGGGCAGAGGAGGAGGAGGAGGAGGGGAGGGAGCAAAAGGACACACTAAGGACCTTTCAAAGGCCAGTCTTAATGTGTTTGAGCAGAGATCAGTGGCTTCCAGGTCTTGGTGTGCACAAGAATTACTAGGGGATGTTTATCAATCATATTTGTATTTGATACAAATTCAAAGGCATTCTGTGTGTTTAGTAAACTTCCTTCAGTGGTTCTAAAACTAAATCTGATTTTTAGTCCATCTAGTTTTAACATTTATGATTCTTTCAGTTGCAAATGATCAAAGCCTCTAACCAAACTGTTTTAATAAAGAATGGCAAACTGCTGGGTCTTGTCACCGTCCAGGAGATGCAGGAGATATCTGGCTTCTGATGGAGCGAGAGCCACAGCTCAGACCATAGTTCCATTTCTTAGCTCCCATTGTCTGGCTTAGCCTCAGGCTGACTCTATCATCAGGCTGCTATAGCTCCCTACTTCACAGCCTCCATCACTGGGGAAGACAGCATACCTCTTCTATAAACTTCCATGGAGGAGATGAGCTTCTCTTTCCTAGAAGGTGCTAGAAGCTGGCTGTCACATCTCTGACTCTGGGTTGTTACCTGCAGATACCTGAACCAGACATTATGGGTGGGGACAGGTGAAACGTATTGGCTTAAAGACCTGGAGCTGTGGGTGAATTCAGCTTACCCTAACTATACAGTCACAGTGGAGGAGAGAAGCATTCCAGACTTTAGACCTGCTTCCCAGAAGGAGGGAAAATGGAGCCTGGAAAGCAAAGCACAGAGTTCCACCATCCACATCTTCCAAGTGACATTGGCACGCCCTGCAAAAGCCCTTGTGTCTGGTCTGCTCGAATACTTGCAGTCTCAGAGAGCTCACTGCTTGCCCCCCTCAGTCTCTTTAATCTCCAAACAGTGTCCCAGAACAAGCCATTTGGGTTCCATCTTAAAGATGGTTGAGACATCATTAAAAATGTTCCTTCCTCCATATATCAACTTTAGGCATTCAGCACTTGGTACCTGGCTGTCATCATTACATCCTCTGATAACCCCATCTGGGCACACTCATTTATTAGGAGCCACAGAAAGAAGGTATGTGTCTCTACATGTTCTGTGAATTTGTCCTTGTGGACAAGTCTTAAGGACCACTTGTGGCCACCATTGTCAAGAAACAATCTTTCAGCATTTCAGCAATCAAAGTGATTCACATCAAGTAATAATAAGCAACCTATCGTGTCCTAGCCTCAGAGATATGTTTATTTATTATTTGTTTTCTCCCCTAAAAAGATTTCAGGTGATTTAAAAAAATACAAATATGATTGAGAAAATAAAACACAGATAATGACATGGGCACAAGAGAGAAACAGGATACAATAATAAGAGAATGTAGTAGCAAAATTTGCATGTTGTACGAACTGGCAGTATTACTGAAGGTAGTCTTAAATTTGAATTTCCTGGTGTATTAGTCTGTTCTTACGTTGCTAATAAAGACATACCCAAGACTCAGTAATTTATAAAGGAAAGAGGCTTAATTGACTCACAGTTCCACATGGCTGGGGAGGCCTCACAATTATGGTGGAAGGTGAATGCAGAGGAGCAAAGTCACATCTTACATGGTGGCAGGCAAGAGAGCTTATTTAGGGGAACTCCCATGTATAAAACCATCAGATCTCATGAGACTTATTCACTATCACAAGAACAGTATGAGAGAAACCGCCCCCATGAGTCAATGATCTCCACCTGGCCCCACCCTTGACACGTGGGGATTATCACAATTGGAGGTAAGATTTGGGTGGGGACACAGCCAAACTATATCACCTGGTAATCAAAGCAAAGAGGTAACCGTGCTAAGTTACAAAATTTGCATTGTCATGAAGAAGTATCAGTTAAGCACTTAGGTGGCGCAAGACTAAATCCTGGCTCTCCTTCATCCTAGCTTTGTGGCTGTGGGTACCATATTATCCATCTTTCAGCCTCAGTTTTCTCAATGAAAAAATGGGGTTAATATTCTATGAATGTATACTGATGTCAATAAATAAGTAAGCAAAAAGGAGAGGAGAAAACCTCTTCCTTACAGAATTCCAGTTTTCAATGGAGAAAGAAATATGGAAATAGAGAATCAGCATTTGGCAAACACCCCAGTCATGATTGTTTTCAAGAAAGGATCACTGATAGATGTTAAAATTAGTGGGAAAAGTATGATGACAAAGAGGATATTTACATAGTCTCAAAGAATTTCCCCACAAGATACTTATCAGTTACAAAGGGGAAAAGAGTAACTTTATAGTGAAGAAAGGTGGTGTATACCACCTTCATCAAGTGATCAAAGTTGACATTCCCAGTAATGACATCATTGTATATTGACATCATGTACCTCCTGATATGATGCACTGAAAAAGGCACAGCATTTCTTTTGTGGTATTCTTGCCAAAAATGCATAACCTGATTCTAATCCTGAAGAAACATCAGACAAATCCAAGGAAGGGACATTCTATAAATCACTAACTGGCCAATACTCTTCAAAAGTGTTAAAGACAAACTACCTCAGATGAAAGCAAACTGGAGACATGTCAGCTGAATGCAACATGAAACCCTGGATTCTGGACCAGAAAAAGTCCAGCAGTGGTATAATTGGTGAAATTTGAATGAGATTAGCTATTATTAGATATAGTTAGTTATTAGTTCCATAGAGTTAAGTATTGCCTTGGTGTTAATTTTCTGATTTTGACTATTTTATTGTGGTTGTGCAAGATGTTAACATTTGGGCAGGGGCTGGGTAAAGGATATATGGGAATTTTTGCACTAATTTTGCAATATTAGTATTGCAGAAGAATTGCAAAATTAGTACAGAATGAAAAGTTTAAGGCTGGGTGTGGTGGCTCACACTAGCACTTTGGGAGGCAGAGGCGGGCAGATCACTTGAGGTCAGGAGGTCGAGACCAGCTTGGCCAACATAATGAAACCCCATCTCTACTAAAAATACAGAAATTACCCAGGCATGGTTGTGTGCACCTGTAACCCCAGCTACTTGGGAGCCTGAGGGAGGAGAATCACTTGAACCTGGAAGGCAGAGGTTTCAGTGAGCCGAGATTGCATCACTGCACTCTAGCCTGGGCAACAGAGCGAGACTTTGATTAAAAAAAAAAAAGTTAAAAAAAACTTAAGAGAGGTTAGTAATAGATAGTGTTGCATAGGGTTGGGAGAGAGCAGAGATCTCAGTCCACACTCACTCTTGTTAATGTTATTATCTGTAATACACGAGGGTGAATTATCCATGGTTACACCCCAAAGGAGCTAGTGAGGATGACTGGTGGGCATGCAAACAAACAGGACATAATTATAAGTGTTAACAGAGGTCAAAACAAAATACTTTAGACCCTTTACTTGAGCTCAGGTGGGAGGCATACCATTAGGGCAAAGTTGTTTTACTCCAGATCAGAGGGCCAGAGCTGCACTCAGATTTTACATCACTCCATTCCTCACCAGCAAATCTCTCAGCTGGGCTGAAACCAGCACTTCGGGACAAGTGAATTATTTTATACTGAAGGAGGAGCATGATGGGAAAAATTCAGGCCACAGGTAGGGAATGTGTTAGTGGCAGGTCACATCCTGGACTTGCATGTCTTCACCTCCCAATTCCTGAGTGTGGTTTCCAGGGTTGTATGGGACAGGTGTCTGAGAACTGTGCCTCACTCTGCAGGTAGAATCCCAAGAATGAAGAGATGAGTGAGTGAGAGTATGACCATAAACACCTTTTACATTCATGGCCTTTACTAGGGCCAGGGCTGGAGATTTGTGCTTGGTGGAGGAGGAACTGGGAAGAGAAGCAGAGAGAGGTGAGGCTGGTGTGGGTGTTTTGACAGGGTGAGAAGGCAACAAACTCCACCTTGATCAACCCCTGAAGGCTGAAGGAGAAAGCTGGAATTCTAGGAGCTACTGGCGGGAAGAGAGAGCTAGTTTGATGAGTTGGAATCCTTCATTCATTGGAACAAGACCCCAGTTAAGGAAATTTTGATTCACTAGAGCTTATAAATGATGGCAAGCTTGGGCAGTGTCCCAGGTAATCTGTGAGGCCAGCTGCATAGTGATCATGAAGCCTCAGAAATGTGTACAGAATTTGGGGGCATTTTCTCTCCAAGGGAAAGGGTTCATGGTTTTAAGCTAATTCTCTAAGGGCTATGAGACTCCCTGTCCCCAGAATGTTAGGAAGCAGTAACTATATTAGTGGGAAAAAGGCCAAAACTTAATCCAACTGGTCAACTGTGACGGAAGCTTCTTACACAGTTTACTTGAAACACTGTACTTTTTATAGTTAAACCTACAGGACAGCCCAGAACCCAAACAGTTAAAGGATTTGGGGGAAATGTTTTGATGGATAGTGGGACAATAACACAGAATGCTTAAGATCTTACAAAATACAATCCCACTCTGATGACAGAGACTATGTATTGCTTGCGTCCCTCAAACACAATCAAGCGGGTCCTCTGCTCACTTACTTGTGCCGTACAAGCTTGCATAGAGTTCTCCTTGTCACCCCACTCCCTACTACTGAAACTTATCTTGCCCGGGTCACAAATTATCTTCATATTGCCAAATCCAAAGGAAACTTCTTGTCCTTGTTTTGCTTGACATGTTGATATCATCAGATACTATTGTACTTGCTTCCTATTTCTCAAACTATTCTTCTCTTGTCTATTGGTTAGAATAATTCCATTTAAAAATAACAAAAAGGGCTGGGCACAGTGGCTCACTCCTGTAATCCCAGCACTTTGGGAGGCCAAGGCAGGCAGATCACAAGGTCAAGAGTTTGGGACCAGCCTGGCCAATATGTGAAACCCCGTCCCTACTAAAAATACAAAAATTAGCCAGGCATGGTGGTGGGTGCCTGTAATCTCAGCTACTCGGGAGGCTGAGGCAGGAGAATTGCTTGAACACGGGAGGTGGAGTTTGCAGTGAGCCAAGATCGTGCCACTGCACTCCAGCCTGGGCGACAGAGCAAGGCTCCATTTCAAAAATAAATAAATAAATAAATAAATATAAAAATAACAAAAAGTTCAGCACAAGCTGGCTTAAACAAAGATTTATCAGCTCATGCATCGTCAAAAGATCAATGGTTAGTAAGCTTCAGGTATAGTTTGATCAGGGCTCAGGCTCTGCAATTCTTCAATCTTTGTCCCCTTCTGAGGTATCGGCTTTGTCCTCAGTCAAATTTCCCACATAGTTGTAAGATGGCTGCCGACACAGCTTTTTAGGTCACATCCATAGGAACAAAGAGTTTTTATCTTTGCTCTAATTGGATCATCCCAAAACAATTGCTGTGGAAATGCCATGTGCTGTTTGGCTTAAGACTGAGCCACCTCAATCAGTTGTTATGATAAGAGGTTGAAATTACTCCTGGAGCTAGAGATGAGAGGGATCCCATGCAAATCACAAGGCTGAGACAGAAGTCTTGCTTTCCTCAATTTCACTCTGGGCTCCTTATCAGTCCTTCAACTTCTCCTCTTTGTTTACTCATCTTCTAAATGCCTAACTTACGTTTTAAACCTCCCTTTATAAGATCCTGAGTTCCTTTTACTTCCCCTATCAAATTACTCACCATGTTTTGCTAGAATCTGTTGAGCGATAGCTCCCTTCCTCATTAGTCTAAGGTCCATGATGGTAGAGTGCATGAGTATACTGTTCACCCTGCCACGTGTCAGAAGGCTTGTAACAGACTAGGCTCAAAATATCTGTGTTGAATGATGACCTGAGTAGTTACTATTCTAAGTGATTTTTCTTACTGAAGTTGGTAATGTCATCCCCATTTTACACATGAGGAAACTAAGGTTCTGAGAGGTCAAAGTGTTATGAAGGATCAGAATTGGACTTTGAACCATCAGTCTCATACCAGAACCCATGTTCTTTCTGCTATTCCTCCATCCATGAAGGAGAAAAATTAGATCTGTAAAGTCTGAGGATGTGATGCCCTTATTCTTGGTAGAGGTTGGCTGCAGTTAACAGGAATCTGAGGTCTTCTTTAACTATTACTTGAGAGATCACCTGCTTTTCCTCTGGCTGACACTATCCCAACTCTGACACTGTTCCTGCACCTTTTCTCACAGCACGACCTGGTCCCAAAGTCCTGCCTAGGATCCAATAGGAAACAGCTAAATGGTACAGACTTCAGGGAGGATAATGTTGGTATTTTAAGAATTGCGGGCTGGGTATGGTGGCTCATAACCGCATAACTGTAATCCCAGCACTTTGGGAGGCAGAGGGAGGGGGATCACTTGAGCCCCGGAGTTTGAGATGAGCCTGAACAACATGGTGAAACCTTGTCTCTACAAAAAATATGAAAAATTAGCTGGGCATGATGGTGCACACCTGTAGTCCCAGCTACCCAGAAGGCTGGGATAGGAGGATCACCTGAGTCCATGACGTCAAGACTGCAGTGAGCTGTGTACTGCACTCCAGCCTGCGCAATGGAGTGAGACCCTGTCTCAAAAAAAAAAAAAAAAGAAAAAGAAAAAAGAAAAAAAAGAATTATAACAGGCTATCATAAGCTGGGTGTGGTGGTGTGGTGGCTCACACCTGTAATCTCAGCACTTTGGGAGGCTGAGGCAGGAGTATCACTTGAGTCCAGGAGTTTGAGACCAGTCTGGGCAACATATGGAGACTTCATCTCTACAAAAAAATTTCTAAAAATTAGCTGGCCATGGTGGCACACACTTGTGGTCTCAGCTACTCAGGAGGCTGAGATAGAAGGATCACTTGAGCTCAGGAGGTAGAAGCTAATTGTACCACTGCACTCCAGCCTCGGTGACAGAGTGAAAAAGAAAAAAATTATAATAACAGCTCATTTAATCTTCATAGCAACCCAAGCCATAGATATTACTATTTTCCCCATTTTGCATTTGAAGAAACTGAGGATTAGAAAGACTAAATACTTTGTCTAAGGACACAGAGCTTATAAGCAGCAAAATATTGATTTGAAGCCAGGCAGCCTGACCTTAAAGCTCATGGTCTTAAGAAGCCATAGCTCAGGCCAGGCACGGTGGCTCACGCCTGTAATCCCAGCACTTTGGGAGGCCGAGGCAGGCGGATCACGAGGTCAGGAGATCAAGACCATCCTGGCTAACACGATGAAACCCCATCTCTACTAAAAATACAAAAAATTAGCCAGGCATGGTGGTGGGCGCCTGTAGTCCCCAGCTACTTGGGAGGCTGAGGCAGGAGAATGGCGTGAACCTGGGAGGTGGAGCTTGCAGTGAGCCGAGATTGCGCCACTGCACTCCAGCCTGGGTGACAGAGCAAGACTCCATCTCAAAAAAAAAAAAAAAAAAAAAAAAAACCCAGAAGAAGCCATAGTTCAGAGATTGAAGGAGAGAGGGTAGAGAATAAAGACAAGCATAGGCTACCACCTGGACTTTGTCTCACTAGGTGAGAGGTGAAAAACCACTGTGGTTTATTTGGTTTTCATAAAATGAGAATTTTTCTCCTTTAGGCTGGGTGCAGTGGCTCCCGCCTGTAATCCCAACACTTTGGGAGGCTGAGGGGGGCAGATCATTTGAGGTCAGGAATTCGACATCAGCCTGGCCAACATGGTGAAACTTTATCTCTACTAAAAATAGAAAAAAAATTAGCTGGGCGTGGTGGCATGTACCTGTAATCCCAGCTACTAGGGAGGCTGAGGCAGGAGAATTGCTTGAACTCAGGAGATGGAGGTTGCAGTGAGCTGAGATTCTGCCACTGCACTCCAGCCTGGGTGACAGAGTAAGACTCCATCTCAAAAAAAAAAAAGAATTTTCCCCCTTTGAACTGGCTGGTTTAGCATATTTTCCCCCTATATCAGCAATAACTATTTATGAAACACTTACTATATATATGCCAAGCACTGTGCTTGCCACAGGGGAATGTCAAGGTAAATCAGGCGTGATCCCTATCCACAAAGAACTTTGTATTGCAAGTGGCAGAAACCAAACTAGCTAGAGCAAAAGAGGAATTTATAGGCTTAGGTACCAGAAAAGTCTAAGGCAGAATTCTAACTTCAGGTACAGCTGAATCCAGGGGCTTAAACATCATCATCGCCTGGTGTGGTGGCTCACGCTTGTAATCCCAGCACTTTGGGAGGCCGAGGCAGGTGGATCACCTAAGGTCAGGAGTTCAAGACCAGCCTGATCAACATGGTGAAACCCCGTCTCTACTAAAAATATAAAAACTAGCCAGGTGTGGTGGCAGGCGCCTGTAATCCCAGCTACTCGGGAGGCTGAGGCAGGAGAATGAATCGCTTGAACCCAGGAGGCAGAGGTTATAGTGAACTGAGATCATGCCATTGCACTCCAGCCTGGACAATAAGAGTGAAACTCCATCTCAAAAAACAAAAAACAAACAACAACAACAAAAAAATCATCATCATCATCATCATCATCCATTTCTGTTCTTTCCTCTGATGTGGCTCCACTTCTGGGTGGGTCATTTCCATACAGTGGCCCTGATAGATCCAGTACCAAACATCAGACCAAGGGGATTGAATGCACACATTGATTAGGCACACATGCTCTTCTGAGCCAGCTAGGGTGCTGGGAGGCAGGAGAGAGAGGATGAGGGAGCAGTGGAGCCCTAAAGGAAAATCAGATCCTTTATCAGAAGGAGGAGTGAATATTAGTCTGGCAAAAATAATGTGTGCCTATCATTACACTTCATTTAACAAGAAAGGGCATGGTAAGGGAATGCATCATGATAAAGAGGTGGCACTCCTGTTATGGGGATGATGAGTATGTCCTCCTCTTCAAAGAGGCAGTTCTGGAGTAGTAGATGAGGATGGCATTTGGGGGCTAAGGCAGTTATAGAAAGGACCTCTAAAAGACTGCATGGCTGAACTGAGTCTTGAACAATAGAAGACTTGGATAATCAGGGAAGAAAGAGGGAGAACCTTCTAGGTAGGAGGCACAATACAGGCAAAGGATCGGAGGTGCTTAGGAATGGAGAGAGTAAAGCAGAGTTAGCTATGTAATCTCAGCACTTTGGGAGGCCAAGGTGGGTGGATCACTTGAGGTCAGGAGTTTGAGATCAGCCTGGCCAACATGGTGAAACCCCGTCTCTACTAAAATTACAAAAAAATTAGCCGGGTGTGGTGGTGCACACCTGTTGTCCCAGCTACTTGGAAGGCTGAGGTGGGAGAATCACTTGAACCCAAGAGACAGAGGTTGCAGTGAGCTGAGATCATGCCACTGTACTCCAGCCTGGGTGACAGAGCAAGACTCTGTCTCAAAAAAAAAAGGAGTAGAAGACTGAAACACTGAGGGGGGTGTTTCTTGGCCTGAGTCTTTCTCAGGATGAGGGATGCTATGGGTCACTTCCATTTTTGAGATTCTTTCTATGTTGAAAAATGAAGACATGTCAAGAGAGTACTAAAAATTCTTGTCTATTTTAACTCTTTATCTTCAACAAAGAAACACTCGAACACCCTTCCCCCAGCACAACCCAGGTAATTGTGCTATTCTCAGACAATTAGAGGATCTCTGAAGGACGTTATTACATATTGTCCAGGTGGGGTGGTCCAGTCATGGCCACAAATGAAAAGGGTAGAATGAACATTTTCTTCCACCTTGTCAGAAGCCTTTGTTGACTGTCTGTGGAGAGGAATTTGGAGAGAACACCAAAGTCTTGGACAGTGGCATTCTGCTCTATGTCAGCCCTCCTCCAGGTTTATCAGAGACCTGACGCGGGGTGAGAAACTGGACGAGTTCAGCAGTGGCTCCACAGGGTGGGAGACAGGGCTGCCATGTTGCTGAACTCCAGGGAGCACCATCCACATCAGAATCCCTGGGAGTGATACCCTGGAGTTTTGTAGGACGCAAAGCCTGTGTGCCCAGACATGGTGGTCCACGGAGAGTGGTGTGATGTCAGAAGAAACAGAGAAAACATCTAATCCCAGCAGATATACCTACTCCCAGAAAAACATAGCTCACCATTCATTGTCTTTGCTAAAGTCACCAAACGGCAATCTTTTTGGGGTTTAGTTCTTGTTAGTGTCAATTGACAGAATACAGGCTGGCCAGGATTCTCCACTAGTAAAGAGTCAACCAACAAGGCCGTAAAACAATTACTATAAGTTATGATTCTCAGGTAATTCATCACCATCAACATAGAAAACATTCTGTCCATTCAGAAGCATTTGCACAAAGACAGTGTGTACTTTGGAAGGAATTCCTAGAGCCCCTTAGTTTAAGCAAATCCAATAAGTGAAAAGTTGACTTTAGACAAAAAGGCTAATTCAGGGGAATTATTCACTTTGCAAAATAATGCTTCACTTTACAAAAATATTTCCCTGTGGTATTTCCTGCTACACAAAATCCTCGTTAGCATGTTTATAACATGAGACCATTTTGTAAAAATAGTGACGGCCCCACCACTTTGAGGGGGCACTCCTGTTATGGGGATGATGAGCATCAGGATTGGAAACTGCTTACAGACCAGGAACAGGACCCCAGTGTCATTAACAAGGACCCTGTGTCCCCTATCAGATCCATATTCCAGCAGCTCAAAGTGTTACTGGCTAAATCCTTCTGAGGCTCCTAGAGACAGCTGTGGGGCCGTGAAACCATGATGGATTTCATAAGAGGGAGGGAAATCCCGGCTCTGAGAAACACAGTGACTCACCCAAGGTCAACAGCAAGTCAGTGGGCAGGCCTGGGACCCTCCCTGCTCCTGGCAGCCCTGCCTAGTGTGCTGTGTATTTTTAAAAGCCCAGAGGTTCCTCCCTCCAGAAGTTCAATTCCCATCCCCTTGAGTGTGAGTTGGACTTTGTGACTTGCTTCTAACGAATAGAGAATGGAAAGGAAAATACAGTGAATTCTCAGTGGAGAAATCTCACAAATACCACCTTTGGTAAGCTTAATGTCAAAAGTTAACATCACCAGTAATATTGCAGGTTGGTGGCATGTGCCCCTGACATGATACAATGTGAATGGCATGACACCTCTTCCCAAACCTCATGACCTCAGTTGAGTTATGAGAAAACATGAGTCAACCCCAAATTGAGGAACATTCTACAAAACACCTGAGTGCTACTCTTCAAAAGCTCTCCAGGTCATGAAAGACAAGGAACGACTGTGAAACTGTCATAGACTGAAGGAGACTAATGAGACATGATGGCTAAGGCTAAATGCTATGTGGAATTCGGGATGGGCTCTTGGAATGGAAGAAGGACAGTAGTGGGAAAACTGGGGAAATCTAAATAAGTCTGTAGTTTGGCTAATAGTATTGTGGGAATGTTTTTGTTGTTGTTGTTTTGCTTTTTTGAGACAGGGTCTCACTCTATCATCCAGGCTGGAGTGCAGTGGCTCACTGCAATCTCCACCTCCCAGGCTCAGAGGATCCTCCCACCTCAGACTCCCGAGTAGCTGGGACTGCATGCGTGCACCACCACACCAGGGTGTCAATGATAATGTCTTCATTTTGACAAATGGATCATGGTTATGTAAGTAGTTAACGTTAGGGGAAGCTGGGTGAAGGGTATGAGAACCTTTCTGTACTACCTTTATAACTCTTTTGTAAATCTAAAATTATTTCCAGAAAAAAGATTTTGGTTTTGTTTATGAAGCCTAGAGGTAATTTAAATGCATGATCCTTCACTTGCTTTCCTTTTGGGAAGGTGGACCATCATTAGGGGTGCGGTACACATTTGGTCAGTCTGGCCAGCTCTGGCTTCTTCCAGGGAAAAAGCTACACCACATCCCCCAAATTCTGCAGAATGCCATACCACCTGTCCCATTTTCTGACATTAGCCCAGCTGCCTGTCAGAGTGTGACAATGCCCAGGAATGGGGATGGTGGGCCTGCAGAGCCAGGGAGGAAAATGAACACAGGCTATAAGGGGGCTCGTGTATAGGGGTCAGGGAGCTTCTCAGAATAATTTCCAGGCCTCAGGGAAACACATGATTCAAGAACATAAAGTTAATCAGTTTCCATCCACCAATCAAACTGATCAATATTATGCACACACAATGGCCAAAAGGAGAGAAGGGCACCCCAAGATGCCATGGTGGTGGTGGGAGGAATCAGTGTTTCTTGCCCATTCTGACAGTCTCCAAAGATGGCCACCATCAATTTCTTCTCTCCAAGTACATGAATGCTGCTCAACCCATCAAACAACTATCACTAGATGGAATCTCTCCTAGCCTTGAATTTGGGCTGGACTTTTGACTTATTTTGACCGGTACAATGTGGCAGAAGTGATGCTGTGCCAGTTATAGGTCTAGCCTCTGAGAGTTCTGGCAGCTTCTTGTTTCCCTCTTGAAGCCAGCTTTTGCAGAAATCCTGGAAACCCTGAGACTCTGAGGCTGCCATATTGTGAAAAAGCCTAAGATAACTGGCGGGAGAAGTCCATGGAGGACAACAAAGTTCCAGATGTGTGGGGTGAAACGTTAGACCTGCCAGTCCAGCTCACTTGCCAGTAGAATTCAGCCACATGAGTGACCTCAGCTGATGCCAAGAGAGTAGAATGGCCTGGCTGATCCTACTAAAGCCACAGTATTATGACAAATGAGAAATCACTGTTCATTTAAACTACTAAGCTTTGGGTTGATTTGTTATGCAGCAATGGATAACTGAAGTGCTCACAGACATACTTTCTTCCTGTTACTCAACTTTTTATACTTACCCTCACACATTTCAACTTTCTTTAAATGTAATATATCAAAATAAAAGGCAAAGTATGCCTCATTTATGTAAAGTAGTGGTAGAATATTTCAGACAGGTATTAATTCAGGAATTGGAAATCAAATTATATTACTTATCTGCTCCTATTGCTTTGCTGGCTTCATACATCACTCAGAATAAAAGCCACGTCATCAATGTGACCTACAAGGCCCCATATGAGCTGTCCTCTACTCCTTGCCTTCCTGACCTCAATTTCTACTACTCATTTCCTTTGATCTTCCTTGAATGTGATGGGTGCAGTCCACCCCAGGACCTTTGCATTTGCTGTTCCTCATGCCTGGAATATTCTTATCACAGACATATTCATGGACTGCCTGCCCTCTCATCTCCTTCAGGACTTCACTGACAAGGTAAAAATTGTTACCTAACCTGATTGATTTATTTATTTTATTTTATTTTTGAGACAAGAGTCTTGCTGTGTTACGCAGGCTGGAGTGCAGTGGTACAATCTTGGCTTACTGCAACCTCCACCTCCCGGGTTCAAGTGTTTCTCATATCTCAGCCTCCCAGGTAGCTGGAACTACAGGTGTGTGCCACCACCCTGGGCTAATTTTTATTTTTATTTTTATTTTTATTTTTAGTAGAGACGGGGTTTCACCATGTTAGCCAGGCTGGTCTCAAACTCCTGGCCTCAAGCGATCTGTCTGCCTCAGCCTCCCAAAGTGCTGGGATTACAGACATGAGCCATTGTGCCCGGCCACCTAACCTGGTTTAAAGTTGCTACTCTCCTCGTCTCTGACCCTTTCTACCTGCTGCCTTGCTTTATTTTTCTTCATCACACTCATTTCCATTTAGCATACTGTGTAGTATTATCCATCTTGTTTGTGGTCATTTCCTCTCAGTAAAACCTCAGTTCCAGGAAAGCAGACATTTCTGCTTGTTTTGTAGACTTCTATAAATCTAGAACTTAAAACTGTGTGTGGCACAAAGTTGGCCTTCATTAAATCTTTGTTGAATGAATGAATGAATGTTCTAAATCCCAAGCTTCAACTCCGGGTGGTTTCCAGCTGGTGTGTAGTGCATAGCCTCACCTACTGGCAATGTATGGCACTGCAGTTCAGCTCTATGAGACAAGAGTTTGGAATCACCAAGAATGCATTTAGGAGAACCTCAAGCCTACAGACCAGTGGTCAACAAACTTTTTCTGTAAAGGGCTAGATACTAAATGTTTTAGGCTGTGTGGGTCATGTGTCCATCACAATTACTTGACACTGTCCTTGTAGCATGAAAGCAGACTTTGGCAAAATATAAGCAAATGAGTGTGGCTGTGTTTCAATAAAACTGTATAGACACTGAAATATGAATTTAATATAATTTTATATATCACAAAATAGTTTTCTTCTTTTGATTTTTTTTCAAACATTTACAGATGTGAAATCCAGTCTTGGCTTGCAGGCCATATGAGAATAGATGGTGGAGCACCTTTGGCCTATGGGCTATATAGTTTGCTGAACACTGCTATTGACAATCTCCAAGTGACTCAAAGTGTGGACAAAGAATTCCATTTCCCAGGGTGAAGACTATTCATTTTTACAGAAGTATTATTCATAATGTAACTTCATGAATATTCATAGTAATTTCTGCATTCCAGGCACTTTTATAGCCAACATGCATGGAAGAGAAAGTGTCAAGCGTGGCCAAATGAGAAGAACCAATCTTCAGGCTGGGAATGCCAAATCCACTAGCCTCTTCATGCTTCCTTCCTCTGAGAAGGAGATGGCCCATGTAGGAGGGAGCATGGCAGGCTATCAAAGGTAGGGTGACACAGGAATCAGGTTGATGAAGGTGCTAAAGAGGGAAAGGCTGTGAGTTTGTTTCTTAAATGAACCAGTTGACTCTTCTGAAGCTCTTGGCTGAAGTCTGTGCCCCTGGCCCCAGACAGGTATTATATTAGTCAGGATTCTCCAGAGAAACAGAGCAAACAGAACACACACACACACACACACACACACACACCATAATATACGTGTATTTATATGTATATAAGCAATGAGCCAGTTCCATATTGTGTGTATATATGTACTGTGTGTACACAGTATTCATATTGTGTGTATATATGTGTGTATATATATTTATGTAAGTATAAATATATATATGGAACTGGCTCATGTGGTTATGGAGGCTAAAAGTCCTGCAATTTGGTCGGGCTCCATGGCTTACACCTGTAATCCCATGGCTCACACCTGTAATCCTGATCATTTGAGGTCAGGAGTTCGAGACCAGCCTGGCCAACATGGTGAAACCTTATCTCCTCTAAAAATACTAAAATTAGCTAGACATGGTGGCACCTGCCTACAATCCCAGCTACACAGGAGGCTAAGGCAGTAGAATCACTTGAACTTGGGAGGCAGCGGTTGCAGTGAGCCGAGATCATGCCACTGTACTCCAGCCTGGGCCACAGAGCAAGACTCCATCTCAAAAAAAAAAAAAAAAAAAAAGGAAGTCCTGCTATTTGTGCTGGCAGGCTGAAGACCCAGAAAAGCCAGTGCTACAGTTTCAGTCCAAGTCTGAAGGTCTGAGAATTAGGAGAGCCAATGGTTTAAGTCCCAGACCAGGAAGACTGATGTCTCAACAAAAAGAGTCAGGCAGAGACTGAATTCAACCTTCTTGCTCATTTTTGTTCTGGTCACGTCCTCAATGGATTGGATGAGGTCCACCCACTTTGGGGAGTGGAATCTGCTTTCCTGGGTCCACCAGTTCAAATGCTCATCTCTTCTGCAAACACCCTTGCAGGCACATCCAGAGGTAATGTTTAACCAGATATCTGGGCATCCTGAGCCCAGTCAAGTTGACACATAGAATAGCCATCAGAGCTGTCTTGTGTAGGTAGGAAAGGTAAGAAAGGGAGGGACTTTTAGAAGAGGGCCAGTTCAAACCCAACCCCTTTCTGACCACAGGAGAGGTAAGCCATGAAGAATGAAGCATGATGCTGGCCCTTTGTGATCTCTGGGGGTGTGTTGTGGAAGGAGTAGACACCAAAGATCACAAAGTGTCATTTTGTACTGACAAAGATTACTATTATTATTATTATTATTATTTATTTATTCATTGTTTTTGAGATGGAGTCTGGCTCTGTTGCCCAGGCTGGAGTGCAGTGGCACAATCTCAGCTCACTGCAACCTCCACCTCCCAAGTTCAAGTGATTATCTTGCTTCAGCCTCCCAAGTAGCTGGGATTACAGGCACCCACTACCATACCTGGCTAATTTTTGTATTTTTAGTAGAGACGGGGTTTTGCCACGTTGTCCAGGTTGGTCTTGACTTTCTGACCTCAGGTAATCCACCTGCCTCGGCCTCCCAAAGTGCTGGGATTACAGGCATGAGCCACCATGCTTGGCCTATTTATTTGTTTTTTTAAGAACCTTTAGTATGAAAAATTCCAAACAAGGCCGGGAATGGTGGCTCACACCTATAAGCCCACCACTTTGGGAGGCCGAGGTGGGTGGATCACCTGAGGTCAGGAGTGAGAGACCAGCTTGGCCAACATGGTGAAACCCATCTCTACCAAAAATACAAAAATTAGTTGGTCATGGTGGCGGGTGCCTGTAGTCCCAGCTACTCAGGAGGCTGAGGCAGGAGAATTGCTTA